>NC_000005.10:78859807-80109807 GCF_000001405.40 Homo sapiens
TCTATGTCCACCCCCACAGCAAGCAGCAGACTAACATGGAAGAGATCAGGCATGAGATGTAGCTTCCTGGAACATGGAACCACCTAACAAAACAATCTGAAACAACCTCAGAACACTCCATACTGTGAGTGTAGGATAGAAGCCCTTTTATCCAAAAGGTTGGGAAATTAGGGAATCAAATAATATAGCATTCCTTAAACATTTAGTTTGAACTTAAAAACATAGATACTTCCAACTATGTTGTCAATTTTGGAATAAGTGCAACGTGGTGCTGAGAAGAATGTATATTCTGTTGATTTGGGGTGCAGAGTTCTGTAGATGTCTATTAGGTCCGCTTGGTCCAGAGCTGAGTTCAAGTCCTGGATATCTTTGTTAACTTTCTGTCTCGTTGATCTGTCTAATGTTGACAGTGGGGTGTTAAAGTCTCCCATTATTATTGTGTGGGAGTCTAAGTCTCTTTGTAGGTCTCTAAGGACTTGCTTTATGAATCTGGGTGCTCCTGTATTGGGTGCATATATATTTAGGATAGCTAGCTCTTCTTGCTGAATTGAAGTAAAGCACTCCTCAGCAAATGTAATAGAACAGAAATTATAACAAACTGTCTTTCAGACCACAGTGCAATTAAATTAGAACTCAGGATTAAGAAACTCACTCAAAACTGCACTACTACATGGAAACTGAACAACCTAATCCTGAAGGACTACTGCATAAATAATGAAATGAAGGCAGAAATAAAGATGTTCTTTGAAACCAATGAGAGCAAAGACACAACATACCAGAACCTCTGGGACACATTTAAAGCACTGTGTAGAGGGAAATCTATAGCACTAAATGCCCACAAGAGAAAGCAGGAAAGATCTAAAACTTGACACCCTAACATCACAATTAAAAGAACTAAAGAAGCAAGAGCAAACACATTCAAAAGCTAGCAGAAGGCAAGAAATAACTAACAGCAGAGCAGAACTGAAGGAGATGGAGACACAAAAACCCTTCAAAAAAATCAATGAATCCAGGAGCTGGTTTTCTGAAAAGATCAACAAAATTGATAGACCACTAGCAAGACTAATAAAGAAGAAAAGAGAGAAGAATCAAATAGACACAATAAAAAATGATAAAGGGTATATCAGCACCAATCCCACAGAAATACAAACTACCGTCAGAGAATACTACAAACACCTCTATGCAAATAAACTAGAAAATCTAGAAGAAATGGATAAATTCCTCGACACACACACCCTCCCAAGACTAAACCAGGAAGAAGCTGAATCCTGAATAGACCAATAACAGGCTCTGAAATTGAGGCAATAAATTAATAGCCTACCAACCAAAAACAGTCCAGGACCAGACGGATTCACAGCCGAATTCTACCAGAGGTACAAAGAGGAGCTGGTACCATTGCTTCTGAAACTATTCCAATCAACAGAAAAAGAGGGAATCCTCCCTAACTCATTTTATGAGGCCAGCATCATCCTGATACCAAAGCCTGGCAGAGACACAACAAAAAAAGAGAATTTTAGACCAATATCCCTGATGAACATCGATGCAAAAATCCTCAATAAAATACTGGCAAACCGAATCCAGCAGCACATCAAAAAGCTTATCCACCAAGATCAAGTTGGCTTCATCCCTGGGATGCATGGCTGGTTCAACATATGCAAATCAATGAACGTAATCCATCATATAAACAGAACCAAACACAAAAACTGTATGATTATCTCAATAGATGCACAAAAGGCCTTCGACAAAATTCAACAATGCTTCATGCTAAAAACTCTCAGGAAACTAGGTATTGATGGGACATATCTAAAAACAATAAGAGCTATCTATGACAAACCCACAGCCAATATCATACTGAATGGGCAAAAACTGGAAGCATTCCCTTTGAAAACTGGCACAAGACAGGGATGCCCTCTTTCACCACTCCTATTCAATATAATGTTGGAAATTCTGGTCAGGGCAATCAGGCAAGAGAAAGAAATAAAGGGCATTCAATTAGGAAAAGAGGAAGTCAAATTGTCCCTGTTTGCACATGACATGATTGTATATCTAGAAAACCCCATCATCTCAGCCCAAAATCTCCTTAAGCTGATAAGCAACTTCAACAAAGTGTCTCAAGATACAAAATCAATGTGCAAAAATCACAAGCATTCCTATACACAAATAACAGACAAACAGAGAACCAAATCACAACTGAACTCCCATTCACAATTGCTTCAAAGAGAATAAAATACCTAGGAATCCAACTTACAAGGGATGTGAAGGACCTCTTCAAGGAGAACTACAAACCACTGCTCAACGAAATAAAAGAGGACACAAACAAATGGGAGAACATTCCATGCTCATGGATAGGAAGAATCAATATAGTGAAAATGGCCATACTGCCCGAGGTAATTTATACATTCAGTGCCATCCCCATCAAGCTACCAATGACTTTCTTCACAGAATTGGAAAAAACTACTTTAAAGTTCAGATGGAAGCAAAAAAAGCCCGCGTTGCCAAGACAATCCTAAGCCAAAAGAACAAAGCTGGAGGCATCACGCTACCTGACTTCAAACTATACTACAAGGCTACAGTAACCAAAACAGCATGGTACTGGTACCAAAACAGAGATATAGACCAATGGAACAGAACAGAGCCCTCAGAAATACAACCTTCTGATCTTTGACAAACCTGACAAAAACAAGAAATAAGGAAAGTATTCCCTATTTAATACATGGTGCTGGGAAAACTGGCTAGCCATATGTAGAAAGCTGAAACTGGATCCCTTCCTTACACCTTATACAAAAATTAATTCAAGATGGATTAAAGACTTAAATGTTTGACCTAAAACCATAGAAACCCTAGAAGAAAAAAACCTAGGCATTACCATTCAGGACATAGGCATGGGCAAGGACTTCACGTCTAAAACACCAAAAGCAATGGCAACAAAAGCCAAAATAGACAAATGGGATCTAATTAAACTAAAGAGCTTCTGCACAGCAAAAAGAAACTACCATCAAAGTGAACAGGCAACCTACAGAATGGGAGAAAATTTTTACAATTTACCCATGTAACAAAGGGCTAATATCCAGAATCTACAAAGAACTTAAACAAATTTATAGGAAAAAATCAAGTAACCCCATCAAAAGGTGGGCAAAGGATATGAACAGACACTTCTCAAAAGAAGACATTTATGCAGCCAACAGACGCATGAAAAAAATGCTCATCATCACTGGTCATCAGAGAAATGCAAATCAAAACCACAATGAGATACTATCTCACATTAGTTAGAATGGCGATCATTAAAAAGTCAGGAAACAACAGGTGCTGGAGAGGATGTGGAGAAATGGGAAGGCTTTTACATTGCTGGTGGGAGTGTAAACTAGTTCAACCATTGTGGAAGACAGTGTGGCGATTCCTCAAGGATCTAGAACTAGAAAAATCGTTTGACCCAGTGATCCCATTACTGGGTATATACCCAAAGGATTATAAATCATGCTACTATAAAGACACATGCACACGTATGTTTATTGCAGCACTATTCACAATAGCGAAGACTTGGAATCAACTCACATGTCCATCAATGATAGACTGGATTAAGAAAACATGGCACATATACACCATGGAATACTGTACAGCCATAAAAAAGGACGAGTTCATGTCCTTTGTAGGGACATGGATGAAGCTGAAAACCATCACTCTGAGCAAACTATAGCAAGGACAGAAAACCAAACACTGCATGTTCTCACTCATAGGTGGGAATTGAACAATGAGGACACTTGGACACGGGGCGGGGAACATCACACACTGGGGCCTGTTGTGGGGTGGGGGGTGGGGGTAGGGATGGCATTAAGAGAAATACCTATTGTAAATGATGTGTTAATGGGTGCAGGACACCAACATGGCACATGTATACATATGTAACAAACCTGCACATTGTGCACATGTACCCTAGAACTTAAAGTATAATAATAATAAAAAAAAATAGATAGTCACTTCATAGTCTTTGCATGCAGGGCTACTGATTGTTGTTCCTATCATCTTTATTTCATAAACCATATCTATAATGTTTTATCTATAGTTTCTAGTGCTGTTTTTCTTAAAGTGGAATAAGAACCTAAGAACATGTGAATTTTTAGATTTTCATAGAATAATGGTGGCCATCTAAATTTAAAATCCCTTCATACATTCTCTTTAAAAACCATATTGATAAAGAAAGAAAGTAATATCAACCAAAGCAGAAGCCTATGACACAAGCAGGAGACAAGGCCTATTTAAACCCTGGGTGAAGTGAGGAAACAACCCTCTGAGACCTGAAGAGTCAGGACTGGTACCCACCCAAGGGCAGAGTCAGGCTAGAATTATGCAAAAGAGGGTTAGGGGGTACAAGAGGAGTGTATTAGTCCGTTTTCATGCTGCTGATAAAGACATCCCCAAGACTGGACAATTTACAAAAGAAAGAGGATTAATTGGACTACAGTTACACATGGCTGGCGAAGCCTCACAATCATGGTGGAAGGCAAGGAGGAGCAAGTCCCATCTTACATGGATGGCAGCAGGCAAAGAGAGAATGAGGAAGATGCAAAAGGAGAAACCCCTGACAAAACCATCAGATCTCATGAGACTTATTCACTACCACGAGAACAGTATGGAGGAAACTGCCCCCATGATTCAATTATCTGCCACCGGGTCCCTCCCATGACACATGAGAATTATGGGAGTACAGTTCCAGATGAGATCTGGTGGGGACACAGAGCCAAACCATATCATTCCACCCCTGGCCCCTCCCAAATCTCATGTCCTCCCATTTCAAAACCAATCATGCCTTCCCAACAGTCCCCCAAAGTCTTAACTTGTTTCAGCATTAACTCAAAAGTCCACATTCCAAAGTCTCATCTGAGACAAGGCAAGTCCCTTATGCCTATGAGCCTGTAAAATCAAAAGCAAGCTAGTTATTTCCTAAATACAAGGGGGATACAGACATTGGGTAAATCCGACCATTCCAAATGGGAGAAATTGGCCAAAACAAAGTGGCTACAGGGCCCATGCAAGTCCAAAATCCAGTGGGGCAGTCAAATCTTAAAGCTCCAGAAATGATCTCAAACTCCATGTCTCACATCCAGGTCACGCTGATGCAAGAGGTGGGTTCCCATGGTCTTGGGCAGCTCTGCCCCTGTGGCTTTGCAGGGTACAACCTCCCTCCTGGCTGCTTTCATGGGCTGGCATTGAGTGTCTGTGGCTTTTCCAGGTGCATGGTGCAAGCTGTCGTGGGTCTATCATTCTGGGGTCTGGAGGATAGTGGCCCTCTTCTCACAGCTCCACTAGGACTCCGTATAGGGGTTCTGGCCCCACATTTCCCTTCCATCCTGCCCTAGCAGAGGTTCTCCGTGAGTATCCCACCCCTGCAGCAAACTCTTGCCTGGGCATCCAGGCATTTCCACACATCTTCTGAAATATAGGCAGAGGTTCCCAAACCCCAATTCTCAACTTCTGTGCACTGGCAGGCTCAACACCACGTGGAAGCTGCCAAGGCTTGGGGCTTACACCCTCTGAAACCATGGCCCAAGCTCTACATTGGCCCCTTTTGGCCATGGCTGGAGTGGCTGGGACACAGGGCACCAAATCCCTAGGCTGTACACAGCACAGGGACCCTAGGCCTGGCCCCTGAAACCACTTTTTGCTCCTAGGCCTCCAGTCCTGTTATAGGAGGGGCTGCCATGAAGACCTCTGACACGCCCTGGAGACATTTTTCCCATTGTCTTGAGAATCAACATTTGGCTCCTGATTACTTATGCAAATTTCCACAGCCTGCTTGAATTTCTACTCAGAAAATGGAATTTTCTTTTCTATCACATTGTCAGGCTGCAAATTATTCAAACTTTTATGCTCTGCTTCCCTTATAAAACTGAATGCCTTTAACAGAACCCAAATAACCTCTTGAATGCTTTGCTGCTTAGAAATTTCCTCTGCCAGATACCCTAAATCATCTCTCTCAAATTCAAAGTTCCACAAATCTCTAGGGCAGGGGCAAAATGTCACCAATCTCTTTGTTAAAACATAGCAAGAGTCACCTTTGCTCCAGTTCCCAACAAGTGCCTCATCTCCATCCAAGACCACCTCAGCCTGGATTTCATTGTCCATATTGCTATCAGCATTTTGGGTAAAGCCATTCAACAAATCTCTAGGAGGTTCCAAACTTTCCCACATTTTCCTGTCTTCTTCTGAGCCCTCCAAACTGTTCCAACCTCTGCCTATTACCCAGTTCCAAAGTGGCTTCCACATTTTCAGGTATCTTTTCATCAGTGCCCCACTCTACTGGGCCAATTTACTGTATTACTCTGTTTTCATGCTGCTGATAAAGACATACCCAAGACTGGGTAATTTACCAAAGAAAGAGGTTTATTTGGACTTACAGTTTCACTTGGCTGGGGAGGCCTCACAGTCATGGTGGAAGGCAAGGAGGAGCCAGTCACGTTTTACATGAATGGCAGCAGGCAAAACGAGAGCTTGCACAGGGAAATTTCCCCTTATATTACCATCAGATCTTGTGAGCCCTATTCACTATCATGAGAACAGCATAGGAAAGACCTGCCCCATGATTCAATTACCTCCCACTGGGTCCCTGCCACAACACATGGGAATTCAAGATGAGATTTGGGTGGGGACACAGCCAAACCATATCAAGGGGAAAGGACTCAAATAACGTCTGATAAGATAAACTCCAGAAAGAGAAGGTCACACCCAAGGGACAAAATGTTGATAGAGGTCTCATACCTGACAGATCAAAGCACTGGCTAGTGGGGAGTCAAAAGGGAGTCCAAGGAAGTAGCTTGGATAAGGAAGTGTGCAGGACGAGAGTGGCTGCCTTGGGCAGCTGAGATGCTGAGAGAGGAGCAGCTGAAGAACAAGTGTCCTTTGGAAGATGGATGGTAAAGGGAAGGAAGGACATGGCCAAAGATCAGGGTTCCATTATAATAACACAGTGTCAGAGAATCATGAGAAGGCAGACCAAAAAGAAAGGGGCTGAGCCAAGATGGCCGAATAGGGACAGTTCCGGTCTACGGCTCCCAGCATGAGCGACGCAGAAGACGGGTGATTTCTGCATTTCCATCTGAGGTACCGGGTTCATCTCACCAGGGAGTGCAAGACAGTGGGCGCAGGCCAGTGGGTGCGCACACCGTGCGCGAGCCAAAGCAGGGCGAGGCATTGCCTCACCTGGGAAGCGCAAGGGGTCAGGGAGTTCCCTTTCCGAGTCAAAGAAAGGGGTGACAGACGCACCTGGAAAATCGGGTCACTCCCACCCGAATATTGCGCTTTTCAGACTGGCTTAAAAAACGGCGTACCACGAGACTATATCCCACACCTGGCTCGGAGGGTCCTACACCCACGGAATCTCGCTGATTGCTAGCACAGCAGTCTGAGATCAAACTGCAAGGCGGCAGCGAGGCTGGGGGAGAGGCGCCCGCCATTGCCCAGGCTTGCTTAGGTAAACAAAGCAGCCGGGAAGCTCGAACTGGGTGGAGCCCACCACAGCTCAAGGAGGCCTGCCTGCCTCTGTAGGCTCCACCTCTGGGGGCAGGGCACAGACAAACAAAAAGACAGCAGTAACCTCTGCAGACTTAAATGTCCCTGTCTGACAGCCTTGAAGAGAGCAGTGGTTCTCCCAGCACGCAGCTGGAGATCTGAGAACGGGTAGACTGCCTCCACAAGTGGGTCCCTGACCCCTGACCCCCGAGCAGCCTAACTGGGAGGCACCCCCCAGCAGGGGCACACTGACACCTCACACGGCAGGGTATTCCAACAGACCTGCAGCTGAGGGTCCTGTCTGTTAGAAGGAAAACTCACAAACAGAAAGGACACCGAAAACCCATCTGTACATCACCATCATCAAAGACCAAAAGTAGATAAAACCACAAAGGTGGGGAAAAAACAGAACAGAAAAACTGGGAACTCTAAAACGCAGAGCGCCTCTCCTCCTCCAAAGGAACGCAGTTCCTCACCAGCAATGGAACAAAGCTGGATGGAGAATGATTTTGACGAGCTGAGAGAAGAAGGCTTCAGACGATCAAATTACTCTGAGCTACGGGAGGACATTCAAACCAAAGGCAAAGAAGTTGAAAACTTTGAAAAAAATTTAGAAGAATGTATAACTAGAATAACCAATACAGAGAAGTGCTTAAAGGAGCTGATGGAGCTGAAAACCAAGGCTCGAGAACTACGTGAAGAATGCAGAAGCCTCAGGAGCCGATGCGATCAACTGGAAGAAAGGGTATCAGCAATGGAAGATGAAATGAATGAAATGAAGCAAGAAGGGACGTTTAGAGAAAAAAGAATAAAAAGAAATGAGCAAAGCCTCCAAGAAATATGGGACTATGTGAAAAGACCAAATCTACGTCTGATTGGTGTACCTGAAAGTGATGCGGAGAATGGAACCAAGTTGGCAAACACTCTGCAGGATATTATCCAGGAGAACTTCCCCAATCTAGCAAGGCAGGCCAACGTTCAGATTCAGGAAATACAGAGAACGCCACAAAGATACTCCTCGAGAAGAGCAACTCCAAGACACATAATTGTCAGATTCACCAAAGTTGAAATGAAGGAAAAAATGTTAAGGGCAGCCAGAGAGAAAGGTCGGGTTACCCTCAAAGGGAAGCCCATCAGACTAACAGTGGATCTCTTGGCAGAAACCCTACAAGCCAGAGGAGAGTGGGGGCCAATATTCAACATTCTTAAAGAAAAGAATTTTCAACCCAGAATTTCATATCCAGCCAAACTAAGCTTCATAAGTGAAGGAGAAATAAAATACTTTACAGACAAGCAAATGCTGACCGATTTTGTCACCACCAGGCCTGCCCTAAAAGAGCTCCTGAAGGAAGCACTAAACATGGAAAGGAACAACCGGTACCAGCCGCTGCAAAATCATGCCAAAATGTAAAGACCATCGAGACTAGGAAGAAACTGCATCAACTAACGAGCAAAATCACCAGCTAACATCATAATGACAGGATCAAATTCACACATAACAATATTAACTTTAAATGTAAATGGACTAAATGCTACAATTAAAAGACACAGACTGGCAAGTTGGATAAAGAGTCAAGACCCATCAGTGTGCTGTATTCAGGAAACCCATCTCACGTGCAGAGACACACATAGGCTCAAAATGAAAGGAAGGAGGAAGATCTACCAAGCAAATGGAAAACAAAAAAAGGCAGGGGTTGCAATCCTAGTCTCTGATAAAACAGACTTTAAACCAACAAAGATCAAAAGAGACAAAGAAGGCCATTACATACTGGTAAAGGGATCAATTCAACAAGAAGAGCTAACTATCCTAAATATATATGCACCCAATACAGGAGCACCCAGATTCATAAAGCAAGTCCTGAGTGACCTACAAAGAGACTTAGACTCCCACACATTAATAATGGGAGACTTCAATACCCCACTGTCAACATTAGACAGATCAACGAGACAGAAAGTCAACAAGGATACCCAGGAATTGAACTCAGCTCTGCACCAAGCGGACCTAATAGACATCTACAGAACTCTCCACCCCAAGTCAACAGAATATACATTTTTTTCAGCACCACACCACACCTATTCCAAAATTGACCACATAGTTGGAAGTAAAGCTCTCCTCAGCAAATGTAAAAGAACAGAAATTATAACAAACTATCTCTCAGACCACAGTGCAATCAAACTAGAACTCAGGATTAAGAATCTCACTCAAAGCCGCTCAACTACATGGAAACTGAACAACCTGCTCCTGAATGACTACTGGGTACATAACGAAATGAAGGCAGAAGTAAAGATGTTCTTTGAAACCAGCGAGAACAAAGACACAACATACCAGAATCTCTGGGACGCATTCAAAGCAGTGTGTAGAGGGAAATTTATAGCACTAAATGCCCACAAGAGAAAGCAGGAAAGATCCAAAATTGACACCCTAACATCACAATTAAAACAACTAGAAAAGCAAGAGCAAACACATTCAAAAGCTAGCAGAAGGCAAGAAATAACTAAAATCAGAGCAGAACTGAAGGAAATAGAGACACAAAAAACCCTTCAAAAAATCAATGAATCCAGGAGCTGGTTTTTTGAAAGGATCAACAAAATTGATAGACCGCTAGCAAGACTAACAAAGAAGAAAAGAGAGAAGAATCAAATAGACACAATAAAAAATGATAAAGGGGATATCACCACCGATCCCACAGAAATACAAACTACCATCAGAGAATACTACAAACACCTCTACGCAAATAAACTAGAAAATCTAGAAGAAATGGATACATTCCTCGACACATACACTCTCCCAAGACTAAACCAGGAAGAAGTTGAATCTCTGAATAGACCAATAACAGGAGCTGAAATTGTGGCAATAATCAATATTTTACCAACCAAAAAGAGTCCAGGACCAGAAGGATTCACAGCCGAATTCTACCAGAGGTACAAGGAGGAACTGGTACCATTCTTTCTGAAACTATTCCAATCAATAGAAAAAGAGAGAATCCTCCCTAACTCATTTTATGAGTCCAGCATCATCCTGATACCAAAGCCAGGCAGAGACACAACCAAAAAAGAGAATTTTAGACCAATATCCTTGATGAACATTGATGCAAAAATCCTCAATAAAATACTGGCAAACCAAATCCAGCAGCACATCAAAAAGCTTATCCACCATGATCAAGTGGGCTTCATCCCTGGGATGCAAGGCTGCTTCAATATACGCAAATCAATAAATGTAATCCAGCATATAAACAGAGCCAAAGACAAAAACCACATGATTATCTCAATAGATGCAGAAAAAGCCTTTGACAAAATTCAACAACACTTCATGTTAAAAACTCTCAATAAATTAGGTATTGATGGGACGTATTTCAAAATAATAAGAGCTATCTATGACAAACCCACAGCCAATATCATACTGAATGGGCAAAAACTGGAAGCATTCCCTTTGAAAACTGGCACAAGACAGGGATGCCCTCTCTCACCACTCCTATTCAACATAGTGTTGGAAGTTCTGGCCAGGGCAATTAGGCAGGGGAAGGAAATAAAGGGTATTCAATTAGGAAAAGAGGAAGTCAAATTGTCCCTGTTTGCAGATTACATGATTGTTTATCTAGAAAACCCCATTGTCTCAGCCCCAAATCTCCTTAAGCTGATAAGCAACTTCAGCAAAGTCTCAGGATACAAAATCAATATACAAAAATCACAAGCATTCCTATACACCAACAACAGACAAACAGAGAGCCAAATCATGAGTGAACTCCCATTCACAATTGCTTCAAAGAGAATAAAATACCTAGGAATCCAACTTACAAGGGATGTGAAGGACCTCTTCAAGGAGAACTACAAACCACTGCTCAAGGAAATAAAAGAGGATACAAACAAATGGAAGAACATTCCATGCTCATGGGTAGGAAGAATCAATATCGTGAAAATGGCCATACTGCCCAAGGTAATTTACAGGTTCAATGCCAACCCCATCAAGCTACCAATGACTTTCTTCACAGAATTGGAAAAAACTACTTTCAAGTTCATATGGAACCAAAAAAGAGCCCTCATTGCCAAGTCAATCCTAAGCCAAAAGAACAAAGCTGGAGGCATCACACTACCTGACTTCAAACTATACTACAAGGCTTCAGTAACCAAAACAGCATGGTACTGGTACCAAAACAGAGATATAGATCAATGGAACAGAACAGAGCCCTCAGAAATAACGCCGCTTACCTACAACTATCTGATCTTTGACAAACCTGAGAAAAACAAGCTATGGGGAAAGGATTCCCTATTTAATAAATGGTGCTGGGAAAACTGGCTAGCCATATGTAGAAAGCTGAAACTGGATCCCTTCCTTACACCTTATACAAAAATCAATTCAAGATGGATTAAAGATTTAAACGTTAGACCTAAAACCATAAAAACCCTAGAAGAAAACCTAGGCATTACCATTCAGGACATAGGCGTGGGCAAGGACTTCATGTCCAAAACACCAAAAGCAATGGCAACAAAAGCCAAAATTGACAAATGGGATCTAATTAAACTAAAGAGCTTCTGCACAGCAAAGGAAACTACCATCAGAGTGAACAGGCAACCTACAAAATGGGAGAAAATTTTCGCAACCTACTCATCTGACAAAGGGCTAATATCCAGAATCTACAATGAACTCAAACAAATTACAAGAAAAAAACAAACAACCCCATCAAAAAGCGGGCGAAGGACATGAACAGACACTTCTCAAAAGAAGACATTTATGCAGCCAAAAAACACATGAAAAAATGCTCACCATCACTGGCCATCAGAGAAATGCAAATCAAAACCACTATGAGATATCATCTCACACCAGTTAGAACGGTAATCATTAAAAAGTCAGGAAACAACAGGTGCTGGAGAGGATGTGGAGAAACAGGAACACTTTTACACTGTTGGTGGGACTGTAAACTAGTTCAACCATTGTGGAAGTCAGTGTGGCGATTCCTCAGGGATCCAGAACTAGAAATACCATTTGACCCAGCCATCCCATTACTGGGCATATACCCAAATGACTATAAATCATGCTGCTATAAAGACACATGCACACGTATGTTTATTGTGGCATTATTCACAATAGCAAAGACTTGGAACCAACCCAAATGTCCAACAATGATAGACTGGATTAAGAAAATGTGGCACATATACACCATGGAATACTATGCAGCCATAAAAAATGATGAGTTCATGTCCTTTGTAGGGACATGGATGAAATTGGAAACCATCATTCTCAGTAAACTATCGCAAGAACAAAAAACCAAACACCGCATATTCTCACTCATAGGTGGGAATTGAACAATGAGATCACATGGACACAGGAAGGGGAATATCACACCCTGGGGACTGTGGTGGGGAGGGGGAGGGGGGAGGGATAGCATTGGGAGATATACCTAATGCTAGATGACGAGTTAGTGGGTGCAGCGTACCAGCATGGCACATGTATACATATGTAACTAACCTGCACAATGTGCACATGTACCCTAAAACTTAAAGTATAATTAAAAAAAAAAAAAAAAAGAAAGGGGCTACATTTAGCAAAGAAACTGCACTTCACTATAGCAATACACAGCGCTCTTGAAGCACCTGAAGTAAATGAAAGTGTCCAAATCCCACTCCTACGGATTGCCTGCTATCTTAGATCCAGGAAACGCCAACATACATAAACGTGAACAAAACCAAAAAGAACTCAGCATCTATGCAAAGTTACCATACGAGTTAAAAAAAATAGAAAATGAGAATTCAAAAATTTGGCAAATGAAAACATTCTCCTACTATGGAAAAACAGTCATAAGGCAGAAGAAAACCATTACAGGATATTTCAACATGAATTAAATATAATGAAATCATCAACTGCCAATATTAAAGAAACAACAACCATGATTCAGAAATTGTAAAACTCAGACATCACACTTTTTAAAGGAAGGGAACTGGGAAAAAAAGGACAAAATCTTAGAAATGACAAAACATTATACATGACATTCTCTATGTGAAAGCGTGTAGAGAATAGAAATTAAAAGAGAAAGGATAATTAATTCAAAATAAAGAAAAAATAAAGAGGCAAAGAGGATACGAGAGAAATTGACAGAAACCAAATTTATGTAAAGAAGATTCAATAATACCTATAACTAGGAGTTCCTGAAGAAGAAAAACAAAACAGTAGAATATAATATTTAAAACTGTAATTTTTTTTTTTTTTTGAGACGGAGTCTCGCTCTGTCGCCCAGGCTGGAGTGCAGTGGCGGGATCTCGGCTCACTGCAAGCTCCGCCTCCCGGGTTCACGCCATTCTCCTGCCTCAGCCTCCCAAGGAGCTGGGACTACAGGCGCCCGCCACTACGCCCGGCTAATTTTTTGTATTTTTAGTAGAGACGGGGTTTCACCGTTTTAGCCGGGATGGTCTCGATCTCCTGACCTTGTGATCCGCCCGCCTCGGCCTCCCAAAGTGCTGGGATTACAGGCGTGAGCCACCGCACCCGGCCTAAAACTGTAATTTTTAAAAACTCTGAAATAAAAGAAGATCTGAATATACAAAGTGAAATAACTCACTTTTATCTGAGAAAACTGACACAGTAGGGTCACCTTTGTGACACATCTGGAAAAATTCTTAGATTTTAAATCATAACTATAATAATAGTGATAATAAAAAATCTTCTGGGTGCCCAGACAAAAAACACAAAGTCACTTGCAAAGGAATAAAATCAGGCTGATATTAGACTTATCAACAGTAACATAGAAAACAAGCAAAGATTAGGGTAACATTTTCAAGAAACTCAAAGCAAGAAAGTGTGGGACAAGGGTTTTATTTTAACCGGTTGAGCTGGTGTTCAATTATCAAGGTTGTAGAAAATGTTTTAATAAACATGCAAGAATTCAAAGAATCCTGAGAAATCTATTCAAGGATGAATTCCTCCAACTAAGAGATAATTGTGAACACTTTAGAAGTGGATGGGTGGTCAGTATTGAATATATTATTGAAGATCTAAAACTAAAACAAAATTGTGGATAAAGAGAGAACAGTATTACATATTACATGCTCTGATACAGTAGGAATAACACTACTTAAATCACAAAACTGGAAGAGAATGAAAAGTTACATAAGTTGCTTGATTTCCTTATGGGTAATAAGTGGAAGCTGAAGATGTCATTTAAATGTGACAAACCAAATAGTGGAACCTAAGTAAGAAAAAAGGGACTAAGGAATTATATAAAGATATTTGTATAATGATAAACAGTAGGATAAAATATAAATTTTTCTAAATATTAAAGAACTACTAAATAAAAGGTCAAAGATAAAAAGTAAATGTAACAAAACAATGAAAAAACTAAGAATAGAAATAAAAATATTTATAAATATGTATAAATTCATCTACTAAAACATTACAGACTGGATCATAAAGAAAAACCTAACACTATACTTAACAACTACAGAATACGCATTCTTTTCAATTACACCTGATGTGGACAACAAGAAAGACCATCTACTAGGCCAAGTCTCAAATTTAAAACAATTAGCCCAGGAGTGATGGCTCACACCTGTAATCCCAGCGCTTTGGGAGGCTGAGGCAGGAGGATTGCTTGAGCCCAGGAGTTTGAGACCAGCTGAGGCAACATAGTGAGACCCTGCCTCTACAAAATAAAAATTTAAAAATTAGCTGGTTATAGCAGTACATGCCTGTAGTGCCAGCTACTTGGGAGGCTGGGGTGGAAGGATTGCTTGAGCCCAGGAGGCAGAAGTTGCAGTGAGCTATGATTGCACCACTGCACTCTAGCTTGGGTGACAAATTGAGACCTTGTCTCTGTTAAAAAACAATAATAATAATTGAAATAATACAAAGCATTTCAATTATTTGTGGTCCTCAAAACCACAACTGAAATAAACTAGAAATCAATAATTTAACTAGGGAAAAACCCAAAATTTGGAAACTTAACAATGCACTTCTAAATACATGGTTCAAAGAAAAAAATCACCATTTGCACCATTCCCCATAGAATACATTCTTTCAAATGAAAGAACTCAAACATAAATAATTACATTCAAACATAAATAATATTAATATTCTAACATTCAAACATAAATACATTCAACATATTACATTCAAACAAAAATAATATTAATAATATACAGAATTCTTGTTAAATCCTTTCTGCTCAAGATGCTGTAGACGTTAGTTTATTGTCTACTGGTGAGTATTATTATAGCAAAGTGAACCAGGTAAAGGCAAACAAAAACAAGACAGGATTGCAGTTTTGGTATTTGACAAGGTGGAGTTTATGCCAACATTGTTGGTAAGTATCATGATCGAAAGATGAAATAAATACATTCTTTCATTTTTAACAATAATTATTTATATTATTATTATTTTTTTTTTTGAGACAGAGTCTCGCTCTTTTACCCAGGCTGAAGTGCAGCGGCGCAATCTCGGCTCACTGCAACTTCCACCTCATGGGTTCAAGCGATTCTCCTCCCTCAGTCTCCCAAGTAGCTGGGACTACAGGTGTGTGCCACCACACCCAGTCAACTTTTGTATTTTTGGTAGAGGCAGGGTTTCACCAGGTTGGCCAGCCTGGTCTCAAACTCCTGACCTCAAGTGATCTACCTGCCTCAGGCTCCCAAAGTATTGGGATTACAGGCATAAGCCACTGCGCCTGACCTATATTACTATTTATGTTTGATGGTAATAGAAATATATTCTTTCATATGAAAAATTTGGAAGAACTCACCATTTATGTACCTCTACTGAAAAATTACTTTAAAATATTAATCAACTAATCAAAAGATTAATCAAACTTAAGAACTAAGGAAAGTTATAAATAAAAATGTTGGTAACATTAAACATAATTAAATATATATATATAAAATTTCGCAACATGTGATTACAAAGTAGAATGAAGAAGAAACTTGCTTTGGAAGAAGAGTTATAAGATTTAAAGTATTCAATTGCAAAAAGCTGGGTCTGTACTGATAGATTGAATTTAAAACACTTGAAAGTGAGAAATAGGCAAGAAAATACTGGTAAAGAAAGTAAAGGCACAATAAATTTTTCTTTGGATACTTCTGCTTCCAGCCAAATTAGATTTACTTAACCCTCTTGCCTAAAACAACCCAAAGAAAAATGGACAGAATATTTAAAACAGTATTCAAAACACTGGATATCAGGCAAAGAACAATGATTATTCCAAGATGAAAAACAAAGCAGGTGAGTTTTTAATCATTGCCCAGTTTACTGCCTTGAGAGAATTTCTAAGCCCTGGTGCAGGGAAGGGCAACTGAAATGTAGTCCAATGAATTCCTTGAGTTGAGCAGACAGAGCTGAGTCCAGAGACCAAGGGAGCTTGAGCTCTTAGGACAGAGGACCAGAGAAGAGAAAGCTGCACAGAATGAGAATCCTGGAAATCTGCAGAGGATCCCCTTAGAGCAGAGGTCCCCCAACAAAGACTGTGGACCGGTACCCATCTGTGGCCTATTAGGAACTGGACCTCACAGCAGGAGGTGAGCGGTGGGCTAGCAAGCTTTACTGCCTGAGTTCTGCCTTCTGTCAGATTAGTGGCAGCACTAAATCCTCATAGGAGTGCGAATCCTACTGTGAACTGCGCATGCGAGGGATCTACGGTGTATGCTTCTTATGAGAATCTAACTAATGCCTTATGATCTGAGTTTCATCCTGAAACTATCCCCCGACCAACCCTGGTCGGTGGAAAAATTGTCTCTCACAAAACCAGTCCCTGGTGCCAGAGAGTTTGGGGACCATTGTCTTAGAAAAAGATGCCTGTGAGTGAACTACTCACAACACGGGAAAGAACTACCTGTAAGGATTAAGGGGAAGACTGCTCAGCATTCACACAGAGTTGGGAACAGTACCCGTTCCCATCAGCCAGCCTTGAAAAACTCACAGGCTGCTGTGAGAAGGTTTGACTAGAGAGGATTTGACTCAGCAGTGGAGTATAATTAGCTGTAGACTGAGCACTGCTCTGCAGTTGCCTAATAAATCCTAAAAGCAATGCTCAAAACGATCAAACTGTTTCCAAATAACTTAACTGCATCTCAGAACAAAGCCAGAAGCTTTATTTTTATTTATTTATTTATTTATTTTGAGGCAGGGTCTCAGTCTGTTGCTCAGGTTGGAGTGCAGTGGTGCAATCTCGGATCACTGCAACCTCTGCCTCCCGGGTTCAAGCGATTCTCCTGCCTCAGCCTCCCTAGTAGCTGGGATCACAGGCGCCCGCCACCATGCTCAGCTAATTTTTATATTTTTATTAGAGACGGGGTTTCACCATGTTGGCCAGGATAGTCTTGAACTCTTGACCTCAGGTGATCCACCCGCCTTGGCCTCCCAAAGTGCTGGGATTACAGGTGTGAGCCACCACACCCTGCCTAGCTAGAAGCTTTACAAGAATACAAAAATATCCAGCACTCAACAGGGTAAAATGTACAATGCTTGGCATTGAATCAAAGACCAAAAGGGATAGAAATATGACCGGTATAATGAGGAGAATAATCAATCACAACCAACTGAGAAGTGATATAGATGTTGGAATTAGCAGGGGACATTAAAATATTTATTATAACTGTATTCTATATGTTCAGGAAGTTAAGTAGTTACAGGGAGGATATTAAAAAGACCCAAGTGGAGCTTCAAGAAGTGAAAGCTACAATGTGTGAGATGAAAAATACATTGCATGAAATTGATGAAAGATCAGACATTGAGAAAAAAATCAAAAACCTTAAAGGCTTAGAAATAGAAACTGCCCAAAATGAAATAAAGAGAAAACAGAATTTTTTTTAAATAAAAAGAGCATTAGTAAACTGGGGGACAACTTTAAGTGTCCAAGTGAAAAGCATGAATATGTACATTGTTGCCAGATTAATTTACAGGCTTAATCTCACTCAGTATAATTTTTGAGAAGCTTTTCTTTTAATTTAACAAAATAATTCTAGAGTTCACCAAGAAAAATTAAAAAGTGAGAGTTGTCAAGAAAATTTTATAAAGACAATATAATGAAGGACAGGCCGATAACCATTTCTACCAGATATTTAAATATACTCGAAAAAGACAATGATTAATAGTCAGATGCCAGCATGAGAACAGATAAGTCAGTGGGCTAAAACAGGGGGCCCCAAGACAGAGCACAGTACTCATAAGAACTTAAAACCTAAAATAGTGCCATAAGTCAGTGAAAAGAGAAATATTATTCAATAATTAGTCTGAGTTCTCTTGTTAGTATGTGGAATGAAGTATCATTTTATGTGTTTTTTTTTTTTCTTGAAGTATCCATTTTAGATCAGAGGTTAACATTTAGCTCATGGACCATCATGCTTTATTTGGCTTCATGGCATCTGTAAAATTGAGGTGAAAAGATTTGTTTTTCCTTTAACTTTCTTCTTGAAATGATATTGATAGTGGGGGAAAAGTCTTTATAATGACATACTAAGTTTTTAAGATATTTTAATATTCAGTTGTCACCACTGTCATGTTATGACATCTTAAAGTGTTTCCCATTGATGATAAAAAAGAAATTCCTATCATTATGATCAGGAGATTGCTTTTTTTTTTTCCTGAAACAGGATCTTGCTCTGTTGCCCAGGCTGGAGTGCAGTGGCATGATCACAACTCACTGTAGCCTCAAGCTCCTGGGCTCAAGTGAACCTCCTGCCTCAGCCTCCTGAGTAGCTGGGACTACAGGTGTGTGCCAACACACCCAGCTAATTTTTGTATTTTTTGTAGAGACAGGGTTTCGCTATGTTGCCCAGGCTGGTCTCGAACTCCTGGGCTCAAGCAATCCTCCCTCCTCGGCCTCCCATAGTGCTGGGATTATAGGCGTGAGCCACCACGCCTAGTCTGCTTATGTTTTACATTGTTTAATTAAATATAAAATAATTAAAAAGAAACTTGCAAGGTTTTAATCCTTTGGTTTTCCTTTTTGTCAATCAACCTTATGAAATGTCTTCAAACAACCTATAGGCTGATTATTGAGCTGAAAAGCAGAAAAACTACACAGAATTGGAAAGAGCTTAGAGAAGTCATGTCCCCTAGAAATGGCAAACATAGTCTGTGGCTTGCAACAAAGAAAAACTGAAGCAGTCGAAGGAGCTCCTATTGTAAATAATGTCACCCACTCCAGAACTACTATTTCTTCTAACATTTTAATATTTTGAAGCAGTCCTAAGAGAAATTTGTAACTATACAGCTAATAAAACTTCTGATGCTCTCAGCACAGACAACTGTTTTTCATCCGTTACTGGCATTCCTATTTCACGAGCCTCTTCAAATTTTCAAAAACTACCATCATCTCGAAAGTGGTATTTCCATTTCTGGAAAAAAGTTTCAGACCTCTGGGCACAGATCGGGTGTCTCTGACATTTGGCTGTCCATTTGTTTTTGCTGCTTTGGAAAAGACACAACAGACGTCAATGTGACTGGGCGATTTCTGTATCAGCAGGCAGGGGTGCCAAATGTTCTGCCACCGATTCCGAACTTGCCTAATGCTGTGAGAAGCACCAACTTCATTAGGCTCGAGGCTGAATTATTATTTCAGGAATTTTTCTCAAGCAATGGGAACAGAATGAGAGCGGTTTTTTGCTTTCTAAATAGAAATTTGCTGAATTTCCAGAAAACAAGTCTTGAAATGTATGATCAAACTTTGGGCAGAAATTTTACTTTTAAATAAAAAAAAAAAAGAAAGCCCATTATCTCATGATTTAGCCTACTTGGACAATAATTTTGGCCATATCTTTTGGTTAAAGCCCCGCAGTCACCACTATGTACGGTACTGAAGAACGTGCCCCTGTTCCATAAGAGATTGGCCGCTAGGAGAACGTGCTAACACCGAAGAAAGATCTGCAATTTGGAGCTAAGAGTGATTAGACTTTTCCCAATTTCTCTGCAGTCAGAAGCAAACATGAGCCAAATTCTTAAAGGTTACTTCTGATCAACATAATCTTAAGGTTGAAATGTGCATTTGTAATCCAAAATTTAGCTATATGGACAAACATCAATGATGTGAACTTTGCCAAAGATAATAACCTCAGTAAATTTGGGACTCAAAATGAATTCAACTATTTTTCGATTCAATCCCACCCTCACCTGGCAAAGTGTCCTATAAAGCTTTGATTCCACATGCTATTATGTCCTTATGCAAGCCAGGGTTTACAACATTTTTGCCACCAAAACAAAACAAAAGAAAAATCAAAAATGATTGGATATCAAGCATGCCACAAATGTTGCCATCTCAAAGTCACTCAAAGCTTTCTCCTACTCCAAGCCAAACCGCTACAGCCTTTATATTGAAAGTTGATGATAAACTGAATTAAAGTTCAAGATTTGCTTTGCTTGGAAATCTTTGTTTTATTTTTACCATGAAGTGGGCATTAAGTTTTGCATTAAAATAAGCAAAAGGGGCATAGGCTTGTAAAGAATGTTTTAGAAAAGAATGTGTAATCAATTTCTAATATCACAAAATAGGTAATATCTAGATTTTTGTGCCTATGTTTAGGTACTTTTTTCCTGTAAGTTCATAGTTTTCATCGGTCTTAAAGAGGCCTACAATCTTAAAAAACTGCAAAAAACATTACTCCTCTGATTTAGACACTGACCTCACATAACACGCACACCATCTTGCAACAATTTAAGAATTATGGCTGAGCACAATGGCTCACACCTGTAATTCCAGCGCTTTGGGAGGCCAAGGCAGGTGGATCACTTGAGGCCAGGAGTTCAAGACTGGTTGGACCAACATGGCAAAACCCAGGCTCTACTAAAAATACAAAAATTAGCTGGGTATGTTGATGCATACCTGTAATTCCAACTACTCGGGAAGCTGAGACATGAGAACCGCTTGAACCCAGGAGGCAGAGATCGCAGTGAGCCAAGATCATATCACTGCACTCCAGTCTGGGTGACAGAGCAAGACTCTGTCTTAAAAAGAAAAAAAAAGAAAAAAGAAATACATGGAAGAAACTCAAACCACAACACCTAGAAGAAAATAGATATTTAGCACATTTGAAGCTGAGAAAAATATTTCTGAACAAAAAAGCAAGAGAAAAACATTTCATTGACAAATAAACATGGGAAAGACATCCATGTAGAAGACATAAACAAAATAAAAAGACAAAAAAAAAGGAAAAATATTTGCAAGAAATACAACAATCCAAAAACCTGACATAAAGAAGCAAACAAATCCACAAAAAACACCTACTTTTCAGTAAAATAAGTGGAAAAGCACATGGAATGAATACTTTCAAAGACAAAATACAAATGGAATATAAAAAGTTAAATATTAATCTCCATAATAATAAAAAATCAAGTTAATACAAGACTATTTTGTCTATAACATTAGCAAAGGTTTTTTAAAAAGCTTGATAAGGAAAAGCTATGAGGAAGATGAGCACTTTCTACACCTGTACAAGAGTACATTGATACAGCCTTTTTAGAAAGCAGTTTGGTAATGTTTATCAAATGCTTTTAAAATCATGTAGGGGCCACCCTTGGCCCTCCGCAAGTTCACTGAAAAATCAGTTCACAAAAGGTGAATTAACAGGAGAAAAGGCATACAAATGTATTTAATGTGTATACATGGGAGCCTTTAGAATGAAGACCCAAAGATATAGAGGAAATCGTTCATTTTTATGTATAGGTTTAACAAAGTATGGACAGCCATATAGAAACATGATTGGATAAAAGGGTATGCTCTAATGCTAATAGCCTGAGTGGGGAAACCCAGCAAGGTCTGTCTCTCTGGATTCTTCTCGGCCTCTCTGGGCATGCATTCCTTCCTTCTGGATGTGGGGTTGGACCCGCTCTGGAATGGGAATGTTATGACCTACAGTTAAAACAAGTTAGGCCAGATAACTTTTTTATGGCCACTTTTTACACAAATAGGGCAGAGGGAAAATTAGAATAATATTTCTAGGTTTTATGATTAGCCCTGGGGAGAAGGGGTTCTGGTTTCTATGACCTGCCCTGGGGAAGAAGGATTCTGGTTTCCATGGCTTGCCTCAGGAAAAAATGAGACTGAGAGACAAGAGAGCAGGAGGAGGTCAGAGAAAAACTTCTGTTGTAGAGGCTGCTTCTGGGGCCTCCAGTTTGGGGTATTGTTTTTCAAGCCCCAACATTGGTCACTTTCTTTAGCTCAATGATTTAATTTCAAATCATTTATATCTAAGGGAAAAAGTCCAAAATGTAGACAAACAGTTCATGTAGAAAGAGCTCATTTCAGAGCTAATGTTTTAAAAAACTAAAAAAGAAAGTCAAGGGAATGGGTAAGTATATCAAGGTATATCCATGCGATTGAATGTGCAGTGACTGAAATAGTGTTTGCAGTAAGTTTCTTGGATGACACAATCAAAAACCAATGGTCTGTTAAATAAGGAAAAAAGATGTAGTAAAAAAATGCTGAAAAGAAAAATTCTAAGGAAATATGACAAAATGTTTATAGTAGTTGTTTCTAGGTAAGATTTGAGTGATTTTTTTTTTTTTTTTTTTTTTTTTTGAGACGGAGTCTTACTCTGTCGCCGAGGCTGGAGTGCAGTGGCACCGTGTTGGCTCACTGCAACCTCCATCTCCTGGGTTCAAGCAATTCTCCTGCCTCAGCCTCCTGAGTAGCTGGAATTACAGGTGCCCACCACCACACCCGGCTAGTTTTTATATTTTTAGTAGAGACGGGGTTTCACCATGTTGGCCAGGCTGGTCTTGAACTCCTGACCTCAGGTGGTCCACCCACCTCAGTCTCCCAAAGTGCTGGGATTACAGGCATGAGCCACCACGCCCAGCCAATTATTTTTATTTTTTGTAGTTTGCAAATTATCTACAATGACATATAGTACTCACGCTTGGGGAAATTAAATTTAAATTTAACATATCAAGTTTAGATCATGGATAGAGGCAGAAATGTTTCAAAGAAAAAGAAAAAAAAGTCATCGCATATGAATGAGCACATAATGAGCACAAAGCTTCAAAATTTCTGGTGAGAGAAAAGGTTTTACTGCTTTGCTTCTCAGCTTAGCTGTTCAGTGGCATTACTTTTTCTGTGACTTGGATGCTGTAGAGTGTTCTTGAAATGACAAATCATAAACTGATCACTGTCTCCAAACTGACAAATCAACTTTTCAGGCAAGAATAAGAGGGAACAATTTGAGGCTAGTGAGGATTTTAAAATAATATGAAAATAATATGACTCATAAGAACCAAAATAATGTTTAGAAATGGTGAAGAAATGGCTACCCAATACTATAAATGTTGCTGCTTGAAAAGTGATCTTTAAAATTTAATAAATTCTCGAAGGAAAACATGGAACTTTGAGTTGCAAAATAATTGAAAGAAGGTTATAAAGCTAATTAAATCAGATTTTCCCTTGGGTTTGTAAGAGATGAGGACCTTCCCTAGTCTCACCCTTCTGGGTGAGGCCCATTAGAGAGGAACCCATAGACTCCACGTTGTGAGAGGTTGAGCGGCCTGGCTGAACACTTCTTCTATCCATTCCTGAACTCACAGGACTTTAAACTTTAATGTTTAAACTTGAATAGCTATCAAACTTCCTTTGTAAAAACTAATCTTAGGCTGCTGAACCCTACTATTTTTTAACATTAATTATTAATTACAGAAAAATTGATAATATAAAAAGATAAGAAATAATCTATATATTTTGCAACTGGAAATTGGTCAAAGTATGGTATTTCCAGAGTGTTGAATACTATGATTATGTTCAGCAGGGACTATAAACTTAAATGCCTACAGAGACTAAGTAGGTAACCTAAATGAGTGCAGTGGATCTGTATTGGAACTTGGGAACAATAGAGATTGAAGATTTGAAGGGTGGATACTTCATCTACAGAAGGCAGCAGCTATTTGATTCTAGTCAGTTGTTGGCCTTCTGGAAATGTGGGTGCAGTGCTGTCAGACCTTCCTATTTTTAAAACACTTTTATTTGGAAATAATTTCAAATTTACAAAAAGTTGCAAAAATAAGACATAACAAAAGAATACTTATGCACCTTACCTATATTCTTTTATTTAATTTTGCAGTCCATTTGAATTCTCTCTGTGCACATGTACATACATACACACACACACACACACACAATTTTTTTCTGAACCATTTGAGGGTATGTTAAATATATCATGGCTTTTTGCTCCTAAATACTCCATTGTGTATTTCCTATAACTAGAGACCTGAAACCTGCTATTCTTGAGCTGGGATACCTGGAGTGGGATGAAGAGATGGCCTGAGGAAGTCCTCTCCCCCTGGCCACTAAGGGACAGTCAATCAGCTGCTAACCCCAAACAGAGCTGTAACACCAAACAGAGGTTGAAAACCATTGCACTAGGTCATTCCACCCGTAAAAATAATACCTCCAATATATGCATATTTATTTATAAATTAGATTTATGTACAAGTCTACTAATATATTATGTGTCTTAAAAAACATATACTTTAAAAAGGATGAGATGAAATTAGATATTAATACAAATACAAGATTGAAATTTTCTTCCTGTACTCCAAGGGAACATCTTGCAACCTCTAAGGCATGTGCCTCCCAACCTTGGGGGCTATTGCTCTACACTGTGGGGGTTAAACAGGAAAAAGACCATCACGATTTCCAAATCTGAGTCTGGGTCCTGTTCCCTGATGTATCTTCTTCACATCAGCCAGCTCTATCTATCACAACATACTTTTTTGCCTTCCTGGCACTTATCACAACTGGCAGTCATCTTGCTCATCTGTGTGTTCATTTGTCCAACATCTTTCTCCCCCAACTAGAATACAGCTTCCTGAGAGGCAGGATCTTGACTGACTTGTTCATTCCTAATTTCTCAGCATCTAGAAGAAGGTATGGCACATAGTAGGTGCTTGTTAGATACTTGCTAATAAATGGAAATAAACATATCCCTAGTTCCTATTCCAGCTTTTTCCCTGCTGTTTTGTCCTCCATTCTTCCAGCAGACAACAGGACTAGTTCCCTGACCCCCTGCAGGAAGCTAACAATACCCTAGCCTACTTCTAAGCAAAACGTCGCAGCTTCAAAGACCTTCCATGGAGGGCGATGGGCTGAGGACAATCTTGTTCTTCACGTAAAACACAGGCCCACAATCTCAAATTTATAATTTAAAAATATATATACTTACAATGTCTCTAAAGGCACTTATTTTTCTTAAAAATCATGTATTTGTAAGCTGAACTATCATTTTAACACAAAAGCTATCATTCTTGCTCAATGGAGTCAGGCTGCTCTTGGAGTTTCTGTCCTGGGAGGAAAAAGGGCAGGGTGTAGGTACCTGATGGTTTTCCACACGTCGAAGCCATCCAGAGGCTTTGTGCCATTGGTGTGTCCCCTGGCCAGCTTCACGAGTGTTGGCAGCCAGTCAGAGATGTGGATGAGCTCCCGGTTCTTCACGCCCTTCTGCTTCAGCAAGGGGCTTGCCACAAAGCCCACCCCTCGGACGCCTCCTTCCCACAGGCTCCATTTTCTTCCTCGAAGGGGCCAGTTATTACCCCCTGCCAAAGTCTGCCCTCCGTTATCTGAAACACAGTAAGGTCTTGGCATGAGGATGATGTTAACTCTTAAATACATTTAAGAACAGAGACTGTATGTACATTGTTACTAAATGGTGCTTAAATAATAAAAAAAAAGAAAATTCCTTGCCTTTTCCCACCCTAAATTCCCTTTTCCCATTGACATAGCCTTTCATTATTCAGACATAAGTAAGGCCCAGTGTGATACATATCTACCTTTAAATCCTCCATGGAGAGAGCCACTGGAAAACAAGGCAGTCCCTCGATGATATGCGCTTTGGAGATCCCTAAGCTAAACAATCCACTAAACTTTAAATACACCTGTGTAACTTTGTATAGCATGGGAGAATGAGTCCATGGAAGCTGGGACCCTCTCCATGCATGAAGAGAAAACTAAGGGAATTTCACTTAGTGACTTAATGCTCCTTATAGGTGGAGACAAAAACTGACCTTTTTCTTTTCCTCTTGGAAAAAAAATTCTACAATTTAAACTGGAAAATGAATTAACACTCTACACTCTGGCAATAATATCTCTTTCTTAAGTGTGAAAGCTGAGTATTTCTCCAGTGGTTGATAAATGTCTCTGTAAACAGAACATTAGATGGAAAAATATAATTGTGAAAAAAATTTTTCCCCTCTTGACAGGATGGTGAAATAAAGTTTCATTATGCACAATACCAGGGAAGAGAAGGTTTCTCTTCCAAGACAACAGAAGGAATGGGAGATCTTGGCAAAGACAGGGTAGAAGCTACTAGAGTAACTGAAGTTAAGTATCTTCCCAGCCAAATGAGGGCTCAGAGTTAAGACATTAAAGTGGGCAGTAGAAAAGAAAAAGTGCCATTTCTTACATACTGGGGTTATAGAATCATACAAACTCCCAAAGTATCCACAGATTTAGGTGACTTTAGAGACACATTTTAAATAACACATATTTTGCATTAAACTTTAAAAAAAAAACCCACTATTACCCAAATGAGCCACATGAGGGCAGTATGACAGACCACCTGCTGTATAGAATGTTACATATAAAAATTTATTAAGAAATCAGAGATCTATCAAAGCTACAAGATGCATCTGGGAGGAAAGAGAATGAACACTTGTTAAGCACTGACTGCACTAGGAGTGACTCTGATTTTGCATTATCTCTCACAGAATCTGGGGTTGGCAGACCTGGAATAGAAGCCTGAGGCCAGACACTCACTAGCTGTGTGGCCAGGGGTGATATACCACCTCAGTTTCCTCGTCTTCATGTGGAAATAACAATCACTAATTGATTTAGTCCATTTTGTGTTGCTATAACAGAATACTGAGACTAGGTAATTTATAAAGAAAACAGGTTTATTTGGCTCACAATTCTGATGACTGATAAGTCCAAGCGCTAGGCACTGGCATCAGTTGCTGGTGAGGGCTTTTGTGCTGCATCATAACATGGCAGAGAAGTGGAAGGAGAGGCAGGTGCAGGTAAAGAGGGACCAAAGAGCAGGAAGAGCCTCACTTTATAACAACCCACTCTCATGGCGACTAATCCATTCCCTTGAGATTGAGAACTCGATCCTGGGAGACAGCATTGATCTATTCATGAGGAACCCGCCCCCATGACCCAAACACTTCCTACTGGGCCCCACCTCCCAAGATGCAGTGGCAATTAGACTTCCACATGAGCTTTGGTGGAAACAAACCACATCCAAACCATAGCACTACTTCATGTATTATGATGGAAATGAAGTGACATTGCTTATGATCTTTTCTTGGCAGGGTACCTGACACAACCTAAGTGCTCAATACATGGTAGTAACTGCTGTTGTTCTTAAAATTTACAACAACCCAAATAGTTTAGTATTATAACCATTTTGTCACGTTTTTTAAAAGGAAGTTTGAAAAAGCCAAACAGTGAATAGATGGCAATGCTAGGATTCCAACAAGGTCTGTGTGACACCCCAGGCCTCTGCCCCTAGAGCACCACACTCCTGCTATCCCTAGTATAGAGTGGGCTCACACATGTAGGCCACATAAACTTTCACTTCCTGATGAAAACCACAAGTACGGTCAACCTCAGCAAAGTGTACACTCTTCCTATGAGTGTACATAGGAAGTTATTTCAAGGTAATGGTAATTCCTTTTAGAGAAGGCTTAGCTGCTGTTGGGGAAGAAATTCAAGGCTCTACTGCCAAGGAAACTTTTGGTGGCGCCCTTAACACACCAGTTCTCAGTTCTTTTCTGTGCTTCTCGAAAGGGAGTAGAGAAGAGTCTTGAGTTAGATCAGGTGAGGAAACAATTCTTCAACACATGGGTCGGTGACAGACAATCTCATCATTTGACATCACAGACTTACAAGAATCTTTCTTCAAACCTCCCCACATCACTTCTTGACAAAAACTCAAGGCCCAAACATTCACTCAGGCCAGTTGTTGAAATACACATTCCATTTCATATTGAAGCTGAGCAGACCCGTATATTCAAAACAACAAAAGGTCACCATCAGTAGAAAGAAGAAATTCCTCCATGTTCATGATACTGCACAGAGTAGCAATCACTCATAACCAATGTATCGAAACTTAGAAGAAGGTGCTATTCATGTGATACAAAAATACACTGGAAAGAAATACCTACACTCTTCCCGTGATATCAAGAAAGGCTGAGACAGAACGATTATTTCACTCTGTTGTCTGGATTGCTGTAAGTGATGCTGGCTCAATACTTTAGAAGAAGCCTGTTGTCTCTGTTTTAAATAGATACACTTCTCTGAGGTATTATGTAGTGTCCTTCAGTTGCACATATTTGTTAGTGCTCAACGGAAAGTATTGGATGAAGATGGTGGTGGAAATAAGAGTGGAGATGATGGGGACAAGGGTGGCTGGATCTGGAATCTGATTCTAGGAGCAGCTCTTCAGTTATGACTCAGATAGGAAAATTCTCCGGGTTGTACAGAGAATTTGGCCACTTTTGCTACTGTAGGAAAGGGAAGGTGTTTCCACATATCATTAGGGGAGGCCACGGATGTAGTAAGTGTGACTGTTTTTGCAATTAGTTCTCTGTGATGTTTTGCCATTAGCAATAAGCGATTCTATCAACAGTTATTCTTTTTAAGAGCACTCCAAAGAGAAAGCACTGTCAATGGACACATGTGCAACTTCTCCAAGGCTCTCCTGGCATAGCGCCAACTGCAGATGTGGCCTCAGCAGAAGGGCAGTTCAGCTTCGCCTGTCCTTGTACCCCCACAGATGGCACCTGGCCGATGGTTGCCACTTATCAGCAATGGGGCAGAATCCACTGAGTTAGGACATTAGTTGGTTAACTATATGAGAAATAGGGTGCGGTCCATAAGTTCTAGTTCAGTCTCCTGGGTATTTCAAAGAATTCAACATAAAACTGGTAGGAGTAGCAACAAGAATAAAATAAGCTCTTTTGCAACAAGGTGGAAAAGGGAGTTTCCTATATTGCTCACTGAAGTTTGACATAAATTAGAATTTAAAAAGACAATGGAACCATCAGCATTTCAAAGACGTTTCTTCTCATTTTCCCTTCTAGTTTTATTTTTCGGCAAAAGTTAATTTCTTTCTTGTTAAGAATTCATATTCAAGAGAAATTTTTGTTTCATTTCCTGACTGACATATGAAAAAAATTCCAAATCAAAATAAGATGACGCCAGCTCCTAAAAGAAGCAAAGAAACGTTTTTTCAGGGAGATGGTTTTGCAGCAATGTTTTGGCACAGGGAAAATCTAATTATAAGGCCTTTACTGTCTAGAAAAGAAATGTCAAAGTAAGACAAACATTATCATATACAGACCGTAAATCTCACTTTATTATTCACTATTGAACAAAAATAACTGTCAAAAAGTCATGGAAAAATATTGGTTTGCCAAAGATCTAAGCAAAAACATTAAGTATATGACAATGAAGCCTCATCCATATCCAGCTGATAAAAATCAAAATGAAACCATGACAACAGCATTAATTTTTAGAACTACTCCCCAAACAATTTAATGTGTGGCTTGGCCGTGGAGGGCTGCCCTGAAACATCATCTCTACCCCAACATCCCTGTGCATGCTTCAGCTGGGGCTTACCCTAGTCATCCTTCCCAACCTGACTCAAAGATCACAAAAGGAAAAGCAAGGAAGGCTCTAGCAGCCTCATACCAAGCCTGGACATCTCTTTGAACACGGCCCTGATGCAAGGGTGACTAACAGATGAGTAGGCAACATCGTTTCAAAAATGGAGAAGCCTCTTTGTCCCAGAAAAGTATCTGCTTGTTGATGGTTGATTCTTTGGATTTTTTTTTAAATTACTGAGAGGCAAACTGGAGTGCTAATATATGTCTTAGTACACATCTAAAGGATTCGGTAAATTCAATCTTCTCCTGCTAAAAGATTTTGGAGACATTATCTACCTAGATATTCAAATTACATTCTGATATTCTCAAATCTTATCTTTTTTTTTTTTTTTTTGAGACAAAGTCTCACTCCTCCAACCAGGATGGAGTGCAGTGGCAGGATCACAGCTCACTGCAGCCTCGATCTCCTGGGCTCAATCAATCCTCCCACTTCAGCCTCCCAAGTAGCTGGGACTACAAGTGTGTGCCACCACGCTTGGCTACTCTTTCCCTGTTGCACTACATTGAATCATTTCTGACAGAATGTGCATTTGATTCTGCCAAGTCTACCTTTAAAACAGCTTTCCAATCATCCCCCCTTCTGCAGCCCATTGCTTTAGGTCAGGCACTCCTCTGTCTGGGCTCCTGGGCTAATTTATATACCGCTTCAAGTTCCCACCAGAGGTGTTTGTAAAACCCAAAATCAATCAGGCCACATGCATGTTTAAAGACCTGATTGCTTTCCAATCAGGGAAAAAGTTCCAACTTCAGGCCCACATATAGAATCCTTCATATCTGCCCCCAACCTCCTTTTTGGGTATCAACTCCTGTCCTCCCCCATAAAAAGTGCCCTGAGCTTCAGTCACGTAGAACTAACTTCTCCCTGTTGTTAGAATATGTCATGCCCTTTCATGCTAATTTTGCCTTTGCACATGTTGGCTCCCTTGCCTAAAGTGCCACGGGTTAAAGATCATATCTTCTGTGAACCTGCCACTTAGTGCCCTAGATGGTCTTCATCTCTGCTCTGTATTTCTGCTACATTTTATGTGCACATTTTCTACTATACTTAGCTCTGTCTATTGTTAATCAGTTGTTCATGGCTTTGTCTTCCCCATGAACTCTGCTTCTCAAGAGCAAAAAGTTTCTTAATGTTTTTATTTCCAAGACCTAGCACAGGACCTACCACACAGAAGGGCTCAATGATTTGGAGGAACAAATAATTAGGGAAAAGGCCACTCACCGAAAATAGAGGTTAAAGGCACTAAACATTAACTTAGGTCACTGCATTGTTTTTTCTAAGCCTTTGTCCAGCTACTCTGTGACCTTGACTTTTCATTGGCTATTCTACATACTGCTGCTTAAACTATAGGAGCTGGCAAGGGGTGCTCTTGGACCCCAGTGAGAATTTAAGTAAATCAAACCCTCAAATATCAGAATTGTTTGTCTAATCTGGTCCCTGGTCAGTTATGTTGGAGTCTAAGAGGGTTGATTGGGAGCATTTCAAGAAGCATCAGTCTTGGCCTGGAAGAAAGAACTCACTTATTCCTTTAACACATCTTTCTTGAGTGCTGCCATGTTCCAGGGACCACTCCAGATCTGGAAAAAGGGCAGCAAACAGGATGGACAAGGTCCTGTCCCTCACGGAGTGAGTGAGAAAAAGAGATAAGATCTCTCCATTCATGGGAGGCAATGACTGGGCTTTGTGGAGGAGCTGAAACCATAAGGACAGGACAGAGCCAGCCAAGTGACCACCAGAGAGATGAGAGCCCAGGCACAGGGAGCAGGAGGCCTTATGCAATCGCACATTAGAGACTAGGGTGTCTGTGTCAAGGCTGCTTCTTAATTAAAGACTAGTTATACTATTAGGTATACTCTGCTGCCAGAAGTTAAGGAAAACTTGAGCTAAATGATGACTAGGTATAAACAAAAAGGTATAGGTCTAGGTGTTTTATGACCATCATCACTTTCCCCTATCACCCCTACTGCCCCATGTCTAATTTCACTGAAATGCAGGGAACTGAGAGGAGCTAAGCACTGTGGGTTTGGGCAAGTACTCAATCTCTGAGCCTAAGTTTCCTTATTTGAGAAATGAGGATAACAAAATACCCACCTTAATATTGTGCCTGGCATAGAAGCAGTGCTAAATAATATTAGCTATTTTTATGTATGCTAGTCATCAGCACCAGCAAAGTACACAGAACAGAATAGGCTCCTATCTGGATATTTACTAAACATATATTAGATTTAAGTATCATAGCCACACTCCAAAACATCACGTTTTCATAAGACCAAAGTATTCTAAGCATAGAGTCCTCCTAGATTGCATTCTCTATTCTTTTTTTTTTTTTTTTTTTTTTTTTGAGACAGTGTCTCACTCTGTCTCCCAGGCTGGAGTACAGTGGTGCAATCTTGGCTCACTGCAACCTCCGCCTCCAGGGTTCAAGCGATTCTCATGCCTCAACTTCCTGAGTAGCTGGGTCTACAGGTGCCCACCACCATGCCCAGCTAATTTTTGCATTTTTAGTGAAGACAGGGTTTCGCCTTGTCGGCCAGGCTGGTCTTGAACTCCAGACCTCAGGTGATTCATCCACCTCGGCTTCCCATAGTGCTGGGATTACAGGCAGAAGCCACCACGCCCAGCCTGCATTCTCTATTCTATAGGTAATTTCTTGAGAAGTGCAACAACACAGTGAATTGTGAGGGGGGTTGTTACTATCAGGGGAGAGCCAGGATAACTCCTTTCTGTTCCCATGAGTTTAAATAAAGGACATCAATTATCATAGAAAAAAACACTATAACAATAGCCTGGGATTCAAATTAAACACCAGAAACTGAAGATTTGTTCAAATACACATTTGATTATTCGTAGGGGTTTAAAATGGTTTGCAGCATTCAGGGCAGATAAGTGCTCTGACCACCAGCTCAGACACTAACCAGACTTTACATCTTGACTAAGAGCACCAGCAAGGAGAATGTCCAGCTGGGCTAGCAAGAGGAGGGTTCTGGTGGAGTGCGACTGGCAGCCAGGCACCAAATAACCGATTGATACGGTTTGGCTGTGTCCCTACCCAAATCTCATCTTGAATTGTAGCTCCCATAATTCCCATGTGTTGTAGGGGAGACCCAGTGGGAGATAATTGAATCACAGGGGCAGATTCCCCCATACTGTTCTCGTGGTAGTGAACAAGCTTCACGAGAGCTGATGATTTTAAAAGGGGTTTCCCCTTTCACCTGGCTCTCATTTTGCTTTTGCCTGCTGCCATGTAAGATGTGCCTTTGTTCTTCCCTCACCTTCCACCGTGATTGTGAGGTCTCCCAAGCCACATGGAACTGTGAGTCCATTAAACCTTTTTCTTTATAAATTACCCAGTCTTGGGTATGTCTTTATCAGCAGTGTGAAAATGGACTAATACACGGATGTAGCCACCAAAAGATGTGGAGATTTAAAAAAGATGCATGCAGGGAAAGGGCAAAATCAGGGATGAATGAGGATTAAAAAGAAAAATGTTATAAAAGTTTGTAGTAAAATATTTCCTCACTTTAATGAGGCTAATGCCATTGCTTATAATGCTGAGATATCAATGGGGTTTTATCTCTCCTTTAACATTTATTAAGGATGAAAAGACTCCAAAGTCTGTTGAAAGATTGAAAACGTTTATTCTCTACAAGTTAAAATGGAACTGGAAACTGGAAAACAGTGTCCTAATTTATTACATATTGGCAAGCAACAACTTAACTTTTTCCTGTAATTTAAAACATAAGTATTCACAGATCTTGGAGATCTTTAGATGAAAGTTGTAAGGTAAGCACAAAATGTTGAGGTGCTCTCACTTAGGAGGTATGGGTAATGCAAGGTTTGATCTTCATATTCAGAATCCCCCTGACAAGTAGCACAGAAGACCCATGTTTGATGTATTAAGCGAGTAAAAGTACCAAATATTTGGTCTGTCCTTTTTAACAACTAAAACCCTGTTTGTTTTTCCTATTGTTTAATTTTTAGGAATGTTTGATATTTTTTACTAATGGATTTCCAGGCAAACTAATTTTTTTGGCACTCTTAGGGAGTGTTACAGTTTACTCACACATTATTTGGCTCCCCTTTCAGACCTAAAACCCACTGAACGTGGCCAGATAATTTTGACTAGACAGCTGTTTATCCTTCAGTAATGCCACTAGAGAAGTAATGAATGAGAAAAGTACCACACAAGTGCTGGAGAGTCTGGCAAGTTCAAGGGCAGCAGGAGAAAAGTGAAAATACCATCAACACACAGGAACAAACAGAATTGTGGTTTCAAAAGAACAGGTGTACTAACAACTTGCGTGGTGAGAAAGATGGAAATTTATGTCAATGTGTTTTCAGAGATGGTTAAGCCAGAGAAAGCTAGCACATTCTATCTGGGCAGACATCAACTATTTCAATTTGTCTTTATGATTCCAAGTATATAATACAAGTTAAATGTTCTCAATTTTTATCCTTGGAACAGAAACAACATTTTACTGAATCTCTACTTCTTAAGTAGTAAGATATGCCTTTAAGGTTACTCAGAAAAATCAATGAAACTGAGTGGACAGGCAGTTTCATTTCCTCAGAGTTCTCTGAAGTTTTGCCAGATTCTAAAGGATCTCACTGATGTTTGGGTGTTTAATGCAGAGAGAGGCAAACAAAAGTCACGAGAACACTGATGAGCACAATCCTCCCTGAAGAATAACCGGAGAGTAAAACATTTAATGGCAGAAACAAAAATAACTCAATATATCCAAACATGAAGCAGTTTGTTTAAAGCATTTCAAATATTGAATGCATACTTAATCAATAATAACAAGAACCTCTTCGGATCTGCAGATAACACTTGCTCCAAGGCCAAAGTGAAATAAACTCTGTGAGCCCCCAGAGTCCTGGGCAGCAGCCCCACCTCTGACCAGGGCATGCACAGTGGGAGTGAGGGCAGAATCCAGGTGATTGACACTGGACATCCCAAGCAGGTGAGGAGGCCACTCAGGAGGAAAGAACATGGAAGGCAGCCTGGAGCTCCATGCCTAATGAGAGGCAAATGGCTAACAGGAGGCCTTGCAGCAGGAGACAAAGGGATGAACAGCCAAGGGCCAGGATAAAAAACCAAACCAACCAACCAAACAAACAAACAAACAAATCAAAACAAATGCCCCTGAGTTACCACAATAGGCACCACGAAGTCCATGCAATTAGAGACTAACTCAGGACCTATTCAGTCTCAGACGCAATTCTAGCAATATGTGCGGTGTCTGGTGTCCTAATTTTATAGCAGGCTAGAATCTGCAAGTCAGGAAGATGCATACTGCTGGACATAATCTTTGTAGAAGGAGGAAAGGAGAAGAAAAGTATAAATTGTAAAAGTAGACCACAAACTAAAGTGTCTTTACCTGTTTTTCCAACATTAAATGATCCACACTGACGTATATTGAAGACACCACTGAAAGATGCATACTACAATAAAAAAATTAAAATGATGACCCTACATCATTAAGATAGTGAGAGACTCATGGCATAGTTAAGGATGGTTTAGACCTAGCAAAAAGGTTTATATCCCATATTCCTGTCATTAATCCTATTTATCTACAGCAATACAATGTGCCTGCCTTCTTCACCTGATACCTTGCAAAGGTCACAACGATAAGCACATGAAAACTTTCACTATCCTGGCATAAAGTTAGGCATATAGACTGAAAAGAGAGAAAATTATTACAGGCTAAGCAGTATGCCTCATGTGCCCTGCATCTCCACTGGAATGATGTTTCCAAATATTAAGTAACAGCTTTTCTCATTCCTAGTAATTTTGTCACCCTGTGACCCTCAACCCAGGAAGCAGGCAGGGAGATCCATGTCTGGGCTCCGGAAATGGATAGTCAGCAGGTGGATGAGCTAATAGATTTAGCTTAAGCAATCACTCAGAGCCAGGGGAAGAGAGAGGACTGGAAACGAAGCTAAAGGACATGGCTGTGACCTTAAGCACACATCTTGGGCTCTGCCCCCAGGACTGGATCTAGTGTAGAAGAAATAATGGACGGAGGGATACAAGAGTGGAAAGAACCATGCCTCATCCCCTGGAGGAGCCGGGGGGCAGATGAGAGGATAGCAAGACTCCCTGCGGTTCTTGTGCCCAGTATAGTGTGGCAGCAGCAGATGACAATGGTTGCACAAGGTGATGGAAGGCAGGCTCAGAGGCTTCTCACACCACAGTGTGGAAGGGGTTGCAGCTGAACTGATGAATGTTTTTGATTTGGTGTTGAGAAGAGCACAAATGTGGCACAGAGATGGTCCAAAGAGTCTCCGCAGGCAAGGAGGTCGCAGCATGATCTAGATGGATGATATAAAAAGGCCAGCCAGGAACAGGAATGTTTCTGCAGAGGCTTGTGCAAGGATGACTATGGACCACACACTTCCTTCAGCTCCAACGCACTGGCTCCCTGGAGGGGAGCCAGGATGAGATCATGAATTAACTGAGATGATCTGAATTGACTGGAACCAGGTTTCCTCCACCCAGCAGAATAGGGACCCCAGAGGTACTGCGTTCAGTGACAGGGTAAAAAAGAAGTAAGTTATATTCTTTGCAGATCTAAGTTTGTGCACTGAAATTTGTGATTACTATGCATATGTGTGAGCACTATGGCTGGATGTCCTAGACTTGATGGATATAATAATTGTGTTAGGCTATTTTGTAGGCGAAATAGAAGTTAAATCCATTTTTATTGTTTTGGTTATTTTGAAGCAGTAATATGGACTCATTCCAAGACTTTACATTTTTATGTAATAGCAACTATAATGATAGGAAAAGTACTGAAATCAGAAGAAAGTTTGTTTCTATAACATGCCTCTCAGGCTTTTCAAATCTAACATCCCCACCCTTTTCATAACAAATATTTTGTGATGCTCCTTTGTCCTGAAATGGAATTTATATACAATACTGTAACTATATGTCTAATTAAAAAAAATAACTCTCAGTGTAATACAGAGTAGAAAAAGGCAATTAATAATAAAATAGCATGTATTTCATAGGAAAATGCGCAGGTTCAACCCTAAAAGACATAGCAAAGTGGTTAGATGAGTGCATACAGTTATAGACGAAATAAATTTGGACTTAAGGCCATTCTATAGTAGAAATACAAAAAAAAAGAGAGAGCAGGGATAAATGCTAAAATAAAGATTAGAATATTAATTATATATTAAAACCACGCAAAAAATACTTTGTGTTTATGTGTAAAACATAGAGACTAGACTTAGGTTCTAGTCTCAGAAAATTGTAAACAAGCTTTTAATCTTCATGACTAACCAGCAGGATATTTTGTAAGTTGTACAGGACTTGGGACAATTCCTCACTGTGTGGGGTTATTACGGGCATTGCATCCTGAGCCCCCTACTCACTAACTATCAGTAACACTCAAGTGAATTTCTAAAATACTCTCAGTAAAAACCACTGCCCTATACAATGGCAGGATTGGGACATATGGCCAGAGATAGGTAGTGACCTCTCTTTCAAGAGGCTTCACAGGTTAGCACTCATTACCTTGTGAATTTAACACAGTTTGGGGTCTGGCCTAAACCTCTGTAAGCTTATAAATAATTCTAACAGCATATGGAAAGAGGTTCCACTTTTTAGAAGCAGAATCACTGTAAATGATATATATATAATCACAAAGTCAATTAATTGATTTACAAAGTAAATTTATCACAGTGACTGGCATGTTTATGGCCCATGGGAGTGGCATAAATGTATGGGAAATCAAGTTATAATCAGATCTCCTGGTAAGTAAGGACTCAGATATAATATTTGTATTTTTGTAATATGTGGACTCTCATAATAATTATTTTTCAGATCTAAAATATATTCTATAAATATAAAATATTTATATTTACTATATTCAAAAATGCACTAAAAGCTGCTTTAATGAGAAAATTCACCAATTTTTAAATATTTTTTTCTAGCAACTAAGACTTCAAAAATGATTAATCTAAGTTCATTCAGGAAAAAATAGATAACGTACATGCCCTATACCCATTAAAGACATTGAAATTAGTAATTAAAAACCTCCCCACAGGCCGGGTGCGGTGGCTGACGCCTGTAATCCCAGCACTTTGGGAGGCTGAGGTGGATGGATCACATGAGGCCAGGAGTTCGAGACCAGCCTGGCCAACATGGAGAAACCCCGGCTCTACTAAAAATACAAAAATTAGCCAGGTGTGGTGGCAGGCACCTATAATCCAAGCTACTCAGGAGGCGGAGGCAGGAGAATCGCTTGAACCCGGGAGGCAAAGGTTGCAGTGCCGAGACTGTGCCACTGCACTCCAGCCTGGGCGACAGAGTGAGGCTCTGTCTCAAAACAAAACAAAACAAAACCTTCTCACCAAGAAAATTTCAGGCCCAAATGCCTTCATTGGCAAATTCTACCAAACATTTAAGAAAGGAATAATACTAGTTCTATACAAACTCTTTCAAAAAATAGATAGGAATCCTGTACTTCCCAACTTATTCTATGAGGCCAGCATTACTCTGACACCAAAATGAAACAAAGACATTACAGAAAAAGAAAACCACAATGAACACAGGTGTAAAAATCTTTAACAATATTTAGGAAATCAAATTTAGCTTTATATAAAAAAACATACATTAGTTTTCTATTACCACACACTTAGCAGCTTAAACAATACACACTTATTATTGTACAGTTCTGCAGGCTGTACAATACATTCAGCTGCTGAGGCCTGTACAAGTCTGATGCAGGTCTCACTGGGCTAATGTCAAGGTGTTGAGAGGGCTGCATTCCCTTCTGGAAGTTCCATTTCCTTGCCTTTCTAGCAAATCCATTTCCTTGCCTTTCTAGCTTCTAGAGGCTGTTTTCACTCCTTGGCTCATGTCTTTTGAGCTTCATAGTAGAGTTATGAGTGGATTGCATACCAGCAATACAGTAAGAGAGTATTCTGAGTTTGTCCAGGTACTTAATTTTACCTGTAGGTTTTATACTTTGAAAAGTTTTCTTTTGCACATTAGCGTTTTTTCTTTCAGACTGAAGAACTGCCTTTAGTATTTCTTGCAAGATGGATCTAGTGGTGGTGAATTCTCTCAGCTTTTGTTTGTCTGGGAAAGATTTTATCTCTCCTTTATATTTGAATGATAATTTTGCTGGATACAATATTCTTGGATGGCAGGCTTTTTTTGTCTCTCTTTGAGCAATCTGAAAATGCCATTCCACTCCCTCCTGGCCTGTTTAGTTTCCTTAGAGTAATCCGTTGCCACATGAATTAGAGCTACTTTACGTGTTATTTGCTTCTTTTCTCTGCTGCTTTTAGGATCCTCTCTTTGTCCTTGACCTTTGAGAGTTTCATTTTTCTATGCCTTGGAGTAGTCTTATTTGGGTCAAATCTGTTTGGTGTTCTCTGACCTTTCTGTAGCTGGATATTTCTCTTTCTCAAGTTTTGGAAAGTTTTCAGTTCTTATCCTTTTGAATCAACTTTCTACCCCTTGCTCTCGCTTCACTCTCTCTTGAACACCAACAGCAGTAATTCTTAGATTTGGTCTTTTGAGGTAATTTTTTACATATTGTAGGTGGTCTTTGTTACATTTTATTCTTATTTCTTTTTTCTTCTCTGATTGTGTATTTTCACACAGCTGGTTTTTGAGCTCATAGATTCTTTCCTCTGCTTGGCTCACTCTGCTGCTCAGAGCCTCTTAAGAGTTCTTCAGTTTGGCAAATGTATTTCTCAGTTCTAAGATTTCTGTTTGATTTTTTAAAATTATTTCAATCTCTTTGTTAGATTTCTCTGATAAATTTCTGCTTTTCTGTATTATCTTGGAGATACCTGAGTTTCCTTAAAACTGCTATTTTAAATTATTGGTCAGAAGCTAATAGTCGCCATCTCGTTAGGGTCAGTCATTGGATTTTTGCTTTGTCCTTTGGGGAGACTGTGGTTCCCTGTTTGCTGTTGTTACTTGCGGGTATATGTCTATGTCTTTGCATTGAAGGATTAATTATTGATTCTAGTTTTCTCTGTCCAGCTTGTTTTGTCTTTCATTGAATATATTTGCTTAATCTTTGCAACTAGATTGCTGCCTCCTTTTCGGCTCTAGGTGGCGCTATAAGCCCAGGTTCACTTTGGCTCTAGTAAACGGTTGCAGTGCTGCCTGTCCCAAATGGGGGAGTCACCAAAGGGATTATCCCAGGTATGTTCTACAGGCTCCTAGGCAGGAACCCCTAGTCAGCAGTGTGGGAAGACTGGCTAGGGGTTCCTGCCCATGGGAACCTGTGGAATGTACCTCCTACAGTGTGGTGCTGCTGAATAGCCACTCTGATTTGGTGTCTCATTTGGCTGAGTTACAGAGCAGAGTTTCCAGGGTTGGGGATGGTAGTCTCACCTTCTGACCTTTGTTGCAGCCTGTCCTCAGAGATATTTCTCCCTACAGGCACTCACAATGCTTCCCATGAGTTAAGGCAGGGACAGGACTCCTGCTACGGAACCCAAGAAGGTGAGGAAGCTGGTTGACCACTCAATTTCACTTTTTCCAGTGTAAAAACAGAATTGAGGGAGATTTTCCACATGCTTGGTGCTGAAAGAATGTAGGGGAGGGGACTCGCAGACGTGGAAATCTGATTCTCCAATCATATGCTCAAGGTTTTTCCACTTCTCTGTGGCCCTGGGGGCTGTCTCATCCTCATACTTGAACTCTGGGTTGTTGCTGGTGAAAATCTCAATGCTATATATTTGTTTTTGGTCTTCTATTGAGGGATTGAAGCTGGCTTGCTTCTATACTACCATTTTGAAATCCTGCATTCCTTGATTCATGCCCTCTTCCTTCACCTTCAAAGTCAGCAATGGGCGGGCGCAGTAGCTCACGCCTGTAATCCCAGCACTTTGGGAGGCCTAAGGAGGCAGATCACGAGGTCAGGAGATCGAGACCATCCTGGCTAACACAGTGAAGCCCGTCTCTACTAAAAATACAAAAAAATTAGCTGGGCATGGTAGCGGGCGCCTGTAGTGCCAGCTACTTGGGAGGCTGAGGCAGGAGAATGGTGTGAACCCGGGACCTGGGAGGCAGAGCTTGCAGTGAGCCGAGATCGCGCCACTGCCCTCCAGCCTGGCGACAGAGCAAGACTCCGTCTCAGGAAAAAAAAAAAAAAAAAAAGTCATCAATGATGGTTGAATCCTTTTCATATCATATTACCCGACCTCCTCTTCTGCCTCCCTCTTCCACTTTTAAGGTCACCGATTGCACTGGTCCAACCAGATAATCCAGGACAATCTCCTCATCTTCAGGTCAGTTTATCAGAAACCTTAATTTGGTCTGCAATCTTAATTCCCCTTGTCATATAACATAACATATTCACAGGTTCCAGGCTTTAGGGCATGTTTGGAGGCAGGAGGGAGACGGGGGATTACTCTGCCTACCACAAACATGATGATAAAGTGATATTTATCCCAAGACTGCAATCAATTTTCAAATAGAAGAACAGAGTTAGAAGAATTATACTATCCAATTTCAAGAACTACTATAAAGCTACAGTAATCAAGATTTCATGGAACTGGAATGGAGTGCCTAGTAAAACAACCACATTTAAATGGTCATTTGCTTTTTAGCAAGGGTGCCAAACCAACCAATAGGGAAATAGTTTTTTCAAAAAAAAATAATGCTAGAGTATTCTGATATCTACGTTAAAAAAAACAAACAAAACCTTGACAAACCCTACTTCATAACACACATAAAAATTAAAGATGAATCATATTACAACTCAATAATAAAAGATAACCAAATTAAAATATTGACACAGGATTTAAATAGACATTTCTCTAAAGAAGATACACAAAAATAGATGGTCAATAGATACACAAAAAGATGTCCCACATTAGTCATCCAAGAGGCACAAACTAAAACCATAAGAAGATACCACTTTATACCCAATAGGATTACTATATAACAAAAAAGACAGACAATTGACAAGTGGTGGTAAGGACGTGGAGAAACTGGAACACTCATAAATTGCTGGTGGGAGTGTAACATGATGCAGCTGCTTTGAAAAACAGTGTCTTAGTCTTGTTTTCTGTTGCTGTAACAGAATACCATAGGCTGGTTAATTTATATAGAAAACAAGTTTATTTAGCTCATGGTTCTGGAGGCTGGGAAGTCTAAGAACATGGTGCTGGCACCAGGTGAGGGCCTTCATGTGGTGTCATAACATGACAGAGGGCATCATATGATAAGAGGGCAAGAGCAAGAGAGACTGAGAGAACTCACTTTTATAACAAAGCCACTCTCAATGTAATGAACCCATTCCTGTGACAGTGACATTAATCTATTCATGATGGCAAAACCCTCATTAATCCATTCATGAGGACAGAAGGATTCGGTTTCCAACACATGAACTTTTGGGAGATACCTTCAAACCATGGCAAAGGGTTTAGCAGTTCCTCATAAAGTTAAACATAGATTTACCACATGATCCACCAATTCCACACCTAGGTATATACCCAAGAGAAGTAAAAATATATGTCCACACAAAAATTGGTACCTGAATGGTCATAGCAGCATTATTCATAATAGCCCAAAAAAGTAGGAACAACCCAAATATCCATTAACTGATTAATGGATTTTTTAAAATGTATATTTTCAGCAATGTATAGCAATAAAAGGGATATTATGCATCAGCAAAAAGAAATGAAATACTGATTTATGCTACAAAATGGATGAACATCTAAAACATTATGCCAAATAAAAGAAGCCAGACACAAAAAGCCATATATTGTATGATTCCATTTTTACGAAATGTCTAGCTTAGTAAAATCCATAAGGACAAAACATAGATTATGTGATTGACAGAGGGAGGAAAGGGAGTTGGGAGTAACTGCTAAGGGGTAGAGAATTTCTTGTATGTTTAATTTTTAAAATGTTCTAGAATTAGACAATGGTGATGATTGCACAACTTTGTGAATATACTAAAAACCAGTGAACTGTATACTTTAAAAGGATGAATTTCATGGTATATGAATTATATCTCAATAAAAACAATACTGTATGAGGAAAAAGAAGATAGATCAAAGACCTAAATGCAACAGCTAAAACCATAAAACTTTTATAGAAAAACAGAGAATAGGTCTTAGAATAGGTCAAAAGTTTCTTAAAACCAACAGTTTTGTTTAATATATTTATGTATAAAAATAGATAAGACCCATAATGGTGTACCAGGGAGCAAAATGATGATGTAACTTCAGAGGGGGAATAAGCAGTGGGAGAAAGTACAGCTCTGGTCAGCTGGGGAGATCTCATTGCAAGTAAGCACCCATCCTGGATGTTTTGCCATTTGGATGAGAGGTGCGTTAAAGAAAAAATCCTACATTCAGGAAAAGTCTTCCTAGTGTCACAAGAATGTAAAAAATCTGCTTCATTTAAACAGTCCAAGCCTGCCCACTCCATGTATATTTCAGAACACAAGCAGGGATATATCTCAGCACAAAAGATGTGATTCCTCGAGACAGCATTCTAAATACTTCCCTAATTATCAAAACCCAGAGCTTCCAAGACATGTCAGATTCTTTGTTCTTGTTTTCACCAGTCCATCAAATTTGCTTGGCTTCTTTTATAAAACAGTAGACCTCCTCTGGAGTCAATGTGCTTCTCTTTCTCTTACAGGCCCCTACTTTTATACTGCATTTTTTCAGCGAGGCCTTTTGTGGTAAGCTGACCCTACAAAACATCTGCCTGGCATATGAAACACAAAATTCTTTTTTGGAAAGCTTTCTGTATGTATCAGAGACCATTTCATTGTTTATTCCATTTTTGGCTTCCTGAAAGTTTATGGAATCAAATGGAAAATGACTTCAAAATAGATAAGAGATTACATGAATCTTTTCTATACTTCACATAGTCATGAAGATATATTAACCATATCAGATATGAAATCATGTGCTGGTGATTTCTTTTTAATTTACATACAGTAAAATTCACTTATTTTGGTGTGCATCATTATGGATTTTAACAAATAGAGTCATATAAATACCACCACAATCAGGATAGAACATTCTATCACTGTGATATAACTCCTTTGTACCACCTCTTTGTAGACAAATTGTACACCCAGCCTTAACCCCTGGCAACCACTGATGCTTCTCTGTCGTTAAGGTTTTGCTTTTTCCAGAATGTCATATAAAAAAATCATAGTGTGTGTAATCTTTTCAGTCTGGCTTCCTGCATTCAGCATAATGCATTTGTGATTCATCCATGCTAATGTGTGTATCAACAGTTCATTACACTACTGAGTAGTAGTCCACTGCACAGAAGTACCACATCTGTTTATCTATTTGCTAGTTGAAGGACATTTGGGTTTTTCAGTTTTTAGTAATTATCAATAAAGATGCTATAAATATATGGGTATTGTTTTTTGTGTGAACATGCTTTCATTCAATTTCATTCAATCCCATGAATGAGACTGCTGCTTTCAAGGTATTTTTTTTTTTCATCTTTAGTTTTCAGCAGTTCCATTATGATGCTGGTGTAGTTTTCTTTGAGTTTATCCTGTTTGGATTTCACTGAGCTTCTTGAATTTGTACATGTATCTTGCACCAAATTTGTGAAGTTTTCACACATTATTCCTTTATATATTTTTTCTACACTAATATTTCTGCTCTCTTTCTGGACTCTAATGACATAAATGCTAGACCTTTTGATATTATTCCATAGGTCCCTGCAGCACTGTTTTTCTTCCTTTTTTCTGTGTTTCAGGCTGTATAATTTTCTTTCTTTTCTTTCTTTCTTTTTTTTTTTTTTTTTTTTGAGAGAGGGTCTCACTCTGTTGCCCAGGCTGGAATGCAGTGGCGCTATCTCAGCTCACTGCAACCTCTGCCCTCCTGGGTTCAAGCAATTCTCCTGCCTCAGCCTCCTGAGTAGCTGGGACGACAGGCGTGTGCCACCACACCTGACTAATTTTTGTATTTTTTGGTAGAGATGGGGTTTCATCATGTTGGCCAGGCTGGTCTTGAACTCCTAGCCTTAAGCAATCTGCCCACCTCAGCCTCCCAAAGTGCTGGGATTACAGGCACGAGCCACCACGACCAGCCCAGACTGTATAATTTCTATTGATCTATCTTGAAGTTCACCGACTCTTCTTTATCAGCTCCATTCTGCTATTGGACCCATAGAGTTAATTTTAAATTTCAGATATTGTGTTTTTCAGTTCTATAATTTTCATTTGTTTTGTTTGTTCATTTGTTTGGCTTTAGTTTCTATTTCACTGCTATTTTTCCATTCATTTCAAGAGTGTTCAACTTTGTCTCATGGAGAATGGTTACAATAGCTGCATTAAAGTTTTTGTCTGACAACACCAATATTTGGATGATCATCTCAAATGAGCTCATCACAGCTGAAATAATCTATTTTTAGTCTTTTCCCTTGAGTACTGCTCGTATTTTCCTGTTTTTTTTTTTTTGTATAATGAGTAATTTTGGACTGTCTATTAGACATTTTGAATACCATGTTCTGAGCCTCTAGGTCTAGTTAAAATCCTCTCGAGGGTGTTGATGTTTGTTTGGTTAAGCAGAGAATCAACCTAGTGAGACTCAGACCACAAGTTTTGTCTCACCTTCTGTGGACAGTGGCTCTAATGTCAGTTTAGTTTTTAAAGCCTTTGCTATGAGGTTTGGGTTTGCCCAGCGCATGTGCCACTCAGGGGTTAATCTAGGACCTGGGCAGTGGTTCACATGGCAGTTGAGTTTTCGAAGCCTCTGCTTTGCTCCTTTGGGCCTGTGTGGCATATATGCACTTGGAGGTGAGCCTGGGGCTTAGCTCATACACAGAATCAGGGGATCCTCTTCTCCAGTTCTTCTCTCCCTTTAGATCCTTCAGATCCACCCCCAACCTCCGCTCCAGGGGCCCCTTTATGTGGTTTCTCTGATCAGAAAAACAGGTTTCTGTTAGGTTGTAGTTCCCCATTCTGTCATGCACTTCTGCATAACTGAGGTTGCCTTTGGGAGCAAAGTAGCAAAAAAAAAAAAAAAAAAAAAAAAAAAGAGGAAAATAACAGAGATTATCTCACACTCCGGTCAGAAATGTGGGTCTTCTTTTGAGATTTTAGGTGCCTGCACCCCACCACAACACCAATGCAGATCTTCAACTGGGGCCTGTCTTGGGGTAGAGTTAAGAAAGAAAAGGGAAAGAAAAAGAAAAAACAGTCTGGACACTGTGGCTCACACCAGCCAGGCAACATAGTGTGATCCAATCGCTAACCAAACATAAAAAATTAAAAAAAAAAAAAATTAGCCAAGTGTAGTGGTGCATGACTGCAGTCCCAGCTATTTGGGAAGCTAAGGCAGGAGGATCACTTGAGCCCAGGAGGTAGAGGCTGCAGTGAGCTATGGTTACACCACTGTACTCCAGCCTGGGCAACAGCGTGAGACTCAATCTCAAAAAATTAAAAGAAAAGAAAAAACAAATAAAATAGGAATTCCCCATATTCTTGAGCAAGAGCCCACTTTCCTAGACCTCTGGTTAGAAGTAGGAGGTTTCTCTTGGAGATGTTGCTGCCAGTGCCTGCTGCATAGTTCCATAATTCCATTGGCTCTTAGGTCAAAGCCAAGAGATAGAGGAGAGAAAATAAACCTCCAAAACTCACCACACAAGGGATTCATGAAGCTTTGACTTTATTCCCCATTCTCCATTCACCTGATTTTGTTTTCTTCTCTGTCCCTATTCTTATCATCCCTGCTGTTATATTAGGTTGGTGCAAAAGTAATTGCAGTTTTCGAAAACCTCAATTACTTTAGCACCAACCTAAGTACTTTTAAGAAGCCTCAGATAGTTGCTTTCAGTATTATCCAGAGTTTTTAATCAATGAGAAAGATATTTGTTGACTTCCTCCATCCTGGTGAGCACGGGAAGGTGGTGCCCATGATTTTAATGAGAATGGGCTAAGGGAACTTGTGATACTTGTCTTGATTTTTTTTAAACCTTCATCTGAATTGATACAGGAGCATACTTCATGTCAGGTAAGAATAAAAAAGGAAACAATTATTTGACACACCTTAATTAAGCACCTGCTAGGTGCCCGCTACTCTGGGAAAAGGCAACAGGGGTTCAACACATGGTCCCTGCTTTCGAGGGAGGCAACATCCACAGAAAGCATAGCCTATGTGAAAAAATACAAGACTGTACACAACTAAGGGCAAAAAAGATACAGAGAAAGGAAACAAGGTAAAAACTGGGGAATTAGAGGTGACACGGAGGCCGTTCAAGCCCCCAGCTAGACCTTGATGGAGAAGACAAGGCACTTTCCATCAGAGGGCAAGGGGATGGGGCGGGGTGATTATTATTCCAAAGTTGGCTTTGTACCTTTTTATTACACAGTGAGTTTGTTTTCCCAAAAGGAAAGAAAGAGACTGTTTCTAAGGGCATTTGATCACTCCTGACCCTGTTCTTCCCTCGCCTTCTCTCAACGTGGTGGAAAAGTGTTTCCAGGACTTTGGTTCAGAGTGAGGACTGGAGGCCCAGCCACACTGGAGTGAGTCATGAGATCTTTCCTGGGGAGTCTTGAATTACCACATACAAAACTCTCAGTAACTGTCGGAACTCAGCTGGTTGCTGGTTTTGCTTGCATGCTTTAGCTGCGTTAAAGCACTCGGTAGTTTATTTTTCATATTTTATTTGGGTTAATTCCTAAAAATCACAAAGGCAGCGCCTTCATGCTAGGACAGTATCTATTATATTTTTTAAAATTTTGTTAAGTATTCAGGAAGGCTTTGCGTGGACTGCTCCTGTTAGAAGACAACCACAAAGCGGGGGAGGCCACGGGTAGAGCGGTTGCACAGATGGCAAGTGTAAGCAAATAGCGGCCAAGTCCATTGTGAAGTTTCACTTGCAGCTGTGTGGAAAATACCTATGCTGGTGACTCAATGTCTTTGGATTTCTAGCTTTAAATTACAGCAGAGAAGACTCATTTTCAAGTGCTGAGCATATAGGGAGACTGGCAAATGTGGGCCAGTTTTGAGCCCATCAGTTACCATACACTGCACTACAGAAGGATAATTAAAAGCAGGGGGAAGGGGGAAGTCTTGTGGTAATCAGGGCATCAAGCATGGTACCTGGACAGCTGGCATGGCAACCAACCTGACAGCAATACTGTGTCTATTTCCAATAATAGAAATTTAGCTCCCTTCCAGTGTAGCTGTATGCTGGGGTCTTGATTTTCTTTTCTGGAATGAGGTGTGCGCAGATGCAACGTTATTGCTCACCTGGCCCATCAGAGTCACGTATAAATGGTCAGGCCAGTGACTGTATCATACTTGTGCCTCTCACAGTTTTGTCTGGGAACTCTACCTTGTGTTGTAAAAGACCTTGTGTCCTCTGACCCCCCTCCCCCGACTTCCACTCTCCTCTTGGTCTGCCGCTGGGACTGTATTTTGTCGCTTATCTAACACAAAATAAACAGAACAATCTGGAGCTAATTTAAGTGGTTTACCATATCAGGATACAGCTGGGAAAGATTTTAAGAAAAGGCTCAACAGGAACAATAGCGCTGTGAAGTGGAGCAGCAGCGGAGAGCACAGGAAGGCAGTTTCAGGCAGCCTGGCAGACAGCTGTCAGCCACTCCAATAACAATTCCTGCAGCCAATGAAAACGGGCAGGCTCTGTGCGGGCAGCCTGGCCGGAACACCAACAATGAAAACAAGGGATTAGAGAGCATTCTCAGTTAATGGCTTGAGTGTCAGGGCCACCAGTCTCCCGGGAGCCAGTGCTCCCAACCAGCAAGGACTGGAGAGGAACTGCAGATGAAACAACACTTCATTTCTCTACAACACTGGCCAAGACTTTTTTTTTTTTTTTTGACATGCATGCATCCACGCTGGCTTTATCCTGACTTATGAATCCAGCAAGGCCCACAGAGGAACATCTGGTTTTGACATTAATTTCTTCTACTCTGCAGGATGGTTGGGTTTTTAACTCATTGGGGGCCTTTGGCTAGACCTTGAATTTCCTGGTGCAACTTGACAGAGGTGAGAGGGCTTGAGGGAGTTAAATAAAACTATGTGCTGCCCTTGAAAGGACTTGCAAATGCTTTATATATTAAACAAAGAAACTCCACTTGGATCAAGCTCTTGACAAAGATCCAACCAATTAGGTAAACGGTATAGTCTCGAAAGGCAGTGACATTTCATGCAAGGAATACTGAATTGGAAGCATGGAGACTTGGACTCTTGGTCTACTTCTGTCACTGCAAAAGGTTTCTGGGTCAAAGTTTCCTCACTTAGGACCATGTGCCCTTATCCTCTTCTTCATCATTTCATTTATGATATTAGCTTATGCTCACACATTTTTTTTTCCAGAGAGTACTTGACTTAGTAAAAATTTCCCTCTAACAACAGCAACTTTTGGGTTTATTATAAAGTAATTCCACATGTTTAAGAATAACTTTAAAAAATAATCTGTGTCTGTGTTCTTAAGTTGTAGGGAAAAGAGAGAGAGATCAGACCATTACTGTCTCTATGTAGAAAGGGAAAGACATAAGAAACTCCATTTTGATCTGTACCCTGAACAATTGCTTTGCCCTGAGATGCTGTTAATCTGTAACTTTGCCCCAACCTTGAGCTCACAGAAACATGTGTTGTATGGAATCAAGGTTTAAGGGATCTAGGGCTGTGTGGGATGTGCCTTGTTAACAAAATGTTTACAGGCAGTATGTTTGGTAAAAGTCATCGCCATTCTCCATTCTCGATAAACCAGGGGCACAATGCACTGCAGAAAGCCACAGGGACCTCTGCCCAGGAAAACTGGGTATTATCCAAGGTTTCTCCCCATGTGATAGTCTGAAATATGGCCTTGTGGGATGGGAAAGACCTGACCATCCCCCCAGCCCGAGACCCGTGAAGGGTCTGTGCTGAGGAGGATTAGCAAAAGAGGAAGGCCTCTTGCAGTTGAGATAGAGGAAGGCCACTGTCTCCTGCCTGCCCCTGGGAACTGAATGTCTCGGTATAAAACCCGATTGTACATTTGTTCAATTCTGAGATAGGAGAAAAGCCGCCCTGTGGCGGGAGGCGAGACATGTTGGCAGCAATGCTGCTCTGCTACTCTTTACTCCACTGAGATGTTTGGGTGGAGAGAAGCATAAATGTGGCCTACATGCACATCCAGGCATAGTACCTTCCCTTGAACTTATTTGTGACACAGATTCCTTTGCTCACATGTTTTCTTGCTGACCTTCTCCCCACTATCACCCTGTTCTCCTGCCGCATTCCTCTTGCTGAGATAGTGAAAATAGTAATCAATAAATACTGAGGAAACCCGGGGACCGGTGCCGGTGCAGGTCCTCTGTATGCTAAGCACCGGTCTCCTGGGCCCGCTGTTCTTTCTCTATACTTTGTCTCTGTGTCTTATTTCTTTTCTCAGTCTCTCGTCCCACCCGATGAGAAATACCCACAGGTGTGGAGGGGCTGGCCCCCTTCATAAAGTAAGAAGAATGTCATCTGAAGGTCCAATAAAAATAAACAAATGAAGAAGTAGAAATTAATGTTGTATTAGTCACTGCCCCATCTATTGTTACATCACATCATAATACATCATTGAAATAGCATTGATTATTAAAGTTTCCATGATAATAGAATGTAAGACTAAATTTTCAGTGTAAAAATAAGAGAGATATGGATAGGTCTTCTAAAAGCAGAAAAGAAGATGAAAACTTCTAAAGGATAAAAAGATGGGTAGGATTGGGAAATATCCCCTTTAGAAATAGAACATCTCTTCTATTTCTAGACCAAGTAAGTTCAGACAACGATTACTTCAAAAATATCTGAGCACACTAAAAAAATTTTTAAAAATCCAACTATCTGAAAATATAAAATCTCTCTAGAACAGCTCTCAAGCAATAGTGTGTCGAATCACCTAGAAGTCTTGTGAAAACAGACTGCTGGGAACCATCTCCAGAGCTTCTGGTCCAGAAAGGGGCCTGAGAATTTGCCTTTCTAACAAGTTTCCAGGTGATAGTGATATTGCTGCTCCTGGGACCATACTTAGAGAACTATTGCTCCAGAAAGAGATTTAATGGCTAATACAATAAAGTCAAGTGATCTTACTCTGTATTTTTGTTGTTGTTGTTCTTTTAAATCAACAAAAGTGATTCAAGTGTCAAGTGTGGTTGAATGGTGAGAATGAAAAAATAAGCAAAAAACGAAGGGGTATTGAATCAGTGCAGAATAGTCAGAAGTCACACACAGAGAAAATGGATGTATTTTACCTTTGGTGAGGAGTAAATTATAAAAGGACTGTAGCTACTTTCTGAAAGGTAAAATTGTCCTGACTCAAGGATGAAAAGGTATGTCAAAGGGGAATGTTTTATAATAATGAGTCCCTGGGTCTAGACCTGATACCAGTGGTTCTCATCCTGGCTACATTATAGAATTACTTGGGCACACTTTGGGAGGCCAACGCAGATGGATCATCTGAGGTCAGGAGTTTGAGACCAGCCTGGCCAACATGGTGAAACCCCGTCTCTACTAAAAATACAAAAATTAGCCGGGTGTGGTGGTGCACGCCTGTAATTCCAGCTACTCAGGAGGCTGAGGCACTAGAATCGCTTGAAACCAGGAGGCGGAGGTTGCAGTGAGCTCAGATCGCACAACTGCACTCCAGCCTGGGGAACAGAGTGAGACTCCCTCTAAAAAAAAAAAAAAAAAAAAAAAAAAAAAAAAAAAAAAAGAATAACTTGGGCAATTAGAAACTTGAAAGGGGGCTTTCCGGGTGATTTCCAAGTACAGAGAAGATTATGAACCTGCCTACAAGGTGTTCTACTCTGCAGAAAAGATGAAGTGTTGAATCACAAAGAGACGAGAGACACAGCTTTCTATGGATGGTGATTTTAATTCCCATGACTGGACCACAGAATCTCAATACAAAGACAATGAGGTCAAGATAGATTAAATGATATGCAAGAGGCTGTACAGCTAGTTAGGGGCAAATCCACTATTAAACCTCTTTTCCTGAAGCCCATCCAAATTTCTGTCTACCATATTATTTGACTGAATTTGCAATAATAATTTTAAAAATAGAAAAAAGGTGGTATTTGGGGAGAATCTAAAATAGAGATCTCAGTACACAACAGTAAGGTCAATTATCACATTGGAGATTCCAGTGTTTTCAATCAAAATATCCACTATAAGAAACTAAGAAGTCAACACAGGCTTTCATCAATTCTGAAACTACCTCTAATGTAAACAGAGCTTTCACTATCTACAAGCCAAGTGGTTCCAGTGAGGTTGGTTACTGACGTTATTGTAGTACACAAAAGCCATGGGAAATTGAAGCATAAGGAAAAAGAGAGAAGATGGCCTACAGTGATGTTGTCTGGCAACCTTAAGAGATCACAGGCAGGCTCTTCTCCAGCAAGCTGTTTCTCATACTCCATCAACGATATCAACATATTGCACTGGGAGAGGTTTGCCAGAAGGAAAGTGAGGTCATGGAGTGATTTGGTGAAGCCCACAGCTCGTCTGTAACTCAGCCTACTTTATGGGACTCAAAGTGAATTAAAACTACATTTTAAAAGCTGTGTCTTCCACCTGGTTCTCCTCACTGTTTTTGGCTAGCAGGAAAAGGGCCTGTCAGTTTTATCTGTAGGAGGTAAAAAGGAACAGCACATTTCAGGGAAAAGCAAATAAACATATTTGCTGCGGTGGTTTCAGGTTTACCAATGCAGCAGGTGGGTCAGGAAGCACAGCACTGATCCCAATCACTGCAACATTAACATTTTGCTCAACCAAACATGATGTCACATGGCCCATGAGAAAGCATGTTTTGAGCTCATAATATGAAATAGAGGTCAGACAGGAGCTTCTCCCCCATGTGACCAACGCATCTACATTTTACAGGAATTTCTTCCTCTTGGGATCAATTCACAATACCTCTATCCATTTCCATGTCTTGATAAAAACCAAATAGAAAATCAGAAATTATTTTTAAAGCAGCTTTGCTGAAAGAATATTCAAGGCATTAGAAAGAAAGAATCAATATATCATTTTGATCACTTAAAAGCTTTTTTTCATGGTTACTCAAAACCCACGCAGAGCTAGGAGATAGGGCTCATTAAATCAGAGGGATTCTGGAAGACCATTTCCTGGTCAGCTGGAGCAATGTTGCCTGCACCAGTCCTATCCCTAACAGCCAAAAACTGTGATGAGAACCAGGCTTTTAAAATGTAGTTTTAATTCGCTTTTTTTTTTTTTTTCTTTTGTTGAGACAGAGTCTCGCTGTCGCCCAGGCTGGAGTGCAGTGGCGCGATCTCCGCTCACTGCAGGCTCCGCCTCCCAGGTTCACGCCATTCTCCTGCCTCAGCCTCCCAAGTAGCTGGGACTACAGGCGCCCGCCACCTCGCCCGGCTAATTTTTTGTGTTTTTAGTAGAGACGGGGTTTCACCGTGTTAGCCAGGATGGTCTCGATCTCCTGACCTCGTGATCCGCCCGCCTCAGCCTCTCAAAGTGCTTGGGATTACAGGCGTGAGCCACCGCGCCCGGCTTAATTCGCTTTTGAGTTTCATAAAGTAGGCCAAGTTACAGACAAATGCAGCAGTGTGAGGTAGACTTTCTATTTTTCCTATCCTGTTGTGTGATGGAACTTACTTATTTCTTTTGATTCTCAGGTTTCTCATGCTATAATTAAACACAAATGTGGCTCCTATCATTTTATTTTACAAAAGTGAGTTAGAGCCTCTTAATCCATATTTCAATATAGGCTCAGTGTTACATATTTGTGTTTGGAGCTGAAATCCACAGACCTGCCAGCTTAGTGCATCACAATTATTCTCTGCTACTATGTGTACATGTTTATACCAAAGTATAAAGGTACCCAAGATTTCAGCTGGGGGAAAAAAAATTTCTTTGCTAGCTGTAGTCACCTCAATAATGATTTCTTAAGATGACTGCTATTGTTAAAACTCATGTTTTTAAAAAAATTTTTAGTGTCAGAAAAATTTTCACTATAAAAGGTTAAATATTTACCTTAGGAGTAGAATAATAATAATTCACATTTTCCTCTTTATACCTTTCAATACCATGATTTTTTTTTTTTTTTTTTAGACAAGATACCACTTTATCACCCAGGCAGGAGTGCGGTGGTGCAATCATAGTACGTTGTAACCTCAAACTCCTGGGCTCAAGTCATCTTCTCACCTCAGCCTTCTGAGTAGCTGGGATTACAGATATGTGCCACCACACCCAGCTAATATTTAAAACTTTTTTTTCGAGACAGGGTCTCACTATGTTGCTCAGGCTGGTCTCAAATTCCTGGCCTCAAGTAATCTTCCTGCCTTGGCCTCCCAAAGTGCTGGGATTACAAGCATGAACCACTGTGCCCAGCAGCCACATATTAATATTTTTTATCAGAAACATTATCAAATTTTTAATTAAAATTAATGAACAAATAATAAGGATTTCTTTCAAAAGCTGACTTTAAATCTAAAATCATGTGGTTTATTATACAATAAAGTCTAATCTGGTAATCCAAAAGTTAGAAAGTATTATTTTAAATATTAATTTACAAAGAAGAAAGAAATGAACTAGGAAGTACTACCTTGTTTTACAGAGAAAAGTAACATTTCAGAGTCTATTATTTAACAATATAAAAGAAAACAAGCCCTTAATGTGACCACCAATCCTTCTCAATGCCACACCTTGTTGGACAGAATGGCCCACGTATCAGAATGGAGCAGCCCAACAAATACTCAGAGCCATCAGATGATGCCAAGGATACCTCATTATTCGTTTTATTTCATGAAAGTCTTTGTTTTTGAGACAGAGTCTCGCTCTGTCACTCAGGCTGGCGTGCATGATCTCAGCTCACTACAATCTCCGCCAGGTTCAAGCGATTCTCCTGCCTCAGCCTCCCGAGTAGCTGGGACTACAGGTACCTGCCACCACGCCCAGCTAATTTTTCTGTTTTCAGTAGAGGCAGGGTTTGGTCATGTTGGCCAGGCTGTTCTTTAACTCTGGCTCAAGTGACCTGCCTTGGCCTCCCAAAGTGCTGGGATTTATAGGTGGTAGCCACCACACCTGGCCTCATGAAAGTCTTCTTATGGACATTAAACGTTCCTATTATTTTTCTAGTAATTTGCCAGGCAATGGGCTACTTTCTTTAGTTTTTGAGCTTGCTCCTTGTTCCTTATGTGTGTATTTTTGCCTAGAAGAGACATAATTCAATTCTGGCAGAAACTTTCCCTTTTGTCAAACAAATCTGGTTTTCACTATCAATGCGCAATCAGCTTGGTTTCTGCTTCCCAGTCATTTCCTGGATACCTTTTTGAGTTATTTGATAATTACTTGACCAAGAACTACTGCTGCCACCTCTAATCAATTAAAATTGACACAATTTCTAGGCCCTTGGCTTTTTTTTTTTCTTGAAGTTTCATCAGTCATGACCTTAGGACCTTTCTGAGCTGCATTGATACCGTAACTAAAAGGAAAACAAGTGATTCCAGGAAAAGACTATCTGCATTGAGGATCGTGATTAGGAAAGCACTTTGTTAATGTCAGTCGAAGGCAAGCTAACTCTACACACTAAAAGAAAAGATGTCCTACAGGCAATAATGAGAAAGGTCAAATAGGCTTTCTACTAAATATGGATACTACATTAATTTGGGGAAAAAAAGAAAAGGAGAGTGAGGGTATGAATAAGAAGGTAAAATGGAAGCTAACACCAACCAGATCTAAGTGGACACTACAGGTTGAATACTCCTTGTCCAAAACACTTAGGACCAGAAGTGTTTGGGATTTAAAATTTTTTTTGTGGGATATTTGCATATACATAATGATACATCTTGGGGCTGGGATCAAATCTAAACACAAAATTCATTTATGTTTCATATACACATAGCCTGAAGGTAATTTTATACAATATTTTAAATAATTTTGTGCATGAAACAAAGTTTGACTGCATTTTGAATGCGACTAGTCAAAGAAGGTCACGTGTGGAACCTTCCACTTGTGGCATCATATCGGCTCAAGAAGTTCCAGATTTGGGAGCATTTCAGATGGTGGATTTTCAGGTTAGGGATGCTCATCCTGTATAGCCTTTATGTAGTCTTAGTTTGTGTCTTCATTAATGCTCTGAGATTAGCATTTATTACAAGTCTTCCTTAAGATCAATGATTCATTGTAAAATTACTGAAGTTCGGGATGAATATAATGTGGTAAGCGCGTATGACTTCCATAAAATCCAAAATATCCAAGATACTTACATCTCATATGTGAACAGCTGATAATAATTACACACTCTACCTTACATTTCTTTTAAGGCTCTCAGCAGGCGGTCTATGACAGCTTCCCATGCAAGTTCTAAGGCAAGATAAGAGACAAAGCTGTGGCCAGGTGCCCTGACTACGGAAAGAAAGAGAAAAAAGGCCCAGAAATCTTCCCTGGCCTGTTCCAGTCCAGAAGAAAGGAGACTGGGCCTGGGCACACAGACAAACTGTCTTTAGTTTAAAGAGGAGAACAGACTTTATCAGATTTCAGGGTTAATGTGGTAAAACACTAAACTTGCCTGTCTTCCGGGAAAATGCACGTAGAACAAGAGGTCACTGAGATGAGGACCCCTGGGAATCCTACCTCAAGACCCTCTGTTTCCTTCCCATCCCCAAAGACATCTTTCTCTTATTGATAAAAACAGAAAGATAAGAAGGAAGCTACAACATCAATTTGTTCTGCAGATTAAATGTTACATTAATGCCAAGTTTTCTCCTTGAGATTTATCATTTTCCTATTAAGTTGTATCATTTATCATGTCCTAAAAGCAATACAAGTGTGTAAGAAAATCAGGAATGGAGCAAAGAATGAGACAAAGGTTTAGTAAGTGGAGGTTGTTATTCATTCTTGGGGGGATCTTTTTGGCCTGTTTCTACCAGTAATTATAAACACATAGATACACACACACATGTATTTCAATGTCAAACTTTAAATTACCAACTTGCTATGTGCCAAGCACAGGGAATGATATAGTGGTGAACAAGACAGACAAGGCCCCTGCTCCTATAAAGCTGAATTCTGGTGAAGGAGACAGGTGATAAATAAGGAAAGCAAATAATAAACGTTGAGAGAATTCCCACTGTGGTGAGTGCCAGGACAGAAACCAAACACTGTGATGGGGCAGACCATGAGGGAAAAGGGAGAGGGTGCAGAAGATAGAGGAGTTGACTTCTGAGCTGAGAATTAAAATGACCAGGAGTCAACCCTGTCAGGTCAGGATGAAGAGAGCTCTAGGCAGAGGAAGCTCAAGTTCAAAGGCCCTCTCTAATACAGTATTAGGTAGTTGGATACATTGTGCCAAAGTTCCTTTTAAACTACAGACTATATTCTATATTCCTATAGTTGTCTGTTGTCAAGAAAAACTTAAGCTAAATGCATAAAGCACAAAGGAACGTCAACTCAAATTTTATGATTATCATTACTTCTCTCTCATTATCTGTATAACCCACCTACTTAATTTTATTGAAATTTATTTATCTGATAGGATACATGCCCATCTGAAGTCATTTTTTTTTCTTTTTTGTCTGAGCATACGCATTTTTCTCAATTAAATCACTGGTTTTTTAAAATGCAATTGTGTTTGTTTTATTTTATTTTATTTTATTTTGAGACAGAGTCTCACTCTATCATCCAGGCTGGAGTGTGGTGGCACAATCTTGGCTCATCGCAACCTCTGCCTCCTGGGTTGAAGTGATTCTCATGCCTCAGCCTCCAGAGTAGCTCGGATTACAGTTGTGTGCCACCACACCCAGCTAATTTTTATGTTTTCAGTAAAGACGAGGTTTTGCCATGTTGGCCAGGCTGGTCTCGAATTCCTAACCTCAAGTGATCCACCCACCTCGGCCTCCCAAAGTGCTGGGATTACAGGAGTGAGCCACTGTGCCCAGCCTGCAGTTATGTTTAAAGGTGGAATATTAAACCACAGGTTCAAGGGGGAATCAAGGAAGACTAGATATACTTCAATCAAATTTGGCCACCATCAGTTAATTTCTTAGAAACTTATAAGAGAACAGACCAAGAGACAGACACAACTCAAACAGTCACCACACTTCCTTACGCTGGCTCATCAGCATCATGAGACAGGCTTTCAACCCTAAAGACAATTCATTCTAGTTTTTAACTATAAATTTGACTGAGGTGTAGAAAATAGATGTATTAGTAAATAGGCTTATTGTTTCTCTTAGGAATTGTATTGTCTTCTAAATACAGCAACTAAATATTTGACATGTAATTTTATAGTTAATATATCTGCACATTAGGGATTTCTGATGGCACTATTACATACATATTAAAACCACTACTCTTAATGCTTCTGTTAGCTGAAGTCAGAAGCTTTAGGAAGGCAACACATTGTGAGGTTTTTTTATTAAGTTATTTTCTACGTGGAATTAAACTTTATAGAAACTTTTCAGGGATGTTTTAATTCAGTTCATTGCAGACTGTATCAAATTTTATTTCAAGGGACTTTCTTACACTGAAAAAAATAAATTCCTTATTTTAGAATAGTTTTAGATATACAGAAATGTTGCAGAAAGTTTCCATATGCCCCAAGCCCAGTTTTCTCTATTGCTAACAACTGACATTAGTCTCATAAATTTTAAGTGGCAAAAATCTCAATATCATGTGCACACACACACACACACACATGCATGCACAAATACACATCTAAAGAACTTTCAACCCAACATGGTATTTCTGAAACTTAGAAACTTTCAAGACCTCTTCTTAATGCCTGATTTTCTAAAATGTTAGAATAACAGTGATTTATTAAATTAAGTAACTCTTCTTCAGACATTTTTAGAGTCAAAGCAATTTTTATCAAAAGGTCACTACCAAATAATTAGCTAATTAGCAAGAACATTTTTTTCTCAGTTCAAAAAGTAATTAGAAATTATAACCATGAAGGGGTGCTAATTGGGTTTTCACAGAAGCATTAAGTGCCTGAACATTTTTTTCATTTGTTTCACCCCTCTGCCGATGAAAGTTACCGTGATTAATCCTTTCTCTTCTGCATGACAACAGCAACATAAAATGCTGCAGTTGAGTACTGGTAATAGAGGATAAGGAACAGAGTCAATTAAGATTTGGGATTTTCCATAAGTGTGAGATTTCCTATTGATTGGCTACAATTTCAATACAGGAAGCTAGGAACCCCACTCTCCAATCTGAGAGAAGAAGGTGGAGTTGCAGAGAGAATGGAGCTCAATATTCCCTCGTGGGCTCACCTGCTGTGACTTTATACAGCATGTTAGCTGATGTTCCGGTGAACCTGTGACCCACACTGGAGAATGATCATGACAGGGCAAGCTGTGGGGACCACATAGTCCTTATTCCATTAATGTCTGCTTACCACAAACATCAGCGCACTTGCAACATCCCCGTGGTTCTTGAATGTGGAGAAGCTGCCAGTGCCAGTAGCTAGCCTGGGATTGGACTTCAGGCAGAGTTCATGTATGATCCAAATACCCAAGTTTGGTCAAGTTTGATTCACTTTTGTGTGCTTAGTGTGCAGCCCTGCATTGAGGAACCACTGAGAGAGTTACTTATTTATTCATTTATTCATTTATTTATTTATTTATTTATTTTTGAGAGGGAGTCTCGCTCTGTCACCCAGGCTGGAGTGCAGTGGCACGATCTTGGCTCATTGCAACCTCCGCCTCCCGGATTCAAGTGATTCTCCAGCCTCAGCCTCCTGAGTAGCTGGGATTACAGGTGTGTGCCACCACACCCGGATAATTTTTGTATTTTTAGTAGAGACGGGGATTCACCATGTTGGTCAGGCTGGTCTCGAACTCCTGACCTCATGATCTGCCCGCCTCGGCCTCCCAAAGTACAGGAGTGAGCTGGGTTTACAGGAGTGAGCCACCGCACCCTGCTGAGAGAATAATTTTCTAATAGATGAAGAAGTAAAGCGTTCACTTACCCTAAAAGAACTGCAGAGATTTTGAGTGATACATACCTCTAGAAGCCCAGGAATCAAGGGCTTTCCAATAAGGCAAACACAAAGCTCTCATCTGAATTCAGAGCACTGGCTGGTTTGCACAGAGCACTGGCTGCTAAGTGCCCAGACTCCTGTTTGGCAAGCCAGTGTCCTAGGGAGCATGAATGCATTTTCAGGGAAAAAAAGGCCAGCTTCACATCCAAACCCCCAAGAGATAGGAGGAGGGAATTTGGACAGAGGAGCCACCTGTTACAAATGAATTCCAGAAAGGGTAACAAGTGTGTTCTCTGAGAAAAGAAATTGGGTGGCTGGAGGGAGGCAGACTTACTTTTCATTCAGATGCTCTTGTCATTTTAAAATTTTGTACTTTGTGCACTGTTGGTTCAAAAATAAAATAGGCTGGATGCGGTGGCTCACACCTGTAATCCCAGCACTTTGGGAGGCCAAGGTGGGAGGATCGCTTGAACCCAGGAGTTTGAGACCAGCCTGAGCAACATAGCAAGACTGTCTCTAATAAAAAATAAAATAAATTATTATTTAAAAGTGAACTCTGGATGAAGTCATTTATCTGGAATAAGACTACTGTGCAGTCATCTGAGCAACACTTCAAACAGGAGACAGGATGGAAGTCAGGGGTAGAAAGATACACTGTGAGACTTAGGTCTTAGTGGTCCTCTACCCTGCTAGCCACAGGCCATACCTGCGGCGGGTTATCAGAACCCTCAGAAGGCAATAAGGCTGGGACAGCAGTGGGGGACACACCTCCACCACAGGGGATGGGGTGAGCATCCCTCGGCACCTGGACTCTTGTCCCCATAGAGCTCTGCACATCTGGTGATCTGACTCCTAAAACCATTCCTCTGTGCTTCAGCTCCTCATAGATCACCATCAGAAGTCCTTACAGCCAGAACCTCTGGCTCACATTGAGATCTGGCTCTCCCCAGAGGACAACTGCTTCCTCTGCAGCCTTGTTGCTTGTTACTGCACTTCCTAACTTTTTCCCACCCTCCTTTCTAACTGCTGCCCCGCCAGGTTAGAAGCCCATGCTATCAGACTATACTACTTGATTACAGGGATTTACAAACTCCTGGATCAGACCTGCCAGGAGTTTGTAGATTCTCTTTTGAAGATTTTAAGACCTAACATCCTATCAGTCTCTCCACTCTCTCATAAACCTTGATGAATTCAAAGCTGACACAGATGATCTTTCCCAAAACCTGGACGCTCAATGACCTGTCCTTTTCTCCTTCCATGATCTAAATTTCCACTCTGCTAAAGAAACTCAATCCCAGAGTTGTATCCTAGATCTTAAGATTATAAATATTTGCAAACCCTCCACAATCTCAGTTTCAAGTCTCACTCTCCAATGACCACCAACCATCTTCCAGCTCACTTCCTTTAGAGCTGAGCTGTTCAAAACAATACCCACTGGGCACATGCGGCTAGAAATGTGGCTAGTCTGAATTGAGGTGTTCTGTAAGTATAAAATACACAACAGACTGTGCGTGTGTGTGTGTGTATACACACACATATATGTGTATGTACATACATATGTATGTGTATATATGTGTGTGTAAAAGACTGTAAAACATCTCATCAATAACTTTTTATATTGATTATAAACTGAAATAATATTTTGGATATACGGAATATCTAATTACTAAAATTAATTTCACGTGTTTCTTTTTAGTTTTTTAATGTGGCTATTTAAAATTACATATGTGGAGAAGATTAAAATCATATCATGTATCTTTTCTGACCACAATGCTTTGAAACCAGAAATCAGTAACAGAAGAGATCTGGAAAATTCACAAATACAGTATGTGGAAATTATACAACATGCTCTTGAATAACCAATGGGTTAAAGAAGAAATCAAAAGGGAAGTCAAAAATATCTTGAGACATATCACTTAAATGTCTCCTTCATATCACTAAAAGAGGCATTGAAGAGGGTAGGAAAGACAGTCACGAATTGCTGCCATGCCTCACACATCTCCCCAGTAGCAGCTGCGTGGCACAGAGACAGAATCTGTGTTCTTGGGGGAAGGAAGGTGTAGCGATTGTGGGACTGTGCACTGGAACTCAGTGCTGCCCTAAAACAGTGGAAAGCAACACCGGCAGAATTCAGCTGGCACCCGTGGAGGGAGCATTTAGACCAGCCCTGGCCAGAGGGGATCAACAATCCCAGTGGTTGGAATCGAAGTTCCAGCAAGGCTCACCACCATGGGCTCAAGTGCTCTGGGATTCTAAATAAACTTTAAGGTAGTCCAGGGTACAAGGACTGCAATTTCTAGGCAAATCCTAATACCATGCTGGGCTTAGAGCCAGTGGATTTGGTGGGGGGGGAGGAGGGGGCACGTGACCTACTGAGACACCAGCTAGGATGGCCAAGGGAGTGCAGCTCGCAGCCCTGGGAAAGACTACTTCTTTCCACTCAAGAAGAGGAGAGGGATGACTAAAGAGGCCTCTGTCTAACAACTTGGATACCAGCTCAGCCACAGCAGGATAGGGCACCAGACAGAGTCCTGAGGTCCCCATTCCAGGCCCTACCTCCTGGAGGACATGTCTAGATATATCCTGGGCCAGAAGGGAGCCCACTACCTTGAAGGGAAGAACCCAGTCCTGGCAGCATTCATCACCTGCTAACTTAAGAGCCCTTGGGCTCTGAATAGTCAGCAGCAATACCCAGGCAGTACTTGCAGTAGGCCTTGAACGGGATTCAGAGCCAGGCTGGCTTCAGGTGTGACCCAGCACATTCCCAGCTGTGGTGCCTATAAGGAGGGATGTCTTCTGCTTGAGAAAAGGAGAGGGAATTGTAAAGCGGACTTTTGTCTTGCAGCTTAAGCATCAGCTCAGCCACAGTGAGGTAAAGTACCAAGCTGACTCTTGATATCCCTGATTCCAGGCCTTGGTTCTTAGCATTTCTGGAGCTGCCCCTGGGCAGTGACGGGGTTTCACCATGTTGACCAGGATGGTCTTGATCTCCTGACCTCGTGATCCTCCCGCCTCGGCCTCCCAAAGTGCTGGGATTACAGGCATGAACCACCGCACCTGGACTATAATAACAGATTCTTAATCTTTCAAGCTCCAACCTGCTGTGAGTTGGTCAGGACAAGGGAGTCAGTATGAACATGTGACTATAAGGAAACGCTTTTTGAAATTATCTTTGCTTGGACCAAAGGCAGAAGTTTGCATGTAGGTAGTTTATGTTGGAAGTGATCCCAGAGAGCAGGAGGGAAAGGCTGGGAGAGCCAAACAGGGAGGGAGGGAAAAAGCAACACCTGGATGTGTTATCAAGTTGGCTGACCACCGCCACAGGTGGCTCATGCTCCATCTCACTGGGACCCTTTGAGAATTCCAATAAGATTCATCTCACAGCTGGGGGATCCATGGGGGAAACATCCATCCACTGGTTCCCAATGAGTAAGTGTGGCCCCATGGGCACTGACTCCCAGCACACCTGGGTTATGCACATGTGAGCCCCTCAGTGTCAGAAAACATGGGCTCAGGGCAAGGCACTGTGATTGCCCCTGTGAGAAACTCACGAAAGCCTGCTCTGACCTGGTCACCATAGCAGCAGCTGGAACAAAATATGGTGCTTCAAGCATCTGCAGTGATGCATAGACGCGTCTACAAGAGACACTGTCTTAGTAAGTGTGGTTTCTAAATGACAGCCTGGAGCTGAAGGATGCAATTGTGGCTTTTGCTTTAACTATGGATCACAGTCCCTTAAGCTCACGTCGTCATCTGAAAAACAGAGAATAACATACCTACCTCACATTCTGGAAAAGACTTAAAACTAAAATGCTGCCATTCAATAGTTTTAAGAATTTCAGTAAGATTTAAAGACAGCAATTGGCTATTGAGTCATTAGCTCCTGCTTGCCCCAATCCTACCCAGTTGCAAATTCTGAGGACTTCAGTGAATAGGTTCAGCTCTGCTCAGGCCCTAGAGACTGACAGCTTCATGTTGAGTCTACAGTTTTCTCTGCTACCCTACAGTATTATGTGTGGGCATCTGCCTGCTTTCCAAATGTACATTCCAGTTTCCTGAAAGCGAGGTTCCAAGGCCTGCCCAGCCCTTATGAACCTCCTTTTCCAGGGGGTGCTGGGCTCTGTCCACATAGCATGGCTGAATATGATCCTGCTTCTTCCTGGACCTACGGAACCTAAACATGGATATAATATTTGTAATTGCCCAGAGATTACTGCTGCAGTATCCTCACCAACCAGTGCAAAATGGCAAAAGCCCAGATAGTGATGATGATGAAGATAATAATAATAGCTGTATTTATTAAATTCCTGCTTATGCCAGGCCTGGTGCTAGGTGCTTTATGTGAATTCTCTCATTTAATCCTCACAATAGTCCGCTGAGCAAGCTTTATCCCTATTTTGCAGATAACAAAACAGATGCTCAGAAAAGTAATTTATCCATATCACCAAATTAGTAAGTGGTAGAATGAGGGCCTGAGCCTCAGGTCTGTACAATTACAGAGCCTCTATTCCGATTTAATCATTGTGCTACACAGTCTCTCCAAGATGGGTCCTAAACCTGCCATGTCTACTTGGCCGTGATAAGTCAGACTCCTTGTCAATTTTCTGGAGCCTGTCCTATAGCCAGCTCAGCCTCCTATCTATGGCTTTGCCCAGCCTTGGCTTCCCACCTTCTCCCTGTTCCCAACATGCCAAGTTGAGTCTACTATTAACAATATTTTCCAAGGAATTGACTGGACCTGGAATCTTTTTGGTACATTTCCGTATCAGTCATTTGACTTGAGCAGTCTTTGAAATCAAAAAGTGATATAAAGTCCTCATGTATTCTTTGAGTTACGATTAAATCTAGGTTTATTACCAAGTTCCTACGATGAGCAATATATGCCCAAAGCTAAGACTAGTAAGAGAGCAAGGAGAATGTGCTTCAGGGAATAGACTGAATTGGGGTTGAGATAATGACATGTAACTTTAAAAGCAAAGCATTGTCCTGAAACACCAACAATTAAAATCATTTTTCTTTTCCAAAATGTGTCTCTTACTCTCTACACACTGTATATATACATGACAGGGAGAAAGATCCACCGACCATTATTTTCACACCTGCAAACATATTCTCAAAGTTCCATATGTTTTTCAAGGCCTCAATGCTTAAGAAAATACACCTTGGCTGACTGGTTGCATATCTCCAAGGAAGAGGCTGTTTATGTCTGCTCCTGTCTGAATCTTGAGACTTGGAACACCTTATTATCATGACCCATAATTTCTTCCTCATTTACAGTTCTCAGCAGGATCTCCAGTTGATGGCTACACAGACCGTGCCCTAATCCATAGGAACACAGTTTCTGCATTCAATGTAAAAAGTGATCTTGCTTAAGTCCCAAAATCAATTAGTGCTTCAAGACTTGGGAAAATATTATCAACAAAGGAATAGCCACCCAAGGAAAAAAGCAAATAAATCCCTGCAGAGAAAATAAATGCCATTCATTTCCAGTCATATACAGCAATAAAACTGATTAAATTCCTCACAAATATAAGCTGACAAAGCAGTGGGAATGTGATAATGAAGGTCTCATAGCTTCACAGGGACTTTGCCTCCGAGAAGCTAGCAAGGATGCCTAAATCCTTTTTATTACTATTGGGAGGAAAGAAGTAGCAAGATTGAGAATTCTTTACCTCTGTTACAGTTCTATAAATTTTTATAAATAACTGTATTACTAAGCAAAGCACAGGGTAGAATTTAAGAAAAAGGAATGCCCCTAAAAATGAGATATACCTCCCCACTTTTCAGAACAGTATGTTCTGTCGTAAACAAGACACTTTACTATTCACATAGCCATGTGATACTATGATTGCAGCACCTGAAATGGAAAGTAAAAGATCTAAATTTTCAAACCATTTCTGGCACTGGTCCCCTGTGCTTTTCGACAAATGACTTCCCTGTGTTTATTTCCCGATTTACAAAACGGTGATAATTATTTCTAACCTACCCCAGAGAAGTAGAAGATAAAGCATGCTCCAGAACAAAAAGTATTTTTAAAAGACCTTAATAATAACAACCCTCTTTTTTGGAAAAAAAGATTGTTTCTATTTTATGGGGAAATACTTTACTAATCGTGAGTTTGTCCATAGAAAGATTTTATAATATTAAAAAAGAAAGATTCCTGAATATGGATGGATTAGCCTTGAGAATATATTTGAACTATATAGTTTCTAATGATTAAAATTTCAAAGAAAATATGTTTTACAATATGGATCCTGAATAACATATTCAGGATCCCACAATCCTATTTGTTGTATGTTATAATAACTTTTCTTCCGGCCATAATCCTATTTTTTATATGTTGTAATAATTTCTCTTCTGGCACCAAGGAAGAAAGGATAGCACATCACAGCAAACAAGTTAAGCATCTGGGTTTTCTTTGAAGCAGCTGGAAAGGCTTTCTTTCCCCATTCTGCCTCCATTATGTTGCATTCTGCATTGATGAAATAACAATAGGTATGATCGTGGTTCCTGTCCAAGTGCCTTTCTACATGCTGAGTCCCCACTGGAGGTATGGACTATAAGAAATGAAACTTGCTTCCCCCACTTTTTTTTTTTCTTTAACATTCCAACCCCAGTCTTATGCAACCAAATGAATTGCATCTTTCAATGGAGTCACTGGGAGGCAATACCCTTATTTCAAAGATGATGCTCAAAACTGGTTTTGGAATTGCCTTCGAAGCCAGTTTATGAGTTTCCTAAGCAAAATGACTTTACTACTCCTGCCTCCAAAGTACATTAAACAGACACAGCTTTTGCCTTGAAGACTCTTACAGTCTACTATGTGTTATTCTCACCCAGCCTGATCATTGCAAGAGAAAATCTTCAACAAAATAATCCCTGGAGAACTCTCAAGAGGTATGAATTACTGCAATTATGAAGCTACCATCTAAAGCAGCACTGTCTAATGGAAACAAAATGTGAGCCACAAATGTAATTTAAAATCTTCTAGTGGCCAGATCATGAAAAGATAAAAATAAACTGTTGAAATTAATTTTTTTTGAGACAGGGTTTTGCTCTGTTGCCCAGGCTGGAGTGCAATGGCATGATCACCACTCACTGCAGCCTTGACCTCCCTGGCTCAGTCAATCCTCCCACCTCAGCCTCCCGAGTAGCTAGGACCACAGGCATGTGCCATCACACCCAGCTAATTTTTGTATCTTTTTGTACAGATGGGGTTTCACCCTGTTTCCAAGGCTGGTCTCTAATTCCTGGGCTCAAGTGATCAAGTTCTGGGATTGCAGGCGTGAGCCACCACGCCTGCCTGGCTGAAATTAATTTTAATAATATATTTTATTCAACCCAATATATAAAAATATTATCATTTCAATATGTAATTCATATAAAAATTATGGAGGTATTATTTTTCATTATTTTTTCATATCATCTTTGAAATTCAGTATTTTACCCTTACAGCACATCTCAATTCAACTTTACCACATTTCAAATGCTCAATAGCCATGTATGACTAGTGGCTACCTGTTGAACAGCACAGACCCAGGCCCTTTTCTCCCCTGAATAATGAAGGCCAGGGCACTATTTAGTATTGAATAACTGAGCTCTTCCTGCCATTTTCTTAATTCCTTTAATTTATGAGTAGATAAAGTATAAAAACACTATCTATAACACTGGGCAGTTTGGTGTTCTAACAAAGAAAATCTTAGGTCAATCCAACACACACCGGAAAGAATAGAAGTCAAAACAGAGATAGTAAAGAAAGGCTTAGAGGCTCTTTCACCCACCACCAATTCTGCCTCTGATTGGCCTCTGATGCCACACTAGCTTGGAGAGACTGTATGCAGCTTCCTCAAAGCTGGGAAAAGGCCAGAGGCAGCTTTGAACCAGAGGAGTTTGCCTCTGCCTAGGAAAAACAGAACCTGTTATCTAAATTGCCTAATGATTCACAACCCAAACAAAGGAAACTCACAAGACCAGAATCCAGAGACAGCAGGGGGCCAGAAAAAGCTGAGACAGGAATGTCATGCTTAGGACCAGAAGGGGAGAAAGGAGATGAAATTGAAGACTCAAGAAATGCCTCTGAAGACTCTTAATTTCATTATCTCAAGAGACCAAGGCAGCCAGGCCTCTGTGCATTCTTAGGAGTGCAGACTCCATGGCCCAGACTGTGCGCAGACAGACTTCATATCTGTCACATGGGATGGAGGCACATCCTTCGGGGAGTCACATTAACCATCATCAAGATTTGCCAGTGTCAAGAAGCACAGGATGAGTATGATGGGTCCAAAGGGCCTGGGACCTGAAGAGGGCTGTCTAACAGCCAAGCAAACCCCATGGCCACATGCTAGACTGCTTCCCCACTGCCCACAGGGAGCTAAGGGAAACCATAGCTCGTGCCTCATGATGTAAGTAAGGATCTGTGGGCAACTGTGATTGCCATTTGCTTTTGCTTTTTTTTTTTTTTTTTTTTTTTTTTTTGAGACAGAGTCTTGCTCTGTCACACAGGCTGGAGTGCAGTGGTGCCATCTCAGCTCACTGCAATCTCCGCCTCCCAGGTTCAAGCGATTCTCCTGCCTCAGCCTCTGAGTAGCTGGGACTACAGGGGCATACCACCACATCTGGCTAATTTTTTATATTTTTAGTAGAGATGGGGTTTCGCCATGTTGGCCAGGCTGGTCTCGAACTGCTGACTTCAGGTGATCCGCCCACCTCGGCCTCCCAAAGTGCTGGGATTACAGGCGTGAGCCGCCATGCCCGGCTGCTTTTGCTATTTTTGTGAATGAAGGAATAAAGTTGATCTCCTTTAAAGAATTTAAAATTCTTCCATCGAAGAATCAAAAGAAAACAATGGAAACCTGAGATTTTGAACTTTAACAAAAATCCATGAAATTAATTGTATTCTCTTCCATAATTTGCCTGTTTTAATATAACAATGTTTTAAATTATTAACCAGATAAATTATTTATTTTCCCTTCTATATATTCAAGCAAAATGAACACTCCAGGAAGATGTGCCCCATTTCTCCTGTGGTCTTGTGTGCCTCTTTGAACACCAAAGGCTGGACAGGCCTAGTCAACATGCTCAGAACACACCTTCACTTCCTCTTCCTACATCCCTGCTCACTCCCCATGCCCAAAACGTCCTGCTCTCCGTGTCCATTGCCTACCTACATCTTAACAATCACTCAAGCACAGTTTAATGGATGTCCCGCCTCCCCTAAGAAGCTCCTCAATGACCCCTCTGCTGTCCAGACTTCATCTTTCTGTTCTGCCCTTAACCTGGGGAACCGTGGCTCCTGCAGATGTGTAGCTGAATCTTGAATCCACGCATACTCCTGTACCTCACACAGTCCCCGAGTTCTTTGCTAGGCATTGTGCTAGACTAGTGCCTGACATGTTTTTGGTCCCTCCTTCACAATTCACACTCCCTTTGGTAACATTTCTTCTCATACTAAGTGATTTTCAGTCTAGAGGGCAAGGAATCAACACAGTCTTTACAGGGGATGGATCATGGCCTCAGACACGGGAAAGGAAATCTCCACACCACACACTTGCCTGACCCCCTCTTCACCCACAGAGGAATCTGAGACTTGTGCCTCACACTGAATTAGAGACCACTACCATGATTCTAGGTGTGCTTTAAGAGAGGAGACTGGCCCGGCGCAGTGGCTCACTCCTGTAATCCTAGCACTTTGGGAGGCCGAGACAGGTGGTTCTCCTGAGGACAGGAGTTAGAAAACAGCCTGGCCCACATAGCAAAACCCCGTTTCTACTAAAAATACAAAAAAATTTGCCCAGTGTGGTGGTGGGTGCCTGTAATCCCAGCTACTAGAGAGGCTGAGGCAGGAGAGTCACTAGAACCCTGGGGGCTGAGATTGCAGTCAGCCGAGATCGCGCCACTGCACTCCAGCCTGGGTGACAAAGCAAGACTCTGTCTCAAAAAAAAAAAAAAAAAAAGAGGGAGACTGTATCTTACTGATCTTCAGAACTCCTCAGGACAGTACATTGTCTTAAATAACAAGTAGAGTTATGCTTGTTAAAGTTATGCTTGTTAACTGACTAATTTCTGTTACCAAAAAGAAAATAATGAGTGGTCAGGTGACCTCACCTGGGACCAGCCTGATGATCACAACCCACCATAGACACCAACCGGTCAGGCCACTCCCTCCAGCGACTCACAGATGTGATCTGAATGCACTGTACACAGGGTTATTTGCAGCCCTGAGTTTTCCTTAGGCCCCACTACTCAGCCTGCTCTATTACCTCTGGACTCCAGAGGGACCTTCAAACAAAAGGGGACACCAAAGTGGGAGTTTAAAATGGCAACCTACGGCCAGCACTGTCAGCGCAAACACAGCACTCCCTTTGTTCCCCACCTCTATTTCTTTTATATTTTGACTAATTTGCATGTATCTGAATAGTTCACCAGATCACAGGCTATTTTGAGGACAGGTATATAACTTTTTTGGTAGCTTCCACGGCAATGGATGTCATTCTTAATGTTTGCTAAATTTGTTACAACAATCCTCATTTTTTAAAAAGAAGATATTGACAAGAAAGTGTTCTGAGATGGAAACAAAAGAAAAAGAAAAAGAAAAAAAGATCCTTTTCTTTGAATAGTCACGGTAGGAGAGGCTGATTAGATATGGCCCATACTGTGAAAGAAAAATACAAAAAAAGATCATAAAGATTACAGTCAGTTAAGAGTGTAAACCACTGGAAAGGAATAAACCTGTGGTGCCAATAATCTCTGAAATATTTTCTCATTAAGAAAACATGAAAAAAGAGTCCTACAAGGTTAAGGATTGTTCTGTAAGAAAGGAACAAGCCTGGAAGGCAGAATTTCTGTATACAACATTTTGTTGATGCTTTGTACCTAACTGCCAAAGACAGCAAGAGAAGCGACTGGGGATTTTTTTCAAATATATTTTTATTATTGTTTTTAAGCCTGATGGGGCAATCTCATGCTTCTGAAAGCAATGGACAGCAGCCTGTTTGAAGCCAAGCACAGCGGGGTGGTCCCCCACCAAGAGCTTAGGCACTGCGTTCCCAGGCCCTCCACGGAAGAGCAAGTCTCTGATAAACTCCTGGGGAGGAAGGCGACTGTAGTCTTTCCTCAGCTGACTAAGCCAGAGCTTCAAATCAAGTCAGAGAACCACAGTAATCTTTGTATAACCCCAAAGCGGAGAGGAATCTGGGACAGAATGCCAACAAAGGCTAGCCCGGGAAATCTCTCTCTCGTTTTCTGGAGCGAATGCCTTGATACAAATATATTGCACACATATGTGCAGCAGTTACCACTGCCCTCAAGGAGAACCCCACACAAGGAGAGTAAAATGGGAAAGTATTAGTCTGTTTTGGTTCTTTAGTAGCTAAAATCTAACCAACTTTCATTTTTTTTCTTAGAAATATTACTACAGGGTAAATCCTCATTTTTACATTCTAGAAGAGATGAGTATAAACAATGCATCACTTTTGTTTTTTCAACTGATAATACTGGTGCCCCCTTTGAAACCTAAATGTCTATCTTGAATCTATTACTAATGACAATGTTAAAAAGATTCCAGACCAAAAGCACCAGCATCTATTTTCCGCTCATTCATGAATGCATATTCCTCACTTAGTGCCCCCATCTTCCTCCAGCTGCCTGTCTCTGGCCATTTCACTGCTCATTAATATTTCTACTGGAAGGGGAGGAGAACTTGAGAAAGATAAAAAACACAATCAGCCCATTTTTACCACTGGTTTCTGGGTAGAATGCAAGCTAGAAAAGAATATGAAATTTTGTAGAGAGTCATGTTTTCACATGAAGTGATATGAAAACATGACTCTACAAAATTTCATTATTCTTTGGCAAATATAGTTTGTCCTATGCTGATTGGTATGGTTTGGCTGTGTCCCCACCCAAATCTCATCTCGAATTGTAATCCCCAGGTGTTGAAGAAGGGACCTGGTGGGAGGTGACTGGATCATGGGGGCTGGTTCTCCCATGCTGTTCACATGATAGTGAGTAAGTTCTCACAAGAGCTGATGGTTTTATAAAGGGCTCTTCCCCCTTCACTTTCTCTCTCTCTCCTGCCACCATGTAAGATGTGCTTGCTTTCCCTTCCGCCGTGATTGTAAGTTTCCTGAGGCCTCCCCAGCCATGTGGAACTGGCTCTTAAACCTCTTTCCTTTATAAATTACCCAGCTCAGGTATTTCTTTATAGCAGTGTGAGAATGGACTAATACACTGATTTTCACCCAATTCCAAAAGATGGCTGCATATGTATCAAAAAGGCATACTTCAGCCAAAAAGTCACGAGCAGTCTAATAGCTCTTTGTTTTAGTTGGAATTCAGTGAACTACATTCTCCCATGGTGGAATCCATTCCCAGGGGTATTATGTCAGATACCGCTTTACCTCCCATGTGACTGAGGCAGCCTATAGCTGCCTTCTGACAGTCATCAAGGCAACGCTAACCTTTCTGCATCATTATCAGATGGACTCACCTAACTGTGGTAAGAGGACAAGTGTAAGAGACAAGGCTAAGTCTCCATTCTAACATAAGTGGTTGCACTTAGCCTCTCTGGGTCTCTGTTTTTAAAATGAAAACATTGTGTGGGGATTGTCTCTAAAACCCTTTCCAGCTCTATCTTTCTAGAACTTCAATTATCCAGGATTTCTCTGCATGGCTCCCATACTCTAAGCTGACCTGGATCACAGCCTACTGACACAGTGATTATAAGCTTGAGCTCTGAAATCAGACAGGCCTGAGTTTGACTCCATTCCTCCACTTAGGAAGTGCTATGCTTTGAATGAGTTATATTACTCTCTAAGCACCTACTTCTTCATCTAGAAATTGGGGATAATAGTAGTACCTATTAAATGGGTAGATACATGTAAAGTGCTTGGCACAACAACTAGGTTACAGGAAGTACTCATAAATTTTTGGTTGTTACTGTCATAATCATTCTCCATTATTTTCTCCATGGAGGCATCTGGAATGGACCATTCTCTCTCTCTCTGCCTATTCAAACTCTAGCATCCTTCCGCCAACAGCTCAAGCCCCAGCTCCTCTGTGAAGTCTTCTCACACAACTCCACTCATATTTCCCCTCCCTACTACGAAACAGCACTTACTGTCATTGTCAATGTCACACCATTTAGAAATTAGTTGTATAAAGTCTTACACTATTAGCAAGTGGGTTGGATAGCTAGCCTTACTGCTCATATAAGAATGTAAACTCTTGAAAGCAGAACCTGGAACTTTTATATGTGCGTAAACACAGAGGTGACACTGCTCATCACACAGAAGATGCTCAATAAATGAAGGTGAGTTGAGGTTTTTATTTTACCGAAAAAGTATTAATGCAAGTTCCCAAGGTGTCAAATATATACCCATGGATTGAAGAATGGGCCTGAATTTTTATAATCGTTTACAGCTTCCTACGTATTTTTCTGGATTTACAACAAAATCCCTAAGTAGAAGAAATCAGTCCATGGATCCCCAAGAAAACTAGAGCCAGCTCCCGCTCAAGTTTCAAAGGCTCTGAGGTGTGATGCTGTTAAAAGCATCTATTTGCCCAAAGTTGTTCTTATCTTCACAGTCACTCACAAGTCACAATATTTTAAACAATTATTCCCAGGCCCACAACAATTACTTTTTTTTGTGGAGGTCAATGGCGATAGAGTCGCTATTGTCTGTTTTTCAGAGAAGTCTGCTGAGCTGCCTTGTGGATGGGGACACTGGGACTATCACACAAGTATTAGGACGAGCATTTGCATGTGTGGTGAATGTTTCTCCTAGGAAAAGAACTAGTAGAGGATGGGAGGTGATCAGAAAGAATACTAAAAAATTTCAATCATTCCAAAGTGACTGCATGGAATTATGGTCCCCAAAGATGTCCTAACCTCAGAACCTGTGAATATGTTACCTTACATGGCAACGGGGAGTTAAAGTTGCCATGGAATTGAAGTTGCTAACTAGCTGACCTAAATATAGGGAGATTATCCTGGATTATTGGAGAGGGCATAGGTTATGAGCTCTAAAAGTTAAAGAAGGAAGAATAGACTAGAGTGACGAGAGAGAAGAAAAAGGAGGAGAGATTCAAAACATGAGGAGGACTCAACCCACTGTTAAAGGCTCTGAAGGTGGAAGGAGAAAGTCAAAGAATAAGGGGAAGCCTCCAGAAGCTAGAATGAGCCTTAAGCTGACAGCCAGACAATGAGGGTCTTGGTCATAGGACCACAGGGAGTTGAGTTCTCCCAAAAAACCCAAATGGTCTCTGCATTAGCCCTAGAAGACCAAATAGCCCAATGCTTACTTTAATGCCATTTCTGGCATCCTGGAACATCAATAATGGTGAGGTACAGTTTACCAGCACAGATAATCAGTGTAGCTACATCACAGTAAAACAAGGCACATTATTTGGTGTTAGTATTAATATCTGAATAGTCTCTTTCAAATATAGATAAGCATTCTGGATGTCATTTGGAGCAAAAAACCTCCTATGTCCTTTACTATATATGTTACAATTTTAATCAAAGTATAGCTGTTTAGTATAATAAAAATAAAATACTACAATCATTAATGGTTAATATTTTGTTATAAATATGATTGCTGATATTATAATAATATATATACTTAAGAACTTTCAGAGTTAAAAAATAGGAAAATGAATGAATAGTTAATGAAAGAGAAAATGTTACTTTGGAAGGCCAAGGCAGGTGGATTGCCTGAGGCTAGGAGTTTGAGACCAGCCTGGCCAACATGGTGAAACCCTGTCTCTACTAAAAATACAAAAATTTGGCAGGCGTGATGGTGGGCACCTGTAATCCCAGCTACTTGTGAGGTGGAGGCTGAGGCAGGAGAATTACTTGAACTGGGAAGGCAGAGGTTGCAATGAGCTGAGATCACGCCACTGCACTACGGCCTGGGTGACAGAGCGAGATTCTGTCTCCAAAATAAAAAATAAAAATAAATAAATAAATGAGAAAATGTGGTAGATAGATAACTTTAGGAAGAACCTTGTATATTTATGAAACCATAAATATTTATTAAAATTAAATAATAATACATGGCAAATAGATTATATAATTTTGATTTTTCTAGTAGTATATGGTAAACTAGCATTCATCACTTTAAACAAAATGACCTTTAAGCATCACATTTAATTTTTGATTATTTAATTTCATTTTTAAGTCATACATTTTTCAAAAAAAGGAGATGAATTAAAAGCAGAATTTCAACTTTGCTCCCTCAATAATTAATGGTACAAAAAACTCCAAAATCATATCCAATAGCTTGCATAATAAATCACCTTCAATTTAAACATAAAGAATATAAGAAATATGAAGAAAAGAAGAAAGTATCAGAGGAAATAATGAGGTTCTCAAAACATATTGTATTCTCAGTAATCAAAATCAAAGACTGCTTTAAAAAATAATTCCTCATGATTTTCAGAAGCTAAAATATAAATGAAAAATGTGTCATAATAATTGTTACAGGCTGCTAACCATCTTCAGTAGAAGAAGGAGGATTCTTGACATTCCTGATGCTCATTAACAGACTATTGAATTAGGAAATAAGCCACTTCGTCCTGTGCATAGTCAGCCTCATTCCCTACTGTTTCCCAGGGCCTAGCAGAGAGCTTGGCCCGTGGCAGGTGTGCCGCTGATGAGTGAACAAGTGAATGAATGAATGAATAATAAGCATAGGTAGTAGCAAATAGCCTGATGAGAGTAACAAGAGGAAACAGAAGCCATAAAAACAAATAAAAAGCAAACCGGAGACCAAAGGCTAGAAATGGTTTAATCTCTAGCCACTTAGCTATTATTATATCACACAACCTAATAACAATAAAGCACTCAGTATGTGTCAGGAAGTGCTGCAATCTCATCAGTACTATCGGGTAGTTATAATTTTTATCCACACTTTGCTGATGAAGAAAATAAGGCACTGGAAGTTTAAGTATCTTACCCAAGATTGCATAGGCATCAGTGAGTGTTGGACTCAGGCCATCTGCCTCCTGAGTATTTACAAAAGTCCCAACGTCCCTCTCTGGGTATTTTTCGTTCTCTCTCCTCCCCTCTCCTCCACTCCCCTCCCCTCCCCTCCCCCCTTCTCTCCTTCCCTTCCTTCCTTCCTTTTCTTTCCTCCTTTCTTTTCTTTCTGTCTTTCTCTCTGTCTCTCCCCCCCCACCTCCCTCCCTCTCTCTTTCCCTCCCTCCCTCCCTCTCTTTCCCTTCCTCCCCGCCTCTCTCTCTTTCCCTCCATCCCTTCCTCTCTCTCTCTCTTTTTTTTTTTTTTTGGTGGATTCTCACTCTATTGCCCAGGCTGGAGTGCAGTGGCGCTATCTCAGCTCACTGCAACCTCCGCCTCCCGGGTTCAAGCGATTCTCCTGCCTCAACCTCCCAAGTAGCTGGAATTGCAGGCACAAGGCATCATGCTGGGTTATTTTTGTATTTTTAGTAGACATAAGGTTTTGCCATGTTGGCCAGGCTGGTCTCGAACTCCTGACCTCAAGTGATCTGCCTGCCTCTGCCTCCCAAAGTGCTGGGATTACAGGTGCGAGCCACTGTGCCTGGCCAGGGTCTTTATTTCTTTCTAAGATCAGATGATCTTGTAAGATCCTTACAACTCCTAAGAAAAAAAAAAAAAGAGGGGTGGGGAAGGGATAGGTGTAATACAAAATGTCAAGTTGCCCTTAACCCTTAACTTGAATCAAAATAAATGAACCTCTGCTCACATAGGAAGCTGTCTTTCTCACTTACCTCAAGAGATTTCTCAAAGCCTGCAGGTCTCACTGGTGCCTGCTAATTCCCTCATGATTTTATTTTGCATCTCTAGTCAGCAGAGTCTTGAAGTTTGATAAGCCCTGCATAGGTCTTTATGCTTAGACAGGGCTCACCTAGCTACTTGTCCAAATAGGAGTCCTAACAGTAATGCATTCAATAATGTTTGTTTGCAGAGTTCACAGACACATTAATAATTAGTTTGTCTTTGTAGATTCTATATCTTTAAATATTTGGCTAGACGACTGTAGGAGACAGCAGATATGGGTACCAGATAAGAAGCAATGTAAGTAAATGCATTTTTTTAGCAGCTTGTGACAACCTGAATTTATTTCAGCTCCTTCTTCTTGCTGTCACTGTAGTTTCCAGGTGATTATTTCTACATAGAATCTACTTTTCATTTTGCTTCATCCTCCAGTGCAGCCTGTCCAACATAACATAGCTCTTGCCTCACAGAGAATTTTGGCTCCAGTGAGTTCTGAGAGGAGCATAAAATATAAGAAACGGATTCATCTTAAATGTGACCTTCAAAATGGAGTGCAAAAGATGAGATTAAAGTAAACCCAAACAAATTGGAAAGTTTCTTGCAATTTAGTCAATAAATATGCTCAGTTCAAGGAAGTTCGATATATATATATCTTACATATATATGTAAGATATATATATGTAAGATATATATATCATATATATGTAAGATATATATATGTAAGATATATATATCATATATATGTAAGATATATATATGTAAGATATATATATCATATATATGTAAGATATATATATGTAAGATATATATATCATATATATGATATATATATCTTATATATATAATGAATATATATATTCATTAATTATAAACTCATAGAAAGGCCACAGTGCTCTCTTCTCACAGAATTGTGAAAATCATGACTACTTCATGTTTCTCCTGCTAAAAGTTCATAATATCAACAATAAGACATTATAGCATAGTATATATTAAGTACTATAATAAAACATTGAAGATCTGATAAACATAGAGATTGAGAGGCATTTTTTCCTTCGACTCTGGGATTATGAATTCAATGGTTTGACACAGAGAATACAAATGCAAGACCCTTTGGTGCGGGGTGGGGGTGGTTTTAAAATGTATTGGTTATTGATTTCGGAACTTCTAGTTCCAAAATGATAACACAGACACAATCTAGGTTCACTCCTCTCCACAGAAAACCAAAACAAATATAAGGTGCCAAGATTATCACCAGCAACATCGCAGAACTCAAACATGAGGATGATTCCATTTCCAGGGTCACAGAGAAGTGAAAAACTCTGAGGAGATGGTAAAAGAATCAAATGTCCATATCTGCTACACCCCCCACCCACTGTGGCCCAACTCATGGTTTCTACACTGGAAAAAGTGAGATGGAGGTAAACAACCAGCTTCCCCACCATCCTGGGTTCCCTGGCAGGAGGCCTGCCCATGCTTTAACCCATGGGAAGCAACACGAGTACCCAAAGGGCAACACATCCCTGAGAACAGCCAGAGACAAAGAGGGGAGGTGGGACTACCATCCCCAGCCCTGGAACCTCTGCTTTGTAACTCAGCCAGGGACACCAAATCAGCATGGCTGTTCAGTAAAATGTATTGGTTATTATTTTCACTCAATAAAATAATCAACAAATTAGTACCTATTACTAATAAAATTTTAAAGTGATCCAACATGCTCTCAGTGTGGACATTAACAGGTGAAATCTAAAGAGGTGGCATGAATTAATGACTGGCTATGGAAAAGTTCATTCAAGTCTCATTATTCTGAGGCATGGGTTGTAATTTTCCTCTATGATAGACGCGCCAAATAAATGCATAATTGCAAAGAGTAATAGAATGTGGACACACTCACTGATTTATTCACATAACAGCTTTTCCTTAGCTTTGTCAGAAATTCATTTAAGTGTCTGAAGAACCCAGTGAGATTGGTTTCCTAGCACATATAACTTTGTTCCTGGCACAGAATTTCTATAATATTTTATAAGTCTGCCAATTGCATAAGTATATTTAAAACCTTGAATGAGCTCTCTCTTTGCCAACTACCAGTTTTGAAGGAAATTCTTATATGTAAGGGGAAAAGGGACGTAAGATTTAGAGGAATTAGTTAAGATTATTAACTCCATTTGAGTATTAAATCACATGTAATATTGTGAAAGCTCAGATAATAAGTGCTAAAAGTTTAGACTCTGCAATAAATTGCTCTATTTGTCTAAGTAGAAATGTGTTATTGAACAGGATCCGGTCACTGTCCCTTAATGGTTGTGCTACTGACATCTGAGGCAGGACACTTCACTGCAGGACTGGCCTGAGCACTGCAGATGCCTGTTCACTAAATGGAAACTTCACCCTCAAGTCACTGTGACAACCAAACCACTTCTGCTCTCCGTCTCATGTGTACTATGAATCTATGCACTCTGATGCACTACTGCTATGTGGATTATGTGGGTACTCTGGCCATGGGCTTCACTCTTTCCAGCTCTTTGCAGATGTATCCATGCCATGGGGAGAACATGAAAGGCTTTCATTAGCACTGACAACATCCTGAAAACTGGCAGAATTACAAAACCATCAGCTTTCCTAGTAAAAAGAGCTCTCAACATCAAGTGGTCCAAGCTCTCCTATGTATTTCTTTTTTTTTTTTTAATACTTTAAGTTCTAGGGTACATGTGCATAACGTGCAGGTTTGTTACATATGTATACATGTGCCATGTTGGTGTGCTGCACCCATTAACTCATCATTTAGCATTAGGTATATCTCCTAATGCTATCCCTCACCCCTTCCCCCGACCCCACAACAGGCCCCGGTGTGTGATGTTTCCCTTCCTGTGTCCATGTTTTCTCATTGTTCAATTCCCACCTATGAGTGAGAACATGTGGTGTTTGGTTTTTTCTCTTTGCGATAGATTGCTGAAAATGATGGTTTCCAGCTTCATCCGTGTCCCTATAAAGGACATGAACTCATCATTTTTTATGGCTGCAAGTATTCCATGGTGTGTATGTGCCACATTTTCTTAATCCAGTCTATCATTGGTGGACATTTGGGTTGGTTCCAAGTCTTTGCTATTGTGAATAGTGCCGCAATAAACATACATGTGCATGTGTCTTTATAGCAGCATGATTTATAATCCTTTGGGTATATACCCAGTAATGGGATGGCTGGGTCAAATGGTATTTCTAGTTCTAGATCCCTGAGGAATCGCCACACTGACTTCCACAATGGTTGAACTAGTTTATAGTCCCACCAACAGTGTAAAAGTGTTCCTATTTCTCCACATCCTCTCCAGCACCTGTTGTTTCCTGACTTTCTAATGATTGCCATTCTAACTGGTGTGAGATGGTATCTCATTGTGATTTTGTTTTGCATTTCTCTGATGGCCAGTAATGATGAGCATTTTTTCATGTGTCTTTTGGCTGCATAAATGTCTTCTTTTGAGAAGTGTCTGTTCATATCCTTCGCCCACTTTTTGATGGGGTTGTTTGTTTTTTCTTGTAAATTTGTTTGAGTTCATTGTAGATTCTGGATATTAGCCCTTTGTCAGATGAGTAGATTGCAAAAATTTTCTACCATTCTGAAGGTTGCCTGTTCACTCTGATGGTAGTTTCTTTTGCTGTGCAGAAGCTCTTTAGTTTAATTAGATCCCATTTGTCTATTTTGGCTTTTGCTGCCATTGCTTTTGGTGTTTTAGACATGAAGTCCTTGCCCATGCCTATGTCCTGAATGGTATTGCCTACGTTTTTTTCTTCTAGGGTTCTTATGGTTTTAGGTCTAACATTTAAGTCTTTAATCCATCTTGAAATAATTTTTGTATAAGGTGTAAGGAAAGGATCCAGTTTCAGCTTTCTACATATGGCTAGCCAGCTTTCCCAGCACCATTTATTAAATAGGGAATCCTTTCCCCATTTCTTGTTTCTGTCAGGTTTGTCAAAGATCAGATAGTTAAAGATATGTGGCATTATTTCTGAGGGCTCTGTTCTGTTCCATTGGTCTATATCTCTGTTTTGGTACCAGTACCATGCTGTTTCAGTCACTGTAGCCTTGTAGCATAGTTTGAAGTCAGGTAGTGTGATGCCTCCAGCTTTGTTCTTTTGGCTTAGGATTGACTTGGCAATGCGGGCTCATTTTGGTTCCATATGAACTTTAAAGTAGTTTTTTCCAGTTCTGTGAAGAAAGTCATTGGTAGCTTGATGGGGATGGCATTGAATCTATAAATTACCTTGGGCAGTATGGCCATTTTCACAATATTGATTCTTCCTACCCATGAGCATGGAATGTTCTTCCATTTGTTGGTATCCTCTTTTATTTCATTGAGCAGTGGTTTGTAGTTCTCCTTGAAGAGGTCCTTCACATCCCTTGTAAGTTGGATTCCTAGGTATTTTATTCTCTTTGAAGCAATTGTGAATGGGAGTTCACTCATGATTTGGCTCTCTGTTTGTCTGTTATTGGTGTATAAGAATGCTTGTGATTTTTGTATATTGATTTTGTATCCTGAGACTTTGCTGAAGTTGCTTATCAGCTTAAGGAGATTTGGGGCTGAGACGATGGGGTTTTCTAGATATACAATCATGTCATCTGCAAACAGGGACAATTTGACTTCCTCTTTTCCTAATTGAATGCCCTTTATTTCCTTCTCCTGCCTAATTGCCCTGGCCAGAACTTCCAACACTATGTTGAATAGGAGTGGTGAGAGAGGGCATCCCTGTCTTGTGCCAGTTTTCAAAGGGAATGCTTTCAGTTTCTGCCCATTCAGTATATTGGCTGTGGGTTTGTCATAGATAGCTCTTATTCTTTTGAGATACGTCCCATCAATATCTAATTTATTGAGAGTTTTTAGCATGAAGGGTTGTTGAATTTTGTCAAAGGCCTTTTCTGCATCTATTGAGATAATCATGTGGTTTTTGTCTTTGGTTCTCTTTATATGCTGGATTACCTTTATTGATTTGCATATATTGAACCAGCCTTGCATCCCAGGGATGAAGCCCACTTGATCATGGTGGATAAGCTTTTTGATGTGCTGCTGGATTTGGTTTGCCAGTATTTTATTGAGGATTTTTGCATCAATGTTCATCAAGGATATTGGTCTAAAATTCTCTTTTTTGGTTGTGTCTCTGCCTGGCTTTGGTATCAGGATGATGCTGGACTCATAAAATGAGTTAGGGAGGATTCCCTCTTTTTCTATTGATTGGAATAGTTTCAGAAGGAATGGTACCAGTTCCTCCTTGTACCTCTGGTAGAATTCGGTTGTGAATCCATCTGGTCCTGGACTCTTTTTGTTTGGTAAGCTATTGATTATTGTCACAATTTCAGAGCCTGTTATTGGTCTATTCAGAGATTCAACTTCTTCCTGGTTTAGTCTTGGGAGGGTGTATGTATCCAGTAATTTATCCGTTTCTTCTAGATTTTCTAGTTTGTTTGCGTAGAGGTGTTTGTAGTATTCTCTGATGGTAGTTTGTATTTCTGTGGGATCAGTGGTGATATCCCCTTTATCATTTTTTATTGCATCTATTTGATTCTTCTCTCTTTTCTTCTTTATTAGTCTTGCTAGCGGTCTATCAATTTTGTTGATCTTTTCAAAAAACCAGCTCCTGGATTCATTGATATTTTGAAGGGTTTTTTGTGTCTCTATCTCCTTCAGTTCTGCTCTGATCTTAGTTATTCCTTGCCTTCTGCTAGCTTTTGAATGGGTTTGCTCTTGCTTCTCTAGTTCTTTTAATTGTGATGTTAGGGTGTCAATTGTAGACCTTTCCTGCTTTCTCTCGTGGGCATTTAGTGCTACAAATTTCCCTCTACACACTGCTTTGAATGTGTCCCAGAGATTCTGGTATGTTGTATCTTTTTTCTCATTGGTTTCAAAGAACATCTTTATTTCTGCCTTCATTTCATTATGTACCCAGTAGTCACTCAGGAGCGGGTTGTTCGGTTTCCATGTAGTTGAATGGTTTTGAGTGAGTTTCTTAATCCTGAGTTCTAGTTTGATTGCACTGTGGTCTGAGAGACAGTTTGCTATAATTTCTGTTCTTTTACATTTGCTGAGTGCTTTACTTCCAACTATGTGGTCAATTTTGGAATAGGTGTGGTGTGGTGCTGAAAAGAATGTATATTCTGTTGATTTGGGGTGGAGAGTTCTGTAGATGTCTATTAGGTCCGCTTGGTGCAGAGCTGAGTTCAATTCCTGGATATCCTTGTTAACTTTCTGTCTCATTGATCTGTCTAATGTTAACAGTGGGGTGTTAATGTCTCCCATTATTATTGTGTGGGAGTCTAAGTCTCTTTGTAGGTCTCTAAGGACTTGCTTTATGAATCTGGGTGCTCCTGTATTGGGTGCATATATATTTAGGAGAGTTAGCTCTTCTTGTTGAATTGATCCCTTTACCATTATGTAATGGCCTTCTTTGTCTCCTTTGATCTTTGTTGGTTTAAAGTCTGTTTTATCAGAGACTAGGATTGCAATCCCTGCCTTTTTTTGTTTTTCATTTGCTTGGTAGATCTTCCTCCATCCCTTTATTTTGAGCCTATGTGTGTCTTTGCACGTGAGATGCATCTCCTGAATACAGCATACTGATGGGTCTTGACTCTTTATCCAATTTGCCAGTCTGTGTCTTTTAATTGGAGCATTTAGCCCATTTACATTTAAGGTTCATATTGTTATGTGTGAATTTGATCCTGTCATGATGTTAGCTGGTTATTTTGCTCGTTAGTTGATGTAGTTTCTTCCTAGCCTCGATGGTCTTTACAATTTGGCATGTTTTTGCAGTGGCTGGTATCAGTTGTTCCTTTCCATGTTTAGTGCTTCCTTCAGGAGCTCTTGCAGGGCAGGACTGGTGGTGACAAAATCTCTCAGCATTTGCTTGTCTGTAAAGTATTTTATTTCTCCTTCACTTATGAAGCTTAGTTTGGCTGGATATGAAAGTCTAGGTTGAAAATTCTTTTCTTTAAGAATGTTGAATATTGGCCCCCACTGTCTTCTGGCTTGTAGAGTTTCTGCCGAGAGACCGACTGTTAGTCTGATGGGCTTCCCTTTGTGGGTAACCTGACCTTTCTCTCTGGCTGCCGTTAACATTTTTTCCTTCATTTCAACTTTGGTGAATCTGACAATTATGTGTCTTGGAGTTGCTCTTCTCAAGGAGTATCTTTGTGGCATTCTCTGTATTTCCTGAATCTGAATGTTGGCCTGCCTTGCTAGACTGGGGAAGTTCTCCTGGATAGTATCCTGCAGAGTGTTTTCCAACTTGGTTCCATTCTCCCTGTCACTTTCAGGTACACCAATCAGATGTAGATTTGGTCTTTTCACATAGTCCCATATTTCATGGAGGCTTTGTTCGTTTCTTTTTATTCTTTTTTCTCTAAACTTCTCTTCTCACTTCATTACATTCATTTGATCTTGAATCACTGATACCCTTTCTTCCAGTTGATCAAATCGGCTACTGAGTCTTGTGCATTCGTCACGTAGTTCTCGTGCCGTGGTTTTCAGCTCCATCAGGTCCTTTAAGGACTTCTCTGCATTGGTTATTCTAGTTAGCCATTCATCTAATCTTTTTTCAAGGTTTTTAACTTCCTTGCCATGGGTTCGAACTTCCTCCTTTAGCTCGGAGAAGTTTGATCGTCTGAAGCCTTCTTCTCTCAACTCATCAAACTCATTCTCCATCCAGCTTTGTTCCGTTGCTGGTGAGGAGCTGCATTCCTTTGGAGGAGGAGAGGCACTCTGATTTTTAGAATTTTCAGTTTTTCTGCTCTGTTTTTTCCCCATCTTTGTGGTTTTATTTACCTTTGGTCTTTGATGATGGTGATTTACAGATGGGGTTTTGGTGTGGATGTCCTTTCTGTTTGTTAGTTTTCCTTCTAACAGTCAGGACCGTCAGCTGCAGGTCTGTTGGAGTTTGCTGGAGGTCCACTCCAGACCCTGTTTGCCTGGGTATCAGCAGTGGAGGCTGCAGAACAGCGGATATTGGTGAACAGCAAATGTTGCTGCATGATCATTCCTCTGGAAGTTTTGTCTCAGAGGGTTACCCGGCCATGTGAGATGTCAGTCTGCCCCTACAAGGGGGTGCCTCCCTGTTAGGCTACTCGGGGGTCAGGGACCCACTTGAGGAGGCAGTCTGTCCGTTCTCAGATCTCAAGCTGCGTGCTGGGAGAACCACTACTCTCTTCAAAGCTGTTAGACAGGGACATTTAAGTCTGCAGAGGTTTCTGCTGCCTTTTGTTCAGCTATGCCCTGCCCCCAGAGGTGGAGTCTACAGAGGCAGACAGGCCTCCTTGAGCTGCGGTGGGCTCTACCCAGTTCGAGCTTCCCGGCCACTTTGTTTACCTACTCAAGCCTTGGCAATGGTGGGCGCCCCTCCCCCATCCTCGCTGCCACCTTGCAGTTTGATCTCAGACTGCTGTACTAGCAATGAGCGAGGCTCCATGGGCGTAGGACCCTCTGAGCCAGGCGCGGGATACAATCTCCTGGTGTGCCGTTTGCTAAGACCATTGGAAAAGCGCAGTATTAGGGTGGGAGTGACCCGATTTTCCAGGTGCCGTCTGTCACCCCTTTCTTTGAGTAGGAAAGGGAATTCCCTGACCCCTTGCGCTTCCCGGGTGAGGCGATGCCTCGCCCTGCTTTGCCTCAGGCTCAGTGCACCACACCCATTGTCCTGCACCCACTGTCCAACAATCCCCAGTGAGATGAACCCAGTACCTCAGTTGGAAATGCAGAAATCATTCGTCTTCTGCGTCGCACATGTTGGAAGCTGTAGACTGGAGCTGTTCCTATTCGGCCATCTTGGCTCCACCCCTCCTATGTATTTCTTAAATCTGTCCTCTTATCTCCATCCACCTTCCCTCTGCCTTTACTCAAGTGCTCCTTATCTTCTCTCCTCTCTTTATTGTCAGAGCCTCCTAAAAGGTCGGCCTGCTTCCAATCACCCTCCATTTCAGTTCTAAAGTGAAAATCTGATCCTGCTTAAAACTTTTAAGTGCCTCACTGTCACCATGAGACCCTTCACAATTCCTCCCTGCATGTGCACAGGCCCCTTCTGAGTGGACCCCTGGGTCATGCTCTCTAGCCTCACATCTCGCTGCTCTCCACCTTGCAGTCCAGGCTCCAGCAATGCAGACCCCCCTCCAGGACTGCTCTCCCAACCTCCCTGTCTTTATTTATGTTCCTTTCTCACAGGCTAGAATGCTGCCCAATCTCCTCCCCACCTGTGTTCTGCTTATCTGGCCAAGCCATTCCCAACCTTTCCATCTCAGAAAGCCTCCCCACACCCTGGGCTCTGAGAGGTGGCTCTTATTGTGTGCAGACAGCACCCTGGGCTTCATCCTAATATTCCCACTGCATAATAATAATACATGTACCTGTCTACTTCACTAGAGTGTGAGTTTCCTAAGGGAGCAATATGTCCCAGTTATCTTTTTATCTGCAATGAAAGACGGAGTGAATAAATGAATGGTCAATCAACTTGCGTTTAACAGATAATGAAACCGAGGCTAGACTCTACATATAACTCATTGGCAGGAAAGTTGGGACTCAAACTCTGATCATGTTCTATCAGAGAAGGATTAGAAGTGTCATCCTTGGATTTAAAAAACCTGGAATTAAAAAGTGCTAGCTAGAGTAATCAGACAAGAGAAAGAAATAAAGGCATCCAGATTGGAAAGAAAGAAGTCAAATTATCCTTGTTTGCAGATGATACGATCTTACATTTGGAAAAACCTATAGCCTCCACAAAAAAACTATTAGGACTGATAAGCAAATTCAGTAAAGTTACAAGATACAAAATCAACATACAAAAATCAGTAACATATAAAAATCGGTAACATTTCTATGTGCCAACAGTGAACAATCAGAAAAAGAAATCAAGAAAGTTATCCCTTTTACAATAGCTACCAATAAAATAAGATACCTAGGAATAAGTAGTAAGTAGATCACTACTTAACCAAAGTAGTGAAAGGGCTCTACAATGAAAACTATAAAACATTGATGAAGGAAATTGAAGCAGACACAAAGTAATGGAAAGATATTTCATGTTCATGATTGGAACAATCAATATTGTTAAAACGTCCATACTACCCAAAGCAATCTACAGATTCAATGCAATCCCTATCAAAATACCAAAGACATTCTTCATAGAAAGAGAAAAAATAATTCTAAAATTTATATGGAACCACAAAAGACCCAGAATAGCCAAAGCTATCCTGAGCAAAAAGAACAAAACTGTAGGAATCACATTACCTGATTTCAAATTATACTATAGAGTTATAGTAACCAAAACAGCACGGTACTAGCATAAAAACAGACACCTAGACAAAAGGAAGAGAATAGAGAACCCAAAAATAAATCCATACATCTACAGTGAACCCATTTTCAACAAAAGTACCAAGAACAGACACTGGAGAAAGGATAGTCTCTTCAATAAATGGTGCTGGGAAAACTGGATATCCATATGCAGAAGAATGAAACTAGACCCCTATCTCTCACCATATAGAAAAATCAAATCAAAATGGATTAAAGACTTAAGTCTAAGAACACAAACTATGCAACTACTAATAGAAAACATTGGGGAAACTCTCCAGGACATTGGACTAGGCAAAGACTTCTTGTGTAATATCCCACAAGCACAGGTAACCAAAGCAAAAATGGACAAATAGGATTCCATTGAGTTAAAAAGCTCCTGCACAGTAAAGAAAATGACCAACAAAGTGAAGAGATAAGCCATGGAATGGGAGAAAATATCTGCAAACTATCCATTTGACAAGGGACAAATAACCAGACTATATAAGGAACTCAAACAACTCTATGGGGAAAAAAAATCTAATAATCTGATTAAAAATGGGCAAAAGATCTGAATAGACATTTCTTAAAAGAAGACATATAAACGGCAAACAGGTATATGAAAAGGTGCTCAACATGATTGGCTATCAGAGAAATGCCAATCAAAACTGCAGTGAGATATCCTCTCACCCCAGTTAAAATGGCTTTTATCCAAAAGACAGGTAATAATGAATGCTGGCGAGGATGTGGAGAAAAGGGTACTTTTGTACAATGTTGGTGGGAATGTGAGTTAGTACAGCCACTATGGAGAACAGTTTGGAGGTTCCTCAGGAAACTAAAAACAAAACTACCACATGATCCAGTAATCCCACTGCTAAGTATATACCCAAAAGAAAGAATATCAGTATATCAAACATACACTTGCACTGCCATGTTTATTGCAGCACTATTCACAATAGCCAAGATTTGAAAACAACCTAAGTGTCCATCAACAGATGCATGGATAAAGAAAATGTGCTACATATACACAATGGAGTACTATTCAGTCACATAAAAGAATGAGATCAACCACGTGCAACAACATGGAGGGAACTGGAGGTCATTATATTAAGTGAAATAAGCCAAGCACAAAGACAAACATCACATGTTCTCACTTATTTGTAAGAGCTAAAAATTAAAACAATAGAACTCATAGAGGTAGAGAATAGAAGGATGGTTACTAGAGGCTGGAAAGGGTAGTGGGGTGAGGGTAGGGGGGAAGTGGGTATGGTTAATGGGTACACAAATATACTTAGATAGAATGAATAAGAGCTAGTATTTAATAACACAATAGGGTGACTACAGTTAATAATAATTTATTGTACATTTTTAAATAATCAAAAGAGTTTAATTGGAATGTTGGTAACACAAAGAAATGATAAATGCTTGAGGGCATAGATATCCCCATTACCCAGATATGATTACTATGCATTGTGTGCCTGTATCAAAATATCTCATGTACTCCATAAATATATATTTATACCTACTATATACCCATAAAAATAAAAAATAGAAATAAAAAAACAAACCCAGAATAGTATGTGTGTAATGAGAAAGACAATATTTGTTAACAGTGGTATTAATCACACACTGCAGAAGAAATGGCATGAATCAATTAAGGTTGTGATTTATATGCAGTAAGAACATGGAAAGCAGAATAATTAAATTTAAACTTTTCTCGTCAGCTTTTTGAAGAGTCTATTTCTAGAAATAGGTGCATTTACCTGAAATGAAAACTACCTAGGAGCGCCTGAACTTCAAACCCAGTTGGTTTCCAGCTGTCATATATATATTCCTCCTAGTGAGGAGGATATATGTATAAACATAAATATATGTCAAATTTAAATAACCACATACATTCCTTGTAAGGTAAATTCCTAAAGTTTGAATAAGAGTTACCTTAGCTCAGAGGTTCTCAAATTTCTGTGTACAAAAGAATCACCTGAATTCTTGTTAAAAATGGAGATTTTTGGGCCTCTGGGTTTCTAATTCAGCTGGGCTGTGATAGAGTCTGAGAAACTGAATTTTTAAGATTGTGGTGAAATTCACATTACATGAAATTAGCCATTTTAAAGTATCCAATTCAGTGACATTTAGAACATGGCACAATGTTGTGCAGCCATCACCTTGAAAATTGCATTTTTAACAAATGCTCCACTGCTGCAGGTGGTCCCCAGACAGCGCACTGAGAATAACTATGCTAAGATGATGGGTAGAGGTGGCAAGGAATGAATCATGGATTTCTCTCAGATTATAACAGAAATTTTTAAAAGTTAGCTTTATCAAACATCAAAATCTAAAAATTATGCCTTTGCCTTTACCGATCACCAAATATAATCCAACACCAGGAAGCTAGATTGTTTTCATGGTTTTCTGTACTAATGGACTCAACATTTATTGATTTGAATGCAACCAGTATTCTTATCCTTATAAAGAAGTACAGGGCTAAGTGAAGTAAAGTGAGAGAAGTGGGAAAAAATGAATCACTGCTCTGTGATTAGTTAGTCCAGGTCCTTGGGTTATAATTACATTATTATAGCACATTATTAATTTCAACTTCAGGAAATGAAATTGTCAATAAACACAGAAGTCTCTGGAGAAAGAAATGCAAATTAGGTTTCTCCTTATATTCAAACCCTCATCTAAATGTAAGTAAAACTAATTATTCTGGTAAGGCTTAATACAGGCTGGGCGTGGTGGCTCATGACTGTAATCCGAGCACTCTGAGAGGCTGAGGTGGGTGGATTGCCTGAGCTCAGGAGTTCGAGACCAGTCTGGCCAACATGGCGAAACCTTGTCTCTCCTAAAAATACAAAAATTAGCCAGGCATGGTGGTACACGCCTGTAATCCCAGCTATTTGGGAGGCTGAGGCAGGAGAATCACTTGAACCCGGGAGGCAGTGATTGCAGCAAGCCAAGATCATGCTACTGTACTCCAGCCTGAGTGACAGAGCGAGACTCCATCTCAAAAAAAACAAAACAAACAAAAAAAAGAGTTAATATAAATACACAATGGCTGCATTAAGATGTTGAGGTCAATCACTGTTTTCAGGGTTGCAGAATCGGTTTTCCTAGTCTTAACTCATGACCTAGTTACTCAAGAGTTGTCCCTAACCTTAACTCATTTTACTCCAGGTCAGATTCCTGTGCAGGTTCCTGGAATTTAGCAACTACAAAGATCAGCCATGGTGACAAGCATCCAGAATACAATGGTGTCTTCCTAACAGCCACTAGTGCTGCTTCTCTGGACCACTACCCTGCGAAAACAACAAACACAGAACAAGATGAAACCCCATCACAACATAAGAAACCAAGATGGACAGACAGCTTATAATGCCAGAATCTTGGAAACATGTCCAGAAACTACAAGACCAGAGAAGCTGGGCTGAGGAAATAAGAACTGGCCCACCCTGCTTTGCCTCATGACACAGAGCCCTTCACCTAGATTAAGAGAGGCAGGAAGACAGCCTGAGAAGGGATGGCACTAATTTAAGCAGAGGAGAATTATTACCTCCTCTACTTCTGTGTGCTTAGAGATCACAACTCCCAGAAGACAATAGGCAGGAAAAGAGAAGGTCTGGCAGTGCTGGCACACTGTATCCTGAGGAATGTCCCCAAAAATAAAGCCCTGAAAATGTGGAGATAGGAAGAGTCTGGGGTTCTTTTAGCCTGTCAAAGAATTAGAGTGCCAAAAAAGAAGAAACTGTAACTAGGTGGGTCAGGTTCAATAGAGTAGAACACTTAATGCCTATATGCCACCAGGAACTCTGTGAGGTGTATGCATCAACCTGACCTCAAGCTGCAGATTTGAGAAGGAATCAACCAGGAAACAGTGACCAGAGGCCACAAGACGGCCACACATTCTGTGTGTGCAGATCCTTCACCACTATACTCCAAGGAAGAGCATCTAGCTGGCAATGACTTCCTATAAAAATAAAGATTTTAGAAAAGTTCTATTCAGAAAGGTTCAGGAAAAGGATGGGTCCTGTGAACACAAGCGTAGAAATGCAGTACAATGGGATGAAATAAATGGAAAAGAAAATGAGATGCAAAAAGACAACTGATTAGGTTAATTGGGTTTTGACCTCAAGTAGATCTGGGTTTGAATTCTGGCTTTTTCAGTTGTTAGCTGTGTGGCCTTGGACTAATCGCTTAATTTCTTTAAGCGGCTCACACTGATAATCCTAGCATTTTGGGAGTCTGAGGTGGGAGGATCACTTGAGCCCAGGAGTTTGAGACCAGTCTGGGCAACATAGCAAGACCCTATCTTTATTTTTTTATTTTATTTTTTAAAAAGAAGTTTTGATTTCTTCATTGGTAAATGGGATCAAGAAACCATTTACTATCTCACAGGGTTACATTGAGGTTTAATGCTACTAAATACTATACTATACTATACTAACAAGCTTGGAAGAAAAGGGTACTGATTGAAACAGAGACAGCATTGCAAAAAAACTAAAAATACAATCAACAATAATCTATGTTGGAGATATTAAGGTGTAGGATTAAAATTGCAAAAGTGTCTAAACTGGTAATGCAGAAGAGCTCCAAAGCCTGAGAAAAAGGACAAAAAAAATGAAAAGGATGAGAGAAAAGCTGAATCAGGGATTCAACACAGTAATTAAAGATATTTTTGAGACATAAATCAAGTAGAACAAAAGCAATAAGCTAAAATAGGAACAAGGAAAGCCTCCTGGAGTGAATAATCATCTCAGCATGCAGTTTCAGGGCTCACTATATTTCAGGCAAAATTAATTTCAAAACATTTTAAAGACACACACCTAGATATAATTCAGCAAAAAATGTAAACTATGGAAATAATTTTTTAAATGCCTCCACAAAAGGCTTCAGGGACCAGCTAAACAGAAAGATCTTTCCAACATTCTATAAACTATTCCAGAGCATAGAAAAAGATGGCAAAACTAACCACATTATTTTATGAAGTGAGCACAACCAAGACAACAAAACCTGACACAAAAAAGAAACCACTAACTCTACTTCCACTTCTGAATTGATGCAAAAATCCTAAATGAAACCCTAGCAAACTGAATTCATCAGTATAATAAAAATACATAGGCACGGTCAAGTTGGATTTAACCTAACAAAGCAAAGATGATCCAAGATTAAGATATCTATTAATATAGTATCAAAATATAAGACAATCCTATTTAAGGTGATCCTCATTTTCTCAGTGAGAAGCTCCAAATGTTACTACTACCAGCTTGAATAAATATAGATGTTTATGAAATAGTCAACTATCTGTTTGAAAGTACAATTATACATACACATTTGCAATCATATAATAAAGGAAATATTTATCTTAAAATATTTTTCCATTCTCAAATATCATGAAAAAAATTGTATTCCACCTCTTCCCATGCACTCTTCTTTCTTTCTTTCTTTCTTTCTTTTGAAACAAGGTCTCGCTCTGTTACCCAGGCTGGAGTACAGTGGCGCAATCTCAGCTCACTGCAGCCTCAACCTCCTAGGCTCAAGCAATCCTCCAGCCTCAGCCCCTCCAGTAGCTTGGACTACAGGCACATGCCACCACACCTGGCTAATTTTTGTATTTTTTGTAGAGACAGGGTTTCACCATGTTTCCCAGGCTGGTGTTGAACTCCTGAACTCAAGTGACCTGCCTGCCTCGGCCTCCCAAAGTGCTGGGATCACAAGCGTCAGCCACCAGACCCAGCCTCCCATGCATTCTTGATGGGAATGTTATCACAAGAGCCACTTAGAGATATTTAATACAGTCTTCCAGAACTAGCATCTTCACTTCTGTCTGAGCACATTTAAGCCCACGTACAATACATTAATCCATATATACTTTCACTTTAGAAAATCATTTGTCCTGAAATTGTCTAATTGTGATCTCTAGAACAAAGACTTGTTTTATAAACTTATGACTTCCAATTCTTGCAACAATGAGGTCATTTCCCAGGAATAATTTTGCTACACCAGTGTTACATGTCCTAGCATCTTTTTTTTAATTGATTCTTTCTAGTGACTTCTCTAGGCATTCAAAACCAGCACTGATCAAAATGCTATGCCAGGATATTCAAAATAAATTAAATTGAGAATGACTCCCAGAATCTGAGAGATCTTGTTAAGGGCTGAAATATGTCTACCTTTTTTTTCTGAAGAGTAAGTTTTGGGAGAAAAACAAATTTTAACCTTTTTCACAGCAGGACATACTTAGAAAATTATAGTATTTGGATAGCACCCACACAAGTGAACAAGGCTGCTCAGGGTAGATGCTATTCTGGCCCTGCCCAGGCTCCTCAGTAGATCAATATTGCAGCACACCATATGGAAAGCTCTGCTATACCATGAGGTCCTATGAGAACACTGAGATCATCATCTGGGAGGCAGGATACTGTAGTGGAGCCAGGCTCTGCCTGGCTGCATGACCTGGGGCAAGTTACTTATGCCCTTTGTGCTTCAGTTCTCACATCTGCAAGATGGGACAATAATAGTTCCCAGAGAATCCATTATCATGAGGATTCACTGAACTAATTCGCATGAAACACTTAGAACTGCGTCCCACACATAGTAACTGCTCAACAAATGCCACGTTCAATAACTATGCCTGATTGAAAGCAAAACAAAACAACTCGTGAAAAAACAAAACCACAAAAGTATGAGTAGAATACCAAAATGAATTCCTCAACATGTCACCTCACCCCTACATGGTCATGTTACAGTAAAACTCACCAGATGACAAGCCCTGACCTGGCACTTGGAGTTTCCAATCAAATTGTTAGATTTCAGCCAAGAATCTCTAGGGATTTGAGAAAACCAAACCACTCTCATTAAAGACAGACTATAACAAAGATATAAACAAACTGAAAAAAAGAACTCAAAAGGAAGAGAGATAATGTTGGCAATATCAGCAAACTTTAAAAAAAGTATATACATACATATATATACACACACACATAATACACATTTAAGAGTAATGGTTAAGAGCACAGGCTTTGGGGAAACAAGTTATGACATCTATAAATTAAAAACAGAACTTCACAAAAAAGGAATTATCAGAAAACACAAAAGAGTTGCTGGTAATTAACAGACATGGCAGTTAAAATAAATTCAATAGGAAGCTTACAAAACAGTAAGATTTCCCAAATACTAGAAGAAAAATAAAGAAAACAGGAGAGGGAAAAAAAAAACTAGGAAAAATTAGAGGACTGACCTGGTGACCAAATAATAGGAGTTCTGTACAGAAAAAATAGGGGAAGGTGGGACGGAGGGCCACACAATTCCAAAATAAATCATATAAGAAAATTCCCCATAACAAAAGGATCTGCATTTTCAGATTGAAAGTGCTCTCTGAGTACTCAGCATGATGAATAAATGATGATCTACACCCAAAGCACATCACAGTGAAATTTCAGAAAACCGTCTCTAATGAGAGGGGGAAGTTGCACATGTAACAGATTAGGAAACAGAATGGCATCGCCATAATGAAAATGATTTTCAAAAGTAATCTCTGAGATTATGAGTTTTATTTCTCCCTTTTCTAATTTGTCTATAATAACATATATAACTTTTACTGTCAGAAAAAAAATATTTTTTTTGAGACACAGTCTCACTCTGTTGCCCAGACTGGAGTGCAGTGGCACAGTTTCGGCTCACTGCAACCTCTGCCTCCTGGATTCAAGCAGTTCTCCTGTCTCAGCCTCCCGAGTAGCTGGGACTACATGCACTCGCCACCATGCCCGGCTAATTTTTGCATTTTTAGTAGAGAAGAGGTTTCACCATATTGGTCAGGCTGGTCTCGAACTCCTGACCTCAGTTGATCCACCCACCTCGGTCTCCCAAAGTGCTGGGATTACAGGCGTGAGCCACCGCGCCCGGCCCCAAAAACAATTTTAATACCAAAAAAATCTAAACTTGGAGACACTTTCATAGATTTAAATGGCTCCATTATTTGTCTTCATAATGTCACAATCTGTCTCTTTGCAGTGATACAGAGACCCTTCTAGTTGGTGGGAGTTGTGACCATAGAGGATGTCTGGGTTGTAGAGAGAGCTGGGAACAAGCCACTCTAGGGATTCACTACCCAGCAGCCCTGTATATGAGTGATGTCCACTCATACTTACTCAGTTAGTGAACATGTGTTTTCAAGCCACAGTCCCAGAATATTTTGATATCTGAGGGAACGGGGGAAGCCCATCATTCTTTTTCCTTAGATATATCTTTCCATCCACAATTACCATGTCTCCACTATTGCAGTTTGCATTTATTTTAATAAGGCAATGCTAACCGCTCCAATTTGTCTTCATTCCACTTATCAAATACCATGTCCTAGGCTTTGCCAAGAGATGATTTTCCTATTGACAGACTTACCTGTAGAAAAGATGAACACCGTGTTGTTCCAGAGCCCACTGCTTTTTAAAGCTGCAGTGACATTTCCTACTGCTTCATCCATAAGGGACACCATTCCTGCATAGTGATGCCTGTTCTTGTCTTGGATAAAGTCATATGGCTTCAAGTATTCCTCAGGGACCTGAAGGGGCTCATGCACAGACTGGAGAGCAAGGTAGAGAAACAGAGGCTGGAAAGAAAGTTTGTGCAAACCAGTTAAGAGGATATTGAAGCATTAAATATAGAAGGATAAGACAGTTCAGATTTATGCATTAATAAAAATAATATCAAGACAACCTACAGAATGCATTGAAAGTATTTGTGAATCACATGTATGATAAGGGACTCATCTCCAGAATATATAAAGAACCCTTACAACTCAATGATAACTCAACTACAAAATGGGCAAAGAATCTGAATAGCAATTTCTCCAAAGAGGATACACAAAAGGCAATAAACACATGTAAAGACAGTCAACATCATCAGTCATTATTAAGATGCAAATTAAAACCACAATGAGGTAACACTTCACATCTGTTAGGATGGTGATAATTTAAAAATGGAAAAGAACAAGTATTGGTGAGGATATGGAGAAATTGGAACTGTCATTCATTACTAGCAGGAATGTAAAATGGCACACATAGCCACTTTGAAGAAACATTTTGGCAGTTCCTGAAATTGTAAAACATAGAGTTACCATATGACCCAGCATTTCCATTCCTAGAGAAATCAAAGCATACATCCACCCAAAAACTTCCATGAATATTCACTGCAACATTATTCATAATAGCCAAAGAGTAGAAACAACCCAAACATCTATCAATTGATGAATGGATAAACAAAATATGGTATATTTTCAGCAACATATGGCAATAAATGAAATAAAGTATTGATACATACTACAACATAGATAAACCTTGAAAACATTATACTAAGTGAAATCAGTCAATCGTAAAAGTCCTCATATTATGTAATTTCATTTATATGAAATTCCAGAAATATAGGCAAATCTATAGAGACAGAGGGTGGTTGCCTGGGGCTGTAGGAAATTGTGGGGGAGAGGAATGGTGAGTGATTGCTAACAGATACAAGGTTTTTTTGGGGGGATGATGAACATGTTTTAAACTTAGATTGTGGTATGGTTGCATAACTGAAAATTTACTATTGAACTGTATACTTTAAATGAGTGAATTTTATGATATGTAAATTTTGTTTCAATAAAGATATTAAAAAATATAACAAAAGACACAAGACAAAAAATTGAAAATAAAAGCCAGAGTCCCAGAACGGCCTCAATGGACCTAATCCAAACAAATAATAATATCAGTAATGGCAACCACATATTAAATGTTGTCTACATACTAGACAGTATGATAATAATTTACACATTCTATCTCATTTAATGAAACCACCCTATGTTACAGCAATTTTACAGATGAGTTAACTGAGGCTTAGAAAGGTTATATGTGTGACTTGTCCAACTCCACATTAACCGAAGAGCAATTTCCTATTGGAAAACCCACTATTACGATATGGATGTGTACCAATAGAGGCTTTAGCTTTTTGCTTTAGCTGAAAATAAGCCCTCATCTTTTAGAAGAGGTTTAGTATTTTTAAACTATATTTTATGAGAAAAAAAGTGAACACCATGCCTTGTTAGTCTTTGATGCAGGACCAAACATAAGACCAGTTTAATTCCTGAAACTAAGAAGTATGACACACTGATTCTATTTTACCACTTACATCAATTTGCAACATTTAACATTAGTGGCATACCAGGTCAGCTTCTCCTTTTTAATGAGCCTTTCTGAAGGCATTCTCTTCATAGTGCTACAGAATTCTTTAATGAGTTGAAAAGCCTCAAAGAGACAACAACTAGTTTAACCCAAAAATAAACGTATAATTCTGTTAAAGTATTTGAGGCATTTAAATCTCATAAATGAATGAAAATGGTTAGAAACAGACTTTGGTGGGGGGGTGGTGCTCATATTTCATTCTTCATTGTTGACAAGTTGTTTTAAATTTTATATTACACATCCTTGTAATGCAAAAAGGAGTATCCATACATAGAGCTCAAATAGACCCCCCAAAAGTTTATTTATTGTTCAGGTCTTTGGAACTCAGAAATACGTTTTCCCTAAACTCACAAAGTTAAAAATAGCTGCTAAATGTCAAAGTCGTTGCTTTAAAACCTATTAAACTAAGGACGCAGCTGATGGAGTGAAAATGATGATAATGTAGAACCCGTACTTCCATTATTTCCATGGGAAAACATTCCAAATTCCCACTCCAAAAGTCTATTCTATAACCTCTGACACCATTTCAGTTCTGCCTCTGCTTCCACTCGACACACATACACCTTCTACTCCAGCTGCATGGTCATGCTGAAGCGTCTATGTTCGTGTAGACCATGGTGCAGGACATCCCAACAGATGCCCTGCCTGGGGGTGATGAAGGTCTTGGCTGCGATGTCTGGAGGGAAGAACGTGCAGGTGCATCGCTGACCTGACAGTGCAGTATGGGTCTGCTCTGGGTACTGCTATCTGGGTCTTCAGCACTAGACTGAGCCAACTCCAGCCACCAGCCAAGGTCCAGATGGGGATAGGATTAAAAATCGGAAGTCTACAACAATTTGCAGCCCACGTAAAGTTTTAAAAAAAATCAGGAAATATCACATCGATCTGTTTTTATATAAAAAAACTTTTTTGGAAAAATCAGAATTTCTGACTACTCTTTGTCCACACTCCATCTGGTAACAAAAGGCTGGAGTATGAGAAACAGGGGCCCCATCCCCCTCAAATGCTATCCAATTTTCTAGTTTCCCACTGTTCTACATAAACTGCTTCACTTCTTTAGGTTAGCAGCCTGGCCCTTGCAAACACGAGATTTTGTGACTCTGATCTGGACTCTTAACAGTGGCAGGGGGCAGGGGATACAGTGGGGAGAGAGGGGGCCCACAGCTTAAGGAGAAGATGTTCTCATCCAGGTCATTAGCAGCAACATGGCAACCACCTGGCGAAGGAGAGAAAGGAGAAAGAGGGTAGGTGATTCCCAGCCAGCAATTGATTACTAAAGGCAATGGCTGGGAAGGCGGACAGGGGAGTTCTTGAACAATGACCAGGGAAAAAAAGATTTGGGGATCATTATTAAAGGTTCTTATAAATATTCAGTATAGAAATCATTCTACTCACTTTGTTAAATATGGTGAAAAATAATCTGAAAATCTTTCCTATAATTATTCCTTAGTAGCTAAAGACATTACCATCACTTTTATAAAAGAATATAAATTTTCAGGACCCTCTAAATTATGCCAAGGGGAAAATTAAGTCCTGGAGACTGTGTCACGTAGCATGTTTGCAACTTCTGTTTCTTAGATTATAGAGTAACTCTCTTCCTTATTGTTCTTCTTCTGTAAATAACTAGGAAAGACCAGAGACCAGGACTCCTCCCCTTCTTATTGAAGATCTTTGTTATAGATTAACCACCTCCTTTATTGTCCTGTACCTAACTCAGACCAGATGACCCAAAAAACACCATGACTGTTACATCTTCAGTGTGGAATGTTAAACATACCTTTCCCAAAAGAAAACCACCACCTTGACTAATCAGATCATTGTAATTATGCATTAAGCCTTGTACAGAAAGATGTTGAAATTCTTTTAAGCTCCCCTAAATTTTGTCTATGTAAGTGATATGGTTTGGCTGTGTCCCCACCCAAATTTCATCTTTAATTGTAGTTCCCATAATCCCCATGTGTCAGGGGAGGGACCCAGTGGGAGTTAATGGAATCATGGGGGTGGTTACCCCCATACTGTTCTCTTGACAGTGAATAAGTTCTCACAAGGTCTGCTGGTTTTATAAGGCGCTTTTCCCCCTTTGCTTGGCACTTCTCTCTCCTGCTGCCACGTGAAGAAAGACTTGTTTGCTTCCCCTTCCACACCATTGTAAGTTTCCTGAGGCCTCCCCAGCCATGTGGAACTGAGTCAATTAAACCTCTTTCCTTTATAAATTACCCAGTCTCAGGCAGCTTTTTTTTTTTTCCTGCAAAAACCCTCAGCTCACTGGAGGGCCAGTGGAACTCAGGCAGTTCTTTATAACAGCGTGAGAATGGACTAATACAGTAAGAAATCCCAAACTTCTACACTTTGAAACACGGACTTCCATTCTTTGGAATCTGTGCTTCCCAAGAGGCCATCCTTAAACTCTGTACTTGAATAAACTCTCTTTAAACTAGATTCTGATCCTTTTGATTATTTTAAGTTGACACTCTTGAGGGGTTAAAAATAAGAAACTATACCAGTCCATGTCGGTACTATAGCCCATTTCAAGAGGTCAGGACTGATGCACATTTTAGATATTTCCATCCCATACTACAAAAAATAAAGTTTCAACACTCAGAAGGTGAACTTTATTCATGAAATATTATAACTCATTCCCCAACAGTAGTAAATGTGAAATATTTCTATACTATTTTTAAATTGAAAAAAGAGAAAGAGTAGTGTTTTTAATACTATATGGTAGCCTAGTGGAATGAATTAACTAGGACTCCAAGGTTCTCCAATCACAGTGAGGACCCCACCTGCAGCCACTATTCCTAGGACCCTGCCTGTGAACAGCTGTGGTCAATTTTCCCACTCCTGCCAACCAGAGCTCGGCTCACTGTCAGCCTAAAGCCAGCAGCTGCCATCACTGGAGCCTGATCTCTCCCCTGCTTTTTCTTAGGTCCAGATCCCTGTTCTCATCAACTGTCACAGTTACTGCCTTAGCTCCAACCCTACCTGTAACCCTTTCCAGTGTCTTGGGAATGTGAAATGAAATCCTAGGCATGAAATCATTACTAAATATCTAAGTATTACATAAAAGCAAGACATTATCACCTAGAGCTATTAGCATATTCATGTTTGAGATATTGGGGGTTCTTTTCCCTTTATTTATGCTACATGGTTCCTAAGATATATACTGTAAATATCCTCACCATGCTAAGAAAACTTATTTCAGTGAGGAAGAAAGTCTTATTTTCATTTCTTTAGTGTATTCTCCTAATTTAAAGTATAAATGAAAAAAAAAGCATATGATAGGTTTTGAAATTGTTTTTCTTTGACTTCTAAATTAAGACATTCTTTTCCAAATTGTGTCACAGAAAAGTAAGAGTCTTCCACTAGAAATTAACATTTTCTTTAAGAAGCTTCTAGTAGATCAGGTGTATAACATTACATTTGCTTCCATTCTGCAAAGTGCTGACATGGGGGTGTTTTTTTGTTTGTTTTTCTTGAGATGGAGTCTTGCTCTGTCACCCAGGCTGGAGTTCAGTGGCACGAGCTTGGCTCACTGCAACTCTTCCTCCCGGGTTCAAGCGATTCTCCTGCCTCAGCCTCCTGACTAGCTGGGATTACAGGTGCATGCCACCAGGCCTGGCTAATTTTTGTATTTTTAGTAGAGATGGGGTTTAACTATGTTGGTCAGGGTGGTCTCAAACTCCTAACCTCACAATCCACCCGCCTCGGCCTCCCAAAGTGCTGGGATTACAGGTGTGGGCCAGTGCACCCGGCTGACGGGGGGCTGTTTTTAAAAGAAAGATATTTTATGAATATGTTACTTTCAGTCTGTAGTGTCACTAGTATGGGGAATTATCCTGCTGAAAAAGAGAAAGAAGGTTCCTTCTTAACATATGTGAAATGGTAATTAGCAGTACCTTCCTGAGTCCAGCATCAGCAACTGTGTTTCAGTTATGAACTGCCTCCAAATGCTTTTTTCCTCTTAAGTGCTTTTTAAAATAGGCACAATTTTAAGTTAGCCTGTGGATTCTTCATGTGGCTTTCTTTAATGATTTTTATCTTAGAACAAGTTCCTTATGCTACAATCTATATATAGTACCTGAGAAATTAGCCCAGAATTAGATTCAACATCGGGATAAAATCGTGAAAAGCTCAGCTCCTCAAACTGGTGAGTTGCATCATTTTATACAGAATTGAAAATGTAAACATGTATTAGCTGTCTTAAACATTCTTGGGTTACAGCTTGACTATTGATTATTTCATTCACTTATGTCTATGACTGAAACTTTCCTTTGAAGATACTGGGAATGCTGGATACTGCTATAGCATGTTTCAGACACAATAGGAAAATGACCATCCTCTCATCTGGCAATTTCCAAACAGTTACCTACGAACAGCGGCTATGGTAATAACACTCCTTCCATGGCTAGCAAGCTTTTAGGGCCTCCTATTGTCCTCAGTTCCGTGTTTTCCCCACCACCCTAGTTAAGAGAGCCCACCCACAAAGATCTATTATTTCACTCCAGTTGCTTCCTCTTATCTGCTTAATGTTATGGAACCCTGTGAGGGAATATTCCATCGTTCTTCAGTAGGAATGAATTTGTATTGTGGGCAGATTACAGTTGTTGCACAGATTAAGGTATGGCAGATTGTGAACCTGTAATAGGTAGCTGGCTTCTGCTTGCCTCTCCATATTTGAGAGGAATGCCCTGAATGACCCATCCGAGAATGGCTGTCACTGCACCAGGTGTCAGTGATGACTGCACATTAGAATCACTGGTAGGAGCCCAGGAGGAGGAATAATGAAACACCAATGATTGGGTCCCACCTCAGACCAATGAATCACAATATTTGGCATCAGTATTTCTTATAAGTTTCCCAGATGATTCTAATATATGGTCAGGACTGAAATCATTAAGGTGAATCATGAGCTGGGACTCAGAATCTCTGGTCTTGGATATTAGCTGTGAACTAGGGAGGCTGATTAAGTACATGAGGTCTGGAGTCAGAGAGCATGAGTTTAAATTCTGATTCTGACTCTCAATAGCTCTGTGACCTTGAACAAGTTACTTAACTTCTCTAAGCCAGTTTGCTTATGTGTAAAATGGTGGCTCCCTCAAAGAATAATACACAGTTCTCTTAAGACTTTACCTTGTTAAGTGTTAAGGTGCATCCATAAAATGTCAAATATGTAGAAGAAAACTGAGGATTTAAGCCAATTACCTAGCAACTATTTTTCCAATTATCTGAATATTTGTTTAGATTTAAATTTAAAATCTGTGTATTTCCACATATTTGAGAGAATGTTCCCATTTCTTCGTGTTCCACAGAAAGCATGGTTGCTTCAAGATATCAGCATAGGAGAGTGATCGCCAAAAGTGGGACGCAGCTGAGGACAGACACCTCTATCTGTGTTTTCACTTCTACATGTGCTCGATTTTTTTTTTTTTTTTTTTTTGAGACGGAGTCTTGCTCTGTCGCCCAGGCTGGAGTGTAGTGGTGCGATCTCGGCTCACTGCAAGCTCCGCCTCCCGGGTTCACGCCATTCTCCTGCCTCAACCTCCAGAGTAGCTGGACTACAGGCACCCACCACTGCACCCGGCTAATTTTTTTTGTATTTTTAGTAGAGACGGGGTTTCTATTATTTTTTAATGAATGTCAGGAGTTGTATAACATTTGATAGTGTAAATATAATTTGAAGTTCGAGGTAAAGTTGTCTTCTGAAAGATTTTACCTTAGCTTGTGGAAGTCAAATAAGGATGCCAGCAATCTGGCATTTAACTCATTCAGGGAAGATTTCCAATACTGAGTTCAAACAGGCAGAAACTGGAAGGGGAACCAGCAGCCACATACCAAGTCCAAACAGGTATGTAAACCAGAATCCACACGGTGATCTTCTTATAGTTTAGATATTTGACCCTCCTCCAAACCTCATGTTTAAATTTGATCCCCAGTGGGAGCCTAATGGCAGCTGTCTGGGTCATGGAGGTGGATCCCTCACGAATGGCTTCATGCCATCTTTGCAGTTATAAGTTCTCACTGTATTAGTTCCTGAGAGGGCTGGTTGTTAGAAAGAGCCTGGCATCTCTCTCTCTCTCCTCTCCTGCCATGTGATCTGCACACGCCAGCTCAACTTCACCTTCCATTATGACTGGAAGCTTCCTGAAGCCCTTACCCAGAAGCAAATGCTGGTGCCATGCTTCTTGTAGAGTCTGCAGCACCACGAGCCAAATAAACCTCTTTTCTTTATAAATTACCCAGCCTCAGCTATTCCTTTATAGCAACACAAACAGACTAAGACAGACCTGCACCAAGGACCTTCAGGCATTGTCAAAGAGGCAAAGTGCAGGAAATTGGAAGAACCAGGGAGCACTGCATATTCTATAATTTGTTGTGTCAGGGTCCCACTGAAGTATTATTTTTATGGGTGTTCTTAATGAAGCCATATTTTGAGCCCAGTGTCTGACAATACAAATATTTGTTCCCATTTCAAAAGCATTTATAAGCTAAATCCAGAGAACTTAGCTTAAACTTTACCTCATGAAGTTAACTCTAGGTTAACAAAATAATCATAATAATAAGATTATTCATGTGTTACACAAAAGCATCAGTATAGTAAATGTGAAAAATAAGCTCATTGGTATACCAGGTATATGGATTAGAAGACCCAATATTGTTAAGACATCCATTCTCCCCAAGTTGTTCTATAGTTTCAAATATAAATCCAAGCAGACACTTTGGGCAGGGGGGAGCTGGCATATAGAAATTGACTAGATGATTCTAAAATTAACATGGAAATGCAAAAGATCTAGAATAGCAAAATATTCTTGTAGGGAGGAAGTACAAGGTTAGAGGAACTGCCCTGATCCCAAAATTTATGGATCCCTTAACCAAAAGTTTGTCATAATAAAGCCTCACCTTACACCTAAGCCAATCATTTTTTAAGTCATTTTATTAATTACTCACAGCACATGCACGTAATATACCAAAATTTTTAAACTATATTTCTATTGAAATACTACCAACATAGTATTCCTCAAAGTGTGATCTGGGGACCACTCTTAAGAATCACCTTTTAAGAGTTTCTCTAAAATGCTGATGTACGGATTTCTCCCACGCCTAATAAATCACACCCTAGAGGTGGGCTCCAGGAATCTTCCTTTTTAACAAGCTTCCCAGGCTGATTCTGGGATACTGTATAATTTGAAAAGGACTTCCCTAGAATTTATTAGATTTTTCCCTAAACAACAATGGCCTTTTCCTACATTTGTCTGAAAAGACATTAGTGTAACAAGATTTTGCTATCAGTAAATAGAAGCAAAACTTACCTTCTCTGGTGGATGGTTAGTTATGAGGGCTATAGCCCTTTTGGTGAATATGTTTGTTGAATACATATTTTTATATCCTGTTGCAACTTCTTCGCCATCTCGAAAATCAAGAGCACATCGTGTGACATTCAGAGCGTCAATTAATGTACAGCGTTCATGGGAATAATAATCTTCACTACCCAGGAGATATCCTGCAAGAATGGAAGACGAAAATAGTCAGCATAGCATAAAACTTGTTAAACAAACTAATGTTTCAGCATTTAATTGCCTAATGCAATTGATTACCCGTGACGAGGCTAATCAAATGACAAGGCTAATCAGCACCATTTCTCAACATGTCTATATCTGGTGGCAGAAGGCATTAAAACATTACTGCATAAAAACTCAAATCTATTCCTCATTCGCCTTTAGAATATAGGCGCTATCATGTAACACTAACAGTTTTTTTTTTTATCAGAGTTGAAACTCAGTAAGGGTGATAAAATCTCAATCCTTCAAAGCTATATAATGGTAAAAATAATGTACAGTTAATGTGACTTGTTACAGGTTTTTACTCTAAGGTGATCACATAAATGAGTGCAGGATTCAAACAATGTTTGTTGTTACTGATGTTGCGAGACTGGCTTCAAGGTTATTTACAGAAGTGGTTCTAGGAAGAGTCATCTTTAGTCAGATGCTGACACCCACTGGTGAAAGATACAAACCTTTCCTAATAGAGGATCTCTAGACATAACAGAGCCAACAGATCAAACTAAAGTGAGCACTGAAATAAGACTTTTCTACCTAAAATGATCTCAATTTCACCCCAGATTTAAATGGCATCAACGGCCTATCCCATAATTTAGACTTCACATGGAAGAAAATGGGTTTTCTCAAATATAGTTGTTTCTGCAAATGTTCCATCTTTTCTATATTTTAAAATATTATATTTCTATATTTTAAAGTATTAAAATAAGCTGTGCTACGTATGATTCCACTTGTATTAAATGCCCACAACATGTAAATCTATAGAGACAGAAAATAGATTAGTGGCTGCCTAGGGCTGGAGGGACTAGGGGGAAATGGGGAGTGATTGCTGAGGTGGATGAGTTTCTTTTTTGGGGATGATAAAAATGTTCTACAATTGGATTGCCATGATAGTGGCACAACCTTCTGAATTTATTAAAAATCATTGAATTGTACACTTTAATTGGGTGAATTGTATGATATGTGAATTATACTTTGATAAAGTTATTAAAAAGAAATATTTGCTAGACTCTTAGCTATCTCCTGACATATACTGCTTATTAACCTTAAAATGAGGATGATAAAATTGACCTAGCTCTTTCTTCAGTCCTGAACTTTCCCTATAATGAAAATTAAGAGCTTTACATAGTTTATATAATAAATCAATTCATTTTAAATTAAATTCTCCTTTTCTATGACTCAATAAATTCAAGATCTTGAATACAATTAATACTTTGGTCTTAAAATAACTTTTATATGGCAATCTTTTCTCCTATGTATATAATGGAAAACGAAATACAAAGTACTTGTTAATTAATGTGTAACAGAGAAAGAAATGTATCCATAAAAATAATTTCAGCCCTTACATGGGTGATTAGAATGTCAGAACACTGGAGGTCTATTTAAGGTTTTTAATAACTACTGGGCATTAAAGCTTGAGGAAATCACTTCAGGTTCTTTAACTGTTAAGTGTGAGCTGCTTTCTATCAGTTAGCAGAATATAGGACAGATACACTTCATTAGCAAAGGCATGAACTACAAATATTTAAAAGATAATACAGATAGGAGAATTCCAGAAATAAAACTATTCACATACTTGGCAAAACTAATACCAAGCAACCATGTGACAATCACATGAAGCTTTTCTTCATAATAATGATTCACAAATTTGAACTTCAATACTGAGCCTAAAGATGATGGCAGCCTATGCTTTTGGGGGAAAAAAATAGAAAATGCTTCTTGAACAACCAAATCTTCTCTGATGCTTTATGTACCAGCTGCATTGAGATATAATTCACATACCACACAAGTCACTCATTTAAAGTGTAAAAGACATTGGTTTCTAGTGTATTCACAGGCTTGTGCAACTATCCCACCATCACCTGATTTTTAGCAAAAGAGCTGAGATGTAACAGTGAGAAGAGCTGTGTGGTCATCATAACCTTCTTGGCTGCAAGTCTCCCTTCAAATGAATTTGGGGTGTGTGTTCATCTAAATCCAGGTTAGGCTTCTTAATTCTCATAAAAGGATATCATTTCTACCTTCTGTCCAGCTGAATTTTTAAGTACCTAACTTGGTTTTAATAAACAATTCAAAATATCTACAGCCCATCCTCTTCCCAGAGTATAGATATTGACTCATCTTTTAGCAAAGGCCTGATTGAAAAATTTCTAAGGATGTACAGGCTGTTTGCTCCTCTAGAATTTCCAAGATGACAAAGTGATCTTACATCAAGTCTAATTTTAACAGCTATTTGAGGTACTGAGAATACATCCGGGTCCATTTAAAAAAAAAAAAAAAAAAGCTAAGATTGAGTAGTGAGGTCTGCTGGTGGACCTGGATGAGAGTGGGGCACACACACCCTCCTGTCTGACATCCTTGCATCTTGATTTTAACCCTGAATCCAATGAGGCATTACAGAGCCATGTGCTTCAGCTGCATTGTTTTGGCCCCCATATAATTACTTTTACTGAATTGCACTTTGGTGCTCTGGCCCTAGCTTGAACAGAAGAAAATACCTCAAAACATCTACAAGAAAACCACCTAACGTATTATTAAAATGACATTTTTAAAGATGTTGTCCACCTTACCTTCTCCTTCTCCCAAAGGAGAAATTTCTGTCAGGCCTAAGAGCCAGAAAATGCTTTTGCTTTTCCTGAACATCTGGTTTCCATTTATCTTGTAAATAATGTAACTCTTATAGTCTTTTCCTTTCTTTCTCCCTCTTCGGACAAATAAATTTCAAATCTCAGGCTGGGCGCGGTGGCTCACACCTGTAATCCCAGCACTTTGGGAGGCCAAGATGGGTGGGTCACGAGGTCAGGAGTTCGAGACCAGCCTGACCAACATGGTGAAACCCTATCTCTACTAAAAATATAAAAATTAGCTGAGCGTGGTGGCACACACCTATAATCCCAGCTACTCAGGAGGCTGAGGCAGGAGAACTGCTTGAACCCGGGAGGCGGAGGTTGCAGTGAGCCGAGATCATGACACAGCACTCCAGCCTGGGCAACAGAGCGAGACTCCGTATATAAAAAAAAAAAAAAAAGAAATTTCAAATATCAGAGATGAATATGAAGACAGCCTAGAGCCATGCAACTTTTCTGTAATTTGATGCCATTAACCTATTCCATCTTTTTCTACTCATCCTGATTATTTAATCCTGTTTAAACTTTCTATGTTCAATATGTGTTCCTTTTTGGCTACGGAGGGTTGTAAATAAATAAATGAACAGATGGGAGGTAGGTAGGTAGCTAAATAGCTAAACAGATAGCTCACTATAAAAAGAACTTGAAAGAAAGATATATAGCTACTGGCAAGATACACAGGTTATTAATTCAGGCACAGGTTATTACAGGTTTAAAGAGGGCATATTTTAAAACAAACTCTAGGTTTCACATTTAGTTTCATAGGGCTATCAAGTTTATAAAATACTTATTATTATTTCTTATTATCCTTCTTATTACCATTTATTTGGCCTCCTCATTTTCCTTTGTTTTTTAAAACCTATCTTCCCCAACTTTGTGATTGCAAAAACAGATTTCACAGGTGGAAGAATGCCAATGGAAGAGTCTTCCCCCACCCCCTTCAAAAAAAAAGGAAAAATTGTGAATACATTCCACAGGGAGAAAAAAACACACCAAACCTTTGTGAAGGAAATATTCATTTTTTATTTTATTATTATTATTATTATTATTATTATTATTATTATTATTATTATTTTTGAGACAGAGTCTTGCTCTGTTGCCCAGGCTAGAGTGCAGTGGCATGATCTCGGCTCACTGCAAGCTCCACCTCCTGGGTTCATGCCCATTCTCCTGCCTCAGCCTCCTGAGTAGCTGGGACTATGGGCAAGTGCCACCATGCCCGGTTAATTTTTTTGTATTTTTAGTAGAGACAGAGTTTCACCGTGTTAGTCAGGATGGTCTCCATCTCCTGACCTCGTGATCCGCCTGCTTCGGCCTCCCAAAGTGCTGGGATTACAGGCGTGAGCCACCGCACCCAGCCTGGAAATATTCTTACATTAGGTTTTGCCAGGCATTAAAAAAATAAAAAATCAATCCATATCCCTTTTTGGTAATAAGGGTCTCTGAGAGTACAGCGGTCTCCAACGTGGATAGTAAACTCTTGCAAGGCCCTAAGGTGGCATTTAGAACTCCAACAAAGGTAATGGGTTTGCCCACCATAAGGTCAGCACAGAGCCCTGTTTACAGAGGTAACATTAGAAAGCAGCCCCATTACAGTGCCGACTGATTCACTCTGTGTTCAAATATCCAGTTCTTTCATTTGATTGCACTTGGGTGTGTTTTATGAGATGGCTGCAGTTAGTCTAAGTTGTTAAAGAAACATGTGCATTTCCATTACCAAAGTAGGTATCAAATCCTCGGCGGGTTGGAAGGCATTCTTTCCGGTACATTCCCAGGTGCCATTTTCCGACCATATGGGTAGTATAACCTGCTTCTTTTAGGAGCTGGGGCAGGAGTTTTTCATCCAGAGGAACACAGCTGGGCTGACAGGGCCAGATTATTTGGTGCTGTAAACCTGTACGGATCTTACAGAGATAAACATAAAATTATAGATTAATGACATTGAAATATTGTGAACAAGCAGATAAAATGGCCTTCTACCTTACTGATCATATCTGTTGACTTGGATGTTTAACTCTATTCCTGTACTGGCTTGAGGATATTTCTGAAAGGCAGAATTCTCTTATTCAAATGAAGTAGTGGACATAAACAGGATTTGAAAGACAAATAAAACCATTCCAACGAACAGATATTTTCAATATTTATCAAGGCACTATGTTAGAAACCATTAACTTGTTACTTTTTGCCTCAAAAAAAGTAGCAATAATATGTGGTGTGAATCTAACAAGAAAAAAGCGTTCCAATTTTGGGCACACAAGAAGTTGGTGTTTGATTAGAAGACACTTCTGTAATCTTCGAAAACTTGGTGATTTTTTTACAAGTGGTTTTGTTTTTGTTTTTGTTTTGAGATGGAGTTTCACTCTTGTTGCCCAGGCTGGAGTGCAATGGCGCAATCTTGGCTCATTGCAACCTCCACCTCCCAGGTTCAAGTGATTCTCCTGCCTCAGCCTCCTGAGTAGCTGGGATTACAGGCGCCCACCACCATACCTAACTAATTTATTTGTATTTTTAGTAGAGACGGGGTTTCACCATGTTGGCCAGGCTGGTCTCGAACTCCTGACCTCAGGTGATCTGCCTGCCTTGGCCTCCCAATGTGTTGGGATTACAGGCTTAAGCCACCGTGCCTGGCTGAGTTATTTAACAGTATAATAAAACGATTATTGCATTTTTTATTCTACTTTATGTAAATCATTATCTCAAAAGAGAGTGTTCAACTTTTTCTTATAAAAAGCGGCCATCTGACTGCTGCTTGGGAGTGGCTCACACAAGTATGCCCAGGGCATAAGGTCCATACAGCAACTAAACTTTAAGCAATGACCACTTCTTAACTTTTGGTGTAATATTGAGTAGAATACCCACAATTATATGAAAAGGATATTAAAATAGCCCTCCCTTTTCCAACTACACATCTTTGTGGGGCCAGATTTTTCTTCAACTTTTACTAAAAATAATATATCATAACAGGTTAAATGCAGAAGCAGATACAACAACCTAGCAAACTTCTATTAGTAGAAAAGATGTACAAAAAATATAAAACAATGCCATTCTTCTCACTTAACTATTTGGTTTTGAAAAATAGAGCTTTTTTCATAAGTTATTTATGTTAATATAGTGGGTTTATTACTATTTTTCATTGAATAAAAAAATTTATAATTTGTTTTAACTTATGGGGCAAATTTTGAATGGTAACAACCCATTTAAATCTATGCTCCCTGGGGTCCTCAATAATTTTTAAGCAAGTGCAAAACCCTAAGACCAAAAAGTTTGAGAACTGATACTCTAATGTCCAACAGTGATCATTGCCATGAGGAAAAGTAAAGAAGGAGAGGGAGACAGTGACAGAGGTGGCACTTGTGATAGAGTGGCAAAAGAAAGCTTCTCTGGGCCAGGCGGGGTGGCTTATCCCTACAATCCCAACACTTTGGGAGGCTAAGGCAGGAGGCTAGCTTGACTCCAGGAATTCCAGACCAGCCTGGGCAACATGCCATGATCTCATCTCTACTAAAAATAAAAATAGAAAAAATTAGCAAGGCATGGTGGCCTGTGCCTGTAGTCCCAGCTACCAAGGAGACTGAGGTGGGAGGATCACTTGAGCCTGGGAGGTCGAGGCTGCAGTGAGCTGTGATCATACCACTGCACTGCACTCCAGCCTGGGCAACAGAGCAAGACCCTGTCTCAAAAAGAGAAAGAAAGAAAGAAACCTTTTCTGAAGAGGAGATATTTGAGCAGTGACCAGAATAAAGTGAGGCAGTGAGACTTGGAGAAATCCGGGGTAAGAGCAATCCAGACCTAAGGAATAAAAACTTCAAAGGCCCTGAGACCTGAGCTTACTAGACAAGTTCAAAAGGCCCGCCCAGAACCCAGTTTGGCCCTGTCACAGCTCTTGTGCTGGTGGGTGCCACTGTAGCCCCTGCTGCGGCATGACAGGGTATCCCTCCTTGTCTACCCAGTCCCACCCTTCCCTAAAACTTAACACCTCCTGCCTCCTTGTCCTGGCTTAGCCAGGGAGATGCTCTTCTTTGTAGAAAGTGGGACTGGGGTCTCAAATTCAACTCTGCACCAGACACCAGCCTTCCCCAGCCCTGGGAGCTCTTGATTTATAGAATAAACAGGCTCTGGGGACACAGGAGGTAAGAGTGCCAGTTCTCAACCCAGGCCACGGCTGGTCCCTTCATCAGCTATAAGGTGGAGAGCAAGAAACTTGTTGCTAACAAATGATTTTTATAAGTGTTTGTGAGTATTTTATTTGCCTTATAATTTAAAGTGGAATAGCATAAGGCTCAGAGGATTAAATCCCATCCTGGCTTTATCACTTATGAGCTTTGTAACCCCGGGCAGTAACTTCATTCAGTAACTCACTAACTTCAATAACTTTAGTAAGTTAGGAATTGCACCTGCTATTGCTTTACTGCATGATCTCTTTCCACATCCTCCTAAAAGAACCACATGGAATATCTTAAGTGTTAAGTTAAAGTGGGTTTATCTTGAGGATGATAGTTAAGTTCACTATCTTGATGTGGTGATGGTTTCACAGGTATATACCTATCAAAGTTTATCGAATTGTATACTTGAAGTGTGTACAGTTCATTGTATGTCAATCATATCTCAATAAAACTGTTTAAAAATAAAAGTGAGTTTAAGTTTCCTACTGAGATTGTTATGCCTCTCCTAGAAATAATTAGACACCTATCTACATTGGGAGATGTGTCAGATACCTTCTGTTTGCCCTTCAAATCCACGCTGCTTTCTCAGTCCTGCTCTCTGCCCTAGGAGGCTGACCTATGAGGATCAAGTCAAAGGACACTTGTCTTCAGGTTTCTGATTGGGCTTAGCCAATGGGGAGCCCTGGCAGGAGTGAGAGGGAAAGAGGAGAGTGCATGGCCTCACCTGACACGCTGCTTAGCCTGGCTACATGAGTCTCTCTACCAAAGGTCACTCTGGAAGCAGACTTCTTTCTCTATCTGCCTCTCTCCTTCTAGGTTCTGGTAATTGGCCCTTCCTTTCTTCTCTTCTGGTCTAGGAGTAGTAACAGCTCCACTGGATTACTACACTATCCCTAGCATTTTGCCCCACACATTCACACCTTTTAAAATGGTCCCTTTGTAAATAAACCCTCCCTAATTTGAATGTGCCACCTCTTTCCAGCTGGGACCCTGAATGATAAGGATGTTATAATATCCAGGCTGGGAAAGGGAAGCATTCCTCTTAGCACATTTGCACGCATACGTACACACACACACACACACACACACACACCCCAAATCAAAGTATTCTTTCCATGGTTAACTCTGGAAGCTTACTGAAGAGAAAATTGACCCTAGGACTCAAAAACTTCATAGCATATAGTATGCTAATTGGCAACCAGGCAGGATAAGTAAAGATAATATTTTATGGAATCCAAAAGCCCCAGTGGAGATAAATGCTCTGCGAAAATTCCCTTAAATGGAAAGCTCATCCATCACATGCAGAGAATTAATTCTGATTGCTAGAAAGCACTGCCAAGAGATGTTGTGTGATTTGGTTTTCCTAAGCCGTGGGCACCAAGCCAGGTGGTCAGCTGAAGCCTTCCTCCATTACTGACAATCATATGGAGCAGGGAATGTGTTCTTTTCAGTTCCTGAGAATTTATTTGACAGAGCATTTTTATGGCATTATTGGGAAGCAGAAGCCAAACCCTGGATGACATCCAAAAACATGTTTTCGGTCTGTTCAAACACTATCTGAAGGAAGGAAGCTGTAATGTGTAGAGAAGCAGTAAACAGGCAAATGCCGAACTGGTTCCAACCCAGCACTTCAGCACAGAACTACAGAGCCACGCCATGCTGCAAGGGGCAGGAAGGCAACCGGGCACCAATAGGAATCAAAAGAAAAAAATAAGGGTGCCCTGATAAACACAACAGAATATAAAACAATTTCATTCTAACACCCATCTGCAATGTCCAAAGAAGTGTGTGTGAATGGAGAAGGTTCTACATGTAATATACGAAAGTCCAAGGGGTTACTTCCCTATCTACCATGTGTGGCTGTCTCCTCTTCATTAAACCAAATCTTCTCTCAAAAAACAACTTCTCCTAAGATTTTACTTGACCATCAAAAATCCTCTCCACAAAGGCAAAAGGTCTGCAAATCCAGTGGAGGACCTGGCTTGTTCTAGGCTCTTTCTGTGACATAACTGAGAGATCCTTATTTACATATTGGTTGCACGTAACAATTTATTTGGTCCAGTGTGTTATTCTGTCTTCTGCACACCTAGGAGTTCCTTGCAGTATAGTCTCATGAGCTTAAAGGAGAAAATCCAATCTCTTGCTGGGGGAGAGGAAGATGGCAGCTCCCATATCAGAATCTCTTTCAACTCCCCTTTCAGAGGTCCAGACAGTCAATTGATTAGTTATCTATATGGGAGTTCAGAGCACAATATTTCAGCTACACTCAAACTCTCCCAAGAGCGAAGCAAACCACTGCTGCACAGAAGGCGATAGATGCTCTTTCTCTCCTCACCTCAACAGTGTTGAGATAATATCCCGTTGAACAGAAGGGAGGTTCTGTCCAGTCAGTCTGGTCTGAGCAAAATGAACTCATATCCTCATGTGCCCACATATGTGTGCAATACCTCCTGCTGCAGTACTTAAAAATTCAGAAAAATGGGCCACTCTACCCCTCCACCTTATACACCAGAGAGCCTATGGGAAGCTTCATGATCAGAACGCAATCACAGAACATGCTGGTGGCAAAGCAGGAGTTCAGAATTTCTAGCCTGTGCCTCGGCCAGTACACAGCAGGTTTTAATCACGGTCAAGTAACACTTGTGCCACCTTAGGGTTTATTCCTGGAGATGCCCAAAGAACAAATGGATAGTGGAAAATCTGCTCCCTCCCCACAGAAGCCATCTGAAAAGCAGTCAGCTGCCCATGCTGCTGAAGCCAAGAGCCTACAGACACGCATTATGTGTGCTAGGGGCCTGGCTTTGCCATCTGGCTTGGCCCTTCAGGACTCGGGCTGCAGAACTGGCCCGTGTCACTGACAGTTTTAAGAGTCTATTTATTTTGGTGTTGATTAGTGAAGAGTGCAAATCTCTGACTAAACCCACAAAGGGATGTTGTTTGTAAAAAAGAATAAACAAGTCAGAAAGGGTTTCAGTGCCTCCCTCTGTTTAAATTATAATTCCAAAGAAAGCCCAAATGGAAAAGGAAGGAAAATATGAAGAAAGCTGAGGGAAAGGAATCTCTCAAAAGGTGATATGATTAAGGAAACGCAAACAAAAGATAATGACCAGAGAGCAACAGCTTATGCTCAAAGTGATTCCTGAAATGACAAACCTCGTAAATCAAGCAACCAGAAAATCCTCTAACTCCACTGGTCATATTCCACTTAGCTCCAAACTTATTTCCTTATTTCCTCATTTGCAATTTCCTGGCAGGTAAAAGATATAAAATCTGGAATTGTTTCTTTAAAATAGCTGCAATGTTTGCAGAATGAGGCCTCCGCACTCCCCTTCCCTCCTGGGAAAATGTCTCTTGGATTTGGCTAGGCTTAGGAAGGACACCTGGCTTTAGCAAACCCATGAAAGTCACCCCAGGGCTCTGCTGTGCTTTAGTGAGGCCATCTTGCTTGTCCCTATGGAGCTAATGCATCCTTTGTTTCTCCCCCTAAAGGAGCACAGAAATAAAGACACTGTTTTCTCTTAGGAGGCACCCATGGTCTCAAGGCTACATGGTCCTCTGACAGCTCCCTCCTCCTGTGCCTTTGCCAGGGGATCCTAGGAGCGCCCACCTTGAGACATGCACTTTCCCCAATCCCTGCACCCTGTAAACATTTCTTCCAGCTCTGCACTCTCCTGTGCCCCACTTCTGAACCTCAAAGTCCAGGGAGAGGCGACCACTGGCAGGAGTCCACTGAGAGGCCAGCAGGCGAGGAGCAGGCAGGACAGTGAGGGCGAGGAGGACAAGAAGCAGGAAAGGGAGGGCATGCTCAGGCAGAGCGCCTGCACCACCATGCCCTCTTCTGCCTGCAGCATGCATCTTTCCTGCTCACCTTCTTGAAGCAAACTTGAAGCAAAAGTCAAAAATTACCCACGATGCTCCAGCACAGCCTCCTTCCTATATTTCCTGTCCAAGGTTCCGCCTCAGGGGTGAGTGAAAAGCCGTGAAAATGTCTTGTCCATTTATCAGTGTGATTAAGAAAAATGTGGTTTGGATCCCTTAAGAATGAAACCTTGGAGTCATCTTTCATTGCTTCTATTCTGTGCCAAGGTTTATGGAGTTCTGGTGGAGTGGCCCCCTTGGTACCCAAGGTAAGGACATTCCCAGTTGAGGACCAGAGTTACTTTTCTTAACTATTTTCCCAGAAGAGTGTTTTCCTTTAAGGCCTATCACTTTCTTACTCTTTAATCTTTTCAATTTCTTAAAAAAGAAGTAAAGGCATTAGAAATGACATGGCAATTTCAAGCAGTTTAATTAAGATGGTGAGCTCTTTCACGAACTGTGTAAAAGTGCTTCTCACATTTGATCATTTAATTGTCCAACACTGAGTGCTTCTTTAGCCCAGAGACAGACAAGGCAATCTAATGGAGAAGTCAGACCTCAGAACCACTTATCACAATTAAAATATGTATTAGGAATAACAAAGGTATAATGAATATTTTGTATAGAATAAAGTCAATTTGTAAGAATATGGAAAATTAGTAATATTAAGTTTTCTATTTGAACTAAATGCAGTACACAAATTCTATTAGAAAAGCTGGAGAATTTTTAAATTAATATTTTTAATCTTGAGGTTTTAAACAAGGGAAAAATAAATATAAAATCGATTTTCTCATATGCATAACATGCCTCCAAGCGATATCAAGAAACCAATAAACAGGAGCTGCCTATGGGAAGGAGGGTGGGGAGACAGGCTGAAAAGATCCTCATCTACATGTTTATATTTTTTACATCTTTTATATTTGAAGGTTTTGAATGTATTTCCTGGAGATGATTTTAAAAACAGGCTACTTTTTTTTTTTTTTTTTTTTTTTTTTGAGACAGAGTCTCACTCTGTCACCTGGACTGGAGTGCAGTGGCACCATCCTGGCTCACTGCAAACTCTGCCTCCCCAGGCTCAAGCGATTTCCCGCCATCTACCCCCCTGCCCCCGGGTCTCAACCTCAGTCTCCTGTGTAGCTGGGACTACAGGCGCTTACCACCACACTTGGTTAATTTTTTAACTTTTTATAGAGATGGAATTTCACCGAGGCTGCTCTCGAACTCCTGGACTCCAGTGATCCACCCACCTAGGCCTCCCAAATTGCTGGGATTACAGGCATGAGCCACTGCGCCCAGCCAAGCTTATTTCTTTTAAAGAAAAAGAGAGAATATGTACAATTAATTCTAATTGGAATTACATGCATCCAAAGAATGCCACATGGCACTTGACTGTATTTCCTTAAAATATGCCCATTTAGAACACTGTTAGATTCGAAATGTTCTTTAGTGTATAATAGCCTCAATGTCACCTTACTATAAAAACTGACACAAAAAAAGTTCAAGTTTTAACACTTTTTAATGGGTGGGCAGCATTAAACCCAGGGAGACCCAGCCTCCCTCCTCTAGCTCTTGGCCTGCCTCTGGCACCCTCATTCACTCAGCTACCATCTCATTCTTACAACAAGCTCGTTCCAGCCTCAAGAGCTTTGCTTCTGTTGCTCCTTCCTCCACGTTAAACTTTGCTAGGATATGTGCATGGCTGACTCCCTTCATTCAGGCCTCTGCTCATACTACCTCCTTGAAGACACCTTCCTGAGTCAAGATCACTTGACCTACTTTATTTTCTTCTCCACATGTATTGTCATGCTATTTAAATTCACCTTACTTGTTTGTATTTCTTTCTTTCCCCACTTCCCCCCCGCGAGATGGAGTCTTGCTCTGTTGCTCAGGCTGGAGTGCAGTGGCGCAATCTCGGCTCACTGCAATCTCCGTCTCCCGGGTTCAAGCAATTCTCCCGCCTCAGCCTCATGAGTAGCTGGGATTACAGGTGCGCACCATCATACCTGGCTAATTTTTGTATTTTTAGTAGAGACAGGGTTTCACCATGTTGGCCAGGCTGGTCTCAAACTCCTGACCTCAGGTGATCCGCCTGCCTCGGCCTCCCAAAGTGCTGGGATTACAGACGTGAGCCACCACGCCTGGCCTGTTTGTATTTATTTCACTTCCCTCTTGGTTACTCCTTCTCCTTACCTCACCCCCTTCAGATTATAAGCACCAAGAGATTCCCAGAGTACAGTGGCGTAACTTGCTGCTCAGTAAACATTTGTTGAATGAAAGAATGAATGAATATATCACACTTAATGGTGATCGACTGAAAGCTTCCCCTCTAAGATTGGAAACAAGACAAGTATGTCCACTCATGCCACTTCTACTCAATATTGCACTGGAGGTCCTATCCAGGGTAATTAGGCAAGACAATGAAATAAAAGGTATCTAGATTAGAAAGGAGGAAGTAAAACTTCTTCTACTTGCAGATGACATGATCTTGCACTAAAAAACTCTAAAGATTATACACACACACACAATTAGGGCTAACAAGTTCATTAAGGTTGCAAAATGATCAATGTACATATATCAGTTGCATTTCTATGTAACAGCAATGAACTACTGAAAATAAAATTAAGAAAGGAAGTCCATTTACAATACCACTGAAAATAGTAAAACAGGAATAAATTTAACCAAAGCACAATGCTTACACACTAAAAATTATAAAATATTGTTGAAAGAAATTAAAGAAGACCTAAATAGGCTGGGTGTGGTGGCTCACGTCTATAATCCCAACACTTTGGGAGGCCAAGGCAGGTGGATCATTTGAGGTCAGGAGTTCAAGACCAGCCTGGCCAACATGGTGAAACCCCATCTCTATTAAAAATACAAAAACTAGGTAGGCGTGGTGGTGGGTGCCTATAGTCCCAGCTACTCAGGAGGCTGAGGCAGGAGAATTGTTTGAACCCATGAGGCAGAGGTTATAGTGAGCCAACACTGTGCTCCAGCCTGGGCAACAGAGCAGAGTGAGACTCTGTCTTAAAAAAAAAAAAAAAAACCCTCTAAATAAACAGAAAGACATCTCATATTCTTAAATTGGAAGAGTTATATTGTTGAGGTAGTAATACTCTCCAAATAGTTTTACAGATCACTGAAATCCCTGTCTACCAAAATTCCACTTCCCTTTTTTTTAATAGAAATGTACAAGTTGATCCTAAAATTTATGTGGAAATGCAAGGGGCCGAGAATAGCCAAACTATCTCGAAAAAGAATAACAAAATTGGAAGACTTGCATTTTCTAATTCTGAAACCTTTGTAATACAAAGCTACAGCAATCAAGACAGTGAGGCACTGGCATAAGGATAGGCATGTAGATCAATGGAATAGAATTGTAAGTCATACGTCTATGGTCAATTGAGTCTTGACAAGGGTGCAAAGGGTGCAATGAGGAAAGAACACTCTTTTCAACAAATAGCACTGAAATATTTGGACACCTACATGCATCCACATACCTCAAATTGTACATAAAAATGAACTCCAAATGGATCAAAGACCTAAATGTAAAAACTGAAAACTATAAAATACTATAAAACATAGAGGTAAATCTTCATAATCTTGGATTAGAAAATGGTTTCTTAGACATGGTACCAACAATATAAGCAACCAAAGAAAAATAGGTAAGTTGTACATAAAAATTTGTAACTTTTGTTTACATCAAAGGACACTATCAGGAAAGTAAAAAGCAATCCACAGAATGGGAGAAAATATTTGCAAATAATCTATCTAGTAAGGGTTTATTTAATAGTATCCAGAATACATAAAGAAATCTTACAACTCAAGAATGAGAAGATAAATTACCCAATTTTAAAACAGGCAAAGGATCTGAGTAAACATTTCTCCAAAGAAGACATAAAAATGATCAATAAGACATTAAAAGATGTTCAACATCATTAGTCATTAGGGAAATGAAAATCAAAACTACAATTAAATACCACTTCCTACTCACTAGGATGACTTGAAGGCTATAATCAAAAAGATAATGACAAGTGTTGGCAAGGATGTGGAGACGCTAAAACCCACATACGTTGCTAGTGGAAATATAACGTGGTATAGCTGCTGTGGAAAACAATTTCCAATTCCTCAAAGAGTTAAACATAGAGTTACCACATGATACTAAGACAGCCAGGTGGGAGGGGGTCCCTGGCAAAACTCCAGCTGGACTGTGCACTGGGGTGGAGCCACGGAGGTGGCGCCTGGCCTCTCCTCTTCCTATGGCACCTGGGATTCAAACGGGCAATGAGGGAAGCACTGTAGCAGGGACTCTGACCTTTCAGTGGGTCCCTGTTTCCCCCTTTTTTCCTTTTCACCCAATAAAACCCTGCTTTACTCACCCTTCAAACCATCTGCGAGCCTGAATTTTCATGGCCATGGGACAGACAAGGACCTCATCGTTAGCTGAACTAAGGAGAAGTCCTGCAACAATACGGCGTTTCACTCCTACATATTAACCCAAAAGAACTTAAAAAATATGCTGATACAAAAACTTGTACATGGATGTTCACAGCAGCATTATTCATAATAGCCAAAAAGCGCAAACAACCTAATGTCCATGAATTGATGAATGTATGAACAAAATGTGGCATGTCCATATCATGGAATATTATTGAGCCATAAAAGGGAACAATACATGCTACAACATAGATGAAAGGACATCTATTGTATTCCATTTATATGAAATGTCCAAAATAGGTAAAGTCACATAGATAATAAGAAGGCTGGTGGTTTCCAAGGGCTGGTGGAATGAGGAAATGAAGAGTGACTGCTAATAGTTGAGTGGTTTCTTTCTGAGGTGATGAAAATATTGGTTACACAACCTTGTGAATGTACAAAAAACCATTGAATTGGATACTTTAAAATGGTAAATTATATAGGATGTGAACTATAACTTAATATTGCCAGTGGGAATGTAAATTGGTACAATCCCTTAAGATGCAATTTTGCAATATTTATCAAAATTACAAATGCATCTATCCTTAAACCCAGAAAATTCCATTTCTAGGAACTTATCCTTCATATACGTTCCAATATGTACAAAATGACATATGTGCAAAGTATTCACTTCACCATTCTTTGATATATCAAAAGGCTGGAAACAACCTACATGTTCATCAGTATGCAACTGGCTAAATAAACTACAATGTATCCATTTAACAAAATATTATGCAGCCCTAAAAGCTGTGAGGATAATCTTTAGTCAACAAAATGGAATGATTGCAAATGTTAAGTAAAAACAAACAAACAAAATAGGAGCTGCAGATCAGTGTGAAGAGTATGTTACCATTCATACAGAAAAAAGAGAGAAATGATATATAAAAATATATAATTCAGAGCATTATTTGTCTACAAACATAGGAACTGAATGTCTAAGGAAGTGTGTGTATGTGTGTGTGTGTGTGTGTGTTTTGGTAGATTTTCACTGTAAGCCCTTTTGCAGCTTTTAAGTTTTTAAGCCATGTGAATGTATTTTCTATTTTAAAAATAAAATACGGATTTTTTTAAAGATTTCACAAATAATGAATGAATGAGTCATAGGGCTGTGGGAAGGCCCCTAGCCTGAGTGTAGAGAGACCTGAATTTCTAGTTCTTTTTTTTTTTTTTTTTTTTTTTTTTTTTTGAGACGGAGTCTCGCTCTGTCGCCCAGGCTGGAGTGCAGTGGCGCAATCTCGGCTCACTGCAAGCTCCGCCTCCCGGGTTCACGCCATTCTCCTGCCTCAGCCTCCCAAGTAGCTGGGACTACAGGCGCCCGCCACTACGCCCGGCTAATTTTTTGTATTTTTAGTAGAGACGGGGTTTCACCGTTTTAGCCGGGATGGTCTCGATCTCCTGACCTCGTGATCCGCCCGCCTCGGCCTCCCAAAGTGCTGGGATTACAGGCGTGAGCCACCGCGCCCGGCCGAATTTCTAGTTCTTGAATTTACCAGTAACTACTTACCCCATCTGCTAATTAGTCTCCTCCATTGCCTCCAACCTGTACCCAGTCCCTACACATATTTCACCATAGCATGCACATTTAAAATAGTTCATTTGTGAGGGCTGTGAACAATTAAATGTCTCACTATAAAAGGCTGAATTAAGTAAGTTCCTAGCAGCAGAACAAGTAGTACACGCAATTTGTAAGATACACTGTGTTGGGCAAGATTAATCTTTCTACCAGTAGATGGGGTTAGTATGATAGGTATGATAATGTGCATTTGCCAAGTTAGAAACTCGCCCTAATGGACACAAGAGCCTTAGAGTTAAATTAATTTAGAGCTAGACAAAGTCTAGAGTTCAGCCCAACTCCTCTGTTTCACAGATGTGGAAATGATGGCCAGCGAGGTCACAGTCTGACCAGCCAAGACCAAAACCTACATCTCAGTTCCTAACCAGTCCTCTTTACTCAATAAATAATTTCTGAAACCAAAAAAACTAAAACTCAGGATTTCATGAGAGTATAAAGTCCAGTCAGTCTAGGCTTGTTTATCAACTTGTGCTTTTCTTTTCTAAAGTTAAATAATTATGGGAAAGGGGTCTGTAAATATTAACTTAAAGCATGACTGCCAAGTTCATAGATATGACTCTTTTTTTTTTTTTTTTTTTTGAGACGGAGTCTCGCTCTGTCGCCCAGGCCGGACTGCGGACTGCAGTGGCGCAATCTCGGCTCACTGCAAGCTCCGCTTCCCGGGTTCACGCCATTCTCCTGCCTCAGCCTCCCGAGTAGCTGGGACTACAGGCGCCCGCCACCGCGCCCAGCTAATTTTTTGTATTTTTAGTAGAGACGGGGTTTCACCTTGTTAGCCAGGATGGTCTCGATCTCCTGACCTCATGATCCACCCGCCTCGGCCTCCCAAAGTGCTGGGATTACAGGCGTGAGCCACCGCGCCCGGCCAGATATGACTCTTAACAACTTCCTTCAAGTAACTCATTTTGAGACAGTCAAAAAATTCCTTCATTTTATTGTCTAAAATTATGCATAACAAATGACTCAGAAATAAAATCTATTTTTATTTTACATGGAATATAGGCAATTCCTAACTCAGAAATATGATGGGTTGATTCTTTACCTTGAGATATTTAGGAATGACCCAAATGTCCAAAAGTAATACAGGGATTATTTAGTATGTATGAAGCAGTCCTTGGGATGTTATTTTTAATAATTTTGAGTAGGCAATATGGCTTAGTGGTTATAGGCATCAACCCTAGGGCCACGTGCCCTGGGTCAAATCCTGGTCCAACATATACTAGCCCTGTAACCTTGGGCAAGTTTCTTAACCTCTTCCAGCATCAGTTTCCTTGTTACAGAACAGAGATGATAGAGTTGTTGTGAGAATCAAATGAGTTAACACTTGTAAGTGCTCAGAACAATACCAGCATATAGTATCTGACGGAGACTCCTGAGCCTTCCCTGAAATTTCTACTTCATTAAAAGTGGACACTTGCTCACCCTGGGTAACATCTACTTGGGTCTCATGAACTCTAAGAGAATAAAGTGGGTGAGAAAACTGGAGGAAAAAAAATGTTTGGGGAAGCAAGGCTGCTTTAGAATCAGCTACACTGAGAGGCCTCTAAACCTTTCAGAGTGCCCAGCTTCTCTACTCATCCTTTACTTCATAACCATGGGGTACTCTAAATACTAAAGTTTGTTCTCCAAGACATAATTTTGGTGACTGGTGGGGGAGGATGTTAGGGGACAAAAGCAACTGATTACGGGAATGGGTTTTTTATTTTATTTTGTTTTGAGATGGAGTCTTGCTCTGTCGCCCAGGCTGGAGTGCAGTGGTGCGATCTCGGCTCACTGCAACCTCTGCCTCCCGAGTTCAAGCGATTCTCCTGACTCAGTCTCCCGAGTAGCTAGGACTATAGACGCATGCCACCACACTCGGCTAATTTTTGTAGTTTTAGTAGAGACGGGGTTTCGCCGTGTTGGTCAGGCTGGTCTCGAACTCCTGACCTCAGGTGATCCACCTGCCTCAGCCTCCAAAGTGCTGGGATTACAGGCGTGAGCCACCGTTCCCGGCCCAGGAATGGGTTTCTGAAGTTGGTATTTGCTTTCCTGTCCAACTCTGTTGGAAGGGAGGAAGTTGGAGAAATGAATGGCCCTTCCATTCTTTTGCAATCTGAGTTCAGTTCTCTTACTTCAAAGCAAATGCAGAACCCTTTGGGCAAACCTCACCTTTCCCTTCTTCTTCTTCTTTACTGGCACATCCCTTTACTCCCACAAAGTGTCCAGGGTGAGATTTACACAATGTAGGGGATTCCTAATTACACGTAGCAGCCAAGGTCAGAACCGCCAAAAGTACTAAGGTGGATGGTGAAGGGAAGCATCCTTTACTCCCATTTCTAACCTTGGCTACAGCTATTTCTCACCCTTAGCAACACCCAATCTTTCCTCTTTATAAAAGCCTTCAGACCACTGCGCATATCTTTATCACAAGTAAGCCCTCCCTTCTCTTGATCTTAGGACCACGTGAGGCTAGGGTTGATCTGACAGGTTATGCGAACACACACTTGGGAGGGCAACATTCAAATATATATCCCCTGTCAGTAGCACAGTAAGCTCAAAATATTTTTGTTGAGTAAACAGCATATGTACTCTGTGAAGGCATGCAGGTGGTATCCAACAGTTCCCATTTACTGTATTTAATATGGTCATAATAACTTCAGGGTCTTAGAAATATGACAATCGTATTCAGATTGAGGGGAAAAAAGGCCAATTTCATAAGCCCGGGACGACCAGTGGATGCAGGAAAAGCACAACGGACACTGCCTTGACCACTTTCTAGCTGTGCGATTCTTATGCCAACGAGCCTTTACAGGCTTCCTGCCTCGTCTGTAAAACGGGGTAAAAACAACTACCTCATGCACTGTTTCAATAATTCACTTTAAAAACAACAAAGTGCTATGCAAATGTTCTTGATATTCTTAGCCATCTAACATCTATGCACGCTCTACATTTATATTTCCTTCGTTAACTGTGGAGCCGTTCCTAAAGGGAAGCTTTTAAAGCGATAATGAAGATGCTCAGAAGAGTTCAATACAAGGTTACATGTGAAAGGAATGTCAGCAGCCTAAGAAAAATCAACCTAGCATCAGGTTTCATTCCAGGGGTGTTGAGAACCTGGAAAAAAATAATCTTTGGTGGGACACTCCTAACCTATCACCGCTGGGTTCCCACGGGCCAGGGTCGCACCCACGGCGAGCACCCCTTCATTTTACCTCTCCCCTCGTCTTTGCTCCCAGCCCACGCCCTCCCCAGCCTCCCACCTCAGGACCGCTCCGCCTGCCGGCCGCGGCGCCCAGCACCCGGCATTCCCATAAACCCCTTCGCCCGGAGCTTCAGAAAACGAAAGACAAAGCCACCCGCCCAACCCGGCGGCCGGGGCGCGGGTCCGCGGGGCGCCAGAGCCGGGCATGCGCAGAGGCCGCGGCGGGCTGCCGGCCTGGAAGAGCGAGGTTGGGGCGAGAAGCCGCCGGGACCCATAACTGGGTCGGCGGTCCGAGCCCCGCCTGCCAGCGCCCGCGGCCTCAAGGGCCGGGTAGGAGCGGCAGGGCGCCGGCGAAAGGCGGGGCGGGGGCGGCGCGGGCGGCGGGGGCGCCGCGTACCTGGTAGCGGCCAGTGAGCAGCTGGCTCCGCGACGGCGTGCACAGCGGCTGCGTGTAGTAGTTGTCCAGGAGCACCCCGCCGGCCGCCAGCGCGTCCAGGTGCGGCGTGCGGATGCGGGAGCCGTGGAAGCCGACGTCGTTCCAGCCTAGGTCGTCTGCCAGCAAGAAGACCAGGTGGGGCGGCCGGCTGGCCCCGGCGCCCGAGCCCGGCGGCGCCAACAACAGCAGCAGCAGCAGCGGGAGGACGACGGGGAGGAGCAGCCGCCGAGGTCCGGGGCCTCGGGGCAAGCTCGCCGCGCCGCGCGGACCCATCCTTGTCCGCCCGCGGTCCCAGCGCCTGTGGCGCCACCAGCCCCTTGTACCGCTGATAGAATGAGGAACTGGGCTGCCGGGGCCTGCTCCGCCCCGGCGCGGGACGGCACCCCCAGCGGGCCGTGGGCTTGCGAGGCCGGGCGCTCGGCCCCCGCCGCCTCCGACCCGGGCCCCCGGCTGCTGTGGCGGAGGAGGAGCCAGAGACGAACCCGCGGGCGCCCGCTGCCCGGCTTCTTGGAAACTCAGCTGACGCTTGGAGGGCACCAAGGCCCGTTATCTTCCCCGGCAATTAAATTTGCACTGTGGTTTCCTAAAAAAAAAAGATGTGTTCTTTAATAACGCTTCACAATTTACAAAGCATCTTCACAGCCCGCGTCTCCTGTAAAGCCTGCAACAACTCTGACAGTTAGACATTATAATTAGTGCCAATTTTTCATAAGAAAAAAGCTTATAAATGGTTAAACCTCTGACTCAGATCCTGAACCATGATGTCTAGCTAGCAAGTCATTTCTAGCACAAGAGCCCAGCCTGTGGCAGGTGGGAGGACGGTGAAAAGGCAGAGGTCTAAATAGCCTTTCACATTCATTTATGCGTAGTGTACACCCATGAAGCCGCTTCCTCCCCACTAGCAAACAGGAGGCCAAACACACAGTCTGATTGCACGGTGCCCTTTGGAAGGTGCGGTTACTTTCAAGTTGCCCTGGGAGGATTTGGAGTGTTGCGTGGTCATTGAATAAATAGCTCATTCGCTTGTCCGGATATGACCCCACTCAGAGCTGGCTCCCCCACTAAGCAGTGACACTAAGAAGCACACAGTATCTAGTTAGCCTGAAATATCTGAGTGGAAGGAAAAAATCCTTTAGTCACGTGCTTATTGAATTAGGAAGTTAGCCGTATGACCAGTAGATTCCCGTTGCCATCCAGACTTTCTGTCTACTCTGTCTGGAGATATTATAGTTGTTAACAGGTGTAGGGGAAAATTTTTGCATTGCCTAGAGACCATACCCTTCCAGGTTGAGTCTGATTCCGTGGAAGTTGTTTACAACTTTATAAGTTATAGATAAATAACAATGGAAAATAATTCTTATTTATATATACACAAATGAACTTTATCCAGCGGAGTAGCAATCCTTCCCCTCCACCACTACCAAGGAAAACAGTTTCACCTCCGCTTGCATATTTATTTTAGTATTCCTGATCTGTTCTTTGGATTGTCCTTTGAATTGGTTTTAACACCTTACCAATTTCCTTATTAATGAGTTAAATAAAATCATGTATTCACTTTTATATTTGTATGAGGGTCATGATTTTACCTTTTTTTCCCCAAGAATCCTTTAACACATGAAATGTTTGCCTCTTACATACACTTTTTTTCTTTGCATGAAGTAGATTAGTTTATGTTGTATGCACTTTAATCTCTAGTGGAATCAATGAAATTTAGCAGAAAAAAGTGAAAATTTTAGCATTAAATTCAAAGAATAACTTTTGAGAGAACTGTTTGACTCATTATGTCAAGGGTTGAACTTTTCATTTAAACACCCTGTAGAAGACCTTGAAGGACTGAGAATTTCCGCTGTGGTTTTGTGTCTTTCTCCCCCGTAATCCTTCCTATTCTCCTTGATAAAAATTAAGAAGAAATAATTGATGGGTGCTAATCTGCAGGAACAATTCCTCCTTTAACCAACTTCCCCTGAAACTAGCTAAACTTGCACAGATTCTTACGTCCTATGTTTTTAAAATAAAAGCATATGTTAATAGTGCTCTGGAAATGTGCAAATTGAAGAGTTAATTCTATTTTCCATCTATGTATTGAACACATAATGTGCAGTACAAGCTAGTTATTTTATAAAATCTCTCAATTGGAGTTTGATGTTTCTTCACAATTAGATAGAGGTTATGGATTTGTGCAGGAATACCACAAAAAGTGATGTGGTATGTTTCTCGGTGCTTCCTATTAAGAGGCACATGATGCTGAATTGCTTTCTTATGGGATAACTTTGTTAAGGTAAACATTTCCTCATTGTAAGGTTAATATTTTCTTCTTGTAATTAATAAATATTTTATGGAGAGATAATTTGAGAATATGTAAATATCCTATTATGCCTCACACACATTATTTTGCTTACCAGTTTTAGTATCTTGCTTCTTGCTTCAATTAGTTATAATTAGGATGGCTACCAAATGCTGATTTTCTAATTCCTTCATTTCCTCTATATTTATGAGTTGCCTTTCTACTGTAAGGAAGAACTTTCCCTTCTCATTTATTTATTTCACTATGAATTCATGAATTCTTGTTTTAATCAATATGCTATAATCCTTTGCTATAGTTATTTCAATGCTCAAATTTTCTCTGTTTTGGCCAGTGGGAGCCCCTACAATCTGGCTCATATCCTTTTGGCATGTCCTCTTGAATCTTTGAGCATGTCCACACATTTTGATACAATGAGATTTTCTAGCCTCAACTTGCACTTTTCCTCTCCCAATCCTGGAATCAGACATTTCTCCAAGCAACACTGATTCTTTTTTTTTTAGACGGAGTCTCATCCTGTCGCCCAGGCTGGAGTGGAGTGGCGCGATCTCAGCTCACTACAATCTCGGCCTCCAGGGTTCAAGAGATTCTTTTGCCTCAGCCTCCCGAGTAGCTGGGACTACAGGCACATGCCACCTTGCCCGGCTAATTTTTGTATTTTTAGTAGAGACAGGGTTTCACCATGTTGGCAAGGATGCCCTCGAGCTCCTGACCTCAGGTGATCCACCCCCATCGGCCTTCCATAGTGCTGGGATTACAGGTGTAAGCCACCACGCCTGGCCAGAACGCTTATTCTTTTTAGGGATGACATTGAGAAACCAATCTCTGTGTTTTAGATGTGCTCATTGCTACTGGGCTGTCATCACTTCTGGGATCTCTCTCAAGACAAAGACAGGAACTATATATATATATATATATACACACACACTCACACATACATATATAAGTGTTTATACATACACCACACCCACATACTATATCTAAACATATGTATAAAACCATGAGTTTATAATGAGTACCTCTAATTCTATTTCCCCTCGTTTCTATATGTGTATGGGTTGTACCAGTTTTCATCACTAGCAACTGAGTAGTATAGTGAAAACAGTTTGGCAATTTCTTACAAAACTAGACCTATTCTTAGCCTACAATCCAGCAGTCACACTCCTTGGTATCTATCTGAAGGAGGTGAAAACTTATATCCACACAAGAACCTGCACACATGTTTATAGTAGCTTTATTCATAGTTTCAAAAACTTGGAAGCAATGAAGATATCCTTCGGTAGGTGAAAGGATAAACGGTGGTACATCCAGACAATGGAATAGTATTCAGTGGTAAAAAGATAGGAGCTATCAAGCCATGAAAATACATGGTGGAACTTTAAATGCATATTATGAAGTGAAAGAAGCCAATCTGAAATAGCTACATACTATATAATTCCAGCTATGACATTTTGAAAAAGGCAAAACTATGGAGACAGTAAAAAAGATCAGTGGTTGCTAGGTTTGGGAAGTGGGGATAAGTAGACGTAGCATGGGGGATTTTTTTAGGGCAGCAGTCACCAACCTTTCTGGCACCAGGAACTGGTTTTGTGGAAAGCAGTTTTTCCACTGACCGGGCAGCAGGGGTGTGGGGATGGTTTCAGGATGATTCAAGCACATTACATTTATTGTGCACTTTATTTCTATGATTATTACATTATAATATATAATGAAATAATTATACAACTCACCATAATGTAGAATCAGTGGGAGCTCTGAGTTTGTTTTCCTGCAACTAGATAGTCCCATCTGAGGGTGATGGGAGACAGTGACAGATCGTCAGGCATCAGATTCTCGTAAGGAGCACGCAGCCTAGATCCCTCACACACGCAGTTCATGATAGGGTTTGTGCTCCTAGGAGAATCTAATGCCTCTGCTGACCTGGCAGGAGGCGGAGCTCAGGCGGTAATGCAAGTGATGGGGAGCAGCTGTAAGTATAGATGAAGCTCTGCTCGCTCGCCCACTGTTCACCTCCTGCTGTGCGGCCCAATTCCGAATGGGCCACGGACAGTACCATCCATGGCCCGGGGGTTGGGGACCCCTGTTTTAGACCAGTGTCACCCCTGTTTTAGACCAGTGATACTACAATGGTGGATACATGTCATTATACATTCATCCAAACCCATAGAATGTACAACACCAAGAATAAACCCAAAACTAAATTGAACTTTACATGATTATGTTGTCAATGTAGGTTCACCAGCTGTACAGATGTACCACTCTGGTGGGGATGTTGATAATGGGGGATGTAAGCATGTGTGGGGACAAGGGTTATATGGGAAATCTCTGTACCTTCTTCTCAATTTTGCTATGAATCTAAAACTGCTCTAAAAGAACTAAGTCTTTTTTAAAAAGCACTGTACTTTTTTTCTAATCTGATATGAGATGATATATCAGTATAGTATTTTCGTTTTGCTTTTCTGTTATGAATAAAACTGAATATTTTTTCATGTGATGAAGGGCCTTTTTAATGTCACTTTTGTGAATTGTCTGTATTATTTTCAATTGGTTTTTTGGTCTTTTCCCATTCAATTTTAAGAATTCTTTATATATTACACAGGTTACCCCTTTGATTGTGATATTTATCACAAATATTTTCTTCCAGTATGTCACTTGTCAAATTGGTGTTTTTAACATGGAAAAGTTATTTTTTAATGTTAGACAAATTTATCAATATTTTCTGTGATTACATCTGGATTCTGAGTCACAGTTAAACAATCCTTATACCAAAGTTAAAGTAAAATTTACCCATTTTTTCTACTAGTAATTGTATAGTTGCATCTTTATATTTAGATCCCTGATCCATGGGCATTTATTTTGTGTACAGTGTGGAATATGGATCTCCTTTTCTTTTTCCAAATGGCTGGCCAGTTGTCTCAGCACCATTCATAGGGAATTCCATTTTTGTACCAATGATATGAGATGCCACATTTATAATATGCTTAATTTCCACATATACTTGGCTCTATTTCTAGGTTTTCAGTTAGTTAGATTCTACTTGCCTGTCTGTTTACTCATAGCACCAGACTGTCTCAGATTATAGGCTTTACAGTATGTTTTCATGTATGGTAGGGCTAATGACTCTTCATAGCTTTTCACTTTCAGTGTTTTTCTGGCTGTTCCTGCATGTCTTCTTCCTTTTCTTTTTCTTTCTTTCCCTCTCTCTCTCTCTTTTTTTTTTTTTTTTTTTTTTTGACAGTGTCTCCCTCTGTTGCCCAGGCTGGAGCACAGTGGTACAATCATGGCTCACTGTAGCCTCGACCTCCTGGGCTCAAGTGATCCTTTTGCCTCAGCCTCCCGAGGAGCTGGGGACTACAGGTGTGAGCCACCACACTCAGCTAATTTTTAAAACTTTTCTGTAGAGATGGGGTCTCACTATGTTACCCAGGCTGGTCTTGAAGTCCTGAGCACACGTGATCTTCCTGCTCTGGCCTCCCAAAGTACTGGGATCACAGGCGTGAGCCACCACACCTGGCCCCAAAGTCTTTATAATATTCAGTTGTCATATCTAAGAATAAGGAGTCCCTTTCCATTTAAGGTCTATTTTTGCACCTTTTAGAACTGTTTTCCTCATATCAGTTTTGCACTTTTCTTGAACTTATTTCTAAATATTTTTATCTTCTCTTTTGCTATTGAAATGGGGCTTTCTCTACCATCATAACTTTTAACTGTCTATTATTTGTGGACATGAAGGCTACTGTATCTACCAATTTGCATCTACCAATTACTGAACTCTTTATTGTTTGAGTTGGTTTAATCATTAGTTTCTTTTAGGGTTTTCCCAGTACATAGTCATATCAGTAAAAACTATTCCAGCCAGTTAGAAGGTGCAAAAATTGGGACAGAAATAAAAGCAGCTCCTGAAGTCAGTAAGAAAAAGACCAACAAACCAATTTTTAAATGGGTAAAGTATAGGAACATAATTGTTTACAGAAGAGGAAATACAAGTGGCCATTAAGTATATGAACAGATGCTCAATCTCACTCAAAAAGAGAAATTCAAACAGAAACATCAATAATATACCAGTGATAACCCAATGCTTTGGGGAGAGTGTAAAGAAACAAGCCCTCTTATACATTCATCAAAGAAATGAAATTTGGCATAACCTCTAAGGGGAACAACTTTGCACATCCATCAAAATGCACATACACTTTAATTCAGCAATCCCAGTTCTAGGAATTTATCCTATAGAGATACTCAATGTGAGAAATATACAACAAGATAATAATTTTAGCCTTATTTGTAATAGAAAAAGGCCAATAATAGGGTCTGGTTAAATTAATTATGGAATGCTAAGCAATCATTAAAAAGGATGATATGGATAATCTCCAATATACTGTTAATTTCTAAAAGTTAGGCAAAGGACACTATGGTTGGTATGCTCTCGTTTGCTTAAACATAGATGTGTGTATATATATATGCATGTATATAGATATATATAGAGAGAGGTGCATGCATGTTTATACAGTATTTCAAGAATGTACGGAAGAAATAATAACATTAGTTGTCTCTGGATAGACTGGTTAACTGGGGACAGGGATGGGAAAGAGAATAACTTTTCACCATATACCCTTTTATATCTTCTAAATGTTAAACTCTGTGCATATATCATCTATTTCAAATAATAATAATAATGTAATAACATAGTTTACATTTCAACAAAAAGTAAAGTTCATCATAATTGAGAACAGAGGACCAAGAATAAGTCTTCCCCAGTGAACACCTTTGTAAAGCCTGCAGGCCATGCACTAAGAGAATCATATAGATGCTAGGGCTGTGCCTCTTGATTTCTGCAGTTTGCAACGTTCTTGGCTTGTGCTGACTGGTTATAAGCTACATTAAGAAGTCATGATTCCTGCATCTCGGTGTTTCTTCTAACTGTTTTTGTTGCAATGTCTTTGAATATGATAAATATGACATACAAAGACTAAACAATTTTAAATACTTTATCTCTAAATGATTAACTGTTGGGGTAGAGTAACAAGAGCTTCCTTGCTGGAGAGATAAGCGTGGTAAGAGGTCTTTCTTCAGAGAGAAAACTTGAAGTTCACTAACTACATGTGGCAAATTGTGGTTAGTGTTACTTATTGCTTCATTACTACCCTGAACTGTCCAGAAGGAGATAGACTTGAACATCAGAAAGGAGATTAAACTTTGTTAATTTAGATGCCAGCTATTAAATATTTTTATGATCTATTTAGTTTTAGAAACAGATAGGAATGGATTTATTACTACCTTATCTAAGTGAGGAGCAGAGAGTCTTCTTAAAAGCCTTTAAGATCATAAACCAAACTTATAGAGGTGTTTTTGAGGTCCTTTTATCCTTCTTTTAGCTAACAAATATAAGTTATTCATTAGTGTTAACTACTGTCAATGCATTAAGAACCATCAAGATTCTAAGCATATAGAAAGGTAATTCTCTGGCCAGGTGTGGTGGCTCACACCTGTAATCCCAGCACTTTGGGAAGCCAAGGCAGGCGGATCACCTGAGGTCAGGAGTTTGAGACCAGCCTGGCCAACATAGTGAAACCCCGTCCATACTAAAAAAAACAAAAATTAGCTGGGCATGGTGGCACGCACCTGTAATCCCAGCTACTTGGGAGGCTGAGGCAGGAGAATTGCTTGAACCTGGGAGGTGGAGGTTGCAGTGAGGCAAGATCGCGCCACTGCACTCCAGCCTGGGTGACAGAGCGAGACTCCATCTCAAAAAAAAAAGGAAAAAGAAAAAAAAATTGTGTGTAAGAAGAATCTTCAATTTATTGTTGGTTTTGTTCTTGAGTTAGTGTATGTGTGAGCATTGGGAGGAAAAGGGTCAGAGAAAGAAAAAGAAAGATTTACTTTAGTTCTGAGATTCTCCAAATTTATGAACTTGATAGTCTGAATAAGAACCACTATGGCCAATTCAAACTGAAACTCCCTTGACCACTTCATCCCACCCATTGCTTACCACCTCCTACTTCCTTAAAAGACAACTAACTAGAGAGAGAAGACAGGGCAAAATAGTGCCATTCTTATAAAAATATTCTGGCATAGCACTTTTTTGTGCATAAGACAATTGCATGAAAGTGTACATAGGTCAAGGAATCATCACAAAGTAACCACCATGTAACCACCAGTCAGATCAAGAAACAGGATGTTGGCCTTTTATCTTATTGCTTTTTTCCTTTCTTTACCTTTCATACAGCCTGAGCCTTAGAGTTGGCACAGTACTCAAAATATACTACTGAATTGCATCTGTTTTTTCTGTATGGGACATTTTACATTGAATACCCATTTCTTTTTTTAATTTTTTTTAATAGAGACAGGGGTTTCACTATGTTGTCCAGGCTGGTCTCGGACTCCTGAGCTCAAGCAATCCATCCGCCTCAGCCTCCCAAAGTGCTGGGATTACAGGTGTGAGCTACCATGCCCAGTCCATTGTATGTCCATTTCTTAAGCATCAGCTCTAAGCCAATTCCTTCTAACCATGCATAAGTATCTAAAACCAATGTGAGCACTTGTATTAAAAAAATTAAAATAGTCATATTGTATGACAAAAAAAGGATGATATGGAATAATCTCCATTAATATACCATTAATTTCTAAAAGACAAAGGAGGTAAGTCTGAATGATTCTAGAAGTTAAGAACTCTCAAAATGAATGCATGTAGCTGAGTCTATGAGTGTTGGAGGCCTATTGGTGTAGCTGCGAGTTCTCCGAATTAACTTACTTGTAGAATACAATGTTTGCCGAAGCATAGGCAATTAAAATGTGCTAATTTAAAGCCAGTTTAATCATATACATGTATATATGAGATGATTAAAATTGGGGGAGGGGAGGACTTGGTAGGGTAAATAAAAAAGAACTGAAATACTTAATGATGTCATCAAGCCTACCACCAGACTTCTTGTTACATGAATTCATAAAATAAATAATTGCTTAAATTACTGTTAATAGGATTTTTTTTTTTTACTTGCAGCTAAATGCTTTCTGATGCCCACTATAACCTGTCTTATTAGCAAACTGCTCCTGGATGGTAAGATCACATGTTTCCTGTCTCTTACCCTTACCTCTTATTCATTTTTCAATACAGTCTGGTTTTTGCCTTCACTGGTATCCTGAAATTGTTCATGCCAGTAGCACCCATGACCACTCTGCTTCACCTGAGGGATGCTTTTCAGCCTTTAGTCTTATTTGACATCTTTTTATCTTCTGACACTGTTAGCCATCCCCTCCTTCTCAAAATGTTCTCTCCCCTTGGCCTTCATGACATCATGATTTGTAATTAAACACCTCCCTGTTTTTTTTAGTTAAATGCTTGATCTCTCTAGTCTATAAACTTCATGAAGGCAGGGCCATGTCTGTCTTGTTTATCACTGCTCTTTCAGTGCCTAGCCTATAGTAAGTACTCCACAAACATGTGTAGACTAATGAATACTAAGAAAAGCAATTACTCATAGAACTTAAAATACAGGAGAGGCATTAGTAGATGTTATGTAGACTGTGCTTGGTTGGTGGCAGACCTGGGAAAAGCAGGTCTTGTGATTTTTTAGCCCAGTAGCTTTTGTATCACCCACCCCACCACCTCTGTGCTTCATGGCATGCTAATATTTCCAAAATCTTTTCCTGGAGAAAATACAATTAAATAATGTATTACCCTTTTATCATTCATAATGCAGCTTTCCATACATGTTATGGTTTGAATTTTTCCCCACAACTTCATTTGTTGGAGACTTCATTCCTCAGTGTGGCAGTGTTGGGAGGTGGGGCCTAGTAAGAGGTATCTAGGTCATGGCCTTTCTCATTATTACCTTTCTCTCAGGAATGGGTTAGCTATTGCAGGATTTCAGCCCCCTTTTCTCTCTCACAAGCATGCCCTCTCACCTCTTCTGCTTTTCTGCCATGCTATGAAGCAGCACAAGGCCCTCATCAGATGCAACCACCAGGTCTTGAACTTCCCAGCCTCCAGAACCATGAGCTAAATAAAGCTCTTTCCTTTATAAATTATCCAGACCCAGGCATTTTGTTATAGCAGCAGAAAACAAACTAAATACACTACTACTATTCTAATTCATTAGTGGCAGGGGGATAAATAAAAATAGGACAATAATTTATATTTTTTATATGAAGATTCATCTGAAGAAGGATATAATTAATTTGATATTTGGTGCTCTGCTTTCCTGGGACTTTGGCTAAAGAATGCTGTTTGCATAGCCAAAACTTTCTTCCTTTCACAACTGCTGTGTTTCCTGATAATATCAACCTTTCCTTTTGTTCAAGTAAAATATGCACAAAATCTTCTCAGTAAAATTCCAGAATCTCATCTGTCTGCTATTTAATGTCCCACATGGTATACTTTAAAATGTTTTTTTCTGTTATCCTTCCTTATCAGTAGAAAAGAAGAAAGACACAGATTAGTTAGGATGTGAACATTAGCAACATAACACCACACATTCATGTTTTGGTAATGTGTTAACTAGAAACTGTTTTTGCAATTCTAAAAAGCTTTCTTCACTCAAGGGAAGAAAGTGCCTATCATTCATCATCACATTCTTGAGAATGTTTTTCTGAGCTGTAGATACGGACTTCTGCACATCACCAGAGTGTTTTCAAGTATGCTGGCTGTTTGCTGTTCATGTCTGACGCTAACCCTGGACCCATTCCTTTGAGGCCTCCCTGGACCCATTCCTTTGAGGCCTCTCTCTGTGTATGTTCCACTTTTCAGAAGCTAGTGGTTTTAGTTGGACCCTTTTAAGTTAAGGTTCTCACCCAAGAACTGGCCAGCAAACCATCAGGAGCTGAGAGCTTTGGGAACTGGTCTTTCATTCTCTCTCAATGTCTCCCTCCTTATTGGGAGCTCTCATTGCCCCCTTGGCTTTATGGCTTCTATTTCTATCCATCTTTTCAGCTTCAGCTTTTAGTACTAACCAGTTTTTCCTCTGATAGTTCACAATCCAAATTCCCATGGAAGAAATCTGGTTAACTCATCTCAATTCTCCATGGCCAAGTTGTGTTGAAGGTCATTGTCAGCCCATGAATTGGCTGATGCCAACCCCGGTGCTGAGGCCAGGATGACTGGCTGGGTATGAGTGGGGGTGCTGGGGTAACCTACAAAACCTAATAGCACCTAACATACAACAAAAGAGAGAATGAGGGCAACTTCTTAAGGAAATCAGAGTAGACGTCTTTTATATTGTGGGTAGGATTTCTTTAAAACTTTAACATTCATCTGAATAGTCTATTCTTTTATTCATTAGTTTTAGCGCTATATTAACTATATGATATGAATTTAATGTTATACTTTCATTATTGCTTCTTGATAATATAGTATCCAAAAAAGAGTCTAGACCTATTTCACAGAGGAGGAACCCAGAGATGGTATGTAACTATCCTAAAGTCATGGGGTTATAGAAAGGCAGAGAATGAGAAGCAGATATCCCAATTCCCAGTCAAAAAAGCGGATATCCCAAATTCCCAGCACTAACATGAACTGGATTAAAGAACCTAGATAATATTCCCAATAATTAGGAAATTAGTTTGTTACCAAAGGGATTTCCTTCTTTTCTCATCTAAGAGGATATGCCAAAGAGAAATGAACATGTGAAGAGTTCTAATATGTAACTACTGTTATAAAACATTTAAAATGTAAAATTGGCACCTTTTCAAAACTTACACATTAAGAAATCATTTTAAAGTTTATTCAAATGACAGAATCTTATCATGCTTCACATTCTGTTTTTTGAATACTTAAGAAAACTTCTATAAATGTGTAACAAATGTATGTATGTATAAATTAATTATAAATGAGAAACCACCCTTTACAAAAAAAATTTATTTATTCCATCAACTACACCCAAATAATTTCAAAAAGTATATCAAAGAATTATTTCTAAATTGATTTTTTTCTTGCTGTACGTAGCGCTAAGGAAAACCTGTCAGCTCTTAAGCTTTTGTTTGACCTGCTTTGTCAAATGCTTTGTGAAATGATATTCAGAACAGCACCATGTGATGTCAACTTGCATTAATTCTTTCCCAAAGAGAGGTGTTCAGTATTCAAACTGTGTTTATACTGGCACAATCTATTTATGTGTCAGCTTCATTTCTGAAAGTTTACAAGTACCTCTTCCTTTGGAAGACTCTGTTCTTTCTTGCAATTTCTCTTCTAAAACAACCTTTGAAAGGACAATAATAATGTCCTATAAAGCTCCTTTCAGGGAAGTCATTAAGAAAATGATAAATATTTCACAGAATTGAATTAAAATGTTGGCTATATGTCAATGTTAAGTTTTACTATTTTCATCACAGATATATCATGAAAAATTAAAACTTTCATTTATTCATCTAAGGAAAGATTTCTCAAAGAAGTAAATCCATAAACAATATTGTACATGTTTTTATGTAAAAGATAATTTATTAATTTGTTTTCAGCTGTCAAGAACCGAATGCATTTGTTACTAAAATTATAAAATGTCCCTTAATTAGGTTATAGTAATGATTGTGTATATTAGCAAACACCTAAATGTTTTACTGATTGGGTAATGTGGGGTAAATAAAAAAACATTCATTTCAAATTTCTTCATTTAAAAGAACAATGTAAATCATTTATCTATTATTCTGTCTTGCTTAGAAAACACTTAACAGAAAGGTTTCATTAAGATTCTAAATTTAGACTTTGATGATTTTGAAATGAATTCCTGGTTTCCTCTATTCCCCTGGGAGCCAGTTATAATAATTTCAAGGACAGTCATTAGCAACTCTAATTCAGTTGACTGCTGAAGGTCTTTTTTCAAGTTTTGTCCTTTCCACCTTTTTTCTGAAGCCGGTTTCTGGTTGGTTCGGTCAATACCAAAGGTTCTTGTATGATGACTGCTGGGTAATTTTTGCCTAATAGTTCAACTTCCACTTGCTGTCCCACTTCACTTAGTTGTACAGGGACATATGCGAAAGCCAGACTCTTCTGGATGCTGTAGCTATAGCTTCCAGATGTCGTGTTGCCAACCACCTGGAAAACAAGACCCAACAGTCCTCAGCATCTTGGTCACAGCTCTGTGCTCCTCATCTCTGGGTGAAAAAAAACTAAAATACAGATTCAACTTACAAAATGGAAGTTTTATGAAGTGCTGTCTGGGGGGACAACGCCAGAGACACAGGAGGAAAACTTCACATTTTGAGAAGATGAATGAAAGTTTACAAATTATGAAAAGTAATTATCAAGGTACACATCTGTATTACTCTGAAATTTCTCATTTTTAAAATAGTAATACTTGGTTTAGGCCAGGAGTGGTGGCTCGTGCCTGTAATCCCAGCACTTGGGGAGGCTGAGGCAGGCGGATCATTTGAGGTCAGGAGTTCAAGAACAGCCTGGCCAAAATGGTGAAACCCCGTCTCTACTAAAAATACAAAAATTAGCTGGGCATGATGGCGGGCGCCTATACTCTCAGCTAATCAGAAGGCTGAAGCATGAGAATTGCTTGAACCCGGGAGGTGGAGGTTGCAGTGAGCTGAGATCTGGCCACTGCACTCCAGCCTGGATGACAGAGTGAGACTGTCTCGAAAAAAAAGTCTATATAACAAGCTTGATTAAAAGATAAAAAGGTTACTGGAAATCAGGTCTAAAGGAAAGAATGAAAAAGAAGGAAAAGCAGAAAATACAGAAACATTACATTACATCAAAACATTACATGGAACAAAAATAAAAGGAAGACAACAAAAGTAAAACACGATATATAGCCCTGCTCAAAATGGCTTCTCCTGGCCACACAACATTGCACTAATCCTTAAAGTCCTACCGTCTGGCACAGTGGACTGCTTACAGCTGGAGCTCAAGACATTCATGGATGGAAATCAGCCTGGTGATCATTCAGCTGCCTCAGCAAAGAGCACATTACAAACAACAATCTTACTATAGCACTTCTAGTATTTTAGATGCTAACACATTCATGACTTTAATTGCAGACTCCTATCTCTGTAGTCCCAGTTTTTAATTCTCTCTTTGAAACCCCAAATCAGAAGCTCTCCATATGATTTCTCTCTCTCTTTTTTTTCTTTTGTTTGAGACAGAGTCTCTCTGTGTCACCCAGGCTGGAGTGCAGTGGCTCCATCTCAGCTCACTGCAAGCTCCGCCTCCCAGGTTCATGCCATTCTCCTGCCCCAGCCTCCCGAGTGGCTGGGACTACAGGCACCCACCACCACGCCCGGCTAATTTTTTTGTATTTTTTTAGTAGAGGCGGGGTTTCACCGTGTTAGCCAGGATGGTCTCGAACTCCTGACCTCGTGATCAGCCTGCCTTGGCCTCCCAAAGTGCTGGGATTACAGGCATGAGCCACCACGCCCGGCTGTTCTCCATATGATTTCTAAACTTACTGTGAAAACTGGTTGACCGTGAAAAAAGAAAACTTTTTGACTGTGAAAAATAAAATGTGAATACATTCATTAGTAAAAGTTTATCTCTGGCTGATTAATAACTGCCAAGGTATAACACATGCTTTAAAATTGCTTTTCTCCTTTAGATCATAGTTCAGTGATACAGGCAGGGATTAGGGTCAGAGAGGTTAGAATTTTAATCATTGCTTTTTTTTTTTTTTTCTGGTGTGGAGTAAGACTACTGACACTCCATATTTATTGCTTTATATTATAAGAATTAAAGAAGCAGAGACTAGAAAATCACTTTTGGAAATTTCACAATCACCAATTTGCAACAGAAATGGAGGCATAATATTTACGCTAACAAATATGTTGGAAGAATTGTCACCTCAGCCCATAACTGCAAGTGGATACTCCTGGATTTTCACTTACTCCATTACTCAGTGATGAACATTTTTTGTTTTTTTTCCAAAGCCTTAGATGATTTTCAGGTGAATGTGTGTTGTTCTTCTCCACTAGTATGTTTCTGGCACAGTTATGTTTAAAGTGATCTGGTCCTACAGAATCCCTCCATACCAGCGTGATACCACCACCATGATATTCCTCACATTTAAAATCTCCATGAGATGAAGAAGATGCCCACCAGCTGCTCTTTCCCCATCATCCTCACAATCCTGTAAGAAGGTCTGTTTATTCTCACAATATACTCTGTAGGCATAGATGCTGTGGGTGGTACTAGCTATTTTCTTATTCTCATACAAGTTGGAAAGAACCATTTTCACCTGTTTGGGACAAACTACTGGATCAAAGTCTGCCTGAAAAGTACTTATTCGGTCTGTAACAGAAATGCCATGATCAATCAGAGATAATTCTATTTCTCTTTGATTTTCACTGATATCAAAATCCAGTGCTGTCACCGAACTTTCTGGCTGACATGCAAAAATGAGATCATCTTCACATTCAACATCTTCCTCTTCAGTTTCTTTCTTTGCCTCTGGGCCTGGTTCTGTCATCTGAGGTTTTTGTATTGGAACATCTCTTATTTTCTCCACTCACAGGTAAAGAATACTTTCACCAATATTCTGTCATTTTCTCATTAAATATTTTGGGAGGAAAAGAAACTTAGCCTGGATCCCAGGGACACAAAGCAGGTACTCTCACCGAACCAGATGGGGTGGCCACATATATATTTCCTCAGGCTATTCAATAAATGGACAAGTTCTTGCCCTTTAAGCCAATGAGCATTCAACTGATAGACAGGTGGAGCTGTACCTGGGTCCTCATTTGGCAGCATCACTTGCAAGCAAAGTGTCCATTTGGGGTCATCTATATCGTAGCTAATTCTAATACAAAATATTTTGGCACAGTCATCAATGACACACCATTCCTCGCCATCAATGGCTACCATTGCTTCAATTTCCTCATCCTGCCTTTGGTTACTCCCTGCGTCCCCCTCAGCCATGTAGCCCTGGAAGCAGCTCTGCGGCTGCACCTAATCATTGCTTTTGTTTGCTTGTTTTTTGAGATGGAGTCTTGCTCTGTTGCCCCAGCTGGAGTGCAGAGGCGCAATCTTGGCTCTCTGCAACATCTGCCTTCCAGGTTCAAGCTATTCTCTTGCCTCAGCCTCCTGAGTAGCTGGGACTACAGGTGTACACCACCATGCCTGGCCAATTTTTGTATTTTTAGTAGAGACGGGGTTTCACCATGTTGGCCAGGCTGGTCTCGAACTCCTGAACTCAAGTGATCAGCCCGCCTTGGCCTCCCAAAGTGCTGGGATTACAGGTATGAGCTAGCATGCCTGGCTTAATCATTGCTTTTTGAAAGACTTTCTTGATAACCTTGTTTTCATTTCCCCATCTGTAAGAAAGAGATTTGGGTTTGGAGCCCTGGAAGAGTTAAGCTGGTTTGCTTGAGCATCTTCAGAAAACAGGAAGAGACCTAGGCCAGTCTCAGGGTGTGATCCCCTGACTCACTGGGTCAAAAGCACACAATCCTCAGCCCTTCTCATCTCCTAACATCCCAGCAGTGATTTGTCTTGCAGTCATTCTGCATTAGTAACCTAAAAAAATAGAGTCCTTATTTATGAGTGCTATTTTTAAAATTTGCCTTGCTTTCTGCTAGAATTTACTTTCATTTCTACTTGAATTTCTCTCTAATCCAGGTTTAGAAGCCCAGGATATTTCAGAAATCTGGCTTTTCCTTTTACCTTATTACTAAATCTCCAGGGAAATGTTTTCCCTTGCATAAATTTTAAATAGTTCTACCTAAAATCTTCCAGGTTCAATTAGATCCATTCTGCCTTTTAGTTCAGTGAACTGTGAGAACAATCTGTCCCCACCCTCTGCCTGGCAAATTCTCATTCTTTGTTAAAACAAACATTGACCTTCTTTTTACCAATGTGAATAATTCTCATTTATTTTTAGCCTTTTCTCATTTCTCTCGCAAATTATGAGAAGTCTCTATCTGACTTCCAGAAGATAACATGGCAAATGGCCTTTGAAGGAAGTTAACATAATTTAAGTTTGATGTTCTATTGTGTTTTTCTTTGACTGTCCCCGTGTGTTTTAGTTTACAAATAATAATTTTAAAAAACCTTCTAAGCTCTCCAAACCTCTCCACAAACCTCTTTTTCAAAACTTCCTTCCAAGCTAAGCATCTTTTAATAACTGAGCCACCGAATATAAAGAAAGCCTTTCTCATGACCATCTTTATGCCTTGATTTCAAAAAAATTAAACCTCATTTAAGGTTATAATCCCTTTCTCCAGCACTGCCCAGCTCCCTGTTGGACTTGACCTTTCCCCAAGGCACTAAAGACCATCTGACATGCAATATACTTTATTTATTTTGTCCATTGTCTGTCTCTCCCTCCTCTGGAATGTAAACTCCATGAGGTCAGAGATTCTTGTGTTTTGTTCACTGCTGTATTCCCAGTGCCTAGAATATCGCTGGCATATGGTAGACACACACACACACAAAAAAGTCAATAAACAAATACATTTGTACCCTATCTCCAGCATTGGAAATGCTTGCAAGAATAAAATACTAAATACCAAAAGCAACACAAGTCAAGACAAAGTCTGAAAAGAAAAAGCAAAAATTATTTCATATCAGTCCAGAGTAAAGAGGATCCAAGGAGGGCCTCTGAAAAAGGATCAAAAAGAAGACTATCTGTATGTAAAATGATGACCTTACTAAGCATCAAAGAGCAGGCAAACTCATATTAGGAAATCTAAGAGATAGAATCCTATAATTGGATTAGCAGCTTTATAAGCAGATGGCAAGGAATATAGCATGTAAATGCAGTATATGCATAGGGCAAAGGAAAAAACCTTTAGATTAGACCTTGGGTTTTCAGGGTTTTAAAACTAATTTTGTTATCATCATATTTAAGGTGGCTAAAAATCAGTTGATTGTGGATGACGTGGGAATACAGAATAATATAGCATAATATCTCTTTCATTCCATGCTGAGTAAAACAGAAGGTTGGTGGAAGGGTAAGTGTAGACTGTATTAAGAAGTACTGAGAAAACTGAATGGGAATAGAGTGAAAAATATAAAACAAAGGGAAGATGAGGTGGGAGGAAATGTAGTGACAAGAAGACGTTATCTCATCCAATGGCTTCATTTTACAGATGAGAAAGCTGAGGCCCAGAGATCAGCTCAGGATCAGGTCAAATAGTTAATTAATGGCAGAGCTGGTTATAAGTATAAATCATGTGAATTGTGGGCAAATATGAATTGGAGGAAGAATACATATTGAGAAAAGAGGGCTGAACCAGAGATACAGAACAGAAAGAGAAAGAAGAGATAGGGAGAAAGGTAGCAACAGTTCAAACAGAAGAGCAAACTCAGCCCAATTTAAGAAGGAAGTGGAGGTCAGCCCATCCAGGCTTACAGACAGGCGAAGGCACTTGAGATCTGAGAAAAGTCAGTTGGCTTCACAGGCTCTAATAACATCCACCTGATACTCAGATGCACAAGAATGTGGGCATAGAATTAAATTCTTAAGGCCAGGGGCAGTGGCTTATTCCTGTAATCCCAGCACTTCGGGAGGCCAAGGTGGGTGTATCACCTGGCTGGTGATCAACACCAGCCTGGGCAACGTGGAGAAACCCCATCTCTACTAAAAATACAAAAATTAGCCAAGCATGGTGGCACGCACCTGTAAACCCAGCTACTGGGGAGGCTGAGGCAGGAGAATCACTTGAACCCGGGAAGCGGAGGTTGCAGTGAGCTGAGATCACGCCACTGCACTCCAGCTTGGGCAACAGAGTAAGGCTCTGTCTCAAAATAAATAAATAAATAAATAAAAATAAAATAAATTCTTAAGAAACTACAGGGGGACATCAACAGAGACAGAAAAGAGATCAAATTGAAGTGTTCAACATGTCTTAGAAGAAAGGACCAGAAATTCAAAGTTGGAAACTAGACCTGGGTTGGAGATCAGTTCTATCAATCACTGGCCACGTAACCTCAAGCAAGTTACTTCTGAGCCCCTCAAAGCCTCATCTTTAAAATGGAAATGATCATATATATCTGACAGGTGTGCTGCAAAGTTAAATGGGAGAGCACATGAAAAATATCTGGTATACAGTAAGAACTCAGTAGATGTTAGTTCTTTGTCAAATTGACCCATGCTTTAGCCCCAAAGGCTGTGATTTGACACCACTGGCTTTCTCCACTTCTAGCACTCTTTGTGTTACTGATGAGATAGAGAAAATGGAAACAAATATCAAGTAGGCTGCAGTGAATACGAAAAAAACCCAGGCACAGAAGCTCTGAGTCTTGGGTAATGACCAAGCTGACCCTGTTCATTGTGGAACAGCTGCTTAGATGAGCTTTGAAGGCTCCATTCCCTCCCCATGGTCTAAGCTGGGTGTCCCACATATGCCTGCTAACACCAGGAAAAACACACCCACACTCAGTTTCAACAAAATTGGGTTTTACAAATAGTAATAAAAAAATGGAGAAAGTAACTGAATGCAGAAAGCTTGGGAGAAAAAATGGAGAAAATAAAGTCCCATTGATACATTATCTGACTAACTCTGGTTTTACTGAACACAAATAGAAAGAATAAAAAGTAACATTCCAAAATGAGAAGGTGATTTTACTCTTCCTGAAGAACCAAATGGTTTCCACTTTTCACTTTATTTTCTAAGGTTTTACCCTCTATTGTCATAAATGTTTTCATCTGGATTTTTTCTCTGTTAATATGCTAATTGCCTCCTTCTGAAAGATCCATAAAAAGTTAAATCAGAATGCCAAATTTTTTATAAAATCCATCTTTTGCATTTACAGACATGGATGTGGTGAGCAAATAGATCATTTACCCTCTAAATCATATCCTTCTCATTGTCCAGTGTGTTTCAAGTCTTTGGGTTTGTTTTCTTTAAACAGAATATATAGAATTTTATGTTTTCAAAAATGAGCAACATTGCATTTTCCTTTCAGTCAATTGCGTTCTGTCTTTTGAATGTCAGCTCAGAAATCAAAAGCGTGTCATCCCTCCAACAAATAATTAATAGCAAAAGGGTTTAAGAGGAAATAGGAACAAGGGGAGTTTCTGTTGCAGAAGATGCCACAGCCCCTGGCAGTGAGGTCCTCAGCACTCACCTTGCCATTGTACCAGATGCTTTCATTTCCCTCTGGATCAACATCATCCGTTGCCAAGGTGAGGCAGACCAGTCTTCGTTTCAGCCCCTTGGCTTTAATCTGTTTCAGTGCTTGCTTTCCTATGAAGTCTGCTGGCTGCAGGAATCCAAGATAATGATGATGAATGAATGCTCAGACACTGTGACAAGGTTAGAGATGCAAGCATTTAAATTTGTCTTTCCTATTTTCTCACCAATTACACATTAAATAAAAATACAGATCGGATCATATGTCTAGACAAATATTTCTTAGTCCTCAAATGAGAGTATCAGCCACCTATTCCTTCAGAATATGTTAGACTTAAGGGTAATAACTTGTGATGACAATTTACCAGAACCAGGCAGAAACCTAGGCAGAAAAACATAAGGCATGTTGCAATGGTGGATTATGAAAGTGACCCTTGTGTCTAATGGGTCTGGACAGTGGTACGGGCTGTCGGTAAGCAATGTGCAACTCAATTTCTACCTATAGAAAGTCTTTTACCTGAAGAAAATTCACTTTTTTGAAACATGGTGCTAAAACAAACCCAAAATGCAGTATTTTTTTTCTTTTGCTTCTTCAGAATAATGTCTCTGGAATGTATTTACCTATTGGATTGCATTCATTAGTTCATTCTGAAACCATTTATTGAGCCCCTACTATGTGTGAGGCATAATGCTAGGCCCTGTGTGGGTAACAAAATGAGTTAGACACAGACATTTTTATCAAAGAGTTTATTCTCTAATACTGTGCTTTTCAACCTTTTTTTTTTTTTTACTTCTTCCGTGCAACACATGACAGATGACATTCCTATTCCTAATACACTCCCATGGGCACACTCAGGGCCATTCCCAATGCAATCAATGCAAGGGAATGACAGCGACATTGTTATAGGGATAACCTTGAATTCATTCTTATGTGTTACAAAAAAAAAAAAAAAAGTAGGAATCAGGCAAACTGGAAGACTTCGCACTTACTGGTAATACACCTTAATACACCTTACCTGTGAGTAGGACACACAAGTGAGCAATGACTCCTCAGCAGAGACACTTAGCTAATAAGGGAGATAGAATTCTACTCAACCAAATGCCAGGAGACACATGATAAGTGTGATAAACTAGTCAGAGGTGAAGAGAGAGCACTGAGAGTGAGCGCCCTGGAGGGAGGGCTGACATCCGTGGGAGGTTAGTATGAGACTTCTGCATACTCTGCCTAGACAAGCATCTCTTATGTGAAGGAAAGGAAATTTGTGATATATAAATCGTATCTATGGTGAATAAGATTTAATCAGAGATCACAATGTGGAAAACAAGATTCTCCAAACAGTTCCCACAGACAGACTACTCTCTGAACGCAAAGAAAGGAAACAACCAAAAGCTTTAATTTCTTTATTGGCAATAAGAAAGAGTATTTCATGCCTAAGATGTCCTCCACCGCTAACATTTAGGACTTACACAGTTCTTTCTGCACTTGAAACATTTAGGACTGAGTGTAATAAATCCCCTTAACCTCCAGAGAAGCAGCAGCAGGGGTCCTCACACACCCTCACCTGAGACCCCCCCAGTCCATTCCTTTCCTAGTTTAGAACCTCTAGGATGAACCTACAATGAAATATGATTTCTATGGATAATCCAACTTTAAATTGCTGACCTACACAGGAAGTTAGAGAAAGTTTCCATTAGCCGAGGTTAAAATAATGTGCAAAATGAACATCCAATTCTTTCTCCTTCCCCAGGGTGATACAACTGGTAAGAACCAACTATAAAGCTTTATTATGAAGCCAGATCATGAAAATTTAAAGAAGATTGGAACCCGTGTTATTTAATATAGGACAAATGGGGGTGGGGAGTCACAGGAAGAGCTTGATTCATTTGAATTCATATATAGGATAAATTCATGATAACAAGTCATAACAAACCAAAGTTCACTATAGTTAAAACAGGCAGAGTTGACCCTTGAACAATACCACTTTAAGCTGTGGAGGTCCACTTACATGTGGATTTTTTTCAACTAAACACAAATAGAAAATACAGTATTCGTGGGATTTGAAACCCATGTATATGGAGGGGCTGACTTTTTGTATATATGGGTTGGTGGTTCTTGAGTAAACTCAGATTTTGGTATATGTGGGGGTTCTGGAACCAATCCCCCACATACACAGAGGGATGACTATATCTAAGAAAGAATTCTATAACAGCAACATTTTTTTTTTGCTATCTTTTAAAAAGGAGACTTGCAATCATAGAATAATGATGACAAGGGGTGCTTTTCAGAGTTCTTGTCTATGTTGGAATCAATAACTATACTGAAAAAATTTTATGCTTTATTGTGCAGAGAAGCACTTAAACAATAGTCAGTGACCAAATTGACTTACACGGTGTGATTTATGGAATGCCAGCAGATCTGAAATTATTTCCTCACCTACCATCATGGAATCTGAATCTTTACCATTAGAGATTCATTTACAGCTTGAAGGTTCTTAATCTTCCTGAGTCCCCTATTAAATAATTTTCTTTCAATTATTTATTCAACTATTGTTAAGCCCCTGCTGAATATCAGATACTGTGTTAGGCAGCGGGTATTCAGAGCTTCAGAGAACATGATCTTGGGCCCAGTCCTGAAATTACTACATCTCCTCAATGTTTTAACAGAAAACAATGTTTTAACAGGAAAATGTTTTTCCTCAATGTTTTAACAGAAAAAAAGAACAATTTGAGATTATTGGAAACATAGCAGAACATGACACACAGTAGCATATCAATTAGCAATACAAATTTTGAAATATGACTCATGGTTGGTTCCTTGTGTTCTAGGGTGTAAAAATCACAAAAGTTTTGTAAATCTAAAACAAAGAATATCTAATATGTGGAGGCAGAAATGCAAACAAATAGAAGCTTTGATAGAGGTATGGACAGTGGGGGCCCAAGGAAGAAAATGACCCAGTTCCGCCTGGGATGGGAGAGCGGGGATCGGGGCATTCTTTGAGTTGAGTTTTGAAAGACGAGTAGGTTTCATAAAACTACTGTCTGTACAGCCTTTCCCAAAAGTGTCTGTACTTACATTATAATCTGATCTACACAAAAACACCCCACAGATACTGGATTTGGAGTCCAAGAGCAGTGCATTAACTCAGTCAAAGACAGGCAATCAACAAACTGGTTAAGAACCAAGATCTCAGGAGGCCTAGCCCTGTTCATTTCGCCTACTCTGAACAGCCCTAATGGAGCCACTTAAATCAATATCTGCTACACCTCTGGAGGCGATGTGGTGGAAGCTGGCCATGACCAGCTGGGGGTGCTGGATGAGAGCTATTGGGGCAGAGCTAGGCGAGGGTTGAGATGTGCTGGAAAAGGAGACTAACTCTACCTTTGTCAAATTCACAATTTTACCAAAGGCTAAGAAGGAACATCAGGTATTAGCTAACCATGAGGGAAACAGGAAAGGTGGGGGGAGAGTGGGCAAAAACTTTCTCTAGAAAAAAAAATAGAGTAGTAAATTCAGTTTAAAAAATAATAAAATATTAATCAGTAACATTTACAATTTCTTATGCCCTTGCTGTGTCACATACTAAAATGATGGCTTCACATTCAAGAGCTCATTTAATCCTCATGACAACACTTTAAGATGGATATTTTAATCCCCAGTTTATGAAAGACTAAACTGAGGCTCAGTTACATGACGAGATAAACCTGCACCTTTAGATTTTATCCATATTTTTTTAAATGCCTGTGCCTGGAGTCTATCATTAGAAAGCACTCTAAATAAAGTGCTTTAAATACTCTAAATAAAGAATGTTTCTTTTAAATTTCTTTTAGGTGGCCGGAACCTATTTTGAATGAATTTACTATAAAATAATATTTGTGTACTATGTAAAAGTATCTGAAAACATTCAGAATGTTAATATTAATGCAATTTGATATCTGTATTTGTATATCCCTAAATTAGGAATTAGGTCTTTTCAGTAATTTCATCCTCAGACATGAAATAAAACATATTCTAACAAAAACAACAGCAAAAATCTTATTGAAAGTAAGAAACACTTACTTTCTTTCTTCTTTTCTTTTCTTTTCTTTTCTTTTTTTTTTTTTGAGACAGAATCTCTCTCTGTCACCCAGGCTGGAGTGCAGTGGTCACAATCTTGGCTCACTGCAACCTCCACCTCCTGGGTTCAAGCAACTCTCTTGCCTCAGCCTCCTGACTAGCTGGGACCAGGCACACACCACCAGGCCTTGCTAATTTCTGTATTTTGGATAGAGATGGGGTTTTGCCATGTTGGCCAGGCTGGTCTTGAACTCCTGACCTCAGATAATCTGCTTACCTCAGCCTCCCAAAGTGCTGGGATTACAGGTTTACAGGTGTGAGCCACCGCACCCAGCTGGAACACTTCAATAAGTGCCATAAGTACAGACAGGAGGCTGCACCTGCCCATTGGCACAATCCCCCTGTCTCAAACCAACAAGGCTCCTGACTTAGGAAGATTTAAGTAAAATGAGGGCATTTCATTTTCATTTTACTTGGCTTTGCTCCCAAGATTATAGATTTTACTCTACTATATAATTATTAATTATAAATGAGAGGAAAATGTGTCTGAAGGTTAATGCTGTAATTAAAATAGGTGCTTTCAGGATGACCCAAGAACAGAAGTATATTTCTTTAATAAGTCATTGCCAAATTAACTATATAAATAGCTATTAATATCTTTGAAAAATGTATAAATTTCTGGAACACTGAGACTGTAGCCTAAAAATAGTCTTGGCTTCTGTTTTTAAAATTTATTAATTTTAAATAGCAATATGAGTCATTAAAACATCCACCTGTAATACATACTAAATATAATATCTACCTATATGAAAACATTAAGTAGATTTTTAAGTGAAATATAATTACTCATCTCTCATTAGCTCTATTAAAGGAACCATATTACCTAAAAGCACATGTAAATGAAAGAAAGTAAATCAGTATATTTTTGGTTGTGATTCTTAGGGCAATGGAGAGCTCTGAGATATGTAGTTAAAATCAAATTTGACAGCAGCACGGTAGGCAGGGTCTGATATGGAGAGTCAGGGTAGTGGGCTATAAGACACTGGGTAGAGATTATGAAAATACAGTCTTGGACCTTTTCTTTTCCATCTATATGGAGTCAAAAACCCATCAGAAAATCCAAAGAAGTCATCAATTTTTTGATTGATTTTGTATCAGTCAAAATCTACTCATCTTTCAAAACTCAGCTCAAGCAACTTCTCTATACAATTGGTGATGATGGAATGCTGTCCCCAGCCCCACTCTGCCACCCCAGGTAGAATTGAGTCATATTCTTCCTTGAGCCCCCACTGTCCATACCTCTATCATAGCTTCTGTTTGTTTGCATTTCTGCCTCCACATGTTATTCTTTGTTTTAAATTTATAAAACTTTTGTGACTTTTTACACCCTCATAGAAAGTTCTAGAGACATAAGGGAATCCGTGTAACATCCTCTGTCCCAGTAAAGCTTCCTTGGGAATCAGGCACAGCACTGGTTGTGGAATCAGGCTACTGTGTCTTATAGGCGGGGAAGGGCTGCAGAGACTGTGATCATCAGGTACTGTAAGTGGCAGAGTGGAGATGGAAATCCAGATGACAGGCTGTGCCACTATCCTTCAATATTTTCCTGAAAAGCTTCTCATTTAGAATGGATTTTGGATCATCATTTAAAGCAATCTGGGTGGGAATCCCGTTGCAAAGCCTATGGCCATCACTCACCTACAGTCTATGACAATCTGAACTTTCTTCACTCAGTTGTGCAGTACCCTGTGCACCTGTGACACTGTTTATGCCTCAGGAAACTTATAATAAAGCCATAAACTGGATTCATTCATTTGGGGGAATGAATTCATTTAACATCCCCAACCCCCATAATAGACAAATTACAGCATTATTCATTTCATATTTACAGACTTAGAATCACAGGAGTCTTAAAGCAAGCAGAAAACTTAGTCCAAACTCATTTTCCATATGAGAAAACTAAAGCCCTACAAAATTATGGATCTTGCCAGCAGCAACAAAGTGAGTTAGCACCAAACCTTAAACCCAAGCTTCTCAACTCTTGGTTCCTTTTCCACTATTCAGAGCTTCTTAACATTCCACATAAGTTAACAATAACCACAATTTCAACATCTCCTTGATAGCAAAATGTTAAATTATTAGTTTAGCAACTAAATTGGTTATTATTGGCTAGAAAATGAATATTCCCTGTATTAGTCTGCTCTTGCATTGCTATAAAGAAATACCTGAGACTGGGTAATATATAAAGAAAAGAGATTTAATTGGCTCATAGTTCTGCAGGCTGTACAGGAAGCATGATGCTGGCATCTGCTTGGCTTCTGAGGAGACCTTAGCAAGCAAAGTTAGAATCATGGTGGAAGGCAAAGGGGGAGCAGTACTTCACATGGCCAGAGAAGGAGCAAGAGATAGAGTGCAGAAAGATACTACTCACTTTTATATGACCAGATCTCATGAGAACTCACTCACTATTGCGAGGACAGTACCAAGGGGGATTGTGCTAAACCAGTCATGAGAAATCTGCCCCCATGATCCAATCACCTCTCATCAGGCCCCACCTCCAACATTGGGGATTACAATTCAACATGAGATTTGGTGGGGAAACAGATACAAACCATATGATTACACCTCTGACCCCAAAATCTCACATCCTTCTTATATTGAAAACTATAATCATGCCTTCCCAGAGTTCCCCAAAGTCTTAGCTCATTTCACCATTAACTCAAAAGTCCAAAGTCCAAAGTCTCATCTGAGACAAGGCTAGTCCCTTCTGCCTATGAGCCTGTAAAATCAAAAACAAGTTAGTTACCTCTAAGATACAATGGGGATACAAGCACTGGGTAAACATTCCCATTCCAAAAAGGAAACATCAGCCAAAAGAAAGGAGCTATAAGCCCCACAGAAGTCAAAAACCCAGCAGGGAAGTCATTAAATCTTAAGGCTCCAAAATAATCTCCTTTGACTCCATATCTCACATCCAGGGCACACTGGTGTGCCCAAAAGCTTTGGGCAATTATGCTTCTGTGGCTTTGCAGGGTTCAGCCACCGTAACTGCTCTCATGGGCTGGTGTTGAATGCCTGCAGCTTTTGCAGGCTGAGGGTGCAAGCTGCTGGTGGGTCTACCATTCTAGGGTCTAGATGATGGTGGCTCTCTTCTCACAGCTCCACTAGGCAGTGCCCCAGTGGGGACTCTGTGTGGGGGCTCCAACCCCACATTTCCCCTCTACACTGTCTTAGGTAGATGTTCTCCATGAGGGCTCCACCCTTGCAGCAGGCTTCTACTTGCCCATCCAGGCATTTCCATACATCTTCTGAAATTTAGGTGGAGGCTCCCAAGCCTCAACTCTTGCACTTTGTGCACCCACAGGCTTAATATCATGTGGAAGCTGCCAAGGCTTATGGCTTGCACCCTCTGTAGCAGCAGCCCAAGCTTTACTAGGGCTCATTTGAGTCACAGCTAGAGCTGGAGCAGCTGGGATGCAGGGAGCAGTGTCCCAATGCCATGCAAGGCAGTGGGGCCTTGGGCCTGGCCCACAAAACATTCATTCCTCTTAGGCCTCTGGGGCTGTGATGATAGGGATTGTTGTGAAGGTCTCTGAAATGCCTTCAAGACCTTTTTCCCCAGTGTTTTGGTTATCAGCACTTGGCTCCTTTTTACTTATGCAAATGTCTCCAGCCTGCTTGAATTCCTCCCCAGAAAATGGGCTTTTCTTTTCTACTACATGGTCAGGTTGCACATTTTCCAAACTTTTACACTCTGCTTCCCCTTTAAATATAAGTTCCAACTTCAGGTCATTTCTTTGTTCACACACATGAGCATTGACTGTCAGAAGTAGCCAGGCCACATCTTGAATGCTTTGCTGCTTAGAAATTTCTTCCACTAGATACTCTAAATCATCAGTCTCAGTTTCTAAGATCCATAGATCCCTAGGGCAGGAGCACAATGCAGCCATGTTATTTGCTAATGCATAACAAAAGTGACCTTTATTCCCATTCCCAATAAGTTCTTCATTTCCATCTGAGACCTCCTCAGCTTGGCCATCTCTGTCCATATCATTATCAGCATTTAGGTCACAACGATTCAACACATCTCTAGGGAGTTTCAAACCTTCTCTCATCTTCCTGTCTTCTTCTGAGCCCTCCACATCCTTCTAACCTCTGCCCATTACCCAGTTCCAAAGCTGCTTCCACATTTTCAGATATCTTTATAGCAATATCCCACTCCTCTGTACCATTTTTATGTATTAGTTTGTTCTCTCACTGCTATAAAGAAATGCCTGAGACTGGGTAATTTATAAAGAAAATAGATTTAATTGGCTCACAGTTCTGTAGACTATACAGGAAGCAAGATGTGGGCATCTGCTTTGCTTCTGGGGAGGTCTCAGGGAACTTACAATCATGGCAGAAGGCAAAGGGGGAGCTGGCATGTCTTACATGGCAGGAGCAGGAGCAAGAGACAGGAGGGAGGTGCTACATACTTTTAAACAACTAGATCTCATGAGAACCCACTCACTATTGTGAGGACAGTACCAAAGGGGATGTTGCTAAATCATTCATGAGAAACCACCCCCATGATCCAATCACCTCCCACCAGGCTCCACCTCCAACAATGGGGATTACAATTTGGCATGAGATTTGGTGCAGACACAGATCCAAATCATATCACTCCCACACACAGGTAGTTTTCATTCTCTGCCCTTAGCAATTTAAAAGAAAGCACTCATATAGCATTTTTCTAACCAAAATTACTGACCAGTTAAAATTCCTTCTCAAAAATGTTTAATATTACTAGAACAGGAACCATAGTCACTAAAAAAGGGGGATAAAATAGAAACCTGGGAAAATAACTAAAATATAGTTCCTAAGCCAGGCAAGTAATCAGGCTAATTAGCGTTCAAATCAAACCAGATTTTCAAAACTAAAGCCCCCATTACATGTCTTTAATATTAAATCTTACTAGATTTGATGTTAAAGAGAACACTTAATTTTTCGGTTTTTTAATCTGATGATTCAAAGGAAAACTGTGAAATGGACCTGTGGCTTTATCAGATTTATGTTTAACTGCTTTGGCCAACAACTATAATATAGAGTTTTCATAATAGATTTCATCTCTCTAGAGTAGAGTGAAGAACAATTGCCCATTTGATATTTTAAGCATAGCACTTAAGCCTAAATGCAAAGTAAATAATAATCAAAGGAAATTTTAAAAGCATGAAGAAATGAGGCCTCAATAGGGACCCAAGATCTTCCTTACTGGGATCTTAAAAAAAGAAAAAGGATTTCATGTATAGTTCCTTTACTCTAAATGACTTATTTAGATTCAAATCAATAATATGGAAAGGAACTAACACTTAGTGAGGTACCAAATGTTCTTTATCTCATCTAATACTTATGACAAATTTATGGAGTGAACATTTTCTTCATTTTACAGATGAGAAAACTGAAATGCTCATAGATTAAGCAATACATCTAGTCAGAATCAGTAAATGTCAGAGTCACAATTCAAACCCTTCAACAAATATTTACAGAGCCCTCACTAGTGATCAGACACAGGGGTGAGGCTAAGGATTCTTGGCCTCTGTCCTCAAAGTTGAGGAGGTGGTCAGGAATATAAGGCGTGGTCAGTACCAGGGCAGAGGCAAGTGCAGAGTGCTATAGAAAACGGATTCTCAACACTCACCTGCCTCAATGACCACCTATATCTGAAGGGTCCAAAGCCATACTTGCAGAGCTAAGCTCTCCAAACCCACATGCTCAGATGCCTTCTGGGACTCTCTGCTTGGCTACCCCAGAGTCCTCCAACCCAAGTCCTGACAATTTCCCACCCACACCCCTCCACCTGTGTTTCCTAGTTAATCCACAGTTCATTAACATCCTCCTCTCACCCCTTCACATGCAGTCCCTCATGTGGTATCCACCCTTCCTTCTAAATAGCACTCATTGCTCTTTCTTCTCCATCCTATGGCCACTGCTTTAGTTGAAGTCTTCGCCTTCTCTCCACTGGATTTATTTGATAATTAGGAGAATGATCTCCCAGTCATCAGACGAACTCACTTTTAATCTGTTTCCCATCACTAGAGTGTCACTCCTTACTCAAAATTCTTGGGTCACTCCCCAGGTTCTCCAGGATACACTCCAAATTCCTTAGCTTGGCACATGAGACTCTTCATAATGAGGGCCCAGGACTTTTCAAGTATCATCTTTTGACATTACTTTCAACAACAAAATATTTACTGGGCATCTGCTATGTGCCAGCCCTGAGCTGGGTGTTGGGGATAAAAATAATAAACAAAACATATGTTGTATGGCCAGCACCTGTACTCAGGAAGCTTACATTCTGTTCAAAAGAAAAACAGGAAAAATAAACAAAATAATGGCAAGCTCTAAGTGCTGTAAGGAGAATACAGCTGCAAAATTTTTAAAAATTATCCAGTAAAATCCAATGATGTTTTAAAAGGTGACATATCATCACCAAGTGGGTTTTATCCTAAAAACGAAAGGCTGGCATAATGTTAGAAAATTAATAAATGTAATAAACCATATAACAAAGTAAAACAAACAAAATGATTATCTCAGTAGATGTGGAAAATCATTTGCTAAAAATCCAGTATCTATTCCTGATCTTTTTTAAAAATGTTAACACTAGGAATAGAAGCAAATGTCTTCAACTTGATAAAGAACTTCCAGGCAAGAATATAAGGCAAGCCCATCTTGGCCAACATGGTGAAACCCCGTCTCTACTAAAAAAATACAAAAAAAATTAGCTGGGTGTGGTGGTGCATGTCTGTAGTCCCAGCTACTTGGGAGGCTGAGGCAGGAGAATCGCTTGAACCCGGGAGGCAGAAGTTGCAGTGAGCCAAGATCGCGCCACTGCACTCCAGCCTGGAGACAGAGTGAGACTCCATCAAAAAAAAAAAGGAATATAAGGCAAGAAAAAGAAAAAAAAGATATCCAAATTAGAAAAGACAAAGAAAAGCTTTATTTTTATACAACATGATTGTCCATGTGACAATCTGATGGAATCTACAAAAATGCTACTAGAACCACTAAGCAGATTGAGCAAAGTTCCAAAATATAAGATCAACATATAAGACCAATTGTATTTCTATAATTTGGCAATAAACAACTGAAAATTGAAATTAAAAATACCATCTACAACAGTATCAAAACATGAAATACTTAAGGATAAATATGTTAAAAGATATGTAAGACCTGTATACTGAAAACTATAAAAGATTCCTGACAGAAATAAAAGATGACCTGAATAAATGGAGAGATGGAACTTGTTCATGAATTGTAATACTTGAATTGACCTGTAGATAAAATGCAATTCCAATAAAGTCTAGCAGGTTTTTTGGTACACATTGACAAGCTGATTCTAAAATTAATGAAATTCAAAGGACCTAGAATAGCCAAAACAGCTTTAAAAAAGAGAACAAAGTTGCAGGGCTATCACAACCTTATTTGAGCAACAGTAATCAAGACACTGTAGTATTGGCATTTGGAAAGATAAACAGATATACAGAATACAACAGAGTCCAGAAATAGACCTACAAACAAATGGACAAAGATATAAACATACTGACGAAGATATAAAGGCAATGAAATTCAGAATATATAGTCTTTTCAACAAATGGTGCTGAAAGCAATTGGTTATCCAAGTACAAATAAATAAAACTTCAGTCCATACCTCATACCAGATACAAGATCAACTAAAAATGGATCATAGACCTAAATGTAAAAAGTAAAATAATAAAACTTCTAGAAGAAAACATAGCAGAAAATCTTTATGACTTTGGATTAGGCAAAGATTTCCTAGATATGAACCAAAAGCATGATTCATAAAAGAACAATTGATAAGAACTTTAAAATTCAAAAATTAAAAATGGCTCTTTGAAAGACACCATGAGACAAATGAAAAGTCAAGACATCTGAAAAAAATTTGCAAAGCATGTATCTGATAAAGAATACAGAAAGCACTTTAAAAACTCAATTAAAAAAAACAAACCCTAGGTAAGAGATTTAACCAGACATTTCACAAAAAAAGATATAGAAATGGCAGGGAGGCACATCAAAAAATGTCCAACATCATTTGACATTAAGGAAATAAATTAAAACCATCATGAGACATCACTACATATCTCTTAGAATAGCTAAAGTTAAAAAGACTGACCATGAAAAGTATTTGACAAGGATGTAGAGGAGCTGGAACTTCACATACTGCTGGTAGGACTATAATATATAAAATGGCACACAGCTTGGCAAAACGGTTTCTTACAAAGTTACCATACACTTTCATTTTATTCAGTCATTTCACTCCTAGGTATTTACCTAGGGAAAAGAAAGCCTATGTTCATACAAATACTTGTACACAAATGTTCACAGTGTCAGCTGACTGTTGAACAACTCAGGTTTGAACTGCACGGATCCACTTATATGTGCATTTTTTTCAACCAAGCAGATCAAAAAGACAGTATTTGCAGGATGCAAAACCCAACTTTTTCTATAGGCAGTTTCCACAGACAAACTGCCGGACTTCAAGCAAATTTTGGTACCCTTGGGCAGTCATAGAACCAATCCTCCAGGTATACCAAGAGACTACTGGAGTTTTATTTGTAATAGCCCTAAACTGGAAACATCCCAAATATTTATCAATGAGTGAGTACACAAACAAATTGTAGTATATCCATACAATGGAATACTACCTGCTATAAAAGGGAATTATTATTATTTTTTTGAGGCAGAGCCTTGCTCAGTTGCCCTGGCTGGAGTGCAGTGGCACAAACATGACTCACTGCAGCCTTGACCTCCCAGGCTCAAGCAGTCCTCCTTCCTCAGCCTCTCAAGTAGCTAGGACTACAGGCATGTGTCACCATGCCCGGCTAATTTTTTGTGGAGATGGAAGTCTCACTATGTTGCCCAGTCTGGTTTCAAACCTGGGTTGAGGCAACCCTTCCACCTCCACCTCCCAAAGTGCTGGGATTACAGGTATGAGATGCCACTGGGAATGATCTATTAATAAACATAACAACACAAATGACTCTCAAGTTATGCCGAGGGAAAGAATTAACACACAAAAAAAGTATATACTCTATGATTCCATTTTTATAGATTTTGCATTTATTTTAAAAATTGCAAAATAACCTATAGTCTCAGACATAAATTGTTGCCTGGGGGGTAGGTGAGGCTGTGGGGAGGGTGGCGGGTAGGGATCACAAAGGGGCATGGACACCCCGGGGATGAGGGATAGGTTTACTATCTTCACTGCGGTGATGGTTTCACTGCTGTATCATGTACTAAAACTTATCAAATTGCTTACTTTAAATATGTCAATTATTGCATGTTCAAATACACTTAAAATAATAATAAAAATAAAAGCAATCTTAAAAATTATTTCAATTCATTCCTAGACCTGGGTTTCCATGGATATCCAAATTTGAAAGCAGTCAGCTAAACTTCACATTTCAGCTCTTAGGGTAGAAACAAAGTACTGTTTCATAACAGAAATTGGATATATATGAAAATAATGATTCAATGGCTTTAGTTTAATGTATCCTGACAGGTGTTTCAGGAATGGTCAACTACACTTCAGCTAGGTTTTACTTCTTTCCTCTTCCTTTCCTTCTCTTCCCCTCCCCTCCTTTCTCCTCTCCTTCCCCTTATCACTCAGCAATGAAAATGGGTAACAGAATAAGGATAGCTTAATTCAGATGACACAATTATGTGGCTCATAAAGATAACATGGCACCAATGTCTTCAACCACTGTGTTGGAGGCATTCCATAGGATTTTAGACTTGCAAAAGTAGCCTTCTTTTACAGATTAAAAATCTCAGCATGAAAATCAAGTTAAATGGCTTTCCTGGGCCACGCAGTTAGAATTTGGTGACTTAAAAAAAATTCACTTACTACCCAGTTCTAAAAGAAAAAACAAAGATATGGGGCAGAATACGAACCTGTAGCCTAGCTGGAATAGGCTCTAGATCTATTAATTTACATCCTTTCCACCACAGTTCTATAGCACCATCCTCTGACCAATCCACATGTTTTTCTACTTTCCTATGTACTTTCAAGACTGAAGTTGGTATGAAGTTATAAGAACTAAAACAGTGGTTCTCAATATTCACTGCATTAAAAAAAAAAAATCACCTGTGGAGCTTTAAAAAGGAACCATGGACCTTACACCTAGAGAAAATCTAATTGATTTGGGGTAGGTCCATGTACTTAAATAAACTGCATTGAAACTACCTGGAGGGCTTATTAGAATAGATTGTTGGGCCAAGTGCGGTGACTCATGCCTGTAATCCTAGCACTTTGAGAGGCTGAGGCAGGTGGATCACCTGAGGTCAGGAGTTCAAGACCAACCTGGCCAACAAGGTGAAACCTCGTCTCTACTAAAAATACAAAAATCAACTGGGCATGGTGGCGGGTGCTTGTAATACCAGCTACTGGGGAGGCTGAGGCAAGAAAATTGCTTGAACCTGGGAGGCGAAGGTTGTAGTGAGCCAAAATTGCACCACTGCACTCCAGCCTGGGCAATAGGGCAAGACTCCGTCTCAATAAAAATAGTTAGATAGACAGATAGATCGATAGATAGATAGATAGTTGGGCTCCACCCTGGCAGCTTCTGATTTTGGGGGTCTGGGATGGTACTCAACAATTTGAATTTTCTAGCAGGTCCCAGGTGACAGTGATGCTGCTGGTCTGTGGACCACACCTTGAGAACTACTTGAGTAGTTTTTAGTTCTTTCAGTTCAGGTAATTTTTAGTTCTTCAGGATAATATGTTCAGCCAGTTGAAAATCTTTGGTTGAAGACAGTAATTCTCCATCTCTGCAGAATCACCTGGGGAATTAAAAACAACTGATGCCTGAGTCCCTACAAGAGCTTCTTTTTAAATTGATCTTGGGTGTAGCCTGGGCCTTGGGATTTTAAACAGCGAAATATTATTTAAAAGAATCATACCCCAGATGATTCTAATGTCCAGCCAGGGCTAAGTATCACTGAAAATTTTCTGCCTCCTCAATTCTTATTACCATTTACCTCAAATTTCCCAAAGAGAATTGGATGCTTTGACCACTATATTAACAATTTCTTTCTAGCTTGTTGTCTGTGAACAATGGTTTGATTCCACTTGGATTTTTTTGTTTTTAGCACTCTGATGTTTTAATAATAGCTAATATTTACTGAACACCTGGGGTGTGGAAGGCTTGGTACTAAGCGCTTTGCCTCTTTACCAGCTTTTTTGGGTTGTTTTGTTTTTGGTTATCGAACAGTTATGCTTTAAATATTTCTTCCAAAAGAGACCCTGCATTTTCTAGAATCAACATTGTCTTATAACTTATGTTTAATAGAGATTACATTTTATTCTGTTTCTACTAGTTAGAAGCTCTACACGGGGAGAGAGGGGAAGGAGAGAGAAAAAGGGAAAGAGAGGGAGAAGGAGAGAGTGAGAAAAAGAGGGAGAAACATATTATAGAAAACAAATTCTTCTGATGTGCTTCAACACATTACGTTTAATACTTGAGTCTCTGTGAATCTTCGTGGAGGTTCTCCAGAAATGGACAAAAATTCAATATTTCCACCATGAAAATTCCAGGAATGCCTATGACTCCATCCAAAGGCAGCTGATTTTCCTTTTGCTCTTGATTAATGCATTTCTTCCATCTCCAACTAAACAAAGGCTACTGATTTTCCTCCCAAAAGTTACTTCCTTTGGAACATACCAAAAATACCATTGAGAACAATGATATGAGTCGTTTCAGGTGAAGCGTTTTTAGTTAAGAAGATTTTAAAAGTACAGATTCAATTATTTTTACCGCAGCTTTGGTCAAGGCTTCCTGAAGTGGCTCTACGGAGCACTTCCCACAAGATGGCAGTGTTGTATGCGGCTGGAGAGCCCTCCACTTGCGGAAGGGTTATCTTCACAATTACGGCTAAGAACGTATCCCTACAGCTTTAGTTCCTGAAATATTATTTGTTTCCAGGTTCATGAGATCTGAGAGCCATCAGGAGTATATCTTTAACATTTAGATCTATGGGTTAGCAAGGTGTCTAATCAGCGGTACTTAATAAATGTCTACTAGATGAACGGATGAATGAATGATACATGTGTATCAACTTCACATAAGCCAACAGCAGGGGAAGGAGGCTGGAACAACTCCAAGACGGAAGGAAGCAAGGGCCACTGCGCCGTCTCCCTTTGTGATGAAAGAGTTCTTCAGTACTCCATTGTTCTTTTCCCTACTTGCTGACAGGTTTTGACAAGAACACGATTCACCCTAATAAGGCCTGATGGCCCATCTGCTCACCCAGCCATTTTCCTCCTTAAAATGGGCAAAGCAGCTATTCTGATCCTATCATAAAACACAAAATTAGTTACAGCAAAAACATGTGGGGGAAGTGTCTATTAATAAAAGGTAGTCCATACAAACAATATATGTTACCAGAGAGAGAAATTCTTGGGCAGTCTTTCAAGTCTGATAAGCCCACTGTGGAAAAGGACTTTGTGGGGGAAAGTGGTGGGTGGGAAAGCTCCACGATGAGGTCAGAGGGTGGCGTTCGACCTAAGCTAAAGCAGTGGCCTCCCCCAGGTCACTTTCCCTCTCTGTGCTTCAGTTTCCTCTGCTTCAGATGGGGGAGGGGAGTACCAGCTGATCCCCAGGGACCCATCTAGCTCTGATACAGTCAGCTTCTACCTTTTCTTCACATTATGGCTTAAACGATCATAGTGTAAATGCCTAAGGGCCAACCAGAGAATTCTAAATGTTTGCTCTGAAGGGAAAGAAATAACTGATTTCAAACAATTGTAAAATGCCAGGGTTTTTGCTGTGTTTGTTTTGGTATCAAATATAAATATCTCTCTGTATTAGCTGTTGCTTCTGTTCTCCTATAGCATCGATTTTCCGAAGCAATTATAGGCTTACAGTATTTAAAATGTTGTATGAAGCTAGTTTGGGTAACATTTTGGTTTTTAGGCACAGGACTTGAATGGTCAAGTTACAAAGCTTAGTTTGTAATGTTAATAAGGTTTCCAGGCATCCGTTTCACATTATAGACTGCTACAAAACCACCAAAGTTGATCTAATCTATTCACCTGTCTTGGAGATTAGCAAGCATCATTATGAGTAGGTTAATACCAACTAGCCACTTGAATTGACATAATTGAAAAAGACTGGCTCAGTTGGGGGCCAGGTCCTTGGGCTACAAGGACCTTTACCCTATAAAATCATTAGGAATTAACTTTGTGACACTTGAATGAGAAACAACAATTCAGAAATTATAAAAACATGCCAGAAATCAAAATTAGTATCTTCTAAACAACTAACTACGTTCTGAGATGAGCTTTGGTTATTTGGCTGTATAACTTAACTAACAAAGACACAATCCACCCCTGCTAATAATCATAAAAGATATTTGAAAATCCCATTTCAATACGAAGGGATTATTTATCTATGCCTTATCCCCAAACAATAATATCCGAACACTGAAGCAAAAGAATCAGTTATCTATCTACCTACTGGTGACCAATAACAGAAATTTAGCACTTTCAAGAGTTGGGCCATTTTTAACCTTATTTGAAACAGCTAAAGTAAGGCTTCTGCTATCAGAGGGAGCAATCTGCTGCTAGGGTCTGCCCAAATTCCAAGCACCTGCTTTCTCTGGTCTGGAGGCAGATGGTACATCATAAAAATAAAAGCCATGGGGAGAATGTACAGAAAGATATTCCCTTTAAAACCCTTTAGGAGGTTCGTTTTCCTAAAATCTCATACTATAAATACACATGTTTTATTTTAATATTATAGCTCAGAATTTGGGAACTGACACAGGGTCATGAAAAAGGTTTCCTTGGCCTGATTGAGTCATATACATGTATTCACGTATTTCCACAGGATGGGAAATCAGTCTTTAGTTTACAACCATCTAGGGCAGGACATTTTATTTTTGGAGTTCTAACAAATATCCTAAACAGTAGCCGCTGCTGCCCTTATTCTTCAATACTACCACTCACCCCAGCTCTATTAAGTTGTTTTATTATAACTCTTAGGCACTGCTCAATGGAGTAACCTCATTTATATTTGTAAGGCTTGTACAGATGAGCTTGGCTGTAATAAATTGGCCTCATGATATGCTTTTCCACTATAATTATTTAGAGTAATGCTTCTCAAACCTTAGATGCATCAGAATCCCCTGCAGGGGTTGTTAAAACAGATTTGTTGGCCTGACTCCCAGAGATTCTGATTTAGTAGTTCTAGGGTGGGACCTGAGAATTAGCATTTCAAACAAGCTCCCAATGAGGCTGATGCTGTTAGTCTGAAGGCTACATTTTAAGAACCACTGATGTAGGAGTTCCCTTTGGAGTGTCTTATCGGTTATGATTATTTGGGCTTATATTAGCTTCTCAGTTAATACCCATTTTATGCCGAAAACGTTTGAAACGTGTTATTTGCTTATATTCAGATGTTGCAGTTACCCACAAAGATGCTTGATAAGCAGATGGACAGATATGCTGAAGTGAGGCTGCTCCACACTGTGAGTATCCAGAAGGATCAATGAATGCACTATGTTTGATCAGCTAATGTGCAATTTCCCAAGTCACCAGGAGTTACTGCAAAATACACAACATGGCGCACTTCCAACATAAATGTCTACTAGAATCTGACAGATAATCTTCTTATCCTTACTAATTTTTATCTTAGAATTTAGATTTAGCCCTTAAAGATGCTGGATTCTGCTATCTTAAATCTGTAAGCACACTCCAATAGTTTGAACTAAGCAAATGTTGACAAAAGAGTAATATGACACAATTGAGCAATGCTAGTATTTATGTTCACCTTGTTTCTCCTATAATCCATACTTGGTTAAATTTTAAAGAATGGCTCTGTCACAAAATAGCATCATAATGTTAAGATTTACTTCAAGCACACTTTGGAATGTAAACATACCTTATTTAACTTCACAAAATATTCCAGTCCAGCTTCCAAAGGATTTGTATCACAGTTCATCTAAAAAGGAAACACACATTTTAAATCTTAGATGAGTGCAAGTCATTTTGGTAACATCACTTTCATATTTGTTTTTAGGAGAAAGAACCCTTTTTGATTTTTCAACACAGATTCTAAAGAAAGGCAAACTATAGACCGGTTTTGAAAACAATTTTTTAATCCAAAATTCGATGTAGCCTTTCAGCAAAACTGGTCATTTGAATATAACAAATATAGAAACTAAAATTCACTGTGTTTCCACAGCTCTCCCATTTTAATAAACATCTGAGGGAATGTACGTGATGTTTCTTCTAGAAACAAGATTTTCACATGTTTTTCTGCAATAATTTTACATAACTACGTTTTGAAAAGTTATTAAACAATTTACTTATCTTACAATTCACCAAGAATCAGGGTAAGGTGGAGGGAAAGCAGATAGTAGGAAGGTGGCTGATAGAGTTCAGGAGAGGAGAAAGGAATAAGCGGAGTTTGAATCTGTATCTCTTCAAATGTGGCCAAGTCACTGTAATAGCTACCAAGTCAGGGCTAACGCCAATATTTGGTAATAGACCTGAAGTTAATGGTTTTTGTTTCTTTCTTCGTTTTGTTGTTTTCTTCGCAGTGAGAGAACTAGTCTAAACCCCCTACAAGCAGTCAAACTTTTAAAGCAACACAGCACCTGCATAAACTAAATGAAAGTACGCTTGTTTTATATGACGTAAAACGTTGCCTCATATTTCTTAATCAATTTGAGCTATTCTAAAATTATATTTATCTGTTCAAAATTTCAGAATTTCTTCAAAGAAAAAAATAAAAATGAAGCACAGAGGATTGCAGTGCCAACACTAGAGGGCGCTCTGGCACTGCTGGGAAATCGGAGGGACGGGAGAAGGAGAAAAGCTCTCCAGAGGAGGTCGCCGGGAGAGGAAATCTGAGAAAATAAAAGGCAGGAGAATGGAGAAATGTCTGACTCCCAAAGGGCTGCTCCTGCTGCTTCATTCCTCGGAGAGTGTGGGGACCGCGCTGTCCTCCGTTTCTGTCCCTGCGCCTAGCCTCGCCTCAGTCCCCAGTTGTAGCTAGAGAATCCCCTAATAGGGGATCTCTCGTGGAGAGCTTGCCCACTTGCTTCTGCGCACTCTAAATGCCCTTGGGTCTCTGCCTGGGCTTTGAAACACACTCTCCCCTTCAATCAAATGCACTTTATTATGTGCTTGGCACTTCCTAGACTCTCTCTACTATCTATGATAATTCTGTAGCATAAAAAATCCATTTTTTAGAAAAGTAAACAGAAGTTCTGGAGGGTTAAGCCAGATAGCTGGTGCGTGGTGGAGGAAAAATTCAAACCCAAGAGTCCCCGCTCTGAGTTCATCTTTTACCACTATCCCTTATCTTACCTTTCAGGTCTAAAACCTCAGTGTCTTCCAAAGAAACAACTACTGAATCTGAAATAGTGACTGGGTCCAGGGATAGCCTGCCATATTGGAAATAAAGTAGGAGAACAGAGTTTAAACCACAGGCTGGCCACTTACTAGGTAATCTGGACCAAGTGGTTCTCTAAGTCTCAGTGTTATTATGCGTAAAATAGAGGTAATGGAGAGTTGAGAAGGAAAATGAAATCATGCATATGAAAATATGTAAATGGTTAAAGCACTATACAAATAGAAACTCTTAATAACCATTATTAATGGTGGAGGAAGGCTGGACCACCACATTCTGGACCATCAACCCTGCCCCTCAGAAAGGAGTGTTAATTCACCAAAAGGTATAAGATAAGAAGAAAATGAAGACGGGCAAAATGACAGAGGAGGAGAGATTTTGAAAAGTGTTACTCTAATCCCATGAGGCAAGCCGGCTCCCCAAAGTCCAAGACAGTTATCTAGGGCTGTCAGCCAACTAGGATGAATTAAGGCAGAATAAACATATGTCAGAATTCCACTGAACTTTCACTTGAGAAATTAAGGAGAAAAACCTCTTCCCCTAATGAAATAAAGTTATCTAATGATATGTAATTTCTCTTACAGCCAAAACCAATGTTATTGCAGTTCAAACCAGCCCTTATATAAAAATGAGATAAATAAACATAAAATGTTAATAAAGATGCTAGCATTTCAAACCTCTAACCCCCAGGCTCTGAAGGCTTTCTCCAGGCGTAAGGCATTCATGGCATAGGTTCCAAAATTGTCGATTCCCTCCTCCTGGCCTGCATTCATGATAGCGTCATACAGCGCCACAGAATCTTCTCTTCTGTGATACAGCTCCCAACCCAGCTCACCTGAAATAAACCCACAGGTGCCACAGCAGGGCAAGAACAATGATCACTAGATCTAATGTGCATTAGCTAGAACACATATAAGCAGGAGAAATTCCACTTATGCAACACAGACATTGTCAGTCTCTAAAAAGACCAGCTCACAAAAAGTTACAAGACCCCACTGCAAAGAAGCCCACCATATCACAGATGCATTTGTGCCGATCCTGACTCCCATGTAGATGGTGGTATGCAGGACACCTCTTGTCATGACACAGAAAGACTATAATACAGGAATTAATCTCCACCCTGGACCCCAGCTTTCTAATGAGGCTTGACTGTTTTCTGGGACAATGACGTTAGGTGAATAGTTAGCATGGCACAGTTTATCAGGGCAACGAGTTCAAGGTTTAAACCAACCCCTTGCCCAAAAATCACAAGCTTAAAAATATAGTTAACTAAGAATTATTCAAGTTATCCTCATAGTGAGAAAGCCATAGTCTCTGACTTCTCCCCCTCCCACTTCTTCCCTAGTCATTTCCTTCACCAACAGAGCTGTGGGCAAAAATCAAAAGAAATTAAATGTAACCCAAAAAATCCTGCTTATTTTTGTGTTCTTGTTTTGTTTTTTTGTCTTGTTTTTTTGTTGAGACAGGGTCTCACTATGTTGCCCAGGCTGGTCCTGAACTCCTGGGACAATCAATCAGTCCTCCCACTCTGGCCTCCCAAAGTGCTGGGATTACAGGTATGAGCCACTGCATCCAGCCCTGCTCATTTTTTATTCTAGAATTTGCCAACGTTGGGTGGAAGAAGGGCAGGGAAAAGGTATAGCAGCAGCCCAGAGAAAGAGCTATGGTCTTTAATCTCTGTGTTCTCCTGTTTCCCAAGGTGGAGGGCTCATGGTAAGGTGTTTTTATGGGATACCACAGAATAGGAGCAACATATAATTGAATGAATGCCTGGGCATGCAGTACTCCTGTGAGAGACAAGGAGGTCTAGAAAAACTTAGAAGGGAGCCCAGAGCACCACTGGGGAACTGAAGAGCATTCATTCATCTCTGTATCAAATACCTACCATGTGCAAGGTTAGGTGCTAGAGGAAGACATCTCAGTGAACTTACAGTCTGGAAGGAAAGAAGGATTGTTGGCAATGCTCTAGGAGAGGTACCTGATACCTTCAAAATGGTCTCTATGGGAGATTCTATCTCCAGGAGACCATCTTGAATGTTCACAAATAGAGTTGGCTGGCCCGACTATTTCAGCCAATCCTCTTCCCCACTTTTCTTTTTTTTTTTTTTTTTTGAGATGCAGTTTCACTCTTGTTGCCCAGGCTGGAGTACAGTGGTGTCATCTTGGCTCATACAACCTCCGCCTCCCGAGTTCAAGCAAATCTCCTGCCTCAGCCTCCAGAGCAGCTGGGATTACAGGCATGTGCCACCACGCCCAGCTAATTTTGTATTTTCAGTAGAAACGGGGTTTCTCCATGTTGGTCAGGCTTGTCTCGAACTCCCGACCTCAGGTGATCAGCCCGCCTCAGCCTCCCAAAGTGCTGGGATTACAGGTGTGAGCCACTGCACCCAGCCCCCACTTTTTTTTTATCTGCCCTTCCAGATGGTAGGCAGCGATGGGACTGGAGCAACAACTAGAAATCTGTGGAACCACTTTCAAGATGAGGAGTGAATAGACAGACTAGACATAAGAGCTGGGCAGAACAAAAATCTTCCTCCAAAGTCGCATGGACAAAAGTGAGTGTGAGTGTGCACATGCATACACACTCACACATTTCTTGTGACATGACCTTTTAATTTTAAATTTTAAATTTTAAATTGACCTTTTAAATTTCAGAGACTTAGTCCAGGTTGTTTTCCAATCTTACCAGTATAAGATATCCTAATAGCAGTGACAGGAATGTTGGAAACCTTTAAGGACTTGGTTTGAAGAAACTTGAAAACATCATCACTAAGATCTTCAGAGGTCAGTTTCTGAAGGACCTTTCTTGCCTGTGGCCCAGCAACTCCAAGAACTCCAAGCTCATCAGTTATGTTTTTAATTTCAACATCATATCCACCTTTGACTGCTTCTTCTTCAATCCATCTGCGTTTTAGTCATGAACATGGTGTTAAATATTGCTTGAATAATGTACTTTGGTAATAAATTATCTCTCTGAAGACATGCTTTGTGTCTAGAGTTATCAGAAAGTCCCCAGAGTGTCATTTCATGAAATCACACTGATTTTTAAAGTTGAGGAAACCAAGCCCCTGAGATGTTAAGTGATGATTCTCTTTAAATCACCCACTTATAAATTTGGGGGGTAATTTTTCACAGTACAGAAGGATCCTTCAATTTAATGAGCTCTGCCACACAATTCTTTTAAATAGTGACACAGCCCTTTTGCATTTAAACTAATGATTCAGCCTTGCAAAATTAATTTAAACCCAAATTTTCTCTAATACCTGTACACAGGAGGCACACTTATGTTGCTAAAGGTTAATAATGTGCCTGCCACAAGACACGTAATTGCTCTGAGAATCACAAGGAAAAGACAGAAACTCTAGTTTCAATTTCTATGGCTTGATGAGTTATTGGGACCCAGCTATAGGGCTGGTTTCTAATTTATTGAGCAGTCCTTGAGCTATCTAAGTCTATCACAAAATGTTCATCTGGATTTACACAAAGCTAAGCTATTAAGATGGTCCCAGTACATCTTGGATTGGAGCATATAATTTGCATCACTGTACAACTAAGATGAGAATCTGTCAGAGTAAGACATGTATTAAATAATAATATTCCAAAAATATTTGGAATATTAGACTAAAGACTTTATAATAGAATGAAGATTCATGTAAAGGCTGGACTTGGCAGGTCAGCAACTTAGATCCAGCTGTGGGCCAGAAAGCACAAAGCATCACAAAGGACAAAGATAATTTAGGAAGACAGCTTACAGAAGTGGACCAAATGCGGGCATCAGAATCAAAAAGCTCGTGTGAGTAAGTTCCCTTATCCCAAACCTCAGTTTCCTCATCTGATCATGGGAATAATATATACCTTGCAAAATATTAAGAGAATTCATTAAGGTAATATCTAAAAAAGGTTCTGGCACATTGATGATGCCTAATAAATGGATTAATATTATTAGAACAAGTAACCTATGGATGAATTACCTTTGGGAGGGGCAGGGGCCCTCACTTCAAATATTTTTGTATTAAAAAAAATAAAGTTTATTTGAAACAATCAGGTTTAAGAAGAAATAAAGTTGTACTTTCGAGTACTGGTAAAAAGAAAAACTTAATGTAAGATTGAGTCAATATATAATGTGTACAAAATTTTCTTACTAGGTGTGCACTTACCTAAGATCATGAAGTTCTGATCCAGAGCCAGTAATTAAAAGAAACTCCCCAGGAGATTGGTGAGAAACAGTCAGCTCAGCATACACTCGACCCTTGGGTGTTAACATGTGACTTATATTTGTAAAACCCACCTACATAAAAAAATTAAAAATTACCTTAGGATGAACTAAAAATCACATGCATCCTTTTAACACCTATTGAAATAACAATGTGGGTGTTAAGAATGAAAAGTATCTGAATCTTACTGTTTGTGTCAATCGTATGAATTATCTGTAAACCTAAACCCAACAGTAATTTGAAGTTCTCCATTTAAACAATCATTTAAAACTATTTGCCATTAAAAAGCTCTTCTTCATTTAACTGCAGAACTCAATTTTAAGTTCCCATCGAAACAATTAAGCAAAGTCATAAGGTCCTTGGATGAGAATTCACTCAACAAAAATTTAAATTTGAAAATTAGCTTGTAGGCTGGGTGTGGTGGCTCATACCTGTAATCCCAGCACTTTGGGAGGCTGAGGCGGGTGGATCACCTGAGGTCAGGAGTTCGAGACCAACATATAGTGAAACCCTGTCTCTGCTAAAGAATACAAAAATTAGCTGGGCATGGTGGCACATGCCTGTAGTCCCAGCTACTTGGGAAACTGAGGCAGGAGAATTGCTTGAACCTGGGAGGCGAAGGTTGCAGTGAGCCGAGATCACACCACTGCACTCCAGCCTGGGTGACAAAGCAAGACTCTGTCTCTCAAAAAAAAAAAAAAAAAAAGAAAAGAAAAAAAGAAAGTAAATAAGCTTGTATACTTGTATACTTTTGGTCAGTTGAAGAGTTCTAGTGTTCATCCAGAAATCATTAGGTGAACTAAAATAACATATGGGATGAAGAATTAAATAGGTCAGAATCCTGGACCTTGTATCCCTACAAGGCTATTTACCTTTGGAATGACATTTGCAAAGAGATGGTCCAGTAGTCTAATGGAATCTTGGCCTTTGATGTTAAACTTGCCAAATGGTGATAGGTCAGTTACCGCTACTCTTTGCATAACCTGTTTATACTCCGAGCCCACAGGCTCAAACCAGTTTGTGCGGCGAAAACTTGGCCTGAAACACAACATTTAGTGTCATAAAACAACTCCCGTTCATTTTTCAAAAATTACAGAATACGATATTTTAATAAGCCCTACTCATCTAGAAAATCCTACGGGCAGCGGGGAGTGGGACTATGGGAGGCGAGACCATGCAACCTGAAATTCTGTTCTGCAAATCATTCATGTATGTTGGAATCTGACCCTTTAAAGTTACTCATTTATCCCTTTGACCTATTTCTCAGTGAGTAAAGTGCTGATTAACTGGAAAATAAGATATAATTCATGGGCTCTCAGATCTGGAAGAGAGTTTATAAGTCAACCAGTCTGGTGGTTTTCAACTCTAGACGCATATTAGAATCATCTGGAGAGCATTTTAAAATGGCCCTAATTAAATCAGAGTGTCTGGGTTGGGAGGCGGGGTGGAGCTGTCTGGTCCAGTGCTTCTCAAACATTAATGGGAATACAAATCACTTGCACTTGTTAAATTCCACATTCTGAAGCAGCAGGTATGGGGTGGGACCCCATAGTCTGCATTCTGCCAGGCTCGCAGGAGATGCCTATGCTGTTGGTCCACACCTGGGGTACATAAGGATCTGGTCCCAAATCTTCATTTTTCAGAGAAAAGGCACAAAATGATCTCCAAGGCCTTCACATTAATGACAGAGCCAGACCTGGAACAAAGGTCTCTTGACTCATTACTAAAGGTCCTTTCTGCTTTATGAAGTGGACTTCTAATGTGGTATTTTAACTTCAGAGCAGGATGCTATGTCTGTAACATGAATTTTCAATAGTTTAATTATTAAATGGTAGAAAAAACTTAGGCCAGATCCAATCAGCACTAAGTGAAGAGTAAAAGTGATGTGTTAGAGTAATTTAGGAAAAACCAAATCAGTATTTGGCCACCAAATAATCTAGATTGGCTGCTTATAAAGCCCAAATTCATTCATCAACAACGGGTTCTCTGCTATACTTTGTATGAATTAGATCTAGTCTTAAAATAGCAAAACCTATTGTAAAAAGCAAAATGACAGCATAAAAATAAGGATAATGTAACTTCTAAATTTGCAACTTGTTTTCCCTTGATCTGTGGATTCTCTTGAGAAAAAAATATATAATCACTATTAATCCAAAGTACAACAATGGCAGGTAGCACTTTACCCAAATTCAGAGAACTGTTTCAGTGGCATACTTTATGTTTTCGCTTAACCTGGAATGCTATGCAAATGACCTTATCAACTGCACATATAATTTGCATGACTCAGTGCACACACTCTAGAAAGCAGTTGCTTTGAGCAATTTCAGGATGAACAGAAAATCCAAAACTCCAGGTACATTTTGTGGTTATACACGATGTGATTCCACTGAGCACCCTAAAGTACAGCAAACCTTTAGGAGCCAACTGAAGCCAGGTGGGAATTTGGAGGGCGGTCGCAAGTTTCTTCCGAGCATCTGGTAAATGCCAAGAGGCTTCACCAAGGCTGGCTATAGGACTCTCAGGGTCACGTGAGTCCTAGATGTGGGCCAGTGTCTCGTGGGCTAGACTAATGCCACCACTGCCAGAGAGTAATTTTTGTAGGACAAAGCTCAGTGCTCCTTGGAACAGGGTGGAGCAATGGAGTGTAAGGCAGAATCAGCGCTTTTTGCTGTCCCGTTGTTTCACCCCTCGGTCAGAACCACAGGCAGGTAAAGTCCTTCTCCCACCTGTACTGAGTGTCCTGGCCTGGTTTGTAGAACCAGTGCGGCTGCTCCCAGCCAGCATGGAACCCCATGGAACACTTAGACTCCAGCCTTTGATAGAGCCCACTGACTCGTTGAGTCGGCCTCCCAGCAAACCGTTCTTCTTTAGGATAACCAACTGAAAAGGAAAAATTGGTACTTTAAATCACATATAGCCAAAACAACAAGATACTTACATGGGATTCCAAATATGGAAATACAGTACTTAAAATCCAGATGCATAAACATACATACATACATATATATGAATGATTCATGTAGAAAACAGAGCTGTCATTTATATGACTCATCAAAGAGTAAAGTAAAAATATATTTAAAATTTAAAACCAGTGAGGCATTCCACGTGTTAAATATATACATCCATATATATTCCTTGTTATGTCTCAGGGGCACAATGCTTTTTGGAGTCCCTAACTACCGCCATCCCAGTGAATAGAATAAAGACCATCTAAAGTCAGAGATGCTACAATTCAATTCCGTCAACACTTTGTAGACAACAGTACATTTGTACCTTACCAATATTGTTGAATCCATATGATTCTCTTGCTTTGGCCTCAGTGTACTGGGTTGTTGTCCATTTGCCATAGCGATTAGGATCCAATTCTATCAGATCAAAAGGAGGTTCTCCATGCAGGATCCAGTCACTGAGATATTTCCCTACCCCACCAGCGTGGATTATGCCATATCTTTCAAATACAGGGATAGAAAACCCATTACTAACACATGTAGTTTTCAAATGAAACATAATCAAACTATTTTATAGGGCTTCAAAGTTGGACTGTTCTGTGCTAATCAGAACACACAAGTAACATAATCTCTATGGAACAATTTTTTCCTTAAAAGTGACATGTTTAGGCATCCAAATTAAATGTGCCTGACTTGATAGCTAGTTTATTTACAGTTTCAAGAGATGTACACCTGCGAAATAGCTCCTTATTGGGCAGGGCACACTAACTCACACCTGTAATCCCAGCACTTTGGAAGGATCGTTTGAGACCAGGAGTTCGAGAACGGCCTGGCCAACAAAGTGAGAACTCATCGCTACAAAAAAATTAAAAAATTATCTCGGCATGGTGGCACGAGACTGTGGTCCCAGGTACACGGGTGGCTGAGGCAGGAGGATAACTTGAGCCTAGGCGGTAGAGGCTGCAGTGAGCCATATTCGCACCACTGCACTCCGGCCTGGGTAACAAAGCAAGACCCTCTCTCAAAAAACAAAACAAAACAAAAACCAACAACAACAAACAAAATAGCTCTTTATGGGGAAAAGGCTCGGTGATCCTTGACTCCTAACTAATAAGAATTTTGCTTTAGGAAAACTAGGGGTTGGAGCCAGAATGCAAACAGACAGATGTGGCTGGTACCCTAACAGCCCTCCTGAGCTATGATTATCCTGACTGGTAGGAAACACGGTGGGAGAAACATATGTACTGTGGTGTCCCATCCATCTCTTCTCAGACTCAAGTTAGTTCTGACCTCCTTAGACAATGACCTGTGCGCAAGGAACTTGAGCCATTATCTTAGAAACATTCAGGCAAAGAGGCCCTCACCTGAGGACTTGTGGAAAGAGGTAGAAAGGAACACTGTCTCTTGTATTTTGCAACTAATAGGCCACTTGATGGGGAAGGTGGGCTTGTTTTCTATTTTCTTAAGATGATACTTTAAAATCAAGAACACGATGCGGAAAATAAAGGGGTTTTGACATCAGAAAATGGATGGGTTTTACATTGGCCATGTGTAGTTCTACCCACTCAGTCTTGTCTAATGAAGGCCTCTACTGTGGGTTTATGTGTGGTTTAAGTCAGGAGCTTCCAAGGAACTGAATGAGCAGAGAGTCATGGGGAGAGAAGCAAGAAAAGGGGATACAAAGCAGACATCAAGACACAGAAATGCTAGTATCCCCAACAACAACAACTTAGCCAGAACCACAGCTTCTAAGAGCATGGGAGGAACTTTAGCAAATGCTGAAAATGTTAACTAACTTTTCCCACAACAAGACACCTGTTTTGCTTTCATAAAAATGAGTGCCTACATTTTATAAAAGACTTTCTCAGGCCGGGCGCGATGTCTCACGCCTGTAATCCCAGCACTTTGGGAGGCCGAGACGGGCGGATCACGAGGTCAGGAGATCGAGACCATCTTGGCTAACACGGTGAAACCCCGTTTCTACTAAAAATACAAAAAATTAGCCGGGCGTGTTGGCGGGCGCCTGTAGTCCCAGCTACTTGGGAGGCTGAGGCAGGAGAATGGCATGAACCTGGGAGGCGGAGCTTGCAGTGAGCCGAGATCGCGCCACTGCACTCCAACCTGGGAGACACAGCGAGACTCCATCTCAAAAAAAAAAAAAAAAAAAAAAGACTTTCTCAAAGAGAATAAAAACCCAGCAATTTACATTCCTTTGGGCATTTTAATAGACATGGGGCATCCAAGTTATCCACAAACAACCTCTCTAAATTTTAAGAAAGCAAGAAAAATTATTAAATATATGCTTAAAATGTTTATTAAACTTAGCACATTCACTTAACCAGGCCCAATGCCCATATAGATCAAGTACCATTTTTGAGAGCTATATTGTTGATAAGACTTGAAGGCTTATGAAGTTCTACCAACACTGAGTGCCTCCCATTTACCAGGCATAGTTTCCGTCTAACACATAGAAGCTGATTTATGCTTTAGCAAGTCTATTTTAAGGAGAAAGATCAGCCCCCACACAGAGGCTAAATAAAGTCACACAGCAGTAAAGAGTAGATTCAGGATACAAATTCATTTATCTGACCCTGGAACGCATGCTCCTTGTTATCGGACTTTCCTATCTTCAGTAGTTCTCAGTCTTTGTTCAGCCAAGACACACATAGCAGATACAGCACTGTCTATATTTTTGACAGACTTCCAGGGCAGAGCCAGGGGTGCTTTGATTTCCTATGGCCTGGCTGCTATACCATCATGTTCTTTCCCTTTCAACCATGCACATGAGCAAATAAATGGGCAGAGTGCTGTTATTTGGGTGGGAGTGGTGGGCGGGGGGGGAATCCTGAATCAAATCTAATTTATTTCTAAAAAGTAAATATTTTACAAACAAGTTATCCAACCATTAACAAGCTTTACATAAAATTCCATACAACTGAGTGTTATGAACTACACATGGCCAATGTAAAACCAATCCCTTTTCTGATGTCAAAACCCCTTTATTTTCCATATCATGTTCTTGATTTTAAAGTATCATCTTAGGAAAATAGAAAACATCTCTGGAGAATCCCTGGCTTAGCAGCTAAAAGTATAAAAGTATGGGGAAAAGATCTGGGTATGATTCTTATTCTTCCACTGTTAGCTGGGTGACCTTGGGCAAGTTATGTAACCACCCTGCGCTTCATTCTTCTCCTGTGCACACTTTATGGTGCTGGTGGAGAATTAATTGCCAAGGCATTTAAAAGCACTTAGTATACTGCATGGCACATAGTGGGCAAGGAATACATGGTGGCTATTGGGCCCTTGTATGACCAGTTGAAAGGATTTTAATAAGGAAGTAAGGTGTGAAGTGAAAGTAGAAGGGAACTTAAAGAGGAGAGGACAATTAGGTTCTTCTTCTGTCTCTAGCATTAATCTGCAGAATTCTAGATTCTTCTCAATGACCCTAGGCCTATATGCTTTTTGAGTGTTTGTATCTGCTTTTTATAACTCTGTTAAATGACTGGATGTTACATCTTATAGCACTCTCCCCTCTTTAAATTTGCTGTTTATAATCCGTTCTAAGCCAAGAAAATCAGATTCAATTAAATACAATTCATAAGACTTTTTTGGGCATTGTGTTAGTTACCTAGAAGCAGAAAAACTTGTTGGAATTGTGACAAAACAAATGTCCAAAGTAAAATAGCTGTGGCTGAGGATATTCTGCGAGTAAGGTAAATGGGCACTGGCACATATGTAAGCAGTTTGCAAACACCTATTCCCTGAACTGGCTGTACCAAGAATTACAGATATTATTATAATAAAATACAGATTCCTGGGCCCCTCTCCGGACCACTAAATCAGAATCTATAGGAGTAGTGTCTGGAAATCTGTTTGTTTGCTTGTTTGTTGCAATTCAATACATCTTTCATGGTGCTATGGACTGAATGTTTGTGTCCTCCCATAATGCATCTGTTGAAGCCCTAATCCTCAATGTCACGGTATTTAGAGATGGTACTCTAAATACTTTGGGAAGTACTTAGGGTTAAATGAGGTCATGAGGGTGGGGCCCTCATGATAGGGTTAGTGTCCTTCTATGAGGAGACACCAGAGAGCTTGCTTTCTCTCCACACACACCCACCCACCAAGGAAAAGCCACATGAGCACACAGCCAGAAGGTGGCCATCTGCAACCCAGGAAGAGAGCCCTCACCAGAACTCTGCCATGACGGCTCTGTGATCTCAGACCTCCAGCCTCCAGAACTGTGAGAAAGTAAATTTCTGTTGTTTAAATCACCTAGTCTATGGTACTTTATTATGGCAGCCCAAGCAGACTAAGCCACATGGGTTCTAGTGACAAATAATAGGAATTTCACAGATGAGAGGTATAGGAGATAAAAAATGTGCATGTGACTAACCACATGGTCAAGACTCTGCTTTTTAACGTGCTCCTCAGATGATTCTGCTCCTCACCCAGGTATGGGAACCACTGGCCTCCAGAGCCATGGAATGAGTGCACTGATATAAGCCAGGAGGGGCAGCTAATGGGGGTATTCCATTATATTACATAAGAAATATCTTAGAAACCTCAACTTTAGGTAACGGGAAGGCTTTTTTGGTTTAGACCAAACCTGTCAAAGACAGGGAGGCACTTTGCCCACCCCCACTCCCACCTGTTGTCTTCTCCACCCACCTCCCAGTATCTATGACCTGAGAAAATTAGCCAGAGCAATCAGGGGAGGAGTCTGACATCAGTCACATGCAAACAGATGTGATTTCTAGGTTATAAGTAACTTGTTCTAGAGGAAGCAACTTCCTACTTTCTTTAGCAATTAGTTAATAGGTGTTCCACATGAGATCAGTGACTCTATCTGCTCAGAACATGCCTTACAGTCAATGATCCTCAATTTCTATTATTTAATACTAAAATTCAATTGGAATATCAAAGAGAATAAAATACTTAGGAATAAATTTAACAAAAGACGTGCAAAACTTTTACTCTGAAAACTACAAATCATTGTTCAAAGACATTTTAAAAGACCTAAGTAAATGGAAAGACATTTCATGTTCATGGATCAGAATACTTAATATTGTTCAGATGTCAATACTCCCCAAAATGATCTACAGATTCAATGCAATCTCTATCAAAATCTCAGCTGGCTTCTTTGCATAAATTGACAAACTAGTCCTAAAATTTATGGGACTTCCAGCCAAAACAATTTTGAAAAAGAACAAAGTTGGAGGATTCATACTTCCTGATTTCAGAAATTACTACAAAGCTAGTAACTTCTAGTAACAGTAATTAAGAGAGTGTCAGCTGGGTGTGGTGGCTGATACCTGAAATCCCAGCACTTTGGGGGGTCGAGGTGGGTGGATCACTTGAGGTCAGGAGTTTGAGACCAGCCTGGCCAAAATGGGAAAACCCCATCTCTACTAAAAATACAAAAATTATCCAGGTATGGTGGAGCGTGCTTGTAATCCCAGCTATTTGGGAGGCTGAAGCAAGAGAATTGCTTGAACCCGGGAGGTGGAGGTTGCAGTCAGACAAGATCGTGCCATTCCCTGGGCAGCAGAGTAAGACTCTGTCTCAAAAATAAATAAATAAATAAAAGACAGTATAGTAGTCGCATAAGAATAGACACAGATGAAGGAACAGAATTGAGAGTCTAGAAATCAACCCATACATCTATGGTCAATTTATTTTTTATAAAGATGCTGTGGTATAATAAAAATTAAATATTTGGTCTTTATTCCCAGTTCCTGACACAGAATTCATAAAACATTTGAGATTTACTATTTTTTGAATGTTAATGAGATGACTCTTGTGGAGAGGAGAGCAGTCCTAGGTAGCTTCAGGATGGGGGCTGGTAGCCAGAAAAACCAACCATGTGATTAGAGAGTTAGAACTTTCAGTCTACTCATCTGACAAAGGGCTAATATCCAGAATCTACAAAGAACTCAAACAAATTTGCAAGAAAAAAACAAACAACCCCATCAAAAAGTGGGCGAAGGATGTGAACAGACACTTCTCAAAAGAAGACATTTATGCAGCAAAAAGACACATGAAAAAATGCTCATCATCACTGGCCATCAGAGAAATGCAAATCAAAACCACAATGAGATACCATCTCACACCAGTTAGAATGGCAATCATTAAAAAGTCAGGAAACAACAGGTGCTGGAGAGGATGTGGAGAAATAGGAACACTTTTACACTGTTGGTGGGACTATAAACTAGTTCAACCATTGTGGAAGTCAGTGTGGTGATTCCTCAGGGATCTAGAACTAGAAATACCATTTGACCCAGCCATCCCATTACTGGGTATATACCCAAAGGACTATAAATCATGCTGCTATAAAGATACATGCACACGTATGTTTATTGTGGCACTATTCACAATAGCAAAGACTTGGAACCAACCCAAATGTGCAACAATGATAGACTGGATTAAGAAAATGTGGCACATATACACCATGGAATACTATGCAGCCATAAAAATGATGAGTTCATGTCCTTTGTAGGGACATGGATGAAATTGGAAATCATCATTCTCAGTAAACTATCGCAACGACAAAAAACCAAACACCACATATTCTCACTCGTAGGTCGGAATTGAACAATGAGAACACATGGACACAGGAAGGGGAACATCACACTCTGGGGACTGTTGTGGGGTCAGGGGAGTGGGGAGGGATAACATTAGGAGATACACCTAATGCTAAATGACGAGTTAATGGGTGCAGCACACCAGCAAGGCACATGTATACATATGTAACTAACCTGCACATTGTGCACATGTACCCTAAAACTTAAAGTATAATAATAATAATAAATAATAATAATAATAAAGAACTTTCAGTCTCACTCCCTACTCCAACCTCCAGGGAGTGGAGAAGAGATATTGAGTGCAGTCACCAATAATGTAATCAATCATGCCTATGCAATGAAACCTCCATAAAGACCTAGGCATGGGGTTCAGAGAGCTTCTGGGTTGGTGAACACAGTGATGGGCTAGGAAGGCACCTGGAAAGGGCCTGGTGGTGCTGCCCCACCCACCCCTAACCCCTCACATTTTGTCCTATGTATCTCTTCCATTTGGCTACTCCTGAGCTGAATCCTTTATAATAAAAGAGTAAACATAAGTATTTTCCTGAGTTTTGTGATTGGTTCTAGCAAATTATCAAATCTGAGGAGAGGGTTGTGGGAACACCCAGTTGGTCAGAAGTATGGGTGTCTCCCGAGACTTGAGACTGTTGTCCGAAGTGAGAGCAGTCTTGTGGAACGGATCCCTTAACCTGTGGGGTCTATGTTAATTCCAGGAGTTGGTGTCAGAATTGAATGGAATTGTTGGACACCCAGTTAGTACTAGAGAATTGGAGAATTGGTTGTTGGTGCTGGAAAATACCACACATTTGGTGTAAGAAAAGGAATCAGAAAAAAGACATTACAGATGCCAGCATAATTCAATGAGGACAGAATAGTCTTTTCAATGAATAGTTCTGGGACAACTGGCTATACATATGAAAAGACTAAAGTTGGACACCTACCTCACGTCATATGCAAGAATTAACTCATGACTGATTACAGAACTAAATGCAAAAGCTAAAACTATAAAACTCTTAGAAGAAAACATAGGTTTAAATCTTCACGAACTTGGATTAGACAATGGTTACTTGTATATGACACCAAAAGTACATGTGAACCAAGGAAAAATACATATTCTGGACTTCATCAAAATTAAAAAGTTTTGTATTTCAATGGACACCATCAAGAAAGTAAAAAAACAACCCACAGAATGGGAGAAAAGTTCTGCAAATCATGTACCTGATAAGGTTCTTATATCTAGAATATATAAAGAACTTCCATAGCTAAACAATAAAAAGACAAATTACCCAATTATGAAAATGGCAAAGGATATGAATAGACATTTCTCCAAAGAAGATACATGAGTGATGTGCAGGAGAAGCACTCCTACTTCCACATGCCTGCATATGGACTCTATAGGTGACTATAAAACCCTCAATTACATTATAACTTCCCATCCCAAATCTCCATCTGACTTTCTCCCTCTGGATGTCCCACATACCTAAACTTAACACTTCAAGCCCAACCCATCAAAAATGGAACTCATTATTTTCTTGTCTCTCTCTCCATGTCTCCAACATATAGACGGTGGTCAAGTTAGAAAGGTTGCCATCATTTGCCATTTTTCTCTTTCCCTTCAATATCTTATGAAATTGATCACCAAATCTAGATGATTTTATCTCCCATCTCTCAGTCTTCACTGCTGCTACCTTGGTAGAGACCCCAGCTTCTCTATTGGATCAGCAGAGCTGTGCCTCAGGCAGCCCTCCAGCTCCAATCAGACCTCACTGCTTTGTTGTCAGCTGTATTCCAATGCCTAGCCCTAGGCCTGGCACAGAGCTAGCAGTTATTATACATTAGTTGAATAAATGGCCAAATAAAATGGGGAAGAAAAATAGAATATTAGAAGATGTGATATGATAGTTGAGTGGGCTTGACATCAATATTCACCAAATTAATGGAACAAACATCAGAAATGAAACATCAAAGAGGCAATGGAGTCATAAATAGAAAGCAACCTGAGGACTTATAAAGAAACAAATCATGTTGGACAAACATGAATTATGGTGAAAAATGCAGCAGACATGTTATACATTTGATATTTTGAATTATCTTTGTCACATCGTGTTATGAAAACATCCTTGTAAAACTGGGGCAAATTGACTATCTGAAGATACACAGCATAAAACCAGAAACAGTTAATAGAAATGGCAGGAAATATGCAAAGAGAAAGCTCCAGGAGGCCGGGTGCGGTGGTTCACACCTGTAATCCCAGCACTTTGGGAGGCTGAGGTGGGCAGATTGCCTGAGGTCAGGAGTTTGAGACCAGCCTGGGCAACATGGTAAAACCCTGTCTCTACTAAAAAAAAATTACAAAAAATTAGCCGGCGTGATGCCGGGTGCCTATAATCCCAGCTACTGAGGAGGCTGAGGCAGGAGAATCGCTTGAACCCAGGAGGCAGAAGTCGCAGTGAGTCAAGATCACGCCACTGTACTCTAGCCTGGGCAACGAGAGCAAAACTCCATCTGAAAAAATAAAAGAGAGAAAGCTCCAGGAAATCATTGCCCTTCTGTGTTCCAGGAAATAGTTGCCCTTCTTTAAAACATATACAAGTGATTGAACCAGTATTTTTTATTCATTGTATGAATCCTTGGTCATGAAAGGGAGAAAACTCTCTGGGTCTCTCTCTGTTTCTCTTTCTCTCTCTCTCAGCCTCCCACATTTCCCTTTTGCATCCTGAGAATATGGAACTAGATTTAGCTAAAATAAGTGATTCTACAATAAATGTTGAATTACATGAAGATACTTACCCAAAGCCTATAGCCACCCAGTAGTTTCTGACCCCCTGATGGGGCCCCACCATAGGCAGAATGTCAGGAGAATACGTGATAGGACCATTGACAACATTGATGATGTCAGCCTTTTTCAAGACAGGAACCATTTCCATGGCAGCTTTGATGTGTTCCATGATTCGATCTAGATCAGACTCAAAGAGTTCCTTTCCAAAACCTAAAAAGATTTGCCCTTGTGGTCAGGATGCCGTAGCTGAGCTGACAAGTCCTGTAAAGTGATTTAAGCCTCTGACATGGCCTACATTTAAAGATGGCCTGTTAGGAAAGTACTGCCATTTTTTGTTAAAGTCTAAATTTCATATTCCCTATCAACAGATGAGTATCCATTTATATTACTGAAAACAATGGTATTGTTCTTGAAACAAAATCATAAAAGTTAACCTTTAATTAATATAAAATTTAAATGTATGAATAATATAGTTTCTGATATTTAATCCAATCAGTTTTTTTTAAAAAAAAACTATAATTTGGTTTGTCAAGAAGATCGTTATGCTTCAATTAACCATAAGAACCTGTTTCATCCCCTGAGATGAGGGCAAATGGGAGTTTACAAAGTCATGGCAGAATACTGGAAAAAGTGGAACACTCCTCCAAGATCTAAGATGATGGATTTTAGACCCCTTTTAACTCTCCTTTCAGCAAGAAAGGAATGGTGTGGAGGCCTCCTTCCTCCAGCCTGCCCCCATACACATCCAAGGGCTAGAGTTCTGAAAACAGGCAGGGTCTTGAAGTGCAATCCTCCTCTTGTCCTAAAAGTCATTGTGATGAGCTTCTAAAAGAATGTCTCTACCAACACTAGTGATTTTTCCACACAGCAGCCAGCCAGCTTCTTGCCCTTCCTGGGGACTACAGGTAGGGTCAGTCTCATGGAGGCCTGCAGACCATCAGGGTGGACTAGCACACACGGGTACCCATGCTCACAGACAGCTAACAATCCAGCTCTCCCTCCAAATGGCATTATTTAAATATTTGTTCAAGATTTATTTGAAGGAGAAGCTGCCAGCATGGGGGAACAGCAGAGAGGGAGGCTCTCAGTGGCATTTCAACCCTCCCTGTGGGATCAGGAGCAATTCTGCTCAGGCCCAAATGTGCAGAGCCCACTCAGCACAACCAAAGCCCTGAAACCAGCTGGCCTAACTTCTGTAGAAGGCAATTTAGTGATCATTTGCTATTATTTGGGCCTACTCTTTGAGGAGTAGAGTGGAGGGATTCATTTCCTATCTCAAGAAGCTTATCAAAGTATAATTTTAGGAAGTACCATTTCCTACATTTCTTTGTATTCCCTGTAATATTTCAATGCCCCAGTGATTTTTTAGCTCTTTTTATAGATTAAAAGCTGAGGTACCTCCTTAGATGACCCAATCTTCAATCTGGCTCTGTGGAAGTATTTCATGAAAAGCAAAAACAGAACCATCTCCCTTAAAGAACTTGAAAGAGAAACTATAGTATCCCCTGCTTTGGCATAGAGGCACAAGCCTTTTCCATATCCACTTATGTAGCATGGGAAGTACTCCATTTACAGTACCAAAAACCCTGCTCTGTTATAGACTCTTGGGTTTTCCTTCTTATTAGGATGGATATCTGGCCTCTGATATCAGTTGTGTTTCCAGCTGTAAAAGCACAATAGCATCTATATTCAAATCTTGAAAGCAGACCAAGCTGGCAGTGGATTGAGGAAAAAACGGGGAGGCAGGAGGTTGTGTGGGCAGGTAAAAATGTATCTGGAACCTTTCAAAGCAGCTGGAAATGTTACTTCAGCTTCTCTACCATCAACTACATCTTTCTTTTCCCCTACTCCCTGCTGTGATTGTTCAAAGGGATACGAGAACAGAGCTCACCTCAAACCTGTCACCTCCAATGTCCCAGGTATCTGAAAGTCTAGTATTATGTTGTTGTCTTATTCTACAGCCATCCTCCAGCCATGGAGAGGATGAACCATTCATGTCTGACTAGCACACACTTTCATTTGCTGAACCCACCTGGAGGAACTCCATTGGTGACCCAGGAGTCCTGAACTTTCATTTTCTCTTGACTTTCATATGGACCAAACAAAAGCCCATCCCTTTCCTGTCGGAGATAATATGATCCTTCCAGGTCACGGAGCACAGGCAGTTCTCGTTTCAAAGCTTTCACTTCAGATATAGTCGATGTAACAACATATTGATGTTGAACCGGAATGAGAGGATGTTCTAGTCCAATCATTTTACCTACTTCACGAGCCCAAAATCCTTAAACAAAAAAATCATTTAAAAGTGTCAGCCCATATATAAACACATAACTGACACTCATATAGCAATTTATATTAGAATAAAATGTTTAGAAGGCTTAAGTACTCATGGCAAAGTCTAATAAATGTCATAACAATCTAAACTTTTGTCATTGCAAAACTGAATGGGGGAAGAGAAGACAATATTTTGCATTACCCAGAGATTTGAAGATATCTGTGATCTAGGGGAACTCCATTCCTGAAAATGTTATTGCCCATAAGCAAAGGTAGGCAGGAAAAAAACAAAAAAATTTATTTGAAAGAAAAAACGAACAACCCAAATATACAAAAGGCACAAATGTTAGTAAGAAGTACCGTAACAAGACTGCCCATATTTGTGGACAGGGACAGTCAGGCAAAGGAAGAGGCCCCTGTGTTGCTGTGACCAACATAATACATAATGATATACCTAAGAAAGCCCTACAAGCCAACTCCTCTATCCTCTAAGCCCTATTCTCCCCAAATTGTTGATGCCTAAAATTCCAAAAGTACAAGATTGTTCTGTTAAGCTAAAATTGAAAATGGTGCATACTTCGGGAGAGAAAGCACATTAAGTTTTATCTGTTGTTTTAAAAGTTTAGTTTGAATAAGTTTGTAAGATCCTTTATTGTAAAGGCACAAAAGCACCAGAAGTCAAAACCAGGGAGAAAGAGAAGCCACAGGAAAGGGGAGATTGGTCTCATAAGTAGGCAGGGAGTTCCCCAGACGAATGTTTCCCACTTCACCGTTAGCACAGAGATTGTTTTATTTGCGGAGGTGAATGTTATTTTTTTCATTTGCAAAAGATAGAACTGGATAATTTGTGGCTGAAAGGACCCTTGATTCTTTCCCAGGCTGACCCTTCAGTACATAGATGTGGGAGCTAAAGGCTAGTAGGGTAAGACATGCCCCAGGCCACACTGGACATCCTGTAATCATCACATCTTATTGGTTTTTCTTGCTGCAGACTTTATTTTAAAAATCCAAGGCACCTTCACTGTATAAAGGGATTTTAGAATCTAAAATAATAAAAATGCTTATTATTTGGCAAGGACATGGTGTTGACTGACCACCATTAGATGATTTGGGGGCAGGGAGTTCTATTTGCTTGTTTGTTTCATAATAATTTTGAGTGATCATTGAAATGATTACATGATCCTATTTATTTCTTTAGGGGTTACACAATAAGTTTTTAACCAGTACTGTCTCTGCTGTTTTTCTGAATCTAATAAGGAGTTCTGAAGTCTCTATCATTATGAGGTTCCAAGCTAGACAGAGAATCATCAATTATGAGTCAGTCTGGGAACCTAGATTATGTACTTGTGTGTGTAAGTTTATTTCCATGTAACCATCTAAACCTTTCCTTTGCATTCTATTGTTTTGTTTGTTGCAATGGCTAAGTTGGTCACACTTGTATAATGAATCCAGAAACGGGTACCCATTTGCAAACCAGAAATCTAACTGTGGGCATCAGAGCTATTTGCCGGTGTTTTGTTTTGTTTTGTTTTGTTTTGTTTTGTTTTGTTTTGTTTTTTGAGACAGAGTCTTGCTCTGTTGCACAGGCTGGAGTGCAGTGGCACGATCTTGGCTCACTGCAACATCTGCCTCCAGGGTTCAAGCCATTCTCCTGTCTCAGCCTCCTGAGTAGCTGGGATTACAGGTATCCGCCGCCATGCCCAACTAATTTTTGTATTTTTAGTAGACGAGATTTCACCATTTTGACCAGGCTGATCTTGAACTCCTGACCTCAGGTAATCCGCTGCCTGGGGCTCCCAAAGTGCTGGGATCATAGGTGTGAGCCACAATGCTTGGCCTGTTTTGTTTTGTTTTTGAGACATGGTCTCACTCTGTTGCCCAGGCTGTAATGGAGTGTAGTGGCGCAATCATAACTCACTGCAGCCTCGACCTCCCAGGCTCAGGTGATCCTCTCATCTCAGCCTCCTGAGTAGATGGGACTATAGGCACATATCACCATGCCTGGCTAATTTTGTATCTTTTATGTAGACAGGGTTTTGCCATGTTGCCCAGGCTGGTCTTGAACTCCTGGACTCAAGCAATCTGCCCAACTCAGCCTCCCCAAGTACAGGCGTTTTGGTCTTTTAGTAATTTTGAGACTTAATTTACTCTTGCTAGTAGGAAGATGTGAATTACCAATGTCAGGACTGTGTACAAAAATATAGTAAAGCCACATATTCTAGTTATATACACTAGGACAATTTTTAAATATACAAAAATCAAAATTTTTAGCTAAGCAATTCAAACTGCTATAGTATCCCCAATATATTTGTTTCAATTAAAAACATAAATTGAAAAAAATAAGTTCTGCCCTATTCAAACATATTTATGAATTTCTGAGTCCAACTGCTTGCTTACTAATGCACTTCATCATGAATACAAAGTGGAAATGTATGCAGAAATATCTTATCACTATATTACTTCAAATCCCATAGCAAGCTGTTTTACCCATAGATATCTATGGGGCTGGTGTCCTTTAGCATTCTCTTCTTCCATATGTCAATCAAATTAACCTAAATCTAGCTAGAGTTACACTTCAACTCCTGCCTGATCACCCACCCATTAAGTTCAAGGGAAGAGAGACAAGTGTGGAAGACTCATTCTAAAATCTACCATTATCACCTGAAAAACAACTAAAGAGAAGAGTCAATTAAAAATGACTACTGGAAATGGCTTCCATTTTTTAAAAATGCAGTGATTAATAAAAATGAGGTTAAAATGCAGGCTGAAGGTTCATGGACAAGTTTACTTCTACTAGATGGTTTATATGATGACAATGATGGCCTCATGCTTTGACGCAGAGTATCAGGCAAAATTAAGCAATTCTTTTTGGCTGAACACTGAGCTTCAGGTGAGCACAACCCAATCACATTTCTGATTTGCCATGTTAGGAAAATTCTTAAGTAAATTTTACAAAGTTATCTCAGATTTAATGAGTCAATTGGAAATGAGGTAAAGAAAAACGTTCAACACCATGCGGAGAAAAAGCCTGCATCATAATAACTAGTACCTGCCCGCGTCCCTGAGCTGTACCTGAGGGAAAGGGTAGAGTGAAGCCAATTTGGAAAGCTTTGGTAACTAAAGGCAAGTTAGACTACTGCCCATCAAGAGGTCGGAAGCATCAGAAACTTCCCCAGTTCTGCTAGCTCCGAATACAGTCATTATATTCTCTCTCCTAGAAACACCTACACAATAGTGTTTCTTCAAAGATTTTTCTTGCAAATCATCTGGTACAGACAGTACAGTACCTGGAGTAGTTATTTAAAATGCAGCTTCTGAGAACCCACCCAGAACACCTGAATTAGAATCTTTTTGAAGCTTGGGAAACTTCCCAAGGTGATTCTTACTCACACTAGCTTGATTACCAAGCTCTTTGGGAAGTCAACTTACCAGCAGAATCGGTGCTGGATTCTGCACCCACTCTGCTAGTAAATTGGAAAAGAAAGGAGTTGAGCAGTCTTAAGTCTGGTACCAAGAAGCTATCATAACCTGATGCTAGTGTCTCCCAGACTACGGCATGGAATATCAAGGAAATAATTGCAATGATCATAATAATTATTATACCTTTTTTTTTACTGCTTTCTACCTGGTGAGCCCCGTTCTGGGTACTTTACATTATTAGCTTATTTACTACCCATAATAACTTTTCAAGATGGGGACTATTATCCCTATTTTACAAATAAGTAACTTACCCAAGTCACTCAGTTGGCAATGTCTATGTCTCTGGGCCACAGAGTGCCACTGCCATGGACAATGCCGAAAACACATCAGCTGACAAATTTTTACTCTTAGACTTTTCTTTTTATGGATACCCTGCAGACCCCAGCAGCCTTTACATCTTTTTCATTTTGGTTGTATTTCCAAGTCCATATCCTGGTTCCTTTAATCATATTTCAGTGCTGGTCTGAGGGCCTTGCCTGAATTTGGGAGATACCCTGGTCACACTGAGAAACTGTGGGAAACATTCCACCAGCCACACACTCTCCACTCATTTTATTATAGCATGATGACTTCTGCAGATAGTTGCTTTTGTTCATAAAACTGGTCTTTGCTAGCTTCAGTTCTAAAAGGGAGCATATCCAAACTTTTGTTCCCAATTACTGAGGCTTACCCTTTGGGGAATCTTCTATCTTTTAAATACAGATGTTTTGAAAACAGACTTACAGATAATTAAAAACACACATACACACACACACACACACACACCCCTCCACACCTCCTGTGGACTACTAATATGTAATCAGTTAGATTTTCTTGGTAATTTTGCCCGATGGAAGAGAAAAAGAAAAAAAAAAGATTAGGGAGCAGAGATCTGGTCTAAATGAGATAAAGAATTGAGATAAGCTACTTCCCACAAGTTTCAGCAAAGAAATGCCTGGAGTTACTAGGAAAAGGGATTGGAAGTGGCTGGGCAAAAAGCACAAGAACAAGGGAAAAAGGGAGGCATTACCACTCCATGCAGGGCCACACTGTCCTAATACCAGGGACTTGTTTTCCAGGCTCGTACGAGACAAGCTGTTCTCAAGGACCTCCTTTCCCTGCCCTCCTGCACCCCATCACCCCACAAGATTTCACAGCTGCAGAGAAAGCTTCATCTGGTAACTAGTGTTACGGGTTTAGGTCAGATCTCTTTGGAGATCATTCTATCTTCCTCTTCAGTGATTCCTTTTTGTTACAGTATGTAGTTTAGAAAAAAAATGTATTACAATGACAATTCATTATGTACATATGTTTATCCATTTTAGGAAAACAATGCATAAATGTGTTAAATTAAGGTCTTCTATGTTATTTCTCAAAATGTCAATCAGGAATGTATGATTGCCTAAAGTACTGTGTTGAGAAAAATGGTGGGGCTTTGTCCAAGTCCATCTGAAATGAGTGCAGCGATTAATTAGCAATGTCTGCCACAGGTGCTGGATGTGGAAGTCTCAGTATGTTACTTTAGTATTTGCTATAATGATGAAAACAGTCAAATGTTTTTAGGGCCTGAATTCATGAGACTATAGAAAAAGTTGCAAAATTACAAAGAATCCTTGCTACTTAGAAAAAAGTCTGAATTATTTCATTGCCCTAAGTTTTCTGACAGAATTTAGACCAGAGATTCCTAAGGACATTAAGAGAGGATAGTGTCAGATGGAGACTGGAGGGAAAGTGAGCCTTAAAAACAATGCAACATTGTATTGTACCACTGCTCTTATTTTTTAGGCAAGTTATTTTATATTATTGCAAATTTCAAATTATATTAAAGAAAGCATGAGATTTTATGGCTTTTCAAATAGGAGGCATGGGTGAGAGAAATTCGGAAATAACTAATTTAGACACTTAAATATTGAAGACATGACTTTTTCTCTAGGACCACTAAAAATGCTTTGTTAAAAATAATATCAATCGGCTGGACGCAGTGGCGCACGCCTGTAATCCTAGCACTTTGGGAGGCCGAGGCGGGTAGATCACCTGAGGTCAGGAGTTCGAGAGGAGCCTGGGCAACATGGTGAAACCCCGTCTCTACTAAAAATACAAAAATTAGCCGGGTGTGGTGGCAGGCGCCTGTTATTCCTGCCACTCAGGAGGCCGAGGCAGGAGAATCGCTTGAAACCTGGTTGCAGTGAGCCGAGATCGCGCCATTGCACTCCAGCCCGGGGCACAAGAGCAAAACTTTGTCTCAAAAAAAAAAAAAAAAAAAAAAAAAATATATATATATATATATATATATATATACCTCAAAAGTTACAATACAGAGGAAAGAATCATAAGGGTATGGGTTTCTGGCTTGTCCTCATGGGATATCATTTGATCTGATAAATAATAAAGATTGTTTTCATTTTATAATTTAAGCAAGAGCTCAAAGAAAATCAGTCACTGCCTCATGCTTATTTTAGGTTTTAAAGGAAACATTATAAACCATAGGAAAATATAGACTATTATCCCAGTTTAGACTGCACAAGCATTTTCACTGTAATTTATTTTGCATGTGTGATACTTGAAAATGACTTGACATGCAATCCACCTATTAGAAAGTGTATTAACTCAAGAATCAAAAGGCCAGATCCCAGTCCTGGCTCTGACATAACGATCAGTGGCCGCTTGGCCAAGTAACATGACCCTTTTGGACCTTGCCTCTGCAAATGAAAATGAGTGTGTTGTTGGATTATCCCAAATATCCCTTTTGGCTTCACTACTCTGAGTCCAAACGTAACAGAACAACAAAAAGAGAAGATTATGAAATATGTTTAATAATGTTCTAGAAGGAAAAGCATTTAAAAACTTTTTCAACTAGAGTCAAAAGTCATCAGAAATGGATGAGAGAGAACCCAAATGATCAAATCTGCCCTAAAAAGCAAATTGGACACAAAGAGGATGCTTATGAACTTCAACACTAGAATCTGGTTATTCATATAGAGAAACAGTGAATACAGGAAGGAAAAATAAACATAATTTGGAAAAACACAATCTGGAGCAAAATAAAATGCAGAATGGAGAAAATAAGCAACTTTTTTTGGATAACCAAGGACAGAGTGATAGCGCATCCACCAAGAGCAAAGTGATAGAGGGAGGGCTTTGTCACTTAGAAACAGACAAAATGTTTAACTTGGGAGCATCACAGTGCTTCATGACAATGTCCATCGTACGAAACATTACGGCTAAATATCTTCTTTCTTTGGCACTTAAAAAACACTAATTTCAAAAAAATGATATGCTTACCTGCAGCATTCACAATTCTATTTGCTCTCATAGACCCCTGTGGTGTTTCAACGTCCCATGTTCCATCTGACCTGGCTTTCAGAGAAGTTACTGGTGCAGGATATTTTAAAAGGGCACCACATTTCCTAGCCCCAGCAGCCAGTGCCATAGTTAGAGAATAAGGATCAATGTGACCATCTCCAGGATTATACAATCCAGCTAAAACCTAAATCAATCATACCAGAGTCAATACTCAAATATATATATACTTATTACTCAGTAAAAATATATCCTGCTAGTAAACGTTTAGTAAAACTGGACTTCAAAAGTGTTTCTTGATCTGGAAAGTGACTGGGTCCCTGAAGACTTCATGAAAAAGCCACCATTCAAGTCCTGGACTGCTGAAAAGAAAGAGAAATAAACCTCTATCTTGTTTACACCTTCTTATTTTGGTTTCTGACATTTGAAGACAAATCTAATTCCAACTGATATATCAATTATAATTTATATTTAATTTTTAATACTGTTAATAAATTCACATTAAATAATATATCTGGTGTCAGGAAATTTATGTTTGATTCAATCATTCAACAATTAATTCTTGCATATCTACTTTGTTTTAGGCCTTCAGGCAAGGTACTGTGGGGAAAACAAAGAAGAATGAAACTCAGATGGGATACGTTGATAGAATGATCAGTGAAATATTATATATGGGTCTCATCTATTCAACAAAAATTGGCTGAGCACCAAATACAAGCAAGGAGCTTTTGTCAAATGTCTTTTCTGTATCTATTGAAATAACTGTGTAGTTTTGTCCTTTATTCTATTAATGTGGTATTGTTACATTGATTAATTTTTAGATGTTAAACCAACCCTGCATTCCTGGAATACATTCTATTTGGTCATACTGCATAATCTGTTTTATATGTTACTGAATTCAGTTTGCTAGTATTTTGTTGAGGATTTTTGTATCTATGTTCAAAAGGGATACCAGTCTTTCTTTTTGGGGGGATGCCTTTGTCTGATTTTGTTATCAGGGCAATACTGGCCTCATAGAATGAGTTGAGAGGCATTCACTCTTCTATTTTGGAAGAGTTTGAGAGAGATTGGCATTAAGTCTTCTCTACATATCTGGTCAAATTAACTAGTGAAGTCATCCAGGCCTGGGGTTTTCTTTGTGGGAAGTTTTTGATTACGAATTCAATCCTTTCATTTATTATAGGTCTTGTGCAAGGGACTTTCTATTTTAAGGGAATTCACATTTCTAAAGACTTCCAAATGTCACACAGGTGTTTTATAATGGATAGGACCTCGTTGTAGTAATCCCACATCTGTTTGGTTTGGTACCTTCTCCCAGATGCAGAGAATACCCTTCACACATATTCCCATTGCTTAATGAATGCCCTTGAGAAAAATTCATGATAGTGAGGAGTTCCAGCAAAGCATTCAGGATTGACATATAAACAAATGTAAGTATATCCTTACTGGTAGTGGAGGTAAAATTTCAATGCAGACAATGCAGTGCAACACCAATCTGCCATCACACTGGTATCACACACAACTATAGACAAGGGAGTGCCAGCAGCCTGTGAAGACTCGCAAAGGCAAACAACCCTAGCACCCAAGTCAATGATACAAACCCTCAGAGATGGGAACTGCTGCAGTGGTCACCAGCAGGGAAATAAGCATGTGTTTCCCCAACAGCCCCATCTGATACACTTGGGCAAGATGTATAATGCAAGGGAGTCAGAGAGCATGGGTTTAAATCTCTACTCCAGCTCTTTCTAGTGAATGAGCTTGGGCTCACTATGTAAACTGTCTGAGCTAAAATTTCCTGTTTAACAATAATATATACCGCATAACATAGATATAGATATAAACTTTTTTTTTATTTCTGAAATTTTAGAGACAGGCTCTCACTTCGTTGCTCAGGCTGGAGTGCAGTAGTGTAATCATAGCTCACTATAACCTCAAACACCTGGGCTCAAGAGATCCTCTTGCCTCAGCCTCCCAAGTAGCTAGGACTACAGACGGAATCCTACTACCCCACACTCAGTTAATTTTGTGTGTGTGTGTGAGTGTGTGAGACGAGGTCTCAGTATGTTGCCTAGGCTAATCTTGAACTCCTCGCCTCAAGCAATCCCCCCACCTTGGCCTTACCACATGCTGGGATTACAGGAGTGAGCCATGGCATCCAGCCTGCCCCATACTATTATTGTGAAGATTACATGAAATTATGCATGTAAGGACTTAACATACTAACTGGTACATAAATACGTGCCATGAAATTATGCATGTAAGGACTTAGCATACTAACTGGTACATAAATATGTGCTACAGTAAGTGTTAGCCATTGTTATTATTATTCAAAAGGAATTATTACCCACTAGGAAAAAACACTAAATTTCATGTCAAGTAGGTTCTCTCAGGCAAATGTGGTATAAATCTAGATCCGTACCTAGCACAGAGTCTGTAAGGGGAGTACAGCTATAAGCTAGGTGATATTTGTAGAGCAACGTACCATGGCATTTCTTAATTTGATTTTTAAAACATTTTAATACCACAGTCTTTCTAGACATTTATCATATCAGGTTATCATTCTCTCTGCAGTTCTCAAACAGAAGGTTTGTGTATGGAAACCCTTAGATCTGGGGGACACAATAATGGAAAGGTATTGAAAATGTTTAATCAATTGTCAAAGGTGAAAAACTAACAAGATTTGTCATTACCTTTTTATATATCATTTACTGTATATAACAGCCTATCTTGTAAGTTACCCAAATTCCAAAATTAATCATATGATTTTGTCACATTTAAAATGTGTGTACCAAGTTTTCTGTTTTTAGTTAACTTCTTAATAACTTTTTCTAATTTTTACTTAAGTCAACAAATGGTAAAAATGCCCTTAAGATAAATACCTTATTCATGTTGAGTAAAGGGAACATCTCTTGAATTTTTTCAGGTTCAATGAGATACTGTTCTGTTGCATGCCAGCCAGTCCGAGTCATTTGATATTTAAATTCATCTACCCTTACAGGGGTGGTAGCAAGTCTGATACTACCTGGCTGATGGAATCCCACCACCTGTGACAATAATTCCAGTGAGAGCATATAAATAAGTCATTGTTTGGTACTCAAACATGGTTCTGCTCCAGTATAATGAAAATGCAGCTGTACAAAAAGATTTATTACGAGTGAAAGAAATAACTATTAAAATATTTGCATCTTATTAAAAGACACTTATTCAGCAACTACCATATTTACTAAGTGCCTGTTCGGAGCCAGGCACTATTCTAAGCCCCACAGGTGTAGGGGTGAACAAGAAAGGTAAAGACTCTGCCTAAGTGGAATTTATACCCCACAGTTGAAGACAGACAGCTAAATGCAAAATCACAGTAGCATGGAATGAGTGTTAATGTACAGCGTGAACAAAAACTGTATGAAAAAGAGAAAGACAAAAAATTTAAGGAGAGATCATGTAGAATCAAAATGTTGCAATGCTTAGATTGTCTGAATTGAAGTAAACATTCATTTGACATTTATTAAAGTCCTTCAGTTTGCCAAGCACTCAGTTACAGAGATAAAAGATATAGCCCTTGCCCTCAAGTTACTTGTAGGGAGGACCAACAAGTAAATCAACAATTACAATAGAGAGAGATTCAAGTTATAAAAGAGGTGTGCACAAATGCTCTGAGAACCAAGAGATGGGACCTCCAGCTTTGACTTGCCTAGCAGGCAGGAAAAGTCAAGGAAGGCTTCTCAAAGGTGGTGACCCCAGGGAAGGTGGATGCCGAAGATGGGGCCAGGGGAAGCAGCAGAAAACAGAACACAACAAAAACAAAAAGCAGTGATTTGAGAGAGCTCAGCACATTCCAAAACTATATGTTATTGAGAGTAGCTGAAGCAGATAAGCAGAGGGAAGAATGGAAAAAGAAACAGTTGGGACAGCAGGCAGAGGTCAGCTGACAAAGGTCATGTTCCTAAGGCCATGCTAATCCTTTGGCTTTGTCTGGTAGACTGTGGGGAGCCATTGGATGGTTTAGGCAAGGGAAGTGACATGGAAAATTTGAGACCTCAGTCTTAGCCTATGGATACTCTTTTGCCTGCCATTTTATTTTGAGAGTTTGAGTAAATATGAGAAGGGATAAACATGAAAGTGAGGGGCTCTTAATGAAGTACTGTTCAGAGTCATGGGACAATCTGGTACATTCTATCGTCAGATCCTTTGCAATGCAATTGCTGAAAGACTCCAATTTCTTAGTTTCTAGATATAGTAACTGGCTAAAGATACTTTTGAAAGCTGCTTTTTATTCTTTCTTCATTTAAAAAATAAAGAATGGTTCATGACATGAATAATATACTTTGAGAAATTAAGTTGATTTTAAAGCAGACTCTAGAGGTTCTTACCTTAAACTCTCATCATATTCCTCTACTACATTAAGCACTCCACACGGTCATACACAATGATGCATCAAAATCCTTCAGAAATCTTACATGTTTCTGAGAAGCCGACCTAACAGACAGTTTCAAGTTAAATGCCTTTACCTGACCAGTTTCTTCTTCCAGTTTCTCATAAAGTTTGATGCTATCATAATGTATTTTCTTCAAGTTTATTCCAGGATGAAAGTAAGTTGTTAAACCTGCCTTAAAAGCAGAGAGGAAAAGAAATACTGAAAAAAAATTAACATTCTCAAAATGTTGACAGTTTATCTGTTAAGCAATAATTTAATGCTGGAAAGAAACTGAGAAGCACCAGCCAGTCCTTTGGGATGAGAACACATCAGCACCAGTTTGAGCACACCAGAGCATAAGGCTCATGACAGGTTTTAAGAAGCAATGTGAACTATGTGAGTAAAGTGAGAGCCAGCCAATAAACATACATGTTAAGTCCCTACAAGTTAACATGGATAGCGTTGTACAGAGATTCAGAAATGGGATGATTTAGATGGAAGGTTTAGGACTATGTGCTATATAGTCCTATGTATGACTATATAGAAAAGTATCTTGGGAGGCCAAGGTGGGCAGATCATGAGGTCAAGAGTTCGAGACCAGCCTGGCCAACATGGTGAAACCCCGTCTCTATTAAAAATACAAATGGTGAAACCCCGTCTCTATTAAAAATACAAAAATTAGCTGGGCGTGGTGGCGGGCACCTGTAATCCCAGCTACTCGGGAGGCTGAGGCAGCAGAATTGCTTGAAACTAAAAGGCGGAGCTTGCAGTGAGCCAAGATCACGCCTCTGCACTCCAGCCTGGGCAAAAGAGCAAAACTCCATCTCAATAAATAAATAAATAAAACTATGGGGGAGGCCAGGCGTGGTGGCTCATGCCTGTAATCCCAGCACTTTGGGAGGCCGAGGTGGGTGGATTACCTGAGGTCAGGAGTTCGAGACCAGCCTGGCCAATATGGAGAAACCCCTTCTCTACTAAAAATACAAAAAATTAGCCAGGCATGGTGGTGCAAGCCTGCAGTCCCAGCTACTTGGGAGGCTGAGGCAGGAGAATAGCTTGAACCCGGGAGGCATAGGTTGCAGTGAGCCAAGATCACGCCATTGCACTCCAGCCTGGGTGACAGAGTGAGACTCTGTCTCAAAAAAGAACAGAAAAAAGTAATGGGGGAATGGCATACAATGTGGATTCAAGCCAGCAAACCATGTGTGTGTTCCCTTAAGCAGAAGGACCATGGACTAGCACAGGATCTTCTTTGACCCAGTCTCCACCCTTCTCTTAAATGGAGCAGCCCTCCTGGCCCTTTCCTGAAATTGCAAAATTTAAGAATTAGAAAATTCCTTATCACTGGAGCCTGAAGAATAGGTGAACAGACTTTTGTCAAAGTTTAACCTGTTTGATGAGCACATAGGTGGTACACTGCAAATCTTTGTTGAATAAATATTGATTGATTATTCTCAGAAAAAAGTATCTAAATATTAGCTACACTAAAACTCCTTTTCTCAAATCTGGCAGATGTAATGTGGAATCCAGAAAAAGAATTCTAAGCAATTATTTGAAGCAGGTTCTCTCAAATATCTGGGGCCTCACTGGGCAGCTAATTTATCCTGGAAAGCTCATCAGAACACAATCTGTTCACAGTAAAATCTACTTAGGAGTATTTATAAGGTACTTCTATGGTAGTGGTGGGCATTTCATCCTCCTGCACTCAAATATGCCATTAAAGTTTGTCAATCATCCTTTATAACCAAAACCCTGAGGCTTCCATCCAGTACTTGTTCAAACATCTGGACATATCCATGGCTGATTTTTTTTTTTTTAAGAAAAATCCTGGCCCAGCTTATAGGTCATCCAGTAGCACAGCTCCATGTGGAAGTAGAGAAGGGATTCCATTACAATGCACCTGTAAGCCAAACTCTTCAACTTCATGGCCAAACATGCCCTGCTGCTTTAACATGTTGGTATCCAGTGTGCATGCAAACTTTCCTGGTTCAATAATAGAGAATCTCTGGCCTTCAGGTATCTGCTAGTGACCCCCATTTTGTCTTAAACATATCTCCTATATATATGTCCTATATAAAACTGACAATATATATTTTCAGTTGAGAAATCTGGTCATCACAAGCACTGGCCTAGGGTACTGATCACCATCCACTCCTCAAGATCCTGTAAGCTTTATACCTGGGTTAAGCTAGACCACTGGAAAATTATCTATCTACACTACGCAATCCTCTTCTCCCTCACTCCAGAAATTTTAAGTTAATTCTCTTTCATGTGAAAAGGTCACATTGGTTCATTTTTTCAAAAACTCTTACTGAAGACATTTAGCCCAATGTACTTTGTGTAGGTAACAAATTATTTTAGAAATTCGTTGTCAAGGAAAAGTTAGTCTCCCTTACCGCAACAGTATACCCAGTTCTACTAAACAATTTACACTACCCTCTTTTCCTTGCTGCTACGATAGTCAGAAGTAAGATATGGACTCAATTTTCTCACTCAGACATAGAAATTATTTAATTTTTATACCCTTTCTTTTATATATTGGCTTTTAAAATCTGTGTTTAAAATTTGGGGCTACCCATATTAGCGCTTCCATTTAAATTATTTGAAAGTGATATTGCACATGGTATCTTTTGTTAATGTAAGTGCCAGGCTTGAATATGAAGATGGCACAATGTTTTAATCTTCTGTGACTTCAACGAGGACATATTAAATGAGAAGCCTGAAAGAAGGAGAAAACATTGTTCTTATCACTCAGGATTTTATAGTCTGAGGTTATGAAACTTTCATACAGGAAACAATTAAATCAAGGGTAAATGATTGAGTCCTAGACACATAGTAACTATGAAACTAGGGAAAGAGAAGATGCCAGAAAGGTCACAGAAGTCATAGGAAAGGAGTTTAGCTGTCGTTTGGAAAAAGTGATTGTAGCTGGTAGAGAAGATAAGGAAGGGAAGATGAAACGGAGATATAATCATTAAGAATTACAACCCTTCAAATAAATTAAGAATTTGTAAATCTTTCTTGAGATAAATAAACAAATAAGTACAGGAGAATGTAAAGGTCTTCCTTAGACTGACAATTAATAAGATAGAAGGAATGATGGAGTTAGAAAATTCATTCCTGGATGCTAAATAATGGATAGCATAACGGATGCTAACTAGTGCTTCCCCTGTCTCCTTAACAAACCTCTCCCTCTCTCAGGAGCCTCTACTACCTCAAAAAGTCCAGTGACTGATGTCAAACCATCCTATATTCCAGTGGCTCCAAATCTTTCACTCATACATTTACACCCAATACAAAGTTTGGAATATAACCACTAAAATACGTGTATTTCTTTCCTTACATGTGATATGTAAATATTAATAGAGATCATAAACACACAAAACAACTGAGAATAAGTGAAGTACTCAAAAACACTTTTTATTTTATATACTGTGTAGAAAAGCTTTTGAATATGAAGCTTATTAAGAACATTTTAGCAAGAGCTATGTGATTAATACATTTCACTATTAAAATATCTGTGCTACCTTAACGTTTGTAATACAGCGATGTGAAGGCCTGGTTCTGGCTTTACGTTATTTTGAGACTGCTTTCAATGGTGGTATAGCTGCAGAAGACACCGCTCAGTGAGGCACACACCCAAGTGAGAGAAGTGCACGATTGGCTGTGTCTCTGCATCCTGACACCCCTTCCTCTACCTCAGTCAACACCCATATGAAGGTTTCTCTTCACATTTGACTATGACATTTCATGTTCTTGTGTCTGCCTGTTGTTACAAACTAGTTGGAAGGTATTGCATTTTTTGTATTTTAAGTAAATGGGAACAAATCCTGTTGAAACTCCTCATTTAGAAAAAAATTGAAATGGATTAAAAGTTTATTTCTCACATATATGAGAGTTTTTCTATGTGATACATATCATTTTGGGGCAGAAAACCTAATAATAATACCAACATTTCCAAACATCCCTTTTCAAAATGCTGTTTTCCCAACAGGACTATTTTGCAAAAGGCAATTATTTCTCACCTACTGAAAGCATCACTTTTTCTGTGAAGGGACAGGCTGCATCTATTTTTTTAAATATATAATCTGCTATGTAGAAATCACTGGCAGCCATTTGCATTCACAACTTTTTAGCTACTGCTAGTAGATAACCAGGAAACCTGTATGTAATACAACACTCCAAAGTTCACCCCTCTCCCTTTCATCACACATGATATTATTTAAAGCCCTATTTCTATAAAGCTAATCACAATGGTGATATCCTATAGCACGCAATCTGCACCATGTCATGGTATACGGAAGACAAGAGAAAGAATGAGGACACTCCCACCATGAAGTGCCAACCTCCCGCGTAGTCAACCTTGAAATCATACACAACACATCATCCACATCAAATGTGAGGGTTATTTATAAATATCAGTAAAGCTTAACTTCTTTCTTACATTTGCAGACAAAAACAAATGGAAAGTTCTTATATCACCTCCTACACCCCAAATGGATCATCCTGAATCTTTAGTCCTCAGCTCTCAAAACATCTACTTTGGTACCATCCCCAAGGGCAGCCCCTTCTCGGGATCCCAAGCTCAAAACTTCCTTCTTACTCCATCCTCTCTTGTTTCCCTGCATCCACATGAAATGCTCTATCCTATTAGGTATATCATGAGCTGACAAAGCAGTCTTGTTAAAACCTTAGGATTTATGGATTTGTGATTCCATTTAGAAGATTCACTTTGCAAGCTGTGCTTTCCTCTCCAAGCATTTGATTCCCACACTCTCCAGACACTTCTCTCATGGAGCACATATCGTGCTTCAGGGAAACTGCCTTTATTTTTATAGTCTGCCTCTTGTTAGCTGGCTCTGCAACCTTCCTTATTCTCAGATCTACTCCACAAATATCTCGGTGTTAAAAATTCTTAATATCAGCCTGGCGCGGTGGCTCACGCCTGTAATCCCAGCACTTTGGGAGGCCGAGCAGGGCAGATCACGAGGTCAAGAGATTGAGACCATCCTGGCCAACATGGTGAAACCTCATCTCTACTAAAAATACAAAAATTAGCTGGGTGTGGTGGTGCGCACCTGTAGTCCCAGCTACTTGGGAGGCTGAGGCAGAGAATCACTTGAACCCAGGAGATGGAGGTTGCAGTGAGCTGAGATCATGCCACTGTACTCCAGCCTGGCAACAGAGTGAGACTCTGTCTCAAAAAAAAAAAAAAAATCAATGCGGCCAGGCTTAGTGGCTCAAGCCTATAATCCCAGCACTTTGGGAGGCTTAAGTGGGAGGACTGCTTGAGCCCAGGAGTTTGAGACCAGCCTGGACAACGTAGGGAGACCTCATCTCTACAAAAAACTTTAAAAATTAGCAAGGCGTGGTCGTGCACAGCTGTGGTCCCAGCTACAGGTGCTGATGTGAGAGCATTGCTTGAGCCCGTAGGTTGAGGCTGCAGTGAGTCATGATCACGCCACTGCACTCCAGCCTGGGTGACAGAGTGAAACTCTGTCTCAAACACACACACACACACACACACACACACACACACACACACACACACAAACACCTAATATGTTGGATTTCTTCATGCTGCTGCTCAGAGGGAGGCATCTTTGACTTGCAAAAAACCCTAGAATCAACTTCCTAGGACAACTGTCTTTTATTCCAAGGGGGCCAAATAACCTGGCTTCTGATGCCTGATTCCACCTTGAACTCACATTGCATGGATCCTTATTTTGTAAACCATAGCCTAATACCTTGTATGCAAAGCAGGATAATGCCTTTCCCCACTCACTTTGGTATCTTTGTGTTTAAGAAAAAAATATTTTGCGTAGTTAACTTTTAGATTAAGGGTATGTTGCTTTTTATTCATGGGACATCTAAGAAATAAAATTTCAAGGAATCCCGTAACCTCTTCTAAAATGCAGGCCAGGCCAGGTGCGATGGCTCATGCCTGTAATTCTAAAGTCTTGGGAGGTTGAGGCTGGAGGATCATTTGAGGCCAGGAGTTCAAGACCAGCCCGGGCAACATAGTGAGACCCCCATTTCTAAAAAAATTAAGAAAATAGCTGGGCATGTTAGCGCACACCTGTATAATCCTAGCTAACTGGGAGGATTGCTTGAGCCCAGGAGTTTGTGCTTATAGTGAGCTATGATTGCACCACTGCACTCCAGCCTGGGCAACAGAGAAAGACCCTGTCTCAAAAAATAATGATAATAATAATAGTAATAAAATCCAATGCAGGTCACATTAAATCAGTATATAAGTGAGCAAATAAGTAATTCAAACATTAAAGCGTATGCCCTCAGTAACAATTCAGAAGTGGTGAGAGGGTGTAAGCCCTCCCTCGAAGGGTATTTCCACTTGCCTACATTTCCCTGCCTAAATGATCTTTCCAGAATAGCCTCATGGCCCCCTGGCTCACTGCTCCCTGGTCTCTGTTGGCAGGTCGCCTCTTTGAAACATCCTCCCTAGCACCTCCTTCTTCTCCTCCTCCATCATTTTGCATCCTTGACTGTACTTTACTTTTCTTCATGGTGATTACTCTCTAGCATTGATAGGTGTTTTCTGTCTGCCCCACCAGAATGTGAGTTCCACAAGGGCAAGGTCTTTGGGCTTTTATGTCTGGGCAGCACTCTCCCCCAGATTCAGCTGGAAGCAGGCAATCCTTTTCATGCTAGACTCTCCACCCTATACTTTGAGCACATACTAGATGTCAAAAAGCCCCTCAAAGTGAGGTTCCCTCTTCTCAGCCAAGGAAGGCTAATGATGAAATGGGATGATGAGCAGGGGCTAACGCTGCCCAAAAGAAAACTGCACCAGCAGTCCTAAAAACTTCCTCTCCCATCCCTAAATGATGTCAGAAATCCCTGGTTTGGCAATATGACAGCAGTGTCAATCCCTTCATCTACCTGGGCAGCTTTCCAGGTAAGCCTAGTCAATTATGGCGCAGCCCTGGAACAATTATGCATACCATGAAGAATGCAAGACTGACTTGGCCTGTGTCTCATGTAACACAAAAGCTGTGCTACACTTTTGCAGTCCTCATATTCAAGTCCTCAGGGGGCCAAACTGTCATCTCACAGCATAAAATTAAAACCATAAGGCCAGGCGCAGTGGTTCACTCCTGTAATCTCAGCACTTTGGGAGGCCAAGGCAGGCGGATCATGAGGTCAAGAGATAGAGACCAGCCTGACCAACACGGTGAAACCCCGTCTCTACTAAAAATACAAAAATTAGCTGGGTGTGGTGGTGTGCACCTGTAGTCACAGCTACTCGGAAGGCTGAGGCAAGAGAATCGCTTGAACCTGGGAGGCGGAAGTTGCAGTGAGCCGAGATCGCGCCATTGCACTCCAGCCTGGTAACAGCGAGACTCCATTTCAAAAAAAATAAAAAATAAAAAATAAAAATAAATAAAACCATAAGTAAATAAAAGGACCACCAAATGCAGGTGAGGGGAGTATAGGTAAAGATCTTGGGCCCATATCCAGGCTCACCCAGACAGTATCCTTCCATATAAAGCTGACATTTATTATCCAATACCTTGCGTTTAATAATTTTGCACATGTTAACTCAATCTTCATCACAATCCTATTAGGTAAGTACTATTAATATTCCTATTAAGACATCAGAAAATGGAAACTTATGTAACTTGCCAAAAGTCACACAAGGGTAGAAAATTGCAAAGCCAGGATTCGAATCCAGAAGCCATCTGTTCAAGATAAAGACATCATAAATATTGGTTGTCATCTGGAAGTACACCAGTTAAACTACAACTGCACTTCCAACGCTATTGAAGGGGAACGCACTCTAAAGAGCTCACAGTTGGGAGTTGTGAACGGGAAGGAAATGGACTTTACTCATGCACAATTCCACGCTTATGACAGTTTGGGGTGCTTTTCTTACTGCGTGCCAGGTAGATCCAGCCGTGAGCTCTGATTTCTCCAGCAGGACCACATCTTTCATCCCTGCTTTGGCCAGGTGATAAGCCAGACTCACACCAACACAGCCACCTCCAATTATCACTGTTTCTGCTCTGTCTTTCCATTGTGTTTCTGCAGATAAGGGTGGTTTTTCCTCTCTGGAAGAGGGAAAGTTAAAATGGGAACTTCAATCGGCAATGGTAGCTATAGTTCTGGCCTAAAGCACTTCCCCTTACCCGTTTCTCTAGTACTTAACACCCACTGACTGAGATTTGCATGATACTGATTTAATAATTTGGAGCATCTAAACTGTGATTTAGGCAACCTGGTTGGGGGAGGGGTGTTTGAGCCCCATTCCATATAATGATTCTGGTCCATTGTAGCTACTATAGCCAAAGAAATGAACAAGTAGCTTCTTTTTTTCAAAGAATCTAGAGAACAGGTCAGGTTTGGTGATGCACACCTGTAATCCCAGCACTTTGGAAGGCCGAGATGGGAAGATTGCTTGAGCCCAGGAGTTCAAGACAACCCTGGGCAACATGACGAAGCCCCGTCTCTATAAAAAATACAAAAATTATCCAGGCTTGGTGGCACATGCCTATAGTCCCAGCTACTTGGGAGGCTGAGGTAAGAGGACTGCTTGAGCCTAGGAGGTTGAAGCTGCAGTGAACCATGAGTGCGCCACTCCACTCAGACCTAGCAGACAGAGTGAGGCCCTGTCTCAAAAGGAAAAAAAAAAAAAGATTTAAAATTGTACAGCTGTCTAGGGTACTTTACCATGAATCAAGCTTGTAGGACTGGAAGTTGCTCTAGATGAGTCTGAGTGAGAGGTGAGTGAATGTGAAGGCCTAGGACATTACTGTACACTACTGTAGACTTTATCAACACTGTACATTTAGGCTACTCTAAGTTTATTTTTAAATGTATTTTTCTTTTTTCAATAATAAATTAACAGCTTACTGTAACTTCATTATTTTATAAACTTTTAAATTTTTTTGATTTTTGTAATAACAGTTTAAATGCAAACACATTCTACAGCTATATAGAAATATTTTATTTCTTTATATCCTTATTCTGGAACCTTTTTTCTATTACAAAATATATATATTTTTTTAACTTTTCAAACTTTTTTTTTTCCAAGACAGAGTATTACTCTTTTGCCCAGCCTAGAGTACAGTGGCTTGATCTTGGCTCACTGCAACCTCCACCTACTGGGTTCAAGCAATTCTCCTGCCTCAGCCTCCCATGTAGCTGGGATTACAGGTGTGCACCACCACACCCAGCTAATTTTTGTGTTTTTGGTAGAGATGAGGTTTCACCATGTTGGCCAGGCTGGTCTTGAACTCCTGACCTCAAGTGATCCTCCAGCCTTGGCCTCCCAGAGTGCTGGGATTACAGGCATGAGCCACTGTGCCTGGCCTCAAACTTTTTTATTAAAAACTAAGACACAAACACACACATTAGCCTAGGCATACACAGGGTCAGGATCATCAATATCACTGTCTTCACACCTCCAAATCTTGTCCCACTGGAAGGTCTTCAGGGGCAATAACACATACACAGCTGTCATCTCTTTTTCTTTTCTTTTCCTTTTTTTTTTTTTTTTTGAGACAGCGTCTCACTCTGTCACCCAGGCTGGAGTGCAGTGGCGCCATCTTTGCAAATTCCACCCCCAAGGTTGAAGCGATTCTTGTGCCTTAGCCTCCCGAGTAGCTGGGATTACAGACACGTACCACCACGCCCAGCTAATTTTTGTATTTTTAGTGGAGACGGGGTTTCACCATGTTGGCCAGGCTGGTCTTAAACTCCTGACCTCAAGTGATCTACCTGCCTTGGCCTCCCAGAGTGCTGGGATTACAGGCATGAGCCACCATGCCCGGCCAGAGCTGTCATGTCTTATGATAACAATGCCTTCTTCAGGAATACCTCCTGAAGGACCTGTCTGAGCCAATTTTACTGTTAACTTTTTATTTTATAAGTAGGAGTATACTCTAAAATGATGATTTAAAGTATAGTGTAGTAAATACATAAACCAGTAGCACAGTGATTTATTATCATTGTCAAGCATTATGTACTGTATGTAATTGCATGTGCTATAGCTTTATGTGACCGGCAGCACAGTAGGTTTGTTTAACCAGCATCACTACAAACACGTGAGCAATGTGTTGCATATGACATTATGACAGCTATGACATCACTGGGTGATAGGAATTTTTCAGCTCCATTATAATCTTACGGGACCACCATTGTATATGTGGTCCATCATTGACCGAAACATCATTATAAGGCACATGACTATACATATATGTATATTATAATATGTATATTCTATGTGTATACACATTTTAGAGTAAATTGTAGGTATCATACCCAGTTACTTCTAAATATTCTTTTGCTAGTTTGGTAAGAAAAAGGACATTCTCTTACATAACAACAGTACAGTTTTCAAAGTCAAGAAATTTAACATTGATATACTATTATCTATAGTCCATATTTAAATTTAATCAATTATTCCAATCAATTTATAGCTACTTTTTTCCAGTCAGAGATCAAATCCAGGATTCTGTCTCTTTAATCCCCTTTAATTTGGAACAGTTCCTAATACTTCCTTTGTGTTTTATGACCTTCACATTTTCGAAGAGTACTAGCCAGTTATTCTATTTTATTTTTTTTTTAGATGGAGTCTTGCTCTGTTGCCCAGGCTGGAGTGCAGTGGCACGATCTCGGCTCACTGCAAGCTCCACCTCCCAGGTTCATGCCATTCTCCTGCCTCAGCCTCCCAAGTAGCTGGGACTGCAGGCGCCCACCACCACGCCCGGCTAATTTTTTTTTTTTTTTGTATTTTTAGTAGAGACGGGGTTTCTCCATGCTAACCGGGATGGTCTTGATCTCCTGACCTCGTGATCCGCCTGCCTCAGCCTCCCAAAGTGCTGTGATTACAGGTGTGAGCCACCACGCCCGGCCAGTACTAGCCAGTTATTTTATAGAACAGTTCTTACTGTGAGTTTGTCTGGTGTTTCCTCATGATGAGACTTATGTTATGCATTTTTGGCAAAAACATCATGAAACTGATGTTGACTCCTTCCCAGTGTATATGATTAAGAAGCGTATGATGTTGGTTTGTCCTGATATTGGTGTTGTTTCTGTCTGATGACTTGCTTAAGGTGGTGTCTGTCTGATTTGTCTAGTAAAGCTACCATTTTTTCCTTTGTATAAGTAATAATGTGAAGTGTTACTTTGAGACCATGTAAATATCCTGGTCCTTATCAAACTTTTACTGAGTGGCTTTAACATCTATTGATTATTTCCTAACCCCATCATTCCTATTATATTTAATAGTTGGCATTCTACTGTAAGGAAGTAATTTTCTTTCACCCTTGTTTGTTGGTTGTTTATATTAACATGAATTTATGGATATTTATTGTTTTCAGTGGTTTCTAATCCATTACTAGTCATCATTTATTTGAATACCAAATTGTCCTAGATTTGGCCAGCAGGAGGTTCTTTCAGTTGACTCCTGTATGCTTTTGACATGGCTACATAATTCTTAGAGCATGTCCTTATTTCCTGGTGCCACAACATGTTTCAGCAGTTTTGTTTCACCGGTTTTTAGATGACTATTAATGTCTCTTTGTATGCTGTGTGAGAAAAAAATAATGTACATATGACCCAACTACTTTGGACGGAAATCCATTTTTAAACAGACTGGGCATATCTTGTACTTTAGTTGAAACCATTATAGTGGTGACAAAAATAATAATCTTAAAGGTTCTTTTTTGTGTGTTCAAAAGAAAGAATTATTTCTTTCAGGACAGTGGTCAGTTGAAACAACAACAACAAAAGAGAACTTAAGATCAGGAAACCTGGGTTTGAGTCCCCAATCCAACTGAACAGCTATTTTAGAGAAATTTACACAAGGGTCTCAAAGTTTTCTCATTTGCAAAACGGAGCTGTGAAGGTTCTGTTTGGCAACATATGATAAAGCATTATCAAATATATAGTATTTCCTCGGCCCAGCATGCCATAATAGGTTTCAGACTAGGTATAGTGTTTTTGATTATGTGGATAACTATCTTAAAATCCTTCTGAATGTAGTCGAGGATGTTTATAAGAGTATTTGAAATAAAACTTAGGAGCCATGCAAAAAACCCAGGTCAGTTATCTTCTGTATTAGAAATGATAAGCACAAACTGTATGCTTGTTCAACTGCTTTCCAAAATAAAACATTTTTTGATAGTTTGAAATTGGGTATATAAAGAATATGCAATTGAAATAACTCAACTTTTGGGTGTTTTTGTTTTTGTTTGTGAGATGGAATCCCTGTCGCCCAGGCTGGAGTGCAGTGGTGCAATCTCGGTTCTCACTGCAGTCTCCGCCTCCCAGGTTCAAGCGATTCTCCCGCCTCAGCCTCCCAAGCAGCTTGGACTACAGGTGCACACCATGACACCCAGTTAATTTTTGCATTTTTATTAGAGACAGAGTTTCACCATGTTGATCAGGCTGGTCTCAAACTCCTGGCCTCAAGTAATCTGCCCACCTCAGCTTCCCAAAGTGCTGAGATTACAGGCATGAGCCACCACACTCAGCCAAAATATGAATTTTTTGGATAGTCTTGAAATTTGTATCTTATTTATCTAATCAGTTTGTTTGTTAAATTTCCATTTTATTTTGCACTGGATTAAAAACATCATTATTATAAATATTTTTGCATTGCTTTACAATTTACAAAGCACTTTCACATGCATTCTCTTATTTAATATTCACAGCAATCCTGTGAGTTATATAGAGCAAAATTAGTATCCTCATTTTATAGATGAGGAAACTGAACCTCAGAAGTGTAAGGTCACATTCTGTGTAACAGATGGCGCAGGAACTGTGAGTTGGTGGCTACTGCATTCCCAGTACTGGAGACAAACCTAGCACATCACAACACCCAGTAAATATTTGTTGAATGGATAGATGGAACTCAAAAGCAGGTCTTCTGATTCCAGAATTTCAGGTCATAGGACATAAAATAAAATTCGAATCAACTCATAATAATGTTGAGTGATGCTGATAAACAAGCCTTTCCTGGCAACCAGGAATAATCTACAAATATAAGAAGTCGAAAGATGTTCAGCATTGCTCATATTTAAATACAGACCAATCAAAACAAGGACATGCCATTTTTACCTATCAGATTTAGCAAAGATAACAAAATGGGCTATTCTGGGAACCAGGGAAGATGTGGGAAACAGACACACACTGGTGTGCCGCATGCAAACTCTTGCCACCCACTTGGAGAATGTGTTGCTGTCTTTCAATCTTTCAGATGCACGTAACCTTTTCCCTAACAAGTTCACCTTTAAAAACTGTTGCTACCGACTCCCATATGTACTCAAAGATAGATGCCTAAGAATTTTCACATGCACGTTATTTGCAGTAATAAACAACCAAAAACCATTTAAATGTTAATGAATAGACTAACGATAGTGTAGAATATTGACAGGATGGAAAACTATGCAGCCATTAAAAGGAACAAGGCAAGTCAGTGTGTGCTGATATGGAACAATCTCCAAGATATATTGATAATTGTAAAAAGCAAGATGTCAAAAAGCCAAAGGAAAACCTATACTGACCTGTGTTTGCCTATGCGTAGACTGTCTCTGGTTAGATTCAGAAGACACTATTAACAATTGTTCACTGGCCAAGGGGATTGGGGCAGGAGAGACTTTACACGGGGAACCTTTGGATACTGTTTCACTTTATAATTAAAAGATAATTCGAGAAGATATATCAAGGCCTATTTCTTGGAGGCCAGAGCGCTCCTAACCCCTGAGCCTGCCTCAGCCTCTGGCTCCCACCCCCGCAGCCGCCCCGTCGCCTCTGAGCAGGACGGGGCCCCACTCACCCTTCCCGGCCGCAGACAGAGCGCGGGCGCCCGGGGGAGCCCTGCAGCGGGCAGCTCCGCAGCAGGAGGCCCCGCAGCAGCTGCGCGCCGGGACGGAGCATGACTAGGCCGAGGCCGAGGGCGCAGGCGCCTGCTCCGAGGCCAGCGGGCAGCCTGAGGCCGCGGGGCCGGCGGGGCGGGGGTCGGATCCTCCCCCCGGGCTGGGGGCGGGCTCCTAGACGGCCGCGCGCCCGGGAACCCGGCGCCCACAGAGCCGCGGCACCATGGCACCTGCTGGACGCCCGGGGGCCAAGAAGGTGAGTTTCGTCCCCTCGATCCTCGCGGAGCTCCTGGCCGCTGGGCTGCGAGCGACTCCGTTCACACCCGGCGTCCATCCCTAGCCAAGCCCTGGGGCCTCGGCAAAACACTTGGACGGGATGGCCCTGAGCCTCAATTTTCCCCTGTCACGGGTTGGTTAGCGTTTATGGAGCCCTTACTCGGTGCCTGGCGCTGCACAGAGTGCTGTGCTCAAGTTATCTCCTCATCTTCACAATTATCCCCATTTCACAGGTGAGGAAACTGAGGCTCGGCGAGTCAGGCGACTAGCTCAGGGTCACGGGTCCAGCCCCGCGGGGAGCGAGGATCAGAAGTCTAGCTTTCGGACGCATGTCGCGCACACATTTTCTTCCCTCAACCGACCCTCGCCCGCAGCTCTTTGGGCTAATCCGTCCGGGAACTCTTCGGACTGTCCCCTCGCGTTTTGGAAAAGTCAGCAGCCTGGCCAAGCAGCCTGGCCTTGCGAGTCGCCGGCTGGTCTGAAACTAGTCCTGGGCAAGGACGCCCCCAGAGCTGCGGTGCAGGGTGGAGGGTAGGTGGGATTCGCTAGCACCCCTCAACCTCCTCTCACCCGGTGGTCCCCAGCTCCTGGCCCCTTTCCTGGTCTGGTCACCAGATGTTGGCTTTATGCCCAGCCATTTCTACGTCGAGTATGTGTGGGGGTGGGATGAAGGAGTGACTAAGCAAAATTAGGAAGGGCATGAGCTTGGACGAAAGACATCCCCAGGACCCTTCAGAGACCCCCACCCGCTCCAGCCCTGTCATTCAGAATGGGAGGAAGGGAGGAGGGGCAGTTTATGCGTGGAAATGTGCACCACCGAGCTATTTATACTAAAAAGTTAGAAACGACCAAGATACTCTGCAATACGGGATTCTAAATAAATTAAGGTTCATCTACTTAAGTTATTAGACAGTTAAATAACTTAGTATGAGAACCAGCTAAGTGCCTTGGCAATGTTAAGTTGCAAAAGGAAATATATCACAAACTGATCCCAACCATATACAAATATTTATATACACACTGTAAGGAAGGACACAATAATGGTAATAGTTACACAAGATGTGGAATATTGGTTTAAAAAGCATGTTTTAGGATATTTTTTCAGGTTATAAAAGCAAAATGTGAGCATTGAAAGAATACAGTTAATAAAAATAATCAAAGAACATTGTGCTTTTTTCTCTCAACTTTCTCTAATGCTATGTTCATCTTTACAGTTCATATTTTTAAACGTTTTTAAAATGCCCTGTTTTTGTTCAGTGTCTTTGGGGCCTCTACTGTTACAACACCAAGATTATCACACACTAATCCATGTGAATGTGTACCTGGGAGTTAAGGTGTTAATGGGAAGGAACTAATCTCACCTCTCTCCTCAGCTAGCAGGTACATTTTAAGAATTCATTTAATTGCCACAGACAAGACCTCCAATTAGGTCTTAAATCCAAAAGAGCAGTTCTGCTGGCAAATCTAGGAAAAGGGGAAGTTATTTTAGACAGACTGGGTTTTTCTGATCACCTCCTACTACACAGTGAAGTTGATCCCCACTGAGTATGAATAGAGATGTCTTGAAGCCAGATCTTAAACCCAGAGGTCTTACGTAGTGATATCTGCAAAAAGGGGGCATAAATGCACCCTAGAGCTCGCTGTCAGATGCAAGGCAGGTTCACTGCCAAACTGATGGGGAGGAGGGAATGAAAATATAAATGTACTGCAAAATTAATTTACAGGGTTCCTTATTTTACATGTTCCTGTCTTTATAATTTTACAGTTGACTTTAGATCGTACTAGTATAATGGTGAGGAACAACACACACTGGGGCCTATCGAAGGGTGGAGGGTGGAAGGAGGGAGAGGATCAGGAAAAATAACTAATGGATACTAGGCTTAATACCTGGGTGAGGAAATAACCCATATAGCAAACCTCCAATGATGCACATTTACCTGTGTAACAAACCTGCACATCCTGCACATGTACCCCTGAACTTAAAAGTAAAAAAAAAAAAAAAAAAAAAAACTAAAGAAGGGATCATACTGGTATAGTAATTAATTGAGGTAGTTAGAATAGCAGTGAAGGAAGGGCTAAAAGATGCTCTGATCTCAAATCTTGATAACTTAGTTATTTTGCTAATGGCTATGTAGAAAAATGGCAAATTGGCCGGGCACAGTGGCTCACACCTGTAATCCTAGCACTTTGGGAGGCCGAGGCAGGCAGATCATCTAAGGTCAGGAGTTCGAGACCACACTGGACAACATGGTGAAACCCTGTCTCTACTAAAAAATACAAAATTAGCTGGGCATGGTGGCATGCACCTATAATCCCAGCTACTTGCGAGGCTGAGGCAGGAGAATTGCTTGAACCCTGGAGGTGGAGGTTGCAGTGAGCTGAGATCGCGCTACTGCACTCCAGCCTGGGCGACAAGAGTGAAACTCTGTCTCAAAAAAAAAAAGAAAGAAAAGAAAAGAAAAATGGCAAATTTAAAATGGTGGACAAACATCCAGATAACAAATGAAAATGTCCTCCCTTTACTTGGTTTCATAAAGACACAGTCAAAATATATACTACAATTTTCTTAAAACCTACCTAATTGTCTGCTAAAGAGTAACATTTTTTCTTCTTCAGGACAAAAATTCTAGCATATGCAATACATCTGACATTTTCAAAACAGTCCTGTTTATTTGCTAATTCTTGGCATAGTTTCTTAAGTGTCTACTCATTTTAGTTGTTATATGTGGTGGTAGGGATATAGACCAATAAGATATGTCACCTGCCCCCAAGCCTCTTACAGTCAAACTGAGGTGACAAGTAAGTAACCAGATACTGCTGTACAGGGGGATGCATGAATGAAGGATCTGTGAAGTTAAGCAGGACACAAAAGGGGTATAATCACAGGTGAGACTGGGTCAGTGAGCCTGTGCTCTGGTAGCAATGGAAGACAGTTCAGAGTAGGGCTGGAGAGAACTGGAGACCATTTCAATAATCAAATGCAGTGAGGATGGTGGGGCATTTGAGAAATGTGTAATACACTTGGCATAACCCTGTGATAGGTTGGATGTGGGAGGTGAGAAGCTAACCTACAACATCTGAATTCTGTGCCAATGTTTTCCCTCGACAATTGTTTGAGTAAATTTGATTCTTTTTTTTTTTTTTTTGAGACAGAGTCTCACTCTGTTGCCCAGGCTGGAATGCAGTGGCACAATCTCAACTCACTGTAACTTCCAACTCCCAGGTTCAAGCTATTCTCCTGCCTCCACCTCACAAGTAGCTGGGATTACAGGCACCTGCCACCATGCCCAGTTAATTTTTGTATTTTTAGTAGAGATGGAGTTTCACCATGTTGGCCAAGCTAGTCTCAAACTCCTGACCTCAAGTGATCTGCCTGCCTCAGCCTCCCAAAGTGCTGGGATTACAGGCGTGAGCCACCGCGCCTGGCCTAAATTTGATTCTTAACATGGTGAACCTAATGAAGTGTATGGGATTTTCAGGAAAACAGTTTGTACACAGTAACTGTACCTCTGACTTTCTCTTCTGTATTCCTGTGTAGCATTTATTGGTCACATTCTGCTGTGATTATTTGTTGATTTATTGGCCTTCCCCAAAGTAGCCAGACTTTGAGCTTGTGGAGGGCAGAGACCTTGTCTTATTCTGATGTTTATCCCACTTGCCCACAACTATACCTGACATGTGGAAGGTCTCAATAAACGTCCAAAATTTAAGGCCTTTTTTATATTTCAAAAGTACAAATTGAAAAGAGTGAATTGCATTTGATGCAGGGAGGAGAAAGAAAGAGATGAGAATCAGTAAATATTAACATTTCTTCTGCATTCAGCTAAAATTCAGCTTTAGATATAAAATATGGAAAAATAACCAGAGTTGAGAGCTCTCTCTGCCAAAATAGTGTTTATGTTTAACATAGTTCACACAGCTGGGCTCCATTTGCCTGCCCTCCAAGTGCACAGTAAAAAGATGCTGTAGGTAGAGTGACCTGGTATTTACCTCTAGTTAAACCCCTTCTGATGGACCTTCTTGCACTGCAGAGGAAAGAAAACTAACCACTTTGCCAGACTCCTTTGCAGCTAGGATCTGGATAAGAACTAGCATCCCCAATCAGATGCACCAGTATGAGTCTGGGAAGGTGGAAGCATAGCAAATGTGGCCATAGTGCAGCATTCCAGGGTCACGTGAGGGGCAGCTGAGGTCGCTGGAGCAGCCTCCTTCTCCCTATATGACAGCTGTGTCCTGAAGCCAACAGTTCAATAGTGGCTTCTCTTAGTTGTGGCAGAGGGTGCAGCCCCAGCCGGCCAATTCAGTCATGTTTTTCTAGGGGTCATTTCTGGAAGCCCAGTGTAAATTTTTTATGTACCCATTTCTCAATATTAAACTCCTTTCTGCTTAGTCAGAGTGGTTTGTACTTCTGCAGCTAAACTGAACATGGGGAGAAAGCTAGAATAAGCCCCCTCTCTAGTCATGCCATTCGATGGAGATTAAGAGATTATTCAAGCCATATTTGACCTCTCATGTTTGGTTCCATACTGTTAACAGGACTGTCCTGGGAGGCTCTGTGGGAAGATCCTCACGTCTGCTTTAATTTCTGGTTGCTTTTATTAGATCCAGGATTGACCCAGCTAAGGACAAAGACTCCTGTAACCAAGATCAAATTAGCTTCCCTCTTATTCTTTATTGCCTTTATGGCCTTCCAGCCTCCTGGGAAAAGATTGAAGAAAATAGTATATCAAGCAATATGGCCAAAATGTGTTTGGGATCTCTTTGTTCCTTGGTATCCAAGGAAGCTCGCTCCTGACACCTGGGTGGGTCACTTTGTGTGGGGAGTAAGCAAAGGAGAAATAGCAGATGCCAGACACTAGAACAGAAGCAGTTTCTCTCCAAAATCTGTTCCCCCTCCTTCCGAAGGATTAGCGTTGGAGCTGGACACATGGACATTCACTGATGATACTTCCTGGCTTCCCTTGCAGCAAGGTAGAGCCATGTGGCTAAACTCTCACGCAGGAAATGTAAATGTCAATGAGATGAGTCACTTCTAGGTCTGAGCTAAAAACTTTAGGATGAGCTTTGCCACACTGTTTCCTCATCGTTTGAGACAGAGTATGAACGTGACTCTGATCCAGTTTCCCCCATGCTGAGGAGGACAGTACCCTAGGGCTGGGTTGGCAAACGCTTTCTGTAAAGGGTCAGATAGTAATTATTTTTAGCCTTGGGGGCCATACAGTCTCAGTGGTAACTACTCAACTCTGCTACTGTAGTGGAAAAGTGGCCATTAGACAATATGTAAATCAATGGGCAGGGTTTTACCTAAGACTGTTTTTACAAAAACAGGTGATGTGCCAGATTTGGTCTGTGGGCTGTCATGTGCTGACCCCTGCCGTAGGGAATGGCAAAGCAATAAGATAAAAGGACTGTGCAATTTGGTGCACACTCTGTAAAAAAGAGTCCCCCACAAACAGTGGCTTTCCTCTTACAGAGGAAAAAGAAACTACTTTTATTTAAAGCCACTGTTGTGGGGGCCTCTTTTTTACACAGCTTAGTTTTACCCTACACCCAACACGTAGGCCAGTAAGCTGCCTATGTACCCTGCTTGATGTCTCCCTTGGATTCAGGAACTGAGGGGGTTTATGTTGATTTCATAGAACAGATAAGACTAGTTAAAAGAGGCATCTGAGGCTTTTCTCCCTGATCCATTCATTGCTTTGTGTCCAGCTATGGGCAGGCCTGAAATGAACTGGCCTATTATCAATAAAAGGTTGCATCTTCCACTGATGCAGCCTACAAAAGAGGGATCAGGATTGCTGTGGGGAGTTGGGAGGAGTGGGTGGTTTGCATTGCTCAGGGAAGGCATCTCTGAAAAGGTGACACTTGACCAAAGACCAGAAAGCAGTGAGGGGATGACCCTGCAGGCACCTGGGGAGATGTGCTTTAGACCAAGTGAAATGGGAAAAGTTCCCTTATGCCCCTTGCAGGGTGTGTGATGGAGGCGTGGATCACTTCTTCAGCACCCCACAGCTTAAACCCCTAGGGGGAGCATGCAGGTACCCCATGGCAGCATCTAGGGGTGAATGTTTACAGCTCCTGAAGCCCCAGTGGGTGTGTGTTACAGTGTGCTCTTTCAGCTTAGCTGTCCACTGGCAGCTTGTGTTAATCAGCTCAATTAGACCCTCCGCCTTATCGAAAGGACAGAGGGCTTTCTGTATCCTGGGGTTCTTGCCAGTGTACTGGAAAAATTGGATCACACATGGGCTTGGAGAATGAGTGCAAGGTTTTATCGAATGGTGGAAGTAGCTCTCAGCAGATGGATGGGGAGCCAGAAGGGGGATGGAGTGGGAAGGCGGTCTTCCCCTGGAGTCAGGCCGCTCAGCAGCCAGACTCTCCTCTGATTACCCCTGGCTGAATTCCACTTCGTCTGTGTCATTCTGCCACCGATGGCCTGCCAGAGTCTGTGTGTTCTTCTGCCAGTGTGTTCCTCTCAACGTCCAGCTGCTTGTGTTTGTGTTTGCTAGGGTCTTGAGGTTTTTATAGGCACAGGATGGAGGTGTGGCGGGCCAGGGTGGTCTTGGAAAATGCAACATTTGGGCGCAAAAACAGGAGTGCCTATCCTCACCAGGGTCTGTGGGCACAGGCCTGAGGCCTTTCTGTATCAAAAGGAAACTGCACCCCATGGCTAACTGCTCTGAATGGAACCTTTTAAATAAGTTATGAGTGGGCTAAATAGGAAGGTGGTAAAATAGAAGGAAAAGAGAGTAGGAATTTAGAAGCTAGTCTGATTTTTTACTTACTTAGCTCTGTGATCTTGGGCAAGTCAACCATTCTGAGCCTCAGTTTCCTCATCTACACCTGAGAATAAAAACTGTGTCCTGCCTCACTGGCAGAGTTGCTGGGAGTGCCAAATGATAAGACACGTGTGAACACACTGCATGACTACAAAGCGTTGTGTCCACTACCGTTCTGTTCAGTGGCTGACACGAAGAAAAATTATTTTTCTCACCTAACAAGAGGTCCAGGGGTAACAGCCCATGGCTGCCGCAGCCACCCAAGGATGTCTTAAGAAATCTGCCTCATATGGCTGTCAGATGACTGCTGTATTCCCAGGCATTATGTTGGCATTCCAGCCAGGAAGGAGGAAAATAGACAAAAGGGAAGGGAGTGGGCGTCTATGTCAGGAAAGCAAAACTTTTCCAGAAATCCTCCACCAGCTTCCGTATGTGTCTCACTGGCCAGCACTGTGTCACAGGGCTGCTCCCAGAGGCAAAGGAACCTGGGAATTTTTTGAAAGTTAGGGGCATTGTCCCCCCACACAAAAACAGGGGAGAGAATGCACACTAGGTAGACAACTAGCTGTGTTGTCACAAACATGTTGAAAAGCCAAAATAACTATCGTGGAATCAGTGCTATAATTTGACTCAGATTAAATGTTATTTAAGAATAAATAGTCTCAGCCCTTTCATTGTACAAAATAGGAACCTGGATCGGCCAAGAAATATGGTATGCTCAATCTTTCTGAAATATTATTAGAGCACATGATTTTAACAAAACTACAGCTCTAAGAACGTAATACCACTTCACCTAAAATTAGAAAATGCTTTTAGGAAAAAAAAAAAAAGTAGAGCGGAGCTTAGGTGCTTTTTTTCTCTTCTTCAGGGGATTTTGGAGCGCCTGGAGAGTGGGGAGGTTGTGATTGGAGATGGCAGCTTTCTCATTACTCTGGAGAAGAGAGGCTATGTGAAGGCTGGGCTCTGGACTCCAGAGGCAGTGATAGAACACCCAGACGCAGGTTGGTGTCCACATCCCCAAGAGTGTCTACCTGAGTGGTATTTTATTTAAATCTGATTGAGAGAAGATCAAGAAAAAAATAACAACTGTTTCAAAGGGGTGTTTTGCTTGCTAAGATTGCCAAGATGTGGAGATAATGGCAGTATACAGGCGGAAGTATATGGAAGAAAATGACCTCTCTCTCTCTCATACACACACCTACCCACATCACACACCCACCCATCCACACGCCCACACACACTCCCACACACACACATCCATGCACTCACACCCCAACCCCACATCCACACACACCCCACATCCACACCCACATACACCACAAACACACATACACACCCACACAACACACTCTCACACACACACACACTCTCATACACACACACATCTGCATCTTAATGTACAGGCAGTGCTAAAATAGACATCTTAATATTTGTTCCATGAATATTTACCTTGTAGATATACAGAGTTTCCTTAAAACAGCAAAACTGTTCCTGCTTCTGATTCACCCTGCTGACAATGTGCATGGTTAAGTGTAACAGCGTTTATAGTGAGGGTGATTAATGGTAGTCACAGTGTAACAGAGCACAGACAGCCAGGTTCCAGGGTTGGGAGGGCAAGGAAGTCAACACAGTTTTATATCATCCTCCTGGCTGGGAAAAAAAAAAAAAAAAAAGAGCTAGAGGTAAAGAACTATGATGGGATTAGATAGTTACCTGAAATGAAAACTTTAATTCTCTTCTAACTCTTTTTTTGTGTGTTTGTTCTCCTAAATTAAAGTGAGAAAATAAAGCCAAAGAATGAAATGGGTGTAAGAGAACACTAGCTGAGACTGGAACTTTTGATTCACTCTGATTTTATGTATATTCACACAGCGTATCAGATAAACCTAGGGTCCTGTCTTGATTCTTCCACTGACCAGCTGTGTGACCTTGGACAAGTCACTTGACCTCTCCAAGGATCCATATCTTAATCTGTTTCATGGGGGCACAACATGGGCTAGGTGTGAGGACTCACAAGTTAACCCGTGTGAAGTGCCCGTATCATCAGTACGATGGCCGTTATGATTGGTGCATCGGACACCCAGAGTTCTGTGGTAGAGCAGGACCAAGTTTTGTTCCTTTGGTGCTTAACAGGATGTTTTCATCTGGCCCAAGAAGAACTTGTTCTTAATGTTAAAAGACCTTTTTGCTAAACTGGGAAGAAAGTGCTGGAATAACAAGAGTAAGGATAAGGGAGGAGGGGCGAAAGTGGTGAAGGAGAGGAAGGAATGACTTTCAGATAGCCAGGAAAAGCTTCCAGACTGCTTTCTGATGTTCCCAAACTGCTTGCTCTGACTCTGATATGGGTGCCACCCACATGCATTCTGCTTTCTATGAGAAGCTCCTCACTTTACTTTAAGGGCTGCCAATGCTGACTATAGTAGACCAGCTCTGTCCTTTACAACACAGGTATAGAATAAACCTCTCTAGACCAAGAGACCAAGGGTTAATTGGCCAGTCAGGCCTTAATCTCTGCATGTGACTGCACCAAGTCATTGAGGCCCATCACCAGAACAATACAAGGCTGCTCTAAACAGTACATCCTGCCTATGAATTCTACTGACCTTAATCTATAATTTTTTGTTACTACTAGGTTTGAACTGAGGTATGATTGAAAGAGATGGGAGTCAGTGAGCTACTGCTGCTTTTGAAAATGATAGCTTCTGTAATATTTCTTTATTCATTTATTTCAATGTTTAAAACCCAACTACTTTGTAGTTCGTCAACTTCACATGGAATTCTTGAGAGCAGGATCAAATGTCATGCAGACTTTTACCTTTTCTGCCAGTGAGGACAATATGGAAAGCAAGGTAAACGGCAATGGCTGGGTGTGGGGGAGGGAGTCATCTATTAAAAAATAACCTCTTCATGGGAAGCTATGGAATTGATTATGTGTTACTATACTTTATTACAAAGTCCATATAAATATGTATTAATTTTCACGTGAAGATATATACTAAATAGGTCGGGCACAGTGGCTTACACCTGTAATCCCAGCACTCTGAGAGGCCGAGGTGGACAGACCACTTGAGCCCAGGAGTTCCAGATCAGCCTGGACAACATGGTGAAACCCTGTCTCTACTGAAAATGCAAAAATTAGCTGGGTGTGGTGGCAGGCGCCAGTAATCCCAGCTACGCAGGAGGTTGAGGCATGAGAATGGCTTCAACCTGGGAGATAGCATTGAGCCGAGATCACACCACTGCACTCCAGCCTGGGTGACAGAGCAAGACCCCATGTCAGCAAAAAAAAAGAAGTTAATATATACTAAATGAATTAGCTTTCTCTTCCCATTTAGGTAGAGGAGGGGTCAGGACTAGGGGTAAAATAAACCATTGGAAGGGCATGGCTGTCTTCTTGTGCTATTTTTTAGAGAGAAAGCACTTCATAGATGCTCTTTTCACCTTCTCATTTCACACTTTTCTCTTCTGGAGACAGGGAGGCCCTAAAAAACAATACTGGAGTAGAAATGAGAAAAAACGGGTTTGATATCCAGCATTGCCACCTATTGGCTGTGTGGCTTTGTGTAAGACACCTACCTGCATTGAGCATTGGTTTTCTCTCTGTAAAATGGAGACAACAGTAGTGCTTAAATTCATAGACCTGTTGAGAAGAGTAAGTAAGACCAAGGATGTGAAAGTATTGTGAAATATTCTGCAAATGTAAAATGTTAATACGTGTAAATGTTAATGCCCATTAATTCATTCAACCAACCAACATGTACTGAGTATCTGTTACAGTCCATTCTCTATGTTAGACTCAAAGTTGATACAAAGGCATAGACCCTATCTGGAGGTGCAAGGTCAAGTATGGGAGGCAAACAAATAGTTATTAAAATCCAATGTGGTAAGTACAATAATGGAAATATAAGGTCATGGTAACAGAGGAGATTGTACCCAACTCTGCTGGTCTTTTCTGCTTGCATTGAAGAGAGTGGCTTATACTCATCTTACTTGTTTATTGTCCCTTTAGTTATCTTTTATATTTTACCTTCAAACTGCTAGGCTCACTATCTGAACTCTTGCTCTCTAACCTCAGTGGGAAGATGTAAATGCTGCTGCCTGTGACCTCGCCAGGGAAGTGGCTGGCAAAGGTGATGCTTTGGTAGCAGGGGGGATCTGCCAGACATCAATATACAAATACCAGAAGGATGAAGCTAGAATTAAAAAACTTTTTCGACAACAGCTAGAAGTTTTTGCCTGGAAAAATGTGGACTTCTTGATTGCAGAGGTGAGGCTAGTATTGGAGGAAAAGGATTGAACCTATTTTGCAAGCATAACTGCAGAGTCTTCACATTTCATGAGGGTATTGGACAACATTCTGCCCTCATTTCTTCCATGTGGATGGTCAAAGGTTTATTTAAATGCATGGTAGTCAAGGCCAACATTCCCTCATTGGTATGCTAGGTTCTCTTAGAGCCAAAGGACAGACCCAAGAGAGGCCTGACCATAGCCTTTTATCTTCTAAGGTCTGGGTGGCTGCAGAAGCTGACTTGGGGGACTCTACAACCTATAAGGAAGCATAGGGCACAGTGCCTCCGGGAGCACCCTCTCCAGAGGGAGAATCCACACAGGAGGGCACTGCATGTGTGGGCTGGGGACTGAGAGAGCAAGGCCTGGAAGGTGGTGGCTATCCAGGCTCGTCTAGGCCCCACCAATAATGCTCAGCACCCAGTAGTTTCCATAGCCTTCTCCATCCATGTCTTGCTCTTCTTGCCTCTCTGCTTTCACTCAAGCTATGACATGTGAATTACATTTTGAAGAAAGAATCAGTAAGAATTGGTCATTGATTGGACATGAAGGCCCAGAACATTCTCTTTCCTCCACTTCCAAAACGAAAGTCCTCATTCCCCATTTCCCAACATAACTGCTACTGCCTGGGGTCATGCCTTCAACCCACAACTTTACTCCAAACAAGAGAATATCCCCTGGCTTGGCGCGGTAGCTCACACCTGTAATCCCAGCACTTTGGGAGGCCAAGGCAGGTGGATGGCATGAGGTCAGGAATTTGAGACTACCCTGGTGAACAAGGTGAAAGCCCATCTCTACTAAAAATACAAAAATTAGCTGGGCATGTTGGTGGGAGCCTGTAGTCCCAACTACTCTGGAGGCTGAGGCAGGAGAATGGCTTGAACCTGGGAGGCGGAGGTTGCAGTGAGCCAAGATAGGGCACCACTGCACTCCAGCCTGGGCGACAGAGTGATACTCTGTCTCAAAAGAGAGAGAGAGAGAATAGCCGCCACCATTATTCCCCCTAGTGACCCCACTGAACTCTACTGAAAACCTTGCCTCATCCTCCTGCCCACGCCTGGCCAACCCCACTGGGAACAGTCATCTGCAGGGACAAGCACAAATTCCACCCTCTGTGCTTTCCAGATGGATGATGACACCACTCTGTTTGTTTAAGAACCCGTCTTTTGATTCTCTCATAATTCCTCACACTGCTTCTGCAGAATTTGTTTCTAACTCAAGAGGGAAGAAACAGGAAGATTTCTGGCTTTTCTTTAGTTGCCTTAAGGTCAGCTTTTCAGCTGTGGCACTGAAGGGGCTTCCTGGGAAGCACCCAAGAAAATGACATGGGTTTACCAGACAAGATGTCCTGTCCACCACTGGCAAAGACAGGGAGTAGCTATTTCTCCTATGCTGTGCCTCAATCTTCTCACCCGGGGAAATGGTGCTTCCCTTCCTACTTTATGGAGCACTTATGAATATCTAACTAGAAGTGAATATAAAAGCTCTTTGAACTATAACACATGATAAGCTACTCATTGTTTCAGAGATTACCCCAGTTTTATAAGAGATGAATCTAAAATTTATTAGCAAAACTTTTCCTCCTTCAAAATTACAAAATTATGATTTTAAATACTCAATTACTTTGAAAACCTCTGGGTGTGTTTTCTTCTTTTTTACTAATAGGCATCATCTCACTGAATCAATGAACCCTGAATGAAAAACTATATGTTATTGTTATAGGAATGAAAATGTTTACTCAGAAAGGTATTCTTTAGTCAGTCTGATAGACACACATTCCTTAGCAAGTTTTATTATGCATATGTTTATATTCTATTTGGTAATTTTTATAACTGTTTTGCTATATTTACCTTTACCATTCAAAATCTGCTTTATGTTTGGACCAGTAGAAAAAGTGACATTTCTCTTAGTATTTTGAGCACGTTGAAGAAGCTGTGTGGGCTGTGGAAGTCTTAAAAGAATCAGATAGACCCGTGGCAGTTACCATGTGCATAGGCCCAGAGGGAGACATGCATGATATAACCCCCGGAGAATGTGCTGTGAGGCTGGTGAAGGCAGGTAATTTGGACCCATACCGTGATACACAGCTCAGTTGTTGCTTACGAAATTTAACAAAGTGTGCTTGATATTGTGAGAGCAGTTTGGAAATAGAAGAATGAACTCCAATCAGTTTTCTTATCTGTAAATTGTGGGAGGTGGAGGGGAATGGCTAACCTCTAAGGTACCTTCCAACTATTAAAAAAAAAGAATAAACAAATAAATAATAAAATGTAAGTGTTATTTCTTTGCACAGGGGCTTCCATCGTTGGCGTGAACTGCCGCTTTGGGCCCGACACCAGCTTGAAGACGATGGAGCTCATGAAGGAGGGTCTTGAGTGGGCAGGGCTGAAAGCGCACCTCATGGTGCAGCCTCTGGGGTTCCACGCGCCTGACTGTGGCAAAGAGGGGTTTGTGGATCTCCCAGAATATCCCTTTGGTAAGCTCAGGTGCATAGTAGAGGTCCTTGTATTTCTCGTGACAAAATCCAAATGGCTATAATAAATTGTGGCCCAGTTTTACAATAAGAGACTGCATATGACAAAACATTCAGAGTTAACCAAAAATGAGCTATCAGAAGAATGCATCATCTAAAGTTTATAGTTTTTTTAATTGGAAAAACTGCTCATTAGAGCATCCATCATTTGAAAATGAGAACAGTAACAGAAATGCTGTTAACTATTGTGATTCAGGACTGGAGTCCAGAGTTGCCACCAGATGGGATATTCAAAAATACGCCAGAGAGGCCTACAACCTGGGGGTCAGGTACATTGGCGGGTGCTGTGGATTTGAGCCCTACCACATCAGGGCAATTGCAGAGGAGCTGGCCCCAGAAAGGGGCTTTTTGCCACCAGCTTCAGAAAAACACGGCAGCTGGGGAAGTGGTTTGGACATGCACACCAAACCCTGGATTAGAGCAAGGTAAGCATTTTTAAATTAACATTCTTATTATTTTCCTTTAATCTCATTTTATTTATTGTTGTAAATGTCATGCATGCACATGACAAAAAGTATAGAAATGTATAAAGTGAAAAGTAAAAATTATCCCCTTCCTGATACCAGCTCCATTCCCAAAATTGTCTTTAGTCCATTTGGGCTGTTAGAACAATACCATAAACTGGGTGGCTTATACACAACAGAAATTTCTTTCTCAGTTCTGGAGACTGCAAAGTCCAAGATCAAGGTGTCAGCAGATTCAATTTCTGGTGAAGGCCTTAGAGATGATAAAGGCCATCTATAAGGAAGCAGGCATTCCTTATAGATGATACCTTCTTGCTGTGTCCTCACATGGTAGATGGGGCACCACAGCTCCCTGGGGCCTCTTGTCTTTTTTGTTTGTTTGTTTGTTTGTTTGTTTCTGAGATGGAGTCTGGCTCTGTTGTCCAGGCTGCAGTGCAATGACACAATCTCGGTTCACTGCAACCTCTGCCCCCCAGGTTCAAGTAATTCTGCCTCTGCCTCCCGAGTAGCTGGGATTACAGGCGCCCACCACCACATCCGGCTAATTTTTGTATTTTTAGTAGAGACGGGGTTTCACTATGTTACCCAGGCTGGTCTCGAACTCCTGACCTCGTAATCCGCCTGCCTTGGCCTCCCAAAGTTAGAGTGGGGCCTCTTTTCTAAGGGCACTAGTCCCATTCATCAGGGATGCATCCTCATGACCCAATCACCTCCCAGTGGCTCCACCCCCTAATATCATCACACTGGTGACTAGGTTTCAACATGTGCATTGTGGGGACACAGACAATCAGACCATGGCACAGAGGAAACCTGTTTGTCATTTGTGTTTTGAAATCTTGTACCTCTATTTCTTTTGTCATCAGTTTTAAGTGGTAACTATTGATAACCCTTTATGAAAGCTGAGGGATTTAAATCACATAGGCTTCCCCTTTTCCCCGTTCTCCTTTTTCCAGTTTTGATTCGTTACACTTTTATTTCTTCTGTTGGATATCTTTTTAAGTTAAAATTATATATTTAACCACCTGTTTCTTAGTTCATCAATATAAGGCAGGAATCTCTTGACTCCACTCTCTGTAAAATAAGAATAGATTCCCCTCTGCTTCTTTCCACCTTCCCTCTCTCATCTACCCCTTGGTGTCTTTAAGTTTTACCATACTTTACTATCATCAAGGTTTATAACCATTTTGTTCTATTCTATAGTTATAATTGTCTTTCAAGCTTTCTCTGTAGGTTGATCCTAAAAATATAAAATCAGTGAATAACATTTACAATATTATTATAATTGTTATATTAAACAAGCAGGACTCATGAGACATAATTAGAATTCACTTTTATTTTTGTCTCCCTCTATCCCTTTAAACCTACTCAATGAATTCCTTCGTTTGTTCCTACTTGAAAATACTGACCAGCTCTAGAACTTCTCTGGGTGCTCTTAGGCAATGGAAAGTTCCATAATCACTTTATTTCACAGATAGTCTCAGTTCAGTAATTAAAAGTGTTTAGGACTGGGCACAGTGGCTCACGCCTGTAATCCCAGCACTTTGGGAGGCCGAGGCTGGTGGATCACCTGAGGTCAGCAGTTCAAGACCAGCCTGGCCAACATGGCAAAACTTCATCTCTACTAAAAATACAAAAGTTAGCCTGGCGTGGTGGCGGGAGCCTATAATCCCAACTACTCGGGAGGCTGAGGCAGGAGAATCGCTTGAATTCAGTGGGGTGGAGGTTGCAGTGAGCCAAGATTGTGCCACTTAACTCTAGCCTGGGCAATAGAGCGAAACTCCATTTCAAAATGAACAAACAAAAAAACCCCAAAAATAAAAAATAAATAAAAGTGTTCAGGTTCATGTCAAATCAAAACTCAGAGCATGTTTGAAACTTGAAGCTTCTCCCTTTGTCCAGCAACAGCCTTCCACAGACAGGAAACCAGGAGAGGCCAGCGCGCTGCTTCTCTTTCTCTGTTATGCTCCCAAACTTCCCTTCCCATCTTGCTACCATGGTTTCTGGCCTCCTCAGATTCAAAGTAAGAAGAAAGAGGATGGATAAAGGAGTAAGACTGTTGTTGCTTGCCTGGCACCCTGATAGGAAGCCGGCATCCTCTGACCCTGGCAGATCTTTGTGAGCACGCTCATGGGTCTTCAGAGGCTCCCACTGGAAACTTTTGTCTGTACTTCTCATGCCACAGGCATTTTTCTGACTGTGACTTCTGCCTCAGACAGTGGCTTTTTCAACCAGGTCACTCCAGATATACTCTGATTTGGGGGTCCTGTTGTCCTCCCCGGTAATTCTCTTGGGCCAGATTTTAGATAGTTCAGGCTGGCTCTCTCACTCTCATTAGGCTCAAAACAGCTTTCACCCTTTCTGCAGACAAGCCATGAGAGTGTGGTCTGACCCCAATTTAACAGCACCCCTTTTGCCCACAAGCAAAGTAGCTGGCCCATTGTTCTCTTGTGGTCCAGATTTTCCAGGGGACAGTCAAATGAGTCATCTGGCTGGTTCGTGGCCACCTCCTTTTAACTTCTGTGCAGTGTCTGTCTTGCAACTCCCCTTGATACCTAAAATCCATCATGCCTTGGTGTTTCCAGTCAAACTTCCAATCTAATACTCTGTTGCAGGAATAATAGAAAATTGTTGCATTTAGAAAAACGTTCACTGCAGAACAAAGTAGTATGCATGGGACCATGGATAAAGAGAAATAATCCTATTTACAAAACTTGAGCTACTTGTTGGAGAATGTTCCAAGCATCAAGGTCAAATGAATTTTCTTCTCTTGCATTCCCGTGGATATATTGTCCAAATCCATGCCATATTTCAATTTGCTTCATACTTGGTCTGACTTTCTTTGTATAGCCTTTGGTTTTCTAGGGATTTCTGATTAACTTCCTTTTCCATTGTTGAAAGAAAAATAACAGGGCTTCACTTTCCCTGAGGTCTTATAATTTCTAAATTATATTGTTTGTTACAGTAAGTCACTTTATTATTGAAGGCATTTTTCTTGGGGCCTCAAGAAAATTACTGTTCTGTTATGGATCATTGTATTTCACACACACACACTCATACTCTGTCTCTCTCTATCTTTCCATATAGATAATCTTTTGTGTATGTATGTGTGTGTGTGTGTGTATATATATATATATATATATATATATACATATGTATGTATATCTGTTGATATAATTCCATCCCCCTTCCATCTTCTAGAACTAGTCACAATCTCTGCTGTCTTCTCTCTGTTCAGTACTCTCATGTACTTCACCCATTTTGTGCTTATTTATTCATTTCAGTGGGATTTGAAAGTCTTCATTTTTGAACTGGAAAAATTTGCCTAATGCAAATTTACTTAGGTTGTAAAAGTAGGCAAGAATCACTTAGCCAAAGCTTTCTTCTAGGAGATATGGATATTTACCAGAGAAGATGTTTTGTATATGTGTCATACTTTTTAAAAAGTATTAAATATAAATATAATTAAAAGGTGAGGAAAACATACTTTGGTGATGATTAAAATAGTTTAAATAAGTGAGTAGTTTATTTAATTATCATCTGCTAGGAATCCTTAAAATTCATTAGCTATTAGAATTAAAACATTATTCTGTAGACCAAAGCAAGAAGACACCCTTTTTACCCTGACTCCCAAACCTACTGATATTCACAGAAATTTATGATTACACAATAAACACTAGATTTCTGACATCTCATCATCCAAAAATATTGATTTATTCATTGTTTTGTAAGTAAAGTGGAAAAAACAATAAAAATATATTCATCAGAAAGGGCTACGACCAGGGACCTTTGTACTCTTCTTCCTTTGTCTAACAACAAGAAACAAATATTGGTAAAGTAATTTGTATTATTTTCTTAGTTACTTTTTGGAGAATTATACTTTGACTCATTACATTAAAAACTGTTCTCGTATTCTTCTCATTACATTAAAATATTGATAGAGTTAGAAGGACTCTGTTAGAAATTTCAGAATAAATATAATTCATAAAAGTATGTGAAATGTAAGGCTGGGCATGGTGGCTTACACCTGTAATCCCAGTACTTTGGGAGGCCAAGGCAGACGGATCACTGGAGCTCAGGAGTTTGAGACTAGCCTGGGCAACATGGGGAGACCCTGTCTCTACTAAAAATACAAAAATTAGCCTGGTGTGGTGGTGCACGCCAGTAGTCCCAGCTACCTGGGGGGCTGAGGCAGGAGGATTGCTTGAATCCAGGAGGTCTAGGCTGCAGTGAGCCAAGATTGTGCCACTGCACTCCAGCCTGGGCAACAGAGCAAGACCCTGTCTCAAAATAAAAAGTATATGAAATTGAAATACGTTGTCTTTTTCTGAAAGGTGGTATGAAACCTAATGATTGTTATTGAAATGTAAGAAAGGCCCCTGGCATTAATGGATATGGACACAGTTTTCCGTCTGTATGTTAAAACAAAAGTTCTGCTTTAGCCTGATTATCCACCAAGTTTTGACTGTGTGTGTGTGTGTGTGTGTGTGTGTGTGTGTGTGTGTGGTTATATACATATACATACATATATACATATATGACATATTGGACTTATAGGTAAGACTTTTAATTAATTAATTATGTATATATTGAAACACAGGGCTCGAAGGGAGTATTGGGAGAATCTGCTGCCAGCTTCAGGCAGACCTTTCTGTCCTTCGCTGTCAAAGCCAGACTTCTAAGGAGTAGTGAAAGAAAACCCTGAAATAATCGAACAGGAAAAAGTTGCCCTCAAGCCTGACCTGGAACCGTTCCTCACCTTCATCCTCACCATGCCCTGCTATCTCCAGCTGCTGAGCAGCTGAGGTGCTGCAGCCCCTTCCCTTCCAGCCCACAAGTGTGTGCATATTGAGCTCCTGCTGTGGTTAAGCACTGCAACAGACTCTACCAGAGATGCAAAGAGAAGCGAGAGAGGCACCTTGTTCTCCAAGAACTTACTGTCCAATCATGCTGTGGTGCATTCCTTTGAAGATCATGAAGAATAGCCAAACTTGTCTTTGAGGGTGAATTTGACACTTTAAAATAATCAGAAGTCACTGAGACCCAAAGCTAGTGAATAATTCAAGTGACTAAGCTAGATACTTGAGGATGATAGAGCAACACTAAACTAAAGCAATGAGTCTGCTTTTTTTAATGATTTATACAATGACTCCAAAGGCAATCCCAAAGAAAAGATGTAAAGAATGTTTTGAGCAATGGTAGCATTATTGAAATAAATGTTTAACTATCCAAAGTGATTACTTTCAAAGATGATTTTTACTTAAAGATATTAGGTCTGGCCAGGCGAAGTGACTCACACCTGCAATCCCAGCACTTTGGGAGGCCGAGGCGGGCGGATCACCTGAGGTCAGCAGTTCAAGACCAGCCTGACCAACATGGTGAAACCCTGTCTCTACCAAAATACAAAAATTAGCCGGGCATGATGGCGGGTGCCTGTAATCCCAGCTACTCGGGAGGCTGAGGCAGGAGAATCGCTTGAACCCAGGAGGCGGAGCTTGCAGTGAGCCGAGATCAGGCCATTGCACTTCAGCCTGGGTGACAGAGTGAGACTCCATCTCAAAAAAAAAAAAAAAAGATATTAGGTCCTAGAATTTTTAAAATGTGTCTTCATAATCATAGGTAGCTAGGTTATAAACTATTTAAAGACAAGATCACGTGATAAGCTTATAATCTTCTCATAATTCCCCTTACTTAGCATTGTGTTAGACATACTAATAGGTGCACAGTGAAATACTTATTGTTGATTGTTTAAAAATAAAGTTTTAGAAAACCTTTTCAAAAGTCAGAGTTTAGGCCAGGGGCACAGGCTGACACCTATAATCCCAGCACTTTGGGAGGCCAGGGCGGGCAGATCACTTGGGTCAAGAGTTCAAGGCCAGCCTGGCCAACATGGCAAAACCCCATCTCTACTAAATAAAATACAAAAATTATCCAGGCATGGTGGTGCATGCCTGTAATCCCAGCTACTTGGAGGCTGAGGCATGAGAATTGCTTGAACCTGGGAGGCAGAGGTTGCAGTGAGCTGAGATCGCCCCACTGCAATCCAGCCTGGGAGACATAATTCAAATCTATTTTGGTCTTATATCTTCTTATGTTTGTGTTATTTCATGTGTGCCAGTTTCTCTTTTTTTCACAACAATTTATCAATTTGTGGCAATAAAAATGATTTACCTTTTATAGTGTTTGAATGTCGAAAATGTCATGAACATTCTTTGGAATAATACTAGCAAATATTTATTACTCACTATGTCGCAGTCTTTGTTCTAAAGATGATCTCATCTACATATACCCCCCAACAGGGATTCAAAATTAGATAGTGTTTAACACAGTAGTTTACAGGTAAGGAAACTGAAGTTTAAGGAGGCTAGGTAACTTGCCTGAGGTCACACAACTAGTAAATGTGAAATTAGTAAATTTGGATTTGAACCCATGGGGCTGGCTCTAGAATCCATGCCCTTAGCTACTGCACTACACGGCATCTGTCATGCACACAGCTGCTGCTTTTTGTCAAAAATCTATCCAAATTTTTCTGTCGCTGGATTCAAAGTATTTTTTATCAACTTTCCTTATTATGAATTAACTCTTCAAACCTGCCATGACTGTTTCTGTAATGTTGACAACCTGGAATTTATTTGATATAGCCACTTTACCCATAATACACAACCCCACCCTGCTGGAAATTAGAAAGTGAATCATTTACTATTATCTCAAGGCCTTTGGGGTCCTTAAGGGTGACTAATCCAAACCACCAATTAAATACCTGAATATCCTCGCCAGCATCTTCATCAGGACCATCCAGTCCCTGTTTGAATCCCTTAAATAGTAACTCACTACCTCTCGAGATCACTTACTCCTTTTTAAGAAACACTTCATTCTCTGGAAAGTTATTCCATGTATTAACTAGAAATCTATTTATTAATGACCCTCACCTGCAGACTTGGAGCACCTAAAGTGCAAATTTATAATTTCTTCCATATAACTCTTTGAAATTTAAAGATAGCTGTATGGCTTTCCTATACTTACTTGTCCTCATTTCCTTCAACTAAAAGGCATAGGCTAAGATGTGCTTTGTCAAATCTACCTGTGTGACACTGTACAGTTACTTAAGCTTTATGCCTTAATTTCCTCATCTGTAAAATGAGGGTAAAATAGAACCATCCTTATTAGGGTGCTATGAGGATTAAATGAGATAAGTTTCTTAGAAACAGTGCATGTCGTATAACAGGCATTCATTGCACATTATATAGTATAATATAATTATGTTGACTTGGTTTCCAATCCCCTCATCCTCATGGTGACTGTCTTCTGGGAACACTCTGGTACCAAAGCCTCTGCTTATTTTTAGTATGTAGTCCTGAACACCACATTCCAGGGGAGGACCGTTTACACAATATCTCCTGCTTGCTTCATAGATTTTGTGGAGAGGGCAGTGCAGGACATCATGAGAATAGCAAGAGTGAAGAAGGTACATTAGGAGGGAGAGATGTCTCCACACCGAATCCCTTCCTTGGGTCTGCACCAGCACAAACAAAGGCTTTTATCTAGTTACTGTACAGTTTAGGTGTGCTAAACTGTATAGGAGTTTGAGACCAGCCTGGGTAACATGGCAAAACTCTGTCTCTACAAAAAAATACAAAAATTAGCTGGGCATGGTGGTGCATGCCTATAGTCTCAGCTAGTCAAGAGGCTGAAGCTTGAGCCCGGGAGGTCGAAGCTGCAGTGAGCTGTGATCACACCACTGCACTCCAGCCCGGGTGACAGAGCAAGACCTTGTCTCAAAAAAAAATAATAAAATAAAATAAAATAAAAATAAAAATTAAGAAAGAAAAAAAGATAAATTTTACCATATAAAAACTTTAAATGTATGAACACTCACACAAAAATACTCTAAACAAAGGCAAAGGCAAATAGGAAAACTGTGTAACAGAGGTCAGAAACCACTCTTCCAGTAAAGGGGTCTTGAGCTGCTTTTGTTCAAACCTCCCCGAACCCAAACAGATGTTGTGAGGGGGGCTCGCCTATGTGATTGGCATTCAGAACCCCACTCCACTCCATTTTCTTGGGCTTACAGGTATTATGAGAGGACAGTGTACCCAGCTGGGACCAAGCAAAGCCTTGGGGTCAGCACTAGCATCAACACCATCAGCCATGTTGATGGTCACTGTTTCAGGTGTAGGATATGAGGTTGTGGATCAGGTGCCCCAGGAAGCACAGTGCACCTCGTGGAGATGATGTGAGGGCCAGGTCGTTGGATCTACAGGCACTGACACAGAGCTCGGACAGTTTCTGAGCATTCATATGTTATCCCGTAACATGGTACCTGCCAGCCCCACTTGACTCTTTCCTTCCCAAGAAGCAGGTCCTCTCCCTTGTTGGGCAACTTCTGGGGATTGATGGTCAGCTCCTGTGCGCCCCCACGTGCACTTTGTACTGCCTCCTCCCCACCTCCCTCAATCCCCACAACTATGTAAGGTTTTCAGAAAAACTTTCTTTTCTTCATATGTTATTATAATAGGACATCACTCCAAAAGCAATAGGAAAGTGAAGTCCTCTTTTCTCAATGGCATCCTTATTAGAGGTGGGGAAATATTTGCCTTATATCTTTCCAGTGCTGGGAAAAAAGGGTGGGGGGAACAGAATAACACAATCTGAGTACTAATATCCTGCCACACATATTTGCATACATTTGATAAGCTAAGGGATAGTTTCCTTAATCTATAAATTAGGAAATAATTACCTTAATCCATTAAATATAGAAAAAGATAAACACATTCAAAATTAGGTAAATGCACAGCAAAGTGACGAGATACCTTTTTTCACCTATCATCAACTAGGATCAATAAGTGGATAATATGTCAATGAGGGTGCAGGGGAAAAGACTTTCTCATACATATGCTTTTTGTAGAAGCATAATCTGGTACAAACTATTTGGAAAGTAATTGGTCCATATTTACAAAATTTAGAATTCACATGCCCTTGGATGAGCAATTTTACTTCTAGGAATATAATCTGCAATTATGTTCATATATATGCAAATATGTATGTCTGGAAACCACCTAAATATCCATCAATGACATATTAGTAAATGAATTATGGAACATCTACAGGATGTTAAAGCATGGCATCATTACAAAGAGTACATTATATCAATATGTGCTAAGATGGAAGGATCTCCTCCATATATTGTTAAATGAAAGTATGCTCCCATTGTGTGTACATAGAATATTTCAGGAAGGAATATCTCCCTCCTAGGGGAGAAAGACTGGTGATAGAAAGTGTGGTGTAGGAGGAAGACTTCCTTTTCTCTGATGCCCTTCTTTAGTGTCTACATTTGTTAATATGGTTTGGTATTACTTTTTCTACAAAATAAATTAGTTTTAAAACATATGTCAAGATTTCTGATTCCAAGGGGAAAAATCAGATAACATGAGTTTCCTGTTGTGATACAGAATGGGAAACGCTACATTACCAATGATGTACACCAGCCAGAAGTGCCTGGGGGAATCTAATCAAGCCTTTAGATTTCACTTCCAGTTCAGTGAAATCAAGGGATATAGGAACAAGGTAAACACCACAATCAGGTGAATCCTATATTCTACAGGCTGGCTGGCCTGGTCTTTTCCACAGGTCATTGTGTTGGAGTTGCTCATCTTTATATGACAAACCAATGCAATGCATGGTCCTGGTTGAGACAAACTGGCTATAAGAGGTCTTTTGGGAACAACTGGGCAAATTTGACTAAGGAATCAGGTTAATTTTGGCAATGCAGGAAAATGTTCTTAATTTCTGGAAATAATGCAATTTTTTAAAATGCATACTAAATGTTGATTACTATTTATAATTTATGCTAAATATTTTAGAATATAAAAAGGAGGCGTTTTTAAAAGGCAAGATTTCCACAGGTTTTGATTTTGTAGGGGGAAATTAAGGAGAAGGTAATTGTCTGCCAAAAAAAAACAGTGCAATTAAGAAAAACTGGCTTGAACTAGCTCTTTCCAGTTCTACAGCAGATGTTTGCTGTACTGGAGTTATCAAGAAGAGCAGATGGCCCTCTGATAAACCCTGCTGTGCATAGACTCAGCAATGCAGACCAGCAAATAGCTGGCATGGAAACCAACTGAAAGGGATCGAAGAGATTTGTTGAAACTAGGGGCGAGGGTCAGCTGGAAAAACAATTCCTGCTTTGCAATGATCACAGCCATGATTTGATACTTTATGCAAAATCATAAACAAAGTTAAGCAACTCACTTTGGCTGTACAGTCAGCTGCCTTGAAGGTGAGCACATATTTTATTTAATCAGTAATGAAAATCCTGAAAAGAGTTGCAGAAGGGTGCAATTTTGCCTCATATCAGTGTTGTTTTGTGAAAGGATTTTGAGAAAAGTAGATGGGGCATGCTAGTGGTGCTATTGCTGGCAGTCACGTTTCATTTATAACCTCCATTATTTATCTGGAGCACAGAGGTGGGAAGAGGAGAGAAAGAGAAATAAAAGTTGTATTTTCCATGATACAGGTGCAGATGAGCCCGCCTTTCAAAATAGTGAAGTTGGAGGAGAATCTTTTCATCTGGTGGTGGCAACTCACCTCGAGGGTTCTGTGCTTTCATAACTAATCATGTTCAACCATTTTTTAATTTATTCACTCATTCAATCACTCATTCATTCACTGTTCAAATAACATTTATTTAGTGCTTGACTATGATAGTCACTCTTATATGTTCCATAGTACCCTATATTTATCATTAATAAGTTCAATGTAGTTTTTGCTTATTTGTTTTGGTTTTTTTGTTTGTTTTTGAGACAGAGTCTCACTTTGTTGCTCAGACTGGAGTGCAGTGGCAAGATCTCAGCTCACTGCAGCCTCCGCCTCCTGGGTTCAAGTGATTCTCCTGCCTCAGCCTACTGAGTAGCTGGGACTACAGGCGCCCACCACCACATCTGGCTAATTTTTGTATTTTTCATAGAGATGGGTTTCACCATGTTGGCCAGGCTGGTCTTGAACTCCTGAGCTCAAGCGATCCACCTACCTTGGACTCCCAAAGTGTTGGGATTACAGGCATGACCCACCATGCCCGGCCAGTTCAATGTAGTTTTAATACTCCCTTGGTCATTCCTGTTTACTTGCCTATTCCCTACTCAACAGGACAGTGAAAACATCTTGTTAGTTGTTGTATTCTCAGCATCCGGCACATTATAGAACTCAAAAAAAAATTGTTGAATGAATGAATAAGTAAATGAATGTACAAACCATGCTAAGGTCAAAGGATGCAAAGATGAATAAGCCACTCTCTTATGTTGCCTTGCTGAATCCTCTTGTCAAAAGTATTTTGAAGAACACGCACATGGTGTAGGACAGACCAGCATCAGATTGTGCTCTTTTAAAGAAGCTGAAGTTGAAGAGACTGGAAGGAGGAAATGGGGGGCATCAGAAAGTGAAATGGCAGGCTGTGCAAACAGAATGGCTCAGGGGGCAACCCTGAGAAGGCCCAGACCAGAGTAGATGAGGAAGCATTTAGGACAGAGGAGAGAGTTAGGACTCAGGGTCATTAGCAATAGACAAAAGTGCACATTCAAAAATGCATCATTGGCTGGGCATGGTGGCTTATGCCTGTAATCCTAGCACTTTGGGAGGCTGAAGCATGTGGATCACTTGAGCTCAGGAGTTTGAGACCAGCTTGGGCAACATGGCAAAACCTCATCTCCACCAAAAATAGGAAAAATTAGTGGAGTGTGGTGGCGTGTGCCTGTGGTCCCAGGTACTCAGGAGGCTTAGGTGGGAAGATCGCTTGAGCCCGAGAGGTGGAGGTTGCAGTGAGCCAAGATTGTACCACTGTACTCCAGCCTGGATAACAGAGTGAGACTCTGTCTCAAAAAAAAAAAAAAAAAAAAAAATTAAAATATGGGAACCATTTTAATGTCTTAAAAAAGTAAAACCAACACAAGCATTTTAACTGTTCAACTAAAACATGAGTGTGGGATACACTATTTCAAACCGCTTTTTTTTAAAATTATTATTATTATACTTTGTTTTAGGGTACATGTGCACAACATGCAGGTTTGTTACATATGTATACATGTGCCTTGCTGGTGCGCTGCACCCACTAACTCGTCATCTAGCATTAGGTATATCTCCGAATGCCATCCCTCCCCACTCCCCCCACCCCACAACAGTCCCCAGAGTGTGATGTTCCCCTTCCTGTGTCCATGTGTTCTCATTGTTCAATTCCCACCTATGAGTGAGAATATGAGGTGTTTGGTTTTTTGTTCTTGAGATAGTTTACTGAGAATGATGATTTCCAATTTCATCCATGTCCCTACAAAGGACATGAACTCATCATTTTTTATGGCTGCATAGTATTCCATGGTGTATATGTGCCACAATTTCTTAATCCAGTCTATCATTGTTGGACATTTGGGTTGGTTCCAAGTCTTTGCTATTGTGAATAATGCCACAATAAACATACGTGTGCATGTGTCTTTATAGCAGCATGATTTATACTCCTTTGGGTATATACCCAGTAATGGGATAGCTGGGTCAAATGGTATTTCTAGTTCTAGATCCCTGAGGAATCACCACACTGACTTCCACAATGGTTGAACTAGTTTACAGTCCTACCAACAGTGTAAAAGTGTTCCTATTTCTCCACATCCTCTCCAGCACCTGTTGTTTCCTGACTTTTTAATGATTGCCATTCTAACTGGTGTGAGATGGTATCTCATTGTGGTTTTGATTTGCATTTCTCTGATGGCCAGTGATGGTGAGCATTTTTTCATGTGTTTTTTGGCTGCATAAATGTCTTCTTTTGAGAAGTGTCTGTTCATGTCCTTCGCCCACTTTTTGATGCGGTTGTTTGTTTTTTTCTTGTAAATTTGTTTGAGTTCATTGTAGATTCTGGATATTAGCCCTTTGTCAGATGAGTAGGTTGCGAAAATTTTCTCCCATTTTGTAGGTTGCCTGTTCACTCTGATGGTAGTTTCTTTTGCTGTGCAGAAGCTCTTTAGTTTAATTAGATCCCATTTGTCAATTCTGGCTTTTGTTGCCATTGCTTTTGGTGTTTTAGACATGAAGTCCTTGCCCATGCCTATGTCCTGAATGGTAATGCCTAGGTTTTCTTCTAGGGTTTTTATGGTTTTAGGTCTAACGTTTAAGTCTTTAATCCATCTTGAATTGATTTTTGTATAAGGTGTAAGGAAGGGATCCAGTTTCAGCTTTCTACATATGGCTAGCCAGTTTTCCCAGCACCATTTATTAAATAGGGAATCCTTTCCCCATTGCTTGTTTTTCTCAGGTTTGTCAAAGATCAGATAGTTGTAGATATGCAGCATTATTTCTGAGGGCTCTGTTCTGTTCCATTGATCTATATCTCTGTTTTGGTATCAGTACCATGCTGTTTGGTTACTGTAGCCTTGTAGTATAGTTTGAAGTCAGGTAGCGTGATGCCTCCAGCTTTGTTCTTTTGGCTTAGGATTGACTTGGCGATGCGGGCTCTTTTTTGGTTCCATATGAACTTTAAAGTATTTTTTTCCAATTCTGTGAAGAAAGTCATTGGTAGCTTGATGGGGATGGCATTGAATCTGTAAATTACCTTGGGCAGTATGGCCATTTTCACGATATTGATTCTTCCTACCCATGAGCATGGAATGTTCTTCAATTTCTTTGTAACCTCTTTTATTTCCTTGAGCAGTGGTTTGTAGTTCTCCTTGAAGAGGTCCTTCACATCCCTTGTAAGTTGGATTCCTAGGTATTTTATTCTCTTTGAAGCAATTGTGAATGGGAGTTCAATCATGATTTGGCTCTCTGTTTGTCTGTTGTTGGTGTATAAGAATGCTTGTGATTTTTGTACATTGATTTTGTATCCTGAGACTTTGCTGAAGTTGCTTATCAGCTTAAGGAGATTTTGGGCTGAGATGATGGGGTTTTCTAGATATACAATCATGTCATCTGCAAACAGGGACAATTTGACTTCCTCTTTTCCTAATTGAATACCCTTTATTTCCTTCTCCTGCCTAATTGCCCTGGCCAGAACTTCCAACACTATGTTGAATAGGAGTGGTGAGGGCATCCCTGTCTTGTGCCAGTTTTCAAAGGGAATGCTTCCAGTTTTTGCCCATTCAGTATGATATTGGCTGTGGGTTTGTCATAGATAGCTCTTATTATTTTGAGATACGTCCCATCAATACCTAATTTATTGAGAGTTTTTAGCATGAAGGGTTGTTGAACTTTGTCAAAGGCCTTTTCTGCATCTATTGAGATAATCATGTGGTTTTTGTCTTTGGTTCTGTTTATATGCTGGATTACATTTATTGATTTGCGTATATTGAAGCAGCCTTGCATCCCAGGGATGAAGCCCACTTGATCATGGTGGATAAGCTTTTTGATGTGCTGCTGGATTCGGTTTGCCAGTATTTTATTGAGGATTTTTGCATCAATGTTCATCAAGGATATTGGTCTAAAATTCTCTTTTTTTGTTGTGTCTCTGCCCGGCTTTGGTATCAGGATGATGCTGGCCTCATAAAATGAGTTAGGGAGGATTCCCTCTTTTTCTATTGATTGGAATAGTTTCAGAAAGAATGGTACCAGTTCCTCCTTGTACCTCTGGTAGAATTCGGCTGTGAATCCATCTGGTCCTGGACTCTTTTTGGTTGGTAAGCTATTGATTATTGCCACAATTTCAGATCCTGTTATTGGTCTATTCAGAGATTCAACTTCTCTCTGGTTTAGTCTTGGGAGGGTGTATGTGTCGAGGAATTTATCCATTTCTTCTAGATTTTCTAGCTTATTTGCATAGAGGTGTTTGTAGTATTCTCTGATGGTAGTTTGTATTTCTGTGGGATCGGTGGTGATGTCCCCTTTATCATTTTTTATTGCGTCTATTTGATTCTTCTCTCTTTTTTTCTTTATTAGTCTTGCTAACCGTCTATCAATTTTGTTGATCCTTTCAAAAAACCAGCTCCTGGATTCATTAATTTTTTGAAGGGTTTTTGTGTCTCTATTTCCTTCAGTTCTGCTCTGATTTTAGTTATTTCTTGCCTTCTGCTAGCTTTTGAATGTGTTTGCTCTTGCTTTTCTAGTTCTTTTAATTGTGATGTTAGGGTGTCAATTTTGGATCTTTCCTGCTTTCTCTTGTGGGCATTTAGTGCTATAAATTTCCCTCTACACACTGCTTTGATTGTGTCCCAGAGATTCTTGTATGTTGTGTCTTTGTTCTCGTTGGTTTCAAAGGACATCTTTATTTCTGCCTTCATTTCGTTATGTACCCAGTAGTCATTCAGGAGCAGGTTGTTCAGTTTCCATGTAGTTGAGGGGTTCTGAGTGAGATTCTTAATCCTGAGTTCTAGTTTCATTGCACTGTGGTCTGAGAGATAGTTTGTTATAATTTCCATTCTTTTACATTTGCTGAGGAGAGCTTTACTTCCAACTATGTGGTCAATTTTGGAATAGGTGTGGTGTGGTGCTGAAAAGAATGTATATTCTGTTGATTTGGGGTGGAGAGTTCTGTAGATGTCTATTAGGTCTGCTTGGTGCAGAGCTGAGTTCAATTCCTGGGTATCCTTGTTGACTTTCTGTCTCGTTGATCTGTCTAATGTTGACAGTGGGGTGTTAAAGTCTCCCATTATTAATGTGTGAGAGTCTAAGTCTCTTTGTAGGTCACTCAGGACTTGCTTTATGAATCTGGGTGCTCCTGTATTGGATGCATATATATTTAGGATAGTTAGCTCTTCTTGTTGAATTGATCCCTTTAGCATTATGTAATGGCCTTCTTTGTCTCTTTTGATCTTTGTTGGTTTAAAGTCTGTTTTATCAGAGAGTAGGATTGCAACCCCTGCCTTTTTTTGTTTTCCATTTGCTTGGTAGATCTTCCTCCATCCTTTTATTTTGAGCCTATGTGTGTCTCTGAACGTAAGATGGGTTTCCTGAATACAGCACACTGATGGGTCTTGACTCTTTATCCAATTTGCCAGTCTGTGTCTTTTAATTGGAGCATTTAGTCCATTTACATTTAAAGTTAATATTGTTATGTGTGAATTTGATCCTGTCATTATGATGTTAGCTGGTGATTTTGCTCGTTAGTTGATGCAGTTTCTTCCTAGTCTCGACAGTCTTTACATTTTGGCATGATTTTGCAGCGGCTGGTACCGGTTGTTCCTTTCCATGTTTAGCACTTCCTTTGGGAGCTCTTTTAGGGCAGGCCTGGTGGTGACAAAATCTCTCCGCATTTGCTTGTCTGTAAAGTATTTTATTTCTCCTTCACTTATGAAGCTTAGTTTGGCTGGATATGAAATTCTGGGTTGAAAATTCTTTTCTTTAAGAATGTTGAATATTGGCCCCCAATCTCTTCTGGCTTGTAGAGTTTTTGCCGAGAGATCCGCTGTTAGTCTGATGGGCTTCCCTTTGAGGGTAACCCGACCTTTCTGTCTGGCTGCCCTTAACATTTTTTCCTTCGTTTCAACTTTGGTGAATCTGACAATTATGTGTCTTGGAGTTGCTCTTCTCGAGGAGTATCTTTGTGGCGTTCTCTGTATTTCCTGAATCTGAATGTTGGCCTGCCTTGCTAGATTGGGGAAGTTCTCCTGGATAATATCCCGCAGAGTGTTTTCCAACTTGGTTCCATTCTCCCTGTCACTTTCAGGTACACCAATCAGACGTAGATTTGGTCTTTTCACATAGTCCCATATTTCTTGGAGGCTTTGCTCATTTCTTTTTATTCTTTTTTCTCTAAACTTCCCTTCTCGCTTCATTTCATTCATTTCATCTTCCATTGCTGAAACCCTTTCTTCCAGTTGATCGCATTGGCTCCTGAGGCTTCTGCATTCTTCACGTAGTTCTCGAGCCTTCGTTTTCAGCTCCATCAGCTCCTTTAAGCACTTCTCTGTATTGGTTATTCTAGTTATACATTCTTCTAAATTTTTTTCAAAGTTTTCAACTTCTTTGCCTTTGGTTTGAATGTCCTCCTGTAGCTCAGAGTAATTTGATTGTCTGAAGCCTTCTTCTCTCAGCTCGTCAAAGTCATTCTCCGCCCAGCTTTGTTCCATTGCTGGTGAGGAACTGCGTTCCTTTGGAGGAGGAGAGGCGCTCTGCTTTTTAGAGTTTCCAGTTTTTCTGCTCTGTTTTTTCCCCATCTTTGTGGTTTTATCTACTTTTGGTCTTTGATGATGGTGATGTACAGATGGGTTTTTGGTGTGAATGTCCTTTCTGTTTGTTAGTTTTCCTTCTAACAGGCCCCTCAGCTGCAGGTCTGTTGGAGTAGCCGGCCGTGTGAGGTGTCAGTCTGCCCCTGCTGGGGGCTGCCTCCCAGTTAGGCTACTCGGGGGTCAGGGACCCACTTGAGGAGGCAGTCTGTCCGTTCTCAGATCTCAAGCTGCGTGCTGGGAGAACCACTACTCTCTTCAAAGCTGTGAGACACAGGGACATTTAAGTCTGCAGAGGTTATTGCTGTCTTTTTGTTTGTCTGTGCCCTGCCCCCAGAGGTGGAGCCTAGAGAGGCAGGCAGGCCTCCTTGAGCTGTGGTGGGCTCCACCCAGTTGGAGCTTTCTGGCTGCTTTGTTTACCTAAGCAAGCCTGGGCAATGGCGGGCGTCCCTCCCCCAGCCTCACTGCCGCCTTGCAGTTTGATCTCAGACTGCTGTGCTAGCAATCAGCGAGACTCTGTGGGCATAGGACCCTCCGAGCCATGTGCGGGATATAATCTCCTGGTGCGCCATTTTTTAAACCCGTCGGAAAAGCACAGTATTCGGGTGGGAGTGACCCGATTTTCCAGGTGCCGTCTGTCACCCCTTTCTTTGACTAGGAAAGGGAACTCCCTGACCCCTTGGACTTCCTGAGTGAGGCAATGCCTCGCCCTGCTTTGGCTCATGCACGGTGCACACACCCACTGACCTGCGCCCACTGTCTGGCACTCCCTAGTGAGATGAACCCGGTACATCAGATGGAAATGCAGAAATCACCCGTCTTCTGCGTCGCTCATGCTGGGAGCTGTAGACCGGAGCTGTTCCTATTCGGCCATCTTGGCTCCTCCCCCTCAAACCGCTTTCAATAACAGCAAAATTGATAAAGCATACTTTTCTGATAGGAAGATAAGGAAAGGTTGATCCCCCATTCATAGAAGTTGGGCCTCGTTCCATGCTGAAGAAGCCTTACAACTTGCCCTAATGGACAGATACATCTATATGTTCTGATTTTAGAGGCAATAAATACCATCTTACACTCCCCTCCAAAGGTACTACTTTCTCTTACCTACTTGCTCATTCATTCATTCAATTCATTCGTTCATTCAATTCAACGAATATATGTTAAGCCTGTTATGAGACAGTCACTGTTTCAGATGCTGGGACTACATAGGGTAAATAACTGTCCTGGTTTCCCCACTAACCCGGGTTTAGCACTGAAAGTCCTGTGTCCTGGGAATCCCTTCTGTCCTGGGCCAGTGTTGGTCATCCTAGAGCTTACATCAGTGACGTAGGATTGAAATTTTAGCCAGGGAGACCCCAGAAAGCCTTTACTAGAAAGGTTACTTTCAAGAAAAGACCTGGAGCGGATAAGGACAATAGCTGCACCGATATCTTGGGGAAGAGCAGTCCAGAAAGTCCAAGCCTCAGGCAGGAGCTTCCCTGTCATGTTCCAGGGACAGCCAAGAAGCCACGGTTGCTGGGGACATAGTGAGAGGAGGGGAGGACAATGGGAGATGAGATCTCAGAAATACCAGGAGTTAGATCATGTGAGGACTTGTGAGTCTTAGCAAGGATTTTTGGCTTTTACTCTGAGCAACATGAGAGGATACTGAAAGGTTTTCAACAGGGAAAGAACAGGCTTACTTTGGCTGTTGTGTTAAGAATAAGCCACAAAGAGGTAAGATCAGAGAGACAAGGAAGCTAAGCATTTAAATAATCCTTTTGAAAGTTCTAGTCCCACTGAGTTGTTCCAAAGGAAATTGAGGAAACAGTTATGGTCTGTTTTGTGGGCTCAGTTTTATCTTTTTTGAAAAAACAGGGTAGGAGTCTTTATTCTTTCCTGCTTCAATTGCAACTGTTGACTTTCCATTTTACAATAAGAGGGAAGCAGTTTCAAACATGAAGAACATAAATGGTGTTAGCTAAATTGAAACTCTTACTGTAACACGAATGTACAGCCATAGAGGGGTGTTAGGAATGTGGGCCAGACTGCCTGAGTTCAGATCTCAGCCCTGCTACCTCTAGCTAGGTGCTTTGAACAACTGACTTGGCATGAGGAAGTTCCTTGCTGTCTTCATCTGTAGGAATTATAGCTCCACCTACTCTTAGGGCCATAGGGAGGATTCGGTGAGTTAACCCATGTACCTGGAGCAGAGTGAGTGCTCATTAATGTTTAGTATTATTACAACTATTAAGTTGCCCAAGAATAGATGGTCAGCTTTGCAATAGATGTGGGCTTTCAGAGACAGGGCTTATATCTTATCATCATATTTCGACTAGAAATACTCCTATGAGGTTATTATATTAGAATCTAATCCTGTGTATGAGATATATATCATATTTAGTACATATATGGGTTCATAAGTGAGACTACAAGTTAGTGAACATTGAAGTAAAAAAAAACAAATGGAAGAGGGGAATCCATTTAAATTTTCCAGAAATTTTAACGATCGTGAGGATTTGATTTAAAATAGAGTATTTACATTTAACTGTTAACCTGCTAAATTTATTTTTCCACATTTTCTTTCAAATAAAATACTAAAATAGATATATAGCATTTTAGAGCCCAAGGAGAATAGCTTTTCCTGATGAGAGAAATTGAGGAAATGGTTATGGTCTGTTTTGTGTGCTCAGTATTTTTCTTTCTTTTTTTCTTTTTTTTTTTTTTAAGATGGAGTTTCACTCGTCACCCAGGCTGGAGTGCAGTGGTGCGACCTTGGCTCACTGCAACCTCTGCCTCCCAGGTTCAAGTGATTCTTCTGCCTCAGCCTCCCGAGTAGCTGGGACTACAGGCGCACACCACCACGCCCGGCTAATTTTTGTATTTTTAGTAGAGACGGGGTTTCACCACGTTGGCCAGGCTGGTCTGGAACTCCTGGCCTCATGATCCACCCGCCTCGGCCTCCCAGAGTGCTGGGACTACAGGTATGAGCCACCACGCCTGGCTGGTTTTATCTTTTCAAAAAAAAAAAAAAAAGATAAGAGTCTTCATTCTTTCCTGCTTCAATTGCAACTATTGACTTTCCATTTTACAATGAGAGGGAAGCAGTTTCAAACATGAAGAATATGAATAGTGTTAACTAAATTGAAACTCTCACAGTTACCTGAATGTACAGCCATAGAGGGGTGTTAAGGATGTACTTTGAGTGGCCAAGGCAGGAGGATCGTATCAGGCCAGGAATTCCAGTCCATCCTGGGCAATGCAGGGAGACCCCGTCTCTACAAAAAAAAAAAAAAAAATGAGCCAGATGCAGTGGCACACACCTATAATCATAGCTACTTGAGAGGCTGAGGCAGGAGGATTGTTTGAGCCCAGGAGTTTGAGGCTGCAGTGAGGTATGTTTGCACCACTGCACAGCAGCCTCAGTGACAGATTTGAACACTGCCTCTTAAAAAAAAAAAAAAATGGAGACAGTGTTTTTACTGTACTACCACTTGGTTCAATGGGGGCAGAGTGTTTATACATATTTCTTGTACATACATTTCTGACTGAACATGAAAGAACTGAAACTTGGTTGACTGGGGGAATTGGATGCTTGAGGGACGGGACACCCTTTTTTAACTTTTGAATTTTGAGCCACATGACTGTCTTACTTAGTTAATTAATTAAAATGAGATTAACTTTTTAAAAATGAATCTTGTATACATTATGCAATGCTCCTCTAACAGACACTTAAAAATAAAATGAAACTGGCAATATAAAATAGTGTTTTAATTTTTCCTTTTTATTTTTTATTCTAGATCATGATTATATAGTTCATCTCATTAACAATTAATGACCTTTTAAACATTGGGTTATATAGATATATCTGAATTTATTCATATATATCTGAATTTATTTTTCAAAATGGATTACCTTTATAATAAAGAAACTATTGGAATTAACACTGTCTACCTAAATAGTTGCTTACCACAAGTGAAATGACGGTATTCAAAATCTAGACTGGTTTGTGTTAGTTTTTTTAGTTTATTTAATTTAACTGGGGCTTTCCTGGAATTCATAAAATGTCAAGAAGCTGTTTCATGTCATTTTGATTTTTACTTTTAAATTTGTATTGGGGTATAAGATACATACAAAAAAGTATACAAGTTGCAAATGTACAGCTTGATGAATGTTCATAAACTGAACACTGTCATGTACACAGCAGTAAGATCAAGAAATAGAACATTACCAGCACCTCATTTCCTTCTATTTACTCTCCTCTTCCCTGGGATAATCAATATTGAGACTTCTGAGAGCATAGCTTTGTACTGCCTGCTTTTTACCTCATACAAATGTAATTTTACAGTATTGCCCTTTTGTGTCTGTCTTCTTTTAGTGAATACTATGTTTGTGAGATTCATCCATATTGTAGTTATAAATCATACATTCTCATTGCATATAGCATTCCATTGTGTGAATATGCCACAACTTAGTTACCTATTCTATTACTGATGGCTATTTGCGTAGTTCCCAGTCTTGGTCATTTATGAATGAGCTGCTTTGAACATTCTTGTGCATGTTTTTCAGGGGGAGCATTTGCATACATTATCCCCCCAGGAGTGGAATCATTTGATACAGATATGTGAAGCTCTCATAGATGCTGCCAAACATTTTTTTTCTAAACAGGTGTACCAATTTACACTGCTATCAGCACTAATGAGAGTCCAGTTGCTCCCCATCCTCCCCCCAAATTTCATATTTTTTGTTTTAGTTATTCTGGTGGGTGTGTAGGGTATCACCAGAAGCTGGTTTTTGGAAATTCTAATTGTTTTCAAAAATTCTTTAAGCTGGATAGGTTATAAATACCAAATAAGTTGAAGCTGAGAAAATGCAAGTCAAAGAGAACCCTACTTTTATGTATACCCTTATTTAATACTTGGGGGTTCTTATTATATGCATGTATTAACTTGAAAAAATAAATATATGTTCCTCTATTCTTGAAGTTCAGAAGCTGTTGAGTGATGACCATTTTGCTAGTCAGAAATGTGTCACTACTTTTCTAAGTCAACAGGGGGCCATGTACTGATAATAATCTCAAAGTAGACTAAAGTCATGTACTAGTTTACCGCCAAAGAAACGCTTTACATAGGCAAAGATTTCCAGCATCAGCACCAGCTAAAGCCCTCACAAAATCCTCTTCAGATGCAGCTGACTAGTACAGTTATGTGCAAACCATCAGGAAATGGAAATGAGAAAACAGCATGTTTTGTGTAAGAAAAAAAAGGGGTGGCAGGGTGTGGATTCCAACCTGGTAGTGAATTTCCCGTCACATGTAAGCTCCTCAGTGTGGTGCTGGTGTCTAAGTTCCCCCGGGTTAGAATCCACATCTCATCCCACTATAACCAGCTATCCCCTATAACCAGCTATCCCTGAGTTGCTGTTGATCTTTCTGTTGCCATCTCTCCCTTCTCACACCACACACCCGCCAGGCTGCTGTGTATTTCTTTCTTCTGCAGGGTTGAGACCAAGTCGCAGGGCTGTCCCTGGGGTATGACTACCCAGATCAGGAGCTACATACTGGAGCTGATGGACCACTTAAACATCATGTACCAGACCCCTGGGAAAAAGGGGACCTATAGCATCCACTCCAACCGTTTCCTATTAAGACAGAGAAAGATGAACTAAGACATCTATTAGCAGCTCACAAAGATGATAGAAATTAAGATTTGAATGGCTATTCCCAGAACTTAGTGCTTCTGTTTTCCAATGCCTATCAAAAACAACAACATTTCAGAATGACTAGGCAACCCAAGGGTTACACACAGTGCAGAAGTCATGGGGTATTTGGTGGGGTAGCCTGGTCAGGACAGACTATTTTCTGTCTGTCACTAACTGTATGTCCAATGAATTGGAACTTCTGACCAGGAGAAGGGACCTCTGGGTCGGGCCAGGTGAGTGGGAATGTCCATGAGTCAGATGAGGTTATAAAAAGTTTGGGGAGCTTTTGAGAAAAACAATCTACTGAAAAGAAAGCATAGAGTAACTCTAAAGAGTGTGATCTCTGGCTTCATTCGGCCCAGCTGACGTCCTCTCTCAGCTCTGTGCTTACTATTGACATGATCTTGGGAAAGTTCTCATCTGGCCTCCATGGGCCTCAGCACTGTCATCAGTAAAATCGGGCTGGTCAAATCCCTACCTCACAGGGCTATTGTAAGGATTACTAATGCTTACAAAGCACTTAGCACAGCTAACTCCACATAGGAAGTGCTCATAAAGTTACAGTTATCTGCTTAAAAAAAAAAGCCACAAAAGGGCATGTGACAGGCTAATCATCCTGTTAGAAAGCATTTGAGGAAAAGCAGAAGAGAGGAAATTTCAGAGCTAGAAAGGGAACTCAGGATGCAATTACCATGCTGAGAGGATAGTTCTGGGAAACTGGAGGTGTCCAGAATGAACAAGAATATCAGCTGGAGGACTCCTCTGTGGAAAGCCAGGAGATGCTGGAGACGCTGGATATGCTGGCTAATCTGCAAGCCCTGAGGGAAGCATTTTCACCTGTGGTGGAAGGAAGCTCTGAGATAACAAGCAAAAACAAAAAGCTCAGCTGTTTCTCTAAGAACTAGGAAATTAAAGGCAAAAACTCAAGCATGGGCAGCAGTTGGAGGCACCAGCAGGAGCCACAGGCACGGTCAGAGCCGGGCTCAGGAAGGGCTCGCTGATGGCAAGGGAAAGGCAATGAAAGCACCCTGGGAAGAGGCTGTTTTGTGCTCTAAGTTTATGCCAAACCAAATGCAAAGACAAATCTGAAAAGTCACCCAGCTTCAACTTCTAATTTTCCATATGAAGAAACCAAGACCCTTTAAAGAGGAGTAATTGTGCAGTGGTTGGCTATGCATGAACGTGTTGGGACAAATGCATGTATGTGGCCACTGCAATAGACAGGGTGCTGGACAGGACAGGTAAACTGAGGAAAACCTGTGCACCTGCAGAAGAGAGTTTTAGAAGGAAAATCCACCTCATCAACCTTTTAGTATCGTCATCCTGGCAAGAAAAAATAACGGGGGTTAGTGGCAGTAGGAAAATGTAAGGCAAATGAAATCTTCGGTTTGGGGGCTACTTGGGGGAACATGTATTCCGTAACCCCAAATATACCTTCTATTTATAGCAGAAGTTGAAAGCCCAAATGCCTTTAAGGTAAGGTAAATATGTGAACCAGAAGAGTGCAGGGCAGCTGGGTGTGGTACAGACCAGCAAATGGGAAGGGTGGAAGCGCCACATAAAGGAATTCACATTCAATTTTTTAAAAACACTGGCCTTGCCAAAGGAAACGCAGAAGCTGGCTCCATTTCCACATCAGCAGTTTGCAAACACTGTTCTGTACAGTGTTAACATGTAAAACCACCATTAAACACAGTGTTAAAACATCATTAAACATCATACTAAAATATAAAACATCATTAAACACAGTGTTAAAGTATCTTCAATGGTTTAAGGCTAAATGAAACATATTTAGTCTAAAAAGGCCTGTGAAAAGTCAGTTTCATTTTAAAAGAGATCCCAGTTGAGTGGGAAATGAAAAGTCCTGACATTTTTCCATCTACATATTGGTAAAAGGAACATTTTAGCACTTATATGAGATGGTTTCTATCTCTTCCTTGAAAAAAAAAAAAAAGGAGATGATATCCTTTACTTCCAGCACCAAGCATAGGGTTTAAAACATTGTATTAATGGTACCTAAATGTTTATTGAGTGAATAAATAGGATTTCAAATAGAACAAAGCACTGGTCAGAGACAGAACAATAACCGAGTATCTTTTGAGGTTGTAAAATGAAGGGGGTGGATCGCCAGCTCTAAGTCTCCTCTTCTTCTTTGGGATTTATTTTTAACCCCCAACATCTTTGTACACAGCCATGGACTTCAGTCTTATGACCTCCCTCATCTGGTTGACTCCAGTAGAGATCAGAGAACATAGGCAGCCTCCCAAGGACAGTTTATTGCAGAACTCACTTCCTGCCAGGTGCAGTGGCTCACGCCTGTAATCCCAGCACTTTGGAAGGCCGAGGCGGATGGATCACCTGGGGTCAGGAGTTCAAGACCAGCCTCTCCAACATGGTGAAACCCCGTCTCTACCAAAAAATACAAGTTAGCCGGGTGTGGTGGCGCCAGCCTGTAATCCCAGCTACTCGGGATGCTGAGGCAGGAGAATCACTTGAACCCAGAAGGCAGAGGTTGCAGTGAGCTGAGATTGCACCACTGCACTCCAGCCTGGGCGACAGAGTGAGACTCTATCTCAAAAAAACAAACAAACAAGCAAAAAACCTCACTTCCTAAGTGGTATCCAAGCAGACTTAGTTCTCTGGGAATGGGGCAAAGAAACTTCAGGGAGCATGCTGATGATCCATCTAACTCCCTAACTTCGTGGTTCTTGAGAACAAAGAGGGGACACCCACCTCACAGAGTTGTGTGGGGTAAATAATGTTGTGTAAGTAAAAGGCTTAGTGCCTTTTACATACATGGTGGATATTATCATCTATTATGGAAATAAGTGAATAATTTTTTAAATGGACCTAATTGGGGGTGGGGGCATGGGATAGTTAGGACAACAAATTGAGAGGCCCAGAAAAAACAAAAATATTTTGACAGCACCTATAAATCATTCTGGAAAAGCTGGGAGTCGATAATTTTTTTAAAAAACGAAAATTCCCTACGTTCGAGTACAAATCCTTTTATATACATCTATACACTTAGGTATGCATAAAATTCCTCTGGAAGAACGGTTAACAGGCAATAGTGGTTACCTCCAGGGAGGGGACTTGATCTGCAACAGCAGCTGGGGAAAGGCTTCTAAATTTTTTTTGCCATGTTTGTTCTTGGAGAAATAAAGATTAAAAAAGTAAAATTTTTGCCATGTGTCTATATTACCTATTAAAAATTCATAATTCACTTCTAAATTTAATGCTACTAGTTTAAAATTTCTCCCAAGTTTTGCCACATTTTGAGGAAACTGAAATTGGGAACGTCGGCTTTCAGCCTTTATTGAGTGTTAGAGTGCTTATACCGCCTCCTAGTGCCAGATACCCACGACTGCGGCTGCTCCCTGCAGCCACCGCGGGGCTCACTCTAGACCTGTTCATCTCACCAGTGCTCACCAGGTGAATACCTTAACTAGTTAACGCATTAACTAACTAAACTGTTACCTATTCGGATACTCCAATGCCTTCAAGGTGTTTTTTTTTTTTAATCTAGGTACTGTGAAGAATGACTTTACCTCATGCCTCATTCTTGCTGACCCCAGATCACAGTTGGGGGTGGAGGAGCCAATGAAATAATAGATCACTTGAATAACAGTATATCCTTTCACCTTTTCATTTCTTTTTCCATTTTAAACTTGACATACTTAGAAGCAAAAGGACATTTTTACTTTCTCAGTTGTATTTCAAACACATGTCACTTTAGCCGTTAAATTTGTATTAATTCATCAGGTGTTGCAGTAACTTTCTTCTCTGCATGTGTTGAAATGGAGGTTGTTTGTCCACATACAGAATTTTTTTACATGCTTTTATTTGGGTAAAATTTTCTGAACTGTGTTTCAGATATTTCATTGTTCTGTAGGCTATTTACTGTCATGCTGTACATTTTTTTTTCTTTTGAGACAGAGTTTCACTCTTTTTGCCCAGGCTGGAGTGCAATGGCACAATCTCGGCTCACTGCAACCTCTGCCCCCAGGGTTCAAGCGATTCTCCTGCCTCAGCCTCCCGAGTAGCTGGGATTACAGGCGCCTGCCACCATGCCCGGCTAATTTTTGTATTTTTAGCAGAGACGGGGGTTTCACCATGTTGGCCAGGCTGGTCTCGAACTCCTGACTTCAGGTGATCCACCCGCCTCACCCTCCCAAAGTGCTAGGATTACTGGCATGAGCCACCGTGCAGGCCATGCTGTACATTTTTTAAAGTAATGTTTTTATTATTTTAAAATCAATGTATTCTCATTATAAAAATATTTTGGAAAATACAGTGAAACATGAAGAATAAAATAAAACAAGCCTTAATTCCGCCATCAATAGGTAACTACTGTTAACATCTCTATTCCCTCCAGTTCTTCTAATGTCTATGTTTTTATATCGTTTTCATGCTGAATTTTGAAGTCTTCAAAGTACATTTCTGCTTCCATTTATAAATGTTAAAAGTCTGTCCTTGTTAAATATTACAAACATATTCTTATTAGAAACTACTGTGTTATTAGAAACTGCAAGGCATGTTTGGGTATAGGGGTAGAAGGTCATTTTGAACATACCCGCCAATTCAGGGTTAGTATTGGACTCCTCTACTAAAGCCGCATTTGTGTCCCGTTATACTGGATGTATATCACACAGGAGATCACACTCCAGGCTGAAGATCTTCCAGGACTTCATCCCCTGATTCCATAATCTTGACGCCTTGGCCTTTGACAAATATCTGAGCATCGAATGGACTTCTCAGAGGCCTCTCTGGCAGCCTAAGTGGGCCATGGTGCATGATCCCAGGTGAGCGAGAGGACGGTCAGGGTCGGGGCAAAAGTGCAAGAGGCAAAAGGGACGCTAGGCAGGTTTGAAATCTGAGCGAGTGGCAACCTCGCTTTTTCTTATCTTACTTTTCGGTGGTTCCACCCATTTGGGTGAACAATCTGGATTACCTCCTTGGCAGGCCAGGTTCCCAACAGGAGGCGGGCCTGATGAAGGGCTGGTGGGCGTGTTCCCGCCCAAGGTCCGTGTTGGCCCGCGCGGTGGCTGGGAGGCCCTCCCCACGCCCAACTGCGGGTATAAAGAGGCAGGCTGCGGACTCGGAGCAGCTCGGGGCTGCGCAGCGGGAAGGCTCGCCTAGTCGGTCCGCATCCGTGTCGACCACCTGTCTGGACACCACGAAGATGCCACCCGTTGGGGGCAAAAAGGCCAAGAAGGTGAGTCTCCAGGGGACCCGAGGGCGCTCTCCTTCCCCTCCCACCTGCTCTGTATCCCAGCCTCTGGGAGCGCAGAGGGGCCCTCGGACCCTGCCTGGTACCCATCATCCTCCTACTCCCTCCCCTCCCTCAGCCTCAGACCAGAATGTGCTTCCAGAACTTCTCCAGCAGGACCCCAAGGCGCCTCTGAGCCTCCCCACTCCTGCCCCACGTTCAGAGCGCGCCCCCAGAGCGCCTCTGTCCCCTCCAGCCCCAGCCCAGCTTGGACCAGAGTGCGCCCCAGATCTATGTGATCCTTGCCTCTCAGACCCAAAGGCACCCTCTGAGCCCTCCCTGACGGCTGGGTGTCCCCAGAACTCCGAGCCTTCCAATATCTTCTGAATCTGGCACCCCAAGACCAGAAAACTCCCTAGAGATACTGCTCCTAGCCCCGCAGGCGCGATATCCCGTCCCCACGGAGCCCCTCCGCATCTGTGTCCGAGGCCGCCGCGAGCGCCCTCTGCACCCGGCGCGCCCAGAACAGGGAGGAGTGCACGGCGCTGGCTCCGACATTTCCCGCCTGGATCTGCACCGCGGGTGTCGGGGCCGCCTCCCCGCCGGGTTCTCGCTGCACCCAAGGCCCAGGCGCTGGTTGGGTGATTGCAGATTTTCACAGGCAATTTGATGTCCGTGATGACAGAAAAATGTCATCCGAAATGTCAGCCTCGAAAACATGGTTTAAGAAAAAATGGGCAGAGTGGCTGTAAGATACTGAGGAAGGGCTGTTGATGAAATTGTAAAACCCAATTCCAGCTCCAGATGAACAAGTCCATCTCTTGGCTATCCCAGTGGCTTGTTGGGAGGGGTATTTTCAGTCCAGACGGTAGGCCTTCCTCTAATTTGGGGAACGGATGGATAGATGGACTGACTGCCGTGGAATGAGACTGGACAGGTGGGAAGAGAGAGAGAAGGATGGAGGGAGGAGAGAATAAACTTGACCTTTTGGTCAAATGCCCAGTCCCAGGCCTGGCACGACAGAGGCCCCCGGAAAATGGTAGGGAGGCAGATGGGGCCAGGCCAACTGTATCCTCTGGGCTGTAAGGACAGTGAGAAAGGTCCAGCTCTCATCCCAGTGCCTGCCCTGCTGGAGAACCAGCTGAGGTGTGCCCAGTTTCTAAAGGGATGGCCTCCCAAATCAAAAAGACCTCTACACAAGGAAGAAGGTCAATTCGGTTACAGATTCTAAATGCAGCATCGTGGATGCATGTTGATGGCATGAGTGGGTGTTGAGATGGCAAAGGACTATGGACTATCACCAGTCAAAGGAGGGTGAGAATTTCGCCAGTCCCTAAATGTACTAAATGAATAGTCCACAGAGACTGGGAAGGATGATTCCTATAGATATAGATATTTTTTGTTTGTCCCCATTCTCATAGCCACGTAAGTCTAACTTATTCCCCAAACTCAAACTCAGAAAATCTAACATTTTAAAGAATTATCTTTGTAGAATTATCTAAGCAACAGATGAATGTAAGATGGAAAAAACAGTTTCCTAGTAACTTGTTTCCGTGCATATGTCAGTGTTAAAACAATATATGGACAATAACATGTCTACACATTTGAGTTTAAAATTAAAATAAATGTTACAAAGTTTGCACATGTTCATTATAAACAATGAGGGAAAGCACAAAGAACAGTGCCTGTTAAATTCTGGTGTATATTCTGCTAGTTTGTTGTTGAGGCAAATATGCACTTCTTAGACAAAAATGGGCTGATATTACATATACTGTTTTGTAATACTTTTTCACAAAATGGTATATTTTTTTCATAGCACATTCCACCTTTTAAAAAGTCTGTTTAGCTTGGGAACAGAAAATCCTGAAGTCTAGATAATTTTAAAATGCAATAGAATGTAAGAGATCATATTTCCAGAGGTAACCACTCAACAAGTGCATGAGCCACATAGTAATTGAATCGCCACTACCCACCCTGCCACCCAGCATCAGATCCTTAGCTATGCTGCACATTAAAATGCTGTGGTACTAAAATTTGAAAACACACACGTTCAATGGGAGCTGCTAACTGCCCAAATGTCATGAATTATTTTATCCAAATAAAAGTTAGTAGCAAGTCATATCTCATTTAAGTGACCCTTGTTATGTTTTTTATGTAACTGTGCTGGCAGTAGTATATATATATATATATTTATATATATGTATACATATATATATTATTGTTGTTGTTAATTAGGTCATAATCAAAGTTGCAGTTTTCAGATGTGACATTTAGATACATTGCAATCATGACAAATATTTGGATTTCAAAATGACGTGTGAGCCATTTATATTTTTGTTGTGCTTTGTTATCTTATGGGCTCCCATAAGATAACAAGGCTTCAACACTATGGCTTGAAAATGTTTTGATCTGAAAGGTATATTAGGGAACACACAGCATAATCCTACCACTTTGCTTCTGTCTGGTGAAATGTCAATTGTTTCCTCTCTCTGAGCACCAGCTGTCCAAATGGCATGGGAAGGGGCAGTGGAGGGGAAGAGAATGAAAATGAGGGAGGTTCTAAGAAGGTGGCAAGGAATTGGGATGCAAAATCCTGTGACTGCCTCTCACAGATTTCTGGAATCTTGTTATTATGTCAGCTTTTGTTTTATCCACTGTTATTGGTAGTAAGTGGAACACACTGGGTAAATACGTCCCAAGTTATTCCTTTACACTATACAGTTTTTTTCAGGGCTGTCCCACCACCCCCAATCCCATTTGAAATCAAATATAGATGTTATTTAAGCATAAAAGAGTCAGGAAGCCCTATGCTCCCCATCTGGAAAACCATGTATAAATTACTCAGGGACTCTGGGTCTTAATTTCTCATTTGTGAAATGAGAGAGAGATCTCAATTGAATTGAGTACTATTTATTTTTAAAGTCTATGATTCTTTGAAATTACAAAAAATCTATTAAACTAGAGAATTACTTTGTAATTCACAAAACCCTTTCAAAATACTTAATTCCAAAGTTATCCATAGAACAACACCAGGGTGATTACTGCACAGTATTGTAAATGGAATAAGTATGGAGATTGGGCTGAAAAATCATTCAACAAATACTTTAGTTGTCTCTTCCTTGTTCTCATCATAGAGTACAGCATGTGCACACTCATAACCTGGACTGTATAGCATAGCTACTGTTGTGGAAACTGAATTTTAACACCAAAGATAGAAGTCTTTGAGTGATTTGGCCACCTTTTCAGTCTTAAAATAAAATGGCTTAATAGCATTGCTGGGCACTGTGGCACGAGCCTGTAGTTTTGGCTGCTGGGGAGGGTGAGACTGGAGGATCTTCTGAGCCCAGGAGTTCAAGTTCCTCTGGGCACATAGTGAGATGCTGTCTCTAAGAAAAAAAAAAAAAAATAGCATTCTATGCCATTTCAACTTCTTTAACAATTTTTTAACCCTCTCTTTAGTTTGTTGATAGAGTAAGAAGACTAGTATTTACCATTTTAAGAATCTGTGCTTAAGTGCAGATTTGAGGCTTTACAACAAAATCTTTTCATTTAATCCCTCAGCAGACAGTTCTTCAAACACACCTCCCACGGTGTTCTTCAAATACTCTTTAACGTGTTAAGAAAGACCCCCCCACCCACAGCACATACAAAGGAATACACAAATGTTTATTTTATGAGCATTCTGGTTGTTTGTCTTATAGATAGCCATAAATGTATATATAAAATATACATTTTTCTCTGAAAATTCTAAAATAACCACACATCTCCAAGAATATGTTAGCAAAAGTAATAAAAATAGAAAATTATCTTAAACACTCAAGTAACTCCTTTTCCTCCCTCATCTGTAATTTTAGGGCATCCTAGAACGTTTAAATGCTGGAGAGATTGTGATTGGAGATGGAGGGTTTGTCTTTGCACTGGAGAAGAGGGGCTACGTAAAGGCAGGACCCTGGACTCCTGAAGCTGCTGTGGAGCACCCAGAAGCAGGTTGGTGCAGAGCTCTATTGTAAGTTCTCATAAAGGAGCCGGGTGTGGAGGCTCATGCCTGTAATCCCAGCAACTCAGGAGGCTGAGGTGGGAAGACCACTTGAGCCCAGGAGTTCAAGACCAGCCTGGGCACATAGGGAGACCTAGTCTCTCAGAAGTTTTTTAAAAATTAGCTGGACATGGTGGTGCACTCCTGTAGTCCCAGCTACTTGGGAGGCTGAGGCAGGAGGATCGCTTGAGCTATTTTATGCAAATGATTTTGTGTATCTGCAGCGCTTTTGTAATTTAGACTGAGTGGTAGCTAGAATTGATGGAAACCCCTGAAGAGTCTTCCTGCAAGCTGGACTTCACCTGCAACATTTTTATATATCTCATGCCTGGGCCTGACTTTTTCATGTTCTGGGCAAAAAGAAAGGAGTGGTTATGCTACAGGCCCACAATCCCCTGTCCAAACCACATTTTGGGGTCAAACATATCTTGGAATCCAGGAATCTGGGGATGTTAGAAAGTTAATACAGTACAAATGTAGCATATTATGTAACACTCCCAATGGGCCCTGAAGCAGCTCCCATTGAAACACATTAATACATTTTTGCATCAAAATACATGACTACCCTTACTAATTGAAACATGTTTATCAATACCTTCATGTTGGTTCAGGTCATATTTTGCCCCCAAATGGTTTTGCTGCAAACTTACCCAACTGAAGAAATACTTCAGAATTTTATTTGACCTTTTAGAGTTTGCTGTGGAATTTTAAAAACTTGCATTTCTCAAGCTAAATCTATAAGGCTAATCTCCAACTATGCCATGTACATATATAATCATGTATCAATGTACATTTAGCTTCTATGATTTTAAAATAAGTAATATAATGAGGAGTTAAGGCCATAAAATGAAGGTAATCAATTAGTATAAGCGACGTCATTGAGTAAAAGGGACTAGCCCTATTGTATTATGGGTTAGAGTAGGAACCTTGTGGTCAGGAAAAAGTAGGTGAAAGGATACTCAAATTACCAGCCTCATTCTCTTGCTAAAGTTTATGCCCAAAGTTATGGTTCTTGCACCCAGTGGAAGCAGCTTTAATTCAGCAATGAATTCAGGTTATCGGGGTCTGGAAGAGTTTGAGGAATCTGCCTTTCTGATAATTGCCCCCAGGTGACTCTAAGATGGATCATACTTAGAGAATCACTGCAGTTTTAGAAGCATGATGAATAATCAAGAGTGAGGAGTTGTCTTCAACTGTTTGGGATCACTGCCCTGTGGAAAAATCTGATAAAATTTTATAGACCTTCTGCACTGTAAAATGTATTTATACATAACAATTTGCACACATTTCCAGGGTTTTTTTCATGAAACCTCTGGAACTCCACCCAAGGACCATGTGAGTGGACTTCGTAGTTATAAACCATTTATTCCTAGTGTCCAGAAACCTAGTATATAGGCCTTTCAGCCCTCTCCAGCCACAGCAGCTCTGGGTTTATCTGATTGATATATGGAACTCCCTATATTTTTCATTGGTTCTGTTATTAATTAAAACAAGTTTGAAGCCCGCTAATTTAGGGATGCTTTTGAGGTCCCACTGAGAACTTTCTATGATTTAAAAAATCATGGAAAATCTTTGGCTACAAGCTTACAAATGCATTTTCTAAAATTTAAAAGCTTTTTTCACTTGTGTATTCATCTCTTTAAAAACAAAAACCAAGGTTTCTATGTTCCAGTTACTCTACTCTACTAGTCGTCTGGGAGACAAGAGATGAGTATAGACTCATCTCCAGCGTTAGCGCTGAGAGCTAAGAACTTCAGTGTCCTAGTAATTTCCTAGCCTGTCATATAGTTGCTCCTGGACCTTTGGATTTCATAAACCTCTGAAATTTCAAAATAATTTTCAGGAGCTGATATATTAATAGCATGCTGATTTCTTACTTTGCCCAGTTAATTCTCCTAACGAAAACAACCAAGTTTTTGTGAAATCCAAGTTTCACAGTCATTTTATAAAAGGAGTTTTTTTCCACTATCTTACAATGGCAGTTTTTGACAAGGCTGAAAACAAAGATGGGTTGGGGAAACTTAAAAAAAAAGATGCCTATGCCTCACTCCAAACCATTTAAGTCAGAATATCTGTGGATTTGACATTCCAATCCGTAATTTTAATTTGCAGGGGATCTAATGGGCAACCACAGCTTAGGACAGCTATTTTAAAACAAATGATAATTTCTTAAACTGAATACTTTTAGCTATATGGGGAAAAAATCCCACCATATTTCCTCCAGCTGATAAAACTTTGCCATTTGGAGGCCTCACGCCTGTAATCCTAGCACTTTGGGAGGCTGAGGTGGGCGGATCACTTGAGGTCAGTAGTTCAAGACCATCCTGGCCAACATGGCGAAACCCTGCCTCTACTAAAAATACAAAAAAATTACCAGGCGTGGTGGCAGGTGCCTGTAGTCCCAGCTACTTGGAAGGCTGAGGCAGGAGAATTGCTTGAACCCAGGAAGCAGAGGTTGCAGTGAGCCAAGATCACGCCACTACACTCCAGCCTGGGTGACAGAATGAGACTCCATCTCAAAAAACAAACAAACAAACAAACAAACAAACAAACTTTGCCATTTGGTATTCATCCATGGAACTGTGCTTGGAAATCTTGCTCCAATTCTTATTTCACCATGCTACCAGAATTATCTTTTGAAAACACTGTATTAATTACATCATCCAGTTGCTTAAAAACTATATATTTCCCTGATTCATCAACTCCAGCCACTCAAGGTACTTGTCATTCCCCCAAATGCCATGCCTGTTCCCGCTTTATTATCTTTGCTCAGGCTATTCTCTCTGGATGGAATTCCCTTCCCCACCTTCTCTGCCTGGCAGTAGCATTGAATTCTTCCAAGTGCAGCTCAAATGATTCCTCATCTTTGGACCTCCTTCGCCCCCTTGCCCCATGTCCTGGGTAGAAATGATCCCTTCTTCCTGCATAGCCCAACCATGCAGTGCTGTAGTCAGTTATTTCTGGACAGACTGTGAAGTTGTCCAAAGACAGAATAATGGATTGTTTATCCTTGTGTCCATGGGTGCCATCCACAAATACAGTCAATGAATGATAAACAAAATAAACAATGAACAAGATGAGCAAATACAGGAATATGAGCACCCCCTGCCCACCCATTCATCTAGTCATAGCAGGTTCACAGGAGTTTCCAAGAGACTTCAGATCTACCTCTCATCTACCCCTAAGATGTGCAAATGTCAAGCAACCAGAAATTCAAGCAGTTGTTTTCCTGCTTGTTTATCTGAGAGCCATTTGAAAATATCGTGTGTTAATAAACAGAAATTATACCTTTCCTCATTCACTCTCCCAGTTCGCCAGCTTCATCGAGAGTTCCTCAGAGCTGGCTCAAACGTCATGCAGACCTTCACCTTCTATGCGAGTGAAGACAAGCTGGAGAACAGGGGCAACTATGTCTTAGAGAAGATATCTGTGAGTAAAACCAGCCGTGGGACTTTTAGAAGGATATTGTCGACCTATTGCATCAACAAAGCTCCCATAGAGAAAAGGGTTCAACCTCTTCAGAGTTTTGTTTTATTTCTAATAATACAAAAATGAGAGGCGTGAATAACAACCTTAGGTTTTATTTAGCTGGAATCCCCAAAATTAACAAAGAGGCATTTAGCGAAGCAGATGAAGAAGAGGTATTTAATGATTAATGATTCTCCCAGTCTCTTGACTAAGTTGCTGAGTAAATTGGGCAACCTTACAAATTCTTTCGTCCTTAATGTTTTTAAATGTAGCATGGCTAGAGGAAAGATCATAGGCATAATAAATCAGTAAACCTGGAATAGTGCCTGACTCAAGCATGTCTACTTTGTGATGTTGAACCAACCCCTTTACCCCATCAAGGCTGAGGTTTCCAAAATTCCACGAGTGTACAGTGCTAGGTTTGGGGAGCTTTTTGTTTGTTGAGCATAACAAACAACTTTTAAAGTCTAAATAATTAGAAAAGACCTTATTAGTTATGCATGTATCTGTTAATTGAGAATATACATACAAAAACATCCTGAATTCTACAGGTATTTAAATTTAATTTTAATCTTCTCAATCATAAAAGCAAATCATCATCACCACCACTACTATTTGTTAGGTACTCTTCTAAGTGCATCTCAGGCACTGGAAGATACCAGATAACATCCTTCAATGTAAAAACTTTTACCATCTCACACATCTTTGGTACAATGTAATGTCATATATATATTTATTGTTACTATCACTATTATTAGTGTTATTGTTATGGCAAACTGTTCAACTTGGTAAAGCTTTGAACTATTCCATAACAGTCATTTTCTGGAATAAGATACTATTGTAAATATACAACTAAGATGTGAATGTTTGAATAATAATTTTATTTCAATTTCACATGAAAATTTAGATGTCTCATATACTCACCCATTTTAGGGGCAGGAAGTCAATGAAGCTGCTTGCGACATCGCCCGACAAGTGGCTGATGAAGGAGATGCTTTGGTAGCAGGAGGAGTGAGTCAGACACCTTCATACCTTAGCTGCAAGAGTGAAACTGAAGTCAAAAAAGTATTTCTGCAACAGTTAGAGGTCTTTATGAAGAAGAACGTGGACTTCTTGATTGCAGAGGTAAAGAAAGATGTGGTGAAAGATAAGACAAATACACCTAGTACATTTTCTCTACCTTTTGCTTTCAAGAGTACTGTGTGGGGTTAGGTGACAATCATAACTAGCAATAGTAATATTTAGTTTTTGAAATCGTTTTCCAATTCAGGGCTACTACTAAATTTGATTTAATTAATCTGATATGGTGTTTTTCAAACTTTTTGACTGCAATTTACAGTAAGAAATCATTCTATTTCATTTTAAAAATGCTAATGGGTCACAATTCAAAGTTTGAAAACAGTAATAATGAAGTTTTTAAGCAATAGAATACATTTTCAAATTGTTTTGGGAAAGGCTGGGCACGGTGGCTCACACCTGTAATCCCAGCACTTTGGGAGGCCAAGGCGTGTGGATCACGAGGTCAGGAGTTTGAGAACAGCCTGGCCAACATGGTGAAACCCCGTCTCTACTAAAAATACAAAAATTAGCCAGGCGTGGTGGCGGGCGCCTGTAATCCCAGCTACTTGGGAGGCGGAGGCAGGAGAATTGCTTGAAACTGGGAGGCAAATGTTGCAGTGAGCCGAAATCGCACCACAGCACTCCAGCCTGGGTGAAAGAGCAAAACTCCGTCTCAAAAAAAAAAAAAAAATTGTTTTGGGAGAAACGAGATTAAAAGTACTCTAACCTTAACTGATTCCAGTATTTTGAACACGTTGAAGAAGCTGTGTGGGCAGTTGAAACCTTGATAGCATCCGGTAAACCTGTGGCAGCAACCATGTGCATTGGCCCAGAAGGAGATTTGCATGGCGTGCCCCCCGGCGAGTGTGCAGTGCGCCTGGTGAAAGCAGGTGATGATAGATTTCAATCAGTTTGTGATTAGTAAGTCTTAAAAGAACACACTAGTGCACATCTGTCTACAAATCAGTGTATACTACTTTCGTTAACATAAAAACCATTAATTTATTTTTGTAAGAATATTGATATTATTGAATCCCAGAGGAAAAGTTTTAAAAATGGCTGGGCGCGGTGGCTGACGCCTGTAATCCCAGCACTTTGGGAGGCAGAGACGGGTGGATCATGAGGTCAGGAGATCGAGACCATCCCGGCTAACACAGTGAAACCCCACCTCTACTAAAAAATACAAAAAATTAGCCGGGACTGGTGGCGGGCGCCTGTAGTCCCAGCTACTCGGGAGGCTGAGGCAGGAGAATGGCGTGAACCCGGGAGGCGGAGCTTGCAGTGAGCCGAGATTGCGCCACTGCACTCCAGCCTGGGCGAAAGAGCGAGATTCCGTCTCAATAAAAAAAAAAAAAAAAAGAATATCCTCAGTCTATAGTTTCCAATCATCGAGAATGTTAATAGGGTTCTGTGGTTAAATACATTTAGAAAATGCTGTGTTAAACCAAATTAAGCAGATATCTTGTTTTGTTTTGTTTTTTGAGACGGAGTCTTGTCACACTGCAGCCCAGGCTGGAGTGCAATGGCGCAATCTTGGCTCACTGCAATCTCCGCCTCCCAGGTTCAAGCGATTCTCCTGCCTCAGCCTCCCGAGTAGCTGGGATTATGGGCACCCGCCACCATGCCTGGCTAATTTTTTGTATTTTTTAGTAGAGACGGGGTTTCACTATTTGGTCAGGCTGGTCTCGAACTCCTGACCTCGTGATCCACCCGCCTCGGCCTCCCAAAGTGCTGGGATTACAGGTGTGAGCCATTGCGCCCGGCCTTAGGCAGATATCTTTACTGTGGAACTTATCAATATCTTTGATATGTTCACATATATTCCTAGTCTCCAAGAAGGTGATGTGGTGAACAGCTACTTCCTAACTTAATTGATCATGGAACATTATTTTCATGGACCAAACCTTGGAAAACCCTGTGCTAAATTATAAAATTGTTGATGTCAGGAACAATGTCCTTTATTTCTACTTCTCTATAATCTCTTGCAAGGAGGCTTACACCTAAAAGACATCCAATAAATAGCCAACATATTATTAATTTATTAATATAATGAAGTTAATTAAGCAAGGAAAGAGAAACTCTGGCAGCACAACATCCAAAAAAAAAGGGTAGCCAAAAATCTTCAACAGCTTATAGCTTAGTTGATATCAATGATCTTCCCACTTGGTTCCAGACTTGGATATTGTGGATATATATACTTGTGAGTATATGTATACACAATCTGATGAATATATATATATAAAATATATAAGTATATGTATATATACACACACATATTCTGGCTACATAGGTATACACACACATACAAGTATATTTACTTCTGGATACTTGCATATATCCACAATATTCAAATCTGGAGCCCAATGGGAAGGTCAGGGTAAGAGAGAGGAATATGGGAGAGACCTGGATATAGATGGTATTGAAAGCCTAGGACAGAAAAGGAAGTTTAAATGGGGAAGAAAAGATGAATCAGTGCAATCTTGGAACACTCCAGTTGAGAGTTTTAGCCTTGAGGAGGAGACAGCACAGAACATGAAGACATTTTTAAAAAGAATATTAAACAGGACATTTATTAAAATAATAAACCAGCAAAGTAGAAACAATACTTGGACAGTGTGTGGGAAGTTGCAGAAGCCAAGAGAAGGGGAGTGTCAATGAAGGAGGAAGTTGTCCACTAGGTTGCATACTGCTGAGAGCTTCAGTGAGATGAGAACAGAGAAGCAGCTGCTGGATTTGGCAAGGTTGAGGTCATTGGTAACCTTAACAAAAGCTGTTTCAGAGGAATGAAGGGGAGTGAGGCCTACTTGGAACAAGAATGAAGAGCAAACTGCAGACCCAGCCCAGCAACAGCAAAGACACCTGCCACTCACCACTGGATTCCATGGGTTGTGGCACCAGCTCTGCTGCTCCTGGGAGCTGAACACTGGGGTCACTCATCACTCATGCTGCATCCAGAAATAATCTCTCTTGCTCTTGTTCTTGGTATCTCTATATACAAAATACAAAATCCTAGGCCATGAGTCCATCCAAAAAAGTCCTTTTTGGTTGGTTGGTTGGTTGGTTGGTTGGTTCGTTGGTTGGTTGGTTGGTTTTGAGACAGAGTTTTTGCTCTGTTGCCCAGGCTGGAGTGCAATGGCACCGTCTTGGCTCACTGTAACCTCCACCTCCTGGGTTCAAGTGATTCTCCTGCCTCAGCCTCCCAAGTAGCTGGGATTACAGATGTGTACTACCACGTCCAGCTAATTTTTGTACTTTTAGTAGAGACGGGGTTTCACCATGTTGGCCAGGCTGGTCTTGAACTCCTGACCTCAGGTAATCCACCCGCCTCAGCCTCGCAAAGTGCTAAGATTACAGGCATGAGCTACTGCACCTGGCCCAAAAAAGTCCTTTTTGGGGGTGGAAACAATCTCAGAGTTCATCAACAGGTGAATGGATAAAACAAAATGTGGTGTATCCATACAATGAAATATCATGCAGCTATAAGAAGAAATGAAGTTCTCAAACATGCCATAACAGGGATGAACCTTGGAAACATCATGCTAAGTAAACTAAGCCACTCACAAAATGACAAATATCATATGATTTTGTTTATATGACATATCTAGAATGGGCAAATCCACAGAGACAGAAAGTAGATTTGAGGTTACCAGGGGCTAGCAGAAGGGGAAAATAAGGAGTTAGTTCTTAATGGGTAGAGTTTCTCTTTGGGGTATCGAAAAAATGTGGAAATAGTGATAATGGTTGCACAACATTGTGAATATAATTAATGCCACTTAAAAATGGCTAAAATGCGCCAGATGCAGGGGCTCATGCCTACAATCCCAGCACTTTGGGAGGCAAAGGTGTGAGGATCGCTTGAGGCCAGAAGTTCAAGACCAGCCTGGGCAACATAATGAGGCCTTGTCTCTACAAAAAAATAAAATTTTTTAAAAAGGTTAAAATGCCCAGTTTTACATGATATATATTTTACCACCATTTTTAAAATGCAAAAAAAAAAAAAGGAAAGAAAAGTCCTATTTGGGAATTCCTCCCACTTTGAGAGGAGAGAGTAAAAGAATTATAATGTCATAATGCCTTCTCAAATCTTCTGGAGGAGGAAACTTCCAAAATCATGTCTAGTGATTGCCATGGTAAATCATCTGTGGTCCAAATATAGTTAAGAACATAATGACTATAAAGAAAGTTTTTGAAGAAAATGAAATATCTAAAACATAGTTTGTTCTCACTAAATCAAACTTCACAGCACCAAATTTTACAAGAATACTGTAGGAAGACAATCCCATATAGTTGTGAGTCTGGGGAGGCTGAAATGTAAATTAAAAGCTTGTCAAAATGATTGATAGGCTAGTAACCACATTGAGTAGCTGAAGTCAAAGGATTTTTGAGATTCTTTTTCCCCAAACTATTAATCCTAGACACAAAATTCCTTCTAGCAAACACGTGTCTAAAAAACTTTTTTCTAAATTACATTCTGCTGCTGTGCCCAAGAAGGCTAATGAACTTATTAAGTTGGCCTGGTGAAAAGGAATATTTATTTACACCTCAAGCAAGCAGTATGGTAAACACAGGTGTAGTCTAGCAGCTGGGAGTGTTGAAAAATTATTGTGCTTGCAACATAATGTCCAACGTTGAAAGTTTGACTACTAAAATTTGAAGTTTAAAAAAATTCTAATAATTTTTTTTTGAAAAAAGATGGATAGGGCTGGGCATGGTGGCTCACACCTGTAATCCCAGCACTTTGTGAGGCTGAGCTGGGCGGATCACAAGGTCAGGAGATGGAGACCATCCTGGCCAACATGGTGAAACCCTGTCTCCACTAAAAACACAAAAATTAGCCTGTCGTGGTGGTGTGCGCCTATAGTCCCAGCTACTCAGGAGGCTGAGGCAGGAGAATCACTTGAACCCAGGAAGCAGAGGCTGTGGTGAGCTGAGATCGTGCCACTGCACTCCAGCCTGGGCAACAGAGCAAGAGTCTGTGTCTCAGAAAAAAAAAAAAAAAAAAAGAGATGGACAGCCAAATGTGCACAAATTACACTTCAATTATACCAGACTCTTCAAAGCACTTTCACAGAAAGCACTTCCTGCCTGCTAGTAATCATTCTCACTCAAAGGTAAGAGGTTTGTGGGGAATGAGGACCTAATGCTATGCTTCCAGTTCATCATTCCAATTAAAAGCTTCCTGCTGGGTGTGGTGGCTCATGCCTGTAATCCCAGCAGTCTGGGAAGCTGTTGGATCACTTGAGCTCAGGAGTTCGAGACCAGCCTGGGCAACATGGCGAAACCCCATATCTATAAAAAAACAAACAAACAAACAAAAATTAGCCAGACGTGGTGGCACACACTTGTAGTCACAGCAACTTGGGAGGCTGAGGTGGGAGGATTGCTTGATCACTTGAGGTGGAGACTGCAGTGAGCTGAGATCACGCTACTGCACTCCAGCCTGGGCAACAGAGTGAGATTGTGTCTCAAAAAATGAAAAAAGAACTTCCTGATTCCTGATGAAGAGAGGAGAGCTGGCCCTGCTGGTTTCTGGTGCATCCCTAAGTCTATCATGTTCTTCCCACTCACAGGAGCATCCATCATTGGTGTGAACTGCCACTTTGACCCCACCATTAGTTTAAAAACAGTGAAGCTCATGAAGGAGGGCTTGGAGGCTGCCCGACTGAAAGCTCACCTGATGAGCCAGCCCTTGGCTTACCACACTCCTGACTGCAACAAGCAGGGATTCATCGATCTCCCAGAATTCCCATTTGGTAAGACCAACATTTGATGAATCATCTCAATATCTTCATTTGATATGCATATAAACTCAAGTAAATCTATACCCAGAGATCTTTTGTCATAGTGAAGAGATGGCTTGGTGTCTCCTCATGTCTTGTCCCTGGTTTCTGTCCCTGCAGCCAAAAGCCCCTTCGTATTAGAGAAGAGCAGAAGGAAAGGATGGTCCCAGCTAGCAAAAAAGATCTCTGAATTTAAATATAAAATCTAAGGTGAATCAGCATCTAAACAGACAACTAGTGAGTCATACTTTGGGGTTGGTGAGGATGCCCTTCATGGGAGAATCAACAGATATTTAGTTCTAGTTCCAGCTCTGTTGCTAAGTCCTGTCACCTTAGGAAAATCTTTAAATTCCTCTAGCTCTCAAATTCTTTATTGGGAAAATAAGATCAGACCAGTTATCTCTAAGGTCCTTTTCTCCAATTTTTAATATGGCTCAGCTACTCCAGAGTTTTGGGATTGCAGGCAAGATACCATCATCGAGTGACTGTATAACAAGTTTTAATGAAGAGACCAAGCAGATGAAGTGAGGGGATACTTGCAGTCCAGGCAGAAGGAAAAACTTTCCCAGCATGATTGGGAAGAGCGGGTGGGTTGATCTCACAAATTAAGCCAGAGTGGTCAGCAGGGGCAGAGCATGCCCAGCCTCCTATTTCCTTCTAAGGTCTTTACACCCTATCCTATATTTTATAGGGACCCTTAGACAAGTAAGATATTATAAAATACAATCACTCTGGAGGAGCCACAGAGGAAGAAAGGCAAGGCATTTGTGTTACTTACTGCTGTATAACACATTAAATTAATGCAAAATGTAGTGGCTTGAAAAACCACTTCTTATCTCACAGTTTCTCCAGGTCAAGAATTCAGGGATAGCATAACTAGGTGGTTTTGGTTCAGGGTCTCCTAAGAGGTTGGAGTCCGGATATTTGCCAGGGCTATTATCACCTGAAGGCCTGTTGGGAGCTGGGGGATCTACTTCCTAGCTCACTTAATTGGTTTTTGGGAGTTAGTGTCAGTTTCTTGCTGTCTGTTGACTGGGGGCCTCAGTTCCTCAGCTCATGGGCCTTTTCACTGTGATGCTAGAAAACATGCTTGAAACATGTGATGCTTGCAACATGGCAGCTGGCTTTCCCCAGGGTGAGTGCTCCAAGAAAGTGCAAGGCAGAAACCATGATGTTTTGTATAGCCTAGACTCTGAAGTCACATGCCAGTTCTGCCATATTCTATGGATCTCACAGACCAGCCCTGTTATAATGCAAGAGGGGACTGCACAAGAAGAAAAACATCAAAGGGCAGGGGTCATTTGGAACCTCCTGAAGGCTGGATACCACAGCATGTAAAAGTGAACATACAACACAAAGTAGCAAAGTTTTTTCTTAAATGTAAAAATTGAATATTGAAAACAATTCATTTATTGAAAATTACATACTTGTAGCTACTTATCTTGAATTTTTATGAAAAGAATGTATAATGCCTAATGGCATAATGCCACTTATTACAGGACTGGAACCCAGAGTTGCCACCAGATGGGATATTCAAAAATACGCCAGAGAGGCCTACAACCTGGGGGTCAGGTACATTGGCGGGTGCTGTGGATTTGAGCCCTACCACATCAGGGCAATTGCAGAGGAGCTGGCCCCAGAAAGGGGCTTTTTGCCACCAGCTTCAGAAAAACATGGCAGCTGGGGAAGTGGTTTGGACATGCACACCAAACCCTGGGTTAGAGCAAGGTAAGCATCTTTTTACTAACCCAAACTAATTTAGATTATGAATATGTTCAAGTGAGGCCATTTAGAAGACTGCAGCAAATTTGTTGTGTGATGATGAAGAATCAGTCATCCCCAAATTCTCTCCCAGAGATGTTTACAAAGCATCCTTATTAGGTGATTTCTGGAGATTGTTTTAAGAATATAGAACGTATTTGACCTGATTTTGGATTTTGAAAAGAAAAAGAAAAATTTTTTTAAAAATTGTTTTTAAATATAGGCTGGGTGCGGTGGCTCGCGCCTGTAATCCCAGCACTTTGGGAGGCCAAGGTAGGAGGATTACTTGATCTCGGGAGTTTGAGACCAGCATGGGCAAGATGGCAAAACTCCATCTCTACTAAAAATACAAAAAAAAAAAAAATTAGCTGGGCATAGTGGTGCATGCCTGTAATCACAGCTACTTGGGAGGCTGAGGCACAAGAATTGCTTGAACCCGGGAGGCAGAGGTTGCAGTGAGCCAAGATCACGCCACTGCACTCCAGTTTGGGCAACAGAGTGAGACCCTGTTTTAAAAAAAAAAAAAAAAAAGAATATAGCATGTAAATAAACGTAAGTGGCAATGAAATGTGATTTTGTGCTCTAGTAAAGCACCATTAGTGTGGTGCACAATACTCTTAAATTGCATTGATTTTTAAGAGTTAAGGACCACTTAAGTATAGCTAATACTGATTGTTCTATATCAAGCATGATTTTCAGAGCTGGGAATACGGTGGCAAATAAGACAGGCAAGGTCTTTGCCCTCAGAGTTTACATTCCAATGGGGAAGATGAATAATACACTAGTAAAAAAAAATGTATGTCAGGCACTGGGAAGGGCAGTAGGAATATAGAAATGAGAAGCCGTGGATTAGAGACTCACAGTCTACTGGGTAAAAGAATACGAAAGCCAATGTATTATACTGTGGTAGCTGCTTTAGTAGATGTATGGATAGAAAAGTAACAAGAGAAGAGAATGACTATCTCTGCCTAACAGAAAGATATTTTAAAAGAAGGGTTTTGGGGCTGGATTTTGAAGGCTCAATAGGCTCCTACCATATAGAGAACTAGGAAGCGGGTGGAGGACAGGTGCTCCAAGGAGAGGTAGCAGTTCCACTCTGTTCAGCAGCTATTAACAGAGCACAGCTATCTGTCAGATGCTGTTGTGGATGCTGAGGTAGCAAGCTAAACAAGGAGCTAGCAATCTAGCAGGCAGAACGATAAGCAGGTAATGTCCAATGAGTATAGTAAGTCCAAGGATGAAGATGTGCATAGGTGTGCAGGGTCTGAGCTAATGTCCCAAGGGGCAAAAGGCAGAGAGAGGGTGAATGAAGGATTTCTAAGAAAGCTGATGCCTGAGTTGAATTCTGCGAGAGGAATTACATTGCTAGAGGAACAGCCCTCAGGAAAGCACTGAGAAGTGGAAAGAGAATGACACATTGAGAAACTGGAAGTTTGAGAATAGCAGAGACAGAATTTGGTGAAAGACACCTCCCAGGAGGAGGAGGCAGCCTCTTTATTCATGCTCAGGAGTTATGTAGGACCCCATCCCAAAGGCAAAGAGGAGCCTGGGTGGTCTCAGGTAGCCCAGGGCAAGGTTAGATTAGCAAGTTAGCAAGTTGTAATCGCCATGTGAGGAAGACTTGCTAGGAGGGACAGCAGACAGGTTGAGGCCTGAGCTAGAAGGAAGCAAAGGAAATAGAAGGGCAGAAGTGGAGCCTGCAGAGTGAGAGGTGCAGAAGTTATCCAGGGTTTGGGGAAGAATAACCAAGGTGAACTCAGCTGGCTCATGAGGATGTGAGGAAGGACAGGTAGTGTAAGTGGAATAGACAGTACTCCTATCCCAAATTTTCCCTGTACATATATTAAAAGAAGAAATTCAAGGTGGGCATAGTGACTCACACCTGTAATCCCAGCACTTTGGGAAGCTGAGGCAGGCGAATCACTTGAGCTCAGGAGTTTGAGACCAGCCTGGGCAACATGGCGAAACCCTGTCTCTACAAAAAGTACAAAAATTAGCTGTACTAATTTTGTACCTATGTGGTGGCATAGGCCTATAATCCCAGCTACTCAAAAGGCTGAGGCAGAAGAATCACTTGAACCTGGGAGGCGGGGGTTGCAGTGAGCCAAGATCGTACCACTGCACTCCAGACAGGGTGACAGAGTAAGACCCTGTCTCAAAAAAGAAATTCAAAGTAACTTTAGACTTACAGATTGAGGGGAGGGGGTGGAATTTTTAGTCCAGATTAATGTGTGTTTTAATGGATGCACTCTGAGAATCCAAAGATGGCTCCCTCAATGTGCACTCATAACAGAACAAGAAATCACATCAGTTTTTACATCAAAGGGCACCTTCTATGACAAAAACCATTGTTAATGAGGCAGATGCCTCTGGAGGAAACACTGTAAAAAGCCTTCCAGCAGAATGGACCGCTTCCCAGTCCCTCAACTGCTTCTGATGTTTCTTCTCATCTACAAAAGTAAAATACAGTGTACAGTAACCTTTTAATCAAAACACAGCATCATGGATGGAGACAAAGCCTGTTGCTGATGGTTGTTGCTGTTCAGCAGCTGACACGGGTATTCTAGTGATGCTACTGTGCTGCTTAGTTACCCTGAGCACATGATTTTTTCACTGTGTTAATGGTATGTCATACTTTTCCTGTTAAGTATTAATGTGTGGATAAGTGTAAGCAAATGATTGTTTATCAGTAGCATATAAATTCGTAGTCAGGAATCATGGTGAAGCCAAACAACCACAGACTGCCCACACAGGTGGCTGAGATTGACACCTTTGCTTTTTAATGTCTGATAGGCAACTTTGTGTGCTGCGTGAAATTATTTAAAATATTATATAATTTTTAAATGGTTCCATGATATAAAGACCAAAGCTAGGGGAGGAGTCTGTTGTCTGGTGTCATGTGTTTTGTTCACACAGGGCCAGGAAGGAATACTGGGAGAATCTTCGGATAGCCTCAGGCCGGCCATACAACCCTTCAATGTCAAAGCCAGATGGCTGGGGAGTGACCAAAGGAACAGCCGAGCTGATGCAGCAGAAAGAAGCCACAACTGAGCAGCAGCTGAAAGAGCTCTTTGAAAAACAAAAATTCAAATCACAGTAGCCTCGATAGAAGCTATTTTTGATGAATTTCTAGGTGTTTGGGTCACAGTTCCTACAAATACGGAAAAGGGGGTTAAAAAGCAGTGCTTTCATGAATGCCATCCTACACATATTATTGCTATTACCTGAACAAAATAGAATTACAAATAGCACTTGATAATTTTAAAGTATGTTTTAGAAATTTTCTTAGGAGCAAAATAAGTACAAAGTAAATCTTGAACAGGTTCACTAAGCACCCACCCTGTGAAAAGTATTATGGAAATCACTGCTGCACAGGAAAAGTAATTCAGATGTTAATGCCACTTGAAGAAGTTGGTAGGCTAGCAAAGAGGATGAGACATGAACTGTCATAAAGGACTCAGCAACCAGCCAGGGACAGATAAAGCGCTATGGAAAGGGGCTTCCAAGTTCTTTTGAACATGACCCTTAGTAACAAACACAATTTATATAATGACCCAGCAAAACACATCACATCTTACTGTCGAAATTAAATGTGTGATCCATCCTAGTATTTTCTGTTCCATTCCTTTTCATTCTATTTCATTTATAAAACATGCTAGTTGAGACTTTTCAAATGGATTTTTATGACCCACTACTGGGTTTGGATCCACAGTTTGAAAAATATTGCTACAAGACACTTAAGGAGACCATCCTGTTTAAGTTTATTCTTATAAGTAGGTCAGTCATATGAGACCTGATCAATAAATATCCAATACCCAGAGTCCTGCTCTCAGAGTTCTTCTGTTTCGTGACCCACTTTTCTACCAGTAAAAGACATAGACCAATGGGGAGGAGGGGAGGAGAGATGGATATTTCAGCCCTCTCCATCCTAGTCAACACTGGATCCACCTAGTGCCTCTGGGCCATAAGGCTGAGCAGAGTGAGCTTGTATTAGTTGGTAGCTTTTAAAAAATATAATAAGAAAAAAGTAGAGATTCTCCAAACTCTAGCCTGGTTTCCTAGATTGAGAACTATGATATTTTTCTCTGATAATTTAATATCTACTCTCCTACAAAAGCTCAAGCCTGAAGATACAAGACTATTAGAAGAAACATGACTACCCTCAGTGTATTAGAAAAGAGGTCATGCAGCTTTCTAAACATTATTGAATTGTTTGAGCTGTTTTGAAATTGTAATTCTTTTCAGCTATTAAAAAGAAGAGCAATGAGACTATATTGCTTGTATTTTATTCTTATCCTGGTTCTACAATTTGCTAAGTCTTACATGAAACCTCTATACCTCAATTTCTTCACCTATTTAAAAGAAAAACCTACTTCACAAGTATGCTGGAATTTTAAAGGAGCAGGTGGCAGTATTTAAAAGGAAAAGAGGCCCTACTGGCTCTTTCTGGAGAGCCAGTCAGGGAATTCTAGAAAACAAAAATAGGCCAGGTGTGGTGGCTTACGCCTGTAATCCCAGCACTTTGGGAGGTGGACGGATTACTTGAGGATAGGAGTTCAAGACCAGTTTGGCCAACATGGTGAAACCCTGTCTCTACTAAAAATACAAAAATTAGCCAGGTGTGGTGGCACACACCTGTAGTCCCAGCTATTCGGGAGGCTGAGGCATGAGAATCACTTGAACCTGGGAGGCAGAGGCTGCAGTGAGCTGAGATTGCACCACTGCACTCCAGCCTGGGAGACAGAGTGAGACTCTGTCAAATAAATAAATAAATGGAAAGGCAAAGAAATTGCTAGAATTTTGTTACTAAGAGTTAATAATCCACCCCTAATCCCTCAATGCACAGAAACAGAGCCAAAGCAGCACAACTTTCAGAGGCTGCATATGGCTAGTGGAAACAAGAGTGAACTCCACTTGTTTTTTGTTTTTTGTTTTTTTTTTTGGCAAAGTTGTTATCTATCATTTCTCTTATATTCTCAAACCAAGCTCAGTATTTAAAGCTTTCACTCACAGATGACATTTTATTGGACTTGCTGTTCTATTACTGTGTAAAATGCATGTTCCTTTAATATTCTTTTCAGAGTTTTGTTGCCACCAAAATATTATAACCTTTAATCATTTTTATATCCATCGTTTTTTAAAATATTTTTCTGAAAAGGAGCTATGGTAAAGACATTCTTGAATTAAATTATATGTCAACACTGCCTCCTAGTGGTATAGTTCATATTTTGAAATTGTTTTTAAAATTTCAGTCCCTCCTCCAAACATGTGCATTTTATTTCCAGAAATCTTGTTCATTAAGAGAGAAAGCTCATTTAATACCTAAGAGTTGATTTATGTTAAATAGACATTTCTCACTGGTAAATATTTTTTATGGACTCCGAACCAGAGGGACCTTAGAGATCAAAAGTCCAAACTATCCTTTTAAGGATAAGATTACCAAGGCAGGATGCAAAGTCAGGAAGCACTTCTCACTATTCCAAGGCTGTCAAGAAAGACGGCTTTAGCTTAGCCTTTTGTAGGAAGGGTTGGGGAAGCTGGGGGGCAGTACCAGAACAGATGGTCCACAAAACTAAGGAGTCATCCTCCAGCCAGGAATAAAATAAAGGTCTTTGGCGTTACTCAGAGTAAACATGAACTCACTAAATAAACTGTTTGCAGTTTGTACTCTGACACTTCTACACACTGTAGCAAACCACCTTTGGATAAGACAGCCAAGCCAACGCAGACCCCTAAAGGAAACAAGAACTGCGCAGGAATGAATCAAGAACATCCGTTCCCAACTTCTCCAGATGGGGGCAGCAGGTCGCCAGCAGGAAATGCATGAGTAACCTTATTTTGTTTGAACTTAAGTTATTTCATCAGGCTAAGCTCTAACAGTTTTGGTCAGTTTTTTCTTAAGACATGTGGATCTTTGAATCACATCCAGGACAACGCACCCATCAAGAAAAGCCTTTAACAAGTTTGAGTCAGGAATTAAAAAAGAGGAAGGAAGGGAGAAAGGGAGGGAAAAAGGGAGGGAGAACGGGAGGGAAGGAAAGAAAGGAGAGAGGGAGGGAGGGAGGAGAGAGGCAGGGAGGGAGGAAGGAGGGCGGGGAGGGACTGCAGGAGAGCAGGCAGGCAGGCAGGCTTTATGCATCTCCAACTAGATCCCCATTTTCCCCAGAAACGTTTTTTTTTTTCCAGCCTTCAGCACACTGAAGGGCTTGAGGGCTTTATAGACTGTTCTCCCAAATAGCCTCCTTGATAGTCAATAACATCCACTCAGTCAGTCTGGAACCTCCCACGTGTTACCTGCCAGGTCAAGGACCCTGGCTCTTAGATAACAAAGGAGGAAGAAGTCAATTTCAAGAGAGAAAAATAGGACTTATGAACGGCTTCAGAAATAGTATGCCTGGTGGGATGTTAAACGACAGAATTAGAGATAGCAAGGTATAATATTTCTAAACATCTTCAGGAAGGAATATTTAGTGTTTGAACAGAAAATGATGAAAGGCAGGCAAATGCAAAGAATTCTCAAAAATGGTAACAGGAAGGGTAGGATCCTTTGGTAAAATTGGTGGGAGTGTGGTGAGAGAAAGGAATGGCCAGAAAATGCTTCCGGTTTTCAAGCAGCTGGAGGCATTCTGTTGGCATTGGATAGATGAAAAATTAAGATGATGGAAAATGAGAGAGACAGATGTCATCATTTATGCTGCTGTGAGTTACAGGAATAATACCAAACAAGTCATGTACAGCAAAACAGTAAAAACAGGTTAATTTATATGCCATGAAATCAAACGCATGATCATTTTAACTTGTGGTTAGATGGTTAGATGTTTACATTTAAATTTATTAAAGCTTCCAGGCTGGGCACGGTGGCTCACGCCTATAATCCCAGCAGTTTGGGAGGCCAAGGCAGGCAGATCACTTGAGGTCAGGAGTTCAAGACTAGCCTGCCAACATGGTGAAACCCCATCTCTACTAAAAACGCAAAACTTAGCTGGGCGTAGTGGCAGGCGCCTGTAATCCCAGCTACTTGGGAGGCTGAGGCAGGAGAATCACTTGAACTTGGGAGGCGGAGGTTGCAGTGAGCCGAGATCGCACCACTGCACTCTAGCTTGGGCAACAAGAGTGAAACTCCATCTCAAAAAAATAAATAAATAAAAATAAAAATAAATAAATTTATGAAAGTTTCCTATGTAAATACTTACATGAAATGTATTAAGGGAAACATTTCACTTATTTTTAATAAAAAGATATTTCTCTAAATGCCTGAACTATCTTTAGCAGTCATCACTTGCATGCAAACTGTTAATGTACCCTTCAGAAATTATTCCAGTTTGTTCTTTTGGGCAGGTTCAGTAAGACCTCTGCTTGGCCCCATTCTGTGGTTATTTGTTCCAATTTACTACATGATCTTGAAAGGAAAAAGCTGAATATCTTTTTAAATAGTTCAGACTTTTTCTCAAGTCAGCCTGGTCATTCTTCCAATTATTCTGACTTAATGAGATTTTACTGTTCTTTGCAAAAGTTAACGTCCTAAACACCTGAGGTAGCTTAGTGGAATTCACCTATGGCTCAAAAACACTAGTGGCACATAGCAGAAAAAGCAAGGAAGACATTTAGAATCAAGACTTTGGGGTGCAAGTCCTAGCTTTGCCCCAACTCCCTGCAGAACATTGGGTAAATCACCCCACTTCTCTGTCCTTCAATTTTCTCAACTGTAGGATAACAAGTTTCTAATGCCTTGCTGGAAAACTCCACAGTTGTTTGCGATTTGATGATATAAATAAATAATAGCCTCATCATTGTCAATAAATATTTACTGAATGCCACTTGGTGGTATGTTTCCAGCGGACTGAAATTGTTAATTAATTATTCCCCTGGCTAAACAGACAGCCGACTAAAACAAGTAACACTGTTCAGAGGGCAGGGAAAATGTTACTACCCTAGACTCAGCCTGGTGCTGAAAAATGAAAATGTCATTCCTCCCCACAGGTACTGTTTTCTAAGGAGACTTGGGTCTGTGGTTTTTCATATTATGAACTGTTTCTATTTTCAAGGTTCAGAATTCTTTGTAGATTTGCATAAGCTAAATATTCTAAAAATCATCAAGTGAGTAATTTTTGGTTTAGAGTCCTTCATCTACCTAGGAAGGGAGAGAGCTGGCTTCTCACATTTTGAGAATAGGAGAGTGGAATTTGGGAGCTAGACACCTCAGGATTTTTTTCCTTCCATCAGGCCATTCTCAGCAGCTTGATGACTCCCAGATTTCTCTCTCCAGCCTGGACTACTCCCCAGCATTCAGGCACATGATATCAGCCTGGCCTGTAGACCCAAGCCAGCGGTCCGTGGCCCGGACCCTGTACCTCAGGCCCCAAGCCACTTCCCATGGCCATTCAGGCAGATGCCCCAGGTCTGGAGCAGGTCCCACATGGATCCTGGTTGTCAGAGGCACCTTCCTCAAAATTGTTTACATCCTCCTCCAGTGGCTGAGAGCAGCCAGGGCCAGCTGTGCCATCTAGGAAGGGAACCCCAAGCCTGGACCAGTCAGCATGGGACCCAGTCCTCATTTGTCTCCTTCTGAGTGTTCAGTGACCCTGTACATCCCCGTACCATGTCCCTCACACCCACCCCACTCCTGGAGTGACCAAGTGCCCTAAGAAGCCTAAGGCTTTATGTTGGTCCTGGTTCCAGGAGGGAGCCCTGGTGATAGGATGGCTTCTGCTGGCAGGAACTGTATTTTATCCCAAGATCTGGTGAGATTGGGCTACCCAGTATGGTGCTGACACTCTGATTTTGGCTGACTCACATCAGACACAGGACAAGTTCAGGACCTTTGCCCCTTGCCTTGAGCAGTGAACGTAGGCCTTCATTGGCTCTCACCTGTGAGGGTTCTGACTGCAGCAATACCTATGGTCTGCAGCACTCAAGCGTAAACAAGAATCTAACATAAAATGAATTATTGACACTTCATGTATATATATATATATATATATGAATATATATTCATATATATGAATATATATGAATATACATATGAATATATATATGAATATACATATATGAATATATATATTATATACGAATATATATATGAATATATACGAATATATATACGAATATATAAACGAATATATACGAATATATATACACGAATACATATACGAATATATATATACGAATACATATACGAATATATATATACGAATACATATACGAATACATATACGAATATATATATACGAATACATATACGAATATATATATGAATATATACGAATATATATATGAATATATACGAATATATATATGAATATATACGAATATATACGAATATATACGAATATATGTGAATATATACGAATATATGTGAATATATATGAATATATGTGAATATATATGAATATATGTGAATATATGTGAATATATATGAATATATATGAATATATGAATATAAATGAATATATATGAATATATATGAATATATATATGAATATATATAAGAATATATATACGAATATATATGAATATATGAATATATATGAATATACATATATGAATATACATATGAATATACATATATACGAATATACATATGAATATACATACGAATATACATGAATATACATACGAATATACATGAATATACATACGAATATATATGAATATACATACGAATATATATACGAATATACATATACGAATATATATACGAATATATATACGAATATATGTGAATATATATACGAATATATGTGAATATATATACGAATATATATATGAATATATGTGTATATATATGTGAATATATATGAGAATATATATGTGAATATATATGTGAATATATATGTGAATCTATATGTGAATCTATATGTGAATATATATGTGAATCTATATGTGAATATATATGTGAATCTATATGTGAATATATATATGAATATATATGTGAATATATATGAATATATATGTGAATATATATGAATATATATGAATATATGTATATATACGAATATATATGAATATGTATATGAATATATATGAATATGTATATGAATATATATATTGGTATAGATATAGATATATATGTTAGTTTGAGACAGTCGTTCTGTCACCCAGGCTGGAGTGCAGTAGTATGAGTTCAAGCAATCCTCCCATCTCAGCTTCCCAAGTAGCTGGGACTACAAGTGCACACAACCAAGCTGGGATGATTTTTGTATTTTTGTAGTGATGGGGATTCACCATGTTGCCCAAACTGTTCTCAAACTCTGGGCTCAAGTGATCAGCTCACCTCTGTCTCCCAAAGTCCTGGGATTACAGGCATGAGCCACTGTGCCCAGCCTGTTCCCATATATTCTTGGTAAGACTTGCAGTTGTGGTCATCATCAACAAAGCACAGTAACCACCTCACAGAGAGTCATTTAATGGATGCCAGTTTTCAGAAGCATCCATTGATGCTTAATGTACCACCAGGAGTAATGATATAACCAGTATTAAACAAATGGTGTTGGGGAGCTACAGAAACAAGATCCATATTGTCTCAATACAGTTTCCAAAGAAGCATGGCATTGTCAGTAATAATGGCATTGCTATGTTTTTCTCACAATGGGAGATATGAAAGTATCACATGTGACAATAAAGAACAAGAGATTGTCCCTGTTCCTCAATAGGGACAGATGGTGTCTGGATACTATGAAGAATCTTTATGTGCACTAATTGGACAACAAGCAGTTACCTCTTCTCAACCCATTATTCTAAATCCTCATGAACATGTCACTCACTATACCTCACACAGGCCCATGAATGTTTAGATATGTTTTTAAATCAAATACCTTTAAAAATATATTTTAAAATCTAATTTTATATATATATATATATATGTAGGTGCTCCATAAAAATATTTTCCCAGAGCTCTCCACACCCAAGGAGCAGCCCAGTTGGACTCTGAAAACAAGGTCCTGATCTTCCCTTGCCCACTTAAACTTGTCTCTCCCACAGGATCTTTCATATTTGAAAATGGAAGTTCTACTCTTCTAGTTGCTCAAGCCAAAATCTTGAAGTCATCCTAGACTTTTCTCTTCCTCTTATACTCACATTCAATACATCAGCAAAGCCTGTCAGATCTACCTACAAAATGCATCCAAATTTGACTGCGTTCCACTTCCTCCTCCTTATTTCCTAGGGAGTAATGGACTAAGCTGCCATCATCTCTCACCTAGAATATTTCACAATAAATTTCTCTACAAGTTCCCTTAATTCCTCCCTAGTCTCCCTCAGATCTATTCTCCATAGAGTGTCCTGAATGATTCTTTTAAGAACTAAGTCATATCATGTCAGTCATCATTTCAAAACTTTGCAGTTGCCTTGTGTCACAGATCTTGAGTCATGCACTCAGATGTCCCTTCAAGGAAGGACAGGCTGCCCATCTGTGGGTTATGTGACTGCAGCCCCCAGCTGCCATCCCCTTCAATGTCAAAGCTGCAGACCCTTTGTTCAAAGTCACATCCTTCCCAGGCCAGCCTGCATCTGATGCCTGAGCAAAGCAAGGGCATAAAACCCTGGCATTCTGGCCTGACTAGCGGCAACTCTGACAGGAGATATTCTCTCCAGAACTCACCACCAGATTGGCCTAGGCATTTTTTGACCTGCATTGCAGTTCAGCTTCTACTTCTGCCCAGTCCTATCTCCTCTTCCTCTCTTTTCAAAAGTGTCAGACTGCACTGCAGTCTGAAGGGTGTCTCTGCCTACTCCTGTGCCTTCTACCTTTAATTTTCACTAGTATTTCCACTGCCCCTCCAGCAAAATCTTGCACTTCTATGTCCTTCTCAGCATGTGATTCCCAGAGGACAAAAAATGGCTCATTTTCCTTGACTGCCCTATGTGAAATAGCAACACACCCCTCTTCTATATCCTCTATCTTCATTGGGGTGCTTATTCTTCTCCATAGTGATTGTTACCACCTGCTGTGCATTTTTGGTCATATTTTATTCATTCACTCATTCATTCATTGTTTCCCCACAACATTAGAATATAAGCTCCTCAAAGGCAGGAACTTGACTTTGTTCACTTCCATACCTGAGTGCCTAGAATAATGCCTTGGGTATAGTAAGAGCTCAGTAAATATTTGATGAATGAAAAAACATGAATGCATATTTGGGAGACCCTTGCTAGAAAGAAGAAAACTTGAAAATTACAGAAACATTTCATTATTTTTTCTCAGACATCAGACTATTAGGAGCTGAAAATGTTTGTGGTTGGCTTACTTCCAAATTTGAACCTACACTCCCATTCTCTTCATTCCTACATGCACATATTTATGCTTCACATATTTGAGCACCTTATATGAGGCCTGACACTGGACTTAAGGGCTGAGAGGTACAAAGATGCCACTTGTCAGTTCCTGGATCAGTGAGGGAGACAAGCCCTCACTAAAGGACTTAAGTGCTCTAATAGACACTATGATTTGGATGTGGTTTGCTCCCACCAAAACCCATGTTGAAGTTTAATTGCCAGTGCAGCGGTCGTGGGAGGTAGGGTCTAGTGATGGTATATGGTCATGGAGGCAGATCTGTCATAAATAGATTAATGCCTTCTGGTGGGAGTGAGTGAGTTCTCGGTTTCATGGGAATGGATTAGTTCCCAAGAAAGCAAGTTGTTATAAGTGAGCCCAGCTTCTCCTATGTGTCTCTTTGCACATCCTGCTTCTGCTTTCTGCCAGTAGTTGAAGCAGCAGGAGACTCTCACCAGATGAGCTGCCTGATCTTGGACTTCCCAGCCACCAGAATCACGAGCCAAATAAACCTCTTTTATTTATAAATTACCCAGTCTCAGGTATTCCATTATAGCAACCCAAACAGACTAAGACCATAAATGCCACAAATGATGCTGTGAAGGCACAGAGAAAAGCTGCTTACACCAGCATAGTGAGGGCTGCGGTGCCCTGAGGAAGCCCAGAGAAACACTTCCATTCTGCTCACCTCTTTCTGTTCTTCAGACCCCCTAAGCTCATTCCTACCTCAGAGCCTTGGCACTGGTTGTTCCCTCTGCCTCCTGATCTTCAAGTGGTGGTACCTTCCTGTTATTCATGTCTCAGATCAAGTGTCACCCTTTCAGGGAGGCCCTCTTGAATACCTAAAGTTCTCCATCCACCCCGATCCCCTCAACCCCTAAACCTTGATTGGTTACTCTGTCAAGTAGCCTTGCTTTAGTTTTGTTGTTATTGTTGTTGTTCCCTTTTTGAGACAGGGTCTCGCTCTGTCACTCAGGCTGGAGTGCAGTGGTACAATCTTGGCTCACTGCAACCTCTGGCTCCTGAATTCAAGTGATTATCATGCCTCAGCCACCCAAGTGGCTGGAATTACAGGCACGCACCACCATGCTCAGCTAAAATTTTTTTGTGTTTTTAGTAGAGACAGAGTTTTGCCATGTTAGCCAGGCTGGTTCAAACTCCTGGCCTTATGTGATCTGCCCACCCTGGCCTCCCAAAGTGACTGGATTACAGGCATGAGCCACCGCACCAGGTACTTTTGTTCTTCATAGCACTTCACATGATCTATTTGGTTATTTAATTATTGTATACATTCTATCTCTTCCTCCCTGTGCTATAAGTCCTAAGAGGACAGGAACCTTGTTTTTCTTACTTATTGTCCCAACTCCAGTGCCTACAAGAGAGGGCTTGACACACACAAGGGACTTAATAATATTTATTGAATGATTATGTGGAAAAATGAATAAAAAGATAATGCTCCTATAGAGACATAAAGAAAGACTAGTGGCCAGGCTCAGTGGCTCATGCCTGTAATCCCAGGACTTTGGGAGGCTGAGGCAGGTGGATCACTGGAGGTCAGGAGTTTGAGATCAGCCTGGCCAACATGGTGAAACCCCATCTCTACTAAAAATACAAAAATTAGCTGGGTGTGGTGGCGGGCACCTGTAATCCCAGCTGCTTGGGAGGCTGAGGCAAGAGAATCGCTTGAACCTGGGAGGCAGAGGTTGCAGTGAGCCGAAATCATGCCACCGCACTCCAGCCTGGGCAACCAAAGCAAAACTCCGTCTCAGAAAAAGGAAAAAAAAAAAAGTGACTAGAAAGTCAAGGTGGGTGTGAGAGCAAGGCATTCCACGTTCCACATTAGGGGAAAAGCTTCTGCAAAAAAATGGTTTGCACTGCCTTTTTTTTTTTTTGGACAGAGTTTCGCTCTTCTTGCCCAGGCTGGAGTGCAGTGGCGTGATCTCAGCTCACTGCAACCTCCGCCTCCCGGGTTCAAGTGATTCTCCTGCCTCAGCCTCCCACATAGTTGGGGTTACAGGCACCCGCCACCATGCCCAGCTAATTTTTTGTATTTTTAGTAGAGATGGGGTTTCACTATGTTGACCAGGCTGGTCTTGAACTTCTGACCTCAGATGATCCACCCACCTCAGCCTCTCAAAGTGCTGGGATTATAGGCGTGAACAATCGTGCCCGGCCTGCACTGCTCTTTTTTCTTTCTTTCCTTTTTAAAATATCTTGCCCTTTCTGTGAAGATTCCAGAATGCACTACTGTTTTTTATCTCCCCAGGAGTCCCAACATCAGAAGTCTTCAGGTCTGGGTAATGGGATATGGTGATTCATTATACCATTCTCTCAACTTTTGTATCTTGAAATTTTTCATAATAAAATATTAAGGAAACAAAAGTCTTGGAGGCAAGTAAGTAATATAGATGTATGAAACAGCTCAGTTTTCAACCCAAAGGTGGAGCTGCATAAACCGGAAACAGCAGGCTCTGCATAAAAAATACTCAAATTTATTTTTTCCCCAAACTCTGGTGTGAGCTAAACACACCAGAGCCTGAATTCAGCCAGTTTGTGACCCCTGAACACCATAGGCTAAGACATGGATCCCAAATAATCTATTCACTCTATTCTGAAAAATGTTTACACAGAAATCCTCAACCATCTGGAGACCAAACCTCAGTAATATTGAAGAAACAATTTATTACATATTTTCACATAGCTAAAAGGGCAGATTTTGAATATTCCCAACACAAAGAAATAATAAATGTTTGAGGTGATGGGTATATTAATTACCTGATTTGATCATTATGCATTGCATATATGTATCAAAATATCACACTGTACACCATAAATATGTACAATTATGACTCAATTTAAAATAATAGCCAGGCACAGCAGCTCATGCCTGTAATCCCAGCATTCTGGGAGGCCAAGATGGGTGGATCACTTGAGTCCAGCAGTTCAAGACCAGCCTGGGAAACATGGTGAAACACTGTCTTTACCAAAAAAAAATTTAAAAATTTGAAATTGTTGGGTGTGGTGGTATGTGCCTGTAGTCCCGGCTACTCAGGAGGCTGAGGTGGGAGGACTGCTTAAGCCTGGGAGGCAGAAGTCACAGTGAGCCAAGATTGAGCCACTGTACTCCAGCTTGGGTGACTGAGCAAGACCTTGTCTCAAAATAATAATAAAAGAAAATAATAATATTAAAGAGTACCTCTATTTTCCAGAACCTCACTTCTGTTATGGCTCTGTTTTATGGCAGACTGCTCATTTTCTTACCTTCTCCAAAACTCCCCACAGGCAAAGGAGTTGGCTGCAGCTCTTCCATGCTCCCACTGCAACTTCCAACCATTCCTCTTCCACCCCCTGCACCACCCCATCAAAAGCCTCTTCTCTGAGGATCATCTCTTAACAATAGCCCACCTTCTTCCTGTCCTTGTTCTTTCAACCTTCTGCCTCCATGTCTCTCCACCACAGTCAGCAAAAGCTTGAACACCTCCTTACGAATTCTATCAACCCCAGCCATCAATCCCAGAGAACTCCAAACACCCACGAAGGTGACCCAGTCTGAAGCTGTCTTAGCAGCCACTTTGTCTCCCTCCCAGCTCACCTCAACTGCCCCCACTCCCTGCTAAGCCACACCTGAAATTCATAATGACCTTCCACCCTGAAATCCCACTCTCAGAGGCAGCCTCCCTCCTGAATCCAGGCCTCAATGAGTCCTACTACATCCGGGATCCCCAATCCCTTCGCCTTTCATTCTTTTTTCAATCTATCAGCCCCAATCTAACTTCACTTCTTTTCCTGATGTACTGCTTTGGTTTGCAACCTTAGCTAAATATTAGAATCACCTGGGGAGCTTTCATGACTCAGGATGACTAAGCTGGCTTAATCAATTACGTCAGATGCTCTGGGGGAAGGGCTCAATCAGCAGGGCTTTTAAGGCTCCCCCCAGTTGATTCCAACATGCAGTCACGGTGGAGAACCACTCAGTGCCCTGCAACCTAGATTCCATGGTTCATCACTTTAACCAATTTCCAGTGCACCTTCACTTCCTCATTCTTTTCTTCTCTGCCACATACTCCCCAAAAGCCCCTCAGCCTTGGAGCAATCCTGCTGCATACTTTCTCTATTCCTATAAGGAAGCTGCTGAATTCTGATGGAGGAAAATCACCAAACCATTAGCTTTCTCATGAGAATGAGTCTTACATAAGGCACTAACATAGTGGGATTTGAAGAATACCACCAATTCAAGATCATTCCTTTGCAACACACATTGACATCTAGCTCCTTATTGAGAGCTAGTCCTACCCCTATTGTTACCAGAATAGTGCAGTTAGTTCTGCATTGAGAAAAAATTATGAAATTCTCAGAGCTAAAATAAAGAGGGCCCAGTTGCTAACTAGAGACTCCTGTACTTCCAGGAGAGACTAGACTGGTTTGCCAGGTAATATTATGAAAATGTCTAAAGGAGAACTTTCCCCTTTGGGGGCAAAGATAAGGTTTGATAAGAGACCCCAGTCCCTGGATTGGGCCTCTTCTTCAAAACTAAGGGAGAGGAACTCAACGGAACCAAACCAAGGTTACAGGTTTCAGGGAAGAGGGAAGCCTTTCCCCTGGTCCCTGCTTGCATGACCTGTGAACACTGTTCTTGCCTATCTACCTCGAGCTACCAGCAGGAGAAGGAACATTGAGGCCAAAAGTGGAATGGTATGATCAGAAAAAGAGGGGCCAGATAACACCCCCTCAAATTCCCAGTTTCTTGAAAGTAGAGAACACGAGGCTGCTTCCTCCCCAGAAGCCCCATAGTTGGAATCCTGGAAAGTATGTGAGATTGGAGGCCATGGCCTTGTCAAAGCCATCACGGCATGAGGCAAAGAGGCTCTGGCCTTAGAAGAAGGTGGTTCCACCAGCTGGAAGCCCTAAAGCCCTAAAGGGAATCAAACCCAAAGAGTACCAGAGGTAGTCTCTCAAAGGTCTACCTCTGGTTTGCAACCTATCTAAGTCTCTCAAAGGTCTACCTCTGGTTTGCAACCTATCTAAGTCTCTCAAAGGTCTACCTCTGGTACTCTTTGGGTTTGATTCCCTTTAGGGCTTCCATCCTTGTCTCTCAGAGACAATGAGCCCCACAGCAATGCTGACTGCAATTCCACCTCAGGAGGTATCTTTTCCTTTTCCCTCCTCCCTCTCCCCATGCTAGAAGGGTACACGATGGAAAAGGGTGGGCTCTTGTGAGAGAACAGCACACACCCTACCCCTCTCTCACTCACACATACAAACACAAAATCACACACAGTCACCGAGGCTACAAACCTGGTATGTACTGAAGGAAAAGGGAGAACTTTAAATCAAACATGAACTTGAAGTTTAAAATGGAATCAGGATTTGTGGAGAAAGAATCTGATTGTCACTTTGGGTCAGATGTTCACTCCTAGTACAATCCACCATGGCCAGGGCTGGGTTATCTAGTGTCAAAATGGCTACCCGGTAGCCACCCCATGAAGGAGGGAGTCAGGCTTAAAAGACAGGCAGAGAGATGGTAAGTATGGCAGCCACCTCAGAGGTGGTTTTCCAGGAGTTTCTTTTCTTCCTGATCAGAAATTGGGACAAATTGGGAATGCTGAGCTTCTGAGAAGCTAAGTAATGCTGCAGGTAGAAAGGAATAAAGAAGCAAGACAAAGAAAGGGAAGCTGAAAGATACCCTTCACTTATGTAAATTTAGCCAGCCCAAGCTTATTCCTTTTTGGTTAACAGATTTCCTCCTGTAACTTCCACATTTTTATCTGCAGGTTTCTCCATTTATTATATACTTTATATGGCCCCACAGAAATCATCTTTGACTAATATATTACTAGAGCGACATATGACTATATTACAAGCTAAAAGAAAAAAACAACACAGGGTCAATAAACTATCTGGAGGAACATTGCAAAGCTTGGAAAAACTAAAAATGATTGCCAAGACACACATAAGAAGAAACAGGGAAAAAAAGCACAAATATCTTAAGGGTATAGGACAAGAATTGGGAATTCTGTCACATCTATGCCTGGAAAATAAGGGTGGTACACAGCACAACATGAAACTTGTATGATTACAGAAAACCGTCTCCAGGTGACTGCCCAGAGGTATTCACCTGTCGGAAACATATGACTGTCAAGATGAATCAGAGCTGTGTAAATTAACCAGTGGGTACAGTGTAGGCAGAAATATGTTTTAGAGAGAAAGGCTGTAGCCTTGGATTTGTGGGCAGGAGTAGGCATGCAGAGAATGAAAAACAGAACTAGGAAAGAGAACAAAACAAATTCCTAATTCTTTTCTTCAACTGCTTGTGCAATTCAGTAGCTGGGCTTAAGTTTCCAAACAGGATAAGAGATGGAAAGTAATGACATCACCTAAAGTATTAACATAACCTAAAGAATGGCTTAAATATTTTTGCATGTGAAAGGAAGTATAATCGGGAATAATGACTTTTTTTTTTCTTTTCCTTTTTTTGAGACAGAGTTTTGCTCTGTTGCCCAGGCTGGAGTCCAGTGGCATGATCTCAGCTCACTGCAACCTTCGCCTCCTGGGTTCATGCAATTCTCCTGCCTCAGCCTCCCAAGTGGCTGGGGATTACAGACGTGTGCCACCACACCCAGCTAATTTTTGTATTTTTAGTAGAGATGGGGTTTCACCATTTTGGTTAGGCTAGTCTCGAACTCCTGACCTCAAGTGATCCACCCACCTTGGCCTCTCAAAGTGCTGGCATTACAGGTGTGAACCACCGCACCCAGCCCTAATGACATTTATTTTGAGCAAAATTTTAAACTGTTTCCTTAAGCACACTCAGGACTGGATCCATAAAACCAGGTAGAGTGATTAACAAGCCTGCTCTCCAGTTCCTCAGCTTTATTTATGTTTCCAAATTGTAATAACCCTACTTAATGATTAAGAGCAAAAAATAGGATCCAAGTCAGTGTAAAGTGCATATTAAAATATTTTTCTTGCTAGATCATTATGTTTCTAGGAAACTTTTGGATTTCCTGGAACTATTTTGTATAATTTTTTAAAAATCTACAATAAATCTTACATGACAGATTCTGCTAATGAAAGAGATGGGAAAATGTTTGAATACACAGAAAGCTTTCTGGAAGTAAGACCTATGACTCCATTGAATAGTAAAAGGAAGGAAGAAATATTTTTAAAGATATTTAGCATTAGAGTGGCCTAAATGTTGTAAATAAACCCGTACTTTTGAGAATAACCTGTTTTGGCAAAAACGTAATTTCTTTTTTCCTTTTTTTTTTTTTAGACAAGATATTGCTGAGATGTTGCCCAGATTGGTCTCAAGCTCCCAAGTTCAAGCAATCCTCTGAATCCTCTGGCCTCAGCCTTCCAAGTAACTGAGATTACAGGCATGTGTCATGGTGCCCAATTTATCAATGCGATGTGTCTACAAGTGGAGTGGCACATTCAAATATTTGTTGCTGTTGTCATTTGTCCATTCATTTGTTGACTCAGTAGCATTAACTGAGTGTCTATTCCAATGTGCAGACACTATGCCAGGTGCTCGGGTGGAAGGAGGAATAAAAATAATGGTCATAATAACTACCATTTCCTGAGTGCTTATTACATGACTATCTCCTCAAACCTCACAACAAGAGAATGGCTACGTATTATTATTTACATTTTCCAGAAGAGGAAACTGAGACTTGCCTGAACCCACCTAAACCAGAAGGATAGAGCAAGAGTGAAGCCAGAGGTGGGCCCAGCATCTGCTGCTCCTTTTTGTTTTTTTGAGATGGAGTTTCACTCTTGCTGCCCAGGCTGGTGTGCAATGGTGAGGTCCCGGCTCACTGCAACCTCCACCTCCCGGGTTCAAGCAATTATCCTGCCTCGGCCTCCCAAGTTACTGGGATTACAGGAGCGTGTAATACCTGGCTAATTTTTGTATTTTTAGTAGAGACAGGGTTTCACCATGTTGGCCAGGCTGGTCACGAACTCCTGACCTCAAGTGATCTGTCCGCCTCGGCCTCCTAAAGTGCTGGGATTACGGGCGTGATCCACCGCACCTGGTCTGCTGCTCTTAATCACTATATGCACACCTTCCTGCAAGAAGCTAATTAGTGTAGAATTTATTTCAAAATCTCTAGGAGCCAATATATTCTTGGCACATAGCAGATTCAATAAATATTTGCTAAATGAATGGAAACTGAGTTGCCAAATTTGTATTTTAATTTTGGCTTGTGTAAAACAATGTGTTACCTACTTGCTCTGGTGGATGTGATTGTAAATAATTACAATCTTGCCAATTGCTTGCAAATATTGTGTTGGTCACATGTAAAAGTCTTGCTACAGAAGCCAGGCCTGAAGCACCTGATTAAATAGGTCTGAATAGTATGTTGCAGAATTTAGAAGTGGGTGTATTATGATTCCAGAGCTTAGCACTCCTCTCCCTCAGCAGATTATTCATATTTTAGTTTGGTTGAAGTTACTGGAGCTATACAAGCTGATTGAAATTAAGCATTTCATTTATTTATATATTTTAAAGAAAAACACTAATTTCTATCAGAGTGAAGGGCTAGGAAAGGTTTGTGACCTAGGGACGCTTACGTCCCTTTCCAGGTCTGCGATGGGCTAGTGGTGCGTGCCCCTCTACACCTGATTCTGAAATAGGTTCGGAATGAACAGCCTTCCAGCTGCCTGTGTGACTCTAAGACTCTCCTCTGGGGTACACAGACAGAGGTTATTGAAAGGGAATCTATTTCCATTTGGAAGGACTGTTTCCTACGATTAATCTGCCTGAAAACACACCTATGGTCCAGGTGTTGTGTGGGTTTTCTCACCCACCTTTTCTTTAAGGACCACTTCCCACCATTTAAAAAATAAAAACAAAACAAAACAAAAAACACCTTCCACTCACCCCAAATCTTTCTATGGCACCTCAATGTAAAACCTGGGATTGCCTTGAGAGGTAAAAACCCTGAGGTAACACACACGGGCAGAATCCTAAATACTGGTGCTGAGAAAGTGAATGACTTTAACGATTGATTAAATCTTCTTTTTTCTAGATGTGGTCTCGTTCTGTTGCAGTGGCACAATCATAGCTCACTATAACCTCGAACTCTTAGGCTCAAGCAATCCTCTCACCCAGCCTCCCTAGTTGCTAGGACTACAGGTATGTACAACCATGCCATGCTAATTTTTAAATTTTCTTTGTAGAGACAGGGTCTCACTAGGTTGCCCAGACTGGTTAAATAATCTTTTTGCAAGTCAGGTTTTTCCCAGTTATTTGCTCTCAATATAATTGAAGCAGGACATGTTAGCTGATGGAGCATTAGTTATAATTCTTGGTGATATATCATTGAATTATTTCTGATGTAAACTTTGGCATGAGTTCAGAGAATTGAGCAATGTTATGATAACAAAATACTCCTTTCCCGTCTGCTTATTTTTGTGAACAAGGTTTCTCAGAACTTACATCTATAATAAGCAAGCACAGAATCAATGCTAAACCGTTTCATTCTAACAACAAATAATATTCAAACATGGATACATAAGTTAATTGAAAAAATAGTTCCGCTGGGCGCAATGGCTCACACCTGTAATCCCAGCACTATGGTAGGCCGAGGCGGGCGGATCACAAGGTCAGGAGATCGAGACCATCCTGGCTAATATAGTGAAACCCCGTCTCTACTAAAAATACAAAAAATTAGCTGGGCGTGGTGGCGGGCGCCTGTAGTCCCAGCTACTCGGGAGGCTGAGGCAGGAGAATGGCGTGAACCCGGGAGGCAGAGCTTGCAGTGAGCCGAGATGGCGCCACTGCACTCCAGCCTGGGCGATAGAGTGAGACTCGGTCTCAAAAAAAAAAAAAAAAAAAAAAGAAAAGAAAAAAAGAAAAAATAGTTCCACCCATCTAATTAAGAAATGTATTTCTGGCCGGGCATGGTGGCTCATGCCTGTAAGCCCAGCACTTTGGGAGGCCGAGGCGGCAGATCACCTGAGGTCGGGAGTTCCAGACCAACCTGACCAACATGAATAAACCCCGCCTCTACTTAAAAATACAAAATTAGCCGGATGTGGTGGCGCATGCCTGTAATCCCAGCTACTCGGGAGGCTGGGGCAGGAGAATCACTTGAACCTGGGAGGCAGAGGTTGCAGTAAGCCGAGATCATGCCATTGCACTCCAGCCTGGCAACAAGAGTGAAACTCTGTCTCAAAAAAAAAATGTATTTCTAATAAAATTTTACTGTCCATTTTATAATTACATACAAACATGTTTCATATATTTATATTTTTGATCATCCATATACTAATAATTATAATAACTCAATCCAGAGGAAGTTTTCAACACTTTGAGACTTGCAATCACCAAAAATTTTTCATGTATTTATTCATTTAAGATGGCATCTTGCTCTGTCGCCCAGGCTGGAGTGCAGTGGCAAGATCTCAGCTCACTGCAACCTCTGCCAGCTGGGTTCAAACGATTCACTTGCCTCAGCCTCTCAAGTAGCTGGGACTATAGGTGCCTGCCACCACTCTGGCTAATTTTTGTATTTTTAGTAGAGATGGGGTTTCATCATGTTGGCCAAGCTGGTCTCAAACTCCTGATCTCAAGTGATCCTCCTGCCTCAGCCTCCCAAAGTGCTGAGATTACAGGTGTGAGCCACCACGCCCAGCATCAAAAACTTCAAACATTTAAATTTAAATGTATACACATATTTCAGTTGTAGAAAAATTTCATAGGTCTACCCCTAGAAAACATTTGGACATAAAAATATATGACATTGGGAGTGGGAGGAGAAGTGGAATGAAAACACAAGTTTAGCCAGAAGCAGTTACTCATGCCTGTAGTTCCGGCTACTCACACAGCCTGGGTTATATAGTGAGGCCCCATCTCAAAAAACAACAACAACACAAAACAGGATTAAGGCAAAAAAAAAAAAATGGACACTATAATATTTTCCATTGTTAAAGATAAGCTCGTTAATATGTTTTTTAAAGGAATGAAAGCAGAAATCAAATTGATTTGATATTTAATATAATTTTTTTAAGTATCGATTTACACTGTTAGAAATTCTGTCTTTGCGGTCGGGCGCTGTGGCTCATGCCTGCAATCCCAGCACTTTGGGAGGCCGAGGCAGGCGGATCAGGAGGTCAGGAGCTTGAGACCATCCTGGCTAACATGGTGAAACCCCATCTCTACTAAAAACACAAAAATTAGCTGGGCGTGGTGGCACGTGCCTGTAGTCCCAGCTACTCAGGAGGCTGAGGCAGGAGAATCACTTGAACCCTGGAGGCGGAGGTTGCAGTGAGCCAAGATTGGGCCACTGCACTCCAGCCTGGACGACAGAGTGAGACTCCATCTCAACAAAAAAAAAAAAAAAAAGAAAGAAAGAAAAAAAGAAATTCTGTCTTTGCAAATATTTAAACTTATGACTTTAAAAAAATGAATAACTTGAAAATATGTGAGGGTGTCAATTGTTTTGTTTTAAAATTATGTGGAGGACTAAGGGAGCAAAAACATTTAAAAGTTGCTGTTATCAAAGATCTGAGGTTCATACAAACCTTAAAGAATCTGTGGCTTTACTATTTCAAACTTCTAGTCAAAGAAATGAACACATTGCGAGACCAGATAAAACCTACCATTTCAGAAAATTATCCCATTAGTCCAATTAATGCTCATAGCACTTTATATGCAATCAAGTTTAATTAAAATGGCACTTAGAAAAAATCAATATTCATAAATTTCAAGAACAAATTCTAGAGTTTGACATTAAATCCCTCTAAAATTCATTCACTCACTCACTCAACAAATTATTGAGCCCCTCTCCTAGGCAGAGCACAGTGGGAGGCCCCAGGAATGCAGCTTGAACCACAGAGACCAGGGCCCTACTCCTTGCCAGCAGTTCGGGGAAGGCAGTCTGTAAACAGGCGAGCACATCACTAAAATAAAGTCAGAATGTGTTAAGTGCAGAGGAAAATGAAAACCAGGCAGAGTGCTAACAAGTAATTGTGGAGTGGAGACAGAGACGGACCTCCTGTGAAGCTAATGAAGCTGCAGTTTCACAGCTCTTTATCTGCACAGGCCCCTTCTGCGGCCCCGGGAGGGACATTTGCACCCCAGGATGAAGGCACATGTGTACATGCCTCCACACATACCCCATGCACACACACACACACACCGAATCACACACCACATATACCACACACACACCACACAGACACACCCACCATACAGACACACCTACACACACTACACACCACACCACACAACCAAAGCCAACACACTTGAAACACTCTAAAGTCTTACAACTCATATATGAAAAAAGCATAATAGATTTCTCAGATTTTTACAACAATCCTAAAAATTTACATGACATTACCAACAATGAGTAATGAAACCAAAGAAACTTTTCTAAACTATCAATCACAAAAACACTTTTTAGCCCAAGTGCGGTGTCTCACACCTGTAATACCAACAACTTTGGGAGGCCAAGGCAGGAGGATTGCTTGCAGCCAGGAGTTCGAGACCAGACTGGGCAACCATGAGACCCCATCGCTAAAAAATAAAATAAAATAAAATGTAAAAAAACAAAACAAAAACAAAAACCACATCCTTCAGCCAGACACAGTAGCACAGCCCGTAGTCCCAGCTACTGGGGAGGTGAAGGCAGGAAGATTGTTTGAGCCCAGGAGTTCAAGGCTTTAGTGAGCTATGACTGTGCCTGTGAATAGCCACTGTGCTCCTGCCTGGTTGACATAGTGAAATTCTGTCTGTCAAAAACAAACACTTTCCAATCAATGATAATATGCTGAAGACTGAATTATCTCTTTAATTGCTGTATAGAAAATATCACACAATCTTTTTCTTTTCTTTTTTTTTGATGGAGTCTCACTCTGTAGCCCAGGCTGGTGTGCAGTGGTGCAGTCTCGGCTCACTGCAAGCTCCGCCTCCTGGGTTCACGCCATTCTCCTGCCTCAGCCTCCGGAGTAGCTGGGACTAGAAGCACCCGCCACCATGCCCCCAGCTAATTTTTTTTGTATTTTTAGTAGAGACGGGGTTTCACCGTGGTCTCGATCTCCTGACCTCATGATCCGCCCGCCTCGGACTCCCAAAGTGCTGGGATTACAGGTGTGAGCCACCGCGCCCAGCCCACACAATCATTTTCATATGAAGAGGTGATCAGAGAGAATGCAGCCAAAATTGTAGGTAAAAAAGTATTCTGTCAGGCAGTTAATTAATAAAAATATATGTTGTTTTAATGGTTTTTCAGGTAGTTGGGGTATTTGTCAGCTTTTTTATTTTGTTCTATGTTGAGATTTATTATTTTAAATAAGTGCTCACTTTTGTATAAATTTTTATATTCATAATTTTGTATTCTTTTTTATATAAGCTTCAACTTCCACAAATCCTGTCTGGTCCCTGAGTAGAGCTACTTTAGAAGGAAGGATCTGGAAAGCCCTTACTGAGTTGCTGACCCAAATGAGCAGAGCATTCCAGGAAGAGATAAGAAGGGACAGGGTCTGGAGGGACAAGTTGTCGCCCCTGGCTGGAGAAGCCAACATGGCTGGAGTAGAGAGGGGCAGCAGCCAGCTCACTCAGGGCCTTGGAGCTGGGGGAGAAGTTTGAATCTCATACCAAACACAACCTGTGACCTTCTGATTCATATTTAAACATAGCAGCATTGATGTAAAAATTGCAGAATATTAAAAACAGCCCAAAGTCCTAACATGTATATACTGAACCATCTTCCCACTCCTAAGAAATAGAAATCATTGCTTTCTTTGTGAAAAGTTACTGTCTCTCAGTGGCTTAAAAAAAATAGAATAACATGATTTCTTAACTAAAGTAAAACAAAAATCCACTGGGCTTAACTAATTTTTTCACTAAACAACAAGCCCAAAATACCAGTTTCTGTAAAGTATAAATTCTAAGGTCACAGACTTAACAAAGTAATTTTATTTTTTTGAGACAGAGTCTCATTCTGTCACCCAGACTTGAGTGCAGTGGCACGATCACAGTTCACTGCAGCCTTGACCTTCCTGGGTTCAAGCAATCCTCCCACTTCAGCCTCCCAAGTAGCTGGGACTGCAGGTGCATGCCACCATGCCCAGCTAATTTTTGTATTATTAGTAGAGATGGAGTTTTGTCATGTTGCCTAAGCTGGTCTCAAGTTCCTGGACTCAAACAATCTGCCGACCTCTGCCTTGAAAAGTGCTGAGATTACAGGCATGAGCCACTGCACCTGGCCAACAATGTAATTTTCAAGTAAATCTGAGAATACTAATCCACAAACTAATTACTAATGAAGAACAACACACACAGAGCTATCTCTTTACAATGGGCTTTAAGGTCTTGGTAGTTATTTCCTTCCCTCCCTTCTCCCTTACCAGCTAGATATCTTCCCTACTTCCTTCCTCCCACCATCATTCTTTCCACCCTTCCTTTCTTCTCTTCCTCTCTCCCTCCCACAATGTTTATTGAGTGCCTGCTTTGTGCTAGGTACAGGTACACAGGCAACCAAGACAGATATCAGCTTGCAGCCTAGCAAGGGAAACAGACATCAAGCAAATAATTTATTGACTGCAACAGTGGTGTCTGCTACTGGAAAAGGAGTTTGGGATGCCATAGGAGCATCTATCAGGGAACTAGCCTACTCCGGGCAATTAGGAAAAGTCACTTTGAGGAAGTGTCCTCAAAGTTGCTGTCTCAAGGACCACTAATTCCAGGTAGAGGAACAGCATCTGCAAAGGCCATGAGATGGGAAAAGAATGGCCTTTGAGAAACTAAAGAAGATTAAGCCAAAAGAGAGAGGGACTAAAGATGAGGCAGGAGAGGTAGGCAAGGATTCTGTCACAAAGCACCTTGCAGGCCATAAGGATTTTGGACTTCATCCTAAGAGCAGTGGGAAAATGGTAAATAGTTAAACAAGTGGGTCAAATAGGACTTTTTGTTTTGTGAGTGACCAAAACCATAGCTCCCTGTCACCTATCTGCCTAGTTGCAGAGGCAGCCAATATCACTAGGGTTTTATAAATCTATTCAGAGATGCTGTGTATACACATGCAAGTATGTTATCTTTTCATCTTGTAATAATACATGGCAGCATATTGTATACACTATCTTGAATCTTGTTTTTTTAACTTAATGTATTCTAGCAATCATCCCACGTCTGTGCATACGGATCTGCCTCGTTCTTCTTCCTCTGGACTAGATTGTCTATTGTATGGAAATACTATTATGTATTTAACTAGTATTTAATAGACTTTAGGTCATTTCCAGGCTTTTGCTACCACAAAAAATACCACAGTGAATGTTCTTACACATATCATTGACACATGTGGGAGAATATCTATCAAATTACTGGAAAAGGGATTGCTAGGTCAAATGGTATGGAAACTTGATAGATATTGTGAAAATGCCCTCCCTAGAAGTGGTATTAATTTACATAACCACCAGCAAGGATGCGACAGATAAAAAAATTGGTATCTCAGTAGAGTTTTAATTTGCACTTCTTTTAGTAAAAGTGATCCTGAGCAGATTTGATCTGATTAAGAGCTAGTGCTTCTTAGGAATTAAAAATAATTAGGCTGAAAGCAAAGCAACAGCTGGGAGCTGAAAATGACATTTCATTCGTTCAACAAATTTTGATAAACAACTCTGCACTAGGCACTGTCACAGGCACTGACGAATCCAGACAGGTAAGACCCAGAGGAGCTCACGTCTAATGCGAGAGATGGAGGTACAATTAAATGAAATATGCTATTTTTAAAAAACAAGAAGATGGGCCAGGTGCAGTGGCTCATGCCTGTAATCCTAGCATTTTGGGAGGCTGAGGTGGGCAAATCACTTGTGGTCAGGAGTTCAAAACCAGCCTGGCCAACATAGTGAAACCCCGTCTCTGCTAAAAATACAAAAATTAGCTGGGTGTGGTGGCAGGCACTTGTAATCCCAGCATCCCCAGAGGTTGAGGCAGGAGAATCGCTTGAACCCCGGAGACTGAGGCTACAGTGAGCCGAGATTACTGCACTCCAGCCTGGGCGAAAGAGCGAGAATCCATCTCAAAATAAACAAACAAACAAACAAACAAACAAACAAACAGAGGAAGAACAAGAAGGAACACAGAAATATGGGAGCACAGAGAAGAGCAACTAATGTGCCAAACGCTCACATAAATTTTCTTAGAATACCTAATTTTTAAAAGGCAGGGAGTTGGGGGAAGCAGATGATTAATGCTTTTTAATTTTTTTAAGGCCTACTTGGGTTTCTTTCAAAACTTGGCTCTGTACATTAGCAAAAATATTCACAGTTGCTTTAATAGAGCTAAGATATTTTTAAGTGTTTTAACTAAAAATATGTCTGAAATTATGGCAAGATTTCCATCAAAAAAGACAGTAGAGGCTGGATGTGGTGGCTCACACCTGTAATCTCAGCACTTTAGGAGGCTAAGGTGGGGAGATTGCTTGAGCCAAAGGAGTTGGAACTTCAGACCACAACAGCAGCTAAACATACAAAGGAGACTCAGCCACTGCTGGTAATAACACTGGAGCAGGGAGTCAGGAAGAGACACCTTGGCTTCTCCTTCTCCTACCTCCTTTTTGGCTGTTCCCAACCAGGAGCCAGTTGACAAGCGAGCTAGGAAACATAGTTTGCAGGGGTCTTTTCCCCAAGATGCAGAGCAGGGAAAGGGCAGGGAATGGGCCTGCAACGAATCTGAGAGCTAAATAATTGGCATGCTAGCCAGCCAGTTGACCTTCCCAGAATTTTGGAAACCATCATTCAGTCACTATAACCTGTCGATTCATCCTCCCACTGTGTCTTTTCTCTATCCCATAGCTACTAACTCAGTTCCAGCCCTTATCCTCTCTCACCCAGACAATGGAAACAGATTTATAACTTGTTTCCCCAACTCTACTCTGTCCCACTCCAAAATGCCCTCCATGTAGTGTGGACCTCCAGAATTAATTTTTAAACAGAGCTATGTCCCAATCTCTACCTACAGCGAAAATCCAGTTCCTCTGGGCCTTTTGCAGTCTGGCTCCAGCATCACTTTCCCCCAAATCTTTCTATAAATATGCTGTGTTTTAGCCACAAAAGGAGAACTCAAGACTTCCCAAACATGGCATGTTATTTCATGCCCACATCCTTTGTTGCACGACTTGAAATTCTCCTTTTGAAATTATTTCTTCCTCCTGAAATTGTTTAAATACTAAAAGTTACCTTCTAAAGGAATACTGATTCAGCTCCCTCAGGCAAAATGAATTATTCCTTATGCTGCATTCATTCATAGCAAGTAATTCATACTGCTAATATAGTTTACTTATCACATCACATTTGTACTGCTAGTGTAGAGCACTCCTTTTCTGTGTGTTTTTTTGTTTGTTTTTTGAGACAGAATCTTGCTATATCACCCAGGCTGGAGTGCAGTGGCATGATCGGCTCACTGCTGCCTTGACTTCTTGAGCTCAGATGCTTCTCCCACATCAGCCTCCTGAGTAGCTGGGACCCCAGGCATGCACCACCACACCCACACAGAGCACTCTTTATGTTACATTCTAGTTTGTTTTAAAAGTCTCAGTGATCTTCTCCATCAGGGACCCATGTCCTGCTTTTGTTAATAAAATTTTATTGGAACACAGCCACACCTATTTGTTTTCATATTGTCTATGGGTGCTTTCACAGACAACAGCAGAGTGGGGTAGTTGGGACAGAAATAGCATAGTTCCCAAAGCTTAAAATACTTGGTCCACTAAGTTTGCCAACTCCTCTCTTTGATGGTTCATTGAAGGGATTCCCAGATCTTAGCCCAACATCTGGCAGATAGGTGCTCTGTAAATGTTGATTGAATTATCTAGAAAGATTCAAGTATATAGGTTCAAGAATAAGAGAAAAGGCCAGAAACACAAAGGAACATTTAAAAATACTGGCAAGGGGAGGCCAGAGCAATTAGTCCAGAGAAAAAAAATAAAGGACATCCAGATTAGAAAGCAAGAAGTCAAATTAGACTTGTTCACAAATAACATAATCATATACTTAGAAAAGCCTCCTGAAGTGGAAATGAAAAAAATTTTTTAAAAAGAAAGAAAAGCCTAAAGACTCCACCAAAAAAAACTTTTAGAACTAATAAACAAATTCAGTAAAGTTACAGGACACAAAAAGTCAATAGCAACTGATTGTAAACACAGCCAGTAAACAATGTGGAAAAGAAACCAAGAAAGCAATTCCATTTACAATAGCTACAAAGAATATAAAATACCTAGGAATCAATTTAACCAAATAAGTGAAAGATCTAAACCAGGGGCCAGGCGTAGTGGTGCGTGCCTATAATCCCAGCTACTTGGGAGTCTGAGGCAGGAGAATTGCTTGAACCTGGGAGGTGGAGGTTGCAGTGAGCCAAGACTGCGCCACCGCACTCCAACCTGGGCAACAGAGTGAGACTCCATCTCAAAAAAAAAAAAACCATACAAGGAAAACTGGTGAAATGAACACACACACAAATGAAAGGGTATTCCATTCTCATGGACTGGAAGAATTAATATGGTTAAAATGATAATAGTACACAAAGAAATTTACAGATTCAATGCAATCCCTATCAAACTACCAATGACATTCTTCACAGAAATAGAAAAAAAAATTCCTAAAATTAATATGAAACCATGAAACACCCCGAATAGCCAAAGCAATTCTAAGTAAAAAGAACAAAGCTGGAGGCATCACACCACCTGACTTCAAAATATATTACAAGGCTATAGGCCAGATGTGGTGGCTCAGGCCTATAATCCCAGCACTTTGGGAGGCCGAGGTAGGAGGATTACTTGAGCCCAGGAGTTCAAGACCAGCTTGGCCAACATGGCAAGACATCTCTACTAAAAATACAAAAATTAGCCCAGCGTGGTGGCACATGCCTGTAATCCCAGCTACTCAGGAGGCTGATGCACAAGAATCACTTGAACCCAGGAGGCGGAGGTTGCAGTGAGCTGAGATTGCGCCACTGCACTCCAGCCTGGGCAACAGAGCGAGATCCTGTCTCAAAAAAAAAAAAAATATATATATATATATATATACACACACACACACACACACATTGTATGTATACATATATATTACATATATACACATATGTATATGTATACATATACATATGTGTTATATATAAGAAGGCTATATTAACCAAAACAAGGCTATATTAACCAAAACAGCATGGTATTTGTATAAAAATAGACACACAGACCAATAGAACAGAATAGAGAACCCAGAAATAAATTCACATATTTATAGTCAACTGATTTTAAACAAAGGCACTAAGAATATACACTAGGGAAAGGACACCCTCTTCAATAAATGGTGCTGGGTCCACCAGCCTCTGGACAAGTCTTTCCACCGAAGGCCCATTCTCTTCTGGGAGGTTCTCTGTATCCCCTTGTCCCCCGACCCCCAGGCAGCAATAGAATAAGTGTTTGTATAGATTTTTCAAACATAAATAAGTATACTGGGGAAATTGGATATCCATGTTCAGAAGAATGAAACTTGGACCCCTATCTCTCACCATATACAAAAATCAGCTCAAAATGGAATAAAGACTTAAATGTAAGAAACAAACTATAAAATTGCTAGAAGAAGACAGGCAAAATAAGACATTGGTCTGGGCAAAGACTTTTTTGTGTAAGATTTCAAAAGCGGCCAGGTGCGGTGGCTCATGCCTGTAATCCCAGCACTTCGGGAGGCCAAGGCGGGCGAATCACCTGAGGTTGGGAGCTCGAGACCAGCCTGAACAACATGGAGAAACCACGTCTCTACTAAAAATACAAAATTAGCCGGGTATGGTGTCACATGCCTGTAATCCCAGCTACTCAGAAGGTGAGGCTGAGGCAGGAATATCGCTTGAAATCAGAAGGCAGAGGTTGCGGTGAGCAGAGATCATGCCACTGCACTCCAGCCTGGGCAACAAGAGCAAAACTCCATCTCAAAAAAAAAAAAAAATTTCAAAAGCACAGGCAACCCAAGCAAAAATAGTCAAACGGTTATATCAAAAAGTGTCTGCATAGAAAAGGAAACAATCAACAAAGTGAAGAGACATTCTGCAGAATGAGAGAAAATATTTGCAAACTACCCATCCAACAAAGGATTAATAACTAGAATATATGAGAAACTCAAACAACTCAATAGCAAAAAAAAAAAAAAAAAAATTCAATTTAAAAATGGACAAAAGATCTGAATAGACATTTCTCACGAGAAGACATACAAATGGCCAACAGGAATATGGAAAACTGCTCACCATCAAAAAGCATCAGAGAAATGCAAATCAAAACCTCAAGAAGATATCATCTCACCCCAGTTAAAATGGCTTTTATCAAAAAGACAGGAAATAATTAATGCTGGCAAGGATGTGGAGAAAGGGGAACCCTTGTATGCTGTTGGTGGGAATGTAAATTAGTACAGCCATTATGGAAAACTGTATGGAGGTTCCTCAAAAACCAAAAATAGAACCATGGTACGATCCAGCAATACCATTACTGGATATATATATATATAAAATATATATATGAAATTAGTATATTGAAGAGATATCTGCACTCCCATATTTTACTGCAGCATTATTCACAATAGCCAAAATATGAAATGAATCTAAGTACCAGTCAATGACGATTGCATAAAGAAAATGTGGTAGAAATACATAATGGAATAGTTTTCTGCCATAAAAAAGAATAGAGCTGGGTACTGTGGCTCACGCCTGTAATCCCAGCACTTTGGGAGGCAGAGGTTGGCGGATCGCTTGAGCCCAGGAATTCAAGACCAGCCTGGGCAACATGGTGAAACCCCATTTCTAAAAAAAATACAAAAATTACCCAGGCGTGGTGGGGTGCCACTGTAGTCCCAGCTACTTGGGAGGCCAAGGTGGGAGGATCACTTGAACCCAGAATCCTTGATCAAGCCACTACACTCCAGCCTGGGCAACAGAATGAGACCCTGTCTCAAAAAAAAAAAAAAAAAAAAAAAAAAAGAAAGAACTGGAGGTCATTATGTTAAGTGAAATATGCCAAGCACAGAAAGACATGATCACACATTCTCACTTACATGTAGGAGCTGAAAAAAAAAGGTGGATCTCATGAGGACAGAGAGTAAACTGATGCTTACCAGAGGCTAAGAAGAGTAGGTAGAAGGAGGGGATGAAGAGAAGTTGACTAATGGGTACAAATAAACAGTCTGATAGAAGAAATAAGACCTAGCATTTGATAGATCAGTAGGATAGCTATACTTTATAATTATCTATTGTATATTTCTTTTCTTTTTTTCTTTTTTCTTTTCTTTTTCTTTTTTTTTTTTTTTTTGAGACAGAATTTTGCTCTGTCACCCAGGCTGGAGTAAAGTGGCACGATCTCAGCTCACTGCAACCTCCGCCCCCTGGGTTCAAGCGATTCTCCTGCCTCAGCCTCCAGAGTAGCTGGGATTATAGGCTCCTGCCACCACACCTGGCTAATTTTTGTGGTTTTAGTAGAGACGGGGTTTGGCCGTGTTGGCCAGGCTCCTGACCTCAGGTGATCCACCCGCCTCAGCCTACCAAAGTGCTAGGATTACAGGCATGAGCCACCGCTCCCGGCCTCTATTGTATATTTCAAAATAGCTTAGAAGAGATTAATTGGATTGTTTCTAGCATAAAGAAAAGACAAATGTTCTAGCTGATAGGTGTCCCAATTACACTGATTCAGTCTTTACAAATTACATGAATGTATTAAATTAGCATATGTACCCTGAAAATATGTACATTTATTATGTATCAATAAAATTTAAATTTTTTTAAAGCGAGGGGAAAAGGGGAACCTGTTTTCATTAATGTAAAGAATTATTTTTAGAGAAATGCCCATGGGTGTTTTTAAAACAGAGCACAGAAACAATTTTCTAACTCTCATAAAGAAGTTTGTTTTGGCCTAAAAAAGAATATATTCATAAAGAAAAAGTTGGGAACTTTTCTGCTTCAGTAAGCCTAGAATATCTGGAATTCTAGAAGATATGGGCAAGCATCCTCTGCTGGACATGGCTTAAATGGGTCAAGCTGATCGTTGAACTAAAAGCATCTTAAGAGTCCCTCTATGGCCAAGCGCGGTGGCTCACGCCTGTAATCCCAGCACTTTGGGAGGCCGAGGCAGGCAGATCACCTGAGGTCAGGAGTTCAAGACCAGCCCGCCCAAATGGTGAAACTCCGTCTCTACTAAAAATACAAAATTAGCCTGGTGTGGTGGTGCATGTCTGTTATCCCAGCTACTCGGGAGGCTGAGGCAGGAGAATTGCTTGAACCTGGGAGGTGGAGGTTGCAGTGAGCCGAGATGGCACCATTGCGCTCCAGCCTGGGCAACAAGAGCAAAACTCCATTTAAAAAAAAAAAAAAAAAGAGTCCCTCTAGCTCCTAGGTCAAAGAAGGCACAGATGAGCCTTGCACTGACAATGTTAAAGGTCTCATTGTCTCTTTTGAATGTTTAGATAGGTAATCTGAAAATTACATTAACAAAATAGTTTGCATGAACTGAAAAATAACTCTGCAGAACACACTCTAAGCCTTTGTAGTTGTTTTACACACCCAAGTGAATTATTCTTGCATGCAAAATTGACTGGTGAGAGATCTTCCTATTGTGTAACAAACACAGAAAAATGTGAGTTGTGTTCTATTTGATGTTGTGGAGTGCAGCAAATTTATTAAAACTTAGAAAATAAGGCTGGACTCAAACTCCTGGGTTCAAGTGATCCTCCTGCCTCAACCTCCTAGGACAACAGGCACATGTCACCAGGCCCAGCTCAGAAAATAATTCTTTTGGAAAGGGGAGGGGGTCTCATGCTGTGGCCCAGACAGAAGTACAGTGGCATGATCATAGCTCATTGTAGTCTCAAACTCCTGGCCTCAAGCAATCCTCCCTTCTCAGCCTCACAACTAGCTAAGACTACAGGGGTGCACCACCACACCTGGATTATTTTTAAAAAAAATTTTTTTTTAGAGACAGGGTCTCACTATGTTGTCCAGACTGGTCTCTAACTCCTGGGCTCAAGTGATTCTCCCACCTCAGCCTCTCAAAGTGCTGGAATAACAGGCTCAAGCCACTGTGCCCAGCTATTTCTTCCACTAATTTTTTTTTTTTTTTTTTTTGAGACAGAGTCGATCTGTCGCCCAGGTTGGAGTGTAGTGGCACGATCTCAGCTCACTGCAACCTCTGCCTCCCAGGTTCAAGCAATTCTCCCACCTCAGCCTCCAGAGTAGCTGGGACTACAGGCAGGTGCCACGATGCCCAGCTTTTTGTATTTTTAGTAGAGATGGGGTTTCACCATGTTGGCCAAGCTAGTCTCAAACTCCTGACCTCAAGTGATCCGCTTGCCTCAGCCTCCCAAACTGCTGGGATTATAGGCATGGGCCACCACACCTGGCCGCTAACATTTTTTCCCTTTTTTTGTGTTTTAATTTTTTTTTGTTGTTGTTCTTTTTCTTCCATTAACTTTGAAAAGGTATTTTAAAGTATTTTAAATACAGAGATCTATATCATTATGCACTGTTAGTAGAAATGAAAAATTATGACAGCATTTCTGGCAAGCAATTTGGCAAGAACCTCAAACGTGTTTATTTCATTTGAACCAATAGTTTTTATTTGTTTGTTTGTTTGAGACACAGTTTCACTATGTTGCTCAGGCTGGTCTCAAACTCCTGTTCTCAAGCGATCCTCCTGCCACAGCCTCCTGAGTAGCTGGGATTACAGGCATGCACCATGATGCCTGCCTAATCAGATAGTTCTGTTCTAGGAGTCTATACTTTAAAAGTTTGTGTGTGTGTAATTGTAATGAAAAATAACGAAAAATTTGAACAAATGAATGGTTAAATTGTTGCATATGATATTATGTAACAATAAAATTTTGAGGAATATTTAGTAATAAGAATGTGTCTAACTCATGATTTTTAAATGTGAATATCCTATTGAGTTTTTCTAATATGGTTTTTTGTTGTTTTTTTTTTGTTTTGTTTTGTTTTTGAGACAGAGTCTGGCTCTGTTGCCCAGGCTGGAGTGCAGTAGCAACATCTCAGCTCACTGCAACATCCTCTCCCGGGTTTAAATGATTCTTGTGCCTCAGCCTCCAGAGTTGCTGGGACTACAGGCGTGCACTACCAGGACTGGCTAATTTTTGTATTTTTAGTAGAAATGGGGTTTCGCCATGTTGGCCAGGCTGGTCTCAAATTCCTGACCTCAGGTGATCAGCCTGGCAGCCTCCCAAAGTGCTAAAATTACTGGCATAAGCCACCGAGCCCAGCCTGATATGCTCCTTAAAAATTAAAATAATGGCCAGGCAGAGTGGTTCATGCCTGTAATCCCAACACTTTGGGAAGCCAAGGTGGGCGGATCACCTGAAGTCAGGAGTTCGAGACCAGCCTGGCCAACATGGCGAAATCCCGTCTCTACTAAAAACACAAAAAATCAGCCAGGCAGCTGGAGGCGGTGGATCACACCTGTAATTCCAGCACTTTGGGAGGCTGAGGTGGGTGGTTCACGAAGTCAAGAGATTGAGACCATCCTGGCCAACAAGGTGACCCCATCTCTATTAAAAATACAAAAATTAGCTGGGCATGGTGGTGCGTGCCTGTAGTCCCAGCTACTCGGGAGGCTGAGGCAGGACAAACGCTTGAATCTGGGAGGTGGAGGTTGCAGGGAGCCGAGATCACGCCCCTGCACTCCAGCCTGGCCACAGAGCTAGATTCCGTCTCAAAAAAAAAAAAAAATTAGCCAGGCGTGGTGGCGGGCGCCTATAATCTCAGCTACTTGGGAGGCTGAGGCAGGTGGATCACCTGAGGTCAGGAGTTGGAGACCAGGCTGGCCAACATGGCGAAACCCCCGTCTCTACTAAAAATTCCAAAAATTAGCCAGGCATGGTGGCGGGCGCCTATAATCCCAGCTACACCAGAGGTTGAGGCAGGAGAATCGCTTGAACCCGCGAGGCGGAGGGTGCAGTGAGCCAAGATTGCGCCACTACACTCCAGCTGGGCAACAGAGCGAGACTGTATCTCAAAAAAAAAAAAAAAAAAAAAAATTACAAACACTATTGAGGTATAACTCATTTGTTGGCTTTATTTTATTTTATTTTATTTTATTTATTTTTGAGACAGAGTCTCGCTCTGTCGCCCAGGCTGGAGTGCAGCTGAGCGATCTCGGCTCTCTGCAACCTCTGCCTCCCGGGTTCAAGAGATTCGCCTGCCTCAGCCTCCCAAGTAGCTGGGATTACAGGCATGTGCCACCACGCTCGGCTAATTTTTGTAATTTTAGTAGAGTCGGGGTTTCGCCATGTTGGCCAGGCTGGTCTTGAACTCCTGACCTCAAGCGATCCGCCTGCCTCAGCCTCCCAAAGTGTTGGGATTACAGGCCTGAGCCGCCTTGCCTGGCCCTTTTTTTTTTTTAAACCTAATATATGATGGAATCCTTACATGAAAGTATACATACAAATAATCTACTTCTATCTTTCATCTTTAAAAAAAGTTTCATAGTCTTTCATGATGCGGAAGTACTTTGGACTTCATAAATAAATAATTGATTTTATTATTTGCAGAATTCTAATTGAATGGATGTAACAACATAGTACCGTAGACAATATTTGCAGCCAGGCGCGGTGGCTCACGCCTGTAATCCCAGCACTTTGGGAAGCTGAGGCAGGCGGATCACGAGGCCAAGAGATTGAGACCATCCTGGCCAACATGGCGAGACCCCGTCTCTACTAAAAATACAAAAACTAGCTGAGGGTGGTAGTGCGCGCCTGTAGTCCCAGCTACTCTAGAGGCTGAAGCAGGAGAATCGCTTGAACCTGGGAGGCGGAGGTTGCAGTGAGCAGAGATTGCGCCACTGCACTCCAGCCTGGCAACAGAGCAAGACTCCATCTCAAAAAAAAAAAAAAAAAAAAGAAAGAAAGAAAGAAAGAAAGGAAAGAAAGAAAAAAGAAAACAATATCTGCAGTGGGTTGTTGACTAATTTTGTGTGTATAGGTCTGTCCATATGGATGCATACAAGAGTTTTCAGAAGGATATACACCTAAATAGTAATAGTGATTATGTCTAAGTAGTGAGATTATAGGTGATTTTCTTCACTATTCTCAGCTGTATTTATTCAAGTATTCTGTAGAACTACTATATTACTTTTACATTAAAGAAAATTATTAGTACGTTTCTCCACTGATATGGTTTGGATCTGTGTCCCTAGCCAAATCTCATGCCAAAACGTAATCCTCAATGGCCAGGTGCAGTGGCTCACGCCTGTAATCTCAGAACTTCGGGAGGCTGAGGCGGAAGGATCACAAGGTCAGGAGATCGAGACCATCCTGGCTAACACGGTGAAACCCTGTCTCCACTAAAAACACACACATAAAAAATTAGCCGGGCGTGGTGGCAGGGGCCTGTAGTCCCAGCTACTTGGAAGGCTGAGGCAGGAAAATGGCGTGAACCCGAGAGGCGGAGCTTGCAGTGAGCCGAGATCGTGCCACTGCACTCCAGCCTGGGCGACAGAGCAAGACTCCGTCTCAAAAAAAAAAAAAAAAAAAAAAAAGTCCTCAATGTTGGAGGTAGGGCCTAGTGGGAGTTGATTGCTCCTGGGGTTGGATTTCTAATGAATGGTTTCACACCATTTCTTGGTGCTGTCCTCTCAATAATGAATGAGTTCTCTGGCGGCGATCTGGCTGTTTATAAGTATGGCACCTTGCCCTCTTTCTTGCTCGGTTTTCACCATGTGGTGTGCCTGCTCCTGATTCGCCTTCCACCATGAGTAAAAGCTCCTTGAGACCTCCTCAGAAACAGATGCCACTATGCTTCCTGTGCAGTTTGCAGAACCATGAGCCAATTAAACCTTTTTTCTTTATAAATTACCCAGTCTGGCCAGGCGCGGTGGCTCACGTCTGTAACCCCAACACTTTGGGAGGCCGAGGCGGGAGGATCACCTGAGGTCGGGAGTTCAAGACCAACATGGGGAAACCCCGTCTCTACTAAAAATACAAAATTAGCTGGGCATGGTGGCACATGCTTGTAATCCCAGCTACTCGGGAGGCTGAGGCAAGAGAATCGCTTGAGCCCGGGAGGCGGAGGTTGCGGTGAGCCGAGATTGCGCCATTGTACTCCAGCCTGGGCAACAAGAGTGAAACTCCATCTCAAAAAAATTAAATAAATAAATAAATACATACATAAATTACCCAGTCTCAGGTATTTCTTTATAGCAATGCAAGAACAGACTAATAAATCCATTCAGTTGAGTAAAAGAGTTCCAGGCACTAAATATGAGCTTTAGCATCAACATCATTAAGGAAGATACTCTACTGGCATAGTTTCAGCAGGCAGCTGGGCCCATCTCTTTCCTGGGCTTAACCAGGCTGGGTCCACCTCTTTCCTGGGCTTAACCAGGCCCGGCCTCTGCTCATAGTATGCATCCACTTGGGATGTCCCCCATTCTGCCCCTCCAAACCCCCTCCTTCCTTCAAAGCCCAACCCAGCTCCTACCTCCTCCAGGCAGCCTATTGGGATTATTCTAGCCTATCTTATACTTAGGTGTATCCTCATTGCTTTCTGGTTTCTTGTCTCTTCATTCCAATCAGATTATAAGCATCCTGAGGGTAAAACTCTTGATTATACTTATTCACATTCTTCACAATGCCTAGTACTGCAGTGAACATGCAGCAGACACCTAACAAATACTTGTTTGTTCTTAAAAGAGATAAAGGAGTATGACACAAGGAGCATTTTAAAAACAAACAAAAAAGAGATAATAAAGGTGAAAATAATGTTTGCCACATTATAGGTAATCAATACATGCTTATTGTACCTGAATGGATAATTTCTCTACTCAAAATTAACAAATCATAAAAGAAATAATCAACCACTCACTGGCAGAGAAGGTAAGAGCAACAGCCCCAGGATATTGGGAACCAGATATGGAGTAAGGAAGAGCCACACCTCTCCTAGCTGTGCTGGCTGTTAAAGATTACATTTTGGGCCAGGCAGAAGTGGTGGTTTATGTCTGTTATCTCTGCCCTTTGGGAGGCTGAAGTGGGAGGATTGCTTGAGCTCTGGAGTTTGAGACCAGCCTGGCCAACATAGTGTCTCTACAAAAATTTTAAAATTAGCCAGATGTGGTGGTGTGAACCTGTAGTCCCAACTACTCAGGAGGCTAAGACAGGAAGATCACTTGAGCCCAGGAGTTCGAGGCTGCAGTGAGCTATGATTGCACACCACTGCACTCCAACCTGGGCAACAGAGTGAGATCTTGTCTCAAAAAAATTAATTAATTAAAGTAAATTTGAGGCCAGATGTGGTGGCTCATGCCTGTAATCCCAGCACTTTGGGAGGCCAAGGCTGGTGGATCACCTGAGGTCAGGAGTTTGAGACCAGCCTGGCCAATATGGTGAAGCCCCATCTTTACTAAGAATACGAAAATGAGGCATGGTGGCGTGCACCTGTAGTCTCTGCTACTCAAGAGGCTGAGGCAGGAGAATAGCTTGAACCTGGGAGGTGAAGGTTGCAGTGAGCCAACATGGCACCACTGTACTCCAGCCTGGGTGACCGAGCAAGACTCCATCTCAAAAAATAAAATAAGATAAAAAATGAAGTAAATTTGAAAGATTACATTTCAAAGGAATGTGAACACCTTGACATAGAATAAATACCTTTAACTTACTAAAAGACAATAGGGGTGATTAATTAGATTGCTTAATCAGATTAATTCAGTCTTCATGCAAGAAACATCTTCAAACTGCTTTAGATCGAAAGGACATCTTCCATCATCTTAACCGGTTTGTTTGCCAACATAGGATTTAATTTTCTGTGTAGGCCTCTGCATTTTACCTATCCTTCTCTCCATGCATACTATCTGCCTCCCAAGCAGACAGCTAAATTTGATTTTTCCTAAATATTCAAAAAAATATCTTTCAGGCTGGACATAGTGGCTCATGCCTGTAATCCCAGCACTTTGGGAGGCCAAAGCGAGTGAATTGCTTGAGGTCAGGAGTTCGAGACCAGCCTAGGCAACACAGCAAGAGCCCATCTCTACGAAAAAAATAAAAAAAGAATTAGCTGGGTGTGGTGATGTGCACCTGCGGTCCCAGCTACACAGGAAGCTGAGGCAGAGGATTTCTTGAGCCAAAGAGGTCAAGGTTGCAGTGAGCCATGTTCACGTCACTGCACTCCAGCCTAGGTGACAAAGCGAAACCCTGTTTCCCCTGCACCACCCGCCACTTGCAAAACACACACACACACACACACACACACACACACACACACCAAAAACTTTCATGTCTTTTCAGTTAACTTTTAAACAAGCCCAGCAGGATTGAATTATGTGGTATAATTTTAGGGACATTTCTGCCCAGGTTCATGAGTTTATCCACCTGCTCTAAAACCTGAAAGACCTTGATCAGGAATCAAAGTGATATATGCTGTACTTGGAGACAAAGCTTAAAAGACACATCCTCAAAGGAAAGCAAAAACATTTATTTAAATTCATTATAAAATATTATCTTCCCAGGTGCTCTATTCAATTTCTTCATCACCATCCACACAGAGAGGACTCACAAATTTATATCTCCAGTGCAAGGCTCTGTGTCCTCAGGTTTCAAACTCGATTATACAACTCACAACTTGCCTTGTCCTCCTGGGATTCTCAAAGCCATCCAAACTTAACATGAGTTCATGCTCTCCCCACTCCCCACACTCACTGATACTCCTAACTTGGTTTCTATGGTCCCGTATCCCAGTGAGCTAGTCATCTGGTTGAACAAGCCTGAAAGGCAGAAGTCATCCATGACAGCTCTCTCTCTCCTCCATGCCCACACCATCCCTCAATTCTGTCAGAACTCTCCAGTGTCTTCCATCTTCTCCATATCATTCAGCCAAACTTTGTCTAATTTAATAACCTCCTAACCAGTCTATCTAGAGCCCTTCTAACCCCAGCCACACCTATATAACATATTAGAGCAAAAGCTCATGTTTTTCAAAGGTTAGTCAAGTGAAGCAGTGGGAGTGGAGAAGGAACAAAGAAATCTGTAACTGGTTGTGATCAATTAGTTGTAAACACCACTGCACTCAGACCAGCTGCAAAATTTGTTGTTGTTGTTGTTGTTTTGAGATGGAGTTTCACTCTTGTTGCCCAGGCTGGAGTGCAATGGCGCAGTCTTGGCTCATTGCAACTTCCAATTCCCGGGTTCAAGCAGTCCTCCTGTGTCAGCCTCCCAAGTAGCTGGAAGTATAGGTGCCCGCCACCATGCCTGGCTAATTTTTGTATTTTTAATAGAGACAGGGTTTCACCATGTTGGCCAGGCTGGTCTCGAACTCCTGACCTCAGGTGATCTCCCTGCCTCGGCCTCCCAGAGTGCTGGGATTACAGGCGTGGGCCACCGCACCCGGCCTGCAAAATTTTTAATACATATTATACTCCTTGACCTCCACTATCACAGAAACTTTGCTATATACTGTTTTCTTGACTTAAAACACTATTCCCTCCTTAATAACTCCAACTCCTCCACATTTCTGCTCAAGCATCAGTTTCCCAGAGAAGCTTTTATTGGCTTTTATCACCAGGTCAAATTCCTATCTCCTAGTACTTTGTACAGTCCTTCATAGTGCTCATCAAGTTGGAATCTGACACATATATATGTGTTATTATATCATCTCCCTCACTAGTCTAAGCCATAAAGTCATGGATCATGTGCAGTTTTTTTTCTCCCCACTGCATCCAAACACCTAGCATAGTGTCTGGTACATAGAAGTGGTCAAAAAATATTTACTGAGTAAATAAATGCATAAGTTAAAATATAAATAACCAACATAAAATCCTTTTCCAAGAATAAGTTTTTATGACAGATATCAACCAGCAGAAAAATAAAACATTTTCTAGAATGAAAGAACATATGAAAAATGCCTGGCAGATAATAGGTTCACAATTTTGTAAAAATTCATCTGCTTTATGATTTTCATAGAGCCAATATCTGCAACCTGCCTTTCTATGTATTTATGGAGAGCAGGACCAAAGCAACGTAATTTGCTGCTAGGATGCCAGTACTAAAGTGTTTCTTTTTGTCTGTTCCTGCTTCCTGAACATATTTTGCTTTGTGTAAATTTACTATGACCACACAAAACATATCAGACAAAATGAAAGACAGAGTTGCAAGAATTTCCAACTTGTTAGTTGGGTAGGATGCCTTGGAAAACAAAGTACAGGGCTTCCCACTATATATAACCAACTGTCTAGTCTTAAGGTGAAGATAAATAATATGTTCTAGGAGCTGGGCATGATGGCTCATATTTGTGATCCTAGGACTTTGGGAGGCCAAGGCAGGAGGATCGCTTTAGCCCAGGAGTTTGAGACCAGCCTGGGCAACATAGAGAGACTCAGTCTCTTAAAAAAAAAAAAAAGAATATCTTCTAGAAAAGGAATTATCTTTAAATACTGTACAGATAATTCAGGATTTCAAGTTTAGTTTCCACAGTGTGTGAGTGAGACACTCAAAGGGATAGAAGATGAAATGTTTAATCTGCGTGAGTTCGCTTAAGGACACATCCCAATAAGGAAAAGCTGTGGGGCGTATGATTGTTTTATAAAACAGTGCGAAGAGAATTGTTTGGCACTGTTTGCACATGACAGGCTCACAATTCATTTCTTTAAATATGAAGCCCCAAATCAACCCATCTAAAATTATGTTTCCTACCAAGATTGCTTAGTTACTACACATAGGAATGTGCATAGGCCTGGAGGCAGCACTCTCAGCTCTTCTGAGATAATCAGTTGCTCTTTTATTTACAAGAATCCTGGTCAAGACACTCCATTCCTGTCCCATTTCTCTGCCACTAATTGACTCTGTGGCTGTAACAGGGTCTCAGTTCTTCATGTGTAAATCAAGGAGATTGGATTTTTTTAAGTCCTTAAAGTTCCCTCCAGCTCCCAGTCCTTTGATTCAGGCCTGAATTCTAGCCAGTAGAGTATCAAGCCACCTACACGGTTTGTCGAGTTGCACGAGCATTTAATGAAGAGTTTCCCTACTCTTTGGAAGAGTCTGTTCATAGGAGAAATTTATGCCACCTTAATAAAATGAGCAGAGGAGAAACCTGTTATTTCCTCATAGGTGCATAAGCAGCCCCGAAATGGGAGCTGACTAGAGGGGTGGGCTGGGAGACAGGAGTCTGCAGGGTCAGGCTGCCATGAGGTTGATAGGGAAGTTTTGCCCCACTGGCCAGATTTCTCTTCACTATTGCTGCATGCAGGCTGCTGAGCTCACTGGTGTCACATTCCTCAGCCTTGATCCTCAGGACTCAACCAAAGAATATCAAGATTTCCACAGCACACTTGTCTTTTTTCTTTTAATGGAATGAATGATGCCATACATTTGTCATGTTTATAGAGCAGCCTTCCCTGCATTAAAACACACACACACACACACACACACACACACACACACACACACACATAGATATAGATATAGATATATCCCACTGGAGGCTTTTTATAAAAAAAACAAAACAAAAAACCCACAGATATATCTATTTTAGATAGATAGATAGATAGATAGATAGATAGATAGATAGATATAGATATATAGATATATTCTTCCAAGTAACACTCTGGCAGGATTATCCCACAACAGAAAGTGTCAAAGGCAAAGAGAAATGCCTATACAAGAAGAACTTTTTAAAATAGAAAGCATAGATTCAAACTGCCTCAATCACTGTGGGCTTCCTTCCCTGGCAGAGGAGAGACACTTCCTTCATTCCTTTCCAAATAAAGCACCTTGGCTCTATTCAAGGCTTTACTATGGGCAGGAAGACCAATGGCAACTTCTTGATCTATAGGAAAGTTTTATTTGTTCGACTGACCTACCAGAAAAATATTCTAAATTGAATTACTTTGCCATGTTTTATAGATGATACATAAATTGCCTTGCCCAGGATACTTTTTAAAAAAAAGTTACACAAAACAGAGCATGTCAAAATAATTTTCAAATATAATACCTATAAGATGGCTAAAATGTAGCAAAGTATAATTTGCCTAAGATTGTAATATTATAAATTGAGACATGTACTTGGCTATAATCTACATTTGTCATTTCTTGGACAAACTTTTGGTTAACTCTCTTCTAAATTACGTTTGCCTATGTGTCTTGAATTAAAAAATGGCTTTAATCGTAAATAAACATGAGAAAAAAGTATTTTTCTATTTCGAAAGCCCACAAGGCCGGGCGTGGTGGCTCACATCTGTAATCCCAGCACTTTGGGAAGCCGAGGCGGGTGGTTCACGAGGTCAGGAGTTCAAGACCAGTCTGGCCTATATAGTGAAATCCCGTCTCTACTAAAAATACAAAAAATTAGTCGGGCATGGTGGTGGGTGCCTATAATCCCAGCTACTTAGGATGCTGAGGCAGGAGAATCGCTTGAACCCAGGAGACAGAGGTTGCAGTGAGCGGAGATGACGCCACTGCACTCCAGCCTGGGTGACAGTGCAAGACTCTGTCTCAAAAAAAAAAAAGAAAGCCCACAATATGAACTCATTCTTTCAGTATCCAGTCCTACAACCTCACCTGGAGTATTTTTAGCCTAAGCCAATCTTTCAATATTTACTTTGTGTATGTAAATAACAATGTTCCTGTAAGTAGTGCTACTTACATTCTAAAAAAGCCTTGATTCTAATTGCCCTAGTGTTGTCATTCACGTCTTGAGGGTTCCAGCTCAAGTTTCCTGCGTGACTGGAGGCACCGCCCTCATTCTATTTGATTCATTATGAATAACACAAGGATAATGATGCCTGTAATTACTGACAGTTTGCCACCTTCTTTGAAGTTCCCAAAAGCAAAATGCTCCAAATGTATGCTCATAATTGTTTATTAGTTGGTCAGTTTACAAAGCCAATTTTTGTTTCCTCAAAATTAAATGGCATTTGTTCATTTTTAAAATTTGAGTGACAATGTTTCTAAGTTAAACCCAGGAGGCTGGGCTCAGTGGCTCATGCCTGTAATCCCAGCACTTTGGGAGGCCGAGGTGGGCAGATCACTTGAGGTCAGGAATTCAAGACCAGCCTGGCCAACATGGCGAAACATCGTCTCTACTAAAAACACAAAAATTAGCCAGGTGTGGTGGTGGGTGCCTGTAATCCCAGCTACACGGGAGGCTGAGGCAGGAGAATCGCTTCAACCCAGGAGACCAGGGGGTTGCAGTGAACCAGGATCGCAACACTGCACTCCAGCCTGGGTGACAGAGCTAGACTCTGTCTCAAAAAAAAAAAAACAAAAAAAAAACAAAACAAACCACAGTGTATATGCATGGATACATAAATTGAAAAGTACCATTATTAATGAAAAGTCAGCATGTAACAACTGTTGTTTTAGGATAATTATTACTAATGTTGAAAATAATCAAATCTCACCAAAGAAAAAGAGATTATTTTCCTTATAAGGCAGATTACGTGTCTCAGTGATAGTGATTCAAAAATAATCATTTCAAACTTCTTATCTTAAGATTTTTGAGGATCCAATGTCTAAAGGTCTCTCTGCTCCCTGGCCTTCTCATTTCCTACTATATTATAGATTAAATCTCCTAACATTGCTTTGAAAACCTTTGTCTGGCCTTCCTTCTGATTCTACTTTCCATTTTTTACATAGTAAATTTATTGACAGTTTGATACCTAAAGCTCCATGTCTATTTTAATCTGTCTCCATAGTAACAAAACCAGTGTTTAGTTACATTGGTTTAGTTACATTAAGAACACTGTAGCCAGGCACAGTGGCTCATGCCTGTAATCCCAGCACTTTGGGAGGTCGAGGCAGGGGGATCAACTGAGGTTGGGTGTTCGAGACCATCCTGACCAACATGGAGAAACCCCGTCTCTACTAAAAATACAAAATTAGCCGGGTGTGGTGGCACATGCCTGTAATCCCAGCTACTAGGGAGGCTGAGACAGGAGAATCTCTTGAACCTGGGAGGCGGAGGTTGCGGTGAGCGGAGATCGTGCCATTGCACTCCAGCCTGGGCAACAAGAGCAAAACTCTGTCTCAAAAAAAAAAACAAAAAAAACAACCACACACACACACACGCACACGCACACACTGTAAAACATTAGACCAAAGACAAAAACATAGCCAAGAAGAAACTGTTTTCTAGCACCTACTCTGAGTCAGTCTGGTACATTTGATCTAGATTCCATCATCAACATTTTTGTAACAGAATTAGCTGTGCCCTTTAAATCACCCCTCTTGGAGAAATGACATAAAGTTGATGGTAAAATTGTGCATTATCCTGAAGGACTGCTCAAGATGTAATGGTAAAGACAAATAATTGCCTAGACTAAAATCCAAAGGGAAGACAAATTATGGGATCAAGAGGAGCTTCCCATGACTTGAGCAAAACTATTACTTCCATCAAGGGAGCAATTCCCCTTCCCAGCAGGAAACTCACCGAAATTTCCCTGAGTCACTTGCGAACAATGTTGTTATAAATGTGACATGAACTCTCATCCACAATCATAATCCCATAATTTTTAATGTTAATTTTAAGCCCCCCATGATTATTTCATGGGCCTACAAGTTATCTGGATAAAGACGACAGACTCCAAATGATATTCAGCCAAGTGACAGTAATCCTGAAGAACCCTGCCTGGGACGGCTGACCACCACTGCATAGTTACTTACATGTTTACATGTCAGTTTCCCCAGAACCTATCATTATAATGTTCAGGTGTTGTAACACATCAAATATTACAACAGGAGAGACTGCCAAAGACTTAACGCATGCTACAAAGACACAATCTCCTTGGCAAATGATTCAGACAATTAAAATGACAATAACATCAACAAAGTTGGTAAACCAAACCTAGTGTTAAAAAAAAAAAAATGAAGCTTTACTGTATGGAAAAAGAAAAGATTCTGGCCTAGAATCACAGAACTCTATACAAAGTTGGAAAGTGCCTTAGAGGTCATCCAGTTCAGCTACCCACTTGATGAAGAAATCTATTCTACAAAGTTCTTGACAAGTGGTTATTCAGCCTCTCCTTGTTTATATCCAGCATCCCAATGCAAACTACCGCCACTGAGCCAAAATTTACTTTGCTGAAACTTGCACTCATTGACTCTGTTTTGTAGAGCTTTTAAATCAATTCTGCCACTCCCTTTACTAGTTTAGTTGGGTTTTTAAAAAATACATTATAATAATAATAGCAAGCATTTATTGAATACTTACTATATGCTAAGTATTGGACTGGGTGTTTTTATATGAACTATCTTATTTATTTAGTGATTATGAGCATAAACTCTGGAACCAGATTGTCTGAGTTAGAATTCCAACTCTGCCATTTATTAGCTGTAATCATTGGACAAGTCATTTAACCTGTCTATGCCTCAGTTCCTCAACAATACAAAATAGGGATAAACATAATAATAAGGTCTACCTAGTAGGATTATGAAAATTAAATGCCAGTGTATGTAAAGTGTTTAGAACAGTGCCTAGCATATGATAAAAACTGTAAAAATGTTGTTGTGCTGCTCATTGTTAGTATGATTATTATTATTTGAGACGGAGTCTTGCTCTGTCACCCAGACTGGAGTGCAGTGGCGCGATCTCAGCTCACTGCAACCCCTGCCTCCAGGGTTCAAGTGGTTCTCCTGCCTCAGCCTCCAGAGTAACTGGGACTAAAGGCATGCACCAGTACGCCTGGCTAATTTTTGTATTTTTAGTGGAGATGGGGTTTCACCACGTTGACCAGGCTGGTCTTGAACTCCTGACCTCAGGTGATCCGCCCGCCTTGGCCTCCCAAAGTGCTGGGATTACAGGCGTGAGCCACCATACCTGGCCTATTATTACTCCCATTTTACAGATAAAAAGATTGAGGTTTAGTAAAAAGGTTAGGCAACTTGAGGATGGGATTTTCAATTATCCTTGTTAGATCACATCTGAAATCAGTTTATTACTCAAAGTGTTTGCTATTTATTGTGCATTTGCTATTTTATTTAGCTTTGCACATTAGTCTATTTTCTTTTTTTTTTCTTCTTTTTTTTCAGACAGGGTCTCACTATATTGCCCAGGCCGGTCTTAAACTCCTGAGCTCAAGTGATCCTCCGGCTTCAAAGCCTCCCAGTAGCTGAGATTACAGGCACAGGCCACCAGGCCTGGCTTTAGTCTATTTTTAAACAGATTCAATTCCAGGAACTCTTTCCAGTGTTTGTCCTCCCGTGAAACAAAACAATCTCGCATTAATCTAGAGATGGTACAGGTATGTTTGGAAAACAATATTGCAAAATATATCAACAATCATAAAATTGTTCAAAGCATTTTTTTTGAGACTGAGTCTTGCTGTGTTGCCTAGGCTTGACTGGACTGCAACAGCTGTTCACAGGCACAATCATTGCACACTACAGCCTCGAGCTCTTGGGCTCAAGCAATCGTCCTGCCTCAGTCGCCCAAGTAGCTGGGACTGCAGTCACACACATCTCCATATCCCACTCTCAAAGTCTTAGATTCAATAATATTTCTTATGAAAAGCTATCCTCCAGAAATAATTTAACAAAATGAGTAAGCTACATATTCCCAAATTTTTCTTATAGCATTACCAGCTGAATTTCCCCAAACTATATTAGAGATAAATATTAGGGGTATAGTGACGTAAATTATAATAAACATAAAAAGAAATTATATAGTTAATTAATCATTATGATACATAAAATCACGGAAAGAAATTTATGATATAATATTAAATAAAAGGCCAGGCACAATGGCTCACATATGTAATCCCAGCATTTTGGGAGGCCAAGGCAGGAGGACTGCTTGAGGCCAGAAGTTCAAGACCTGGGCAACACAGCGAGACCCTATCTCTACCAAAAAAAGCACAAAAATAAGCTGAGTGTGGTACCCCACACCTGTAGTCCTAGCTACTTGAGAGAATGAGGCAGGAGGATCACTTGAGCCCAAAAGTTTGAGGCAGCAGTGAGCTGTGGTGGCACTACTGTACTCCAGCCTGGGCAACAGAGCAAGACACTGTCTCTAAAAAAAAAAAAAAAAATTAAAATTAAAGTTAAAATTTAAAAATATATATATAAGGCCAGGCACGGTGGCTCAAGCCTATAATCCCAGCACTTTGGGAGGCTGAGGTGGGCGGATCATGAGGTCAGGAGTTTGAGACCAGCCTGGCCAACATGGTGAAACCCCATCTCTGCTAAAAATACTAAAAAATTAGCCAGGTGTGTTGGCGTGCACCTGTAATCCCAGCTACTTAGGAGGCTGAGGCAGGAGAATCGCTTGAAAGCCGGCAGGTGGAGGTTGCAGTGAGCCGAGATCATGCCACTGCACTCCAGCCTGGGCAACAGAGCAAGACTCTGTCTCAAAAAAAAAAAAAAAATGTATACACACACACACACACACACACACACACACACACAATATATAATATATATTACATATATTATATATTATATAATATATCACATATATTATATAATATATCACATATATATCACATATATTATATAATATATCACATATATATCACATATATTATATATCACATATATATCACATATATTATATAATATATCACATATATTATATATTACATATATTATATATCACATATATATTATATATTACATATATTATATATTATATTACATATATTATATATTATATTAAATATATTGTATATTATATATAATATATTAAATATATTGTATATTATATATAATATATACACCATATATTATATATTATATATAATATATGGTGTATATATACTATATACATTATATATACACTATATACACTATATATTATATATAATATACTATATATAATATAGTATTATAGTATATAATACTATATATAATATGTATTATAGTATTATATAATATATATACTATATATAATATAGTATATTTATTATATAATACTATATATTATATATAGTATTATATTATATAATACTATATATTATATATAGTATTATATTATATAATATATATTATATATAGTATATATATTAGTATATATACTAAGTATATATACTAGTATATATACTAAGTATATATACTATATATTATATATATAAAAACATACATATAGGCTGGTGCAGTGGCTCACTTGGACAAGTTTTATATATATGTATGTTTATTGTATATATGTGTATATATGTGTATATTATTTTATATACATTTATATATTTATATTCATATATAATAATTATATATATATATAATAGGAGGTTGAAACTGCAGGGAACCGTGATCATGCCACTGCACTCCTGTCTGGGCAACAGAGTGAGACACTGTCTCAAAAAAATAAATAAATAAATAAATATTTAAAAAGAACCCAGGGCTGGGCACGGTGGCTCATGCCTGTAATCCCAGCACAACACTTTGGGAGGCCGAGGGGGGCAGAACACCTGAGGTCAGGAGTTCGAGACCAGCCTGGTCAACATGGAGAAACCCCGACTCTACTAAAAACGAAAAATACAAAAAAAATTAGCTGGGCGTGTTAGTGGGAGCCTGTAATCCCAGCTACTCAGGAGGCTGAGGCAGGAGAATCGCTTGAACCTGGGAGGCGGAGGTTGCAGTGAGTCGAGATCGTGCCATTGCACTCCAGCCTGGGAGACAAGAGGGAAACTTTGTCTCAAAACAAAAAGAGGCCGGGCGTGGTGGCTCACGCCTGTAATCCCAGCACTTTGGGAGGCCGAGGCAGGCGGATCACGAGGTCAGGAGATCAAGACCATCCTGGCTAACATGGTGAAATCTCGTCTCTACTAAAAATACAAAAAATTGCCAGGCGCGGTGGCGGGTGCCTGTAGTCCCAGCTACTCGGGAGGCTAAGGCAGGAGAATGGCGTTAACCCGGGAGGCAGAGCTTGCAGTGAGCCGAGATTGCGCCACTGCACTCCAGCCTGGGGGACAGAGCCAGACTCTGTCTCAAAAAAAAAAAAAAAAAAAAAAAATCGAAAAATTAGCTGGGCCTGGTGGCGGGCGCCTATAGTCCCAGCTACTCGGGAGGCTGAGCCAGGAGAATGGCGTGAACCTGGGAGGCAGGGCTTGCAGTGAGCCGAGGTTGAGCCACCGCACTACAGCCTGGGCAACAGAGCGAGACTCCGTCTCAAAAAGAACAAAAGAAAAGAAAGGAAAGGAAAGGAAAGGAAGGGAAGGGAAGGGAAGGGAAGGGAAGGGAAGGGAAGGGAAGGGAAGGGAAGGGAAGGGAAGGGAAGGGAAGGGAAGGGAAGGGAAGGGAAGGGAAGGGAAGGGAAGGGAAGGGAAGGAAAGGAAGGGAAGGGAAGGGAAGGGAAGGGAAGGGAAGGGAAGGGAAGGGAAGGGAAGGGAAGGGAAGGGAAGGGAAGGGAAGGGAAGGGAAGGGAAGGGAAGGGAAGGGAAGGGAAGGGAAACCGACTACCACATGTTCTCATTTATAAGTGGGAGCTAAATGATGACAAATCGTGAAAACAAAGAAGTCAGCAACAGACACTGGGGCTTCCTTAAGGATGGAGGGTGGGAGCCAGGAGGGGGGCAGAAAAAATAACTATTGGTTAGTAAGTTTAATACCTGCGTGGTGAAATAATCTGTACAACAAACCCTCGTGACACAAGTTTACCTATATAACAAACCTACACATGTACCCCTAAACCTAAAATAAATTAAAAAAATAAAACCACTTAAAAAAGTCACAATCCCCAGGAAAACAAAAAGCTACACATCTGGAGAATCTAGTACCCCAAGATTAATTATACAATGTGGTAGAAAGTGGTGCTAAGAACTATTAAGCTGATTTTAATAAAAAGGGCAAATATCTCTGATTCCATTTTTTCCAATAAATTCCTATAAGCAGGTGAAAGAACACAGTACACTTAGTTTCCTTGTGTTAAGAAAGAGCTTCCTTTTTTTTCTTTTTAGAATCTTTGAGCCACTACTGTGATTAAAATAGCACTGTATACTGTTTTGTTTTTGTCGTTCAAGAGAAATGTAAATAATGCATTATCAAAGTATCTAAATATCTGAAACAACTGTTGATATGCTGACAGATTATGTGGATGAAAATAAGCCAGTCTAAATGTAAATAAATTAATAAAATATGTAAGAACAATTAAAACTGGCCTTTAATGTTGAGATATTGTTTGAGAAATAAGAATATGAGATTACATATATATATAGTAGTCTCTGCTTGACTCATAAAATTAGAGAACCCTACAGCTCTCCAAGCCCAGATATCTGTGGGCTCTCTGCTGTCCACAGTACAAAGAATCTGGCATGTACATTATGCAAGAGTGGAAACCAAGCCCAAACAGATCAGGGAAATAGTACTGTTTAAATTGTCATGCCAGCAATAGGACAACTGAAAATGACACCCCCACAGCATTGTTTTCTCTGCACAGTGAATTTCACAAGTGCTCTCTCATAGAGGGAGACATATATGCCTGCAGCTTCCTCCTCCTCTGGGCCTCTCTCTGAGTGTAATAAAGGAAAGAAGAGAGAGAAGCAGATCTGTTAGGTCTCCATGAGGCAGGCTTGTCAGATATCCATGATACCAGGCCAGCGGGTACTGTGGCAAAATCACACTGTGGGCCAACAAGGGAGATAACTAACCAATTGCCTTCTAAGGCAGTCTGCCTTGCAAATGGTCTTGAAGTTGTGAACAGAAGCCCTAGGGAGTTGCAATGGCCAAGTCCTGGCTTTAGATTAGCTAGCTGAGGAAGAAGGAGCCCTGAAGTGTTAATGACAATCTACTCCACCCACTCACCAGCTACTGGCCCTCCTCAGCCTCTCTTTCCTCTCTGTTTCTTTCTCTCACAGTCTTGACCATGGATTTCTACCTTTGCACTTTCCTTTTCTAAGTTTTCTTTAGAAACCAAAATGGGGAGGGTGAAAAAGATGATCTTAGGCAGAGATGAAAAAGTTAGTTTAGTGGCAGAAAAGAACAATAAACTAAAGGAAATGGAATAATTGAGAAAGAGCCAAATAAAGAGAATAGCCATTATGGACTGAATTGTGGTTCCTTAACAACTCAAAATCAGGTGCTCTTATAGAGAAAAGAAATGCCTCCTTTTGGCAGAAAAATCAGTAACTCACTATTGCACTGTTTATTGCACAATTTATCATCAGTGGAACTTATGAGTTAACACAGGACATTTGGCACTTTAGGTCCTGTTAGTCCAGAATCCCAGCATGTTGGACTATGGAAATATTTTTACTAGAGTCACAAAGGGTTAAGCATGGAATTAAAAAGAAAAGGGAAGAGAGCCAAGTACAGTGGCTCACATCTGTAATTCCAGCTATTCAGAAGGGTCCCTTGAGCTCAGGAGTTCAAACCCAGCCTGGGCAACACAGTGAGACCCTGTCTCTAAAAAATAAAGGGAAGGGAAGACATATGGAATGAAAACAGCATTGCTGAAATTCATTTTTATTAAATAACCCAACATTTTTAAATGGGGATATGACAATAAAATATTCTGGCTGAGAGGGGCTAAGGAGTGCTGTGTTAAAAACAGTGACTTCTGGCCGGGCACGGTGGCTCACGCCTGTAATCCCAGCACTTTGGGAGGCCGGGGCAGATGGATTACCTGAGGTCAGGAGTTCGAGACCAGCCTGGCCAACATGGTGAAATCCTGTCTCTACTAAAAATACAAAAATTAGTCAGGTGTGGTGGCACATGCCTGTAGTCCCAGCTACTCAGGAGGCTGAAGCAGGAGAACTGCTTGAACCCAGGAGGTGGAGGTTGCAGGGAACTGAGACTGTGTCACTGCATTCCAGCCTGGGGCAACAGAGTAAGACTCTGTCTCAAAAACAACCAACCAACCAACAACAAAAAAAACAGTAACTTCCTTTTCTCAGAAAAGGGAATTTGTGTCAGTGAATGGTTCCTATGGTCCATTTATCAGAAGAGATTCAATTGTAAAGACTCAGAAAAGAGGCCTCTCAATTATCTTTAGACTAAAGGAACAGTGATTAATTCTGAGACATTACAGATGGATGTGTGAGTAAACAAACGTGGGCAGGAGGAAGGTTAAGAAATGCTACCGCTGCTATTATGCCTGGCGTATAATTTTTTTCTTCTAGAGCTAATCATCCTAGCATCAAAAACAAAAGCTGAGGGATTAAGCTGTGTTCCAAGAACAGTTTTGATAATATTAATTACGTTGGTAAATAAACGCAGAAACAACAAACAAAAATAAATCAAGCCATTTTTCAGCTCCATTGAAAAGGCAGCATTTGCCAGATGGAAAAGGTCTCAGCAACAGAGGAAAAATTGCTTTCAATCTTCTAAAGAAAGTCTAATCATGAAGACCAAAGAAGACAAACTAAAAGTCTAGAATAAAGTCTTGCTTTATTCTATTTAATAAATTTTAATAAATATGGTGGTCCTTTGTAATGAAAAAAAAAAAAACACTTTAATGACTGATGTCTGTTGATTCTCTGGAATTATATGACAAAGTTATGTAACAAGAATTTGCCTCATACATCTGTGCAGTGAACTAAAATAGTGAAAAAATAAAGAAAAAGAATTTGCCTCAAACTTAGTTAGTCATTTGGGCAGTCATCAAGGAAGGAACGCCAAGACTTTTTAATAACCTGATGTCTTCAGAAGCAAAGACCAGTCAGACAAGTTTCCAGATGGAGATAAAAATAAATCTAAAAAAAAAAAAAAAAAAAAGAGATCAGCATTAAATGGATAAGATGGAGTTTGCCAACAAAGAGAAGATGAGTAATTCTTGTTCCATGTGAATTAAAAACTCACTGTTCAATTAAAAACTCAAATTATATATCTGAAAGAACCATTGGGTTAAAAATAATAATAAAATAATAAATAATAATAAAAAAATAAAAACTCAAATTAATTAAAAACTCAACAAATCAATCAAATGAATTAAAAACAACACAAACTCTCCATTATCATTTAGGTGTCTAAACATGCTACCTCATCAGATCATTCTGGATTATAAACAGAACAATAATAGCTCATACATATGATTTTCTTTCACATCAAGATGTAAAATGGTTCATTAATCTCATACCACTTTGAAGAACAGGTAGTAAAACAAGAATTTAAAGCCAGCACTACCAGTTCAAAAACTGCTAACCTAACCACCTCATTGGATTAAGGCTGAGCCACCATTTGGGTGCATTACAGTCAGTGAAAAGATCACCCGAGGTATAGAGTTCAAGACCACCCTGGCCAACAAAGCAAAACCCCATCTCTACTAAAAATACAAAAATTAGCCTGGCATGGTGGTGCACACCTGTAATCCCAGCTACTTGGGAAGCTGAGGCACAGGAATAACTTGAACCCTGGAGGCAGAGGCTGCAGTGTTCACGGCTGAGATCATACCACTGTACTCCAGCCTGGTGACAGAGACCCTGTCACAAAGAAAAGATTTTTTAAAAAAGTATATACACTGTAGGCAGGGCGTGGTGGCTCACGTCTATAATCCCGGCACTTTGGGAGGCCGAGGTGGGCAGATCACCTGAAGTCAGGAGTTGAAGACCAACCTGGCCAACATGGTGAAATCCTGTCTCTACTAAAAATGCAAAAATTAGCCAGGTGTGGTGTAATCCCAGCTACCCAGCTGTAATCCCAGCTACCCAGGAGGCTGAGGCAGGTGACTCACTTGAACCTGGGAGGCGAAGGTTGCAGTCAGCCAAGATTGTGGCACTGCACTCCAGCCTGGGCAACAGAGTGAGACTCCATCTCAAAAAAAAAAAAAAAGTATATACACTATACACTCTAGAACATTGTTTTCTAAGCTGTGGGCCACAAGTCTTAGGTCAAAAGCCATGTTCAAGTTATCTTCCTTGAAGCCATTGAACGCATCTCTTGTGTAACCATTACAGTGCAGTCTTCTCTAGCCTGGTGGTGTCAAAGGTAAAAATGATACATTAATATGCAATTAATATACATTAATATAGGAAAAGGCCATCTGAGGTCCCATTTTGAGATTCCTTCCATCCCCGGTATAGTTGGAGGTTGCATCGCAGTGGTGGTGTCTGCTAAGACAGAACTCTGGCTCTGCTGTATTCATTCATTTACAGATTCATTCATCGGTGACTTCAACGGCTGGTTTAAGGGAACATTGACCACACCCATTTTATTACCATCATTTCCTTTAGAAAATCCAGTTTCCATTCAAGCCCGCTAATCTCCAATTCCAACTAGATGATCACCTCTAAGTCACTTTTATATCAAAATTCTAGAGATACTGGCCAGGTGCGGTGGCTCACGCCATTGCACTCCAGCCTGGGTGACAGAGCAAGACTCCGTCTAGAAAAAAAATTCTAGGCTGAGCACGGTGGCTCACGCCTGTAATCCCAGCACTTTGGGAGGCCAAGGCGGGTGGATCACGAGGTCAGGAGTTTGAGACCAGCCTGGCCAACATAGTGAAACCCGTCTCCACTAAAAATACAAAAAAATTAGCCAGGTGTGCTGGTATGTGCCTGTAATCCCAGATACTCAGGAGGCTGAGGCAGGAGGATCACGTGAACCCAGGAGGTGGAGGTTACAGTGAGCCAAGATCGCACCATTGCACTCCAGTCCGGGTGACAATGCAAGACTCCGTCTCAAAAAATGAAAAAAAGAAAAAAAAGTATAGGTCAGGCGCAGTGGCTCATGCTTGTAATCCCAACACTTTGGGAGGCCGAGGTGAGTGGATCACTTGAGTTCAGGAATTAGGGACCAGCCTGGCCAACATGGTGAAACTCTGTCTCTACTAAAAATAACAAAAAAATTAGCTGGGCATGATGGTGAGTACCTGTAATCCCAGTTACTCGGGAGGCTGAGGCAGGAAAATCTCGTGAACCCGGGAGGCAGAGGTTGCAGTGAGCCACAACTGCACTATTGCACTCCAGCCTGGGCAACAAGAACAAAACTCTGTCTCAAAAAAAAAAAAAAGAAAAAGAAAAAGAAAAAAATTCCAGAGATACCATTGCATTTACTTTTTACAAACATTTCTTTTTTAGGCACTGGGCTGAACACTGGTTGGATGGTGCCTGCTTGGGCTGAGGTGGAGACAGGCTGGAGTTAGGAAGATAATTCTTATTTCTCCCAGTTGGGAAAGACCTAGAAAAGGATCCAGGATGTAGATGTTCCTAGGTATTCTCAATTTTGCAAAGCTGGAAGGTGTTACTTTATTAGATTCCCACAATGTGCCTTTCAGAAATGACAGTTAACAATTATTGGGTGCCAAAATACATACATGGTTTTTTATTTACATGCATCTAATACTGATTCTGTCCCTAATATAGAGCAGACACTCTACAAACACACTGAAACATTTGCAATCAGGTAAACTGTGACTTGCAAAGAGGTGGGAATAACTTTCCCAAGATTACACACTAGTACCCCTAACTCCCATTCTGCATGAGCTGTTGATGCTACTCTTCCACATATCCTCACATTCTGGAACCCTTCAAAATGACAGTAATTACTTTGGAGGACAGGTCCTCTATGATGTAATAAAAATAACTCTTGACTGAGAATTCTGTTCTTGTCTCAGCTCTACTAATTAGCCCTGTGAACGAGGACAAATGTCTTTACCTCACCACCTCTCAGTTTCCTCAACTAAAAAATGCTAACATGAAATGGAATGCTCTCAAAAGTACCTTTTGTTCCTAAAATTCAAAGGTGTAAGAAGTATATATTCCATGCTGGGTGTGCTGGCTCACGCCTGTAATCCCAGCACTTTGGGAGGCCAAGGCAGGTGGATCATCTCAGTTGAGGAGTTCAAGACCAGCCTGACCAACATGGTAAAACCTCGTCTCTACTAAAAATACAAAAATTGGGCCGGGCGCGGTGGCTCACGCCTGTAATCCCAGCACTTTGGGAGGCCGAGGCGGGCGGATCATGAGGTCAGGAGATCGAGACCATCCCGGCTAAAACGGTGAAACCCCGTCTCTACTAAAAATACAAAAAATTAGCCGGGCGTAGTGGCGGGCGCCTGTAGTCCCAGCTACTTGGGAGGCTGAGGCAGGAGAATGGCGTGAACCCGGGAGGCGGAGCTTGCAGTGAGCCGAGATCCCGCCACTGCACTCCAGCCTGGGCAACAGAGCGAGACTCCGTCTCAAAAAAAAAAAAATAAATAAATAAATAAAAAAAATAAAAATAAAAAAAATAAAATAAAAATACAAAAATTAGTTGGGTGTGGTGGCGTGTGCCTATAATCCCAGCTACTCAGGAGGCTGAGGCATAAGAATGGCTTGAACCCAGGAGGCAGAGGTTGCAGTGAACTGAGATAGTGCCACTGCTCTCCAGCCTGGGCAACAGAGCGTGACTTCGTCTAAAAAAAAAAAAAAAAAAAAAGAAGTATATATTCTAAATTAAGGAATATATATTTGAAATTATGGGACATGTCATAATTTAAATTATGTCTTAGTCTATAATGATGTATTTGAACATGAGTATATCTTAAAGGAAAACGCCAAGAGTTTTTGTCTGATAGAGGGCTTTAAAATACTGGCTTTAAAAAATAAATAAAAAATTAAACATTGGCTTTTAATAAAATGAATCAACTTAAAAATTATCTGGCTGGGTGTGGTGGTGTAGGTCAATAATCCCAAAACTTTGGGAGGCTGAGGCAGCAGAATCACTCGGCCAGGAGTTCAAGACCATGGGGCAATGTAGCAAAACCCCATCTGTATTTTTATTTTTATTTTTTTTAGACTGAATCTTGCTCTGTCACCTAGGCTGGAGTGCAGTGGCATGATCTCAGCTCACTGCAACCTCCACCTCTGGGTTGAAGCAATTCTCCTGCCTCAGCCTCCTGAGTAGCTGGGATTACAAGTGCCTGCCACCACGCCCAGCTAATTTTTGTAGTTTTAGTAGAGACGAGGTTTCACCATGTTGGCCAAGCTGGTCTCGAACTCTTGACCTCAAGTGATCCGCCCACCTCAGCCTCCCAAAGTGCTGGGATTACAGGTGTGAGCCACTGTGCCCAGCCCCCATTTTATTAAAAAAAAATTATCTCATTTCAGTCACCCTTTTCAGGAGGATGAGCCTAGCTCTGGCAATGTCTTGGATTTATGAAGTTCCTCTCTTGAGGCTGAACAGAGATAGGTACTTTCTGCAGTGGCATCAGGACACCCCTTGACATTGTAACATGAAGGTGGTGGCAATGGCCAGTGTTGAGGGGAAATGGAGAGTATCTGAAGGACAGGAGGTAGGAGTAAGACAGGTGGTAGCAGAGGAATGGGTGGGACCCACTGACAGAGTGACACCTCCAGCTGGCCAAGCTATCAGTGTGGACTTTGTGTATAGGAAACAAGCTTCATACGTATTGGTATGTAACCAGTTCCTTGATATGCCCATCTTGAGTATGCCCACTCAGCCCTTCTTCTGAGCTTATTGTCCCTCCTCCTCCTTCTCTTGCTCAAACTCTTGCCTTTACCTGTTTGAATCCCTGCCTACGCAATACCTTAAAGTTGGGAGTTCCTGCTTGGGCAGGAGTGGAGACAGACTGAAATGAGAATTCTGATTTCTTAAGGCTCCTAAGCTAGGAAATACCAAGAAAAAGGATCCAAAGTTTTGACATTTTAAAATATTCGCAGTTATGTGAAGTTTGATCCCAAAACTACAACAGATACCCACAGTATTAAAAGCTAACATTTATTGAGTGCTTACTAAGTGTTGGGCACTGTTTTAAAGAGCTCATATATGCTAACTAATTTTGTTTTCCCAACAGCCACACGCAATAGGAACTTTTTTTTTTTAAGAGTCAGGGTCTCACTCCGTTGCCCAGGCTGGAGTGGGCAGCCTACGAGTGCAGTGGCTCACTCGCAGCTCATTGCAGCCTTAAACTTTTGGGCTCAAGTGATCCTTTCTCCACCATGCCCAGCTAATTTTTAAATTTTTTTGTAGAGATGTGGCTTGAGGCCAGGAGTCCATGACCAGCCTAGGCAACACAGCAAGACCCTGTCTCTTAAAAAATAATTTAAAAATTGGCCCAGCATGGTGGTACATGCCTGCAGTCCCAGCTACTCAGGAGGCTGATGTCAGGGATCTTTAGAGCCTGCAAGATTCGAGGCTGCAGTGCTATGATGATACCACTGTACTCCAGCCTGGGTGACAGAGTGAAACTCAAAACAAACAAACAAACAAAAACCATGCTTTTTTTTGTTGTTCTTGTAGAGACAGGGTCTCGATATGTTGCCAGGGCTGGTCTCAAATTTCTGGGCTCAAGTAATCCTCCCACCTCAGCCTCCCAAAGTGCTGGGATTATAGGTGTTAGCTGCTGTGCTCGGCTGTTCTTGGCCCATACTAAGCATTTAATGTTAGCTCTTGTCATAGGTAGCGTTAGTTCTGCAAAATTAACTCACCCTGAGAGATGATTTATAAATGTTTTGCTGAGGAAACTTGAAAAATTTCTCAAGTCCAATCATAGGGTAGCAATTAAATGTCTGAGATAGTCCAGGACAGCCCAGCATGAGCTTCAGTATTCCAAGAACCAGGGCTCTCCAGTCTTTCTGTCAGTGTAATCTGAAGGCATGTCCCCTCACCCTAGAGCATCCTAGTGCTGTGTATTAAATGAAACACACACACACACACACACACACACACAATACCTTCTTCTAAGGATAAACAATAATTTCCAAAGGTAGCGTACTTCTAGTAAGGCATATCAAGAGTAAAAATAGCCCTTTTAATACAAGATGATCAGCACAGAGATACAGATCACAGTGGAGACGGCATGTGACATTACTGTTGAGCCATACTGGCATCTGTTAGTTGAATTGGTTCCAAGCTTCTAAACTCACACAGCTTATTATCTTGTACACATACCAAGCCAAAATGCTAAAATTGCAGTTTTTTCTTTCTTTAAGCAGCATTAGTTTCAGCAGCAAGACATCTGTCATCTCCTATGTTAATTTCTGCAAAGGAATGATCGCAAACATGAGGACTTACTAACTTCCTGTGCTGTACTCAGCGCCGAAGGAGTCAGGGGGTGGAGGTAAAAGATTTGTTCTCCAGGTTGTATGAACGACAACATTTTTGTGTGTCTTCAGAAAAATTTCAGCATTTTTTGCTATAATCAAACTAAACATTTACATGTGCATGGTTTTTCAGGTGTTGGTTGATATATTAACGTAATCGTAAAGCATGCCAAACAAAATCATGATAAGCCTACTGACTCAGAGGTGATTAAACCTCTCAATGAATTCACAATTATTTGTTTCAAATGCTTCATTTTCCTGATTAGAGAGCAAAAATAATTGGAGAAATTATCAAAACTAATTACCACTTGAAATGTATTGTATAGGCCTTCCAAAAATGAAACATTTATGAGTTGAGAACCATATTATAGTTAAATCAAATAAGAGATAGGAAGCTGCAAACATTACATTTCACCTTCCTGGGTAGTAATCTAAATCTAAATTTAGTGAATTTTAGATGAATTTTATTTAAATCAATTCCATCCTAAATTATGTGCATCACTGCAGTCATTTGAAATAGTAGACTGAACAGATTCAGAAAAGTACTACTCAGAGATTAGTAGAATGAATTTTTTATAAAACTGCCTTGATTCCCCTTGGAATTCTTTTTTTTTTTTTTTTTTTTCAGATGGAGTCTCGCTCTGTCACCCAGGCTGGAGTGCAGTGGCCCAATCTCGGCTCACTGCAAGCTCCGCCTCCCGGGTTCACACCATTCTCCTGCCTCAGCCTCCTGAGTAGCTGGGATTACAGGTGCCCGCCACCACACCCAGCTAATTTTTTTTTGTATTTTTAGTAGAGACGGGGTTTCACTGTGTTAGCCAGGATGGTCTCGATCTCCTGACCTCGTGATCCGCCCGCCTCGGCCTCCCAAAGTGCTGGGATTACAGGCGTAAGCCACCACGCCCGGCTCCCCTTGGAATTCTTAAAAAAGTAAAATAAAAATTTAAAAACTCATCTAGGGGCTGAGCGTGATGGCTCCTTCTCAAAAAAAAAAAAAATAATAATAATAATAATTAGCTGAGTATGGTAAATCCCAGCTACTTGGGAGGCTGAAGCAGGAGAATTGCTTGAAACCAGGAGGCAGAGGTTGCAGTGAGCTGGCCGAGATCATACCACTGCACTCCAGGCTGGGCAACAGAGGGAGACTCTGTCTCAAAAAAGAAAAAAAGAAAAAAAAGCACATTTAAAAAAACCCAGAAAAACAAAAATAGAAACTCATCTTGTTCTAATTCTAGAAAAAACATTAGGGAAGTAATTACTTGCAACATTTTACTTGGTGCTAATCAAGTTAAATTTTTAAAATGAGTGTATATAAGAAGAAATGCAGCTTATTGATCCTGAAGTAGATTAGGTGCCACTGATGCTGTTGAATTGAGAACTTTAGCCGGACATGGGAGTGGAGGACGAGTAAAAGATGCTGACTGGGCCTAGAGATCCCAAGGAGGAGGACAAGGGAGAGGAATGAGTGAATCCCCTAACAGTGAGAGAGCAATGCCAGCAGGTGGAGAAAAGAGTAAAGGCCTGAGAGCAGCTACAGCTCTGTGATGAGACTTCTTGTATGCAAGCGACTACTGCATGGCCCACAGCAGCTTGAAATAAATGGGCACCAGCTGCAGATAAGACAAGTGATAATAACAGCTCGAAATAAATGGGCAGACTCATTCACGCCAGCCTTCATCACCTAGTCGTCAGGATATTTCCTTACGGTTCTGAATATGACATTTGTTTCTAGTTTTATAACTATGAATTTATGTGAAACTCATGGGTTTTGATTTAGACAAGTAGCTTTTATGTAATTAGCGGTAATTCCATCTTTTTTTTTTTTTTTTTTTGAGACAGAGTCTAGCTGTGTCACCCAGGCTGGAGTGCAGTAGTGTGATATCGGCTCACTGCAACCTCCACCTCCTGGGTTCAAGCAATTCTCCTGCCTCAGCCTCCTGAGTAGCTGGGACTACAGGTGCCCACCACCATGCTTGGCTAAATTTTTTTTTTTTTTTTGTATTTTTAGTAGAGACGGGAGTTTCACCAGGTTGGCCAGGCTGGTCTTGAACTCCTGACCTCAGGTGATCTGCCCGCTTGGCCTCCCAAAGTGCTAGGATTACAGGCGTGAGCCACTGCTCCCAGCCATGATTCCATCTTAGTAAAGTTCTGTGATCTGCAAAAAAACTAAAAAAAAAAAAAAAAAAAAGAAAAATGCAAAAGATACATTACTTTTTTTTTTTTTTTGACATGGAGTTTCGCTCTTGTTGTCCAGCTTGGAGTGCAATGGCGCAATATCAGCTCACCGCAACCTCTGCCTCCCGGGTAGCTGGGATTACAGGCATGCACCACCATGCCTGGCTAATTTTGCATTTTTGGTAGAGACGGGGTTTCTCCAAGTTGGTCAGGCTGGTCTCGAACTCCCGACCTCAGGTGATCCTCCCGCCTTGGCCTCCCAAAGTGCTGGGATTACAGGCATGAACCACCACGCCTGGCCCAGAAGATATACTTCTAAGAAGTTAAATGAATTATTAATTAGCATTATGAAATTTCATCTTGTTTCCATCTTAGCCTATATTTCAAATTCATATATTTGTCTTAAAATATGCTTCAGTTTTTTATCCTAAGAAGCCATATCATGTAAGTCAATAATGAATCCATATGAAATAGTTACATGAAGTTCTAACTCAGAAAACACTCAGAGAAATTATTTTGGCATAAAGAAGCCACTCTTTGGAGGCAACAGAAATTCAGATTCATACTCTGCCACTGTTACAGAGTATGGATATTTATAAAATTTGGGTAATATGTCTTTTTATAATGTCATTTTTAAAATTATCAGCACTGCCGGACGCGGTGGCTCATGCCTGTAATCCCAGCACTTTGGGAGGCTGAGGCAGGTGGATCACGAGGTCAGGAGATCGAGACCATCCTGGCTAACACAGTGAAACCCCGTCTCTACTGAAAATACAAAAACTTAGCCAGGCGGGCCGGGTGCGGTGGCTTACGCCTGTAATCCCAGCACTTTGGGAGACTGAGACGGGCGGATCACAAGGTCAGGAGATCGAGACCATCCTGGCTAATACGTGAAACCCCGTCTCTACTAAAAATACAAAAAATTAGCAGGGCACGGTGGCGGGCGCCTGTAGTCCCAGTTACTCCGGAGGCTGAGGCAGGAGAATAGCGTGAACCCGGGAGGCGGAGCTTGCAGTGAGCCGAGATCGCGCCACTGCACTCCAGCCTGGGCGATAGAGCGAGACTCCGTCTCAAAAAACAAAAAAAAAACAAAAAAACTTAGCCAGGCGTGGTGGCAGGTGCCTGTAGTCCCAGCTACTTGGGAGGCTGAGGCAGGAGAATGGCGTGAACCCGGGAGACGGAGCTTGCAGTGAGCCGATATCGTGCCACTGCACTCCAGCCTGGGCGACAGAGCGAGACTCTGTCTCAAAAAATAAATAAATAAATAAATAAATAAAATTATCAGCACCAGAATCGTATTTCATTGAATATATATCCATTTTCTTGCCCACCTGTGAGCCTGATCAGTTTCTGACGGCAGAGACAGTCTTTTGTTTGTTCAGGGTGTGGTCTTATGTCAGATAGAATAACAGAGCAAAACAGGATGCACGTGTGTGACAAAAACAGGGGAATGCTAGCAATTTTATGAGTTTTATACTTGGTGGTGCTTCATCTTAATTTCCTGTGATTTGATGTCTTAATCTTTAATTGCTCCATTTTGAAATCAGCCACCAGCTGCAGCTAATACAGGTCACAGTAACCTGATGAGTCAGCCTCACACTCCTGAGGCCATTCTGCACATTTGCCAACAACATTCAGAGCAGACGCGACCAAAGTGTCATAACAAGCAGACTGGTCAGTTGACAAAGTTAGTTTAGAGCTGTAGCTTTCTCAAAGAAAGTGTAGACCAGCAGCATCAGCATCACCTGGGAATGTGTTAGTAATGCAATTATTGAGCCCCATACCAGACCTAGGGCATCAGAAACTCTGAAGGTGGGGACCAACAACTTAAGTTTTAACAAGCCATGCAGGTGATCCTCATGTACATTAGGTTTGAGAATCACTGGATTAGGTCAGGGGTCCCCAGCCCTCAGTACTGGTCCATGGCCTGTTAGGAACCGGGCTGCACAGCAGGAGGTGAGCCGAAGGCTAGTGAGCATTACTACCCTAGCTCCACCTCCTATCAGAACAGCAGCGGCATTAGATTCTCATAGGAGCACAGACCCTACTTTGAACTGCACATGTGAGGGATCTAGGTTGCATACTCCTTATGAGAATCTAATGCCTGATGATCTGAAGTGGAACAGTTTCATCCTGAAACCAACCCCTGCCCACTGCCCTCCCAGTCCATGGAAAAACTGTCTTCCATGAAACCAGTCCCTGGTGCCAAAAAGTTTGGGGACCGCTGGATTAGGTGCTTCTCTAATGTCATGATTTTATAGAAATTTGTGAAACATTGATTTTGTGACAAAGCTTCAAAGGCTACTTGAATAAGTAGAGTGATTAAGGAAGTGTTAATAAGACAAACCTGGACAAATTACTTAACTTCAGTTTCCTCGGTAAAGGGAGATTACTAATAGTTCTGATCTCATAGGATCTGTTGTGAGGATTCAACAAGTTAATACACATGAAATGCTCACAAACAGCTCTGGGTGTCCTAAGTATTCAATAAATGGTCCTAGGGAGGGAATTTTATTATCCTCAGTTTTCAAATGAAGGCCCAGAAGTACTAGGAAGGTAAATAATTTACCCAAGTAAATAAAAATTAGAATCCACACAAATTGCAGGCTTTTCTCCACTCTACTATACTTCCCAGTGAGGGTGGGGAGGAGTATAAACTGGAAGAAATATTCGACAAACTAGTGATAGGTTCTCCAGAGTTACTGTCCACAATTTAAGGGGGGTAAAACAGGAACTGAAGTGCTTTTTCATTTTTCTCAAACCTTAGGGATCGTTGATGCAATAGCAGAAGGAAAACATTCTTACCTCCTAAAATTATTGTCTTGCTGTCAGCAGAGTTTGTGGTCACCTGTGCTGGCACACAGACAGCAGCCAAGGGGCCCTACTTCCATCCTAATGGATCCAGCCCTCTGGAGGGTCCCCATTCTGTTACAAATGGTTCTTTATTTCTAGGTGGAAGAGGCTATAAATTCTGCAAAACTGTTGTAATTCATTTTCTGCTAGACCAGTTAGCAAGTGTTTTCTAAATACATTATCATTGTGGGTGGTTTTATTGTTATTATCATATTACTAATGTTTAGCAATTCTGTTTCTTCATTCTTGCTCTACTGTTTTTTGAGACGTGGCGCGATCTCGGCTCACTGCAACCTCCAACTCCCTGGTTCAAACGATTCTCCTGCCTCAGCCTCCTGAGTAGCTGGGATTACAGGCATGTACCACCATGCCCAGCTACTTTTTGTATTTTCAGTAGAGACGGGGTTTCACCATATTGGCCAGGCTGGTCTCGAACTCCTGACCTCGTGATCTGCCTGCCTCGGCCTCCCAAAGTGCTGGGATTACAGGTGTAAGCCACCGCGCCTGGCCTCTAGTTTGTTTTCTAGGAGAAGTAAGATAGTAGAAATATCTAATATTCTCTTCCTTCCTCCTCAATCTGACCAAATTTTGCAAAATCTAAAGTCTAAAAAGTGCCAGTTGGGTGAATGTTAATGACAATAGGGAAGTATTGCTAATCCTTCAGGGCATGATCAATGGCACATCTAGTTTATCTGATACCTAGAATTAATCATTTTTAAATCCCTACTTTTTTCATACGACAAAATTACTTTCAGTAACAATCATGAAATCAAATTAATAATAACCAGAAAAATACAGTAAAATTTAATTTCTTTTTTACTTTAAAAATATTTTTTAGAAACAGGGTCTTGCTCTGTTACCCAGGCTGGAATGCAATTGTGAGATCATAGTTCACTGCAACCTTGAACTCCTATGCTCAAGAGATCTCCCTGCTTCAGCCTCCAGGCCTGAAATTTTATTTTATTGAACTTCATATATATATAAAATTTCATATGTATAAAACATGCCAGGAGGCCAGCAGTGGTGGTTTATGCCTATAATCCCACTTTGAGAGGCCAAGGAGGGAGGATTGCTTGAGGTCAGGAGTTTGAGACCAGCCTGGATAACATAGCAAGACCTCATCTCTACCAAAAATTAAAAAAAAAAAAAAAAACCAGGCGACACACGATGGCTCACACCTGTAATCCTAGCACTTTGGGATGAAAAGGTCAGGAGTTTGAGACCAGCCTGGCCAACACAGTGAAATCCCATCTCTACTAAAACTACAAAAGTTAGCCGGGCATGGTGGCACATGCCTGTAGTCCCAGCTACTCAGGAGGCTGAGGCGGGAGCCTGAGGCAGGATAATCGCTTGAATCCAGGAGGCGGAGGTTGTGGTGAGCCAAGATCGCACCACTGCACTCTAGCCTGGACAACAGAGTGAGACTCCGTCTCAAAAAAAAAAAACAACAAAAAAACAAATGCAATACAATTAAAAAAAAAATTACACACATACACGAAATTATAAAGCATTAATACTATTTACTGTAATCGCATTAATTGTTAAGGTGAAAATTATACCTACATATTGGTTGTTTATAGTAATGAATAATGATGTTAGCATTTCATTGCAATTAAATAAGAAGAATTCCAGCTAATATAAAGATATTATTTATGTTAACCAGGATAGTCTATTTATCAACTAAAACTAGTTAGCTTTCTGTGCAGGAGTTCCAGCCTCTCTAAAGTTATGTGTTCTGGTATTTGTCCCCAAACACTTCATGAGACCCAGCCCTTACAAAACTAGGCCTGACCCATGGCTGAATTCCATCCACAAAAAGATGTTTAGACTTTAGAAAATGTTGTAAAATTACCAAACAAAAATATTGCACCTCTGTTTCACTGTACTTAATTTTACTCTCGAATAAAATATCCAAGTGGTCGTGCTGAGTGACAGAATTGCTGTAATTCACATTCTTTTTCTTATCGTTACAATGACCATGCCATCATTGCTCCTTTCAAACCTACCATCTAGATGCAGGAATATTAGTACTACAGGGGTTGGAAACACAAACTGTGTTTCCCTCTCCCCATACCCACTCACTCTAGTTCCACAATTCCAAGCCATTTCCATTTAGAATTTATTTTCAAAACTAATGCTTGTATTTCAATCCCAGGACACCAAGGGGCCAAGTTTGTATTTAAAACTCTTTAGTTGGCCTGGCTTGGTGGCTCATGCCTGTAATCCCAGCGCTTTGGAAGGCCAAGGTGGGTGGATCACGAGGTCAGGAGTTCCAGATCAGCCTGACCAACGTGGTAAAACCCCGTCTCTACTAAAAACGCAAAATTAGCCAGGCGTGGTGGCACGTGCCTGTAATCCCAGCTACTCAGGAGGCTGAGGCAGGAGAATCTCTTGAACCCAGGAGGTGGAGGTTGCAGTGAGCCAAGATGGCGCCACTGCATTCCAGCCTGGGAGACAGAGTGAGACTCCGTCTCAAAAATAAATAAAATAAAATAAAATAAAATAAAATAAAACTCTTTAGTTGCCATTGGAACACAATGTTTACTTTAAAATAATAAAAAGTGCTCACTTGGCCAGGCACGGTGGCTCACTCCTATAATCCCAGCACTTTGGGAGGCCCAGGTGGGTGGATCACTTGAGGTCAGGATTTCGAGACCAACCTGGCCAACATGGTGAAACCCCGTCTCTACCAAAAAATGTAAAAACTAGCTGGGTGTGGTGGTGCGCACCTGTAGTCCCAGCTACTCAGGAGGCTGAGGCACGAAAATTGCTTGAACCCGGGAGGTGGAGGCTTCAGTGAGCTGTGGCACCACTGCACTCTAGCCTGGGTAACAGAATGAGATTCTGTCTCAAAAAAAAAGAGGTCACTTGAAGCTTATATGTATTATTCAACAGAATGCAACAATTGTTGACAGTGTAAACCAAAAAAAAAAAAAAATTTCTTAGCAAGAAGTATTTTGTTAGTGACATTTTTAGAATTGCTGGTGTATGGTCGGTTTTTATTACATGTATTTTTAATTCTTTATAGACAGTGTATCCAATTATTCCCTGCACCCAGAGCAGACTACTTCCACCGCTTCCCTCTCCACTGGCATATGATTAAGTAGACCAGTCCCCTTATTCTTGGTTGATACATGCTGAAATATTTAAAGATGAAGTTTCAAAATGTCTACAACTTAATTTCAAATGGCTAAGAAACACACCCATAAACAAAGCACATAGAGATTGATAATGAAAATATGGGGAAACATTAACGATTGCTGAATATAAATAATCATCATTGTACCATTCTTTAAATTATTTTGAAATTGTTTATGATAAAAATATTGTAAAAAGTACTATTTTTACCCTTTGGCTAATACATGAGAAAAAAATATGTACATACACATATTTATACTTTTATGTTATGGATAATGTAAGGTTTTTTCACTTTTTTTTTTTTTTTTTTGAGATAGGGTCTCACTCTGTCACCTAGGTTGGAGTGCTGAGTGGTGGCAGGGGTTTCAGCTCACTGCAACGTCTGCCTCCCGGGCTCAGGTGATCCTCCCGCCTCAGCCTCTGGAATAGCTGGGACCACAGGCGTGCACCACCATATCCGGCTAATTTTTTTGTATTTTTAGTTGCCCAGGCTGGTCTCAAACTCCTGGACTCAACTGATCTGCCTGCCTCAGCCTCCCAAACTGCTGCAATTACAGGCATGAGCCACCACACCTGGACCACCAATTTTCTAACACACAAATATATTTTTGTGTTTTTTTGAGACAGAGTCTCGCTCTGTTCTCCAGGCTGGAGTGCAGTGGCACAATCTTGGCTCACTGCAACCTCCGCCTCCCAGGTTCAAGCGATTCTCGTGCTTCAGCCTCCACAGTAGCTGAGATTACAGGCGTGCACCCCCACACCCAGCTAATTTATTTTATTTTATTTTTATTTATTTACTTTTTGTGTATGTGAAAAAGAGTCTCGCACTGTCACCGAGGCTGGAATGCAGTGGTGTGATATTGGTTCACTGCAATCTCTGCCTCCCGGGTTCAAGTGATTCTCCTGCCTCAGCCTCCCGAGTAGCAGGGACTACAGGCATGTGCCACCATGCCCAGCTAATTTTTGTATTTTTAGTAGAAACGGGGTTTCACTATGTTGGCCAGGCTGGCCTCAAACTCCTGACCTCAAGTGATCTGCCCACCTCGGCCTCCCAAAGTGCTGGGATTACAGGCGTGAGCCACTGTGCTTGGCCTAAATATATATTTTAATTAAATGATAATAAGTAAATACATTAGATTTTTTTTAAAAAAGAAAAAAGTAATTAAATGATGAGAAATTGAACTCTTAAACAAAACTGCATTTTCCAATTTTCTGAAATTGCCTATTAATGTAGATATAGTCTTCCATAGTTTTTGATACATTGTTTTAAAATGATATAGGCCAGGCGCGGTGGCTCACGCCTGTAATCCCAGCACTTTGGGAGGCCGAGGTGGGTGGATCACCAAGGTCAGGAGATAGAGACCATTCTGGCTAACACGGTGAAACCCTGTGTCTACTAAAAATACAAAAAAATTAGCCAGGCGTGGTGGCGGGCGCCTATAGTCCCAGCTACTCAGGAGGGTGAGGCAGGAGAATGGCATGAACCCAGGAGGTGGAGCTTGCAGTGAGCCGAGATCGTGCTACTGCACTCCAGCCTGGGCAACAGAGCAAGACTCCCGTCTCAAAAAAATAAAAAATTTAAAAAAATTAAAAAAATTAAATGATATAAATTACATCCCTACTAAAAATACAAAAATTAGCTGGGCGTAGTAGTGCGTGCCTGTAATCCCAGCTACTTTGAAAGCTGAGGCAGGAGAATCGCTTGAACCTGGGAGGCAGAGGTTGCAGTGAACAGAGATCGTGCCACTGCATTCCAGCCTGGGACAGAGTGAGAGTCTGCCGCAAAAAAAAAAAAAAAGAGAGAGAGAGACAAGGTCTCACTCTGTCACCCAGGCTGGAGTGCAGTGGTACAAACATGGCTCACTGCAGCCTCAACTGCTTGGGCTCAATCAATCCTCCCACCTCAACCTCCCAGCAGCTGGAACCACAGGCAGGTGCCACTACACCCAACTAATTTTTTATTTTTTGTTCAGATGTGGTCTCACTGTGTTGCCCAGGCTGGTTTCCAACTCCTGGGCTCCAGCAATTCTCCCACCTCAGCCTCCCAAAGTGCTGAGATTACAGGCATGAGCCACCATACCCAGCTGCACCGCAATTTTTCCAGCTTGAATAGGGCCTGGGTTGATAGTACAACCACTTTTCTAGTGCGTTGTTGTCTCTAGATTCAAACGTTAAACAAGACTTTCTTTATATAGCTATATACCTAAGAAACAATGATTCAAAACTCAGTTCAGAAGTTTTCCATTTCATTATATCCTTTTGACATGGCAGTATAAAATGAGCTTGAGCTTGTTATTAATTTGAAAATCAACTGAACTTTGTTTTTCGTGGTTTTGGTTTTGTTACTTTTTTTTTTAAACAAATAGACTCCATTTTTCAGACCAGTTTTAGGTTTATAGCAAAATTAAGGGGAAAGTACAGAGTTCCCACATGCACCCTCTACTGGACACCCACAGCCTCCCCACCATTGACATTCTGTACATTTGTCACAATCCATGGACCAACGCTAACACATCATATCAACCAAAGCCCATAGTTTACATTAGGGATTCACTCTTGATGTTGAACATTATATGAGTTTTGACAAATGTATAATGACATGTATTCATCATTTAGTATCATTCAAAATAGCTTAGACCTTAATTTTTAAAATTATTTTCAGAATAATTTTTAAAAGAGTTAGGTCCTGGAATTGAAAATGTCACTATTTAGTTTATACTATGACTAGTCTTTTAAGTTCCAACTCTGTCAGAAAATTCCTATTATAATGAATTTTTATTATACTACTTATTTTTGTTTGTGGTATTAACGTTAGTTACCACCATAAACAAATCTTTCAAACTATATCTTCTTGTATCCTCAAAAGTTTCCATTAAAATGTTATCTGTGTCCACCTAACTCATTGCTTTCAAGGGAATAAAATAGTTGTGTGAGTCACATAGAAAACAAATCCGATTAAGATAAGGAGATAACTTATTCGAAAGGATTAATGCAAGTGGCGGGTATGAGAAAGATAATGGTAACTGGGAGAACAATAACATCTGCAAGCCTCTGAAAGGTTAGGCAAAAAGGGATTTTCTTTTTTAGAGAGGAGTAAACAAGGCTAGAAAGAACCAGGCGTGCAGAAGTGGGATTAAAGGGTGGGGGTAGCATGACTGGTTAGCAGATCAGACAATGTTTTATCCTGAGGTGAGCCTATTTTTGGGAGAGGCATTTAGGGAAGGACTTTTAGACTGAGGGGCAGCCAAAATTTAGGAGCCTGGGGGAAGGGGAGAAACTTAATCAAAGTTGGATTAACTAGCACTCTGTTACAGTTTTGATTCCATGGACATAAGCAATTCAACTAGTCTTTATGAGGCAGACAATGGGAACCTGGAGGGTCTGGCCTTGGCATAGGTGAACAAGAGGGACATCTGTGAATCTTATCTAAATCCTAGGGGGAAGTGTGGTTCTTTGCAATAAGCCCATTTCCGGAACACAAAGGGTAGGGGAATTTCTTTTTTTTCTTTTTTTTGAGACAGAGTCTCACTCTGTTGCCCAGGCTGGAGTACAGTGGCGCGATCTTGGCTCACCACAACCTCCGCCTCCCAGGTTCAACCGATCCTCGTGCTTCAGCCTCCTGGGTACCTGGGGCCACAGGCATGTGCCACCACACCCTGCTAGTTTTTGTATTTTTAGTAGAGGCAGGGTTTCACCATGTTGGTCAGGCTGGTCTCCAACTCCTGATATCAGGTGATCCACTAGCCTCAGCCTCCCAAAGTGCTGGGATTACAGATGTGAGCCACCCCACCCAGCCAGGGAAGGGGATTTATTAACCTTAACCTTTTTCCAGGATTACAAAGCTCAGGTCAAATTCAACAGTCAGTGCCCCATTTTGTTCAAGATAAATGGTATTTTTTGTCACTGAACAACTCAGGATCATAAATCTCCTGGGTTGAGTGAAGCAAGGTCTAAGAAATAGTTTCCTGATGACTCTTGTTGGTGTTGTTCCTGTAAAATCTGTTGAATCATAGTCCATTGTTCTTCCTTCAAAACAGCTTAATACTAAAAAATTCCCATCTTCTAAGAGTCAATTTTGTGTCACTAATTTCTAAAATGTCTCAAACTAGGGTTTTCTGTTCAATCCTTGAAGATTCAGGCCAGAAATGGTGGCACACACCTGTAATTCCAGCACTTTGAGAGGCCAAGGTGGGAGGATTACTTGAAGCCAGGGGTTCAAGATTAGCCTGGGCAACACAGCGAGACCCCATGTCTGAAAAAAGAAGAAGATTTAAATATACGACAAGGAATAAAATTTTTAAAATAATACAAGTAAGAAAATAGCTATAGTATTGAGGAAGTTGAGCTCTGTCGCCCAGGTTGGAGTGCAGTGGTGCAATCTCGATTGGCTCACTGCAACCTCCGCCTCCCGGGTTCAAGCAATTCTCTGCCTCACCCTCCCGAGTAGCTGGGATTACAGGCACCCATCACTGTGCCTGGCTACTTTTTGTATTTTTAGTAGAGACAGGGTTTCACCATCTTGGCCAGGCTGGTCTTGAACTCCTGACCTCATGATCCACCTGCCTCGGCCTCCCAAAGTGCTGGGATTATAGGAGTGAGCCACCGCACCCAGCAGATACCACATTTTCAAAACAATACTGACAAAGAAAAATGAATTCAGAGCAGTGTACACCAAAGAGAATACTGGTGACCATAATTCTACCAAAAAAAAAAGTCTCGGGGTCAAATAGGATTAGAATACCCTGAGTCCTCTATATTCCTCCTAGAGCTTCAAAATGCACTTAGCATATCCAAAGCTCTGGGAAGTGCTAAAGTATAGAAACTTCTTTCAATTTGCTTAGCACACTACTTTCCAAATATATATTTTTCTTTTTGTTCTGTAATAACAACAATGATCCTACTCAACCAGAATTTTGTTTTGTTTTAGTTTTTGAGACAGGGTCTTGCTCTGTCACCTAGGCTGGGGTGCAGGGGTGCAATCACAGCTCACTGCAGCCTCCACCTCCCAGGCACAGCCATTCTCCCCGCTCAGCCTCCTAAGTAGCTGTGACCACAGGCACGTATCACCATACCCAGCTAATTATTGTATTTTTCGTAGAAACAGGATTCGGCCGTGTTGCCAGCCTGGTCTCGAACTCCTGGGATTAAGTGATCTTCCCGCCTCAGCCCCCAGAGTGCTGAGATAACAGGTGTGAGCCACCGTACCCCGTTCAGATTTTTAAAATCATCAGTTTGAGAAACACTAACCCAGAGAGTGATCAGGATGCTGAGGATGTCTGGGAAATGAAGGAACTGAGACTGGGGGAAAGAATGTACGCTTGAACTCAGATCTGTTATCTTTTCTTTCTTTCTTTTTTTTTCTTTTTTGAGATAGAGTTTCCGCTCTTGTCGCCCATGCTGGAGTGCAGTGGCGCGATCTCAGCTGGCTGCAACCTCAGCTCATTGCAACCTACGATCTCATTTCACAGCAACCTCCTCCTCCCGAGAATCATTCAAGCAATTCTCCTGCCTCAGCCTCCCGAGTAGCTAGGACTACAAGTGCACACCACCACCCCCAGCTAATTTTTTTTTAATTTTTAGTGGAGACAGTGTATCACCATGTTGGCCAGGGTGGTCTTGAACTCCTGACTTCAGGTGATCTGCCCACCTCAGCCTACCACAGTGCTGGGATTACAGGCGTGAGCCACCATGCCAGACCTCAGATCGGTTTTCTAATCCCAGCTCAGCCACTTAGAAGTTTCATGACCTTTCTCACCTGTAAAATGGGTATGAAAATACTGATCTTGGCCAGGCGCGGTGGCTCACGCCTGTAATCCCAGCACTTTGGGAGGCCGAGTTGGGCAAATCACAAGGTCAGGAGTTCAAGACCAGCCTGGCCAATATGGTGAAACCCCATCTCTACTAAAAATACAAAAATTAGCCAGGTGTGGTGGTGGGCACCTGTAGTCCCAGCTACTCGGGAGGCTGAGACAGAATAGCTTGAACCCGGGAGGCAAAGGTCGCAGTGAGCCAAGATCACACTACTGCACTCCAGCCTGGGTGGCAGAGTGAGACTCCATCTCAAAAAAAAAAAAAAAGAAAAGAAAAGAAAATACCAATCTTGTAATGTTTTTGTAAAGACTGGCAATAGAATGTATAAAACGTCTAGCCCACTGTCTAGTTCACAGTGTGCCAATAAAATGTTATGCACATCTCTTATTAGCGTTAATTATTTCACCAGGGTAAAAGAAAGCTAGAAGAAACAGAAAGAAGATTATCAGGAGACCTTTTCGTATAGAAGAGGGAATAGACAATGAGAAGCCCATCCAAATGGCAGGAGAGCTGATGGGCAGAATGGGGAGAACATTAACCCCAAAATATGTCACTTTGGTATTTGAGAAAATAGCAGAAGCAGGAAAGTCTCTGACTGGTCCTTCTCCTCTGCCTGAAGCTGGTCATAAAATACTCATAACAAAGGTAGCTTCCCTACATTAAGAGGAAAGAAACATCCTTATTTTCGAAGACTCAGAGATGTCAAGAAGAATCTGAACCAACAGCTCTTGCTAAATTTCCCTTAGTTTATTACTATTAGGTCATACTTTCTTTGTCCAATTATATTTCTTCATGACTGTCCACTCTTCCTCAAACCTAAGTATAAAAATACACAGATTTTTCCTTTTGTTTGGGTCTCCATTTCTGAAGGCTCCCATGTCACATAAAATTTTTATTAAACAAATTAGTATGTTTTTCTATTGTTAATTTGTCTCTTGTTATATGTACCTCAGCCATGTACCTGGCAATGGGTGAGGGAAAATATTACTTTTTCTCTTCTCCAGAACCCATAGGCAGAAGCTGTAAAAATGTATCTCTGCTTCTAGGAGAAAATGCTTTATAATGACTGAGCAGGCACAAAGTTGAAACGATGCCTAAGGAAACATTGAGCTCCTTAGCAATGGCCTCCTTTAAATGATTGGAAAGTTATATGGTAAGAATGTTGTAAATTAGATTCTTATACTAGTGGAAGATCTCCTTCAAATCCCAGATTTTATTATTCTCATTTCAAAGAGGTACCTTCTCTCCACCCATACCACATTTCAGAGGTTTAAAGCCCATAAAAGTAAATAAATACTGCATACTAAAATTTTACTCATAAAGCCCCTGACGACCTCCCAATGGCAAAGAGAAAAACATCTACTAACCATGCTTAGTGACTATGAAGACTTGGTAAGTCAATAAAACCATGTGTTTCTTGTGTTCAAAAATATTTAGAAATGTACCTTGAGCTATTTACCATTTCCTTGTCTCCTGGTTCATTCTTTCCTTCCACTCACCTTAGGCCTGTGTGCTCAAGGACCATTTATTCCAGATATCCCACTTCTACTTCTGAACCTTCTTCAACACCATGTGTCTATGACACCTTCATCTTCCTGTAAGTTTGCCCTCTACTTATATAGATACAGCTTTTAATAGCCCATTTCCTCAAATACTTTTAATTAAAATAGACAAGGAGAGTCACATATTAAAACAGAATAAAAATATTAACACTCTGCTGAAAAATATACAGCCTGAAAGAGGCTATAACTGTAATATTTGTGATCACGAGGTTTGGAAAAGCAAACAAGCATTCATCAAATTCTCCATTATGAAATAAGCTGTATCTTAGTGAGTTTGGGTCGTTGATTTTGGAACTAAAAAATGCTGATAACTTTATGCATGGACGGATAGATGGCTGTGCCAGCTATCTTCTATTTCCTTCATCCCACCCCTACATCCACTCTCCCCACTTCTCCAGCAAGCTGACCTCTATGAAGTGTTTCAAGAGACTCTCTTGCCCTCTGGTTTCCTGTTGGGGCTTGGCCAGTGAAAAGCACTGGCAGGAGATGAGAGGAAGGGAGGGTGTGGTTGGGATGCTGGATACCTTTCTCTACCAAAGATCTCAGCTCCTTTAAGGTGACTCTACACACAGCCCCTGTCTCCGTCTCCATTTCCAGGAAGTGATCCCTTCCTTTAGCCATGAGAGGTGGTAACACAGCTGTGCAGTTACTAGCCTCTGGGTGCTGCACTATGCCTTGCAGTTTCCCTACACTTATCTCACACCTTCATTTCTAGCCCTTTCATTAAACTCTTCCTAAATTATCACAGTTTGAATGTGTAGTCTTTTTCGTGTCAGAACTCTAATATAACAACCATCTCTAATGCTGAGTTTGGGCTATGGTTCTAAACAGTTTGAATCTTTTACCAGTGGAACATTGCATAGAGCCTGACATAAGGCAGAGCATATACCAGAATGCATAATGGTGAGGCCTAACTCATGTCCAGCACAAAGCTTGGCATAATCTTGCTGGAGTATGAATAAATCTGGCCCCTTTAGTTTATGAGTGAACACATACAGAGTAATAAATTGTGCTGTTCAAACAGTGGCACAGGGCTAAAGTGTAACCAAGGGAGAAGTGTGTTGTGTGGATATCCACTTTTGTGGACAAGGATACACTAAATGAGTGACTGGAGCCAGGCACGGTGGCTCACATCTGTAATCCCAGCACTTTCAGAGGCCGGTGCGGGCAGATTGCTTGAGTCCAAGAGTTTGAGATCAGCCTGGGCAACATGGTAAAACCCTGTCTCTACTAAAAATACAAGAATTAGCTGGGCGTGGTAATGTGTGCCTGTAGTCACAGCTATTTGGGAGGCTGAGGTGACAGGATCACTTGAGCGCAGGAGGCAGAGGCTGCAATGAGCCAAGATCGCACCACTTCCCTCCAGCCTGGGTGACAGAGAAAGACTGTGTCTCAAAATAAAAAAAAAAAAAAGGAGTGACTGGATTGGATCGTAGTCATTTTTGACTTGCCTAGTATTCATTCAGTCTTTTAACTGCTTCAAGCATACCATGAACAGTATTTAAAATAATGTTTTGTAATCCCAGCACTTTGGGAGGCCAAGGCAGGTAGATTGCTTGAGGTCAGGAGTTAAGACCAGCCTGGCCAACATGGTGAAACCCCGTCTCTACTAAAAATACAAAATTTAGCTGGGCGTGGTGGCGCGTGCCTGTAGTCCCAGCTACTTAGGAGGCTGAAGCACAAGAATTGCTTGATTCTCCCAGGAGGCCGAGGTTGCAGTACACCAGAGATGGCACCACTGCACTCCACACTCCAGCCTGGGCAATAGAGTGTGACCTTGTCTCAAAAGAGAAGAAATAATGTATAGAATCCAAAAGCATCAAGAATCTCTAGACGTAGTGTTTAAGCCCCCAGATAATACTTGTTGCTTTACGTCTTATAAATTAGAATTAAAATACAAATACATTTGGAAGAAGTAATACTAATGAATTAAAGTAAGTCAGTAGGGCCGAGTGCAGTGGCCCATAATCCCAGTATTTTGGGAGGCTGAGGCAGGTGGATCACTTGAGGTCAGGAGTTCAAGATCAGCCTGGCCAACATGGTGAAACCCTGTCTTTATTAAAAATACGAAAACTTAGCCAGGTGTGGTGGTACCCACCTATAATCCCAGATACTTGGGAGGCCGAGGCAGGAGAATCACTTGAGCCCAGGACGCAGAGGTTGCAGTGAGCCAAGATTGCACCACTGCACTCCAGCCTGGGCAACAGAGCAAGATTCTGTCTCCAAAAAAAAAAAAGCCTGGGCGCAGTGACTCACACCTGTAATCCCAACACTTTGGGAGGCCGAGGTGAGCAAATCATGAGGTCAGGAGATTGAGACCGTCCTGGCTAACACGGTGAAACCCTGTCTCTACTAAAAATACAAAAAATTAGCCAGGCGTGATGGCACGCGCCTGTAGTCCCAGCTACTTGGGAGGCTGAGGCAGAAGAATCTCTTGAACCCTGCAGGGCAGAGGTTGCAGTGAGCTGAGATCGTGCCACTGTACTCCAGCCTGGGCAACAGAGCAAGACTCTGTCTCAAAAAAAAAAAAAAAAAAAAGAAGAAAAGGAAGAGGAAGAAGGAGAAGGAGGAGAAGAAGGACAGGAAGAAGGAGAAGAGAAGGTGGAGGAGGAGGAAGGAAGAGAAGGAGAAGAAGGAGAAGGAGGAGAAGAAGAAGAAGACGACGACGACAGTACATCTCAAATTTAAGAGTTTGTAACAATTGCCCCATAAGCATCTTAAAAATATAGATTGCAAGCCTGGGCATAGTGGCTTGTGCCTATAGTCCCAACTAGTCAGGAGGCTGAGGAAGAAGGATCCCTTGAGCCCAGAAGTTCAAATCCAGCCGGGTTAACGTAGCAAGACACCATCTCTAAAAAAAAAAAAAAAAATAGAATGAAAGAGACCCAAGATAGAACCCCAGTCTTTAATAACCTTGGAAGGAAGCCCTAGTCTTTAATAACCTTGGAAGGAACATACTTTTGCCATACTCTATTGGTCACACAGACCAACCCTCATACAGTGTAGGAAGGAATTTGACAAGGCTGTGAATATCAGGAAGTGGGGATCACAGCAGGCCATCTGGTAGTCTGGTTACTGCATCATATTTTGAGTTATTCTGGCAAAAACAATTATCACCAGCTTATACCAAGAGCTGTGCTTCTTCTGGAAAAGAGGGTAGAGAGAACAGATGAACCAGCAAGGAAACAGAAGTCCTGAGACCAGGCACAGTGACTCTTGTTTGTAATCCCAGCACTTTGGGAGGCTGAGGCAGGAGGATCACTTGAACCCAGGAGTTTGAGACCAGCCTGGGCAACATAGTGAGACCCTGTCTCTACAAAAAAAATAAAAAAAACTTAGCCAGGCATGGCAGCATGCACCTGTAGTCCCAGTTACTCAGGTAACTAAGATGGGAGGATCACTTGAGCCCAGAAAGTCGAGGCTGCAATAAGTGGTGATCATGCCGATCATGCCACTGCACTGCAGCCTGGGCGAAAGAGCAAGATCCAGTCTCTAAAAGAAAAAAAAAAATAGAGTCCTGAAATGAGAGAGAGAGAAGGGTTAAGAAAGGATATGCCAAGAGCATCACAGGAAACTCTTCCCACTTTATGCTTTTGGCTAGATTCAGTTCTAAAATGGAATTGTTATATTTGGCAGGTAATAAAAATATAAAATGTGTTCCATAATACCTTTAAGGGTTTTCAGTATGGACAGTTGATTACAAATGGTTATTCATTAGGCAGTTAGGAAAACTCAGCATATTTCCTATATTTTGGGGCTTTGTAAGACAAAGACTATGTATCTGTACAAAAGGCCCTTTGTAGCAGCGTGATAAAACACTGAAATGGATGGTCTAAATATTGTGGCATCCTTTTTGGAGTTATTGATCAAAGGGAGGATAATGGCTTTCACTGGGCCCAATCTGTTGGGAACTATCTGCCTCTGGCCTCTTCATTCTTGTACTCCAGCCACACTGTCTCCTTTTATGGACTAAGGCCCAACATCATCTAAGGCCAGTGCTGCCCCAGGCTAGGGGTGGAGAAGGAGCTCAGAGGGCAGTGTGCCCAGGGTCAATCTCCATGCTTAGTGCTGGTTTCCCAGTATCTTGTCTCCTGTTGGCCTGAGCCCCCAGATCATTGTCCTTCAGTTGTCCCAGGTTTCTAGTGCAAGGGTCTGACTTCACTGATGAAGACTTGTTGCCTGAACCTGCAGCACATCCAATCCTTGATGACTTCTGCCCCTGCTCTGCACTCTCAGACCTGACCTGCCTGGACCTGACCTCTGTTCTACCTCACTTAGGGGCCTGCTAAGGATATATCCTTCTGTTCTAGCTGAAGTGTCCCTAGCTTCCCACTATCTAGGCTGGCCTCACACAGTCTGTCTTGATGTAACATATCCATCGCTTCCCTCAGCCTCTCTTTTGGTGCAAAATGAAATACAGTCTGTATTATTAAATACATTCCGTTGGCGGGGTGCAGTGGCTCACCCCTATAATCCCAGCACTTTGGGAGGTTGAGGCAGGCAGATCACTTCAGCCCAGGAGTTCGAGACCAGCCTGGGCAACATGGTGAAATCCTGTCTCTATAAAAATTTTTTTAAAAAACCACACACATTAGCCAAGCATGGCAGTGCACACCTGTGGTCCCAGCTACTGGGGATGCTGAGGTGGGAGGATTGCTTGAGCCTGGGAGCAGAGGTTGCAGTGAGCCAAGATTACGCCAGTGCACACTAGCCTGGGTAACAGAGCAAGACCCTGTATCAAATAAATAAATAAATAACAAATAATACATTCCCTTATATAAAAGATTTAAATCTTTATTTGTCTAAGGACTATTTGTATATTTTAAAATATTTTTGTCCCATTTTATCCATTAATCTATTTATTCAATCCATGATTCAAAATATTATCTTCCATGTGGCTGGTATATTTTCCCTGTTTGAAACCTACCATCCATCTTCACATATGCTGTTCTCTATCCAGAGTGGAGTCTATTTCTTCTCTCTTTTAATCTGGGCTGGCCTGGAACTTGCTCTCACCCACAGAATGTGGCAAAAACGGCACCCTTCCCATTGCAGGCCTGGGTATTAAGAAACCTGGTGGTTTTCACTTTTTCTCTCAAGGGCCCTTGAGCCACTGTATAAAACAGTCCAACTACTCTGTTAGAGCATTGAAGGCAAGTGAGGCAGCAGACGTGTGAGTAAAGCATGTCCAGGCAACATAATATGGAGCAGAGACTAGCAGGGCCCACTCAGCCCTGCTTGAATGGCAGCATGAGAACAAATAAGTGGTTTGTTTTATTTTTATTTTTATTTTTATTTTTTTTGAGACAGAGTCTCGCTCTGTCACCCAGGCCGGGATCACTGCAAGCTCTGCCTCCTGGGTTCATGCTATTCTCCTGCCTTAGCCTCCCAAGTAGCTGGGAATACAGGCACCCGCCACCACGCCCGGCTAATTTTTTTGTGTTAGTAGAGACGGGGTTTCACCGTGTTAGCCAGGATGGTCTCGATCTCCTGACCTCGTGATCTGCCCGCCTCGGCCTCCCAAAGTGCAGGGATTACAGACGTGAGCCACTGCCCCCAGCCTGGTTTTTATTGTTTTAAGCTGATAAATTTTGGGGGCAGTTTGCAATACAGGAATAAATACACACTAGGCTGGGTATAGTAGCTCACGCCTGTAATCCTAGCTCTTTTGGAGGCTGACGCAGGCAGATCTCTTGAGCTCAGGAATTCGAGATCAGCCTGGGCAACATGGCAAAACCTTGTCTGTACTAAAAATACAAAAGTTAGCTGGGCATGATGGCATGCACCTGTAGTCCTAGCTACTTAGGAGGCTGAGGTGTGAGGATGGTTTAAGCCAGGGAGGCAGAGGTCGCAGTGAGTAGAGGTTGCACCACTACCCTCCAGCCTGGGCGACGGAACAAGAGTCCGTTTAAAAAAAAAAAAAAAGAGAGAGGCCAGGCGCGGTGGCTCATGCCTGTAATCCCAGCACTATGGGAGGCTGAGGCGGGTGGATCATGAGGTCAGGAGTTCGAGACCAGCCTGGCCAACATAGTGAAACCCTGTCTCTACTAAAAATACAAAAATTAGCCAGGCATGGTGGCATGCGCCTGTAGTCCCAGCTACTCAGGAGGCTGAGGCAGGAGAATCGCTTGAACCTGGGAGGCAGAGGTTGCAGTGAGCCGAGATTGTGCCACTGCACTCCAGCTTGGGTAACAGAGCAAGACTCCATCTCAAAAAAAAAAAAAAAAGAAAGAAAAAAAAAGATGTCAGGCGCAGTGGCTCACGCCTGTAATCCAAGCACTTTGGGAGGCTGAGGCGGGCAAATCATCTGAGGTCAGGAATTCGAGACCAGCCTGGCCAATATGATGAAACCCCATCTCTATAAAAATTAACCAGGCATGGTGATGGGTTCCTGTAATCACAGCTACTTGGGAGGCTGAGGCAGGAGAATTGCTTGAACTCAGGAGACAGAGGTTGCAGTGAGTCGACACGGTGCCACTGCACTCCACCCTGGGCGACCAAATGAGACTCCATCTCAAAAAAATAAATAAATAAAAGAAAAATCATACACTAGCAAACATAAAACTCTGAAACAACCAAATATGAAACTTGTAAATTAACACTGAAAGTACATCAGAGGCAGAAAGGCCAACTTCTAGATGTACCACCCACTCTCAGGACTGAATACTGTTGAATTAGATCCAAGGGAAGTTATGGGTTTCAAAAAAAATCAGAAGACTCAGAGTCCAATTTGTAGGGAATTAAGAAGAAAGTGATTTGTAAAAAAGTAGAAACAAGCAGGTATAGATCAATCATTCTAGAAATCAGAATAACTCGGTGGCTTTTCAACCCTACCTACAACTAGAATCACTCAGGGCACTTTTTAAAGTGTAGATTCCTGGGCCCTATTCTTTAAGATCCTGATTTAAATCATCTGGGGTACAGTCCAGCATAGTGTTCTGAACTGCTGCTGTGGTTTAGAGTGGACTGTGAAGAAAAAAAAAAAAAAGAACTTGCAGCTGAAAGGTCAATGGTAGTAGGTAAAGCTTTAAGGAGATTGGATTATTTTGGAAGTTTCAGGAAAAAGAGCTGGTAAAGAGGTTAGGGTTATAGATTCAGAGAGAAAAGGGATAATCTAAGGCAAGAGTGAAGAATAGCAAACACACAGGCTATATTAATTGGGTGGGTTGGGTTTCTTTGTTTTTTAGTTTAGTTTTTTTTTTTTTTTTTTGAGACAGAGTCTTGCTCTGTCACCCAGGCTGGAGTACAATGGCATGATCTCAGTTCACTGCAACCTCTGCCTCCAGGGTTCAAGTGATTCTCCTGCCTCAGCCTCCCGAGTAGCTGGGACTACAGGCGTGCACCATGATGCTGGCTAATTTTTGTATTTTTAGTAGAGACGGGGTTTCACTATGTTGGCCAGGCTGGTCTCAAACTCCTGACCTCAAGTGATCCACCAGCACTGGCCTCCCAAAGTGCTGGGATTACAGGCGTGAGCCACCACACTCGGCCGATTGGGTGGGTTTCTAAAGAACTTCCAAATGTTTTGGCCAGGTGAGGTGGCTCACGCCTGTAATCCCAGCACTTTGGGAGGCCGAGGTGGGTGGATCACGAGGTCAGGAGATCAAGACCATCCTGGATAACACAGTGAAACCCTGTCTCTACTAACAATACAAAAAAAATAGCCGGGCGTGATGGCGGGTGCCTGTAGTCCCAGCTACTCGGGAGGCTGAGGCAGGAGAATGGCGTGGACCTGGGGGGCAGAGTTTGCAGTGAGCCGAGATCGGGCCACTGCACTCCAGCCTGGGCGACAGACCCAGACGCAGTGGCTCATGCCTGTAATTCCAGCACTTTGGGAGGTCAAAGCAGGTAGATTGCTTGAGGTCAGGAGTTAAGACCAGCCTGACCAACATGGTGAAACCCCACCTCTACTAAAAATACAAAAAATCAGCTGGTCGTGGTGGCACGCACCTGTAATCCCAGTTACTGGGGAGGCTGAGGCAGGAGAATTGCTTGAACCTGGGAAACAGAGGTTGCAGTGAGCCAAGATTGCGTTACTTCATTCCAACCTGGGTGACAGAGTCAGACTCCGTCTCAAAAAAGCAAAACAACAACAACAACAACAAAAGAACGAAACTATCCAGGTATATGAAATAAGTGAAAGACTGTAAGCCAAATGGCAACATGTCACCTTTTGGCCGGGTGGAGGTTTCCAGGGCACTTTCACTTACTTGAGTTTTTTTTTTCCAAAATGAGTATTATTTTTAATAATCAGACAAAAAGGGCCGGGTGCAGTGGCTTACGCCTGTAATCACAGCACTTTGGGAGGCTGAGGCAGGAGGATCACCTGAGATCAGGAGTTTGAGACCAGCCTGGCCAACATGGCAAAATCCTGTCTTTACTAAAAATACAAAAATTAGCTGGGCGTGGTGGCATGCATTTGTAATCCCAGCTACTCTGGAGGCTGAGGCAGGAGAATTGCTTGAACCCAAGAGGTGGAGGTTGCAGTGAGCCGAGATGGTGCCATTGCACTCCAGCCTGGGAAAATTTTGAATTAAGAAACTTTTAATAACCATTATATGTCTATTACATTTTTTTGAAATATATGAAAACAAGCAAACTCAATATTGTTGGGTCAAAGGTAAATTGATGTAATATTGGAATATGTATTTAGAGTTCTAAAATTATTCATACCCTTTAGCCCACTAATTCCACTTGTAGGATTAAGCTCAAGGAAATGACCAGAAAGAAAAGAAGTAGTGTGTACAAAGATGGTCATAGAAATGCTATTTATAAAACTGGAAAATTGGAAAAATCTCAAAAGTTCAACAATAGAAGTAAGGCTGAGCAAACTGGTACATTGTCAAGATAGAAAACTATGAAACACTGACTAGTGCATGAACTAGGTGGACACACAGAAGTGGTAGCTGAAGTTTAATAAAAAGACATCAAAATCCTTATGTAGGTGGTAATCCTCAGAAAGAGATACCCTAAAGACTGTGCTTTGACATGCTGAGAAGGCTTAGAAGCTGCCTCAGAATCAAGGTCCCTTAAACCTTGCCTGGACTCTCTCTGGAATTTCCCTATCTGATCAAGAGAGCTTCTTTCCAAAAGAAACACAACTGGGGGCCGGGTGCGGTGGCTCACGCCTGTAATCCCAGCACTTTGGGAAGCCAAGGCAGGTGGATCACTTGAGGTCAGGAGTTTGAGACCAGCCTGGCCAACATGCTGAAACCCTGTCTGTACTAAAAATACAAAAATTAGCAGGGCGTGATGGCATGTACCTGTAATCCCAGCTACTCGGGAGGCTGAGGCAGGAGAATCACTTGAACCCTGGAGGCGGAGGTTGCAGTGAGCTGAGATCATGCCATTGCACTCCAGCCTGGGAGACAGAGCAAGACTCCATCTCAAAAAAAAAAAAAAAAAAAAAAAAGGCTGGGCACGGTGGCTCATGCCTGTAATCCCACTGCTTTGGGAGGCTGAGGTGGGTGGATCACCTGAGGTCAGGAGTTCCAGACCAGCCTCACCAACGTGGTGAAATCTCATCTCTACTAAAAATACAAAACATAAATAAATAAGTAAATTAGTCAGTCGTGATGGCAGGCGACTGTAATCCCAGCTACTCAGGAGGCTGAGGCAGGAAAATCGCTTGAACCCGGGAGGCAGAGGTTGCATTGAGCTGAGATCGCACCACTGCACTCCAGCCTGGGCGACAAGAGTGAAACTCCGTCTCAAAAACAAAAACAAAAACAAAACAAAACAAAAAACACAATTGCCTTCCTCCCCTCGCTGAAATCTCAGTATCTATCTCAGAAAAGACAGAAATGCAACCACACCTGGAGGGACTTTTTCACAAAGAGGATCATTAGAAGTTAATTCCTATGTATTTATTCTCCCTAATAATCATTTGGTCAGGCACTGTGGCTCGTGTCTGTAATCCCAGCACATTGGGAGGCCAAGGCGGGTGGATCACTTGATCTCAGGAGTTCGAGACTAGACTAGGCAACATAGTGAGACACCCATCTCAAAAAATTAAATTAAATAAAAATAGAAAAAAACCCTCAGTGGCATGACTAGGCACAGTGGCTCATGCTTGTAATCCCAGCACTTTGGAGGATCACCTGAGGTCAGGAGTTTGAGACCAGCCTGGCCAACATGATGAAACCCTGTCTCTACTAAAAATACAAAAAAATTAGCCAGGCGTGATGGCATGTGCCTATAATCCCAGCTACTTGGGAGGCTGAGGCATGAGAATCGCTTGAACTGGGGAGGTGGAGGTTGCAGTGAGCCAAGATGGTGCCACTGCACTCCAGCCTGGGCAACACAGCAAGCAAGACTCTGTCTGAACAAATAAAAAAAACAAATCATTTTCCGCCTCTCAAATGAATTGTCTACATTCCCTATCTCCCCTCGCCCTTTTGAAAAAGAGGATGTAGGCCTGCCTGGTGGCTCACACCTGTAATCTGAGCACTCTGGGAGGAAGAGGTGGAAGCATCCCCTGAGTCCAGGAGTTCGAGACCAGCATGGGCAACATAGCGAGACCCTGTCTCTATTTTAATGTTTTTTAAAAAAGAGTATGTAAGCTTCTGTACTCGGGGTTGGGTTACTGGGTACTCAATCTGCAATTCCATGCTATGCACATTAAAATAAAATTGTGTTATGTCTTTTCTCCTACTAATCTGACTTTTGTCAGCTGATTTCAGCAAACCTTCAAGGGCAAAGGGGAAGTCTTCCCTTGGCCCTTCACATACAGATGGCAGCTATGCAAAACGGATATGTGAATTAACAAAGATCAGAGAATAACATATGGAGTACTGGCCAGGCGAGGTGGCTCACACCTGTAATTCCAGCACTTTGGGAGGTCAAGGCAGGAGGATCACTTGAGCCCAGGAGCTTGAGACCCTGTCTTTAAAAAAATTAAAAAAAAAAATTAGCCTGGCATGGTAGTGCATGCCTGGGCCCAAGGAGGATCACTTAGGCCCAGGAGGTCAAGGCTGCAGTGAGCTGTGATTGTACCACTGCACTCCAGTGTAACCTTGTCTAAAAAAATAACACACACACACGAAAGGTTATAGTTATAGACTAAATTTGGATTTTTTTTTTAAGAGATGGGGTTTCACCATCTTGCCTAGGCTGGTTTTTTTTTTTTTTTTTTTTTGAGATGGGGTGTCGTTCTGTTGCCCAGGCTACAGTGCAGTGGCGCCATCGCGGCTCACTGCAACCTCTGCCTCCCAGGTTCAGGCAATTCTCCTGCCTCAGCCTCCTGAGTAGCTGGGATTACAGCCATGTGCCACCATGCCTGGCTAATTTTTGTGTTTTTAATAGAGACGGGGTTTTAGCATGTTGGCCAGGCTGGTCTCGAACTCCTGACCTCAAGTGATCCACCGCCTCAGCCTTTGTGGGGAACATCTAGGGCCCGGGTGTAGTGGAATCAACTATCGAGCTTATTCTCTTAATTGCCGGTGCCTAGTACTCCACTGTTCTCCCAAGACAGCAATGCAGTTTCACACCCACAGACATAAGAGGGAGCATAAGCCTTCAGGGAGTAGTTTTTAACTAATGATATCAAATCAGTCATTGAAAAAAATGGGTGCAGCAATGGGTATACCAGAACAAAAGGAAATGGCAGATTGATAGAGGACATCTTTTCCGTTTCTGTTGTTGTTGCTGTTGTTGTTTTTTGAGATGAAGTCTCGCTCTGTCACCCAGGCTGGAGTGCAATGGCACGATCTCGGCTCACTGCAACCTCCACCTCCAGGGTTCAAGCGATTCTCCTACGTCAGCCTCCTGAGTAGCTGAATTACAGGCGGGCACCACCATGCCTGGCTAATTTTTGTATTTTTAGTAGAGACGGGGTTTCACCATGTTGGTCAGGCTGGTCTTGAACTCCTGACCTCGAGATCCTCTTGCCTTGGCCTCCCAAAGTGCTGGGATTACAGGTGTGATCCACTGTGCCCAGCCTTCCCTTTTTATGCCAACCAAGTGACAGGATATACTTATGTGGTTAGTCGCATTACCACCAAAGGGAAATACCATGCAGAATGGAAGGGTTAATTTATTTAAAAATAAGAACAATCTCAAACATACCAAGAAGCACAAAGGGTAATATAATAAACACCCATATACTCAATATCCAGATTTAACCAATGTAAATATTTGGAAATCTCTTTCGCATCCCTCCTCAATCCTATTCATTTCCCTTGCTTCTCAGAGGAAAAACGATTTGGATCTTGGTGTGTGTCGTGCCCTTTAATTTGGAAGTATTTTTGCAGGAAAGAAAGTTTATTCATGCAACCCTTAACTCTTTTGCAATCACAAAAAGAGAGAGAGAGAGAGAGAGAGAGGGCTGGGCACAGTGGCTCATGCCTGTAACCCCAGCACTTTGGGAGGCCAAGGTAGAAGAATCCCTTGAGCCCAAGAGTGAGACCAGCCTAGGCAAAATGATGACACCCCTGTTTATACAAAAATAAAAATAAAAATAAAAAAAATCACACCTGGCCAACATGGTGAAACCCTGTCTCTACTAAAGATACAAAAATTAGGCCAGGTGTGGTGGCTCACGCCTGTAATCCCAGCACTTTGGGAGGCCGAGGTGGGCAGATCACGAGGTCAGGAGATCGAGACCATCCTGGCTAACATGGTGAAACCCCATCTCTACTAAAAATACAAAAAATTAGCCGGGCGTGGTGGCGGGCACCTGTAGTCCCAGCTACTCGGGAGGCTGAGGCAGGAGAATGGCGCGAACCTGGGAGGCGGAGCTTGCAGTGAGCCGAGATGGTGCCACTGCACTCCAGCCTGGGAAGCAGAGCGAGACTCCGTCTCAAGAAAAAAAAAAAAATACAAAAATTAGTCAGGCGTGGTGGTGGGTGCCTGTTGTCTCAGCTACTCAGGAGGCTGAGGCAGGAGAATCACTTGAACCTGGGAGGCAGAGGTTGCAGTGGGCCAAGATCAAGCCTTTGCACTCCAGCCTGGGCAACAGAATAAGAAACCATCTCAAAAACAAACAAAAAAAAAATTAGCCAGGCATGCTGGTGTGTGCCTGTAGTCCCAACTGCTCCAGGAGGCTGAGATGGGAGGACCATTTGAGGCCAGGTGGTTGAGGCTGCAGTGAGCTATGATCATATCCACTACACTCTAGCCTGGGTGACAGAGGCCCTGTCCCAAAAATAAAAAAAAAGAAAGAAAAATATTTTTACCATGTAAGTCTCCATACAAATATAGATCCATAAATAATATTATCATTTTATTTTTAAAACTGAAAGAAATAGCATCATAATGTATATACCATACTGCAACTTTTTTTTTCATGTAACATTGCTTTTGAAATACGTCCAGGTGTTTGTTTTTTTTTTTTTTTTCACTCTTGTTGCTCAGGCTGGAGTGCAATGGTGCCATCTCGGCTCACCACAACTTCTGCCTCCCGGATTCAAGCGATTCTCCTGCCTTAGCCTCCCGAGTAGCTGGTATTACAGGCATGCACCACCACGCCCAGCTAATTTTGTATTTTTAGTAGAGGCAGGGTTTCTCCATTTTGGTCAGGCTGGTCTCGCACTCCCGACTTCCGGTGATCTGCCCGCCTCGGCCTCCCAAAATGCTGGGATTACAGGCATGAGCCACCACGCCTGGCCACGTCCATGTTAACAAATGTAGCTGTAATTAATTTTGTTTTAATAGCCGCTTGTTTTTTTTTTGTTTGTTTTTGTTTTTAATAGGGACTGGGTTTTGCCATGTTGCCCAGGCTAGTCTCAAACACCTGGGCTCAAGCAATTTGCTCGCCCTGGACTCCCAAAGTGCTAGGATTACAAGTGTGACCCACCACACCCGCGCCTTGTTTTTTTTTTTTTTGTTTGGTTGATTGGTGTTTTGTTTGTTTGTTTTTTGAGACGGAGTCTCGCTCTGTCACCCCGGCTGGAGCACAGTGGCGGGATCTTAGCTCACTGCAACCTCCTCCTCCTGGATTGAAGCAATTCTCCCTACATCAGCTTCCCGAGTAGCTGGGATTACAGGCGTCCACCATCACACCCGCCTAATATTTATTTAGTAGAGACAGGGTTTCACCACGTCGGCTAGACTGGTCTCAAACTCCTCACCTCAGGTGATCTGCGCGCCTCGCCCTTCCAAAGTGCTGGGATTACAGGCGTGAGCCACCACTCCGATCTGTTTTTTAATTATTAATTTTATAATGGAGTACTTTTAAAATGCAATAAATATTATAATGAATACTGAGGTACTCAACACCCAACTTCATCATCTATTATCATTGTGCTATGTAGTGCTGTATTAATTCAGATTTTATTTTTTTTTTCTTTCTCTTTCCCCAAATACAGATTTTGTTTTTAAAGAAACAACACTTACAGATATAGTTGTGGCCCCCTGAATCCCTTACCCTGAGCCTAGTCCTCACCCTTCCTTTGTAGACACTATGAGGAATTCAGTGTTTAAAATTTCTTTTTGGCCAGGCATGGTGGCTCACGCCTGTAATCCCAGCACTTTGGGAGGCTGAGGCAGGCGCCCAGGCTGGAGTACAGTGGCATGATCTCAGCTCACTGCAAACTTCACCTCCCAGGTTGAAATGATTCTCCTGCCTCAGCCTCCCGAGTAGCTGGGATTACAGGTGCGCGCCAACACACCCGGCTAATTTTTTTGTATTTTTAGTAGAGATGGGGTTTCACCATGTTGGCCAGGTTGGTCGCAAACTCCTGACCTCATGATCCGCACACCTCTGCCTTCCAAAGTGCTGGGATTACAGGCTTGAGCCACTACGCCCAGCCTCAGTGTTTAAAATTTCTATGAATATTTTTATACTTTTCCTACATATTTTTGATCTATAAACAATATATAGTTGTACTTCAAATGTTTTAAAATTTTATAGAAGTAACATATATACCTCTTTTTTCTTGAGATGGGGTCTCCCTGTGTTTCCCAGGCTGGTCTCAAACTCCTCAGTTCAAGGGATCCTCCCTCCTCAGCGCCCCCAACAGTGCTGATATTACAGGCATGAGCCACCATGCCCTGCCTACATGCTTTTTTCTGTTTGTGGTTGTTCTCTTTTTTTTTTTTTTTTTGGTCACTTAACATCATGTTTCTGAGAATTAATCATGTTGAAAGATGGTAAATTTAGTTTTTCACAGACGTCATATTAGTTCATTCATTTTTTCTGTATTTTTTTATTGTAGGGACTATCCTATATACATTTATTGATTACTATATGATGGAGATTGAGGTTGTTTCCAGATTTTTACTATTATAGATAATATTATTATTGGTGGAGGTCTATTCCAATGGGGCTTTTCCTGTAGCTGCATGTTGTTGGAAACTCCTCATAGACTAACTCTGTGGTTTTGCTTTACTCACAGGACTATTAGTTAGGTCTGTGGGAAGGAACTACAAGACAGTTGCTAAAATTATGAAAGACCTAATAATGTATCTTTTACTGTAGATATTGGCATATTCCACAGATCTGTACTATTATTCTTGAGTGTGATAGCTTAGAAATGAGTATGATTGAACACATGTTTAGAGAGGGTGTCAAATTGAGAACCAGGAAGATCCACCTACTCTAAAAATTACCCTAAAGTAAATTGGTTGTAGAAATTAGATCCCAAAGATTATTGATTTTTTCCATAGGTGAATTTTGAAGCCTCCGTGAATATATCCATATTAAAAGGAGATGAAAGAAGCCAAAATAAAGAATTATGGTATGACGGGATAACTGAATTAAGCATCACTTCTATTAAAAAGGGCTAATTTGAAGATAAATCTATTGAAGATAACTTTTGACTCCAACTCTTTAGAGGAACTTTAGTTCCTTGATGGACAGTGGAAGGAACCTCAACATGAAATTTCTTGAATGAAAATTTATTGACTTAATAATAATAATACTATGAACCTTATGGCAGACATGGAGAGGCATAGCCCAGATCTTCTTTCAAGGAAAGGCTTGTTGCCTCAACTGCTGAGAGTGCTGTCAGTGTACAACGTTCATCCAGCTTTCAGTCCCTTTAGAGAATCATTTCAGTTTCACCCAAGGTTGACCCTTCCAAGGACAACCCACATCCCATGACTGGGCGAATGCATAGACACCTAGCCCACTGTAGGAGCAACCTAGCTCCATAGCTCCCCATGGAGTCAGGGCTATTGGGCCCCCATCACAGCATGATGTCTTCATCTTCCCTCTCCACTCCCTCCTATTCTTTTCAACAAAGGGCACACCCTAGTAAACAACCAGTGCGTTAAATTCCGTCAACATTAACAGATTAATGAAGAAAAATGTGATTATCTCAATAAATGCTACAAGTTACTCTGTGGGAGAGAGAGGCCATATGGAGGAGCACGGAAGCACCAGACACATGAGTGGAGAAGCCATATTGGATGTCCAGCCTGGTCAAGCCCCAAGTGAGAACCACCCAAGCAAGCCCAGAACCACCAACCAAGCCCTACAGAGACAAGAGAAACAATAATAAATCATTGTTTTTGCATCACTTTAAATCTTAGAATGGCTTGTTACAAAGTAGTATTATGAGAACCATAGAATAGAAGAAAACAGCCTATGGCAAAACCCCATCTCTACAAAAAATACAAAGATTAGCCAGGCGTGGTGGTGCACACCTACAGTCCCAGCTACTAGGAAGGCTGAGGTGGGAGGATTGCTTGACCCGGGAGGTTGAGGCTTCAGTGGGCTGTGCTCATGCCATTGCACTCCAGCCTGGAAGACAGAGTGAGACACTGTCTCAACAACAAAAAATAGAAGAAAACTTTCTGGCCAGGTGTGGTGACTCATGCCTGTAATCCCACACTTTGGGAGGCTGAGGTGGGCGGATCACTTGAGGCCAAGAGTTCCAGACCAGCCTGGGCAACATGGGGAAAACCTGTCTCTACTAAAAAAAAAAAAAAAAAGAAGTAGAAAACTTATATAATAATATATAACTACCAAAAGGTATCTATGACAAATACCTTAAGAATGATAAATTTGTAAAATTATTTTCGTGAATGTCCAGAAGACGACTAATAAATACCAGAAGTTCCTAATCAACACTCTATTGGAGGCTTTGGCTATAAGACCTGGGGGCAGAATAATACCCCCACAACACAATATGTACGTGTGCTTATCTGTGAAACCTGTGAATATGTGAATTAGCAAAGGGAGAAAGGAGAATGAAGGCTACAGATGGCATTAAGATTGCTAATCATCTGACCTTAAAATAGATTATCCACGGCTACTCTGGGCGCATTGCCTACGGGGTAGCCCTTCTCTGCAAAGAGCAGTACCTCTGCTGTTATGTGGGTCACTTGAGGTCAGGAGTTTGACACCGACCTGGCCAACATGGCTAAACCCCATCTCTACTAAAAATACAAAAATTATCCAGGTGTGGCAGTGCATGCCTGTAATCCCAGCTACTCAGGAGGCTGAGGCAGGAGAATCGCTGGAACCTGGGAGGCAGAGGTTGCAGTGAGCCAAGATTGCACCATTGCATTCCAACCTGGGTGACGGAGTGAGACTCTGTTTAAAAATAATAATAAAAATTAAAAATAAAAGCAAACAAAAATAGAGCATCCTGGACTATCCAGGTGGGACTAATGTAATCACAGGGTCCTTAGAATTGGAATAGGAAGGCAGGAGTCAAGAGTCAGAGAAAGACATGGTAACAGAAGTAGGATCTGTCCCTGAGAAAGACTGATGTACTGAGAAAAGAACTTCACCCACTGTTGCTGGCTTATAAGATGAAGCAAGGAGGCTACAGCCTGGAAATGTGGGGAGTATCTTGAAGCTAGAGAGAGCATGGAAATGGATTCCGTTCTAGAGCCTCCAGAAGGAATGCAGCCCTTCAGACACCTTGGTTTTAGCCCAGTAAGGCTCATTTCAGACTTCTGACCTCTTGAACTTTAATAAGTTTGAGTTTTAAGTCTTTAAGTTTGTGGTAATTTGTTAAAGCATCTATAAAACTCTAACAGAAAACCAGATATGTATATATTGGTCGGGTGCCGTGACTCATGCCTGTAATCCCAGCACTTTGGGAGGATGAGGAGGGGCGGATTACATGAGGTCAGGAGTTCAAAACTAGCCTGACCAACATGGTGAAACCCTGTATCTTCTAAAAATACAAAAATTAGCTGGGCATGGTGGTGGGCACCTGTAATCCCAGCTACTTGGGAAGCTGAGGCAGGAGAACCATTTGAACCCGGGAGGCGGAGATTGCAGTGAGCTGGGATTGCACCACACTTCAGCCTGGGCGGCAGAGCCAGACTCCATCTTAAAAACAAAAACAAAAAATACCATAAATATATTGTAATATTATATATATAAGGGATATAATGAATAAAAAGTAAGACAAAATGTGCATTTGGGGATGTGTGTATTATTCTTTTTCTCGAAAACACTTTTTAGAAATGCTGTTATTGTTCTAGGTTCTGTAATTGCCAGATGGGTTCTTCTTGCCCACTGCACAGATAAAATGAATTCACTGCAGTAGAGCAAGAGTTTAATTGACATGAGACCAACCACATGGGAGAACTGGGGTTATCACTCAAATCAGTCTCCCCAAAGGCTTTCAGGTTAGAGTTTTTATGGACAATTTGGTGACGGGGCTAGGGAATCGGTGCTGCTGATTGGTTGGGGATGGAAATCATAGGCGTTTGGAAAATGGTCCTTGTGCTGAGTCTGCCTCTGGATGGGGCCATAGAACCAGTTGAGTCACCAGGCCAGGTGGGATCAAGTCTGAAAAATCTCTCAAAAAACCCATTTTAGGTTCTACAATAGTGATGTTATCTATAGGAGCAATTGGGGAAGTCACAAATCTTGTGACCTCTGACCGCATGACTCCTGAGCTGTAAGAGACTGTAGAGACTATACCTACCTTGTGACCTCTGGCCACATGAATCCTGAGCAGTAAGGGATTATACAAACTATACTACATTTTATCAGAGTTCAGACCCCTCCCATAATCCTAATCTTTCGGCCTTTCATTAGTCTTACAAAGGCAGTTGTCAGTCCCTGAGCAAGGAGGGAGGGAGAGACTGTTTATCATCCTTGCTTTCAAGTTAAACTACAAATTTCTCCCAACGTTAGCTTGGCCTATGCACAAGAATGACCAAGGACAGCTTGGAGGTCAGAAGCAAGATGGAGTCAACTATGTCAGAGTTCTCTGTCATAATTTTGCACAGGTGCTTTCAGTTCTAAACTTTATTAAGTTATATTCAGATTTTTTACATTAGGTAAGATGAATAGAGAAAGGAGTACTACAAAGTGAGGAAGAACTCAAACTCCATTTATTATTTAGCTTGGAATTTGAAAAATTATTTCAAACAACATAATGAAGCCACACTCTGAAAATCTGCTTAGGAGATTCTGAAAGTCTACTTCTGAAAAAACTATTTGTAATAATCCACTCAAACTGAAGTGAATTACTAGAATGTAAACACCACATCCCTATTCATATTTGTGTTCTCAATGTGTCATGAATCAGTGAATGAGTAGTACCAAATCTTTTTAAAGCACAGATGGTGTTCGTGGCAGCCATGAGAACGTTCCTTTCAGATCTCCCAGCATGACAGACTGAGGGCCCTGACTGCTGCATTTGGAATCCACCACACTCCCCTAGGCTGCTCTCAGCCAATGACTGAGTGTGGCAGGAAGACAGGCAGGCCTGCTTCTGTGAGACTCAAAATTCAGGTAACTTTGCCTTGAGGATTCCCCATTGGCCTAGTGAAAACTTTCTTAGATGGACTCTACTCTTAACATGCTTCTTACTGAAATTTCCTTTCCTCTCCCTCTCCTTCATATGGGTCTGACCTGGATCATCCTTGCTCTGTTCTTGCTCCAGCTTCCTTCTCATTTTCCTCCATAGGCATTTCCCCTACCAAAATCTCTTGCACATCTGATCCCATTTTTGTGACTGCTTCTTGGAGGATTTTTTTTTTTTTTTTGAGACAGGGTCTGGCTCTGTTGCCCAGGTTGTAGTGCAGTGGCACAATCTTGGCTCATTGCAATCTCTACCTCCTGAGCTTAAGCCATCCTTCCACTTATCCTCCTGAGTAGCCAGGACTACAGGAGTGAGCCACCATGCCCAACTAATTTTTGCATTTTTTGTAGAGACGGGGTTTCACCATGTTGGCCCGGCTGGTCTCGAACTCCTGACCTCAAGTGATTCACTCGCCTCGGACTCCCAAAGTGCTGGGATTATAGGCATGAGCCGCCACACCCAGCCTTTTTGGAGGCTCTTAGCTAACACAGTGGTTAAGTGTATAGGTTTCAAAGGATTCCTTAGATAGGTCATTAAAAACAGACAGGTATTAGGATGTACTCAAAGATTTAGCTGCAAGGATGTAAGTGATAACAACTTAAATGTTCTTCTGAAGGGACTGATAAGGTAAATGATTGTGTAAATGCACAATGGAATTTTAATAAGATAATACTAAAGGTGAATTTAATTTTCTTTTTTTACAGATGGGTCTCATTATGTTCCCCAGGCTGGTCTCAAACTCCTGGGCTAAAGCAATCCTCCCACCTTGACCTCCCGAAGTGGTGGGATTACAGCTATAAACCACTGTGCCCAGCCCTGAATATTTATTAGTATCTTCAACAACCATTGTAAAAAAAAATTTACTTATTTATGTTATAGGACAGCTCCCTGAGCCAGAAGACTCAGAGAGACTCCTGAAAAAGATAATTTACAGATTAAGTATTTACAGTGGTATCTCATTTTTGCAAATGAGCCTAGAAGCCTAGAAAATGGTATAAAAAGACATACACTAAAGTTTTAAAAGGGATTGTCTCTAGGTAGTATTTAAAGTTTCTTGGCCGGGTGTGGTGGCTCACCCCTGTAATCCTAGCGCTTTGGGAGGCGAGGCGGGCGGATTGTCTGAGCTCAGGAGTTTGAGACCACAGTGGATAACAAGGTGAAACCCCGTCTCTACTAAAATACAAAAAATTAGATGGGTGTGGTGGTGTGCGCCTGTAGTCCCAGCTACTCAAGAGGCTGAGGCAGGAGTTGCTAGAACCTGGGAGGCTGAGGTTGCAGCGAGCCGAGATTGCACCACTGCACTCCAGCCTGGGCAACAGAGCGAGACTCCGTCTCTTAAAAAAAAGAAAAAGTTTGTTGTTTTGGTTTATCTATAGTTTTAAATTGGTCTACAGTGAACATGCGTTGCATCTGCAGTAACACTAAAAGTCATTATTTTTTTGCAACCTCCACCTCCCAGGCTCCAGCAATCCTCCTGCCTCATCCTCCCAAGCAGCTGGGACTACAGGTATACACCACAATGCCTGGCTAATTTTTGTATTTTTGGTAGAGATGAGGGTTTCTTCGTGCTGCCCAGGTTGGACTTGAACTCCTGGAATCAAGGGATCCGCCCATCTCGGCCTCCCAAAGTGCTGGGATTACAGGCGTAAGCCACCACGTCCAGCTAGTTTTTAATTAAGCATGATTCTCTTAGGCACTGTTAAAATTTAGAATAGTCCAGGTTGGCTGGGCACAGTGACTCACACCTGTAATCTCAGCACTTAGGGAGGCTGAGGTGGGAGGATTGCTTGAGCCCAGGAGTTGGAGACCAGCCTGGGCAACATAGGATAACTGGTATCTACAAAAAATAAAAGATTACCTGGGCGTGGTGGCACGCACCTACAGGTAGTCCCAGCTACTCCAGAGGCTGAGGTGGCAGGATCGATTGAGCCTGGGAGGTCGAGACTGCAGTGAGCCGAGATCGCAACACTGCACTCCAGCCTGAGCAATAGAGCAAGACTCTGTCTCAAAATAAATAAGTTAATTAAATAAAATAAAACTCCAGTACTGATCAGTAGTGGGATTCAGCCTGCAAATAGCTGCTGCACTCCAGCCTGGGCAAAATAGTGAGACCCCAAGAATATAAAAATAAAAATAATAAAACTTTAAAATTTGTTAGATGTAAACTTTGTTCACCTTCTCAACTGTCTTCAATTGCCCTTCTTTCCGAAGGCACTGCCTGTATCCCAGAGCACCCCGGCACTGCTGCCCTTGCAGAGATCAGTGGCCTGCATGCCCCACTTGTTGAACCTCTCTGTGCTAAGTCACCCTTCATTTCTAGGTTGGCTGAAATGCCACACTGGAGCACAGACTCTGGCTTCCTGAAGGGCTGGATGAGGCAACATGGAAGCGTGAACTCCCTGTGGGGTGAAACTTGACTCTGAGGAAAGGAGAAATAGGAAGGAACCAGACAGACATGCTCCCTCTTCTTTCCATTTACTCCACTGAGTAAGATTTCTTCTTGTGTCCCTTTTGGGAAAACCCCCCTTGCTGAGGAAGAACATGTACAGAGTGACCTACCACGTCTCCTAAAGTGGTGCCAGGGCTCTCAGGGATCACTGTGCAGAGCTTCCCAACTTTCCTCACATCATTTCTTTCTTTTTCCTGTCTAGCCACTCGGGAGTTGAAAATAAGGATAATTGGCCATAATTGATATAATGTACAATACCAAAAAGGGTACTCATAGCAGATCAGGACACGAACTGCTCAGATCCCCCTTAAAGAATTTGCTACTGAATGCAAGGAGTGAGGCTGCATCCAGGGGATGATGAAACTTGCTACCAGGGTACTCCTAGAAGCCTGAAAAAAGCAATGGCCCTCACAGAGACTGTATTAAAATGCTTCCCATGGTATAGGGAAGAGAAAGGGAGTAAAAGGCTCAGGAAGTGGGAATGCTGGAATGGATAAATTACACGGGGCCAAAATAAGGAGTATGTTCTCCAGGAAAGCTCAAAGGACACACATTTACCAAGAGCATTAGTAATATGATGATGGCAGGGGCCCTAGCATGGTGATGAAGTTCAGTGTGGCTCTCCTCCACAGGCCAGGGTTAATGGTCAGTGAAGCAGTCACATAATTTGGCTCACGAATAGCAATGGCGATGAAAAGACCTGAACAACAGAGGCCAGGTGGTAGCACTTCACCACCAAAAGCCAGAGGGTCACAATGTCCACAGTTATGGTTAATAGAAAACAACATCCCTGGGGGCAAAATAGCTGGGCAGCCAACAGGCACTGCTTAATGTACATGATCAAAATAGAGCAAGGGTAGATGAGCAGGAGGTTGAGGGCAGTTACCCAAAAGGATCTCTCTTGCCCAGTTTCTGCACCTAAATCAGTTTTCAGACCTAGTGCCCATTGCTTTAAGAGATGGCCAGATCCCAGTACCAAGAACCCTGCAATACATAGTGATTTCTCCAGTTCTTCTGTGGAAGACATGAGTGACTGTTCACTGGAGTGAGGGATTTACTCCAACATTCCAGGAACTTCTGGAGACAGGGTCCAAGTTGACACAGATACCCAATGACTGGAAACATCATCATGGGCTGTGTTAGAGGGGGGGCCTACAGGGGCCAGTAAATGAAGCCCTGGCCCAGGAGTGAGTCCAGTGGTCTATGAAACTACCTGGTGAATATTTCCCTGGTCCCCAAATATCTCATTGGGATTGACACTGTGGCAGAGTAACCCACAGGCTGTACCTGTTGGTGGGGGCTATGATAATGGGGAAGGTCTGGTAGAAGCCTCCCAAACTGCCTCCCTCCCACCAAGATAGTGAATCAAAACCAGTATAATCCTGGAGAGGGATGGCAGAAGTTAGGGCCACTCTTAAAGATGCAGGCATGCTGGTCCCTAACCTACCTCTGTTTAATTTGCTGGTCTGGTCCTTGCAAAAACCAGACAGATCCTGGAGACTAACGTTCAACCAAGAAATAGACCTGATCACAGCTGCCTGGCCAGATGTGGTGTCTTTCCTAAAACAGATAATACAGTCTCTGGTACACAGTATGCAGCCACTGATTTGGCAAATGTGTTCTCTTCTATCTCAGTTAGGAAAGAAGATCAGCAACAATGTGCTCCAGGGCCATGTTAATTCTTTGACCATCTGTCATAATATAGCCTGAAGACATTGGGACCATCTGGACAAATTGCAGAATATCATGTTGATTCATTCATTACATTGATGACATCATGCTGATCAGGCCAGGATTAGTAAGAGAATACTATCATGCTGGAAATGCTGGTAAGGCACATGCACTCTAGAGCGAGATAAACCGTAAAAAAATTAGGTACTTTCTACCTCAGTAAAGTTTCTGCACATCCTGTGGTCAGGACATTCCCTTAAGAGTAAAGAACAGGCCTGTGTGTTGTTGCCACTGCCATTGTTGTCATGGTGGTTGTGCTGAGCTCTGTGGTTTCTAGAGCCGGCTATGTCCCCTCCCTGCCACCACCCTGAAGTGGATGTTCAAGGAGAACCACTCGCTAGAAAACAGATGCGTGCAGTTCCCGAAGATCAGAGTAAAATATCCTGACCGGGTTCCGGTGATTGTGGAAAAAAAAAGTCTCAGGCTCTCAGATTGTTGACACTGACAAACGGAAGAACTTGGTTCCATCTGACAGCCATTCAGTTCCATCTGTGGCTCAGTTCTTGTGGATCATCACAAAAAGGATCCATCTTCCTTCTGAAAAGGCATCTTCTGTTTGTGGATAAAACAGTCCAGCCTGGTGAGGCATGGTGGCTCATACCTGTAATCCCAGCACTTTGGGAGGCCGAGGCAGCTGGATAACCTGAGGTCAGGAGTTCGAGATCAGCCTTACCAATATGGAAACACCCAGTCTCTACTAAAAATACAAAAAATTGGCCAGGCATGGTGGCACATACCTGTAACCCCAGCTACTCGGGAGGCTGAGGCAGGAGAATCGCTTGAACCTGGGAGGCAGAGGTTGCAGTGAGCCGAGATGGTGCCATTGCACTCCAGCCTGGGCAACAAGAGCGGAACTCCATCTCAAAAAACAAACAAACAAACAAACAAAAACCAAAAAACAGTCCAGCCTAACTATAGGAGAGCTTTACTAGAAGGAAAAAGATACAGATGGAATCTTGTATGTGGCCTCCAGTGGGGAGAACACTTTTGGTTTCCGAGGACCACTGCTGTGCTAGGTGCACCCTTACTGCTTGTGTATCTTGTAAATGTCCTAGCACCTTGGTAAGCCAAGGCAGGAGGACAGCTTGAACTCAGGGGTTCGGAACCAGTCTGGGCAACATAAGGAGACACCCGTCGCTACAAAAAAAAATTAGTTGAGCGTGGTGGCGCATACCTATGGTCCCAAGCTACTCAGGATGTTGAGGTGGGAGGATTGCTTGAGCACAGGAGGTAGATGCTGCAGTAAGCCAAGATTGCACCACTGCACTCCAGCCTGGGTGACAGAGCAAGATCCTGTCTTAAACAAACAAACAAAAATTAAAAAGAAAAGAGAAAAAGGAGCACCAGTTGTGGCTGCGAGATCAGCTGTGGCTATGGAGGCTGTAGTTTGCCCCAATAACCTCCCTCTTTTGTTTTCCCTCGGGAACAGAGGCCTACCAGAGCCCTAGAGGAGATGCTTCCCACGTGTTTTTATGAAGTGGATCCATGTGGCACACAAGGTAAACTGTGGCAGTTGTGAAGATGTGTCAGTTAGATCCCCCTTCTAGAAAGGAGCCACCCCTCAGCTGCAAGGAGTATGGTAAGTGGACACTCCCCACCTGTTAGTGTCTTCAGCATCAGCTTCAGGTTTTTATCCTGTGCTTTTCTCAGGGTGGTCCCCAGCCAATGACTGAGCAAGGCCTGGCTATATCTACCCAATGAGAGGAACTTCTTTTTTTTTTTTTTTTTTTTTGAGACAGAGTTTCGCTCTTGCTGCCCAGGCTGGAGTGCAATGGTGTGATCTTGGCTCACTGCAACCTCCTCCTCCTGGGTTCAAGTGATTCTCCTGCCTCAGCCTCTCAAGTAGCTGGGATTACAGGCATGCGCCACCACGCCTGGCTAATTTTGTATTTTTAGTAGAGATGGGTTTTCTCCATGTTGGTCAGGCTAGTCTTGAACTCCTGACCTCAGGTGATCCACTCGCCTTGGCCTCCCAAAGTGCTGGGATTAGAGGTATGAGCCACCGTGCCTGGCCATGAGGAACTTCTTTAAGGGAAATTTTTGCCTCAGAACTCCCTGTTGGATTAGCCTGCCTGATTCTGCCTCTGCCCCTTCCCCTTCTCTTCCACAGGGGTCGCCTCCATACTTTTTTTTTTTTCGTTTTGAGACAGAGTCTCACTCTGATGCCTAGGCTGGCGTGCAGTGACATGATCTCGACTCACTGCAACCTCCACCTTTCGGGTTCAAGCGATTCTCGTGCCTCAGCCTCCCAAGTAGCAGGGACTACAGGCTTGTGCCACCACGCCCGGCTAATTTTTATATTTTTAGTAGAGACGGGGTTTCACCATATTGGCCAGGCTGGTCTCATACTCCTGACCTCAAGTGACCGCCCACCTTAGCCTCCCAAAGTGCTGGGATTGCAGGCATGAGCCACCGCACCCGGCACCCCATAAATTTTTTGCGTTCCTACTTCTCAGTGTCTGCTTCCGGGAGAATCTAACTGAGACACCAGTGGATTTGCAAATGGACCCCGGAACTGAAGTTGCTCCCTGCTCCCAACCCTGGGATGTGTAACCTAACTAATCTGAACTGCTGTTTTCTCCTATATAAATTAAAGATGCTTATTCCTTTCATACCTACATTTCATGGTTATTATGAGGTGAGAAAATGCTATATAATTTGAAAATCACTATGTAAACTATTATAGTTTTTATGAAAAGTTCTAAAGAGTTAAAGCATTTCCTGAATTACCTAAAGATGCACAATAGTTCTAAAAACTTCAAACAGATAATAGTTTTAAGCCCTTTGAAGGCTGGTATGGTGTATGTGGGGTTTTTCTGTAGCTTTGCTTATTCCCAGGGAGTAACTTATACACTGAGAGATCTTGCTTGGCAATCAGATACAGACCTAAACAAAGAATTGTAGAGTACTATAGTAACCTATCATGGGAATTTTGGTTTGTTTCTCTTCATTTCTAGGATAACAGTTACTAACATAGCACGAACAAGAAACACTGAAACATCTCATTTGACAAAACACAGTGGCCAGTGTATTGAGAGGAAATACTTAACACCTGTGTAACTGTGAACCAATTTTGTGTATCACTATTCTGATAAGATAAAATTTTCTATCCATGAATAAATATAATTTCATGTTATTTTACTCTTAACACCACTTGACGAAATATTATAATTTTAATATACGTGCACATAAAATATTTCTTATAACATTCTTTATTTCCATTTATTTATTTATTTTTGAGACGAAGTCTTGCTCTGTTGCCCAGGCTGGAGTGAAGTGGCGCAATCTCGGTTCACTGCCACTTCTGCCTCCCAGGTTCAAGTGATTCTCCTGCCTCAGCCTCCCGATTACAGCCTGGGATTACAGGTGCCCACCACCACGCTTGGCTAATTTTTGTATTTTTAGCAGAGATGGGGTTTCACCATGTTGGCCAGGCTGGTCTCGAATTGCTGACCTTTAGTGATTCACCCACCTCGGCCTCCCAAAGTGCTGGGATTACAGACATGAGCCACCACACCTGGTCTATTTATTTATTTTGAGACAGAGTCCCACTCTGTTGCCCAGGCTGGACTGCAGTGGTGCGATCATGGCTCACTGCAGCCTTGACCTCCTGAGCTCAAGCAGTTCTCCCACCTCAGCCTCCCAAGTAGCTGGGACCACAGGTGCATACCACCATGGCCAGCTATTTATTTTATTTTATTTTTTATTTTTATTTTTTTGAGACGGAGTTTTGCTCATTGCCCAGGCTGGAGTGCAATCGAGCAATCTCTGCTCACCGCAACCTCCGCCTCCCGGGTTCAAGAGATTCTCCTGCCTCAGTCTCCCAAGTAGCTGGGATTACAGGCATGTACCACCACACCTGGTGAATTTTGTATTGTTAGTAGAGATGGGGTTTCTCCATGTTGGTCAGGCTGGTCTCGAACTCCCGACCTCAGGTGATTCACCCGCCTCAGCCTCCCAAAGTGCTGGGATTACAGGCTGGAGCCACCGCGCCCGGTCTATTTTATTTTTTTGTAGAGGCAGGGTCTCCCCATGTTGCCCAGGCTGCTCTTAAACTCTTGGGCTCAAGCAATTCTTCCAAAGCATTTGGATTACAGGCATGAGTCACTGTGTCCAGCCATCCAGCCAAAATATTATTATTTTTTATTTTTTTCAGACGGAGTTTCGCTCTTGTTGCCCAGGCACTGGAGTGCAATGGCACGATCTCAGCTCACTGCAACCTCTGCCTCCCGGGTTCAAACGATTCTCCTGCCTCAGCCTCCCGAGTAGCTGGGATTACAGGCACCTGCCACAACGCCCAGCTAATTTTTGGATTTTTGGTAGAGACGGGGTTTCACCATGTTAGCCAGGCTAGTCTCGAACTTCTGACTTTGCGATCTGCCCACCTTAGCCTCCCAAAGTGCTGGGATTACAGGCGTGAGCCACCGCACCCGGACTATTTTTTTAAATAATAATTTTTTTCTTTTTCTTGTCCTCTACTCTGAAGAGAACTTGTAAACAAATTCTTTTAATACTCATTCTCTGTATTCACAATTATACATAATGGGATCATGTCAGTAATGCTTTATCAGAAAAACTAGCTTTTTGCAGTTGCTTTTTAGCAAAAAAGAAGAGAAAGTTTTCTACAATGTGCTATTGTTTGCTTAGCTGGTAATTCAAACCTTTTTTCTTTTTTCTTTTTTGAGGTGGAGTCTCTGTCCCCCAGGCTGGAGTGCGGTGGCATGATCTCAGATCACTGCAACCTTCGCCTCCCGGGTTCAAGCAATTCTCCTGCCTCAGCCTCCCAAGTAGCTGGGATTACAGGCACGTGCCACCACACCCGACTAATTTTGTATTTTTTATAGAGACGGGGTTTCACCATGTTGTCCAGGCTGGTCTTGAACTCCTGACCTCAAGTGATCTGCCCACCTCAGCCTCCCAAAGTGCTGGGATTACAGGCGTCAGCCACCATGCCCAGCCCCGTAATTCAGATTTGAAATGGGTTTTCTCTCTTTTTTGCCTTTCAGAACGTGTCTCTGACTTGCATTTGAGATTTGACACAAACTCAGTTACAAACTTTGAAAATTTGTGGTTTCAAATAATGAACTGTACAAAATGTTAAAAACCAGCTGGGCTCAGTGGCTCACGACTGTAATCCCAGCACTTTGAGAGGCCAAGGCGGTCGGATCACCTGAGGCCAGAAGTTCGAGACCAGCTTGGCCAACATGAAGAAACCCCGTCTCTAATAAAAATACAAAAATTAGTCGGGCTTGGTGGTGTGTGCCTGTAATCCCAGCTACTTGGGAGGCTGAGGCAGGAGAATCGCTTGAACCCGGGAGGCAGAGGCTGCAGTAAGCTGACATCGTGCCACTGTGCTCCAGCCTGGGCCACAGAGTGAGACTCTGTCTCAAAAAAAAAATTTTTTTTGGCTGTTTATTCAAATATCAGGACAATACTGAACCAAGTGTTGAAGCTTAGAGTTTAAGATGGACAATACTGAACTAAGTTTGAAGCTTAGCTAGTTCAGTACTGTTCTGTCATCTGAATAAACAGCTGTTTTTACTGAACCTAACAATACAAGGCTAATCCAAACGGTTTTGTATATACTTTAGAAATGTGAATAAATGTAAAAGAACTAATTTCCATTGTGCTTTACTATGGTGCACAACATCTGTGACTTGAATACTAATCGGAAAAAGAATGCCAATAATTATTATAAAGTCTACTAATTTTAAGAATGTGTTTCATCATAGTTTAGTAAGAATAGCAGAGATTGATATGACTGTTTTTGTATATGCATTCTGGGAACTCCCATAATTGAATACAACTTCAAAAGGGCTAAAGCCCAGTGACCTCAAAACGAGGTTCACAGAACAGTACATAATGATGAAACCTGAAGCAATAAAACACCAATGAACTGAAATGTAAACATTCATGCTGTTAGGACATGGCATTTTCATTTTTCATTTTGTTTTGGACTGTTACTGGGCTTTCCTCAGACACCTTCCTTTCATATATTAAACTCTGTCTTTCCAGAAAAGCTTCTGGAATTGTTTTTGTTTTTTGTTTTGGTCTCAAGGGCATTAGGGGAGAACCTAACAGGCTGGGGGCGAGCCCCACATAGTTCAGCACACCGTTCCCCGCGGCAACACGCTACTTCTGAACGCAGGAGCGACTCTCCGTCCGGGCTCCCTCCAGGAGAATGGAGGCAAATGTACATTCGAGGGTCTCAATACCTGGAATTCGAAACGTCTCAGTTCCTCCGCCTTAGTTCCTCTTTTCCCGGGTTCGGAGGCCACCTGTGCAGCAGGGCACACCTGCCACTCTCATCGCCCTCGGAGCCGGCAACCAGCCGACAGCCGGCTCCAGCCCCGGGGAACTGGAGGCTGCGCGGAAGGAAGGAGAGTCGGGAGCGCGGCCGCTCGCGGGCTGGCTCAGGGGACGCCGAGAGGAGGCGCCGGCGCGCGCGGGCGGGGTGCGCGCGCCGCCGCCGCCGCGTCACCAGCGTGCGGCACGTGCCCATGTTTACGTCCCTCGTGGAGCCGCCGACGTCAGCAGTCGAATGGCAACATTGTGGCGATGCTGAGGCGCAGAGTTTAGGAGACGGGTTCATCAGTCAGGCCGGCTCCGGGCTTTCTGCAGCAGCACCAGGGGCGGGGGCGGGGATCTTGACCTGGGCGAGCGACCGGGACGCATACAGCGCCGGCCTGACCCCGCGGGACCCGCGCCTCACCACCGGAGCGCCGCAGACGCAGCTCCACGGCCTCGCGCGGGGGGCGGCGGGCGGCCGCGAGGCGCTGCGGCAGCGCGGAGCTTGTAAACAGATCCGGCCGCAGGTGACCATGTGAACTACCTGCTCCCGGGACGCTTATTGTCCTTCTCTCGATCCGCGCCACAAAGGAGCTCGGCGGTCGGGGCGCGGAGGGACAGGCGAACGAGCCGGGAGAGCCGGCCGGCGCACTAAGATGGCTGAAGGCGCCCGGCGAGGGTGAGCGGGGGGCGCGGCGCAGCCAGCGGGGAGTCCTCGGGCGGGCCGGGCCGGCGGCCCTTCCCCGCGGCGAGAAGCCGGAGCCACCATGTCGTTCGCGCTGGAGGAGACGCTCGAGTCGGACTGGGTGGCTGTGCGGCCCCATGTGTTCGACGAGCGCGAGAAACACAAATTCGTCTTTATTGTGGCCTGGAACGAGATTGAGGGCAAGTTTGCCATAACCTGCCACAACCGGACGGCCCAGAGGCAGAGGAGCGGCTCCCGGGAGCAAGCGGGGGCGCGAGGGGGCGCCGAGGCCGGCGGAGCTGCGTCCGACGGGAGCCGCGGGCCCGGCAGCCCGGCGGGCAGGGGTCGGCCCGAGGCCACTGCCTCTGCAACTCTGGTTAGGAGCCCCGGGCCCCGGCGGAGCTCGGCCTGGGCGGAGGGCGGCTCTCCTCGGAGCACTCGCAGCCTTCTGGGGGACCCGCGGCTGCGGAGTCCTGGCAGCAAAGGGGCGGAGAGTCGTCTTAGGAGCCCAGTGCGGGCCAAACCCATCCCGGGTCAGAAAACATCTGAAGCCGACGATGCGGCGGGGGCAGCCGCTGCAGCAGCCCGGCCGGCGCCCAGAGAGGCCCAGGTGTCCTCTGTACGGATAGTGAGCGCCTCTGGGACGGTCTCCGAGGAGATAGAGGTGCTGGAAATGGTGAAGGAGGACGAGGCACCTCTGGCGCTCTCGGACGCGGAGCAGCCGCCGCCCGCCACCGAGCTGGAGTCTCCGGCCGAAGAGTGCAGCTGGGCCGGACTGTTTTCTTTCCAGGACCTGCGCGCCGTGCACCAGCAGCTGTGCTCGGTGAACTCGCAGTTGGAGCCGTGCCTGCCGGTGTTCCCCGAGGAACCTTCGGGCATGTGGACTGTGCTGTTTGGGGGCGCCCCCGAGATGACCGAGCAGGAAATCGACACTCTGTGTTACCAGCTCCAGGTCTACCTGGGCCACGGCCTGGACACCTGCGGCTGGAAGATCCTCTCCCAGGTGCTCTTCACCGAGACCGATGATCCCGAGGAGTATTACGAAAGCCTCAGCGAGCTGCGGCAGAAGGGCTACGAAGAAGTGCTTCAGCGGGCCAGGAAGCGCATCCAGGAGGTGAGTGAGTGAGCTCCTAGTCTGGGCTCTACTGGTCGCTTTTGGTTTACTGGCCAAACCAAAGGCTGGAGCCTCGGTGTCGGGTGTGCGCAGTAGGACGGTTGTTTTTCTGGACAAGCGGAAACCAAGAGGGGTTCCTGATCTACCTTGCCCTTCATCCCTCTCGGTGGCTGCTTAATTGACTCTCTGAAGGACCTTCGTCTTTATTTCCTCCCCCATTTATCAAAAGTAGTAAGTGCGCTCTGTGTACTACTCAGTACTGGTAATGCGCAATTAAAGCCACTAAGAAAAGTGTTCTGTAAGCATGGGCTACCTGAGCATTTTTCTACCCCTAAAGCTCTTCCAGCAATAACTGCCCAGATGTCAACTCTTCTTTGTCCTTGTCACCTTTATTTAAAATAGTTTGTCTTACGGAGCAAAGTTGATCTGTTTTGATTCTTCTTTGTGCAGTGTGGCAACCTACGCAAATTTTAAATTCATTTTTAAACGAGTGACCTAAGTGAAAAAGCACCTAGTGACTATCGGATGCAAATTTATTTTTAAAAGGTTTTTTAGAAGTGTTTTGTTTCTTTTTTTTTGGACTACCTCAGGTCTTTACAGATGGCTCAGGTTTCACTGCTGTTTTAGGTAGAAATAAAGATTCTGGGCAGGAATGTTCGTTGTATTTTTGTACTTACTGTAGAAGTACAAAAGCCTTTTCAAACTAATCCTTAAAATAACAAAAAAAAAGTGGAAGAAAGGGTCTGAATGGATATACATATGGGGCTCTAGAATGTGTAGGAAATGTGTAATTCATGCCTGCTCACTAGCTTCTGCTGAAGGAACTTTACTAAAAAAGTCTTTTAAAATAGACCCAGTTTTCCCTAATGGATACTACTACACGTAGTTTCTCAAAGCAAGTTACTGTTTTTACTATTAATGCAATTGAGATTGGTGGAGAAATGCACCCCCGCCCTCCGCGCCTTCTTTTTTTTTTTTTTTTTTGGAAGCAGTTTTGCTCCGTCTCCCAGGCTGGAGTACAGTGGCACCATCTGGGCTCACTGCAGCCTCCCCCTCCCGGGTTCAAGCGATTCTCCTGCCTCAGACTCCTGAGTAGCTGGGACTACAGGTGCGCGCCACCACGCCCGGCTAACACGTTAGCCCGGCTACTTTTTGTGTTTTTAGTAGAGACGGGGTTTCACCATCTTGGCCAGTATGGTCTCGATCTCCTGACCTCGTGATCCGCCCGCCTCGGCCTCCCAAAGTGCTGGGATTACAGGCGTGAGCCACTGTGCCCGGCCTGAAATGCCCCTTTTAATGGTGTTTATATTCCTAAGATTGTGTTGTTATCTGCTTATGTATATATAATAGTTGAACCTTGTTGTTAGATTAGGGAGCTAGAGCCTCATGTTTTTTTCGTAGAATATTAGATATTTTTCTTTATTAGATTTGAGTATTTAAGAAATGTTTGTTTCTCACTTATACCATAGTACTCTCTTACAACTTCCCGAATCCAGATTTTCACTGCTTCCTGTTGGTTTACTGTATGCTAAATGTCACCCACTATAACATGATCCTAGAGTTCCAGGGATCTGTTTTTATTTCCCTTTTTTATCACCTCACTTCGGGAGTCTACCTTAAATTATTTTGAAGGAAGTGACAAATCTTAAGTGACCACATATATTCTCAGAAGTGTTTGGTTAATATTGACCTGTATTTCTCTTAAACTGCAAGAACCGTTAGTGCTTCTTTCTCTTATTAGATTTACAGATATATTTTTTAAAATACATATTCTTAAAAATCCCTTAATGAATGGGCCTGTCTGATTGTAACTTTTTGGATACTCAGAAAAAGCGACTGTCAGGCCGGTCGCGGTGGCTCATGCCTGTAATCCCAACACTTTGGGAGGCCGAGGCGGGCGGATCACGAGGTCAGGAGATCGAGACCATCCTGGCTAACACGGTGAAACCCCGTCTCTACTAAAAATACAAAAGAAAAAATTAGCCGGGTGTGGTGGCGGGCACCTGTAGTCCTAGCTACTGGGAGGCTGAGGCAGGAGAATGGCGTGAACCCAGGAGGCGTAGCTTGCAATGAGCTGAGATCATGCCAGTGCACTCGAGCCTGGGCGACAGAGCGAGACTCCGTCTCAAAAAAAAAAAAGAAAAGAAAAAGAAAAAGAGAAAAAGCGACTATCTCCGGTTTTTTAATTCAAATGGGTCAAAAATAAGCTCTCAAAAAATATAATTTTCTAGAACTCTTTAAAAAGGGGATTACATTTTTTAAAAAATGTGTTCCTAATTAAGGTTCTCTTGACCATAATGATTTATTTTCTTTAACAGAAAATTATACTTTTTTTCTTTCTTTTTTTTTTTGAGATGGAGTCTCGCTCTGTCGCCCAGGCTGAAGTGTAGTGGCGCGATCTTGGCTCACTGCAACCTCTGCCTCCCGGGTTCCAGTGATTCTCCTCCCTCAGCCTCCTGAGTAGCTGGGATTATAGGCGTGTGCCACCTTGTCCGGCTAATTTTTGTATTTTTAGTAGAGATGGGGTTTTACCATGTTGGCCAAGCTGGTCTCGAACTCCTGACCTGGTGATCCGCCTGCCTCAGCTTCCCAAAGTGCTAGAATTACAGGCGTGAGCCACCGCACCCAGCCTCCCCCCGCCCCCTCCAAACAGAGTTTTGCACTATTGCCCAGGCTGGACTGTACTGGTGCAATCTCAGCTCACTGCAACCTCCACCTCCCGGGTTCAAGCAGTTCTCCTTGCTCAGCCTCCCAAGTAGCTGTGATTACAGTCGCCGCTACCATGCCTGGCTAATTTTTGTATTTTTGTAGTGACAGGGTTTCCCAGTGTTGGCCAGGCTGGTCTTGAACTCCTGACCTCAGGTGATCTAACTGCCTCGGCCTCCCAAAGTGCTAGGATTACAGGCGTGAACCACTGCACCCGGCAACTTCAATATTTGAAAAATAGCCATCAAGGACAACAAATAGTTTCAGTAATAATGCCTATCTTGACTTCTGCTGGAAGATTGTGTCTTTAGATTATATTGGGGGAGGGAGGGAAGTGTGGTGTGATTGATTGGTGATGTCTGCCATGGGCATGATAATGAAAGTGTATAGGATGCTAGCCATGTATTTGTCTTAAGCTAATTAAATTTAACTTTGCTTTCTTAATAGTTTGCAGTAACATTTTTTAAGGTAACATTTTTATAGAAGTTGTGCCATGTTTGTGTTATTCTATTGACTTAGTTTGTGGAATTGGCTATAGCTTTTCAAGCTAGGTTTATCTGATAAATCAAATGCATTCTTGAGGATATGTTACTTTTGAGGATATGTTAGAATGCTTAGTCCTTTGGTCACTTACAATACTTAGTCCTTTTCCTTCTTTAATTTCTATGAATCTATTTTTTGGTCTTTTTTCCTACAGTATTCCTTTCCCTGTCCATTTAAAGGTTTCAACTTAAAATCACCTGTTTTTGTTCAAAATGGTTAGTAAGTTGTTGAACTTTTTTTTGTTTGTTTTTAATAGAACAGACTGTACAACTAGATTGTAAGCTTTTCAAGGTCCTTGGCTTTGACAATACCTTGGAACTCTCTTCTTTGCCACCCCTAGTTCAGGACCACACATCTTGTGAGCACTCTTAATTAGTGGATAAAGGAAACTAGAGAAGTTTTTAAAATTAATTTATTCTTACTATTGCAAGAATTTAAAGGACTTAGAAGATGTGTCCTTTTAATGTGAAGTTGTAAGTAAAATTTTTATAAATTGATAAGTGTAAATTCCTCAAAGGACAGTGTTTTTAAAACGAGAAATTTTCTTTTAGTACTTCAAAGGAAAATTTCTTAAAACATAAATAAATTCCTCAGTAAGAGGTTTTTACTTGGGGATGGTGAATTCCCTGTAAGAGGGGCTATGGATGGATTTTAATGGGGCGTCCTGCCGAGTTTTATATCTGTGGGCATGTGTGCATTTTAGAGAGAAAGGCAATAATGTGAGTCACAGGAATGTTTTGGTTTCACAGTGCGTTTAAAAGTTATGTTTATGCTATAATGTACATTATACTTCTTAGGGGCTAAATCCAAGTGAAAGGTGAAATTTGTTACTGGTATGTTTGAATTTGGACTTTTACAAGAGTTTACTATTGGAAGCAGTATTTATACAGTAGACACTGAATCAGTCCTTAAATGAATGCAGGTGCCACCAAGACCTCTTTGAACAGTTTTCAGCAGTAGCCTTGGTTGTTGGTCAGAGCTGAGGTTTGTATTAGTGTATGTGCGTTGGTGGCCCATACTGCAGCTTAGGTTTGACCTGGATTTTATAAATAATGGTTTCTGTATAAGGACAGCTATTCTCAAGATGATTAACTGTGGTGCTTTAGATAGTAAACCTTAATTATGATGGTAGGCTTGATTAAGATCTAATCATCAGTGTTCATTTTGGAATTTATTATGTTTATAAAGATGTGCTCAATTCTAACTTCTCTTCTGTTGAAACCACGGTTTGGAAGTAGCATGTGTTTTCAAAATTATCCGTGTAAGCCACATAATAAATAGCCTGTTGAGTGAGTGGAGTCAGAAACACCTAGGTTGAAAATAGGACTAACCACTTCTGATGACCTGCTTAGTTATTTAACCTCTTTTAAAAAGGAAGGTGGGGGAAATAAAGGATGTCTTAAGATTTGAGTAAGACAGTATGAGAAAGGGCCTAACAAAGTGCCTGGCACTTACTAAAGAGGCTTCCAGGAAGTGTTATTTTCCCTTTTTTCATGTAACAAGGATTATCTGGTTTTCCATTCAGCCCTTTTTGTGGGGACTGTAACTAATATTTATTATTCACTATCTGCTGAGATCAGTGGGTGTTTTATACCTATTTTACTGAGGCAGAAAATGAGACTTAAAGAGGTCCTGTGGACTTCACCAAGGCTAAACAGCTGAGTAACCAAGCTCCGATGAAAGCCTAGATTTGTCTTAATCCAAACGTGTGCCTTTTCTGCCATGCCTGTGGCCTGTTGGGGTTCTTAATCCAAGGGACTGTATTCCTTCCTTAAAGAGAAAGGATGTCAATCTCTACTCTTGAGAATTGGGGAGTGGTATTATTTTAAAATGCAGTCAGTTCAATAATGACTTTTTTTTTTTTTTTTTAAAGACAGTGTCTCACTCTGTTGCCCAGGCTGGAGTACAATGGCAGTATCTCAGCTCACTGCAACCTCTGCCTTCCAAGTTCACGCAATTCTTTTGCTTCAGCCTCCCAAGTAGCTGGGATTACACGTGCATGCAAACACTCAATAACTGCTTTTGATTTAGGATAACTCATTTCGAATTAATTATGACAAGCATGAGGTAGGGCAGTCTGAATGTGATGTTTTAGAGAAAGGTGTTGCCTAGTGGTGCAAGGATAGGTTTATGTTAGAGAAGAGTGCCCAATTGTGGGGAAGTTTTTTGTTTGTTTTGTTTTTGTATCTTAATGGCTAAGCTGGAAAACAGCTCCTGACTTCTGAGGTTATTTAACTGAAGGGGCAAGGGGCAAGGAGCTCTAGGAGGAAGTTTTGTTTAACAGGTGTCCTCCCAAGGATACCTTTGGGTCCTTAGAAAATAACTTTTCTAATTTTCTTGAAAACCTAAGATTAGTTTTAAAACTCAAGCCCTGCTGAAACCCCAACTATATACATTAGAGAAATGACAGTACTTTAGGAGTCTTGGGACGCCACCTGTCTTTCACTGGGCCAGCAAGCCATGACCCATGATTACATATAAATAAATGGTGGAAGCAGGCTGCTATTTATAGGGAAGGATATAATATGATTCCAATGAAGAGAGCTGCTCTGTCTGGCAGTTCTTGACTGCATTGACTGGAAGTATTGAAAAATAGGATATTACATGTTGAGGACATATGGGAGCTGTAGACTTTCAAGACAGAAGATATGTCAACATTGTAGCTTGATGCCTTGTCTAACCATGTTATACTCCCATGAAAATATTGCAAACTGCTCTTTTACTGTAAAATACAGTTAAAGAATAATGAAACTAAGTGAATTTGTGGGATTCTTAAAGTATTGATGAAAGACTTGAAAGTTGGAAACATTTACAATATTTTGATGCTAATCATTTTCTTCAATCCTGTACCCAAATGTACTTTTAGACAGTTTTTTGCATCACTGAAAAAGATGTAAGTATAGAAAAATGGATATATGCTTCTAGTTTAGGGCTTCTATAAAACAAAAACATGGAGACTGGTAGCAGGATGTCACCCTTCTTGGTAATTAATTTGTGTAATGGTTTCTCTGCTTGCCACTTAACATCACAAGATGCCCAGTCCACCAGAGATTTCTTTCTTTTTTCTTTTTTTCCTTTTTTTTTTTTTTGAGACAGGCTTGCTCTGTCACCCAGGCTGGAGTGCAGTGGTGTGATCTCGGCTCACTGCAGCCTCCACTGCCCGGCTTCTAGCGATTCTCCTGCCTCAGCCTCCTGAGTAACTGGGATTACAAGCATGTGCCACCACACCCAGCTAACTTTTGTATTTTTAGTAGAGATGGGGTTTCACCATGTTGGCCAGGCTGGTCTCGAACTCCTGACCTCAGGTGATCCACCTGCTTCGGCCTCCCACAGTGCTGGGATTACAAGCATGAGCCACCACGCCTGGCCCAGATACTTCATAGACATGAAGTCTGGGGATGTTTCCTCCTTGCTAAAATGAGGTTAACTTAGACAACACTTCAGTGATATTATTATAAGGGAGTGTGTATGTGTGTCTGAGAGAGATGGGGAGAGAAGGGAGAAGATGGGTGGGAAAATTGGTTTGTCAAACATAGCAGCTGCTGTATTTGAATTAGCCATCTTATCTTTGCAAATTCTCACATGTAATTTTAATCGATCTGTTAACCTTCTCCATTGCTGCTTCATTTGACGTTTCATTAACTGTAAAATATTTTTGACAGTAGGTCTTGAAAGCACAAGATGAGCCCTCTGTTGCTCCATTGATGGTTAAATGTATGTGTGCCTATTTTTTTTTTTTTTGGTAACGAGAAGTTTCCTGTGGCTCTTTTCACTCTCTAAAAGGCCAGGACCTGCTTCCTCTGAATCTGCCTGATTCACTCAGTTGTTGGTAGGAGAAATTAAGTTCCAAGTGTAAGAGACATAGGCACTGAAAACTAAATAATAGTTCTTGTAACTATTTGTTTTTTTTTTTTTTGGTAGAGATAGTGAAGTTCATTTGGTTTTTCAGGCTTCTTTTAGGGGACTTGATAATACCAAGTAGCCTTAACACAGCATATCTAAGTTATTAAACTGCATAGGGGCAGAGAAGAATTTATCCAGCAAAAGGCCAGAAAATTTGGAGTTGTTTTCCTAAATGTGGGGGATTGTCCTTTATGTTTGTCCTTGAATTTTAAATTAAATATAATTACAATTCTATATAGTAGACTCTTTTTCAGACTGTAGCAAAGGTTCTATAAAATGGGCTGTGAAATAATGGGGCTGATGGGTTAGACATTTCACAGAGGAGGATTTTTAAGGATAAATGTATGAAGTTACTTTAATGATTCGGAATTTTATTTGTAACTTTCAGGTTTGAGGGTAGTGGCTAGGGTCTTAGTTTATTCAACAAATAGTAGTATAGGCACTGGGAAAATGCAGTGATGAACACTGTTTCTTTGGGAAGAAATTTTAAATAAAATTGGTCATGAAGTCATCCTGGTGCTTGGAGGTAGTTGAAGCAGGGTGCTTTTTCAGAAGCATCCCACTACACTGTCTTGAGTGCTTCATGGAAAAAAAAAAATTAAATGGATATGGCTCGGGAAAAATCTGTATTTTTGTCCTGATTGTAATATGAGTTGTTTGACCTTAGGCTGTTGACTAGCCTTTTTGGGCCTTAGTTTTTAGTTTATAAAGTGAGGTAAGTATGGCCTCTTTTTAAAGGACCCACAGCAGTTGATAGGCACAGTGTGGCAAGGGTTGGGACCTGAGCAACTTGGTTTTTTTCTTTTTTTGAGATGAGGCCTCACTCTGTCGCCCAGACTGGAGTGCAGTGGCATGACTTTGGCTCACTGCAACCTCCGCCTCCCAGGTTCAAATGATTATTCTGCCTCAGTCTCCTGGGTAGCTGGGATTACAGGCATCTGCCACCATACCCAGCTAATTTTTGTATTTTTAATAGAGACGGGTTTTCACTGTGTTGGCCAGGCTGGTCTTGAACTCCTAAACTCAGGTATCCATCTGCCTCAGCCTCCCAAAGTTCTGGGATTACAGGTGTGAGCCACTGCACCCAGCCTGTATTCAGGTTTCCATCTCCTTGCAGTAAGATGACTGTTGAAATCGCAGCACTTTTAATATTGCTAGTGTTTTTAGGCTTTGAGAAAGCCTAAATTCACTTTGAAGTACAAAGGGCATTTGAATATGGCAGTAGTGTTTCATTTTGTGTGTGTTTATCCTTACATCCTTAAATCATTCATTACTTATACTTCAAATTTTCTGTTCTTTTTTCACTTCTCCCTGTGGTTTTTAGTATTAAAACTGCTTTTCCGATCAGTTTTTGATAACTGAAAGTTATACTTGCAAAGTGAATGCTTACTTATTAAAATTATTTCTCTAGGCCTATCTTTCTCCTTGCCGTCCTATCTAGATGAGTTTCTATCCACACCTATGGGGCCATAACTGGAGTGTGTATAAGGATGTATATAACAAGTTTTCAATAACTGCAATAGTTAGTTAACCTTTATTGAATGCTTACTGTAGGCCAAGCACTTTACAAAGATCTTTGTGTACATTATCTCAGTTCACACGTAGATTAGACAGTAAGAGGTAGGATGCAAGTGAGTTTGAGACCTGACTTCTCCTTGTTAATATCTGTGATTTTGGGCAAGTTACCTGATGCAGTGCCTTAGCTTCTTCATCTGTAGAGAGATTAATACTGCTGCCTCATAGAGTGATTTAAAAATAGGTATGTTGGCCGGGCACAGTATCTCACGCCTGTAATCCCAGCACTTTGGGAGGCCGAGGCAGGCGGATCATGAGGTCAAGAGTTTGAGACTAGCCTGGCCAACATGGTAAAACCCTGTCTCTACTAAAAATGCGAAAATTAGCTGGGTGTGGTGTTGGACACCTGTAATCCCAGCTAACTTGGGAGGCTGAGGCAGGAGAATCACTTGAACCTGGGAGGTAGAGGTTGCAGTGAGCCAAGATTGCGGCACTGCACTCTAGCCTGGGCGACAGAGCAAGACACCATCTCAAAAAAAAAAAAGTATGCTATAAAGCACTCAGAACAGTGCCTGGCATCTAGTAAACACTTGATAAATCTAAACTTTGATTAATATTTGTATCTACCTAAGAGATAAGGATTTTGCAGCAGAGGTAGAGAATTGGTAAATTTGCCTACATAACGTATCTATTGTATGAAAGAACCGGATTCAAATCCAAGCCTGCCTTGTTAACCACTGGACTGTCTGCATCCCTGTAGAAAGAGAGTGAGGATAAGTGATAAATTTAAATGTTGTCCAATTGAAATATATGTTCAGTGTCTCAACAGTGGACAAAAGCAATAGTGCTTAGCTGATGATATTTTTGGAAAATCTTAATTATATACATATACTGTAATTACCTTTTTTTGTTTGGGATTAGAGAATGATGCAATCCAAAGGAGGCTACTTTATTTTTCCTTTTTATTTTTTGAGATGGAGTCTCACTCTGTCACCCAGGCTGGAGTGTGGTGGCGTGATCTCGGTTCACTGCAACCTCCACCTCTCGGGTTCAAGTGATTCTCCCACTTCAACCTTGTAGTCTCAAGTAGTTGGGACTACAGGCAGGTGCCACCACACCTGGCTAATTTTTTGTATTTTTTAGTTGTTGTTGAAACAGGGTTTCACCATGTTGCCCATGCGGGTCTCAGTCTCCTGAGCTCAAGCCATCTGCCTGCCTCAGTCTCCTAAAGTATTGGGATTATAAACGTGAGCCACCTTGCCCGGCCCCTGCTATCACTTCTATTTCCTTTTTATTTTGTTTATTTATTTATTTATTTTTTGAGGCGGAGTCTTGCTCTGTTGCCCAGGATGGAGTATAGTGGCACAATCTCTGCTCACTGCAACTTCCACCTCCCAGGTTCAAGCAATTCTCCTGCCTCAGCCTCCCAAGTAGCTGGGATTACAGGCACCCGCCACCATGCCTGGGTAACTTTTGTATTTTTGTATTTTATTTTATTTTATTTTATTTTTTATATTTTATTTTATTTTATTTTATATTTTATTTTATTTTATTTTATTTTGAGACAGAGTCTCGTTCTGCTGCTCAGGCTGGAGTGCAGTGGCAGAATCTTGGCTCACTGCAACCTCCACCTCCCAGGTTCAGGTGTTTCTTCTGCCTCTGCCTCCTGAGTAGCTGGGACTACAGGTACACACCACCACACCTGGCTAATTTTTGTATTTTTAGTAGAGATGGGGTTTCACCATATTGGCCTGGCTGGTCTCAAACTCCTGACCTCATGATCCGCCCACCTCGGCCTCCCAAAGTGCTGGGATTACAGGCGTGAGCCACCGCATCTGGCCTTTTAACTTTTGTATTTTTAGTAGAGACGGGATTTCACCAAGTTGGCCAGGCTGGTCTCGAACTCCTGGCCTTATTTCCATTTTAAATAGTCCATAACATTGAATTTAGTCTTGTACTTTCCTCCCTTTTTTTTGAGACAGAGTCTCCCTCTGTCACCCAGGCTGGAGTGCAGTGGCACGATCTCGGCTCACTGCAGCCTCTGCCTCCCAGGTGCAAGCAATTCTCCTGCCTCAGCCTCCCAAGTAGCTGGGGTTACAGGTGCGTGCTACCACACCCAGCTAAGTTTTTTGTATTTTTAGTAGAGATGGGGTTTCACCATGTTGGCCAGGCTGATCTCAAACTCCTGACCTCAGGTGATCCACCCGCCTCAGCCTCCCAAAGTGCTGGGATTATAAGCTTGAGCCACCGCGCCGGCCTCCTTCTTATAATTATAGTAAATAATTACCTCACCTCAGTCCCATATAGAAAAAAAAAAAAGTTTCTTACTAACAATTTTTCTGACTAGTCCAGAAGGGAGGACAGTTAAGGATGTTAATTTCTTACTTTATTTTCAGTTTAGAAATCCTACATCTGTATGTTTAAGAGAGGGTCTTGTTCTGTCAGCGCAGGCTGGAATGCAGTGGTGCCGTCATGGCTCACTGTATGTAGCCTTGATCTCCTGGGCTCTAGTGATCCTCCCGCCTCAGTCTCTGGAGTAGCTGGAACTACAGGTGTGTACCACCACGTCTGGCTGACTTTTTAATTTTTATTTTGTAGAGAAGAGGTCTCACTGTGTCACCTAGGCTGGTCTCAAACTCCTGAGTTCAACTTATCCTCCCGCCTTGCCCTCCCAAAGTTCTGAGACTGCAGACATGAGCCACTGTGCCTGCCCTTTTTTTTCCCTCTTGTTAGGTGATGTGAATTTTGGTAGTGGGGTTGCTAATGAAAAGTTTATGAAAAGTAGGGTTAAAGAAATGAAGGACTAAGAAAAACGGTGTGAATTAACTTCATTATTGTTATTTTGTGTTTTTAGTAGAAATGGAGTTTTGCCATATTGGCCAGGCTGGTCTCAAACTCCTGAGCTCAAGCAGTCCTCCTGCATTGGCCTCCCAAAGTGCTGGGATTACAGGTGTGAGCCACCGTGCCTGCCCTTGTGAATTAATTTTAGAGTAGCAGTATTTACACTTGAAAATTTCATGGGAATGAATAACATTAGTTTACCAAAAGGAAATGATATGCCAGCTCATAGTGAAGCTGCCTAGATGCTTGCTTTTGTAAACAGTATGTTATCAAGTCACTGGCTCCCTGTATAGCCTTGGAGTTGGCTCTTGAGCAGGTTTTACTCTGCATTGAGCCTTATGAGACCCATAACTTGAAGTAAGACTGTTCTATTTCTTGGTAGAAATTATCTTAAAGGAGATGAATGGAGGAACAGGTATTTATCTGAAGTATCAGCATGTTTTTGGGTTTAAAAATTGAAAACTGGAAGGAATTTCAAAATTGAGTAATGTTTTTCTCTTTTCATTTTGTCTAACTGCACCATTCCCCAGTTACTCTATTCAAGTTTTCCTTTTGTATTAAATTTCATCGTATTTTCAGTCTCCCTTGACTCAAGATTGGGATCTTTCCCTTAAGGAAAGATGAATTGACTGGCCTTGAGTAGAGGCCATGTGGGGCAGTGGTTCCAGAGTTTGAGTTAGGCTACAGGGGTTCATACCTCACTTCTACTTTCCACTAGCTTAACTCTTGGTAGTAACTGAGCTTTCTGCCCGTGGTTCTTCATCTCTAAAATGGCATAATAACTATATACCTACATCATAAGATTGTTAGGAAGAATGAAAGAATGTACGTGAAGTGCCTAGCGTGGTATCTAATATAGAAACCGTCATAAATGTCAGCTGCTATTGTGATACTTTCTCATCTACTTTTTCCTGAAGCAACTCATACTGATGCTGGGTTCCTCCTAAACCCAAACTTGTTTGTACTAAAAACCGTGTTTGTAATGGAAGCTGGTGCTGTACAGGTAAAATATTTCCAAGCCAAAACAATGTCAAAACAACAAGAAAAATCTAACGGGTTGATCTTCAGCCTCCTGTACCCTCCATAGGAACTCCTAGTACGTGCTTTCCCAAGTCCCTTGTTGCTGCTTCGTGTATACATTATTATATTCGTTGACATCACAGGACAGGTGGTCCTTTTGATACAGTCAGTTAAAACGGTGATTCTAGTATTTTTTCTTGTCAATTTTATTGATAGCTCTTCTCCATTTTTTTCTGTATTTACCTTTACTTTGTTTGTAGGCGTCCCAGACAACCCTGATCACAATTGATTTGCAAATATTCCAGTTGAAATAACTATTAAAGAAATGGTAAGCATTAACCTCTGGAAGCCCTTAAAAATACCTTTAAATCTCCTTCAACAATTGTTTATTTAATAAATAGATCTTGTGTTAGGTATTTTTTAATTTTTAATTATTTTTCTTTTTTTTTTTTTTTTTTGGCATATGAAGTAAGAGCTATCCAGGTGCTTTTAACAGCCTCTCACACTTCACTAGAAATTTTACCCCACTATTAATTCTTTCTAATTATACCTACTTTTTTTTTAATGTTGGCATTTCTGATTAGTATTTTCATACTTACTCTAGCAAGATGTTGTATTTTAATATCTTTCATTGCACTTTTACATGTTTACTGTGGTTTGGGGTAGCTTTGCAAAGTCTAACCATAACTTAAAATATTGTCTATGGTAAAAAACAAAGTTAAATGTGCCTTTAGGGTACAATATATTTAATAATTGAGAACTGCCTATAATTCTTCACTTTTATTTCATTAGTGTGATTTTCAAAGGATCCAGATTTATATTTCTTAAGAAGAGTATGTAGGTATTTGTATATGCTGATTTTTTTAACAAGCCAATTTATTTGACTGTGGAGGGTGGGGAGAAAGATTGGAAAAAAGTCAAGTTATTTGAAAATGCCCATTCCTGTTTGGTTGGGAAGGAGGGAAAAATGAATGTGATTTAAGATAGCTGGGCATATCTGTAGTTATTTCTTTATTATAAATATATTTTATTATACTTTGAGACAGAATATCCCTCCATCACCCAGGCTGGAGTACAGTGGCACAATCATGGCTCATTGCAGCCTCAACCTCCTAGGCTCAAGTGATCCTCCCATCTCAGGCTCCTGAGTTACTGGGACTACAGCCATGCGCCACCATGCCCAGCTAATTTTTAACTTAATTTTGGGGGGTACATAGTAGGTGTATATATTTATGGAATACATAAGATGTTTTGATACAGATATGTAATGCATAATAATCAAATCATGAAACATAGGGAATCCGTCCCCTCAAGCATTTGTCCTTTGTTTTGCAAACAATCCAATTACACTATTAAATTATTATTGACTGTTGTCACCCAGTTATGCTATCAAATACCGGGTCTCATTCATTCTATTTTTTTTTTTTTTACCCATTAGCCGCCCCCACCTCCCCCTCAACTTCCTTCCTACCCTTCCCACACTCTGGTAACCATCATTCTACTCTCTATTTCAATTGTCTATTTCAATGAGTTCAATTGTTGTGATTTTTATTTTTTTATTTTTATTTATTTATTTATTTTTTGAGACAGTTTCACTCTTGTTGCCCAGGCTGGAGTGCAATGGCAAGATATCAGCTCACTGGAACCTCTGCCTCCTGGATTCAAGCGATTCTTCTGCCTCAGCCTCCCGAGTAGCTGGGATTACAGGCATGTGCCACCACGCCCGGCTAATTTTTTGTATTTTTAGTAGAGATGGGGTTTCTCCATGTTGGTCAGGCTGTTCTTGAACTCCCGACCTCAGGTGATCTGCCTGCCTCGGCCTCTCAAAGTGCTGGGATTACAGGCATGAGCCACCATGCCCAGCCTTTTCTTCTTTTTGATATAGGCACTTATAGCTATAAGTTTCCCTCTTGGTACTGCTTTTGCTGTATCCCATAGGTTTTGGTATGTTGTGTTTCCATTATGATTTGTTTTAATAAATTTTCCTTCTTAATTTCTTCATTGACCTACTGGTCATTCAGGAGCATATTGTTTAATTTCCATGTATTTGTATAGTTTCCATAATTCCTCTTGTTAGTGATTTCTAGTTTATCTCATTTTGGTCAGAGAAAATGCTTGATAGTCAGGTTTTTTTTTTTTTTTTTAATGTTTTAAGGCTTGCTTTGTGACATAACATGGCCTATCCTTGAGAGTGATAGATATGCTAAGGAAAAGAACATGTATTCTGTATCTGTTGGATGAAATGTTCTGTAAGTTTTTGTTAGGTCTGTTTGACCTATGATGCAAATTAAGTCCAGTGTTTCTTTGTTGATTTTCTGTCTGGAAGATCTGTCCTGCGCTGAAAGTGGGATGTTGAAGTCTCCAGGTATTACTGTATTGAGGCCTCTCTCTCTTTAGCTCTAATATTTGCTTTATATGTCTGGGTGCTCCAGTGTTAGGTGCATATATATTTAAAATTGCTATACCCTCTTGCTAAATTGACCCCTTTATCACTATATAATGACCTTCTTTGTCTCTAGTTGTTGTCTTGAAATCTATTTTGTCTAAGTATAGCTATTCCTGCTTTGTTTCCATTGACATGGAATAACTTTTTCATGTATGTCTTCATAGGTGAATGTGTTTCTTGTAGGTAACAGATCATTGGGTCTTGTTTTTTAATCCATTCAGTCCATCTGTGTCTAACAATTGGAGAGTTTAGTCCATTTGCATTCAGTGTTATTGATAAGTACCTTATTCCTGCCATTTTGTTGTTTTCTGTTTGTTTTGTGGTCTCCTCTCTCTTTCTTCATGTCTTTTATTGAAGGTGATTTTTTCTGGTGATACTATTTAATTTCTTGATCTTTTTCTTTTTGCGAATCCATTGTATGTTTTTTATGTTTTTTGGTTTGAGGTTACCATGAAGCTTGCAAATACTATCTCATGACCCAGTATTTTAAGCTGATAACAACTTACCACTAATAAAGACTCTAATCTTAACTTTGTCTCCCCACTTTTTAACTTTTTGTTGTTTCTTTTGTTGTTGTTGTTGTTTCTATATATCTTATTGTAAGTTGTCTAACCGTTATTTTTGATTGGTTCATCATTTAATCTTTTTTTTTTGGAGATGGAGTCTCGCTCTGTCGCCCAGGCTGGAGTGCAGTGGCGCAATCTCGGGTCACTACAACCTCCGCCTCCTGGGTTCAAGCGATTCTTCTGCCTCAGCCTCCTGAGTAGTTGGGATTACAGGCATCCGCCACCAAGCCCAGCTGGTTTTTTGTGTTTTTAGTAGAGATGGGGTTTCACCGTGTTAGCCAGGATAGTCTTGATCTCCTGACCTCATGATCTGCCCACCGCAGCCTCCCAAAGTGCTGGGATTATAGGCGTGAGCCACCGCCCAGCCTGGTTCATCATTTAATCTTTCTAAGATAAGAGTAGCTTACACACCACAGTTACAGTGTTATAATCTGTTTTTCTGTTTACTTACTATTATCAGTGAGTTTTGTACTTTCAGATGATTTTTCTTTTTTGAGACAGGGTCTCACTCTGTCTAGGCTGGAGTACAGTGGCATGCAGTGGAGTGCAGGCTCAAGCAGTGCCCCCATCTCAACCTCCCTAGTAGCTGGGGCCACAAGTGTATGCCACCACTCTTTATTTTTTTGTAGAAATGGGGTTTTGCCATGTTGCCCAGGCTGGTCTCGAAATACTGGGCTCAAGTGATCCACCCATCCTGTCCCCTGAAAGTGCTGGTAGATGACTTTTTTTTTTTTTTTTTTTTAAAGACAGAGTCTTGCTCTGTCACACAGGCTACAGTGCAGTGGCTTGATCTTGGCTCACTGCAACCTCCTCCTCCCAGGTTCAAATGATGCTCCTGCCTCAGCCTCCTGAGTAGCTGGATTACAGGTGCCCACCACCACGCCCAGCTATTTTTTTTTTTTTTGTATTTTTAGTAGAGACGGGGTTTCGCGATGTTGGGAAGGCTTGTCTCAAACTCCTGACCTCGTTCGTGATCTGCCCGCCTCAGCCTTCCAAAGTGCTGGGATTACAGGCATGAGCCATCACGCCCCAGCTTGGTAGATGACTTTTTTATTGCTCATTAATGTCCTTTTCTTTCTGATTGAAGTACTCCCTTTAGCATTTCTTGTAGAGCAGGTCTGGTGTTAATGAAATTCCTCAGCTTTTGTCAGGGAAAGTCTTTATTTTCTCCTTCAAGTTTGAAAGGATATTTTTGCTGGTATTCTATTCTAGGGTAAAAGATTTTTCTTTCAGCACTTTATGTCATGCCGCTCTCTCCTGGCCTGTAAGGCTTCTACTGAAAAGTCTGCTACCAGATGTATTGGAGCCTCATTGTATGTTATTTGTTTCTTTTCTCTCACTTCTTTTAGGATCTTTTCTTTATCTTTGACTGTTGGAAGTTTGATTATTAAATGCCTTGTAGTCTTTAGTTAAGTCTTCTTGGTGTTCTATAATAACCTTCTTTTACTTGGATATTGGTATCTTTCTCTAGGTTTGGGAAGTTCTGTGTTATTATCCCTTTGAATAAACTTTCTACCCCATCTCTCTACCTCCTCATTAAGGCCAATAACTCTTAGATTTGCCCTTTCGAGGCTATTTTTTAAATCCTGCAGTCACACTTCATTGTTTTCTCTTTTTTTTTTCCTCTTGACTGTATTTTCAAATAGTCTGTCTTCAAGCTCACTATTTCTTTCTTCTGCTTGATCAGTTCTGTCATTAAAAGCCTCTGATGCATTCATTCTTCAATATGCCAATTGTGTTTTTTAGCTCTGGAATTTCTGCTTGGTTCTTTTATTTCAATCTCTTTATTAAGTTTGTCTGATAGAAATCTGAATTCCTCCTCTGTGTTATCTTGAAATTCTTTTAGTTTCCCCCCAAAAAAGCTACTTTGAATTCTCTGTCTGAAAGGTCACATATCTCTCTCTCCTTTTTTTTGAGACAGGGTCTTGTAGTGGTGCCATCTCGACTCACTGCAACTTCCACCTCCCAGGTTCAAGGGATTCTCCTGCCTCCGCCTCCTGAGTACCTGGGATTACAGGCACCCACCACCACGCCTGGCTAATTTTTGTATTTTTAGTAGAGATGGGGTTTCGCCATGTTGGCCAGGCTGGTCTGGAACTCCTGACCTCAATTGATCTGCTTGCCTCGGCCTCCCAAAGTTCTGGTATTACAGGAGTGTGCCACTGCACCTGGCCACATATCTCTGTTTCTATAGGATTGGTTCCTGGTGGCTTATTTATTAATAGTTCATTTAGTGATGTCATGTTTTCCTAGATCATCTTGGTACTTGTAGATGTTCATCTGTGTCTGAGCATTGAAGAGTTAGGTATTTACTGTGATCTGCACTGTCTGGGTTTGTTTGTACCTGTCCTTCTTGGGAAGGCTTTCCACATATTCTAAAGGACTTGGGTGTTGTGATGTAAGCTGTATCTGTTTTAGGGGACACCCCAAGCCCAATATTGCTGTGGTTGTTGCAGACTCATAAAGGTACCACCTTGATGGTCTTGGTCAAGATGTGAAAGAATTCACTGGATTACCAGGCAAAGACTCTTGTTCTCTTCCCTTACTTTATCCTTAACAACAGAGTTTCTCTCTCTGTTCTGAGCCATCTAGACCTGGGGGTGGAGGGACACAAGCACTCCTGTGGCCATCACCACTGGGACTGTGCTGAGTCAGACCTGAAGCCAGCACAGCACTGGGTCTCCCCCAAGGCCTGCTATAACCACTCCCTGGCTACCGCCTACGTTCATTCAAGGCCCTAGGGCTCTACAATCAGCAAGTGGCAAAGCCAGCCAGCCAGGCCTGTGCCCTTCCCTTCAGAGGGAAGAATTCCCCCAGGTCCCTGATGGGTCCTTTCTGGAAGCCAGGGACTAGAATCAGAAACCTTGGAAGTCTACCTGGTGTTCTATTGTATGGCAGCTGAGCTGGCACTCACACCACTAGGTGGAGTCCTTCCCACTTTTCCCTCCCCTTCCCAGTGGCAGAGGAACCTCATCCCAGAGGAACAAGCCCAGGGGGAGTACTGGCAGACTGCTGCTGATGTTCCCTTCAGGCCCAAGGGCTCTTAAGTCAGTTTGTGGTGAATGTTGCCTGGCCTGGGACTCACCTTTCAACCACCCTTCAGGGCAGTAGCTTCTCCTATAGTCCAGGGCAGGTTCAGAAATGCCATCCAAGAGTCAAGTCCTGGAATCAGGGACCCCATGAGCCCACTTGGTGTTCTACCCCACCGTGGCTGACCTGATAGCTAACCTGGTGCCAGGAATCAAGCAGAAGTAGTCTCGCCCCACCCCATAGCTACCACAGCTGAGAATGTGCAGAGTCTCGTAAAGGGTAATTTGCATCATCTTGCTCTGTCCTATTCCCCTTAGCTAACTTAAAAAATGTTTTTTAGGGATGGAGTCTGTGTTATCCAGGCTGGTCTCGAACTGTTGGCCTCAAGTGATTGTTCCTTTTTGGCCTCCAAAAGTGGTGGGATTACAGACCTGAACCACTGCACCTGTCCTTCTTTCTTTCTTTTCTGCACCTGTTCCCATTGTGCTGACCTTCCTGCCTTCCTCCCTCCCCCACCCTTCCTTTCATTTCTTTCTTGCTTGACAGGTTCTCCATCGCCTAGGGTTGCGATCATAGTTCACTGCAGTCTCAAGTCTTGAGCTCAATTCATCCTCCCACCTCAGCCTCCCTAGTAACTAGCCGATATTACAGGCATGAGCCACCAGGCCCAGCCATAGCCAAGCCTTTTAAATGCATTATTTGCTGAAGTCACTATACACAGTCCTATTTTTGCTCCATTATGTACACCATCACCACTGCCTTTTTTTTTTGGTTAAGTTCCACATTCCTTATTTTATTATTATTATTATTTTATTTGATTTTATTTTTTTTTTTGAGATGGAGTCTCACTCACTCTGTCACCCAGGCTGGAGTGCAGTGGTGCGATCTCGGCTCACTGCAATCTTTACCTCCCAGGTTCAAGTGATTCTCCTGCCTCAGCCTCCCAAGTAGCCGTGATTACAGGCGTGAGCTACCATGCCCGGCTAAGTTCCATACTTCTTTCTAGGTAGGGCCAGATCAGGTCCCTTCCCTATAGAAAGTCATTTCTGACCACTGTAAGAAATCAGAGGCTGGACATGGTGGCTCATGTCTATAATCCTAGTACTTTGGGAGGCTGAGGTGAGCGGATTGCTTGAGTCCAAGAGTTCAAGAGCAGCGTGGTGAACATGGTGAAACCCTGTCTCTACAAAAACTACAAAAATTTGCCAGGCATGGTGATGTAAGCCTGTGGTCTCAGCTGCTTGTGAGGCTGAGGTGGGAGGATCACCTGAAACCAGGAATGTCGAGGCTGCAGTAGGCCATGATTGCACCACTGCATGCTAGCGTGGGCAGCAGCGTGACCCTGTCTCAAACAAACAAGAAAAAATCAGAAATTGTGTTAGAAATTCAGAAATCAAAGAGGCTTTATGTTGACAGCTGATATCATCCATAACTGCCACCCTGGTTTTTCTCTTTACGGACCCCTCATGCCCCTTAAAGTGCATTGTAAGTCCCTAAGAGATGAAAACAGATTATCTTTTTTTTTTGGAGACGGAGTCTTACTCTTGTTGCCCAGGCTGGAGTGCAGTGGTGCAGTCTCGACTCACTGCAACTTCTGCCTCCTGTGTTCAAGCAATTCTCCTGCCTCAGCCTCCTGAGTAGCTGGGATTATAGGCATGCACCCCAACACCTGGCTAATTTTTGTGTTTTTAGTAGAGACAGGGTTTCACCATGTTGGCCAGGCTGGTCTTGAACTCCTAACCTCAAGTGGTCCGCCTGCCTCAGACTCCCAAAGTGCTGGGATTACAGTCATGAGCCACTGTGCCCGGCCTTTGATTTTTTATACATAACATGTATGTACAGAGTGTGTATGTACATTTTAATGAGAGGTATGTATTTTCCCAGGGGTAGAACACAGTCAAATTTACTGAAATTTACTACTTATCTACAAAGGAAAGAATCTGAAAATCATTTTAAATATCAGTTTCTACAATATTTATCTTTGAACTAAAAAGAAATAAAAATATCAGTTTGGAGCATTACTTTATAAATTCAGATATTAGGGCTTTTTTTGTTTTTGTTGTTTTTTTTTTTTTTTTGACAGGGTCTCCCTCTGGCTGGAGTACAGTGGTGTTACGGGATCCTTGGGGTGTCGCCTCACCAGCCAGAAACTTGTGTGGCCAGTGGTGCCTTTGCCTGAGTTTTCCTCTGGCCTGCTGGGCTCATTCTACCCACTCAGCCTGGCAGGCTGTGCTCAGCTCCTGCTACCAGTCTGGGTCCCATGCCTGCCAAGGGAGAGCCAGTCATGGAGCGGTGAGGGGTGTGTTAGTGAGCGTGGGGTCTGGCCACTGCATACAACCAGGCACTCTGGCGGTGGTGGGGCGGGCAGCTCCAGGTGCCAGTACTGGCACCAGCTCCCTATGAGGCTGTGGCTGGACCAGGGATACCATAAGCAGTTTCCATGGCTGACACCAGGGAATGCAGTGTGGTGCCTGGAAGCTTGGAGACTCCAGGAACTGCAGCGCCTTAAAGAGGGTGTCACCGCTCTGGCTTGGGGAGCTCCTAGGTCTGGGCTCCCCAGAGGGCCACAGCTCTTCTGTCCTCTTGTTGGCTGTAACATTGTGGGCAAGGGGTGTTTCAGCCCTGTTTGTGTTACAGCTCTTTTAGCCCTGCCATTCCCTGGGTCTTGAGTTCTTGTCCTGCATCCAGCAAGAATGAAGTACACAGACAAGAGACAAGTGGAGAGTGAGCAAGACAAAGAGGAGCTTTATTGAGCAATAGAACAACTCAGAGGAGACCTGTAGTGGGCAGCTCCTCTCCGTAGCCAGCATGTCCCGATGAGTGTTCAGCTTTCAGCAGAGAGGGTAGCTCCTCTCTGAAGCTGGTTGTCCCATCATTTCTTCAGCTCTCAGTAGAGAGGGTAGCTTTTCTCTGCTGGGCAGGTCATCCCGACGAGTGTCCAGCTCTCAGAAGAGAGGGTAGTTCATCTCTCCAGCTGGCTATCTGGTCGTCTCTTCAGCCCTCAGCAGAGAGGAGACCCTGGGGTGGGCAGCTTCTCTCTGCAGCTGCTCTCCCATCATCTGGCTGAATATGGGGCTTTTATGGGCCTCAGGGGAGGAAGTGTGTGCGAAATGGTCCGTGGGCAAACATGGGCGGGCCTGGAAAAGGCACCACAAGTTCCCACCCCAGTCAGTAGGATCAGCAGTCTGACACCCAGGCTTCAGGCCCTCCCCGACTTGAAGGTGGTGCTTCACCAAGGACTCACCCACTCCTGCCCAGGAGCTTGTCTGCCTCCTGCTGCCATTTATGGTGCCCAGGCTGTTTGTGCCAAGGAGTGTCTGTGGGCCAGCGCTGAGCTGCCCTCAGCACCCCCTTGGCCTCTCTTCTGTGCTCATTGGTGCCCAAAGTCCGCAGCAGGCTGAAGTGGCAGGGGCTGGTGTGTCAGCACTGCCCCCGAGCCTGTGCACACCCAGCCAGGTTGTGACAGACCTAGGGTTGGCCTCAACTTTGCCTTGTGAGTGGAACAGGCGCTGATATTGAGGAAAGTCCAGGCAGTGGGAGCAGACACCTCCGAGCCTGCAGGGGCAAGGTGGGGCCTTCCCAGGCCCCGGAGAGTGCAGAGATGCCTGGATCTGCAGCTGTAGCTTGGGCAGCTGTAGCCACCCCTGGGAGGGTGGGAATCCTGCATGCCCCTGGCTCCCACTGGCTCCATGGAGCATGGCATATGCACATCCTGGGCCCACCTCTGCCTCAGGGCCCCTCTCTGCCTGCCCCTCAGTGCCCGACTGTACTGCTACCCTGCTGGCAGGCAACTCAGCCTGGCCCCATTGCAGTGTCTCCCAGGACAGTGGTCGAGGTACAGGTGGCATGGCAGCCCTGGCCAGCGCCACACAAATGAACCTGACGCACCCAGGGCTGGCCTCACAAGTCCTAGCTGTACCCTTCAGCCAGGTGCTCACAGACCCTTGGGATGCGGTAGGAAGCAAGGTTGAGGCTGTGGCGGAGACTCCAGGCCTGGGAGTGGTTCCTGCCTGGCCCTGTGATGGTGGGGGTGGTTCAGTCAGGTGCCTCCAGGACATGGGGCACAGGAAACCCACTGCCACCACTGCCGCTCCCACAGCTGCTCTTGCCACCACCGCTTATGCCTCCCCACTGCAACTGATGTGATGGCAGCAGCCAGTCTAGATGGCCCGCCACTGCCATGAGTGGCTTGATCTTGCCTCACTGCAGCCTCAACCTCCTGGGAGCAAGCGATCCTCCCACGTCAGCCTCCTGAGTAGCTGGGAATATGGGCATGAACCACCATACCCAGCTGATTTTTGTGGGTTTTTTTTTTTTTTGTAGAGACGGGGTTTTGCCATGTTGCCCAGGCTGGTCTCAAACCCTTGAGCTCAAGTGATCCACCCACCTTGGCCTCCCAAAGTGCTGGGATTGCAGGCATGAGCGACCACACCTGGCCCCAGATTTTTTTTTTCTTTTTTGATTTCATGTCCCTTGAGTCTTTTTTTTTCTCAGATTTTAGTATTAACAAGTAATAATTAGCAGGAATAATATAAAAATAATTCAGTAGTTTTACAAAGCAAGAACAGAGATGGGCAGTGTAAATGTGGAAATGTATGGCACTGGTCCTTATTTCTCAGTAGGGGAAACAGACCAAATGGACCTAAAGGCAGTTCCCAGGGCCACAGATGCAGTATCATTGCTGGGGTAGGTTCCTTCCATCCAAGTATCCTAAGTCACTCCCTTTCACAGTAATTATTTGCATGTTTTAATAATTAATGGTAAAGATATTACTTATAGATTTTGTGAAAGGAAAATAAATCTAGGGACCCCAAACTCATTAAGCCAAAGGGAAAAGTTAAGCTGGGAACTGGGTCACACAAACCTGTCCCTTTTGGTTCCTAAATAAGATGGCTACAAGATGAAAAGCTACATGCTTCCGCCATATTTTGCCCACAAGCAAATTCATAGTGAGCTCCAAGATCTTTACCCTGAGGTTTTTCTGCTAAAATTTTACCATGGCAATGTAAATTGATAGCATATCCTTACAGGTGCAGTCACCCCCCTGCCCACCAGACAAATGCATATCTGATTGTTCTCCTGCCCCATTTTGTTTGGGTTATCTTATGTAAAAGTGCCGTCTCTACAAATAATAATAATAATAATAATCAAAAAATTAGCCAGGCATAGTGGCACGTGACTGTAGTCCCAGCTACTCAGGAGGCTGAGACAGGAAGATCACTTAAGCCCTGGAGGTTGAGGTTATAATGAGCCATGATGGAGCCACTGTACTCCAGCATGGGTGAAAAAGCGAGAGGCTGTCTCTAAAAAAATAAAGTGCAGATTCACTGGGCCAGACAAAGGCGTGAATTACTATTTTCCCTAACCCCCCTTACATGAAAATTGTGTACTTCTCAGTAACCTGCCCTTTCCCCTTTAAATTTGGAGCCCTCAAAATTATCTTCAGAGAAAGGCGTAGACCTGTCTCCCGGGCATATTTCCTTAACTTTGGCAAATAACCCTGCTGGGATTACAGGCGTGCACTACCATGCCCGGCTAATTTTTGTATTTTTAGTAGAGACAGGGTTTCACCATGTTGGCCAAGCTGCTGTCAAACTCCTGGCCTCAAGTGATCTGCCCGTCTAGGCCTCCCAAAGTGCTGGGATTACAGGCGTGAGCCACCATGCCCAACCTCTGCTTCATGTTTCTTAAGTGAATCAATAGAGCAAAATCATTTTCTAAAATCCTACAAGAGATATGTCAGATTTTGAAGCAGAAATTATCAAAGCTTTACTTTCCAGGCCCCTGCTCTTTGTCCTTCCTTTCTGCTGAATCCTGCTGTGGCCGTTTTTATGTTGTGCTGGTTGAGCTTCAGCACTTCTGAAACCCTTTGTGGTTGTATTCTCATTCAGATCCATCTGCGTTCTTATTCAGTGTGGCTCTCAGTGAATCTTCTCAAATTTAGCAAAATGCATCTTTCACATTTTAGGTGCATCTGCTGCATTTTAAATTAAGGCCTTCCCTCTTCATCTCAAATATCCTTAATCCTAAATAATTCGACTTTCTTTATAATTCCTTTTAGTCTTTTATATGCATTATTTATAGTACCTTACACATTTTGCAGTTTATAACCTGCAAATGCCCATAGCTCAGTTTATTTATTCCCTGGACTTTGTCAGTTTTTAGTTAGCAAAATCAAAAATTAAGTTTTATAATTATATCAAGTTAGTGATTATTTTTTCACCTGTTGAATTCTTTTATCATGAATTATAGGAAACGGTTTACACGAAAGTCTAATGCTTAGTAAATTGTATCTTTTGAAATGAAGTTATAAAATGCATTCCCTGTATTTTAAGATTATTTGCCAATACTTAGATTAAAATAGTTTGACCAATTGAAATTAAAATTGTTTTTAAGGTAGTCTAGTATTGGAAAAACATGAAACTTTATAGGAAAGAAGGCAGATTAATAAATTAGCAGTGTTAGGTGAGATGGCTTGGGCTTCTCTGCAAGAGTATTAAGTTTAGGTGCTGCATAATAGCTTTGTAAAGTACTATTCTGTCTGAGGACAAAAAGCATGGTGGAAATAATAGATAAAAATGTTAATGTTTGGATAGAGTAACTGATATTCTGTCCTCAGTTATTGTACATATTTGTGTACAGTGGTATTGTGACTTAATTAATAATCATATAATGACTTGATGTTTTTGTGTTGGCAGAAAATAGTATCTAAACTTTGTATTACATTTACTTTATTGACCCTGTAAGAAGAGCCCAAAGAAGCCTAGTGTTTGAGGGTTCGCTTACTGTTGAATTGTGGCATTTGATCACTTGTAAATGACTCAGGGGGATTTTACTATTGAAAGATGTTGGCACCATTTTTTTCCCCTCATTCTTTTAACACTTTTGCTATTCCTGAAACCTGGTAGAAAACCATTATCTCGAAGAAAGTGTTAGTTTTCAAGCGAAGTATAAGATAAAGGGCTTCTTTGTATGTACATATTCTTGGAAGAAGGGAATTATTGCCTTTGACCTAAAAGGAAGAGGCTGAGGCACAAAATATATTTGAAGAGTTTACTTGGGCCAAAGTAAGGACAGCTGCCGAGAAGACTCAGACCCAAGTATCCTTGAATATGCACGGTCTTTGTTACAAACAGGTTTTTTGATTTTTTTTTTCTTTTCAGGCAGGATGTGCTCTGTCACCCAGGCTAGTGTGCAGTAGCGTGATCTCAACTCACTGCAACCTCCATCTCCCGGGCTCAAGTGATCCTGCAGCCTCAACTTCCTGACTAGCTGGGTCAACAGGTGTGCGCCACTACGCCTGGCTGATTTTTCACTTTTTTGTGGAGACAGGGTTTTCACCATGTGGCCCAGGCTGGTCTTGAACTCCTGACCTCAAGGTGTTCCAAAGTGCTGGGATTGTAGGTGTGAGCCACCGCCTGTGGCCACTAAAATTTTTTTTTATAGAGTCTTGCCTTTTTGTCTAGGCTGGAGTACACCGGTGCAATCATGGCTTACTACAGCATCAGCCTCCTGCTTTGGCATCCTGATGTGTGCCACCATGTCCGTCTTTTTTTTTTTTTGAAACAGAGTTTCACTCTTGTCGCCCAGGCTGGAGTGCAGTGGTACGATCTCGGCTCACTGCAGTCTCCGCCTCCCAGGTGCAAGCAATTCTCCTGCCTCAGCCTCCAGAGTAGCTGGGATTACAGGCGCCTGCCACCACACCCAGCTAATTAGTAGAGACGGGGTTTCACCATGTTGGCCAGGCTGGTCTCAAACTCCTGACCTCTGGTGATCTGCCTGCCTCAGCCTCCCAAAGTGCTGGGATTACAGGCGCGAGTCACTGTGCTTGGCCTTTTTGTTTTTTTTTAAAGATAGGGTCTCACTCTGGTTGCCCAGGGTAGAGTACAGTGATGTGATCTTGGCTCACTGCAGCCTGGCCCTCCCGGGCTCAGGTGATTCTTTCACCTCAACCTCCTGAGTAGCTGGGACTACAGCTGTGTGCCACCACACCTGGCTAATTTTTTGTGTTTTTAGTAGAGGTGGGGTTTTACTGTGTTACCCAGGCTGGTTTCGAACTCCTGGGCTTAAGCAATCCGCTGACCTCAGCCTCCCAGAGGGCTGGAATTACAGGTGTGAGCCACTTCACCTGGCCATAATTTTTAATTTTTTTTTTTTGTAGAGACATGGTCTCACTATGTTGCCCAGGCTGGTCTTGAACTCCTGAGCTCAAGTGATCCTCCTACCTCACTGTAGGAGGTAAAGCCTGCCAAAGTGCTGGAATTACAGGTGTGAGCCACTGCGCCTGGCATAAATCATGATTTTTAAAAGCAAATAATATTTCATCAGAATGAAAAGAGTTAATATAATTTTAATGGCCATTGCATTAAGGCCAACTTTGTTGAATGACCCATGCACTGGAGATAAGACCCTGGCCAATGCTGGAGAGAAACTAGGCTGATTTTGTCACTCTGTGCCTGCCTTCTAACGCTGAAGATCATTCTGTGATTCAGTAATAACAGTGTTTTTTCTTAGAATAACTAAAAATGCTTCAGTAGAGGAACTGAACCATAAGAAATGAGTTTTGGCTCAATTTTAGTTTAAATAGTAGTCATTAATCTAACATAGAATGACAGTAAATGCAGTGAGAGAAAGAGTGGGAAAAGTTATTTTATTTTATTTTATTTATTTATGTAATTTTTTGAGGCAGAGTCTTGCGCTATCACTGTCACCCACGCTGGAGTGAGTGGCACGATCTTGGCTTACTATAAGCCCTGCCTCCCAGGTTCATGCCATTCATTCTCCTGCCTCAGCCTCCTGAGTAGCTGGGACTACAGGCGCCCGCCACCATGCCTGGCTAATTTTTTGTATTTTCAGTAGAGACAGGTTTCACCTTGTTAGCCAGGATGGTCTTGATCTCCTGACCTCGTGATCCGCCCGCCTTGGCCTCCCAAAGTGCTGGGATTACAGGCGTGAGCTACTGCACCCGGCCAAAAAACTGTTTTAGATTCAAGAAAAATGTTATATGTTTTAATTTTATAGATAAGTAAATTGACTACATAATTTATATAACTTCAGAGATACTTGCCTCACTAACTGATGGTTAATATGGGGATATTAAGATATTTATTAAAGCAGTGCTTCTCAAAGTTTAATGTATACACTTATCACTTGGCAGTCTTAACTACAATTCAGAGTCCCATTCTGCAGATCTAAAGGTGAGGTTCTGGTTTCATTTGTAACAAGTTCCTAGGTGACACCAATGTTGCTGGTCCCAGACCATACTTTGAGTAGCAAGGTACCGTCACTTTGATATGGCCATTTAGTTAGTTGAATTGAACTCTGTAGACTAAAGATTAAACAGGACGGATTGACCACATGCAATGTTCTTTTTCCCCCACTCTGTAGATGGGCTTACTGCTTATTAGAATGTGCTGCATTTATGGACTCAGTGTGATGTCCCACTCCCTCCTATGAACTTTCTCAGGGAGCATGATGACACGGCCTCACCCACTGTTTCCCACCCAGATTGCTCATCTGTGATGATTCTTTTTTTTTTTTTTTTTTTTGAGGCAGAATTTCACTCTTGTCCAGGCTGGAGTGCAGTGGCACGATCTCGGCTCACTGCAACCTCCGCCTCCCAGGTTCAAGTGATTCTTCTGCTTCAGCCTCCCGAGTAGCTGGGATTACTGGCATATGCGCCACCACACTCGGCTAGTACTGTATTTTTAGTAGAGACAGGGTTTCACCATGTTGGCCATGCTGGTCTCGAACTCCTGACCTCAGGTGATCCACCCAACTTGGCCTCCCAAAGTGCTGGGATTATAGGTGTGAGCCACCGTGCCTGGCCAACTTTTCTTAGCTTTCATCACAAGCAAAATCCCATGTGGCCTGTCCTCTGTCCATGTGTGTAGTCTTATTTGCAAGGTATTTGCCTCTCATTCACAGAGGCGTTCAGTTTTAAATTTGTTTGGGAGTTTGATTAATGTCTCTACAGATTAAGTAAGCTCTTTAGAAGCAGAGACGATGTCTGTTTGGTTCACCATTGTGTCCCTAGTGTCTGGTAGAATGTCTACCTAGTGGTAGAATCACAGAAATATTTGTTGGATAAATCAATGCTGGGCACAGAGTGAGCAGTCCACAAATATCGTTCTTTCTTGACTAGTTAAGTATGTAAATCATGTATTAATACTTGTTAAATGACCAAGGTCAGGGGCGTTTTGTATTTTTAATTGATATAGTTGTACATATTTAGGTGGTACATGTGATATTTTGATATGCATATACAATGTATAATGATCACGTCAGGTAATTGCAATATCCATCACCTCAACCATTTATCCTGTTTTTGTGTTGGGTACATTACAGTTCTTCCAACTGTTTTGAAATAAACAATAAATTACTGTTAACTATAATTTTCCTACTATACTGTTGAATACCAGAATTTATTCCTTCTAACTGTATTTTTGTATCCATTAACCAACTTCTCTTCACCAAACCCCACACTGATGTTTGAATTGCTTCTTTTTGCTCTAGTTGACTATTAAAAACAAATAATAGAACCAACCAAAAAACCGCCTGTTAACAAAGTAGAAAGACAGACACAGCTTTGATCAGCTTACAAAAAATAGGTGTCAGCAGGTATGAAAATCAGTGTTAATTGGTTATTATGGCTTTATTTTGAATGATTTCTTTGTTTTACTTTTATGATAGTTTAACACATACAATGAAATATAACATGTCTTTAGGCTTGTGTCATCTGTTTTTAAAAATTAATAGACTTGAGTTTTTACATCAGTTTTAGGTTTACAGAAAAATTGAGCAGATAGTACAGAGATTCCATACTTCATACCTCTCTCCTGCCTTCAGTCTTCCCTATTATTAACATTTTGCATTGGTGTGGTACATTTGTTATAATTTATGAACCAGTATCCATAGATTATTGAGTAATCCATAGTTTATATTAAAATTAATTTTTTGTACAGTTCTGGGTTTGTTTTCCTTTTTTATAAAATGTAGAACCCTAGAGTTTCTATGTTTTGACAAATGCATAATGTCCTGCTGTCCTGTGTACACCATTATAATATACAAAATAGTTTAACTGCTCTGAAAATCCCCTGGGCCCCATCTGTTGATTGGAGTGCTCCATCTGTTCATTGGAGTGCTCCATCTCTCCTAGCCTCTGGCAACCAGTGGTCTTTTTACTCTCTGTAGTTTGGCATTTCCAGGATGTTATGTAGTTGGAATCATATATAGCCTTTTCAGATTAGTTGTTTCAGTTAGCAATATACATATAAGGTGTTCCATATCTTTTTGCAGCTTGATAGTTCATTTCTTTTCCCTTTTAAAAAATATTTATTTTTTATACAGATGGGATCTCCCTGTGTTGCCCAGGCTGGTCTCAAACTCCCAGGGTCAAGCAATCCTCTTACCTTGCTCTCACAAAGTGCTGGGATTACAGGCCTGGGCCACAGTGCCCACCCAGCTCATTTCTTTTTCTTGCCGAACATTTCATTGTATGGATGTACTACAATTTGCTTATCCATTCACCTGTTGAAAGACATCTTGGTTGCATTCATGTTTTGGTAGTTAAAATTAAGCTTCTATAAACTTTAGTGTGCAGGTTTTTGTGTAGATAAAAGTTTCCAACTCATTTGGATAAATATTAATGATCCATGATTTCTGGATTAGGTGGTAAGGTATGTGTAGTTTTGTAAGAAACTGTCAGAGTGGGCTGGACATAGTGGCCCATGCCTGTAATGCAAACACTTTGGGAGAGACTGAGGTGGGAAGATTGAAGCCAGGAGTTCAAGATGAGCCTGAGCAACACAGTGAGACCCATCGCTACAAAAAATTTAAAAAATTAGTGGGTGTGGTGGTGCGCACCTGTAGTTTCAGCTCCTCAGGAGGCTACGGTGGGAAAATCACTTGAGCCCAGGAGTTCCAGGCTGCAGGGAGTTACGAATGTGCCACTGCACTCCAGCCTGGGCAAGAGTGAGATCCTGCCTGTCTATCTCTCAGTCATCTATCAAAGTAAATAAAAAATAAGACTGTTATGGTGTCTCCCAATGTAGCTGTACAGTTGCATTTCCATCAACAGTGAATGAGTTCTGGTTGTTCCGCATCCTCTAGCATTTTCTGATGTCAGGGTTTTGGATTTTCACTATTTTAATAGGTATGTATTGGTATCTCATTTTGATTTATAATTCCCTAATGCTATGTGATGTTGAGCATCTTTTTATTTATTTTTTATTTATTTATTTATTTATTTCTTGAGATGGCGTCTCGCTCTGTCGCCCAGGCTGGAGTGTGATGGCGTGATCTCGGCTCACTGCAACCTCCACCTCCCGGGTTCAAGCGATTCTTCTGCCTCAGCCTCCCGAGTAGCTGGGACTACAGGCGCCCACCACCATGCCCGGCTAATTTTTTTATACTTTTAATAGAGACGGGGTTTCACCATGTTGGCCAGGATGGTCTCGATCTCTTGACCTTATGATCCACCCGCCTCGGCTTCCCAAAGTGCTGGGATTACAGGCGTGAGCCACCGCGCCCGGTGAGCATCTTTTCACATGCTTATTTGTCATCTGTATATTTTCAATGAGATATTTTGCCCATTTGTAAATTGGATCTTTTTTTACTGTTGAGCTTCAGGAGTTCTTTGTATACTTTTGGTAACAGTCTTTTATCAGATATGTCTTTTGCAAATGTTTTTTCTCCATCTGTAGCCTGTCTTTTCATTCTTAATAGTGTCTTTTGCAGAGCAGAAGTTAAATGAAGTCCCACTCACCAATTTTTTAATGGATTGTGTTTTTGGTGTCATATCTAAAGTCAAGGCCAAAGGCAAGGTCAGCTGGATTTTCTTCCATGTTATCTTCTAGAAGTTTTATAGTTTTCAGTTTTACATTTAATTCCATGATCAATTTTGAGTTAATTTTTGTGAAGAGTGCAAGGTCTGTGTCTAGATTCTTTTTTAAGACTCTTCTATTGAATTGTCTTTGCTCTCTGTTAAAAGATCATTTAACTGTATTTGTGTGGATTTATTTTTGGACTCTATTCTGTTCCATTGGTCTACTTGTCTGTTCTTTCACAGATACCCTACTGTCTTGACTACTGTAGCTTTAGAGTGTCTGAAAGAGGTTGAGGAGTGTCAGACCTTCAACATTCTTCAATATTGTGTTAGCTATTCTGAGTCTTTTCACCTCTGTATAAACTTTAGAATTTATTTTTTGATACCCACAAAATAACTTGCAGAGATTTTGATTAGGATTGCATTGAATTTATAGATCAAGTTAGGAAGAACTAATACCTTGTTAGTATTGAGTCTTCCTATGCATACACATGGAATATTTCCTTAGATCTACTTTGATTTCCTTTGTCAGAGTTTTATAGCTTTCTTGTTAAAGATCTTGTACATATATTGTTAGATTTATACCTAATTTTTGGTGTGCTAATAGAAATAACATTTGGAATTTTTTTTGAAATTAATGTATTTTATTTTTTATTTATTTTTTTTTTTAGAGACAGGGTATTGCCCTGTCACCTAGGCTGGAGTGCAGTGGCGCAATCATAGCTCACTGCAACCTTGAACTCCTAGGTTCAAGGATTCCTGCCTCAGCCTCTGCAGTAGCTAGGACTGCAGGCATGTGCTACCGTGTCCAGCTAATTAAAAAATTTTTTTTTGTATACATGATGTCCTACTATGTTGCCCAGGTGGGTCTTGAACTCCTGGGCTGAAGTGATTCTCCTGCCTCTGCCTCCCAGAGGGGTGAGATTGCCAGACATGAACCACTGCACCTGGCCTGGAGGAGTGTGTGGGTGTGTGTACGTGAGTTCATTTTCTACATGGACAAATAGGTCATCTGCAAGCAGAGACAGTTTTACTGCTTCCCAGTCTACACATTTTAAATTTCCTTTTCTTTTGTTATTGCATTAATTAGGACTTTCAGTACTATGTTAAATAGGAGTAGTAAAGGGGACATCCTTGCTTTTTGCCTCATCATAGTGGGAACACCATTAAATATAAATGCATATATAAAAATTTATATGTTTATATAAAATATATATTTACATAAATATTTAAAATATATATTTACATAAATATTTAAAATATATATTTACATAAATATTTAAAATGTATATTTACATAAATATTTACATAAAATATATATTTACATAAATATTTAAAATATATATTTACATAAATATTTAAAATATATATTTACATAAATATTTAAAATGTATATTTACATAAATATTTACATAAAATATATATTTACATAAATATTTAAAATATATATTTACATAAATATTTAAAATGTATATTTACATAAATATTTAAAATGTATATTTACATAAATATTTAAAATGTATATTTACATAAATGTTTATATAAAATATATTTACATAAATATTTATATAAAATATATATTTACATAAATATAAAATATATTTATATTAATATATTTATATATTATATATTTATTATTATAAATATATATACACCATAAATACTTTCTCACCATTAAATATGTTAGCTCAAGGTTTTTTTTTATCAAGGTGAAGGAGGTTTTCCATTCCTAGTTTGCTGAGAGTTTTATCATGAATTGAGTGTTGGATTTTGTGAAATGCATTTTCTGCATCTGTTGATATGATCATGTGATTTTTCTTGTTTAGCCTGTTTTTGTAGTAGATGACAATTGATTATTGACTGTTGAGCTAGCCTTTTGTATACTTGGAATAAATCACATTCAGTTATGGTATATAATTCTTTTTACATTGGTTGGATTTGCTAAATATTTTGTGGAGGATTTTTGTGTCTGTGCTAATGGGAGATGTCAGTCTGTAGTTTTTTTAAGACAGGGCCTTGCTGTGTTGCCCAGGCTGGAGGGCAGTGGCATGATCAGGACTCACTGCAGCCTTGACTTCACAGGGTCAAGCAAGTCTCCCACCACACCTGGCTATTTTTTTTTTTTTTTAAATTTTAGTAGAGAGAGTCTCGCTATGTTGCTCAGGCTGGCCTTGAATTCCTGAGCTCAAGTGATTCTCCTCCCTAGGCTTTCCAAAGTGCTGGGGTTACAGGTGCAATCCATCATGCTCAGCCTGTAGTTTTTCTTTCTTGTAGTGTTTGTCTGTTTTTGCTGTTAGGCTAAACCTGGCCTCACAAAACGAGTTAGGAAGTATTCCCTCTACTTCTATTTTCTAGAAGATATTTGAGAGAACTGGTATAATTTCTTTCTTAAATATCTGGTAGAATTCACCTATGAACCTATCTGGGCCTGATGCATTCTGTTTTGGAAGGGTATAGTTATTGATTCAATCACTTGCATGGATATAGGTCTGTTCAGATTACCTGTTGTTTCTACTGAATTTTTTTGTACATTTGTGTCTCATTTTCTTTTACTCACCGTTATGCTAACGAGGATGTTGTGACTGAGGAGTGTTAAAATCACCAACTCTGTCAACTTTCTTCCTTCTTTTTAAAAATTCTTTCCATTATAACTTAATGTACTTTGAAGTTCCATTATTAGGTATGTACACATATGATTGTTGTGTCTTCCTGATGAATTGACTCTTTCGTGTTTATAAAATGTTCTGGGCTGGGCGCAGTGGCTCACGCCTGTAATCCTAAGTGCTTTGGGAGGCCGAGGCAGGCGGATTATCTGAGCTCAGGAGTTCAAGACCATCCAGGGGGCAACATGGTGAAACTCTGTCTCTACTAAAATACAAAAAAATTAGCCAGGCTTGGTGGTGCACACCTGTAATCCCAGCTACTTGGGAGGCTGAGGCAGGAGAATTGCTTGAACCCGGGAGGTGGAGGTTGCAGTGAGCTGAGATCACACCACTGCACTCCAGCCTGTGTCATAGAGTGAGATTCTGTCTTTAAAAAAAAAAAAAAAAAGAAGTTCTGCATTATCTCCAGTAATACTCTATATCTTACAGTCTATCTACTCTTTGATATTAAAATAGTCCCTCCAGGCTTCTTATGCTTTACTGTTTGCTTTCAACTTATTTGTGTCTTTGTTTTCAATATTTATCTCTTCTAGGCAACATATAATTGTGGCTTCCTTTTATATCCATTCCAACAACTCTACCTTTAAATTAAAGAGTTTAGTCCATTTATATTTCATATAATTCTTGACAAGGTTGGATTTAGGTCTATTTGTTTTCTGTTTATATCTTCTGTTTTGGTTTCCTTTTTTTTCTTTTCTTTTTTTTGACATAGAGGTATGTATATGAAAATAGCGTGTAGTTTTTACTTCTTTTTTCTCCTCTTCTTTTCCTGATTTCTTTTGGGTTAATTTAATAACTTGAATATATTGGGGCTTATAGCATACCTTCTTAAATTATTATTCTTTTAGTGGTTGCCATAGGGATTAAACCATACTTGGAGTTAATATTGTACCACTTCATCTCTTTTTAAGAGACAGGGCTTTGTTCTTTCTCCCAGGTTAGAGTGCAGTGGCTCAGTCATAGCTCACTGCAGCCTCAAACTCGTGAGTTCAAGTGATTCTCGTGCCTCAGCTTCCCGAGTAGCTGGGATTGCAGGTGTGTGCTGCCATGCTTGGCTAATTTTTGTATTTCTAGTAGTGAGACAGGGTTTTGCCATGTTGGCCAGGCTGGTCTCAAACTCCCAACCTCAAGTGATCCACCTGCCTCGGCCTCCCAAAGTGCTGGGATTACAGGCACGAGCCACTGCACCCAGCCCATCTTATACTTAAGAACCCATATGTGTCTGTATAGATTCATCTCTAACCCTGTTCTTTATGCTTTAGGTTTCATATTTATTATAGTCAGATACATTATAAACTTCAGTACAGTCGTATGATTTTTGCTTTGAACACTCCTGTGTATTTTATAGAAATTAAGAGGAAAAATAGTCTATTTTCCTACTAATATCATTTCCAGCAATCTTTATTCCTTTATGAAAATCTAAGTTTCCATGTGTATCATTTTCCTTCAATCTGAACACATTTTAAAGAACATTTCTTATGGTGTCCATCTGCTGGTGATGAGTTCTCTTTTAATTTAACTGTTTATTTTTTCTTTGTTCAGGAGGGATATTTGCTTGGAAATGGAATTCTGGGTTGACAGATGTTTTGTTGTGTTTTGTTTATTCCTCATCTGTTCTCTATTGTTTCTAGTTTGTAGTCAGCATTCATAGGTGTACTTGTTCCTCCTATGTTATTTTTCTCTAGCTGTTTTCAGGAATTTCTCTTTTATTTTTGAGTTCCAGTAGTTTGACTATAATATGATAAACCTACTTGTGGGTAACTGCATTTATCTGCTTGGAGCTATTAGAGCTTCTTGCATGTGTAGATTTATGTCTTTCGCCAAATTTGGGATTTTTCTTGTAATATTTTGTTCTGAATCATTTTCTCTTCTCCTCTGGAACTTCAGTTCAATATATGTTAAGACCTTTTGGCCAGGTACAATGGCGTACGCCTATAATCCTAACACTTTGGGAGGCTGAGGCACTAGGATTGCTTGAATCCAAGAGTTCGAGACCAGCCTAAGCAATATAGTGAGACCTCATCTCGGGTTGTGGGGGAAGACCTTTTAATATTGCCCCATGAGTCCCTGAGGCTTTCTTTTTTGTTTTTTTTTCTTTTTTCTTTTTGAGATGGAGTCTCGCTCTGTTGCCCATCCTGGAGTGCAATGGCGCTATCTCGGCTCACTGCAAGCTCCGCCTCCCGGGTTCATGCCATTCTTCTGCCTCAGCCTCCCGAGTAGCTGGGACTACAGGTGCCCGCCACCATGCCTGGCTAATTTTTGTATTTTTAGTAGAGATGGGGTTTCACCATGTTAACCAGGATGGTCTCCATCTCCTGACCTCGTGATCTGCCCGCCTTGACCTCCCTAAGTGCTGGGATTACAGGAGTGAACCACCACACCCAGCACTTTCTTTTTTTTCTATAAGATTGGATAATTTATCTTTATCTTCAAGTTCATTGACTGTTATTAGAACCATACTCTATACCCATACAGCGAATTTTCTATCCTAGAATTAGTTTCTATTTTTTGAGATTTCCTGTTTATTCTTGTTGAGTGTATTTCTTTTATGTCCAATTAGCGTTATAATAGCTGCTTTGAAATATTTGTCTGTTAAATCCATATCTGTTTCATCTTATGATTGGTCTTCATTGATTGCTTTTTTTAAAAATAGTGTTTTTTTTTGTTTGTTTGTTTGTTTTTAATTGAGACAGAGTTGCTCTGTCACCCAGGCTGTAGTGCAGTGGCATGATCTCAGCTCATTGCAACCTCTGCCTCCTGGGTTCAAGTGATTCTCCTGCCTCAGCCTCCCCAGTAGCTGGGACTGTAGGTGTGCTCCTCCACACCTGGCTAATTTTTGTATTTTCAGTAGAAACTGTTTCACCATGTTGCCAAGGCTGGTCTCGAACTCCTGACCTCAAGTGATCTGCCTGCCTTTGCCTCCCAAAGTGCTGGGATTATAGGCTTGATCCACCGCACCTGCCCCATTGATTGCTTTTTGATGACTGAGTTTTGTTTTCCTATTTCTTTGTTGGTCTGTTAATCTTGGATTATATAATAGACATTGTGAATGATAAATTGTAGAGCCTCTGGATTCTGTTATGTTCCCTCAGAGTGTTGATTTTTACAGTCTTGTCTTCAGCAGTCAAGTTGATTGGATTCAGATGTCAAACTCTACCTCCTTCACGGAAGGCAGCAGATGAAATATTTATTGTTTTGTTTTATCTGGATTGTTTAGTACCTGTCCTGTGCATGTATAGTTCCAGTGATCAGCCAGAAATTTGAGTAGAGTTTATATATGAATTTGGACTTTCTTCTTCTTAGGCTGTCTCCCTTTCATCACTGTTCTCTGGCTTTCTAGCTGCTGTGGTTGTCCTGAACTCTATCCTCAGATTCTTCAAGCCAGCAAGCCAACAAGACTGTGGGTTTCTGAGGGTTTTTTTTTTTTTTTTTTGGAGATGGAGTCTTGCTCTGTTGCCCACCAGGCTGGAGTGCAGTGGCGCGATCTCAGCTCACTGCAAGCTCCGCCTCCCAGGTTCACACCATCCTCCTGCCTCAGCCTCCCGAGCAGCTGGGACTACAGGTGCCCGCCACCACGCCTGGCTAATTTTTTTGTATTTTTAGTAGAGACGGGGTTTCACCATGTTAGCCAGGATGTTGTCGATCTCCTGACCTCGTGATCCACCCATCTTGGCCTCCCACAGTGCTGGGATTACAGGCGTGAGCCACCGTGCCTGGCAAGGGTTTCTGAGTTTTTAGTCATACCTCTCCCCTTCTTTTGGCATCCACTGGGGCACACCCTCAGGCTGAAAGGCATGAATAAACCGTCTAGAGCCCTCCCTGCTTCCAAGGTATTGTTGATGTCCCTTCCATTTTATAGCTATTTTGGTCACTCTGTAGTGCCTACAGGCAGTTGTTTTGTGATATTTTGCCCCACGGTTTGTTGTTGTTATCAGTGGCAAAAGTTGCTCTGATAGAACTGCTTAGCTAATACTAGAGAAGTCAAAATTCTCCATATTAGTTTTAACAGTAGCCTTAAAAAAACAGAATGATAGCTAATATTTGTTTGGCACTTTTTTTGTTATAAAAGCACTTTAATGTAGATTGTCTGATTTATCATGATTGTTAATAATACAGTGCTGCTACATGTTGTGCCAAAAATATGAACAGGAAATGAGTCTGAAGTCTCAATTCAGCATGATTACACATATGAACTGATACAACAACTAAAATGAAAATAAGTGGGGAGAAAGATAGTAGTGGAAACTATAGGTATGAAAAGGAATAGAAGAATTTTGTGCCTTTGGGGAGGTGATACTGCCAGCAGGTAAATGGAGTCCATGTATGCATATATAAATTACTGTCTTCTGTATTAGTTCTTTTCATTTGTTATTTTTATGTATTTACTTGCCTTTTGAGATGGAGTCTCACTCTGTCACCCAGGCTGGAGTGCAATGGTACAGTCTTGGCTCACTGCAACCTCTGCCTACCCGGTTCAAGTGATTCTCCTGCCTCAGCCTCCCAAGGAGCTGGGATTATGGGTGTGTGCCACCACGCCTGGCTGATTTTTGTAATTTTAGTAGAGGTGGGGTTTCACCATGTTGGCCAAGACTGCTCTCAAACTCCTGACCTCAAGTGATCTGCCTGCCTCGGCCTCCCAAAGTGCTGGGAGTACAGGCATGAGCCACTGTGCCTGGCTGCTTTTTGTTTTGTTTGTTCTTTTTTTTGAGACAAGGTCTCACTTCGTCACCTAGGCTGCAGTTCTGTGGCACAATCACAGCTCACTGCAGACCCGTCCTCCTGGGCTCAATTCTCATGCCTCAGCCTCCCATAGCTGGGACTATCAGCTAATTTTTACATTTTTTCTCCCAAGAAATCTTGCCTAAGATTAAATTATTGTTTTTTTGAGACGAGTCTCACTCTGTCGCCAGGCTGGAGTTCAGTGGCGTGATCTCGGCTCACTGCAACCTCTGCCTCCCGGGTTCAATTGATTCTCCTGCCTCAGCCTCCCGAGTGGCTGGGACTACAGGTGCACGCCACTACACCCAGCTAATTTTTGTATTTTTAGTAGAGACGGGGTTTCACCATGTTGGCCAGGATCATTTCAATTACTGGACCTTGTGATCCACCCCCCACGGCCTCCCAAAGTGCTAGGATTACAGGCTTCAGCCACCATGCCTGGCCGATTATTGTTTTTATACATACAAGGTCTCACTACATTGCCCAGGCCTGCCTCAAACTCTTGGCCTCAAGCAATCCTCTTACTTTGGCCTTCCAAAGTGTTGGGATTACAGGCATGAGCCACTGCACCTGGCCTCATTCTTTTATAAAACTTTTATTTATAATTTTAATAATATTTATCACAGTTTGAAATTCTTTGTCTCTAAAAGAACCATGGGGAAAAGAATAATTTTTTATAAAATTTAAATTATTTAAAAATTGTTTTCTGTTTATTCACTACACTGTAAGCTGTGAGGACCAGGACCATGTTTTTGTATGTCCAGCTCGTAGGCCAGTGCCTGACATGATTTTGAAGGAGGTGACAGGTAGAAATTGAAGAAATTTATTGGAAATGTTCCAGATTTGGATGGTTTTCATTCTACTAGATAGCAGAAAATTTTTTGGGCTGGGTCCAGTGGCTCACGCCTGTAATCTTAGCACTTTGGGAGGCCGAGGCGGGTGGCTGTCTTGAGCCAAGGAGTTCAAGACCAGCCTGGGCAACATGGTGAGACCCCGTCTCTACAAAAAAAAAAAAATATATACAATAACTAGCCAGGTGTGGTGGTGTGTGCCTGTAGTCCCAGCTACTTGGGAGGCTAATGCAGGAGAATCACTTCAGCCCAGGAGGTGGAGGTTGCAGCAAGCTGAGATCGCACCATTGCACTCCAGCCTGGGTGACAGGAGTGAAACCCTGTCTCAAAAACAAAAAAAAAAGGAAAATAAAAAATGGGAAGTGTTAAGGCTAAGCTCAATACTTTGAGCCTCAAAAGAAATATTCAGGCCATGGTCTTGAGTAGTGAGACACCAGAAGTATGGAGATAGTGATGAAAAGCAGTCAATGCTTTTCATTCCCTCTTGCTTCTGTGTTTTAGGGTTCCGAGGTCCTGGCATGATAGGGAGAGTTCAAAGCAAGTATTTATAGGTTATTAGAATTGATTTTCTTAGTTGTGAAACTGTCTTGTTCCACAGCTCTTGGATAAGCACAAGAATACAGAGAGCATGGTGGAGCTTCTGGACTTGTATCAGATGGAGGATGAAGCCTACAGCAGCCTTGCAGAAGCTACAACCGAACTCTATCAGTATTTACTACAGCCATTCCGAGACATGAGAGAACTTGCCATGCTACGAAGACAGCAGATCAAGGTATTTTTTTATTAATCCTAACTAGTAGCCTGCCTGTTTCATAGTTCTCAGCCTGAAAGGCCATGCGTTATCCACAAGAGGAACTTTAAAAAAAAAAAAAAAAAGAAGGTACCTGGTCCTATTTCTGCAAAGTTTCTTGTTTGGTAGAATAGGGTTGTAGCCTGAGTATCCATTCTAAAGCACCTCAAAAGGCAATTCTGCTGAGTAGCCAGGGTTGAGGATAGCCCAGAAAGTAATGTGTTCAAGTTAGCACAAAGTTGTAAATACATTGGGAGGATTCCTATTTTCTCCCTTTCCTGCACTTTCCTTCCTCCTCTAGTCATGTCTCCTCTTTAATGTTTTGGAGACTGTGTACTCTTAGACTTCATTACCAGAAATTTTGGGCAGGCTGAGCGTGGTGCCTCACACCCGTAGTCTCAACATTTTGGGATGCTGAGGCAAGAGGATCACTTGAGCTCCGAGCTTGAGACCAGCCTGGGCAACACGGAGAACCCGTCTCTACAAAAAAAAAAAAAAAAAAAAAAAAAAAATCAAACTAGCTGGATGTGGTGGCACATGCCTATAGTCTCAGCTACTTAGGAGGCTGAGGTAGGCGGAAGATTGCTTGAACCCAGGAGGTCATGGCTGCAATGAGCCATGATTGTGCCACTGCACTCCAGCCTAGGCAACACCTTGTCTCCAAGAAGAAGAAAAAGTTTTGGGAACATTTCTTTTTTTTTTTTTTTTTTCGAGATGGGATCTCGCCATGTTGCCCAGGCTGGTCTGGAACTCCTGGGCTCAAGCGATTTGCCCACCTCGGCCTCCCGAAGTTCTGGGACTACAGGTGTGTGAACCACCATGCCCAGCCAGTTTTGGGAACATTTGTTTTAGAAGAACTTGTTAGGAAAGTTTTAAGTTTTTAATGACAGAACTTTAAATACATGAAATTTTTTATTAGTGTGTGACAAAGTATATTACAAAAAATTTTTTTCAGCCAGGCATGGATCATGCCTGTAATCCCAGCACTTTGGGAGGCTGAGGCAGGTGGATCACCTGAGGTCAGGAGTTCAAGACCAGCCTAGTCAACATGGTGAAAACCCATCTCTACTAAAAATACAAAAATTAGCTGAGCATGGTAGTGCATGCCTGTAGTCCCAGCTACTCGAAGGGCTGAGGCAGGAGAATCACTTTAACCTGGGAGGTGGAGGTTGCAGTGAGCCGAGATTGCACCACTGCACTCCAGCCTGGGCGACACAGCAAGACTCTGTCTCAAAAATAAAATTAAATTTTTTCCCCCACAACATGGGTGAAAAAGCATTTTTTGAGGCAAGCATTTAAGGGTTTGATTTTATAGCTGACCTTAAATGTTATGTGTAATTCATATATAAATGTTGCTGAACTAGAACATTAAAATTGTCTTTTTACCTAATAGGTTAAGTTGGAATATCATTATGTAAGATTGAGTATTTGAGAAAATTAGCAATTACTTTGAGAACCTTATGCGTGGGGACAGGGGTGAGTATATTTGAAAAGGTATGAGAAAGTAAGGTTGTCTGTGTGTCTTATTTTCTCTTTACTAACGTATCAGGGTGGAGAGTAGGACAGTCACACGACTTAGACATACTCCTTTATCAATACTTTTGGAAAATAGCTGTGCTGTCAGCTTTTTGAGGGGGGGATTTGTTTTGGTCAGTCAGTTTTATCATAAATTTGGCATTTGGGTTAAAACAGCAACATGGAACAAATAATTTTTAGATGTTGGAAATTCCTGGTTTTTTTTGTTTTGTTTTGTTTTGTTTTTTTGAGACAGCGTCTTTGTCACCTGGGCTGGAGTACAGTGGCATGATCTCAGCTCACTGCAGTCTCGATGTCCTGGGTTCAAGCAGTCTTCCCACCTCAGCCCCACAAGTAGCTGGGACTATGGGCGCATGCCACCACGCCCAGCTGTTTTTTGTCGTAGTTTTTGTGCGGAGGTCTCCATCTGTTGCCCAGGCTGGTCCAGAACTCTTGAACTCCAGCAATCTGCCCACCTTGATTGCCCAAAGTGCTGGGATTATAGGCATGAGCCACTGCCCAGCCTGGAAATTCCTGTTTCTTTAAATGAATCATGGATATTTGTCTGCTAAGAACTTGACTAGAAGGCCAGGAATAAACTGGACGACCTGGATACCCACCTACTTTAGACTGCTGCATTGTTTAGCAGACATAATCTCTATAGCACAGCACTGACTATCCAGAATCTGTACACATTCTTTTACATAATTATATCATGATTTGTATTGGGTATTAATATTAGCAAATTGGTTGACCCTACTTGTCAGCCTATATTGTCCACTAGCATCACTTAACTGCTACATTTTTCCTGGGAAGTAGAATGTAGGTGAAGAGGAACAGAAAACATATTTTGAAAATTTGTGTCTTTTCTGACAGTAAAAATGGTATTTCACTGCATTTCTTTTTCTAAGACATTGAGAAAATGCCCCATCAATCATGACTATTCTTTTATTCTTGATCCTACTTGTGAATTTGCAGATATAAGTTTTTGTTAGCCAACAACTAGATTTAGTTAGCAACTCATACATTACATTAGATTGAGTGTGTTGTATTGCTTTAAAAAGATCCGCTAATTTAATTATCACACAACCTTGTAAGTTGGGTACTCTTATTATTTGTATTTTCCTACTTCATAGATAAGAAAACTAATATTGGGATAATTATGTACTTGTTCACAGCTAATTTGTAAGTGGTAGAACTGATACAGTACTCAAATCAGGCATTTCTGATTCCAAAGATTTTTTTTTTTTAACTGCATTACTGGTTACTTGTTACTTCTAAGTTAAAAAATCTACTCAGACTTTTTAAATCTGGAGGAGCTAAAAAAAAAAAAGCAAGTATAATTGATTAGCAAAGTAGTTGTTTTAAGTATTACTAAGATGTATTAGTAATAGAAAAAAAGAAAATAATTTATTTTTATTTTTATTTTTATTTATTTATTTTTTTGAGACAGAGTCTCGCTCTGTTGCCCAGGCTGGAGTGCAGTGGCGCGATTTTGGCTCACTGCAAGCTCCGCCTCCCGGGTTCGTGCCATTCTCCTGCCTCAGCTTCCCGAGTAGCTGGGACTACAGGCACCTGCCACCACACCCGGCTAATTTTTTGTATTTTTAGTAGAGACGGGGTTTCACTGTGTTGGCCAGGATGGTCTCGATCTCCTGACCTCGTGATCCACCCACCTCGGCCTCCCAAAGTGCTGGGATTACAGGCGTGAGTCACTGTGCCCAGCCAAGAAATTAATTTTTTTTTTTTTTTTTTTTTTTTTTACTTTTAAAACCTTTTTGTTAAAAACTGGAGCACAATCACACATCTAGGGCCTACCCAGGATCAGGATCATCGAGATGTCACTAGGCCAATCAAACAGATTTTTCAGCTCCAATATAATTTTATCAAACCCCTATTGTATATGTGTTTCATTGTTGACTGAAACATCATTACGCAGCACGTGACTATAATAGAATAATTTTTGGCAATGCAAAGGAATGAACTGATGGACACAGCATGGGTAAATCTTAAAATCATGCTAAGTCAAAGAAGCCAAATACAAAAGAATATATAATGCATAAAGGGGGATGGACTTAAAAGGGGCACGAAGAATCTTTTGGAGTTGATGGAAATGGTCAGTATTTGATTAATGTTGTTTCAGAGGTGTATACAGCTGTCAAAACTCATTGAGTTGACCACTCTAAATGGATTCACTTGGTTGTATATAAATTAAGCCATAGTAAAATTGCTTACAGGAAATATGCTGAGGAAAAGACATCTAACACAAAGAGCATAAACTTTGTGATACCTTTATTTGAAATTCTAGGCCAGGTGTAGTGGCTCATGCCTGTAATCCCAGCACTTTGGGAGGCCGAGGCGGGCGGATCACAAGGTCAGGAGATGGAGACCACACTGGCTAACACGGTGAAACCCTGTCTCTACTAAAAATACAAAAAAAATTGGCCGGGCATGGTGGTGGCCACCTGTAGTCCCAGCTACTTGGGAGGCTGAGGTGGGAGAATGACATGAACCTGGGAGGTGGAGCTTGCAGTGAGCCGAGATCATGCCACTGCATTCCAACCTGGGTGACAGAGCGAGACACTGTCTCAAAAAATAAAAAAAAAATAAGAAATTCTAGAAATGATGATTTTGATCTGTACTAACAGAAAGCTAAATAATTGTTGCCTTGGGTGGCTTAGGGGAAATTGACAGGGAGCAAGCACCACAGACAACTTTGGAGTGATTCTTTAAATCTAGATTTTAGTGATAAAAATGAATGTACACATTTGTCAAAATCAATCACAATTTACATTCAAAATGTTGCCTTTTGTAGGCAAGTTATATCTCAATAAACGTGATTTTTTAAAAAAAGTTAAATGTGAAGAATGTACACACTTATATAAGAAGCACACAAAATGGGGTGATCAGTGCCTAAAGATATATGTGAAAAGAGGGACTATCTAGTGCTTCACTATTGAAGAATGAATAAGAATTTTCAGTAGGAAGTGGGTACGTTACAATCTCTGTCAGAGATTGGAATAGAGAATATTCCTGATGAAGAGATGTACAAAGAGGAATGGTTTAGTGCTTATACTTAGTGCTTGTGCTTTAACCAGGTAATGTGGTATTGGCACTAACTTAATTGAATCTTCACACCAATCCAGCACCATTGATGGTTGCCAGAAAGTAGCGTGGTTGGGATTGAACACGTGTTTGATAGCAAAACCTGCTGTTATCCACAGGGTGTGAATTGTTTGGTATGCTTTTAGTCTAAGGATTTATAGAAGATGAGAGGAAAGATGGTTGGAATGTTATTATATTCTATGGACAGTTGTGTCTGTTGGGTTCTAATCAAAATATCAAACCGGTTATTTCAACAGAGAATGATAATAATAATAATAATTATTATTATTTTGAGACGGAGTTTCACTCTTGTTGCCCAGGCTGGAGTGCAGTGGTGCAGTCTCACCGCAACCTCTGCTTCCCGGGTTCAAGCAATTCTCCTGCCTCAGCCTCCCGGAGTAGCTGGGATTACAGGCATGTGCCGCAATGCCTGGCTAATTTTGTATTTTTTAGTAGAGGGGGGTTTCCTCCATGTTAGGCTGGTCTTGAACTCCCGACCTCAGGTGATCCACCCGCCTCTGCCTCCCAAAGTGCTGGGATTACAGGTGTGAGCCACTGCACCCAGCCGTCAACAGAGAGAATTTAATATAAAGAATTTGTTAACTAGGTATAAAGTAGTTAACCAAATAATTGACCTTTTCTCTTTATGAAGAGCTTGATTTCCAATGGTTTCATTAACCTAGGTATTAAAGTATGATAGGAAAGAAGAGAACTTGGCATCCCAAATGTATAATGTATTTATATTTGTTTTTACATTTAATATTTATGATATTAACATAATATCTCACCTGTTAAGTATTAAGCAGCTCCTGCCTACCCAGCATTATTTTAGGCCAGGAAGTCTTTCTGAGATAGACACCCCTTTAGGGAGCTCACAGATTCTAAGTCTACTACATTGGGTCTCAAAAATGTGATCACCTGACTAGTAGTATCAGTATAACCTGGAATCCTGTAGAAATACAGATTCTTGGGCTTCACCTCAGATCTTCTCTACTGAAACTCTAGGAATGGACCTCAGCAATCTTTGTTTTGACAAGCTTTCCAGGTGATTATGATACACACTTAAGTTTGAGAACCACTAGCCTAATAAAACAGGACTTGAAACAGCTTAGGGATTTCACATACTGAACTGAAGGTTACAATTTTTCTGGGTCTGAGTTTTTCTGGGTCTTACCAAATTGACTGCAGTATTAAATCTACAAAACTTCAAAAGTCAGTTAGAAACAGCATTAAAAAGTGCAAAAAGCGTGTTTGTATTCTTTGTATTTGTAGCTATAAACACATTTTGAAGGTAAAGATATTAATCCAACAGCAAGGTACAAATTACTTTCTTTTTTTTATTTTTTTATTTTATTTTTATTTTTTTTCACAAATAGCACTTTTTATTTGCCACTATTTGAAGTCTGAACTTTAAACAGATTCTTGGACTGGTGGTTCAAAACCATCAGCTCGTTCAACTTTAGCACCTCTCTCGTCCCCAGTGGCTTTTCCAGAACTACTGCCTTCACCATGAAGCTCCATGAGCTTTCCCAATTCAAACTTGGGCTTCTTCAGCATTTTTACTTTTCTAACGAAGACATCATGGAGAGGATAGATTGGCAAGCCTTTTCTATGTCTTTTCCAATGCTGTCTGGAATCAATTTATTGACCACTTCTTTCAAGGCATTTGTCTGCACCTCTCGGGTCATGATTTCCATCATCTTCTTCCGGATTTGGCGGACCCGTTGGTGCTGGGCATAAGAGGTCTTCTGTATCTGATTGTTGCGTTTTTTAGTAAAACCAACACAGAACAGACGAAGCAAGTAACCATCAATAGTCCTGACGTCAACGTGAGCTTCAATCATTGTCTGCCATTTTTTGACCATGGAACACATTTTGTCACAGGTAAGATCCATGCCATGGAAGTTAGGCAGTTTTTACCCTGAACATCTTCAGTAATCAGCTTGAATTTTCTAAGTGCAACTTCATCATTCTGCAAATCAGCAAGACTCACTTCAAACACACGACCCTTGAGACCATCAGATGCAATTTTGGTTCCTTGGGTCCTGGTGATGAGCATCTTTCCAATATTTCTTATATTGAACATAGCAGGTGCTTTCACATCATACCAATCTTTCTTAGAAAATGGATCAACCACTTTCTTCTTGGCCCCCTTTTTGCTGCCTTTCGTAAGGTGCTTGTTCTTGCCAACCGCCATGGTGCTGGTCAGAGAGCCAAAAGGAAGTTACTTTCAAATGAAAGTAAAATGAAGTTGAAACTAGACGAACCTCTAGATTTTTAAATCCAGTGTCTTTAATGAGTCAGAGCCAGCTGGACTATACTCATCATCTTGATCAACCATAAGCACTTCAGACAGATTGTCCAACTTATTTTTAAATACTTCCTGAAAGTAAATAAGCTAGAAACTGGAAGGCACTTGCATTTCTTTCTGTTGTAGCCAGTCACCTCATTTTGCCAGTTGTCTCCTAGTAAATTCTTGAATGTGCATTTCATTCTTATCCCAACCCCCAGGGCAAGTCTGTAGGTGCCTTTCTGTGAAATAGAAAACTGCACCCCCTGCCCCCCACCCGCCCACTGCCAGTCACCCATCAAACAAATTAGGAAAGAGCCCTTTTTCATCAAGTGTAGAAATACACATGGCCTGGCAAAGCATGGGCTGCATTTCAGTATCTACTCCATCCCCTTGGCTGGGTGCTATTTATTGTGCAGGGTGCAGTTTTTACCACTGTATGCATCCACCGCATGCACACTGTGAACTAGGTAGTGCCACCATTATACATTAAGATACTCATATCTCACCTGAGCTATACTTTCCTTTAGTTCACTTGAGTTTCGATTTCTCTCTTTTTTTTTTTTTAAGCATAGTTTCTCACACTTGGCTTAGCTATAAGAATCTCTCAACAATATTTGCTCTGAATATAAAAACCCATGAATAGATACTAAGCTAATCATGTTGTTAGATCATTCAAGAGTCATCTTCAGGCAACTCCAGGGTCTGGAATATTTGCATTGTGGGTGCTGTTACATTAGTATATTCACAGTTTTTTCCCCCTCATCTTCTTCATGATGGTACATTCACAGATTTATCTTGGCATTGTTTTACCAAAGAATCTAAGGTGGATTTCCCCCCTACTGTGTTTCTTACATAAAAGCCAGTATCCAAGTGCTGTGCTTCATAATAATTCCACGTCAGGTAATTTGTATTTATAAACTAGTTTCGCTATCCTAGCTGACACGCGCTTTTTTTCCGTGTTAAAAACAGGCACTGTTTTCTTTCTAGCACTGAAATTGAAAACAGAGGTGTCATTGTTTTTAGCACATGATCCATCTAACCAGTGCTGCACATCTTCAAATTTGCCAAGTTAGGAAAAGTACTTAGTACCCTTGTTTAATGTCTTAGGTACAATAAACTATTAAACAAGTTGCTTACGAGTTGGCTGCAACATTAAAGCTACGAAACTTCAAAAATCAGTTAAAAGACAGCATTAAAAAGCATAGAAAGCATGTTTATGTTCTTTGTATTTGTAGCTGTACTCATAAAGGTAAAGACATTAATCCACAACAAAGTACAAGTTACTTTCAAATAACTTGCCACAGGTTAAAAAAAAATTTTTTTTGCCTCTTCAAAAAGCCTCAAGGCTGGGCGCAGTGGCTCACACCTGTAATCCCAGCACTTCGAGAGGCCGAGGTGGGCAAATCACCTGAGGTCAGGAGTTCAAGACCAGCCTGGCCAACGTCGTGAAACCCCATCTCTACTAAAAATAAAAATAAATTAGCCGGGTGTGGTGGCGTGCTCGTGCAATCCCAACTACTCAGGAAGCTGAGGCAGGAGACTTGCTTGAGACCGGGAGTTGGAGGTTGCAGTGAGCTGAGATTGCACCACTGCACTCCAGTGTGGGTGACAGAGCAAGACTCCATAAAAAAAAAAAAAAATCCATAATGCAAGTTTTACACTTTTCTTTCGATAAATGGTACATGGACTTAACCATGCAAGTAAGAATGATTTTTGTATTAAGATTTTTGAATTCTGAACACTATTAAATTTCTGTTCCATAGTTGTATCTGTTGAGAGCTAATCAGAAAAACTAGTTATTTCAACAGAGAGAATCTAATATAAAGAATTTGTTAATTAGGTATAAAGTTGTTAACCAGATAATTGAGAAGGCAAGAAAGTAACTCTAAGGTACTTCCAGAGGAAGCAATTGTAAAAACAGCTACCACTCCTAGGGTTGGAGAAACAAAGAGAAGGGATTGGAATTATTAAAACTGAAGCATAGAGGAGGAACCCCGTGGAGCTGACCTGAAAAAGAGGGCATTGCTTGCCTGGTGCTCAATGGAGAGACCTAGTTCTCAGAGGATTCAGTACTGAGGGGTTGGTTTGTCTTGGGGGTTGTACTATGAGCCTAGGGTTGAAAAAACTGCAAATTAGATTCCGTTACTGCTTCAGAAAGGAACTGCCGATGCTGGGGTGAAATAAGGCTTGGGTGATGCTGACAGGAACAGCCACCAGTTGAAGTCAAGGGATGCAGATAGAAGCATATCTCCTCCCTCTTCCAAACTCTTCTATTGGCAAAGGCTAAATGTGATTTGCACTCTCAAACCTAGCATCACAAGACAGAAGGATGAACTTGGAGATGAATAGACAAGAATGTACACACATCTTCAGACTTTCAAAGTTAGGGGGAACTAGCTTAAGGTTTTAGGTACAATCGACTAATTACGGATCTTTAACCTTTGGACAGATGTTACAGCTGCTGAGTTTTAAAAGTCAGTTAAAGGCTGGGCATGGTGGTGTGCACTTGTAGTGTCAGCTTGCTGGGAGACTGAGGCAGGAGGACACTTGAGGCTGAGAGTTTGAGGCTGCAGTGCGCTAATGATTGTGCCTGTGACTAGCCCCTGCACTCCAGCCTGGGCAACATAGTGAGACCCCCATCTCTAAAGAAAAGAAAAATTTAAAGTCAGTTAAACAGCAGCTTAAAAGAAAAGCATACTGGGCATTCGAGTATTTCACCTTCTGTATATTTGAATATATTAAGGTAGCAAACTATGTTATCTTCACATAATTGTCAAAGGATTTAGACTTTTCAAAAAAGGTATAACTTCACTAATTTCCATTTGTCTTTTCTTTGTATTGTTAAATAAAGTGTAATCATGTCATTGAGAAGAACTTCTATTATAATATCCTGAGTAAGGGATTTAAGTTTTGACTTGTATCATTATTAAATTTCTATCCCATACTTGTAAATACTAATTGTATGCTTTTAAACCTGTATGTTTTAAATTCAGAGGTAATTGCAATAAAAGAAAGCACACATACCAATTTTCTTATAGCAAACAACTCCACCAGAATCCTTAAATCTAAGATGAAGTCTAAATATGTCACTTAGTGCATAGAATCCCACAGTGGTTTCCTGTCAAATTAAATACACGGTCCTTAGCCTGACATTTTAAATGTCTTTTAAGACAACCTCATATGATAACAACCTACTTTCCTAGTATCTCTCATTACTTTCATTTTTCTCTCCTGAAAGCAAGCAGGCTGGACTGCTTTCCATCCCTTAGCAGGCACAAAAATTTTTAGGCTTTTGCTCAGATTGCTCCTCACCTCTCGCATGCCTTTTCAGTGGTTTTTCTCTCTTTATGTACCCGTCAAAATCCTACCCCTTCTTCAAAGCCATCTGCAGTTAATGAACCTCAATGAAGTTTGTCCTCATCTACACAAATGATACTCTTTCCCCACAATACCTTTTATTTTTCTCATAGGTGTTTTACCCAGAGACACACTTAACCATCTTTAGTATCTGGCTAAAATTCTGTTAATATAAAATTCTACTCTTAATATTTCCAGATATTACTCATTATTCCCTTTCGAAAGTCTGCCCAGACTTTGCACCCAGATTTCTACACCTGATGCTCCCCTTGATGTCTTAGGCATGCTCACTCATGACTTTTTTTTTTGTTTTTTTGGTATTCTAATTCTTTTTGTTTTGTTTTGTTTTTTTTTGTTTGTTTGTTTGTTTGTTTTTAGTAGAGATGGGGTCTTGCTATGGTACCCACGCTGGTCTCCCAACTCCTGGTCACAAGCAATCCTCCCTGTCTGTCTGGGAGCAAAAGGAAAGCAGTTTTTGCGTGACTCAGCTCCCAAGCTTATCTTGCCCTTTGATATAGTGAGTTTGGGGTCTTGAGATTTTATTTTCCTTTCACAGCATTGTTTAGAGACTATGGGTTGTAGGCCAGGTGTGGTGGCTCAAGCCTGTAATCCCAGCACTTTGGGAGGCTGTGGCGGTCGGATCATTTGAGGTCAGGAGTTCGAGACCAGGCTGGCCAACATGACAAAACCCCATCTATAATAAAAATACAAAAATTAGCCGAGTGTGGTGGCGGGCATCTGTAATCCCAGCTACTCAGGAGGCTGAGGCAGGAGAATCACTTGAACCTGGGAGGCGGAGGTTGCAGCAAGCCAAGATCGCACTACTGTACTCCAACCTGGACAACAAAGCGAGACGCCGTCTCAAAAAAAAAAAAAAAAAAAGGAGAATATGGGTTGTATTATTTCTACCTTCAGAATTCATTACTAGCTTTTTAGTGGCTTAATTATACTTGATCAGTGTTTTTTTAAGTGTGTCATGGGTGGGTTAACATTTTGCCTGTTTTTTTTTTAATTTATCCTAATAAAGTTGTCATTGGCTTCATATATAACTTGCTGATAGCTATTTCTCTGTATATGGTAAAGCAAGATTGTATGTATAAGTGATCCATTGCAGTTCTTGATTGTACCTTTCTTCCATGTTAAAACATACTTATGTAGTGTTTTGAAATATACTTTTAATATTATCACTTCTTTAAATTTTGTTTTAGCATTCACCTGGTTCATTCCTGTCCATCCTTTGATTTTCAGCTATCTGAGCCACCGTGCCTGGCCTTCCTCTGTTATTGTTATCTAAAGTCTTTTCAGTATGCCTATAGGCTGGTTTTTATATTGTCATTGTGAAAATCCAGGTTTTCAATTGTTTTATATAGTGGCTGTTAAGGAAATAAACAATTTAAGTAATTTGGGGGGGGGCATAAATAAGTCTTAACCAAAAAAGATATTTTATCATAGAGGAGGAAATAAATTCCTCATCGAGACACCTAAAAACAATCAGTCTTAACATATTGGTATATATTCTTTGCCTACGTATGGAGTGAGAGGGGGATGGAAGAAAGGGCAAAATGGGGAATAGGTTTCTATGTCAAATATCTTCAGTATTATTGTTAATTCACTTGTTTTGTAAACTAATAGCTTATCCTCTTGAGCAGGGAAGAACAAGTATTCTTTGTGGTATATAAACTTTAAATGTTTGAGGAATGAGTAGAAGAAAGACTTGAACTTCTTAATTTTTTCTTTTTCTCTCTGAAGATTTCCATGGAGAATGATTATCTGGGACCTCGAAGAATTGAGAGTCTACAAAAAGAAGATGCTGATTGGCAGCGGAAAGCTCACATGGCTGTACTGTCTATTCAAGATCTTACTGTCAAGTACTTTGAAATAACAGCTAAAGCTCAAAAAGGTAGGTTTCTCAGTAAATTTATCCTTTAGGTATTTTTGAAAATGAGTGGTTAAGTATTTTATGTTCAGAAAAATTACATAGAAAAGTATATAAAGATCACTCATAATCCCAGCAATTAGAGAAAACCACTATTAGCAAATTAAGGCACATCCTATCAGTCTTTTCATAGATACATATATTTAAATATATATAATTTAAATATGAATAGTAAATAATTGTGTTTCTACTAACATACTGAGGAAAAAACCATAAAACCTCACAGAATTAATGCTTTCCTGGAAACTTTGAAAGTTAATAACACCGGACATGTGAGAGTATTTTTAAAGTTTCTGAAAGCTAATTTTATAAGTGTTTTAACTGCAGAACGTTATTTCTGAGGACAGATTGAAGACATTAGAATCTAAGATACTCTCAAATTATGTTTTAGAAATGTCGGCCGGGCACGGTGGCTCACGCCTGTAATCCTAGCACTTTGGGAGGCCGAGGCAGGTGGATCACAAGGTCAAGAGTTCAAGACCAGCCTGGCCAAGATGGTGAAACCCCATCTCTACTAAAAATACAAAAATTAGCCGGGCATGGTGGTGGGTGCCTGTAATCCCAGCTACTCGGGAGGCTGAGGCAGAGAATTGCTTGAACCCGGGAGGCGGAGGTTGCAGTGAGCTGAAATCGCGCCACTGCACTCCAGCCTGGGCAACAGAGCGAGACTCCATCTCATAAAAGAAAAAAAGAAAAAAGTTATAAGCAGTTTATCATGACAGCAGGATTTGTTTCTCTTTGTGTGGTCAGTGAAATCTTTTTCAAATGCTTCAGTATTAAGTTGTTATTTGTCTTAATTTCTCTTTAAAAAATTATTAATAGCTGTGTATGATCGAATGCGAGCTGATCAGAAGAAATTTGGTAAAGCATCATGGGCAGCGGCTGCTGAACGGATGGAAAAACTCCAGTATGCAGTTTCTAAGGAAACTTTGCAGATGATGAGAGCTAAAGAGATATGCTTGGAACAGCGGAAACATGCACTAAAGGAAGAGGTAACAAAAATCATCAGAAATATAAAATCAGAAAAAGTTACAGTTTGTCATTTTAATCTTTGCACAAGACATTTTTTTGATTCGATAGGCAGTGATTTTATGCCATCTTCATGAGATGAAAACACTTAGAATAGGTCCTGTGACTTAAGTTGTCATTAGAAGAGTTAGACGTAGCGTATTTCACAGCATCACAGTGTGATGGTTGGCAGCACTGCACTGTTGATCAGAGGGGCCAGCATCAGAATTTCTTAGTTGCTGTAAAGTTTTTAATACTGTAAAAACGTAAAGCTTTCCAGCAATTATTAAGAAAGTATCACTGACCAGAGAAATTCAGTAAAATTTCTAAGGCAGTGGCATTTTGTTAGGATTGATTATATAATGCTTTTATACCATTACATTTTGGAACTTCCCATTTTATTCCTACTGGAACACACTGGTCTCCCCCATCTCCCACCACCTCTGTACCCGCTACAGTCACTGTCTATCCTTTTTTACTATTGACAGTTATAAATATTCATACCCATTTTGTGGGCTGCCCTCATTGGCTTGAAAACACTGAGTACATATTTATTAAAGTAGCACATTTTAGTTGCTAGAGAAGAACAAATCATCATCTCTGCTTTAGTTATAAGAATACAGCATTATGTAAAATATGTATTTTTTTGGCTTAGGTTGTACAGCAAGATGGTTCTCATTGACATTTTTGAAGTGCTTATGCTCATATACACTTTTTGTTGATGGATTTTTATCATTATTTCATTTCCCCCTTATTTTTATTTGCTGGTTATTAGAAGGTAAAATTGGAACTTGGCTTATCCGGGAAATTGTTCACACTTTATATTCAGAATCGCTGTGCATGGATTTCATCCCCATCTCATGTTCCCCTGAGGCATTTCTACTATAATATCCTTTTCTAATTAGCTTGTTCCCCTCATGTTACTGGCTCTCTGGAGTTGTCTTAAATTCTAGAACTTTTAAACTTAAGTCCCTCTTTTTGCTTATAATAGAGTACCACCTTTATCTTCATCTTTGTTGTTGTTGTTGAAACAGTGTCTCATTCTGTCACCCAGGCTGGAGTGCGATCACAACTCACTGCAGCCCTGACCTCTTGGGGCTCAAGCAGTCCTACCTCAGGCTCCTGAGTAGCAGGCACGCACCCCCCCCAACACCTTGCAAATTTTTATTTATTTACTTATTTTTTTGTAGAGACGAGGTCTCCCTATATTGCCCAGGCTCATCTTGAACTCCTGGGCTCAAGCAGTCCTTCTGCATCTGTCTCCCAAGGTGCTGGAGTTAAGGTCCATGCCCAGCCCGTCTTCATTATATTATCTAGCATTATTGTTCTAACCTGGCTAACACTGAGTTATTCTGTCAGTGGACAGCTGCCTAAGAGAGCAGGGGAGGGTAAGATTTCTGACTACTCTTACTGTAGTTGGTCTAGAGTAGTAGAGGAAAAACGAGCATGAAATGGGTCCTGAGAGTTTGAGATGATTATCTTGGGGAGTGGGGGGGGTCCTATTCCCTGGGGCTGTCCCATTAATGTAATAGTCTGGATTGTATTTGAATTCTTCACAGTATTTGTTAAAACTGCCAGCTGTCATTCTTGCCAGGTTTATGCTTGTTTTGTGTATAATTTAGATAGGTATTGTGCTTTGTATCTATGTGTGGTGATGTACCAATTTTATTAGCATTAATTTAACATGCCCACATTACTCATGAGAAAGAGAGTAAATGTGAATTATTAAGCCCATTCCAGAACAGTTCTTTGCCAGTAGAGGTTTTGCAAAACAGTACTACCCTGTGATTTGTCCCCATAGGTTATTTTTAAAACAAAGTTCTTCTTGATGTGACAAAATTAAGACAACCCTAAAAATGAAAATGTTTTTAATTTAAATTTAATTTAAAAATTAAATGTAAAGTATTTCAGAATATTTGCCACAAGCGTAATACCATACTTGAAATAAATGTTCTGAATTAACACTGAAATATTAAATATTACCTAAGCAGGCAAAATTCTGTTTGACTTGAAAGAATTAACTGCTCTTAGGAGTTGATACTGTTCCTTTTAATTTATACCCCCTTTAACTTTTTAACTTTTTTTAACTTTTTTTTTTTTTTAAATTAATTTAGTTAGTTAAAATAGAGACAGAGTCTTGCTGTGTTGCCTAGGCTGTTCTCTAACTCATGGCCTCAAGAGACCCCTCATGTCATGGACTCCCAAAGTTCTGAGATTATAGGTGTGAGCCACTGCGTCTGGCGCTGAGTCTTAATTATAATCATTCTTACCCCTTTTAGGTCATTCTTGCCCCTTTAAGAATATGACAACCCTGTACTCAGAGTAATGTACATATATATGCAATTTTGCACACAATTTTAGTAGGTTCTCAAATTATCTATATCTGAGCCTCTTATTTCAGAATGACTGCCCATGTTCTGATTTCCTCATCAAAACTGCTGAAAATACTGTGTTTTTAGCCCAATACCTGTGAAAGAATCCTTTGTGAGTTTAACTAGTTGTAGCTACTTTATTCTACTCTTTCAATAGTATACTCCCCATCTAGATTTGGAAATAATAGCATAATCTGACCATGCAAGTAAGTCTTTATTTTCAGTTCTATATTGTTAATCCAGGTTATCAGATATAGCTTACGTTTTTTGTTTTAAACTATTGGACAAGATTAAAATACATACAACCACACAGGATTAGGAGTAGAGTATATGCTGGAAGTGTTATTAAAATAAGGATTAATGTTGAAATAAGGAGATTTTCTATATAGTTATTAATTGAAATAGATGATGATAAAATTAAAATGCCATCATGAGGTTGGGCATGGTGGCTCACGCCTGTAATCTCAGCACTTTGGGAGGCTGAGGCGGGTAGATCACCTGAGGTCAGGAGTTCAAGACCAGCCTGACCAATATGGCAAAACCCTGTCTCTACTAAAAATACAAAAAATTAGCCAGGTGGGTGGCGTGCTCCTGTAGTCCCAGCTACTCTGGAGGCTGAGGCAGGAGAATCGCTTGAACCTGGGAGGCAGAGGCTGCAGTGAGCCGAGATTGTGCCACTGCACTCCAACAGCTTGGGCGACAGAGTGAGACTCCGTCTAAAATAAAATAAAATTAAATTAAAATGAAATGAAATAAAGCCATCATGAAGCAAATCATGAAACATCTGGATTAAATTGTAGACTTCTATTTTGTGGTTAACCGGGATTAACCAGAAAACCCTTTAGATTCCAATTCGTGTGGCTGAAAGACTTTAAAAAGTATATCAGGGCCAGGCGCAGTGGCTTATGCCTGTAATCCTAGCACTTTGGGAGGCCAAGACGGGCGGATCATCTGAGGTCAGGAGTTCGAGACCAGCCTGGCCAAGATGACGAAATTCTGTCTCCACTAAAAATACCAAAAATTAGCCAGATGTGGTGGTGAGCACCTATAATCCCAGCTACTCGGGAGGCTGAAGCAGGAGAATAGCTTGAACTCAGGAGGCACAGGTTGCAGTGAGTCGAGATGATGCCACTGCACTCAAGCCTGTGCGACAAGAGTGAAACTCTGTCTCAAAAAAAAAAAAAAAGGTATATCAGTGTGCTTTCTTTCCCTGGCAGAGGATTTTAACAATTCCCCATCTATTTATAATTCCTTGATAATTTCTCTGAACATACATAATCTAATAGAATATGAATGCATACTAGTCTTGAAGATTAGCTACTTATTTTTGTCTTTCTCCTACAAGCATGTAGCTAAATTATGATTAACTAAGGTTATATTCCCCTCTTTCAGTTTTAATTCGTCAAGTATTTATTGAGCATTGATTATATACCATGGTGGATATGAGCTTAGGATTTGGACAGTGCTGTCCAGCAGAACGCCCTGTAATCATGGAAATGTTCTATGTTTACCCTCTCCAGTAGGGTAGTTTTCAGCCATATGTGGCTAATGAGCTTTTGAAATGAGGCTTATGCAACAGAGGAACAGCATTTTAAATTAAATTTAAATAACCACATGTGGCTTGTGGCTACCTTACTGAACAGAGCACCTCTATAGATCTCAGTTCTGCAAACTTAACTCTTTAGGAAAGCTTCAGTGAGTTCCTTAACCTGTCTTTGAAATGTAAATATTATATACCTTCTGGAATGTTATGATTTCATGAGTTAATGCATATAAAGCATTTGCTATAGCACTTGACATAGAGTAAGACCTGGATAAATATTAGTGATTATTACTATAATTGTATGTTATGTTTTGTGCCAGTATCCCAGAAGGGAATACAGAGAAGAAAAAGATACATAATTTCCATGCTTAAGATGTTTACTTGCCTCAACCAACATTTCAGGGTTCACAAAGCATGCTGTTGACTAGGTGATGTGACATTTTGTATGGGCCTTGCCAGAAACTTCCAATAGTAAGAAGCTGTGATGTGGTAGACACAGCCTGAGTCTGAGCTGAGGTGGGGTTTTTGAGGTCCTTGTCCAGGCAAGGAGATTGGTTTTTAGTTTTCATTTTATTTGTCAATAAGTAGATTATTCCATAGGTGCACACTATATATTTCAAAGAGTCTAAATACAAAAAGGTAGGTTCCACTCTAAAGGCCTTAGTTTATCTTAAATTCTGTTTTCACCATATGAATTCTGTTTTGGCAGCAGTTAAAGTTTAAAATGTTTTAGTCCCTGTCCTTAGTGCTTTATGTGTATTATCTTGTTAAATTCTCAAACATAACCTTTTATGCTATAAGCCCAAAACCATTATCTGAATTCCCTGAAGACAGATATATTTCAGAATCCCAGGGTTTTTTTAGATTTTAGAAAGGTAAGATAGAGCATATAACTTCAGACAAGTGTTATTAGTCCACTAATGAAACACATGGTCACATTAAATGGAATACCTAAGGATTAAAAATAGTTTATGAAAAGTTCAGATCACATTTTTCCACAAATGGATTGTGAGATTTGGTTTGACATTAAATTATGGGAATTTTCCATTTTCCAGGATTTCTGACATGTGGAATTCAGATAATTCTGTCAACTTGTGTTACCCATATTTGTGCAGTTGTTACTGGTGAAACCTGTATTTATACTCAGGCTTGTCTGTTACTAATTCTCATGTTCATTCTTTCTACATAATAGGGCTAGTTTTGGTTGAAAACTTGCCCTTAACATCATTCACCTTATGCTGTCCAAGGTTTTTATGACCCTTTAAAAAAAAGATATAGCCTTGCCCTGTCACCGATGCTGGAGTGCAGTGGCACGATCATAGCTCACCACAAGCTCAAACTCCTGGGACTCAGAGTCCCTACTGTCTCAGCCTCCTAAGTCACTAGGATTACAGGCACATGCCACTATGCCTAGCTATGACTTATTTTCGAACCCTCATTTCATTTCTTGTTGACTGCATATTTTCTGTAACTCAAACAGTGGTGGATGCTCAGTGAGTATTTTTTGAATGAATGATTCAGTCCACAGGTAGCTCTTTTAATAGTTCCTCTAATGTCATTGGAATTTTCTAGCACAGTAGGGTAAAAGGCAGAACAAGGGCATAATTCATTTGCATAGTTTGCAAAAAGTGCCATCTGGTTTCATGATAAAGTACAGTCAAAATAGGTATACATGAAAACTACTTTATCATTATTACACATGGTGAGAATGATTGTGGAGTCAGCAGGGTATGTTGTACTTACATGGATGTATGGACATGAATTGGTACTTCATCCCCTTACTAGATTTGCTGTAAAACAATAACAATAACACTTTGATATTTTTCCGTCTTTTTGGGCTGGTAATCCCTAATTTTTTCTAGTGGAAAGAGCACTCTTGTAGGAATCAGGAGAACTGAGTCTAGCTCAAACTTTGCTAGTCATTACCTGGATCACATTGGGAGGTTACAATTTGGTTTGGGGTACTGGTATCCTGATACTTGAAGTATGTTTAGGAGAGTAAAAGTTGAGCTAAGTTAAATTTTAAGATGGCCAATTTTTCCTTTGAGTATTTAAACTACTTTCAGGGCTTCTTTCTTCTTGCCCAGGGAAGCACTGCTCTCAGATATAAAAAAGACACCCCATTGTGGCACCCACCTTCCCTGCACTGCTCCATTATCTGGAATTAGTTCTCTTTTCACCCTGGATTCTGTTTCTCTTAGTTCTGTGGCTGTCAGCTGAGGACAGGAAAACTCAGTCTGGAAATTTCAGATGTTAAAACAGGGAGGAAATTTGGAGCAGGGTGCCCGCTCCATACCTCTTCATGCCTTATACTAAGGATTTTGCCTCCACATTGAAGATTAGATAGACCTCAGAGTATTATTTTGCCCTCACAGATTTCTCTGAGTCATAGCATCCTTTTCTCCTTTGCTGATCTCATAAAAGTCCTGTATGTTCTGGTTCTACAACCCTTTAGCTTTTCCCAAAGTCCACCACTGACCTATTGTTTGTCCTTTCAGAGGTTGGGATTTAACAGACTCCTTCACTGCTTGTCTGCCTCTGATGAGGTTTTGGTTATCTTTAGACCACAGCCCTTGGCAAATCCACGTCTGGACTCTTGGTCTAGATAGAACTCACCGAACCAAAAAATTGAGGGTGAGGTCACTGCTTGTAAGAGAATACCTACTTCCTTTCTCAGTTTGATTTTTGATATTGAGTGTGTGCTGGTAGCACTGCGCTTCTCAAGTGCTTTTAAAGTACCCTGGCTCTGGGCTGCAGTCAGAGTACTGTTCTCTTTGTGGTTGAGAAAGCTGACAGCGTAAAGGCATGTCACTGGGGGACTTTCAACTTTTTTCCTTAGCCAAGAGATTGGGCAGGAGAGAGAAACTTACAGAGTGCTAGGGGAAGAACTTAGCAGAGCATCATGAACGTAGCAGAAAATGGTCACTTAGTTGGGTAGAACCAGAGTAGTGAAAATGAACTCACAGCCTGGATCTGAACAATATCACTGGAAAGTAATCTTAGATTAAGGTTTTTAGACTGGTTTACACTAAGGTTTTAACTTAACGATTCCCCACTTGAGAATAAAGCCTTCTAACATTAGATATCTTACCTGTTTGTATGCTGTGGTAATAGAGAGTGTGGGTGCAGATACTGGAACAATGTATATCCTACAGCTGTGTTTGCAGAGCTGGGCAAGAGCCCCAAGAGAGTATGAAAAGGGATGTTTATCATCTAAAGTGGCGAGTCCACGAGTCTCAAGGTAGACATTATTCCTTGGTTCTTATTTTATGACTTAGGACAAAAACAACAGTTCATATTGTTCACATTCCCCTCCCTAGCTGCTATAATTAAACCCACTTTGGGGTTATATACGTTGTTTGTCACCCATAAAATATTTCCTAACACAGCGGGATCACTCACAGTCTTACACTTAGATAATCTATTAAGTATCCGTTTATAAAATATTCATAAAACAAAGTACCACTGTATTTAATTCACCTGGTTATTTTTAAATTTTTACAACTGCACGTTTAGACTGGAGCCTAACCATTGCTTTTCAGTTCAAAATTCTTGTGAAAGGGATTTGAAATTATATTTTAAGGAAAAATATTCTAATTATTGGGTAAGACTGTGTAGATATATAGACTGTAAAGCAAAAGCTGGAATTTTCTTTAAAACGTATTCTTTTTATGTGCTGACAGGTTTTACCAACCTCGCCAGACAAAAGGGATCATTTAGGAAAATAAGAATTCACTGTCTTTTTCCCTGTAGGTTGTCCCTGTACAGCCAGTCAAGTATTTCTTTGGTATTCTGGGACCCCAGTGATGTCTCACATGAGCTCGTAAACAATACTCTTAATAATTTTCCCTTTTGTTCCTCTCGTCTCCTCCTTTGAAGGTCACTCCTTGGGAAGCCACTTGAATCCAGGGCTCCTCACTATTGCTCCTTTGGCTCTGAGGGCACACTGATGCCCGTATCGGGGCTTTCCTGGAGCTGCTAAGCATGAACCTTTAAACTACCAAAGCAGTGGTGCTATGTTCTTGGAAGAATGCTTACTGTCTCACTCTAGAGAACTATGCTTGTCCTTCACATCTCACTGACTCTTGAAAAGCCATTCCTTTGGCTTCTTTTATCTGCCTTTTTCCGTACAGCCAAATAGAAAGCCATAGAAATAGTAGGGTTAGGAACCAGTTATCTAAAGTACACTTTCCCCTTGGTGGTTTCCTTCATTCCTGGCAAAAATTTTCCCACTCCAGCACCGAGAACTGACCAACCAAGCAAACCTCACAGAAGACCATCCTTCACTTTATGAGCCATGCCCAGAAATTTCTGGATCTCACTTTAAGTTCAGCCTAGGACGTTGATTACATTTACCTAAAGTGACACCTTACGGATTGCAAGGATTTCCATCTAAAGCAATTGTCTTCTGCTGTTCCAGTCACATATTCTCACCTCACTCTATAGTCAGCAGATCCCAGAACCTAGCCAGTCTGTGACCATGGAGCAAAGCAAAACCCCAGATATGTGGCATTAACCAGCTTTTACCATTCTTGTAAATATCTGAGAATAGCCCCGTCATTTTCATATATCTCTGTGAAAAGAACAACTACATAACTTAGCATCCACTTTTGAGAGGGAAAGCATTTATATCCAGATGATACATATATTATTACCATAAATATGCATAAGTATAACATAAACATTAAAACCTTATTTTTACCATGTTTGCCTACTTCCACCATATAATATGACTTGATTATTACTGTTTTATACATATATATATATATATTTTTAAAGTCTAGATTCCATGCCTACAAGTTTCTTTCTGAGAGGAATTACTTAATAGGTTTATGCTATCTGATTAGTATTAATTTTTAATACTAACTCAATTTTCTTGTCCCCACCAGCTAGAAATTTTTTAATTTGTATTTTCAATGCAGATGCAGAGTTTGCGGGGTGGTACAGAAGCGATAGCACGATTGGATCAGTTAGAAGCTGATTATTATGATCTGCAACTTCAGTTGTATGAAGTACAGTTTGAAATCTTGAAGTGTGAAGAGTTACTATTGACAGCGCAACTAGAAAGCATCAAAAGACTTATATCAGGTATGGCGTGCATTTAACCACATAAGTTCACCAAAGATTGAATACATGAGAAAATACTTATGGACTAGGTATGTTTCTTTTGTTAAGACATTTAAAAAATTGTTTTCTGTAGGGATAGAGTGTGGGGGGGTGATTTCTAGCATTTATTGAGCACTTACTGTTTGCCAGATACTGCTAAACACTTTGCATACATTCACTCTATGAGGTGTATTAAATAATAATCACCACTTACAAAGAAGCTTAAGAGATAATGGCTTTGCCTGAGGTTGCAGAGCCAGTAATGAGATTAGAACCTTGTTCTTTCCAAACCCTAGCCCATATTCTTTACCACTACTCTTTTTTGCTGTTCTGTAACAGAAAAAAGAGATGAAGTGGTATACTATGACACTTACGAAAGCATGGAGGCCATGCTGGAGAAGGAAGAGATGGCAGCATCTGCGTACTTACAGAGAGAAGAGCTGCAGAAACTTCAGCAGAAAGCACGCCAGCTGGAAGCAAGACGTGGACGGGTTTCTGCCAAGAAATCCTACCTCAGAAATAAAAAGGTATTTAAATATTGCTTTTGTTCATTATTTAGTCTTTTATCCGTATCTACTAATCTCATCTGTTTTGTCTTTAAAACTTGCTTATGTTTTAAAACTAAGTAAGCACTATCTCTTATCAGTGCTCAATGCGTTTATAGTGCTCTGAGAATTGCCCTCTTAAACACATTGGAACAGCCAATAGTGATGTTCTCTTTACCTCTAGAAACACTAATGGTGACTCTGCTAAAGGCCTTGACTACAGGATCCCTGATAATGTGATTCCTGGCTCCCTTTTTATTTAAGGAGGCCCAGCGATGTTTTTTACAAGCCCTGATTCTGACCTTAAAGAATTTTATAGATTGTTATTTCTTTATTTAACTTTGATTACATTTTAGAATGTTTGATTCTTGATATTTGGAATGACTCATTTTGTGGAAATGTGATTCTTCCTGTGTCTTAAAAAATGTTTTGCACTCTAGTCCAGATGTTAACTATCGTGGAGCTGTTTCTAGTCACTGTAAGTGTAGAGTTGGAATCTGGAACTAGCTCTCCAACCTAGACCAAACTGATGACTGTGTGGTACTGATTCGCTTTAAGCTCAAGTATTATAAAAGTATGTCATGTTCTCTGAGAACCCACCTTCCTGCTCTTCACCACATTCCAAGGCTACCACTTCCTCATTCCACAGAAAATCAATACCTTTGCTTTTTGAAATAGATAGCTCTTGCACATTAAAGAAACTCAGACAGGCATGTATCCACAGTAAGTCAAGAACCCAGGACCTTCTATCACGTTGTCCATCAACAGAACAGTTACCTTGCCATCCAGAGCCCTGGCTTTCACATAATTATGTGCCTTTGCTATTTCCCCGTGACAGTGGTAATTGAAACCCACTGCTGTGTCAGCCCTGGTTGTGAGCTTCATTTCACGTTCCAATCTGCACCAACCAGGTAAACATTGCAGGCTGGGCGCGGTGGCTCATGCCTGTAATCCCAGCACTTTGGGAGGCTGAGGTGGGTGGATCACCTGAGGTCAGGAGTTCGAGACCAGCCAACATGGTGAAACCCTGTCTCTACTAAAAATACAAAAAATTAGCCAGGCATGGTGGCACGCGCCTGTAATCCCAGCTACTCGGGAGGCTGAGGCAGGAGAATCGCTTGAACCCAGAAGGTGGAGGTTGCAGTGAGCCAAGATGGCACCATTGCACTCCAGCCTGGACAACAAGAGTGAAACTCCGTCTCAAAAAAAAAAAAAAAAAAACATTGCAGTGATTTCAGCAGGTCTTATAGAACAGTTTTAGGGGAGAATGAAAAGTAAATAAGATTTCAGAAGAGCACATTTTTGAGGAATATTAGGAGTATTTTATATATTACTTTTAGGTGTATAGTGCAGTACTTTTGAGACTCGGAATTTGCAAACCTGCAAGTTTTTGAAAATGCTATGCAATTCAGACTTAATTGAAAGTCTGATTTCATTTTAATTCACCAGTATGCTAGGCACATTGTTAGACTTAGGATACAAAGATGAGCAAGGCATAGTCCCTGCTCCTCCTAGTCTTTTAGAGAAGGCAAACCAGGTGAACAGATGAGTGTTCTGCCGGCCAAAAACAGCAAGAGCAGGGAGTGAGGAAAGGCTTCTCTGAAGAGATGACACTTGTACTGGCTTTTAACATCTGAATAGAAATTGGCCAGATTGATGGTGTTGGGGTAATTACAAGCAGGACAGAATAGTTTTTAGCAAAGACACTGAAGCAGAAAACAGCATGGTTTGTCAGAGCATTCTACATTGTAAGACATGCTGCAGGGCGGGGACCAAGTTATGGGAAATTTTACATACCACATTAACAAGCCTGAGCTTTGTCTGTAGTATAAGTTAAGCAAAGGGGTAGTATGAACAGATTCACATTTTAGCAAGATAAGGCAGCATGAAAAATAGGTTAGAGGGAGAAGAGATGGAAAGGTTCTGATTGGAAGGTGTCATTATCCTCCACCTCAATAAGGTTGAGAGGTTAAGACTATGAAGTAAGTGGGTGCCTGTGCAGGGTAAGAGATGGACAAATCTTGAACTGTCTAGATCTGACACTTTGCAGAAAAAGTTAGTAGGATTTAGTGATGTGGTGAAGGAGGGAGGAAGAGCCATTCTCTATCAACCCTCTGGTTTCTGGATTGGGCATTGAGGTAGATGATGGTGTCACCAACCAAGATGGAAAACCCAGAGGAAGAGCACATATGGGTGGGAGGTGATAAGCTGAGTTTTAGACTTGCATATAAGAGGTCTTGGGCATCCAGGTAGAGATGGCTGTGAGACAGTTGAGACAATTGGGCACCTGGGTCTTATAAGAGTGTATGAGATGGTCTCAGAACAACATACTGAGCAGGTGATTTTTAAAATATTTTATTTATTTTTTTATAGAGACAGGGGCTCACTATGTTGCCCAGGCTGGTCTCAAACTCCTGAGCTCAAGCAATCCTCAGCCTCCCAAAGTGCTGGGATTGCAGGTGTGAGCCACTGTGCCCAGCCTGAGGAGGGTGTTCTTAGGAATGATGAGGTGGAGGTGGGAGGCTGATAGGAAAGAGCAAGGGAAGGTGGTGGAGCAGGATAGATACATAGTTTGAGGAAGAAAAACCTTCATTGTATTTAATATTTGTAATTCAGGAAGCAAAACGTTCTTGGCTAGGGGTGAGAAAGCATTGTAAAGGGCACAGGCTATGAAAGACTGAGCTGCTGTGATGTAGTGCGAGGAGAAAGGCTCTAAGGAAAGAACACTGGGGAACATTTGAAAGTGTGTGCAGAAGAACGGGATCAAAGAGAAAGGGTAATCGAAGTTGGAAGAAGCAGGAGAGCTCGAAGTCATAGAAGTGAAGATGATGATTCCACACAACAGGATGGTCAGTAGGCTCAGGTGCTCCAGAAAGGTAAAGGAAGAAAGAAATGACTCCATGACATCCAATATTGGGAGACTATTGGGGCCTTATGTTCAGAGTTTCGAGAAAAGTTGTGGGCAAGGAGTAGATCTTGGTGGTCTGAGAAGGGAGTGCAGCAGAGGTTTAAAGCAGTGACTGACGGAATAGCAAAGGAAACTGTACAGGTGAGGGGTGAAGAGGAGCAACCTTGGTGACCATGGCCCACAGAGCTGTGTACTCTTCTAGCAGTATTAAGAGCTTCAGGCTGAACTTAATACCGGCTTAATACCAGCTCTTCCCTTGTTGATAAGTGTTAGCTCATAGCAATTTAATCAGTATTCTTCAGTCTTCATTTCTGTGTTAATCTAAATCTGAAGTAGGGAAACCCAGCCTTGGAGAATCTCTCCATTTACACTTGTGTGCCTGTACCCCAAGCCCAGCAACTGAGGTGGCAGAACTGCAGAGGGAAGGAGTAGTGAAATAAGGAAGGGTGGTGAAAAGATAGGAAATGCAAAACACTAAGTCCTAAAAAGAAAAGCTACTGAGAAGATCAAATATACAAGGAAAAACAAATGTCTCCCTATGTAACATAATCCTATATTCCCTTGTTTACATATCAACATGCCCAAGGTCACTGGCTTCTTGGTTTCTCTGGCACTCATCTTAAGATTGCATACACAGTTCATGTCCTGCCTCACCCCTTGAAAGAGTGGAGATAGGTGGTCCCCGGCTGTGCTGGTGAAGTCAATGCTTTGTGATTAAACATTTCAAGAAGAGTAACAAAAATAACAATTTTCTTTGTTTTTTATCTTCTTTAATTCTCCCAGTAGTCAAATGAAATCCAGAGAGCTCAGAAAATTAGAATCATTTTCATACTTCATTTGGTGGCAAAACCAGACCTGAGCTAACATGAAGTTATTTATTATCTTATTCTCACTTTGACAATTCATTTAACTATTACTGCTTATTATGGGATATGGTTTCAGATCTTGCTTATTAGGATATATATGGTATATACAACTTAACACCATTCTCTAAATTATCAAAAAACTTTGAATTTCAAAACATGTCTGACCTCTGTTCTAGATAAGGGATTGTGGACCTGTATCCTCATTTATAAGCAAGGGAACCAACGCTTCTGGTAGTGACATAAATCACCTAAGGAAAAGCAGCTAATATGGAGCAGGGGTAGGATTCTGTCCTAGACACTCAGAGACCTGAGTTACTGTATCACCAAGTCATGACATTATCTAACACGCCCTTTGTTTTCCCCATTGCACTGGATAGATTCTTGATAGGCAATAGAGTGAACCAGAGTGGGTAAAGAACATGAAGTAAAAAATGACATTTTGCTTTAAAATAACAGTTTACTGACTTCAAAGGTTATTATTTGACTTTCTCTAATTGAAAGAGTGATCATTTTAGGCTGGGCATGGTGGCTCACACCTGTAATCCCAGCACTTTGGGAGGTCAAGGTGGGCAGATCACTTGAGGTCAGGAGTTCAACCAATCTGGCCAACATGGTGAAACCCCGTCTCTACTAAAAATACAAAAAAATTAGCCAGGCGTGATGGCATGCGCCTGTAGTCCCAGCTGCTTGGGAGGCTGAGATGGGAGAATCTCTTGAACCTGGGAGGCGGAGGTTGCAGTAAGCCAGAGATCATGCCACCACACTCCAGCCTGGGCAACAGTGAGACTCCATCTCAAAAAAAAAAAGTGATCATTTTAGTATAGCTTTGGAATGTTGGAGACTAACCCTTTTATCTGGAAAACTTCTCCAAATAGTTTCCTTAGGAAAGGACACAGGGTAAATGAAGATTTAGCTTGGTACTGGTAAAAAGTTACCAGAATATAGTGCATAATTTTATAAAGTAGTGCATATCTCACAGTTATTGCAAAAATCCTGTTTTATATGGTGATTGGAAAATATATGCTTTTTTTTCATAGTTTCTAAATAATTTTGATAATTTTGACTTTCTAGTCTTCCAGGTCTCTTGCAGCTCTTATGTCTGCGACCAAAAGATTCAGATCTCATATTGTTTAAGCCAGTCTGGACAAAAAATTCATGGTCTTTAACTTGTCAGAGGGAGCTTAACAATACATATTTTATATAAGTAAATACTTTCATATTCTTTTTTGCCCAGACATGTTTAAAGAGCATAATGAAGCCAGGTGCCATGACTCATGCCTGTAATCCCAGTAACTCAGGAGGCTGAGCCAGGGGGATTACTTGAGGCCAGGAGTTCAAGACCAGTCTGGGCAACATAGTGAGACCCCCATCTCTCAGAAAAAAGTATAATGAGATGTGGAATCTTCTGGATGCAGACTTCAGATCTGAAAGAGACCTTTCAGGACAACCCCCTTCAGTCCACCTTGCCCCATCCCTCCTCCTTCAAAAAAGAGAAACCAGGAGGTCTATAGAAGTTAATAGTTTCATAGAGGAGTCTTTTCGTAAGATCCTGATTACTTGGCTTTTACAGCTTCAGTTGTCCAAATAAGAAACAAGAGGTGGTCAATGTGATACTTTGTTCTGTAGGTGGTATATATTAAGATCAAAATTTAACCTTGGTGTGGTGTTCAGAGTCTTTCAAGTTTCACTTGTATTAAAACACATTTTATGTATTTACAGGAAATATGTATTGCAAAACACAATGAAAAAATCCAACAGCGCACTCGGATTGAAGATGAATATAGAACCCATCACACAGTACAACTAGTAAGTTTGGATTCGAAGATTTTGAACAAAACTTAATTTTTTTGCATGTTTTAGAGTGGATAAAATCTGTAGAGAATGATAAAAAAACTTATAACTGCATGTTAACATTAGTTCAGTTTATATAATGAGCAGTTTTTAGGCAAAATTGATTGGAGAATACAGAGTTCCTATACCCTCAACCCGCACACGTAGCCTCCCCTACCGTCAACATCTCCTATACTCCTGTCCCCACACTTGATAGCCTTTCCACTGTCAACATCCCCCAGAGTGGAATATTTGTTAAAATCAGTGAAACATTGAACATCACCATTCCCCAAAATCTGTTGCTTATGTTAGGGTTCTTTCTTGGTGTTTTGTGTTCTGTTGGTTTTGACAGTGTATAATGACATGAATCTGCTATTATAGTATCATATGGAATAATTTCACTGCTCCAAAAATCCCTTTGTTCCGCTACTCATCCCTCTCTCTCCCCAAGCCCCTAGCAAACACTGATCTTTTTATAGTCTTCATAGTTTTGCCTTTACCAATGTATAGTTGGAATGATACAGTATGTAACCTATTCAGTTGGCCTCTTTAACATAGTAACGTGCATTTAAGGTTGCTCCATGTCTTCATGGCTTGATAGCTCATTTTAACACCAAATAATGTTCCATTGTGTGGATGTCTCAGTTTGTTTATCCATGTGCCTATTGAAGGACATCTTGGTTGCTTCTAAGCTTTGGCAGCAATTAGTAAAGCTGCTATAAACACCCATGGAGGGCTTTTTGTGCACATAAATTTCAGCCAATTTGGGTAAATAACAAGGAGCATGAATGCTGGAGAGTATGGTAAGAGTGTATTTAGTTTTGTGAGAAACTGCAAAACTGTCTTCCATAGTGGCTGTTCCATTTTGAACTCCCACCAGCAATGAGTGAGAGTTCAGGTTTTTCCACATCCTCTATAGCATTTTGCTGTTGTTACGTTTTTGAATTTTAGCCATTCTGACAGGTGTATAGTGGTATCTTTTGGTGTGTGTGGGTGCGTGTGTGTGTTTAAGAGATGGAGTCTTGATAGGTTGCCCAGGTTAGCCGCAAACTCCTGGGCTCAAGCAGTCCTCCTGCTTTAACCTCCTGGGACTACAGGTATGGACTCCTGTGCCTGGCTTTTACTGTTGTTTTAATTTGCAAATCTTTAATGCAGATATATAGATAAATAGATACATATACAGAGAGCGAAAGAGCGCATCTGTCCAAATGCCTACTTGCCCCTCTATATATCTCTAGTAAGGTGTCTGTTCAGATCTTTTGCTCTTTTGTTTTTTGGAGTCTTATTCTGTCACCAAGGCTGGAGTGCAGTGGCGCGATCTCGGCTCACTGCAACGTCCATCTCCTGGGTTCAAGCAATTCTCCTGTCTCAGCCTCCTGAGTAGCTGGGACTACAGACATGCATCACCACGCCCAGCTAATTTTTGTTTTTAGTAGAGATGGGGTTTCACCATGTTGGCCAGGCTGGTCTTGAACTCCTGACCTCAAGTGATCTGCCCTCCTTGGCCTCCAAATGTGCTGGGATTACAGGCATGAGCCACCGTGCCTAGCCTTTTTGCTCATTTTTTAAATTGGATTTTTATTTTCTTATTGTTGAGTTTTAGGAGTTCTTCATATATTTTGGCTTACACTCCTTTATCAGATATGTCCCTTTGTTTTGCAAATATTTTCTCATGATCTGTGGCTTGTTTTCTCATTCTTTTGACAGTGTCTGTTGCAGAACAGAAGTGTTTTAACAAAGTCCAATTTACCAGCACTTTCTATCATGGTTCATTCCTTTGGTGTTGCATCTAAAAAGTCATTGCCAGTCCCCAAATCAGCTAGATTTGCTCCTATGTTATCTTTTAGGAGTTTTATAGTTTTGTGTTTTATATTTAAGTCTGTGATCCATTTTGAGGTAATTTTTGTGAAGGGTATAAGGTTTGTGTCTAGTTTAGGCTTGTGGACTTCCTGTTGTTCCAGCACCATTTGTTTAAAAGACTGTCCTTTCTCCATTGAATTGTCTTGTTCCTTTGTCAAAGATCAGATGATTCTGTCTCTTCAGTCTATTTTTGGGTGTCCTATTTTGTTTTGTTCATCTAGGTCTTTTGCCTCTCCATATAAGCTTTAGAATCAGCTTGTCAGTAGCCACAAAAAAATTGCTGGGATTTTGATTGGGACAGTGTTGAATTTATAAGTCAAGTAGGGATGACCTAATATCTTTTTTGTTTTTTTCATTTTAAAATACTTCTTCTTTTAGTTTTTTTGCTTTTTAATTATTATGTTTATTTTAGCCTCTACCGCCTTCTCCTACACCTAACATCTTAACATTGAATATTCCTATCCATGAACAAAGAATATTTTTCATCTATTTAATTCTTTGATTCTTTCATCAGAGTTTTATAATTTTCCTCATAAAGATCTTGTACACCTTTTGTAAGATTTATACCTAAGATACCTAAGTCTTTCTTCCTCTTCTTTGTCAGGGAGGTGGTAATATAAATAGTATTATGTTTTTAATTGAAAACTCCAGTTGTTCATTGCTGGTGTATTACAAAACAATTGACTTTTGTTAATTAAGCTTTTTCTTAATAATCTATAATCTAGATTTTTTTTGTCAGTTTTCTTTCAGATTTTCTACATCTGTCTTCAGACAGTTTTATTTCTGTATAGCTTTTATTTCTCTTTCTTATTGCATTAGCTAGCACTTCAGTATAATGGTGAAAGGAGTGGTAAGGGGGACATCTTTGTCTTGTTCCTGATCTTAGCAAGAAAGCTCTAGTTTCTCACCAGTAAGTGTGATGTTACCTGTAGGTTTTGGGATAGATGTTCTTTATCAAGTAGAGGAAGTTCCCCCTCTATTCCTAGTTTGCTAAGAATATTAGGAAGTTCCCCCTCTATTCCTAGGTTGCTGAGAATATTAGTTCACTTTATATAAAGTTACATTAGAAACCTTCTCCTACTCCCATATTGCTGTGCCGCATCCCACACAATATATATTATCCTGACAGTCATCTTTACAGATGTGTCTTAAATTAGTTAACACCAGTAATTTGTACTTAAATATCAGAAATGCCAACATGACCATATCTCTGTATTTGGATATTTCTAAAATTTTCTGTCTTTAGCATCATACTAAAGGCCAAAGGGCTTAAATTTGTCTCCATTACTCCTTAAGGCACATTCTTAGCTAATGCTGCCCCTTACTCTTCATTTTAACCACATAAAATTAGCCAAACTACCCATAAACTATAAGATTACCTTTCTCCTAGAATCTAGAAATAGATTAATTAATGTACTTTTATTTTTCATTACTGTTTCTGTGGGTCAGAAACTGCTTTATAAGATTAGTCAGGGGACCAGCATGACAGTGAGGTAAGTTGCTCCCTGCTATAACCATTTGTACTTGCATTATCAGTTTACTTATGAAGGTTCCACACTTCCAATATATTTCTTTTTATAAAACATAAGATTTTGGTGGAGGGGAAGAACTAATTAACTTTTTAGAATGAATGAGTATCAGATCTTTTTCCCAGATCTATTTTTTGGGGGCAACAGGAGTAAAAATTAGTAAATCGATTATCTTTCTTTTCCTTTTTTTTTTTTTTTTTTTTTTTTTTGAGATGGAGTCTTACTCTACCCAGGCTGAAGTGCAGTGGTGCCATCTCTGCTCACTGCAACCTCTACCTCCTGGCTTTGAGCCATTCTCCTGCCTCAGCCTCCCATGTAGCTGGGATTACAGGCACATGCCACCACACCTGGCTAATTTTTGTATTTTTAGTAGATGGGGTTTCACCATGTTGGCCAGGGTGGTCTCAAACTGCTGCCCTTGAGTTATCTGCCCGCCTCGCCTTCCCAAAGTGCTGGGATTACAGGTGTGAGCCACCACTCCTGGCCAAGAAATTGATTCTTAAGGTAATCCCAAAGATAAATGTCATCTGCCTTAGAATTTTGCCTAATATCTTGGTTGGAATATATAATTGTCAGAGAATGAATCCATTAAATAACTAGTCATCTTTAACACATACAGATAAAGCATAATGAAAGTTAGCTTAGATCAAAATAGATCATTGTTTTTCAATGCTAGTTTTAAACCACCAGTGTCAGAACCTCTTATGTGGTGGATTGTTTAAAATACAGATTCTTAGATGTTAACCTTATTATTGCAACAGTTTCCCCTGGACATCCTTGTGAATTAAATATGCAAGACTAAGGAAGTTTATTTTAATATTTGATAGTAAACTCTCTAAAACAAAATATGAGGATTACTTATTAATACTACTATTTTAAATTGTTATTAGCTCAAATTGGATAAGAGAATTCTGTTTTCCCCATTAAAGAATGAACTCTTATTTTTTGTAAGTACACTCAAAACTCCAGGCTTTCACTTCAAGAAAACATACATGGTGGCTCCTGTCTGTAATCCTAGCCTTTGGGAGGCCGAAGCAGGAGGATCACTTGGGCCCAGGAGTTCGAGACCAGGCTGACCCTGTCTCTATAAAAAATTTTTAAAATAGCTGGGCATGGTGGCGTATGCTTGTCTTGGGCACATGCTAACTTATTTCAGGCTCTAAGAGCCCTTTTGAATTGTGTTCATGTGTGGTGTATCTTTGTGTCCTTTTGTGTAAATTAGTAGTATATTACTAGATTGCATTTTATTCAGAAAATTAGCCTACCACACCTTCTTTTTTTTTTTTTTTTTGGTAGAGATAGGGTCTCACTGTGTTGCTCAGGCTGGTCTTCAACTCCTGGCCTCAAGCAATCCTCCTGCCTCAGCCTCCCAAAGTGCAGGGATTATAGGCATGAGCCACCACACTTGGCTTTATTTTCCAGTTTCCTGTTGTCTCCCTGCCACCCTTACGTCCCTGCTCATACTTTCTTGTTAGAGTTTATGATACAATCACCCAATGCAAATGCAACAGTAATTCTCATTAGAAATTATATTGTTTAGGGAAAGCTGGTGGGGAAGAGGAGAGAAATGATAGAAGAATAGAATGGGGGGTTGGATCTGAAAAGGACAGGAGAACAATGGAAGAGAGGGTAGTTAATTTCCATTTGAAATTATCTGGTCTGGTCTTCTGGGAGGTATCTCTAATTTTTTAAAACAAAGCAAGAAAATAGACAACCCATTTACCTATATAGAAAGCCTTTTCATTTATTTAACTAAAATTAATTTTACCAAATGAGATTTTATTATATAGCTTTTAGATGATTCAACTCTATAGGGAAAATTAAAAGTTTGTTTAGATAACTGCCAAAAATAAGCTGTGATACTAAACCAGATGATTCATGGATAATGCTTGAAAAATATTTTTCTAACTGCTGGTTATATTGGTTGTTGATTTGATTGCTTTTGTTCGTTTGTTTTTTTGAGACAGAGTCCCACTCTGTTGCCCAGGCTGGAGTACAGTGGCACTATCTCGGCTCACTGCAACCTCTGCCTCCCAGGTTCAAGCGATTCTCCTGCCTCAGCCTCCCAAGTAGCTGGGATTACAGGCATGCATCACCACGACCGGCTAATTTTTGTATTTTGGGTAGAGATAGGGTTTCACCATGTTGGCCTGGCTGGTCTCGAACCCCTGACCTGAGGTGATCCACCCGCCTCAGCCTCCCAAAGTGCTAGGATTATAGGTGTGAGCCACCGTGTCTGGCTGGTTGCTGATTTTATTTTTTAAAGTCATCTACATTTAAGTTAGCATAATATAGCAGCTAGAAGTATTTTACACTAAAACTGTGTATTAAAAATATTTCATGTTTCATGCTTTCATATTTCATGTTTCATGAAGTATTAAAAATATTTCATGTTTCATGAACAAAAAAAAATTTTGTTCAGTGAATCATCCCCTTTGGCCCACATTAGGATAACTTCTCATCTTTTTTCCTATTAATGATAAAAATTGGGACACAGCATAATGGAATTATTATTAATTTTTTACCAGAAGAGAGAAAAATTACATGATGAAGAAGAAAGAAAAAGTGCCTGGGTTAGCCAAGAGAGACAGAGAACACTGGATAGACTTCGAACATTTAAACAGGTATTAAAAGTAATGGTCCATTTATTGTTTTTCTTTTTTTTTTTTTTTTAACAGAGCTACATATACACCTGTAGGATTTCTTTGTGGGAAAAACTTGGTTTTCCCTTATTTATAAACTATTATAACCATGGAAGTCCTTTTTAAAATTGTTTTAATGGCATGGCTCCATTTCCTCTGGTGGTTTTCCGAATTTAGTATTCTTGTGACCTTTGACCCACAGCTTCAGTAGTATAAGAGGAATGATAAGGGCCTCTGGGAAACCTAGATTCCTCTTGAGTTTAAAAAATTAGTTAAATCACAACTGACTATCCAGCTCAAGCATCAGCATGTTATTTATTCCACATACATCAGCCTGTGGTGGTAATACATCAAATGACCATTGGCAGAATTAGAGGTGGAGGGGAGCAGCATATTTGAGAAATGCTTCAGCAGTTCTCTTGCCAGGGTAAGCCATGACCACACACTGATACCACAGTATCCACACATCTCCTCAGAACTGTGCTGAAGCCTCACAGTTCTCATTTTTAAAGTACTCTGGAGCCTTACTTCAGTTATGCATGCTGAAGGATCACTTTGTAGGTGAAGTAGGCTTTTGAACAAGTGTTACAGTGGAAAAAAAGGAGGTGAGGCAGGGGAAAAGCCTTGTTATTAAGTAAATGTGGCTCACGCCTGTAATCCCAGCACTTTATGAGGCTGAGGCAGGTGGATTGCTTGAGCCGGGGAGTTCAAGACCAGCCTGGGTAACATGGCGAAACCCTGTCTCTATACAAATTAGCCTGGCATGGTGGAACATGCCTGTGGTTCCGGCCATTTGGGTGGCTGAAGTGGGAGGATTACCTGAGCCAGGGAGGTCATGGCTGCAGTGAGCTGTGATCATACCACTGCACTCCAGTCTGGGCAACAGAGTGAGACCCTGTCTCAAAAACAAACAAACAAACAAAAGGTCTTACCATGGTAAAATATATATAAGAGTTCTACCAGTAAGTACTGAAAAAAATGTATTTCTCTCTTCATTCTGTCATAAAATGGATATATAGTTGATGGAGCTTTTTAAAAATGCCAAGTAACCTGTTAAAGAATATTTTAATTTTCTCGTGTGTGCATTTGAAAACATAGGAAACTTTTTGCATACCAGTAGCATTTATACATTTGACATCACTTATGTTTTGCATTTTACATGCTATTTGTTTTATACATTTAGTAGTTTTATTCACTAAAAATCTTTTTTTAATCATAATTTTGAATATTTGAATTATCAATCGTGGATTTGATAGGCAAATAATAAATTCATAATTGTTTGTAAGCTATTATTAGGTACTTTCGGATTTTCTGTATAACTTTAAGGGTGAAATAACCAATAAGCCAACATAACATTTTTGAGATGGAATCTCACTCTGTCACTCAGGCTGGAGTGCGGTGGCACAATCTCGGCTCACTGCAACTTCCGCCTCCCGGGTTCAAGCAATTCTCCTGCCTCAGCCTCCTGAGTAGCTGGGACTACAGGTGCCTGCCACCACACCCAGCTAATTTTTGTATTTTTAGTAGTGACGGGGTTTCACCATGTCGGCCAGGCTGGTCTCAAACTCCTGATCTCAGGTGATCCACCCGCCTCGGCCTCCCAAAGTGCTGGGATTACAGGCGTGAGCCACCACACCCGGCCACATAACATCTTTTATTTGAAGGAGAAAATAAATAGGCATGTGCTCATAAATTGTTTCAATAACATTTAACCAGTTCCAATAACTTCTGGTATTTTAGAGGTATCCTGGGCAAGTCATACTTAAATCAACCAGATTACGACTAGCTCATGCAAGAAGAAAAGGTGCAGCAAGTCCTGTTCTCCAAGAGGATCATTGTGACTCTTTACCAAGTGTGTTACAGGTAGAAGAGAAAACTGAAGAGGTGGGAGAAGGAAGAGTCAAGCGTGGGCCATCACAGACAACAGAACCCCAGAGCCTTGTGCAACTTGAAGATACTTCATTAACACAACTTGAAGCCACCTCATTACCTCTCAGTGGTGTTACCTCTGAACTGCCTCCCACTATATCTCTTCCACTTTTGAATAACAACCTCGAACCATGTTCTGTTACCATAAATCCACTCCCATCCCCTCTTCCTCCAACACCACCACCTCCCCCACCTCCTCCCCCTCCCCCACCACCACCACCTCTGCCTGTTGCTAAGGACAGTGGCCCAGAGACACTGGAGAAAGATCTGCCTAGAAAGGAGGGGAATGAGAAGAGGATCCCAAAGTCAGCCAGTGCCCCCTCAGCACACCTCTTTGACAGCAGCCAGCTGGTCAGTGCACGGAAGAAGCTCAGAAAGACTGCTGAAGGTTTGCAGAGGAGGAGAGGTACGTCAACATATTTTCATGGTCCATCTGTTGTATGACATCAGGCATAGTAAAAAACTATATTTTTTGACGTTGCAAAGCTTAAAACACTTTATTTTTGACATTATTTGATAGTAAACAGGTTTTCAAAGTCACACTAGAGGAGAATTCTTAGTGCATAAAGTACACAGAAATGTATGCCTTCTTGGGCTGTTAGGCATGTTTTAAAAACAGATCTTCTAAAGTGATACATTCATGTTTGGTAATGTATAATGGGTGGCTCCTTTTGTGTTAGGGAAAAAGTTTTGATTTTAAACCTGAGATTTTTAAAAAAATACTCATATCAGAAAGGGTAAGATATCTGGTAAGGACTGTCACCACAGGGAAGACATTGGCAGGATCATGTAACATTTGTTCATACATTTGTTGAGGACTTTTGTGTATTTGTATAAAGAAGCAAAGAAGAACAGGGAGTAATCTGTTCAACTTACAATGTGACAGATGTGCCTCAATAAGGTTACTATTTTTTTTTCTAATTTTTTTTGTTAAGAGAGATTCAAGCACAAATAAAATTATTTCTAAAAAGAGCAGAGAATAACCCTTGCCTTTTGCCTTTAAGGAATTTGCATTTTGCATGGGGAGAACATTATATAAATGTTACATATTACTTGTATATTACATTTTAACCTGAAGGACCATTCTATAAAACATTTCTTGATGTAATCTGAGTAGGATTTCACATGTAAAACAACTAAATGAAAAAAGCACAGTCTCCATAATAAACAAAAATTAATTTTTAAAAACAAAATGTGTAACCCCATCACTCTGAATTTGGGTGGAGCAACTGCAATATGGAAATCCTTTGGGAATCACACCCATAATACTACTAAGACCACCTCCCAGTTCCCAATCTGGTCACTTCTCTCATGTAGGAAATGATAGGAATACCAACAGTACCCACCATGGATTGGGTCTTGGGATTTTCTAAAAAGAAGGATAATTAGGATCCCTTGTGTTCTGATCACCTTCTGCACACATTTCATGATCCATTTTGAAGATGGTGTTTCAGCGTCCTGTGCTTTCACAGTTGCGAACGGTAGAGGTTATACAGTTTCATTCTAATTAAGTGCAGTCCTAACTGTAATACTGTTCTGTTTCATTTTCCAAAGTGAGCTCACCCATGGATGAGGTGCTAGCCTCCTTGAAGCGTGGTAGTTTTCATCTGAAAAAGGTTGAACAGCGAACTCTGCCTCCTTTTCCTGATGAAGATGATAGTAATAATATCTTGGCACAAATAAGGAAAGGGGTAAAATTGAAGAAGGTACAGAAGGATGTTTTGAGAGAATCCTTCACACTTCTACCCGATACAGACCCTCTAACACGGAGCATCCATGAAGCTCTTAGAAGAATTAAAGAAGCATCCCCAGAGTCAGAGGACGAAGAGGAGGCTTTACCTTGCACAGACTGGGAGAACTAACAAGTAAACGGCCTTATTGTCTTTAGTAGCATTCAGTAATACAGGTTTTATATCGGATGATGAGGTTTGGGGTATTTTTTATTGAGCCTGAGGCATATCGTTTGTTTTATAACCCAATTTTAGCATGGATCACAAATTTATGAACTTCAGGTTTTACTTAATTCTGTAGTTTCTAGAAACTTAAGATAACTTTTTAATGATTATTGCTATGTAAATACTATTTTTAAAAATGTCCTCCTCATTAAAAATTTCTGCTATACAGCTGTAATTGCAAGTAAAGTGACAGTCTCATTCTTGCCCTAAAAAAACAGAAAAGGGCCTGGCACAGTGGCTCACACCTGTAGTTCTAGCACTTTGGGAGGCTGAAGCAGGCAGATCACTTGAGGTCAGGAGTTCAAGACTAGCCTGGCCAACATGGTGAAACCTCTTCTCTACTAAAAATATAAAAATTAGCCGGGCGTGGTGGCGGGCATCTGTAATCCCAGCTACTCGAGAGGCTGAGGCAAGAGAATCACTTGAACCCAGGAGGCGGAGGTTGCAGTGAGCTGAGATCGTGCCACTGCCCTGGGCAACAGAGTGAGACTCAGTCTTAAAAAAAAAAAAAAAAAAAAAAAAGGCTTTCCAGGTTCAGTGGTTCGCTTCTGTAGTCCCAGTTACTCAGAGGTTGAGGCATGAGGATCTCTTGAGCCCAGGCGTTCAAATCCGGCCTGGGCAATATAGCAATACCCCGTCTGTAAAAAGAAATCAATACGTCAATTTTTTTTTTAATGCAAAGCCTTTTCTGACAAAGTATTTCAGTAACAAACTGTTATGCACACTGAATTTTGATGTCATGTTAGCTGACCTCAAAGGAGTTTTCTAAGATCATTCTGGAAAAATTGTTGCATTGTCTGATTATTTAACTTTCTAAACCCTTAAAAAAAACTACTTATTGTCACAGTTACTGTATTATCTAGACAAATTTGCAGGTATCATTAATATATAAAAATTATCTACATATCTAATGAATACTCCTATACATATTAAGATTCTCTTTGGTTACACATGTAGCATTCTCCTAATATAATAGAGAGCTATAGTCTACTACATTTTAATATACTAATTATAGAGTAATATGGCACAGATTACACCAAATATATAGAAACATTAAAGATAACATGGTATAAATTAAACAGTATATCAAATTTATAATGATGGTAACTGAAATGTTGTAATTTGTATAAAATTTATAGAGTATACAAACATGTTCTATTAATTATTATTCTTTCTTGATGGAATATGTTTCTCTAGGCTTCAAACATTCACCAAAGTAGGGAAGACTTGAGTCCTAGAAGGGAATAAGTAAAGGAATAATTAATTCATGTGTTAGCCCTGTGAATTATTTTTGTTGAATTTCTTTTTTTATTTTAGAGACAGAGTCTCCCTCTGTTGCTCAGGCTGGAGTGCAGTGGCACGTTCATGGCTCACTGCAGCCTCAACCTTCTGGGATCAAGCATCCCAAGTAGCTGGGACTCCAGACACATGCCACCATGCCGGGCTAATTTTTTAATTTCTTTGTAGAGACAGGGTCTCCTTATGGTTGCCCCGATTAGCATAATAATTCTTAAAACATGTTTGATCATAAGAATTAACTTGGGGAGCTTATTAAAAATGGACATTCTGTCCTTGACTTAAGAATTCTGAGTAGAACAACAAAGAAAAAAAATCTTTTTTTGACAGGGTTTCACTCTCTCACCCAGGGTGGAGTGCAGTGACATGATCTCGGCTCGCTGCAAGCTCCACCTCGTGGGTTCAAGTGAATCTCGTGCCTCAGCCTCCTGAGTAGCTGGGATTACAGGCGACTGCCATGATGCCCGGCTCTTTTTTCTTTTTTTTTTTTGTATTTTTAGTAGAGATAGGGTTTCACCATCTTGGCCAGGCTGGTCTCGAACTCCTGACCTCAAATGATCTACCCACCTCAGCCTCCCAAAGTGCTGGGATTACAGGTGTGAGCCACCATGCCTGGCCCAAAAAAAAGAATTCTGAGTAGATCTAATGTATATGCAAGTACACATCTAGATTTTGAAGACATAATATAAAAATGTAATGTATGTCAGTTTTTAAACAACTGATTACATATTGAAAGATTCTATTAGTTACATTAGGTAAAATATTACTGAAAGCAGTTTCACCTGTTCCTTTGGGTATGGGTTCATTAGGTAAATATTCCTGTAGTACCTCTCCACCAGCATCTGCATCAATCAATAACTTAAAAAGGGTAATATTACATTCACCATGATTCAGCCAACATTCAGTAGTAGCATTATCCTGCTTTTTTTCCTATTATGTATACAGTTACATGTAACAGTCACTTTGTATGACTTATGTTTTTGGATCCCAAAGTAACTTCGAGTTATTTTTGCTTGTACATATGTCCACTATGCTTTGTAAAGGAATATATATATATATATATATAGAGAGAGAGAGAGAGAGAGAGAGAGAGAGAGAGAGAGAGAGGGATGCATATCAGTTTGTGAATGTCTAGACTCTCAGGTATGTCTAACTGGGAATCTTTTCCATAGTGGATATTTGTAGGTTGTCTCCCACTTTACAGTTCTTACTACCATGTGTTGTTTCCTTCTGCTGTAGCTTCTCAGGAAGCTGCTTAAGCTTGTGCCTAAAACTACCATCTTTGCACTGACTAATTCCACAGCTGGACCTTCACATAAATGTGTGTTTAGCTCTTTCATTACAGATGGTCCACAGTGGCCCATTCACAGCACACCAGCAGCTGCTCAAGTCAGCCTATCCTTGTCTGTCTCCTCCCATCCCACCATATCCTGCCTAACCCTAGACATTGCATCAGCATTTTGTATACTCAAGTGGCTGGGATGTTACTCATAGCTTCTGGCTACTAATTTAGCCTTAGTATCAGATGTTAACATGGTGCATGGTGTATACACTTTGAAAATTGCTTAAAACTTTTTTCGGGGGTGTGGGAGACGGCTGATGGCTGGAATATGTGGTACAATGTTGAGAGAGAAACAGTGAAACACTTAGAAAATATATGAGCTTGGAAGTTTGCAGTCTCCCTTTACTAAATGTGTGCTAACCCAGAAGCAAACCATAGACTAGTATGGACTGATTAGGCAGTGATGAAGTAGCTGTGTATCACTACTTTGTGATCATGGAGACTAAAAGGCTGTGAACTTTTTATCTACAAATGGCTAAGAAGGCTTTACCGCAATTTGTATTTCCCATTAATTTATTAGATTCCTTTTTTTTTTCTCTCTCTCTTTTTTTCTTTTCTTCAAGACTGAGTTTCACTCTTGTTGCCCAAGCTGGAGTGCAGTGGTGTGATCTTGACTCACTGCAACCTGTGCCTCGTGATTCAAGAGATTCTCCTGCCTCAGCCTCCGGAGTAGCTGGGATTATAGGCGTGTGTTACCACTCCCAGCTAATTTTTGTATTTTTGTAGAGATGGGGTTTCACCATGTTGGCCAGGCTGGTCTCAAACTCCTGATCTCAGGTGATCCACCTGCTTCTGCCTCCCTAAGTGCTGGGATTACAGGTGTGAGCCACTGTGCCTGGCCAGATTTCTTGATTATAGATTTTGTCATTAATGTACTTATATACTTTTAAGAGCTAATTTCTTGAATATTCATAAAGTAGGTAATGAAGGTCCCTTGTTCTGCCTTGTTCGTTCCCCTCTGAAACTCTTCTCTTTCCAGAGATAGCCATAGTCATGCTCAAGGAAATTTCTTAAAATGTATGTAATTACATAGAGGTTTAAAATAAGTTTCAGGCTGAGTGTGAACTTTAAGTTTCAGGCCTGTAATTCTGCAGTACTTCAGGAGGCTGGGGGTGGGTGGATCACTTGAGCCCAGGAATTCAAGACTAGCCTGGGCAACATGACGAAACACATCTCCACTAAAAATACAAAAAGTAGCTGGGCGTGGTGGCTCACACCTGTAGTCCCAGCTACTTGGGAGGCTGAGGCAGGAGGAAATCTGTCTCAATAAATAAATAAGCTTCTAGTTTGTTTCCTGTGAGAGTCTTTTTTTTTTTTTTGAGATGGAGTCTCACTGTGTCAGCCAGGCTGGAGTGCAGTGGCGCCGTATTTGGCTCGCTGCAATCTCCATCTCCCGGGTTCAATCTGGGATTACAGGCGCACCACCATGCCCAGCTAATTTTTTTGAAGTTTTAGTAGAGAGGGGTTTCACCATGTTGGCCAGACTGGTCTCGAACTCCTGACCTCAACTGATCCACCCTCCTCAGCCTCCCAAAGTGCTGGGATTACAGGCGTGAGCCACTGTGCTAGGCCCCTGTAGGAGTCTTCTAAAGTAACTATAGCAATGTAGTTCAAAGGAAATATAGTTTGAGACATGTAATTTTAAAATGTCCAATAGTCACATCAAAAATGAAAAGGAACATGTGAAACTGATGTTTGTAATATTTTATTTGACACAATGTAGCCAAAGTAGTATCCTTCAACACATAATCAACATTAAAAACTAAGGACATTGCTTTCTATTTCTTTTTTTCACACTAAGTCTTCAAAATTCAGTGTATGTTTTATATATACTAGTAGCACATCTCAGTTTGAATGCTAAGGATCTGATACTTAATGAGAAATGTCCTACCAAAACAGCAAAATTGTATTTAATGGAAAAATAGTACTTACTGTTTTAGATTTTTAAATCAAACTGGATTTAAATCAAACTAGATCAGTCACACTAGACACATATCAAGTGCTCATTAGCCACATGTAGCTACAGTATTAGAAAATGCAGAACTGTATTAAGTTGGTACTTTATTCATGTTCCTGTCAGCTTTTATCTGAAGAGTATGTCTTTTATATAAATGCTCCTGTGCTTTGGGTACGCCCCATAGATCTTAAGCACAACACTTTTCAATAAAATGCCCGGGTGAAGTATCCATTTAAAGATTGGTATTAATCCTGTCCTCTAAATGTTAGTCTAACAAAAACAGTTTCTACTGCATTTTGAAGACACCATTTAGTTGTTCTTACTCTAGTAGCAGTTTATGGGGCAAATAGTTTAGACTGAATTTACCTTTTTAGTATATAGTTTTCATACAGTGTTAGAGTAAAAATAATAAAAATGAAAATCTAATAGTCTTTTAAAAGTGATCAAAATCTGTATTTAGATTATTTTGTTTTCATTTTTACTGCTTTAAGAATACAGTCATGGCCTTTTGTAAAAAATGTCTTTTTTACACTTTTTGAGGGAACGTAAATACACTGTATCTTTAAAGGGTCTTTTTTTTAATGGTCTGTATTATTTTGTTTGTAAACAGGTGACATAACAGAAGAAAAATATCATTCAAGATTGGTTCTGATTCTTTTGGAAAATGACAGTTTAAGCACTTGGTTCCTCAGTTGGATAACATTAGATCCAAAGTTCATTGGTTCAGTGGTGTGAAGAAAGGAAGCACAATTGGCAGGTTATCACTTTCCAGTCGTTCCAATAGATGATGGTTAACATGAATTTTACATGTGCAATGTTCCTGACTGCAATGAAGAAAAGGCCTTCTGGAGATTTCTGTTTTTTAAGCACATTCTCCTTCCATCCACATATTTACATCCTTGTAATGGCCAGTTAAGCTAGGGCTTGCTGTAAGTTGGAAGAACACTGGGTTGACAGAGATCTACTGTGAGCTGTATTGGGACTGCTTTGAGAACCATCTTTCAATGCACTGAAAAGTCATCTGAAAAAATAGCTTCTTCCATATCAGCTTATATTAAATACTGTGACACTCTGAGAAAGTTTATCATCATGATAGCTGTAAGTCAGGCATTAAAATCAAATGGAAATACACCTAAAATGTCCGCATTACTCATTTCCAAAGGATTTTTCATAAAGATGTTCAGCAACATCTGAAAAGCTGCATTTATGGAGATACATCTATTAATATGTTCACAACATGATACATTTAACATGGCATATTTTTAGGAGTCTTATACTTTGTAAGGTTTTGAAGTTTCCGTGCTTTTAAATCACTCTTCATATTTCTTGAATTTATAATAGTTTGAATTTTATGTGCATCCTTGTTTATGGAAGGCAGTACTTTGATAATATTTCAAATTATTTTTATTTTGTTTGAATTATTGCTTGATTGCTATGACTGACATGACTTTCCTATTGAGAATCAAAAATCAAGATTCAATCATAGGGATGCAGATCTTAACTCTTTTCACAAATTACCATTTTAAGTTTTTATTTTTATGCTCCACAGTGAAAAGCATGTGCTCTACAAAGATAGAAAGTAGAGACAAGTCTCCGTGGCTGGCATTTCACCATCTTCACATGCACTGAATGGAATTTTGGGAGAATGCCTTTGTTATAGTCACTAAAATTTTAAACTTATACACAGCTTTAGGTGCTGATTTTGGCTGTGATGGAGTCCTGAAGGACACATTTATATGTTCCAGATTTTCAGCAGGATTGTTGTGGGCTTGAATACATGTAGATCATTGGACTCAGTGTGCAGTACCCTGTACATATAATTCTGCATAAGACAGATCTTGGCCTTTCTGTGGAGGGAGTTAAGAACTAAAATACCAAAAATCACTTTATTTCTTTTAAGACAATTATCTGGCCTAAACCCAGAAAGCAGTACTGGAGCAAAAGCCCAGTGTATATGAATTGGTATTCCTAGAGAAAAAAAGAAATGCTCACACCTTTGTTATTTTAAAGTGTTTTCTTGAAAATAATTAGGGAGAAAATTTTCTGGCAACAGGTTATGTAAGACAACAACTTTTTTTATTATTTCAAAACAAAACAGGCACATGCCACCATGCCCCAGCTAATTTTTATATTTTTTATAGAGACAGGGTTTTGCCATGTTGCCCACGCTGGTCTTGAACTCCTGGACTCAAGCAATCTGCCAGCCTCGGCCTGCTAAAGTGCTAGGATTATAGGCGTGAGCCTCTGTGCCCAGCCTGACAAAATCTTTTATTTATTTAAATGTTAGTAATACGTTTATTGATGAGACTAGGAGCTTCTCTGCAGCATCTTCATAATACATTGGTTTTAGTTCCCACACTATTCCCACATCTTATCTGGGAAGATTAGAAATACAGATGTAATATGGAAGCTTCAACAGCATGGGGGTGGTGATAGTGTCCTATTTGCCCTTGGTAAAATATTAAAGCGTATTTCTTAACCCAAAGAGTGATTGGTTATATGAATATATTTGAAAAAGTTAAAGCAAATTTGCAAACCTTTACAAAATCATGTATCAATTTTATGCTATCCAGTTTTTACGTACCCATGTGTCAACATTTCATATATCCAGTTCTTTGGGTGCTGGTTCACTTTTTTTCATTTATTCAAATTCAGAAAAATACGGACGGATCTAATGTTAAATTAACCAGAAACCCTGGAACATTCATATCTTGAGAGGGAATTTGCTACTCTTTTACTTTTGGGATTTCATTATAAAATAGGCTCATTTTATACATATGTCCTGTGGTCTGTCTTCCAGAGTGTGCTGTAATCATAAGTCTCTAGCAAAGAGTGGAGGGTGGAGGGTGTGTAGAACTCCACTCAGCCTCATGGATACATCTACAAGTCTCTCAACCCATCCTGTTACAGTTCTCCATGAGAGTCACCTCACACTTGGAAAAGAAGGAGGTTAAAGCAGAGTATTGTTGGCAGCCAGCTATGCCCATCCTCTTGTAAATAACTTTCCAACACACCCATTTCCTTGCCTTAAGGTGCAGGTTCCTACTTCTACAAAATTTCAAATGATTGCAGGTCAAAAACCTTTGGAGTTACTCACAAATAATAATAAAATTTCAAATAACTAGGGTCTACTTGTCCATCAAGATGACATTACCAGTGGAACCCACCTGTTAATTTTAAAGTAGCTTCAGAACCCAACAAAAATTATGTAAGCCTGGTTAAATGTCCTTTTTTCTTCTTGCCTCTAATAAAATCAGGATCTTCGGCCTTGATACTAAATATGTGTATATTTAGTTATGATGGTACTTGTAGATGCTCACATTTCCAGTTCCAAACTCGCCCGTACTTTTTATGTGCTTCAAAATATTGGACACATTTCTGTTAATATATGATTTCTGTATCCACAAACCGCTGTTTGCTTATGCTGAGTCAATTTAGAAGTTAATTTCCAATCTAGTCTCAACTGCAATGCATTTAAAATAGGTAAAACAAGTAAATGAGTTTGGGACATTTTGAGATTAATGTTACTGCCCACTTGACTGTCAATTTCAAATGGCTCCTAATGCAACCAAAATTATAACCAATGTAGCATGTGTAGGAAAGGTATTTTTAATTATTTAAAATCATTGTGTATATTACAGCAGTATGAGGAATGCCTGGCTAAAGAGGATTTTTTAAAAGATGAAGAATGGTTTTGCTTGTATTATATAGGCTTACTGAGTTTGTGAGCAGCATAAAAACAATCATTCCTTAATTCTTCATTGTGGAACTGAAATATTTCTGTAATGCATTTTTTAAAAGGAGACTCCTAGACACAGCTGTAATAGTGGGAATAGAAATGTAGAGCTTTTCTCATAACACAAAACCAGAAAATAATTTTCAGCACTTTGACTTACTCTATGTAATAAGGAAAAAAATTGTTTCCACAAAGTTGAACTATGTAGTAATATTTGGTAACATATGGCATGGCCACTTTATATCACAGAATGTGTGTCAAGTTGCAAAGCATACTTGGGCCATAGTAGACACTAAGAATTAAAACTCTTAAATCAGTGAAACAAAAACTAATGGGCAGCATTCTCTCTGTTTGGAATGGGATCAGTATACAATTAATACAATTTAATTTTACACATTCCCTAAGACACCATTTTTAAGTTACAGTCACATGAGTGTTTGTATAAATTTAAGTCAATGCTTTTAGCCTAGGCAAAGCTAAATACAAGGTTTTTGGGGTTTTCTTTTTTCAGCTTTATTATTGAAGTATTACAAACTTAACATCAGATACCAATGTGTAAAAAGTACTATTGGGTCCTTAAGGGCTCTATCAGGGAGTTGAAATTTCATACGCTTTACCAGGTTACTTGTAAAAAATGAACAGCTGTAAGACATTTCAAAACCATTGCAGACACATTGTTAAAATGCAGCCATTTGATAATGAAAGCAGAAACCTTAAGTTTTACCTAATTATTGCACTAAATGTAAATGATAACATAAAATTAAGTGTGCATTTTAAACAGATTCTATTTCCCACTTACTGCTTAGCATAGAAAAAGAGCTATGGTTAGAGGAGTGACCAGCAAGATTTATTTCAGATGGAAAAGGGGTGAGAAAGTGGAAGCACCTTACTGTTAGAGCATGTTGCATCTATTTAGTGCTACTGAACAATTCAGTAGTTATTTCTGAACTTTGCTGCAAAGTGCTCTTTAGTTAAAGCACATTAAGAAGGGTCACTGCTTAATTGCTTTGTAAAATGAAGCAATGGTATTTTTTATCCGATATAGTGTAATTTAAAAGTTTTCCTACAAAGTGAGTTTATATTGTTGCCTAAACTATGTTATGTAAGCAAAGGGTTTGGAAAGGCGGGAGGGAGTCTAGATTCGGCGAGAGTGTGCGTTTGTGTGTGTGAATGTATGAAAAGTTTCCCCATTGGGTTATTCTTAAGATGTGTTTATTGTAAAGTTTTCTACGTTTTGCCCACAGTAAATGTACAACTTCGCAATTGTAGGATTTAATTGATTGAATTCCAAATTTATACTGTCTCTTCCCTTCTGCAGAGACATTATGCCACTGTAAGGTGCATGTACAGAAAATACCTCTGAGGTTGACTTGTTAAATAACTGATGAATGTTATTTCACACTGAATCTCAAAGCAGTCATTTGTTTTGCGGGTTAGGGGAAAGTTTTGTTTTTTGCTGGTGTTTTTTGTTGTTTTTAATTAGGCACACTAAGAGTGGCTAAATTTGGGGGAATTGGTGGATAGGAAAGACCTTGAAAAGTGATGTGTAGATGAAAACACAAGGTATGGATGTTGGTTACAGAGTTCAGTTTTAACAAGGGAAATTTGGGGATTTTTTTTTTTTTTACTTGCATGTTCTATGGGTAGCTATCAAAGGGTGTAACAAATTATTCCAGCTTTTCCCAATACTAATTATATTGGTTTTAAAAAGTCTGCATAATCACTAGGTGGCATTTTCCCTTCATTTGTGAACCAAGAGGGGTAAATGATGCTACCCATACAGTGACTTCTGAGTTCTTTAACTTTGACAGAATCTCCATTGTTTCATTGAATTTCTCATTGTATTATATGTCTTTCCAAGTGTGCAAACTATAATATGTAGTTAATGAAAAATGGAAGGCTGCAGATTATTTTGCATGAATAATTAATTGCCCATTAGGGCTAAGGAGACTGACATGATTTTTATCGGTTCTGGGTAAATGAAAATTTTAATGGAAAACTCATTCACCATTTACTAGCTTTGTGCAATATTATAAAAGGTAGAAGCAAAACACTAGCACATTGTGCTTTGCTTGGCTTGTAAGGATGGCTTTAGTACCATTACATTAAATGGACAGTGTGCACAGTGTATTGTAAATGCCAACTCTTGCAAATTTACAATACTTAAATATGTTCAATTAACATCCTAAAGTATTAAAAGTACAGAGGAAAAACTAAGCAAGCATTTATAGCAATACCATGAAATCTCCAGTAATCGTTTTGACTGTTGCCTTTTGCTCTTTAGTGCAGCTTTTCTGCATTGTAATTGTATTGCTTTGTATTTCATGTTTTTTACACTCATGACTTCAGAGTTAAGTACTTGTACACCAAGTATTGCAATCACCTTTCTCTTGTTGTACATGCAATGTAACAACCTACAGTTTTGGTGCTTTTAACAATATTCCTCTTTTTCTTTAATAAAGGATATTTATTTGAATTAATTAACCTGATTTTGTTTGTTTAAAATATCAGTGGTACATATTTTCACTTCATTTCAAATAGGAGGACCATAGCAAGTTGTATATCTGTTATGACAAAAGTTATAACATGGAGAACAGGATCCAGAGACCATCCATGCCTGTATTTCTGCCTCTTCCTGAGCGCTGTTTGTTGTGACATATTTTGATGGCAACTTTCTTTGTGCTATTAATGAACTTTCTCATTGTTTATAAATATTCACAAAGTTTGGAAGTGCTGACTTCCAAATTGGAAAATTTTTAAATGGGGGTGGGGAGAGGCAGAAAAATATTTATAAAGTTACACACTCAGATCAAATAGATCAAAATCTCAAAAATAGAACAGAAAAGAAAAGAAGAAAAGAAACATAGATCCCCACCAATGCCTCAGCAGTTGTTTGTCTCACTTCCAGTGATACCCTGAAAACTGTAGTATCTGAAATTTTCCCTTAGTCTCAGGAATTTCTACTTACACGCTTTCAGAGCTAGAACATTCCAGTGACCGCAGCCAGTTTGATCTCTTTCCACCCTCAGTAAATGTCTTGCCATATTCCTCTGGTGATCTGGAGCCCTTTATATTGAAATGTGCAATAATGATTTTACCAAGTCATTGCAAGCTTATGAGGAAAATATGGTTTTGAGGAAAAGCCTTAAACAATTAAATATACTGGCCAATTTCTGTCAGAACTGTTTAATACCAAGAACAATTGAAAGGTTATTCATCCCCAAGTGCATCAACAGATGTTTTGTGTAATGAAAGACTGGTGAGAGATTGGAAAACTCCACAAGAAACCTTATATTGTTTGTAAACATTTTTCAATGGAAGGGAAGTATAGCAGGAATTAATCATATGGTTATTCTTAAAACTTTGTATAGGCTGGGCGCGGTGGTTCACACCTGTAACCCCAGCACTCTGGGAGGCCAAGGCGAGCCGATCACTTGAGGTCAGCAGTTCGAGACCAGCCTGGCCAACATGGCGAAACCCCATCTCTACTAAAAAATGCAAGAATTAGCCGGGCATGGTGGCATGTGCCTGTAATCCCAGCTACTCAGGAGGCTGAGGCTGGAGAATTGCTTGAACCTGGGAGGCAGAGGTTGCAGTGAGCTGAGATCACACCACTGCACTCCAGCCTGGGCAACAGAGCGAGACTCTATCTCAAAAAATAAAAAAAAAATAAAAAGACACCCTACTGTGAATTGTTTTGCAGATATTGTACAGTGTGTAAGTGTATAAGCCAGACGAATAAATGCCATTAAGTAGATCACCTCTAAAGTCATGGGAGAGGAGTAAGGGGAGGGAGGGGAACTTACAGTCTAGCCATCCTAGGCATATTATTTTCTGATATGCCTAGGACATGTGACATTATATGTGTATTCAAAATTACATTATACAGATGCCATACAGTGGTTCTCTGAGATGAAGTAGTCCAGGTGGCAACAACATTCCATGTTATAGACCAAAATGATCTTTTTCATGCTTAAAGACCCAAACTTCTGGGATCTTACTTGAGTAAGTAAGTATTCAAGTTATTCTGGTGGCTCAAATATCCTTTTAGAGGAATTATTTGGTCTTCCCTATAGGGCACTTTGTGACCCACCTCTTTTCAGAAACAGGATGGCTTACCTGTGCAACAAGCTCGTGGGTCAGTCCCACAATTTCTGAAACACAGGATTAACTCTGGAACTTCCAAGAGTTGTCAGAAAATGCAACCAAACATTTATTGTGACCCAGCACTTGCTGAAAGGTTTTCTAATGCCAATTCCAACTTTGCCTACCGTTATCTAACTTTTGTCATTGCATCAAGTTGACTTATCAGAAGGCAGTACTTCAGCATCATCTCAACCCCAGTCATGCTTTCACTCCGTTACATAGAAGCGTGATGATTTGGCTTTCATGGATGGTTGAAACAAAAAATATCTAAGTATTTCTAGGCTTCTTTCATAACTCTTCCCTCTCTGCCTAGTTACTCTTTCTCATGGTTCCAGATGACATCTCTCTCATCATGACTCCATGTCCTCGCCTCTTCTCAGTTCACTGTATGTACGCAGGTCCATATGTGTTCAGTTGCCTAGTGACCTCTTTCTTTGGAAGCCTCACACGTATCTGAAATATAACATGCCCAAAACAGTCCCCTTGACCCTATCACCATCAAAACCTGAACCCTAATTTTCCCACTTTTCCCCGTCTTTCACAATTCCTCCAGTTCTGCCTTTCAGAATTTAGAAGTTATCCTTGATACCTTTCTCAACCTCACTTCCCGGCTCCCATCCAAATCTCCCAGTCCTGTCATACCTAACTCTAATATACACCTGGCACACACACACTTCTTTCTCTATCCCCTGCCACCCTTGGGTCCCAGCCTACGTCATCTATCCACTAGACGCTTCACTGGCTTCCTGCCCTGTCTTCCCACTGCTACTCTTGTCTGCCTGCAACTCATTCTATACCCACAACGTGGTGAGATCATGTCTCTCCCCTGCATAAAGCTCTCCAATTTCCACTGCAGTTGGAATAAAGCCATAAATTTCCTACCCATAAACTACAAGGAGATGTGATTTGGCCCCTGCTATCCACCCCACTGCTTACTGGGCTCCAGCCACATGTGTAATCTCTTTCTTACCTTAGGACCTGTGCGCAGACTCTGCCCTCTCCCTAGAATTGTTCACCTCCCTCCCTTTTGTAAGTATGGCCAACTTGGTGTCTCCCAAAATTCATACTTTAAGTTCTAACCCCTAGTACCTCAGAACGTGTCCTTATTTGGAGATAGAGTCTTTACAGAGATAGTCAAGTTAAAGTGAGGTCATTAAGGTAGACGCTAATCTAATATGACTGATGTCTTTATGAAAACGGAAATTTGGACACAGACATTTATAGAAGAAGGAAGAAACACCAGAAAAGGTGATCCATAAGCCAAGGAGAGGGGCCTCGAACAGATCCCTCCCTCACAGCCCTTAGAAGGAACCAATCCTGCTGACAACTTGATTTTGGACTTCTGACTTCCAGAACAGTGAGACAGGGATTCCTGTTGCGTAAGCCAGCCAGCCTGTGCCCTTTGTTACAGCAGCCCTGGAAGCTAATGCATCATCATTGAGCCTTCCACTGAGATGCCAGCTCCTCACAGAGGACTTCCTGCTTTTCCTCAAGTAACTCCCCTGTTATCCTCTATGTCGGCCCCTTGTGTGGCAGAGCCTGCTCACCAGATGTCCCATCAACTGCCCCCTACATCTACTAGCACCGTTGCTGATAAAGAGCCTTGTAACTAATTCTACCCGGTGAGATGAAAAAGCAAATAACGTGCATCACTTTCAGCCTGAGATAGGAAAGTCCAAGATTGCACCAATCTTTCTCTTCTTTTGTGGCAAATGAAGAGGGCTCGTGCACTACCAGGTAGTATAGCCTCCTTTGAGATTGCGACAAAGAACAAGGGTACCCTCTGTCAACTATTTTGTTTCACCATCATATTAGAGGTACTAACATTGCAGTTAGGCAAGAAATATATAAAAGGCATTAAGGATTGGAGGGAAAGACAGAAATGGACATTTTGGTGGCAGATATAATGGTTACATATGTAGAAAATCCAAGAGTATCAATAGATAAATTACTAGGATTAAGAGGTTTAGTGAGGTTGCTTAATAAAATTATTTTTTATTTTTTAATGTAATAAAAGTAAATATCAGCTGAGGCTGGGCACAGTGGCTCACATCTGTAATCCCAGCACTTTGGAAGGTCAAGGTGGGCAGATCACTTGAGGTCAGGAGTTTGAGACCAGCCTGGCCAACATGGTGAAACCCTGTCTCTACTAAAAATACAAAAATTAGCCAGGTGTGGTGGCAGTCACCTGTAATCCCAGCTACTTGGGAGGCTGAGGCAGGAGAGCTGCTTGAACCCAGGAGGTGGAGGTTGCAGTGAGCCGAGATCATGCCACTGCCCTTCAGCCTGGGCAACAGAGCAAGACTCTGTGTCAATAAATAAATAAATAAATACCAACTGAATTTCTATATATTAGTATCATTGTTTTGGAAAGTTAACAAATCAATGAAAAGAAGACAAACAATGCAGTGGAAACATGGGCGTGAGACTTGAGTAGGCAACTCATAAAAGAAGAAATACAAATGGCTAAATGTGCATACAAAAAAGTAACAAAAAGCATAATTAAAACCAAATTTAACCCTCAAGACTGGTTAAAATTTTAAAGATTGACGATTTTAAGTGTGGGCAAGTATTTGGAAAACAACGTTTATATACTACTGATGGTCATATACACTGCAACAACTATTTGGAAAGCTGGTAGGCATTATCTACAAAAGTTCAATATATGCTCACTCTGTGGCCCAACACTTCCTTATGCAGCTGAAATATGTGTATGCCTAAACGGGGAGACATAGGCAAGAATGTTTATAGCAGCATGATCCTCAATAGGCAGCAACTAAAATAACCCAGATGTCCATCAACAGGTGAATGGGCAAATTGCGGTATATTCCTCAAATGTAATCTAGTGATGCAATGGAGTAAGACAGAGCAAAAGGAATACAGCTACATGCAACAATTTGGATGAATCTCACTGATAGAAAGTTGAGCAAAAGGAGCTGAAAAGAATATATAAAATATGACTCCAGTCATATAAAGTTTCAAAATAGGCAAAACTAAACTGTAGTGTTTTAGGGGTATTATTCAGGCAATAAAACTATAAAGAAAAGCAAGGGGGTGATGACCATAAAAAAATCAAAACAGTGGTCACCTTTGCAGGAGAGGAGAGCTTTATGACTGGGAACGGGACACACCAAGGACTTCTGTGGGGCTGTCACGTTTCTACTTCTGGGCCAGGGTGGTCGTGAGGTGTTTTGTTTCGTTTTGTTTCGTTTTGTTTTGAGACGGAGTCTCGCACTGTCGCCCGGGCTGGAGTGCAGTGGCGTGATTTAGGCTCACCGCAACCTCCGCCCCCCAGGTTCAAGCAGTTCTCCTGCCTCAGCCTCCCAAGTAGCTCGGATTACAGGCGCCTGCCACCACGCCCAGCTAATTTTTTGTATTTTTAGTAGAGACGGGGTTTCACTATGTTGGCCAGGCTGGTCTCGAACATCTGACCTCGTGATCCACCCACCTTGGACTCCGAAGTGCTAGGATTACAGGCGTGAGCCACCGCGCCTGGCCGGTTGTGAGGTTTAATTTACAATAATTCAGTAACCTGTGCATTCGTGTTTACACATTTTTCTAAATAAGTATTACATTTTACAATATAAAAAGTTTTTTAAAAGCTCTAACACAGGGCTTTTTATTAAAATTCTAGAAATTACTTCTGGAATTTAGTTGCCAAAAAGTTTTTTTCTCCACAAAATAATTAGCGTTCTTGCTCTACAAAACAAGGAGAACCATATAATCTAACATGCTTTACTTTTTTTTATTAGCTGGCAAGAATTACAAGCTAAATTTAGTGCTCCAATGGAAAAGCCAACTCATCTCAGACTTCTGGGTTACACAGTTCTGTGCTCCCTTTAATTGGCTTTGTGTGTGTGTGTGTGTTTTGTAAACTCTCCTGCCCTAGGTATTTTAACATTTTAAATGTTCTCCTTTGAGAAGTGGGTTTGCATTTTTTCAAGTTACTTTGAAAAAAGCTGCTTCAAAATAGCATGACACAGTGGTTAAGAGCAAGGGCTCTGGTGCTGCCTACTAGCTGTGTGAGGCTGGGCAAGTCACTTCTCTGCTTCTTCTCATTCATCTGTAAATTGAAGGCAGTAATGAGATCTACCTCATGGTTGCTGTATGGGTTTAGTGAGTATATTTAAAGTGCATAGGCAGGGCACGGTGGCTCACGCCTGTAATCCCAGCACTTTGGGAGGTTGAGGCGGGTGGATCACTAGGTCAGGAGTTCGAGACCAGCCTGACCAACATGGTGAAACCCCGTCTCTACTAAAAACACAAAAATTAGCCGGGTGTGGTGGCGCACACCTGTAATCCCAGCTACTCAGGAGGCTGAGGCAGGAGAACTGCGTGAACCTGGCAGGCGGAGGTTGCAGTGAGCCGAGATTGTGCCACTGCACTCCAGCCTGGCGACAGAGCTAGACTCCGTCTCAAAAAACAAAAGATAAAAAAATAAAAAAATAAAAAATAAAGTGCATAGAAGAGTGCCTGGCACATTATGTAAGTGTCAGCTATTATTGTTCTCCTAAAGATGTGATGCCAAAATTATTCACAAAGGACTACAAAGATCTGAGTAATTTAAAAGCAAAAACCTCTGAGGCTAAAATATATCCTCTTGGACAGATCTGAAAAAGCATCAGTAATCATCTACATGTCCTTACATAAAAGAAATGGGAATTGTTTCATTCACATGTCACAAAATGAATGTTATTCAATAGGGAACACTTTAAGTTAACAATAAAAACAAAGAAAAATCCCTACCTTCATGTCTGCTCTTTGTAGAACTGGGTGCAATTGAAGAATGTGGAATTTCTATTTTCTGACTGACTTTCTGTGGAACTGCATCCTAAACAATCACTGATGGCTCTCACCTGTGATCCCAGCACTTTCAGAGGCCAAGGTGGATCACCTGAGCCCAGGAGTTCGAGACCAGCTTGGGCAACGTGGCGAGACCCCCATCTCTATTTAAAAAAAAAAAAAAAAGAAACTATTTTAAAAATATGATGAACACAAAAGATCTTGGAGTTAAATACAGTGGATTAAAACATGATTTTCTTGATACTCCCTCCTAAGGCCCTAGCATGGCAGCAGAGAGACAAAGAACAAAGGGGAGAAAGTGACGGATGCATGAAGGGGAAATGACTTAGCCGACTAGAGGCAGCTGACCTGAGGGTCTGCAGTGCAGCCCTGCGGCCCAGCACTCGGAGGCACTGTGTTCTTTGGAAGGTGGGGTTGAAGGACAAAGTTGAAAAAAGGGACTGGTGGAAAATTTGAAGCAGGAGCAGTTAGACCCTTCCCCTCTTCCATGCCCTCCCTTCCCACTGCAAGACACTAGAGTTCATTTTCTGGACAAAATGAGCCAGAGGAGATCTGGACTCAACCAACAGGAACAAGAGGAGGTTGAAGGTAACATGGAACACTGGAGGACTCCGTTATTAATAAAGTCTGCTGCCAGAGCCGTGAGACTCCTGGCTGCCCTCTCCTGCCTGGTTCTGGGAGGGCACTCAGCCAAACACATACACCCGGTGGGTCTGGAAGACCCTCCCTGGAAACGCTAAATGGCCCCAGAAGAGACCTCCACATGTTGTTTGTGTTGGGGGTGAGGGGAAGGTTTGTGACATGACACAGCTGGCATCCCACCCAATCTCTCTGAAGATGTCGATCCCCAAAGCCACCAGTCAGTCAGCGTCCCCACCCCAGAGCTCCAGCATCTCACTGTAGAACAGAAGCAGACCACTTAAGAGTCACAGTGGCATTTTCAGAAAGTGTCCATACCATGGACACAAACAGACTGAAGAAAGCAATTCTGAGAAAACACAGACATTCAGAAACTAGGGGGAAAAAAAGTTTAATTAAAATTATTTTTAATCAGAAAAAAATGAGGTGAGATACTGTATCTATGAAACAAGAATGTGTTGCGATAAAAAGGAATATTCTGAGAACAAGGAACCACACTTAGAAACTAAAACTATGAGAGCTAAAATTACAAATTAAACACAAAGTTTAAAAGTACAGCCAGAAACTCCTAAAGCTGAATAAGCAACCAAAGACCTGAACAACAGAAAAGACAACCAGAGGATGAGTTCCCAAACCCACATTCGATTACTGCCCCCAGGGAAAGGAAAATAGAGGGGAGAAAATAATCAAAGAAATGATTTCAGAAACTCACAGTTCTGCTTGCAGCAATTCGAGTTGGGCTTCCTTTCATGGGCAGCAGAAGATTCCCTGATGGTCGTGAGGAGCGTTCCAGTAAGATGAGGACTCAGGAGTGCTCCCACAGTGGGCAACTTGGAGGTCACTGGGTACCCTGGTGAGAGCAATGTTGGCAGAGTAGAGGGGCTGAATCCAGGGGGAAGTCTGAGGAGCGAATGGAAAGGAAGAGGAGACAATGTGTGAGCACACACAAGTTTTACAGCGAGAAAGAAAATCAACTGACAGCTATGAAAAGGATTATTTATTATTATTATTATTTTTTTTTTTGAGAGGGAGTCTCGCTCTGTCGCCCAGGCTGGAGTGCAGTGGCGCGATCTCGGCTCACTGCAAGCTCCGCCTCCCGGGTTCACGCCATTCTCCTTCCTCGGCCTCACGAGTAGCTGGGACTACAGGCGCCCGCCACCACGCCCGGCTAATTTTTTGTATTTTTAGTAGAGACAGGGTTTCACCGTGTTAGCCACGATGGTCTCCATCTCTTGACCTCGTGATCCACCCGCATCAGCCTTCCAAAGTGCTGGGATTACAGGCGTGAGCCACCGCGCCCAGCCATAGGATTTTTTTTTTTTTTTTAATTTATTATTGAGATGGAGTTTCGCTCTTGTTGCCCAGGCTGGAGTGCAGTGGTGTAATCTTCGCTCACCACAACCTCCGCCTCCCAGGTTCAAGTGATTTGAGGAGGAATTTTTTTTTTTTTTATACTTTAAGTTCTACAGTACATGTACACAACATGCAGGTTTGTTACGCAGGTATACATGTGCCATGTTGGTTTGCTGCACTCATTAATTCATCACTTACATTAGGTATTTCTCCTAATGCTCTCGCTCCCCTACCCCCCAACCCACGACAGGCCCCCATGTGTGATGCTCCCCTTCCTGTGTCCAAGTCCTCTTATTGTTCACTTCCCACCTATGAGTGAGAACATGCGGTGTTTGGTTTTCTGTCCTTGTGACAGTTTGCTCAGAATGATGGTTTCCAGCTTCATCCATGTACCTGCAAAGGACATGAACTCATCCTTTTTTATGGCTACATAGTATTCTATGGTGTGTATGTGCCACATTTTCTTAATCCAGTCTGTCATTGATGGACATTTTGGTTGGTTCCAAGTTTTTGCTATTGTAAATAGTGCCACAATAAACATATGTGTGCATGTGTCTTTATAGTAGCATGATTTATAATCCTTTGGGTATATACCCAGTAATGGGATGGCTGGGTCAAATGGTAATTCTAGTTCTAGATCCTTGAGGAATGGCCACACTGACTTCCAAAATGGTTGAACTAGTTTACACTCCCACCAACAGTGTAAAAGCATTCCTCTCCAGCACCTGTTGCTTCCTGACTTTTTAATGATCGCCATTCTAACTGGTGTGAGATGGTATCTCATTGTGCTTTTGATTTGCATTTCTCTGATGACCAGTGATGATGAGCATTTTTTCATGTGTTTGTTGGCTGCATAAATGTCTTTTGAGAAGTATCTGTTCATATCCTTTGCCCACTTTTGGATGGGGTTGTTTGATTTTTTCTTGTAAATTTGTTTAAGTTCTTTGTAGATTCTGGATATTAGCCCTTTGTCAGATGGGTAGACTGCAAAAATTTTCTCCCATTCTGTAGGTTGCCTGTTCACTCTGATGGTAGTTTCTTTTGCTATGCAGAAGCTCTTTAGTTTAATTAGATCCCATTTGTCAATTTTGGCTTTTGTTGCCATTGCTTTTGGTGTTTTAGTCATGAAGTCCTTGCTCAGGCCTATGTCCTGAATGGTATTGCCTAGGTTTTCTTCTAGGGTTTTTATGATTTTAGGTCTAACATTTAAGTCTTTAATCCATCTTGAATTAATTTTTGTATAAGGTGTAAGGAAAGGATCCAGTTTCAGCTTTCTACATATGGCTAGCCAGTTTTCCCAGCACCATTTATTAAATAGGGAATCCTTTCCCCATTGCTTGTTTTTGTCAGGGTTGTCAAAGATCAGATGGTTGTAGATGTGTGGTGCTATTTCTGAGGCGTCTGTTCTGTTCCATTGGTCTATATATCTGTTTGGTACCAGTACCATGCTGTTTTGGTTACTGTAGCCTTGTAGTATAGTTTGAAGTCAGGTAGCTTGATGCCTCCAGCTTTGCTCTTTTTGCTTAGGATTGTCTTGGCAATGTGGCTTTTTTGGTTCCATATGAACTTTCAAGTAGTTTTTTCCAATTCTGTGAAGAAAAGTCATTGGTAGCTTGATGGGCATGGCACTGAATCTAGAAATTACCTTGGGCAGTATGGCCATTTTCACGACATTGATTCTTCCTATCCATGAGCATAGAATGTTCTTTCATTTGTTTGTGTCCTCTTTTATTTCATTGAGCAGTGGTTTGTAGTTCCCCTTGAAGAGGTCCTTCACATCCCTTGTAAATTGGATTCCTAGGTATTTTATTCTCTTTGTAGCAGTTGTGAATGGGAGTTCACTCATGATTTGGCTCTCTGTCTGTTACTGGTGTATAGGACTGCTTGTGATTTTTGCACATTGATTTTGTATCCTGAGACTCTGCTGAAGTTGCTTAACAGCTTAAGGAAATTTGGGGCTGCAACGATGGGATTTTCTAAATATACAATCATGTCATCTGCAAACAGGCACAATTTGGCTTCCTCTTTTCCTAACTGAATACCCTTTATTTCTTTCTCTTGCCTGATTGTCCTGGCCAGAACTTCCAACACTATGTTGAATAGGAGAGGTGAGAGAGGGCATCCCTGTCTTGTGCTAATTTTCAAAGGGAATGCTTCCAGTTTTTGCCCATTCAGTATATTGGCTGTGGGTTTGTCACAAATAGCTCTTATTATTTTGAGATACATTCCAACCATACCTAGTTTATTGAGAGTTTTTAGCATGAAACGATGTTGAATTTTATCGAAGGCCTTTTCTGCATCTATTGAGATAATCATGTGGTTTTTGTTGTTGGTTTTGTTTATGTGATGGATTACGTTTATTGATTTGCGTATGTTGAACCAGCCTTGCATCCCAGGGAGGAAGCTGACTTGATCATGGTGGATAAGCTTTTTGATGTGCTGCTGGATTCGGTTTGCCAGTATTCTATTGAGGATTTTTGCATCGATGTTCATCAGGGATATTGGTCTAAAATTCTCTTTTTTTGTTGTGTCTCTGCCAGGCTTTGGTATCAGGATGATGCTGGCCTCATAAAATGAGTTAGGGAGGATTCCCTCTTTTTCTATTGATTGGAATAGTTTCAGAAGGAATGGCACCAGCTCCTCTTTATACCTCTGGTAGAATTTGGCTGTGAATCCATCTGGTCCTGGACTTTTTTTGGTTGGTAGGCTATTAATTATTGCCTAATTTCAGAGCCTGTTATTGGTCTATTCAGAGGTTCAACTTCTTCTGATTTAGTCTTGGGAGGGTGTATGTGTCCAGTAATTTATCTGTTTCTTCTAGATTTTCTAGTTTATTTGTATAGAGGTGTTTATAGTATTCTCTGATGGTAGTTTGTATTTCTGTGGGATCAGTGGTGATATCCTCTTTATCAGTTTTTATTGCATCTATTTGATTCTTCTCTCTTTTCTTCTTTATTAATCTTGCTAGTGGTCTATCAATTTTGTTGATCTTTTCAAGAAACCAGCTCCTGGATTCATTGATTTTTTGAAGGTTTTTTTTGTGTCTCTATCTCCTTCAGTTCTGCTCTGATCTTAGTTATTTCTTGCCTTCTGCTAGCTTTTGAATTTGTTTGCTCTTGCTTCTTTTGTTCTTTTAATTGTGATGTTAGGGTGTCAATTTTAGATCTTTCCTGCTTTCTCTTGTGGGCATTTAGTGCTATATATTTCCCTCTACATACTGCTTTAAATGTGTCCCAGAGATTCTGGTATGTTGTATCTTTGTTCTCATTGGTTTCAAAGAACATTTTTATTTCTGCCTTCATTTCGTTATGTACCCAGTAGTCATTCAGGAGCAGATTGTTCAGTTTCCATGTAGTTGTGCAGTTTTGAGTGAATTTCTTAATCCTGAAGTCTAATTTGATTGCACTGTGGTCTGAGAGACAGTTTGTTGTGATTTCTGTTCTTTTACATTGGCTGAGGAGTGCTTTACTTCCAACTATGTGGTCAATTTTGGAATAAGTGCGATGTGGTGCTGAGAAGAATGTATATTCTGTTGATTTGGGGTGGAGAGTTCTGTAGATGTCTATTAGGTCCGCTTGGTGCAGAGCTGAGTTCAAGTCCTGGATATCCTTGTTAACCTTCTGTCTCATTGATCTGTCTAATATTGTCAGTGAGGTGTTAAAGTCTCCCACTATTATTGTGTGGGAGTCTAAGTATCTTTGTAGGTCTCTAAGGACTTGCTTTATGAATCTGGGTGCTCCTGGATTGGGTGCATATATATTTATATATTTAGGATAGTTAGCTCTTCTTGTTGAATTGATCCCTTTACCATTATGTAATGGCCTTCTTTGTTTCTTTTGATGTTTGTTGGTTTAAAGTCTGTTTTATCAGAGACTAGGATTGCAATCCCTGCTTTTTTTTGCTTTCCATTTGCTTGGTAGATCTTCCTCCATCCCTTTATTTTGAGCCTATGTGTGTCTCTGCGCATGAGATGGGCCTCCTGAATACAGCATACTGATGGGTCTTGACTCTTTATCCAATTTGCCAGTCTGTGTCTTTTAATTGGGGCGTTTAGTCCATTTACATTTAAGGTTAATATTGTTATGTGTGAATTTGATCCTGTCATTATGATGTTAGCTGGTGATTTTGCTCATTAGTTGATGCAGTTTCTTCCTAGTCTCGATGGTCTTTACATTTTGGCATGATTTTGCAGCGGCTGGTACCAGTTGTTCCTTTCCATGTTTAGTGCTTCCTTCAGGAGCTCTTGTAGGGCAGGCCTGGTGGTGACAAAATCTCTATCATTTGCTTGTCTGGAAAAGATTTTTTTTCTCCTTCCCTTATGAAGTTTAGTTTGCCTGGATATAAAATTCTGGGTTGAAAATTCTTTCCTTTAAGAATGTTGAATATTGGCCCCCACTCTCTTCTGGCTTGTAGAGTTTCTGCTGAGAGATCCACTGTTAGTCTGATGGGCTTCCCTTTGTGGGTAATCTGACCTTTCTCTCTGGCTGCCCTTAACATTTTTTCCTTCATTTCAACCTTGGTGAATCTGACAATTATGTGTCTTGGAGTTGCTCTTCTCGAGGAGTGTCTTTGTGGTGTTCTCTGTATTTCCTGAATTTGAATGTTGGCCTGCCTTGCTAGGTTGGGGAAGTTCTCCTGGATAATATCCTGAAGAGTGTTTTCCAATTTAGTTCCATTCTCCCCATCACTTTCAGGTGCACCAATCAAATGCAGATTTGGTCTTTTCACATAGTCCCATATTTCTTGGAGGCTTTGTTCGTTTCTTTTTACTCTTTTTTCTCTAAACTTCTCCTCTTGCTTTATTTCATTAATTTGATCTTCAATCACTGATACCCTTTCTTCCACTTGATTGAATCAGCTACTGAAGCTTGTGCATATGTCACGTAGTTCTTGTGCATGGTTTTTAGCTCCATCAGTCATTTAAGCTCTTCTCTACACTGTTTATTCTACTTAGCCATTGGTCTAATCTTTTTTCAAGGTTTTTAGCTCCCTTGCAATGGGTTCGAACATCCTCCTTTAGCTCAGAGAAGTTTGTTATTACCGACCATCTGAAGCCTACTTCTGTCAACTCGTCAGAGTCATTCTCTGTCCAGCTTTGCTCCATTGCTGGCGAGGAGCTCCGATCCTTTGGAGGAGAAGAGGCACTCTGGTTTTTGGAATTTTCAGCTTTTCTGCTCGGTTTCTCCCCATCTTTGTGGTTTTATCTACCTTTGGTCTTTGATGCTGGTGACCTACAGATGCGGTTTTGGTGTGGATGTCCTTTTAGTTGATGTTGATGTATTCCTTTCTGTTTGTTAGTTTTCCTTCTAAGAGTCAGGTCCCTCAGCTGCAGGTCTGTTGGAGTTTGCTGGAGGTCCACTCTAGACCCTGTTTGCCTGGGTATCACCAGCAGAGGCTGCAGAACAGAAAATATTGCAGAACAGCAAATATTGCTGCCTGATCTCGAGGAGGATTTTTTTTAAAGGTAAGAGCCATTAGGACATACTTCTATGATGATTGAAAAAATAAATAGTAAAAGTAGCTTGAAATAGTAATTGTATTCCTATTTCTGAGGTAAAGAAGACCATATATATATAAATATACACATATATATATTAATATATATACACACATATATTTTTGTTTGTTTGTTTTGAGACAGAGTCTCACTGTCTCCCAGGCTGGAGTGCAGTGCTGCGATCTCAGCTCACTGCAAACTCCACCTCCCAGGTTCAAGCGATTCTTGTGCCTCAACCTCCCAAGTAGCTGGGATTACAGGTGCACGCCACCACACCTGGCTAATTTTTGTATTTTTTTTTTGGATGGAGTTTCACTCTTGTTGTCCAGGCTGGAGTACAATGTTGTAATCTCAGCTCACTACAACCTCTCCCTCCCTGGTTCAAGCGATTCTTCTGCCTCAGCCTCCCAAGTAGCTGGGATTACAGGCATGCGCCACCATACCCAGCTAATTTTTGTATTTTTAGTAGAGATGGGGTTTCACCATGTTTTCCAGGCTGGTCTGGAACTCCTGACCTCAGGTGACCCACCCACTTCGGCCTCCCAAAGTGCTGGGATTACAGGCATGAGCCACTGTGCCCAGCTTAATTTGTGTGTTTTTTAGTAGAGGCAAGGTTTTGCCATGGTGGGCCAGGCTGATCTCAAACTCCTGACCTGAAGGGATACACCCATCTCAGTCTCCCAAAGTGCTGGAATTACAGGGGTGAGCCACCGTGCCTGTCTCACATTTATAATTAATAAAGAAAATGGAGGGCTGGGAGCGGTGGCCCATGCCTGTAATCTCAGCATTATGGGAGGCCAATGCTGGAGGATTGCTTGAGGCCAGGAGTTGGAGACCAGCCTGGGCAACATAGCAAGTCCCTGTCTCTGCAAAAAGTGGTACGCACCCATCATCCCAGCTACTCAGGAGGCTGAGATGGGAGGATCACTTGAACCTAGGAATTCCAGGCTGCAGTGAACTATGATCATGCCACTGCACTCCAGCCTGGGTGACAGAGCAAGACCCTGTCTCTAAAAAAAGAAAGAAGAAAAGAAAAAGAAAATGGAAAAGAAAATTTCCAATTCAGGAATTCTGGTGCCTAAGCACCTTTGACCTCAATGATGAGGAAGATTTAAATTCAAGGGATTATAAGAGATGAGGGAGGGTATGACTTATTTTCCCCCAAGTAGCTGCCTCAGTTCTCCATAATTAAACAGTGCATATGAAAATAACCATAGATCTATTCTGGTACTAATTTTCTAGAAAAAGTTTCATTTTCCCACTGTACTTTCAGTAGTTTCTTGCATCACTAGTGCAGTGTCCTGAATAGTTCACATTCAAGGTCAGCAATTTTTGTTTATTTTTTGAGATAGAGTCTTGCTCTGTTGCCCAGGTTGGAGTGCAGTGGTGCAATCTCACCTCATTGCAACCTCTGCCTCCTGGGGTCAAGTGATTCTCCTGCCTCAGCCTCCTGAGTAGCGGGGATTACAGGCCACGCGCCACCACGCCTGGCTGATTTTTGTATTTTTAGTAAAGATGGGGTTTCACCATATAGGACAGGCTGGTCTCGAACTCCTGACCTCGTGATCCACCCGCCTCAGCCTCCCAAAGTGCTGGGATTACAGGTGTGAGCCACCGCACCTGGCCAGGTCAGTGACCTTATTAACCATTTGCTCAACAAGTAATTTAATCATTCAACAGGATTCATTCAGCCCCCAGAATATGGCAGGGTACACGCATCTACAACGCTAGGTGATAGAGACAAGCTGCAAAGGCCAGGCTCTGCCCTCACCGTTCTCAGTAGGGTGGGAAGTTTTGGACACCTGTGTGAGACCCATGCAAGGCACCCACCATGGCTGAATCACAAGAGGTATCTGCTGCAGCCACAACACAGCAGGGACATCAGGAGAGGACAATGTGGCATAGAAAGCAAAGAGGGATCCACTGGGAAGAGGGTGTGGCCTCAGCCCTGCAGCACCTGGGGAAGTGCTGTCCCTCAGGAACCTAGTAGTCCCCCCAGAGGGTGCCGCTCTTATATGGGGGTTGACTGTCTTACAACCTGAAGTCTTCTGCCAAACTCTGCAACTGATTTCCGGGAAATCTCTGTGAAGAGCAAAACATGTTACCAGCACAGTAGGTCAACCCCAGGGCGGAGCCCCCTGCTCACTTACACAACTGTCATTTCTGCCTCCCCTGGACCAGCACCGGCAGGACGCTCGCTGTGTGGCTTTCACTGGGAGAGAACATTGTGGCCCGCCAGGGGAGTGTCTCTGCCCTGGGAACTTGGCGCTCCTGCCCAGGTATTATAGAGCCGGGATGAGAGGAGAGGGTTAGGAACACCACTAAGACCTCAGCCCGCCAAGCCGCAGTTTGAAAATTCAAGCCGTGTTGGACTGAGTGTTAGCACAGTTTCCAGAAAGGCTAGTTTACTCCCTGGCACTGGAAGAATCTGATTCAACGTCAATCCAGAATGTGCTGTGGTGAATGTTCTCTCTATATAAAGTATCTCCTATTTCAACAGCCATCATGGGAAAAGAAGTCTATGAAAAGTAAAAGGAGCAGCAATGAGTGAGAAGCACTGCTCAGTCACAGCAAATGTTCCCACCCAAGAAATAATTTTATTCTATTTTTGCAAATGCAAATAAGAATGGAAATTTAACATGGTCACTTTCACCGTGGAGCAGGCTTTTATAACTGCTGCCGAGTTCCGCAATCATCATAAATGCCTCTCATTCACTCACATGCTAAGCTTGACCCTCACGCGTCCTCGCAGCACATCCGAGACTTCGGTGTCTTTCTCTCAGCTAGAAGCCTGCCATTTTCCAGCTTCTGTTTTGCACAAATGCAGCAAGCTAAGCAGCTTAGGTTTAGGATCTGGGTTTAGACAGTGAAAGATTTTGAGTTGCACTTTTTCAGCCTGTCGTGGAGAGAGCGTGGTGAAGGGGCAACTCCTGGAGGGCCGTGGCTTTTCGTCCTGTGTGCCCTGAGGCCAGTCACTTAGCTTCTCGGGGCCTCAGTTTCCTCCTTCAGGACATGAGGAGGTTGGACAGTAGACTCTCTGAGGTTTCTTCCAAAAACTACAACCTATGATTCTTTGAGCCCCTCCAACTGAACTAGGTTACTCCAGTGGGCAATAAAACAAGAACACACTCTCCAGCCTTCTAGTTTCTGAATACGGCATGGAAGAAGTAAAATGGAATCTACCCCCGAGGAAGCCACACCACTGCAGGGCAGGGTGCAGAAAGAAATAGGTCTCTAGGGGCCTGGCCTGCTAAACCCAGAGGCTGCCTGCCGTCGGCAGCTGGCGCTCAGGGGTGCATAGGGGACTGGAGAAAGAGAAGGGCTCCACAAACCCAAGACCCTGTTCAGTCCCCAGCTAGTTCTCTGCTCAGGGGCTTTACCCAAAACCATAAGATAAACTCTTTTTCTACAAATCCACATAGGCTTCCCAGAAACCAAAAGGCTCTCCACAATGTTTCACATGAGTCTTAAACACTGGCTCAGGTTGGGCGCGGTGGCTCACGCCCGTAATCCCAACACTTTGGGAGTCCCAGGCGGGCGGATCACAAGGTCAGGAGATTGAGACCATCCTGGCTAACATGGTGAAACCCCGTCTCTACTAAAAATACAAAAACACAATTAGCCAGGTGTGGTGGCGGGCGCCTGTAGTCCCAGCGACTCAGGAGGCTGAGGCAGAATGATGTGAACCCGGGAGACGGAGCTTGCAATGAGCCGAGATCGCGCCACTGCACTCCAGCCTGGGCGACAGAGCGAGACTCCATCTCAAAGAAAAAAAAAAAAAAAAACCCACTGACTTATCAAGCAGAGGTTCATCAATGCTTTTTGGATGACGCGGTTCCACACAACTTCTCGGCTGCGCATGACACCTTTCTCCTAGCCCCAGATTCAACAGTCAGCAGCTTACGAAAAAGATCCCCCTAGTAACTTTATTGAGACATAAGTTACAAACAAGTTGTACTGACTTAAAGTATACAACTGGATGAGTCTGGACAGTTGTATACACCATGAAACTACCATCACCACCAAGATCACAACACTGCCATGGCCACCAAAAGATTCCTGGGCTCTTCTGCAGTCCTGTCTTCTATCCCCTGCTACAGGCAACCACCGACCTGCTTTTTGTCACTATATAGATCGGTTTGAGTCTAGAATTTTAAATAAATAGAATCAAACAGTATGTCCTTTTGTGTTTGGCTTCTTCCACTCAGCATAATGAGATCTGTTCATGTTGCTTGTACCAACATGTGTTTCTTTTTATTGCTAAATAGTAACCCATTGTATAGATGCACTATGTTTTATTTATCCATTTACCCCTTGGAGGGTATTTGGGTTGTTTCCAGGGGATATTACGAATAAAGATTCATGTGCGAGTCTGAGTGTGGACGTGTATTTTTATTTTTCTTGAGTAAATAGGAGTAGAATGGCTGGATCATATGGTAGGTGTATGTTTAAAGAAAGTTCACAAAATCCTGAGGCAAACAATAAATGATTGCCAGACACACCTTTGCCCTCAATGCAAAAAAAGGTTAGAGTTTCTTTGGAGGCATTGATTTTTAACGTTCTCTTTCTCTGAATGTTTTGAATATAACAGGGATGGAAGAAGAGGTTTTAACAAGTTATACATCATTTCCCTCATTTGCAGAGGAGGAAATTAGGGCCTGGTGAGATGAAGGTACCTGCCAAAAATGAAGTTATATACAGGCCTGGCACAGTGGTTCATGCCTATAATCTCAGCACTTTGGGAGGCTGAGGTCGCTTGAGCCCAGGAGTTTGAGATCAGCCTGGCCAACAAGGTGAAACCCTGTCTCTACAAAAAATACAAAAATGAGCTGGGCATGGTGGCACACACCTTTAGTCCCAGCTACTTGGAAGGCTGAGATGGGAGGATCACCTGATTCCAGGAAGTCGGGGCTGCAGTGAGCTGTGATCACATCACCACACTCCAGCCTGGGGGATGGGAATGAGACCCTGTCTAAAAAAAACCAGAAAGGCTGGCGCGGTGGCTCATACCTGTAATCCCAGCACTTTGGGAGGCCAAGGTAGGTGGATCCCTTGAGGTCAGCAGTTCAAGACTAGCCTGGTCAACATGGTGAAACCCCGTCTTTACCAAAAGTACAAAAATTAGCTAGGTGTGATGGCACATGCCTGTAATCCCAGCTACTCAGGAGGCTGCAGCAGGAGGATCACCTGAGCCTGGGAGGCAGATGTTGCAGTCAGCCAAGATCATGCCACTTCACTGCAGCCTGGGCAACAGAGTAAGACCCTGTCTAAAAAACAAAACAAAAAAACAAAATCAACAACAACAACAACAAAACAATCATGCTTGATTAAAAACTAAAAACAAAAATAACCCCCAAAACAATAACAACAAAGAGTTACAAGCTGCATGGAAGATAGTGGCAGGTCACGTGTGTGAAGAACACCGCGTGGCAAATGCACGTGTGCGGAGTTCTTCATGGAAGGAAATGTCAAGAAGAGCCCCCTGGCTCTGGGAGCTGACTCACACTATTAGAGTTGTGCACTGTCACAGCTGGGAGTGGCCTTAGTCATCATTTATATTGGATGACACATCTTCTCAACTTAGAATCTGATGAGGAAAAGTCGTTTTTAGCATGAGTTTCTGACAGAACCCCAGCCCTGAGACTTAACAGTCATGTGGACGGACCATCACTTTGCCCCAGGCCAGCACTGCCCACTCAAACAGCTAGGCCTTTGCAGTTTGAGTAGGTCAACACCTCTGTGGAAACACCTCACACCTTTGACAAATGTCAAACTGCCAGTAGTGAACTTTGAATTCCTTCAAGTAGAATCCAGTGGAAATAGTTGTTCCTTTTTCATCCTTGTTTGCAATAAAAATGGAATGAAATCTTTAATTGAGCACATCTCTTTCCTAATCTGAAAATAAGCCTCATAAAATTCTAATTAAAAAAATCAATTCGGCCGGGCGTGGTGGCTCACGCCTGTAATCCCAGCACTTTGGGAGGCCCAGGCGGGTGGATCACCTGAGGTCCTGGGAGTTTGAGACCAGCCTGACCAACATGGAGAAACCCGTCTCTACTAAAAATACAAAATTAGCCGGTGTAGTGTCGCATGTCTTAATCCCAGCTACTCAGGAGGCTGAGGCAGAAGAATCGCTTGAACCCTGGAGGTGGAGGTTGCGATGAGCCGAGGTGGCACCACTGCACTCCAGCCTGGGCAATAAGAGTGAAACTCCATCTCAAAAAAAAAAAAAAAATCAATTCATGTTTGCTGTCTATTGTCAATAGCATGCGTGATTCCTGGAGGGATATTGATAAGATCACTTTTAGCAATAAGATAGCAAATCTTATTTTAGACGGGACGCTGCTTGATGCATAATATTTTGAGTGTTACAATCAGGTAGATAAAAAAATGCATATTTTGAGGAAGAAACATGTCACTTGGAAGTATTTGACCATAACCTCAACAGCAAATAAAATTACTTCATTCCTTCAGGAAAAACAACATTGAGAAGAGAATTCATGATATGAAAAGAATATATTGGTTAGAATGGAATGACTTAGAGTTGGTTTCTTGGAATGACTTTTTCTTCACAAAGTGAAAAGAATTGAAATGAAATTCAAAAATTATTTGACCCAAATAATAAAGAGGAAGAAATAACAACTTACAGAGAGATGTTACCTTTATCATGTTTTCAAATTTGTCGGTTTTCTCAAAGGCATCCTAGGCTGTGGTGAAAAAAGCTCCTATCATCCTTGCAGTTGCTTTTATAACCTGCAGATTACGCTGAATCCCAAAGGCATTTTTGTATGTTGTTGTTTTTTTTTTTTGAGACGGAGTCTTGCTCTGTTGCCCAGGCTGGAGTGCAGTGGCTCGATCTCAGCTCACTGCAACCTCTGCCTCCCAGGTTCAAGTTATTCTCCTGCCTCAGCCCCCCGAGTAGCTGGGATTACAGGCACCCGCCACTGCGCCAGGCTAATTTTTGTATTTTTAATAGAAACCAGGTTTCACCATGTTGGCGTCTGGTCTCAAGCTTCTTACCTCAAGTGATCCGCCCACCTTGGCCTCTCAAAGTCCTGAGATTACAGGCATGAGCCATGGTGCCCGGCCATACTGCATGTTTTTAAGGAACCCATACATATTCTCACTCTGAAGGTAAACTGTTGGCTCCCAGTCTGCAACAAAAACTATTCCAGTATTCAGTCAAGGTGGAACCAAAATCTTCACATTGAAATCTAAGTTGAAGGGAGATTTTTACTGAAGAAGGTGTATGGGAAGGCTAAGTAAGTTCTCTAGGTGAGGAATGGGGGTGTCACCCACTTTTTATCATAATGACCCCCTTTATTTGATCCCAACTCGAATAACCCTGGGGCTCTTTCCAGAGGGCTGAGGAGGCAGGAGACCTAAGCACTCTTAGTATTACTGACAGCATTTTAGCATCCGGAATGCCAGGGTCTGGTTTTCCAAAAACCTGTCCCCAAGGCTCTTTTGAGTCCATGTGAATTAATCTCCTCTGGCACAAGAGGAAAATTATATTTGGAATGCAGTTTAATCATTGCATGCAACTTTCTTGCAAATATTTTCTCCATTATGTTTGAAGCAGGCATTGTAGGAATCAGGTATTCGACGGGAGGTGTGAGCGCTTCATGGACTCTTAGCTCTCTTTTATCAACCCAAAACTTATAGCACAGTCTTGGGATCAAATAACAAACCAGGCAAAAGAGGGAAGAGAATGAATTATGGTCAGCAATTCAGAAGACACACTAGAATCTTCCAGTGACTGTCCTAAAAAGTCCAGCAACAGCCTCGTGAGCAGTCAACTCCTTTTATCTTTCTGTCTCTGTTACTCTCATCACTGAAGATGGCAAAGAAAAGTATGCTTCCTGGAGAAAAAAAGCACACCTGAGTTCAAATCGGATTCCATCCTTCCCTAGTTAGAGGGTGCTGGGTGACGACCGATTTCCTGGAGTGTCAGGGTGCTTGTATGTGAAGCAGAGCCACTGCTCACCTCCCCAGGGCTGTAGTAAGGGCCACGTGACTTTACATGCTGAGTGCGCGACACATGCTGTGTGTTCCATGAAAGTTCTTATTCTCCTTCCCTACAGCTGTTTCTCTTTCAAATAGAATGACATCTTTTCAGAAAACAAAACTAGAATTACAGGTTTGAGACATGTTGGTTTGATGAATAAATCATTAGTCAAGGGGAGAATTTGGACCTTTTCTCTTTATTGCGACTCAAGCTAATATTTGGCAGGCATTGGCTAAGGACTTAGGCCACACGATGCCCCGCGATGAAACTCAAAGCCGAGCTTCATCCAACTTTCAGTTCAGGCGGCTTCAGGCCATCTAAGTGGGAGAATTAAAGCAGATTGGTAACTGTATTCCAGCCTGCCTCATGTGGCTTATGATTAATTTAGTAGAGGATCTTTTGGTGTGTTCTTCACTCTCTGAAGGAGGCTGCATCCTGCCCAGGGAACAATCTATGACAGGGCCCTTAGGGAAAATTTGGTCTTGACAAAATATCTGTCAATAGTTTCGTCTTCATCTTGGAAGAGGCCTTGTATCCTTCCTGGCTGGTGATGACAAAAATAGATCCTGGCACCTAAAAAAAAGATGATAGACTAAGACATATGATGAATGAAAGCCCAAAGTTATGAATATAACACAGCACAGAGGAACATGTTTGATTATTTATTTTTGTTGAGTTTGTCACTCTAAAGAACAGAGGGAGGCTCTCAAAAAGAAAAAACATATATTTATTTGGGAATAGGGCAGTGCAATGGGAATATGCATGCCACAGTAAACTGTGTGTGTGTACCCAGGGAGGCAAAAATGAAGACAAAAGGTTTTAAAGGAGAGATGAGGAGGATTACATAACGATTTTGAAATTATTATCCTTGGCTACAAAGATCAATAACAAGGGTGAGGCCAATAACAAGGGTGAGGTTGGACAGGCAGTTGCTGGGTGGATGTCTGCACAGAACATTTAGCGTGTAAGGCTTAAATGGCCTTTGTGCAAGGCTGTGTTTTTTGTAGTCTTTTGTGACAGCTTTTGTTATCAGACATATAAGTGAGAACCCTCTCTTCACAGCCTACCCTCACTCTATTTTTAGGCTTTATTTTTTTCCTTTTTAACACAAGTGACTCCATTTTGATTCTGCTTTCACATTCCCTCTTTTGTTTTTTTCCTTTTTTGTATCTTTATTATACTTTATTGTTAGTTCCCACAAGCAAAACATTCCCCTTTTGATCAAGATATTTCTCCAAAAGTATCACTAGTCAATCACCCTGTAGTTGGGTTTTGGTGTCCCTTGGTGCTGGGATAGACTTGTCCCAGGTTGCTGGTCTCATCCCACGATGGAGAAAATGAATGGCAAGTAGGAGTCATTGTCAAAACTCTTTTAAACACCTTTGCACAAAAGGGAGGTTGGAAGGGACTGGCTCTCAGGCTAAGTCTGCCTGGACTCCATTATGGAGTTCAATTTTGTCTGTTGTGTAGTTTTTTGCTGTCATCTCAAAGTGTTGGGTCAGTGTTATTCTGAGTTTCTACGTCCACAAAAATTTAACAAGTAACAAAGTTGTTGTTGTTTTTTCTGAGATGGAGTCTTGTTCTGTTGCCCAGACTGGAGTGCAGGGGCATGATCTCGGCTCAGCGCAACCTCTGCCTCCCAGGTTCAAACAATTCTCCTGCCTCAGTCTCCTGAGTAGCTGAGATTACAGGTGCACACGACCATTTAGCAGGGGAATATATGGCTCTTAGAAAAAGTAAAAGCATGTGAAATTTCCTGGTTATATGAAACAATTCAGACACATGAAGAAAAGCTGGTTGGGTGCAATGGCTCATGCCTGTAACCCCAGTACTTTGGGAGGCCAAGGTGGGAGGATCATTTGAGGCCAGGATTTTGAGACTAGTCTGGGCAACATAGAGATATCCCATCTCTACAAAAAATAAAAAAGTAAGCTGGGCATGTGGCATTGCCTGTAGTCCCAGCTACTTGGGAGGCTGAGGTTGGAGGATCATTTGAGCCTGAGAGATTGAGGCTTTGGTGAACTGCGATTGTGCCACTGCACTCCAACTTGGGCAACAGAGCAAGACCCTGTCTCAAAGAAAAAAAAAGAAAAGAAAAGCTAAGAGTACAACATCAAGTTATACTAGAGGAAAACATTGCTTTTCTAGGTCTTAAAGAGAGTCATTTCAGCAGCAGGCAGTAACAGCAGAGTTAGAACTGGAAAAAAAGTCACAAGAGCTTACTAAAAACCTGAAAAAGTTAATATCCTAGCTGAGCCAAAAGATATGCCTTTTCAAGAGGGGAAAGGAGAGTTGAAGACAATTATACATGCCCTGCAAATTGTGTGCAGTGAGACACAGCCAAAGTTGAACTTCTGAGATATGAATCTGAGAAACTTCTAGAGGAAAACTCTACCTCAAGAAATGAAATTACCACTCTGAATAAAAAAGACAGCATTTCTAACCTAAAACTATGGAAATTAAATGAATCTCAGGACAAAATATGGCAGTAATATAAACTGCAATTTAGAAGATGGCGGTTACAAAGGAGATTTCAGATTTAAAAATCAAAACCTCTTGCAATTTTACTAAGAGCAAATCAATATATCAAGAAAATCGACTAGCCTGGACAACATGGTGAGACCCCATCACTATAAAAAATTTAACAATTATCTCAGTGTGGTGGTGCATGCCTATGTTTCCAGCTACTAGGGAGGCTGAGGTGGGAGGATCACTTGAGCCTGGGAGGCTGAGGCTGCAGTAAGCTGTGATCAGGCCACTGAACTCCAGCCTGGATGACTGAGTGAGAACCTTTCTAGAAAAATAAAACATTAAAAAAGAAAACCTTGTTGTGGCCGGGCACGGTGGCTCATGCCTGTAATCCCAGCACTTTGGGAGGCCAAGATGGGTGGATCACGAGGTCAGAAGATCGAGACCATCCTGACTAACACAGTGAAACCCTGTCTCTACGAAAAATACAAAAAAATTAGCTGGGCATAGTGGTGGGCGCCTGTAGTCCCAGCTACTCAGGAGGCTGAGGCAGGAGAATGGCGTGAACCTGGGAGGCGGAGCTTGCAGTGAGCCGAGATCATGCCACTGCACTCCAGCCTGGGCGACTGAGTGAGACTCCATCTCAAAAAAAAAAAAAAGAAAACTTTGTTGTTCTAGCATAAGAAACCACACTTTAATTTTGCATTTATTTATTTATTTTATTTTTTTTTGAGATGGAGTCTCACTCTGTCACCAGGCTGGAGTGCAGTGGCACGATCTCAGCTCACTACAACCTCCACCTCCCGGGTTCAAGCAATTCTCCTGCCTCAGCCTCCTGAGTAGCTGGGACTACAGGCACACGCCACCATGCCCAGCTAATTTTTGTATTTTTTGTAGAGATGGGGTTTCACCATGTTGGCCAGGATGGTCTTGATCTTTTGTCCTCTTGATCTGCCCTCCTCAGCCTCCCAAAATGCAGGGATTACAGGCATGAGCCACTGCGCCCAGCCGCATTAGTGTATTTTTAATATCAAAGATCACTTATAACATAGAAACACTTTAGAAACACTTACAAATAATTCCCCTCTAATTATAGCCAACTGAATCACACACACAACTCCTTTCATAAAGTTCTCCACAAACCTTTTTCATGACTTACTCATACCATTGACAACATGCTCGGACTTTCTGCTTTGTCCTATACTTCCTCTTAAACAACTAGTGGGGCAAAAATTTACCACATAAAGGCCAGGCACGGTGGGTCACCCCTGTAATCCTAACACTTTGGGAGGCCCAGGTTGGTGGACTGCTTGAGGCCAGGAGTGCAAGATCAACATGGCAAGACCCTGCCTTTCAAATAAATAAATAAATAAATAAATAAAAATAAATAAGTAATTTACCACATAAGATTCTTTCTCATACAAATTTATTCTCTTTTGTTTTTAACCTTACCAAAAATACACCTTACTTTCTTTTTCTTCTGTTGTTTTCTTTTTTTGAGATGGGGTCTTGCTCTGTCTCCCAGGCTGGAATACAGTGGCACAATCTCTGCTCATTGCAACCTCCACCTCCTGGGCTCAAGCGATTCTCCTGCCTCAGCCTCCTGAGTAGCTGGGATTATAGGCACCCACCACCAAGCCTGGCTAAATTTTTGTATTTTTAGTAGAGACTGGGTTTCACCATGTTGGCCGGGCTTGTTTCAAACTCCTGACCTCAAATGATCCACCTGCCTCAGCCTCCCAAAGTGCTGGGATTACAGGCATGAGCCACTGTGCCCAGCCATCTTTCTTGAGACAGGGTTTTGCTCTGCTGCCTAGGCTGGAGTGCAGTGGCACATTCATAGCTCACTGCAGCCTAAAACTCCTAGGCTCACATGATCTTCCCACCTCAGCCTCCAGAGTAGCTGGGACTACAGATACACGCCACCATACCCAGCTAAATTTTTTTAGTTTTTTGTGGAGACGAGGTCTTGCTATATGGCACAGGCTGGTCTCAAACTCCTGGCCTCAAGTGATCCTCCTACCTCAGCCTCCCAAAGTGCTGGGATTACAAGTGTAAGTCACTGCATGTGGCACATAACTTACTTTCTCTCTTTCCTACTTACTGGTTCCTTTCTGTCTTGCTTCTATTTCCTTCCTAAAGTTATATTTTGAAATAATTTTAAAATAACCTCTACATTAGACAAATGTATTCTTATTCAATAAAGAACAGATTTTTATGTCTTTCTTATAATTTTTTTTACAAAAAACACACACTTTGTGTGTATTAATAGACCCAAGTATATTTAGTCTTTGTATAAAATTTAAGAAACAACAAATAAACTTATATTCAGCAATTTGTTTCAGGTTTTTTTTTTTTTTTTTTTTTTTTTTTGAGACAGAGTCTCACTCTGTTGCCCAGGCTGGAGTGCAGTGGCGTGATCTTGGCTCACTGCAACCTCCACCTCCTGGGTTCAAGTGATTCTCCTGCCTCAGCCTCCCAACTAGCTGGGATTACAGGCGCCTGTCACTGCACCGGGCTACTTTTTTGTATTTTTACTAGAGATGGGGTTTCGCCATCTTGGCCAGGCTGGTCTTGAACTCCTGACCTTGTGATCCACCTGCCTCAGCCTCCCAAAGTGCTGGGATTACAGGCGTTAGCCACCGCGCCTGGCCTGTTTCAGTTTTTAAAAAATCTTATTTGGAAATGACCCAGACATTTAATGAGTATCTATTACTTAATTTAACATAATTTTAAGATTTCAAATTAAAAGTTTCTTTATAAATATTTACACCATTTACATTTATGCAATTTAATAATTTATCTGGATTACTTATAAAAACTGACATATTAGACAAAGCCTAGAACCCTTTCAAATTATTTTGCTATTAACCATTTTTATAGCCTGTGAATATCAGGTTTTCACCTAAGTCAGAACTTTAAAGATAAACATGTAGGTATTTTGTCCATGACTCATAAATCTGTTTTCATTATGAGCAATATTAAATTAGTTTTACATATCAAAGAGTTACACAAAGATCATTCTGGTTTATGCTGGGTTTATAGTTATATAACCTTTGTGTCAAACCCAGACATCTTAAAACATCTAGTAGAGACAAATATAGAACTGTCTGACAAGTAAACTCTGGGAAAAATGTATGTGGACACTTCTAAAGATATCTGTATTTTTATTTTACCAATAGTTTTAAAACCATCTTATTAACAATTTACTTAAGTCATGTGAACTAAAAGGCACTTGAATTACCACATTTTATATGAGCACTCAGTTATATAAGCCAATCTGAAAATAATTTCTTTTTTTCTTTTTTTTTTGAGATGGAGTCTCACTCTTTTGCCCAGGCTAGAGTACAGTGGCGTGATTTTGGCTAACTGCAACCTCCACCTCCCGGGTTCAAGCGATTCTCCCACCTCAGCCTCTCGAGTTAGCTGGGATTATAGGCATGTGCCACCATGCCCAGCTAATTTTTTTATTTTTAGTAGAGACGGGGTTTCGCCATGTTGGCTAGGCTGGTCTTGAACTCCTGAACTCAGGTGATCCGCCCGCCTCAGCCTCCCAAAGTGCTGGGACTACAGGCATGAGCCACTGCATCTGGCCCAACCAGAAGAGAATTTCTTAATGATTTCTGGCCAACCACGGCAGATTTGATCATGCAGACACAACATAATACATGTACATATGCACAAACATACCTAAACACACACACACGAAGATGTTACAGCTTTCATTTTACAATTTTATTCATGATATAGTAATACAAACTCACCAGTTTATAAAACATACTTGGATTGCCGGGCACGGTGGCTCACGCCTGTAATACCAGCACTTTGGGAGGCCGAGGTGGATCACCTGAAGTTGAGAGTTCAAGACCAGGCTGATCAACATGGAGAAACCCTGTCTCTACTAAAAATACAAAAGTAGCCGGCTGTGGTGGCGCATGCCTGTAATCCCAGCTACTCAGGAGGCTGAGGCAGGAGAATCGCTTGAACCCAGGAGGCAGAGGTTGCAGTGAGCTAAGATCGTGCCACTGCACTCCAGCCTGGGCAACAGGAGCGAAACTCTGTCTCAAAAAAAAAAACAAACAAAAAAAACTTGTATTCAAGTTATGACAAAATTTCAGACAAAACTGGGACCTATTTATACAACTAAACTGCATTTTCCCCAAAAAGGTAATCTAATGAAGGCTGTGGACCAAAATGTTGCGTAAAGCAGTTTCCATAGCAGTTTGATTTTTAAAAAACTCCTTCACCTTTTTTTTCTTTTTCTTAGTTTCATGTAAGTTTAGTTTTAAATTTTCAATGTTTATATTTTAGATAGGACTGGCCAAATTGTATAAGAAAAACAAAATCTCTAAGTAGCTCTGTATTATTTTTTTTGGAGACAGAATCTTGCTTGGTTGCCCAGGCTGGAGTGCAGTGGTGTGATCTCAGTTCACTGCAGCCTCTGCTTCCTGGGTTCAAGCAACTCTCATGCCTCAGCCTCCCAAGTAGCTGGGATTACAGGCATGCACCACCACACCCAGCTAATTTTTTTTTTTTTTTGTACTTTTAGTAGAGATAGGGTTTCACCATATTGGCCAGGCTGGTCTTGAACTCCTGACCTCAAGTGATCTGCCTGCCTCAACCTTCCAAAATTCTGGGATTATAGGCGTGAGCCACCACGCCTGGCCGGCCTTGTATTTTTAGTAATAATCTATCTTTTGCCAGTCTGGTGTGTTTGACTAGTCAATGTGGACGGGGAAACATGTTAGAAGGCTTTGCTTTGCTTTTGTTTTGACTTTCTCCTTTTGGCCCCTGCATGGCAGACAAAGCAAATTTTTTATGCTGGACAAAGATATCATATGATTGCTCTGAGATCAAGATTTTGATCTATTTGATCTGAGTGTGTAACTTTATAAACATTTATCTGGTTTTTGGTTTTTTGTTTTTTTTTTTTTGAGATGGAGTCTCACTCTGTCACCCAGGCTGGAGTGCAGTGGCATGATCTCTGCTCACTGCAACCTCCACCTCCCGATTTCAAGCGATTCTCCAGCCTCAGTCTCCTGAGTAGCTGGGATTACAGGCATGCGCCACCACACCGGGCTAATTTTTGTATTTTTAGTAAAGACAGGGTTTCACCATGTTGGTCAGGCTGGTCTCAAGCTCCTGACCTCATAATTTGCCCACCTCAGCCTCCCAAAGTGCTGGGATTACAGGTGTGAGCCACCACACCTGGTCTTATCTGGTTCTTTTTCTTTTATATTGTCAATCCTTCAATTATCCATTTCATCACAATATGCAATTATTAGTCAGGCAAACCTAAATTTACATTCCCAAAGATTTCTAGATTGTTACTTGCCATGGAGCTATTGTAATGTGTAAAGCCAATAATTTGAAAGAGCTTTAAAATCTTTTTTTTTTTTTTTTTTTTTTTGAGACAGGGTCTCAGTCTGTCATCCAGGCACATCAGGAGTACAGTGGCACAATCATAGCTCATTGGAACTTCAAACTCCTGGGCTCAAGTGATCCTCCTGCTTCAGCCTCTCAAATAGGTAGGACTACAGGCATGCACCACCATGCCCAGCTAGTGTAAAAAAAATTTTTTTTTGGTAGAAATGAGGTCTTGCTGTTTTGCCCAGGCTGGTCTTGAACTCCTGGCTTCAAGCCATTCTCTTGTCTTGGCCTTCCAAAGCACTAGGATTACGGGCATGGGCCACCATGCCCAGTCCAAGACCTTTTCTGGAATGCCATAACACCGACAGAAAAATCAGCAGATTTAAAGTAGGCAGAAGGAAAAAAAAAACAGAGGCAGACAAAGAACTCAGAAGGCTCTATATGCTAACTCTATAGTTGCAAGGTTTTTAAAGAGAGTTTAAAATAATGACCATTTTGGCTCTGAATTTTCCATTATGTACTTTGCCTATCTGTTTAAAAATATGCACAAGAACTGATCATAATATGTAGCTGGCTTCAGTCCCAGAAAACGTGGCATGCCTTAATGTTTGAGAATCTCATTCTGTTCTTATTAATATATTGAGAGCAAAGAAGATCCTATAAATCCTATCAGAGAGTGTCAGGACTTTGGACCAATGTTTAGATGGTGGTGGCTGCCCTAGTGGCTTTTAATCAGCCATTCTGTATGAATTAAATGTTTATTTTTGCTCTCAGAACATTTTCAGAAACAAGCAAGGGAAAAGAGTTACAGATGCCTGTAACCAAATGAAACCAGGGTAAGAGTGTTCACAAAAATTTTAAGCCAGGTTTGCAGATCAAACAAAATATTAAATTAAGAAGTAAGTTCACCAGAAAAAACATGCCTCAAAGACAGAGTGTAAATTCCGTAGAATTCAGAGTGCTCAACCCAGAAAGACACTTGTCTTTATACCAAAAAGAACTTGCCAGAAAAAACAAGAAGTATTTTATCATCCCAGGGGGATCTGAGGTCCTTTTTTTTTTTTTCTGAGATGGAGTCTCACTCTATTACCCAGGCTGGAGTACAGTGGCAGTGATCTCAGCTCACTGCAACCTCCACCTCCCAGGTTCCAGTGATTCTCCTGCCTCAGTGTTCTGAGTAGCAGGAATTACAGGCACCCACCACCATGCCCAGCTAATTTTTGTATTTTTAGTAGAGACAGTGTTTCACCATGTTGACCACGCTGGTCTGGAACTCCTCACCTTAGGTGATCCGCCTGACTCGGCCTCCCAAAGTGTTGGGATTATAGGCGTGAGCCACTGCGCTTGGCCAGGTCCTTTAATTTTTTTTTTTTTTTTTTTTTGACAGGTTCTCACTCTGTCACTCAGGTTGTAGTGCCGTGGCGCCATCTTGGCTCACTGCAACCTCTACCTCCCAGGCTCAAGCAATCCTCCCACCTCAGCCTCCCAAGAAGCTGGGATTACAGGCACGTGCCACCATGCCCAGCTGATTTTTGTCTTTTTTGTAGAGATGGGATTTTGCTATGTTGCTCAGGATGGTTTCAAACTCCTGAGCTCAAGGACCCACCTGCCTCCCAAAGTGCTGGGAATACAGGCATAAGCCACCATGCCCAGCCTATAAGGTCTTTTATTAAGGCAGGCTTACAACCAAAGTGATCCTAAAAAAATTTTTAAAGCCTCTACCAAAAAGAGGGAGGCTCAGCCTGAGAGAAGACTCACCAGGGCAGAAGAGGCGAGCCGTGAAAGTGGAGAGCTCAAAGGGCTCCTGTAAGTGCTGCATACTGGTACCAAGAATTGCCAGCTCTGTCCAAAACTGATCCTACTTCAGGTCCTGCTTCCAGACGCTATTTATGTCACCCTAAATAACAGAGAGGCTCTCTCTAAAAAAAAAAAAAAAAAAATTTATATATATATATATATATATATTCAGGAATAGGGCATTGCAGTGGGAATATGAGTGTCATAGCAAACTATGTGTGTATTCAGGGAGGCAAAAGAAGACAAAAGATTTTAAAGGAAAAATGAGGAGGATTACATAATTGTTTTGAAATGATTATTCTAAACTACAAGATCAACAATAGCAGTGATTGAGGTTGGACAGGTAGTTGCTGAGCAGATGCCCTCATAGAAATATTTTTTTGTGTAAGGTTGTGATGGCCTTGGGGCAAGGCTGTGGGTTTTGCAGCCTTTTGTGATAGCTTTTGTTATCAGGCATGGAAGTGAGAACCCTCTCTTCATAGCCCTCCCTGGATCTATTTGTTAGGGTTTTATTTTCCTCTTTTTATTTTTTATTTTTTTTTTGAGATGGAGTCTCACTCTGTCACCCAGGCTGGAGTGCAGTGGTGCAATCTTGGCTCACTGCAACCTCCGCCTCCCGGGTTCAAGTGATTCCCCTGCCTCAGCCTCCTGAGTAGCTGGGATTACAGGCACCCACCACCACGCCTGGCTAATTTTGTATTTTTAGTAGTAGCAGGGTTTCACCATGTTGGCCAGGCTGATCTTGAATGCCTAACGTTAAATGATCCACCCATCTCTGCCTCCCTAAGTGCTGGGATTACAGGCTTGAGCCACTGTGCCCAGCCAATTTTTTATTTTTTTTGAGACAGAGTCACAATTTTGCTCTATCACCTAGGCTGGAGTGCGATGGTGTGATCACAGCTGTGATCATCCTCCTGGGCTCAAGTGATTCTCCCACCTCAACCTCCCAAGTAGCTGGGACTACAGGTGTGTACTAACGCGCCTGGCTAATTTTTAAACTTTTTTGTAGATATGGGGTCTTACTATGTTGCCAAGGCTGGTCTCAAACCCTTGGCCTCAAGAAATCCTTCTACCTCAGCCTCCCAAAGTGCTGAGATTACAGGCGTAAGCCACTGTGCCCTGCCCTTTTTCCAATTTTTAACACAACTGACTCCATTTTGATTCTGATAACCTTCAAAAGTGCTTGCTCATGACCATTCAACAGTCAAAGCAAGCAGCTTGTTATGAGCTTTGACACTGGATTTGGAGAAGGAAAAATTTATACTAATGACTTAATATTAGTAGCCACACTTCTAACCAGAATGGTCATTAGAGATAAGCACAGATAATAGGCTAGAGAGGAAAGCTTCCTATCACTGGATTGGGTTACCTTTAATGCAGCCTTGCTCATCTCCATAATGTTACTGCAAGGTAGACTGTAATTCACATACACAAAGAACACTTCTGTATGTTTTGTCAAGATGCTATGAAGATTTTTTCACTGTATTACCCAATTCTCCTTTTAAGAAAAGATCCCTGTCTCAACTTATTGTGAGAGATTAGGACTAGATACATTTGTCCTTTTTGGTCTACGTTCCATCCAGGCAAAGAGAACTACATAAATCCATCATTCCCTTATCACTCTGGCTCTTTAAATGTCCTATAGCATCAAGCAATCAAATGTTACTTTTGCTATTGTTGACATATAGATGGACTATTGGGAAAAAGCTTCCCTGAATTATTCATCAGAATGAACTTTATAACTAATATATGAAGACAGCAGCTACATGGTCAACCTTAAAGATACAGTTTTTTAAAAAACTGTAAAATTATGATATTTTTCTTTTTCTGAGACAGGGTCTTGCTCTGTCGCCCAGGCTGGAGTGTAGTTGTGCATTACAGCTCACTGCAGCCTTGACCTCCCAGGTTCAAGTGATCCTCTGGCCTCGGCCACTTGAGTAGCTGGGATCACAGGTGCATGCCTGGCTAATTTTTAGGTTTCTTTTTTGTAGAAATAAGGTTTCACTATGTTGCCCAGGTTTGTCTTGAACTCCTGGCCTCAAGTGATCCTCCTGCCTTGGCCTCCCAAAATGCTGGGATTACAGGTGTGAGTCACCACAGCCAGCTGACTTAGACTTTTTTTTCAATTAGCTATTCTGTATCTTTCCAAATGCACCAAAGATTTGAAGTAACTTTTGATGAAAACACAGGTACCATCACACCAGTATAACAGGACCAAATGACTGATCAAGAAATAGGAGCAGGAACAAATAAATAAGGGCTAAGAGGAAGAAAAAACTAGAATTGTAGAAACTATCTGAGGAACATTATAGCAATTAAGCCCAAAATCTTGTCTTGAGCTTCCTAGCAGCCAGAGTGAAGAGGGAATCATGGACTTACGTAGTCCTCTTTGCCTAGAAGACACATAGGCCAAAGAGGACACACTTATCTAGTTCTAATCTCTGACAATAATTTGAGACAGAGATCTTTTCTTAAAAGGGGAATTGGGTAATACAGTGAAAAAATCCTAATAGCATGTTGACAAAGCATGCAGAAGTGTTCTCTGTGTATGTGAACTATAATTTACCTTGCAGTAACATTATGACAAGTAAGGCTGCACTGCATTAGCACAAATTAATCCCTGTAGTCAGACTCCTGGCATCCCTGGGCAATGAGAACATTCTCTTAAGTTCTAATGTGAGGCCAATAATTTCCTGATCAATTAGAAAAGCCTAAGGCCAGGCATGGTGGCTCACACCTGTAATCCCAGCACTTTGGGAGGCTGAGGCTGGCAGATCACCTGAAGTCAGGAGTTCAAGACCAGCCTGGCCAACATGGTGAAAACCTGTCTCTACTAAAAAATACAAAAATTAGCCGGGTGTGGTGGTGGGTGCCTGTAATCCCAGCTACTTGGGAGGCTGAGGCAGGGAGAATTGCTTGAATCCTAAGGCAGAGGTTGCAGTGAGGCGAGATTGTGCCACTGTACTCCAGCCTGGGAGACAGCGAGACTCTGTCTCCAAAAAAAAAAAAAAAAAAAAAAAAAAAAGAAAGAAAAGAAAAGAAAAAGAAAAAAGAGCCATGATAAAGAGCTTGTGTGCAACCCTGAACTATCCTTGGGCTGGATGCTATTGATTGTTTGATTATATGGCATCACTTACCAGTTCTTCAGGTCATCTTGGATCTTTCTTTACAGGGTCCTTTCTAAGTCCTTTTCCCTGCATACTCTTTAACTGTCAAGGTTTGCTAGGGCTCCTGTTCTCTTCATCCTCTATTTGATTTCATTTGCTCATGGCCTTACCCACTGCTAGTTTTCTGGTAACCCCCAAACTTATTTCCCCAGCTTATACTCCTCTCCCATGCTTCAGATCCATAAGACTTCTGGAGAAGCATCTCAAATTCAAAATGTCCAAAGCATCTTTCTTCAACCAAATCCAGAAACTTCAAAGTCCTCCAGAGTGGTATCACATCCTGCAATGTCTATTGATGGCGGGGACATCTTCTCAGGTCATAACTAGGGAATGCAAAGAATGTAATTTTGTTTTCTCAATTTTGTTCCAAAATTCATTTTTCTGCCTGGCGGTAGAAACATTTTTTGTCAAGTCAATATAAACTCAGCGAATTTAAGGTTTCTCCTCTGCCACCTGCTCCCTCGGGTTACATCTAAGTGATGACAGTGTTCAAGCACTTCAGGGCTGCGGTGTGGCAGGTTCTGTTTCTTTTTTTTCTTTTTGAGACAGAGTTTCACTCGTCACCCAGGCTGGAGTGCAATGGCGCCATCTCGGCTCACTGCAACCTCCCCCTCCCAGGTTCAAGCGATTCTCCTGCCTCAGCCTCCCAAGTACCTGGGACTACAGGTGCCTGCCACCATGCCCAGCTAATTTTTGTACTTTTAGTAGAGACGGGGTTTCACCATGTTGGCCAGGCTGGTCTCAAACTCCTGACCTCAGGCGATCCACCTGCCTCGGCCTCCCAAAGTGCTGGGATTACAGGCATGAGCCACCGTGCCCGGCCAGGGTTTCTGTTTCTTGATCCACCTGATTTATGCTGGCATTTGCTTAGACAGTGGGCTCCCTCTGGCCCCTTTCTCTGCCAGCATCCACTGAGATGTCCATCTTGTCTTTGGTCCCATATCCACCCAGGTGAACGTGTGTCCTCATATCTAACACAGTAGCTCTTTTGTCATACCTGCTGGAGCAGTGGGACACGGAAACATTTCAGATGCTTTCCGATGCCACACTGGGGCTCCAAGAAATGTGTTGGGCCCCTCTTAGCTTAAAAACACCATGTTGTCATTTCTACTCAGTGGCTGCTGCATCACCCTGGCCCAAGGGAACTCTTCTGTAGGTCACACCTGGAACTTGAGGCATGGGCGTCCTCTGCTCTTCAATCTCCTATCCTGTCTGAAGGTTCACTTTTTTACCCTCCCTGCTCCCATCTAAGGCTGATGTACTAGACAACCGGAGAAAGGAGGTTGTGCTCAGGGCTCTTCCATAGTGATATTTGCCACCCTCTCATTTCCTTCCACTCTCCTTCCTTGCTACGTGGGGGGTGTCATTAAAAAAAAAAAGTCTCATTTGAGGTGGGAAATTCAAAAGTAGAGAACTGACCCTTTCATTACTACAGTAATAACCCAAAACTGAGGGCCAAGTGCATAGAATACATTTGTTGAAAGGAAGAATAAATGCCAGGAAAGCAGCAGAAATCCAAATTTCAAAATATCATCCCATCACGTACCTCTTGAACATCTCTCATATTCAGTTCAGCTGTTTTTGCATCATTTACAGTTTTCTGTGTCTCTTACCTGGATTGCTACAATTAAAAAAAAAAGATCTTCCTGAATATGGTTTTCTATAAGCTTTCTTGTTTTAAGAAACTATTATTAATTTTTATAAAGATGAGGTCTCACAATGTTGCCCAGGGTGGTCTTGAACTCCTGGGTTCAAGCAATCTTCCTACCTCGGCCTCCCAAAGTGCTGGGATTATAGGCATGAGCCATTGCACCTGGCCTCCCATAAGCTTTTTTTTTTTTTTTTGGACAGAGTCTCACTCTGTCACCCAGGCTAGAGAGCAGTGGTGTGATTTCAGCTCATTGCAATCTCTGCCTCCTGGGTTAAAGTGATTCTCATGTCTCAGCCTCCCGAGTAGCTGGAATTACAGGCAAGTGCCACCATGCCTGGCAAATTTTTGTACTTTTAGTAGACAGGGTTTCATCATGTTGGCCAGGCTGGTCTCAAACTCCTGACCTCAAGTGATTCGTCCACCTCGGCCTCCCAAAGTGCCAGGATTATATGCGTGAGCCACCACGCCTGGCCCCATAAGCTTTCTTTAGGCCATTCTTGATACTGTAGCCAGAATGTTTTACTGTCTCTAAAATGTGCATCCAGTCATGCTATGTCTCCTCCTCAAAGGTTTCAGTGGCTTTCCACTGCCTTTGGGAAAAGTCAGAACTGCTGAGGACATGAAACAAAGTCCGTAGTCTGGACTCTATGACTTGCTCTGATTCCCCAAGCTCAGCCAGAGTGTATGTCAGGACTGTGAATTCAAATGTGTGGCTTGCTTTCCTCCATCACTCCAATCTTCAAAGTGAACATCTATTCGTCTTTTACACTTAGTTCCAATGTTACCTTCTCAGTGATATTGGCTAATTCTCTCCTGTGTATATACCTTTCATAACAGCATTGATGTATGATTGCTTCTTGGTTAATATGCATGCTTCCCTCATTAGATTATAAGCTTCTGGAGGATAGGGCTGTGTCTTCCCATCTTTGCATTCCAGTGCCTGGCAGAGTGCCTAGTGACATTGTAGGTATTCACAAGATGTTTGACTGAACAGCAAACTGGCAGAGGATGCTGTCAGAAGAAAAGCCACCAATCAGGAGACAAAAGGCTCTTGACATAAGAGAGAGAAATGTCTGGATATACTGGGGTTCAAACATTTCCCTATTCCTTCTTTCCTTTTTAATCCTACCTTTTTCTTTCCCACTTTGAAGGCTACAAAGCACAGCACTTTGGGTTTTAAACTTGGTGATCACCAAGCATCTCCAGATGGTGACACTGTACAATAGCTGAAAGACCAAGTCACCGAGCAAACGTTAAAATTTACATGTGGTGGCCAGGCGTGCTGGCTCACACCTATAATCCCAGCACTTTGGGAGGCCAAGGCAGGTGGATCACTTGAGGTCAGGAATTCAAGATTAGCCTGGCCAACATGGCAAAACCCCGTTTCTACTAAAAATACAAAAATAAGCTGGGTATGGCGGTGCGCACCTGTAATCCCAGCTACTCGGGAGGCTGAGGCAGGAGAATCACTTGAACCTGGGAGGCAGAGGTTGCAGTGAGCTGAGATCTTGCCACTGCACTCCAGCCTGGGCAACAGAGCGAGACTCTATCTCAAAAAAATAAAATAAATATAAAATAAAATAAAATAAAATTACACGTGGCGTCTTCTCTTTTCTAAGGCAGTAAACATGAACAGTCATTTAACACATTTATTGTGCAATTATTATGTCCAAAGTATGTTGCTAGATGTTGTTTGAGTATAATTTGGGAAGATTTTCATCAAGGCTAGTAAAACTTATTTTTGAGTTTTAGTTTTCAGGAACATTTGTTCATCCACAGTTCATTCTCCCCAGTGAGAGAAGGCATTAGAAGCACTGCAAGACGTTTGGTGACTAGGCACTGATTATTCCTGAATATTGCTAACATTTAACAAGTAGCTCAAGGTGGGGAAGAAGGGGGTAAGATGAAAATGAAAAGAAAAAATAGTGAAATGTTTAAATAAATCATATATATCCATAAAATGAAATAATACTCTGAAGGAGTTCGGAGGAATCAGGCTGATCTGTATGTACCAACTTGGACAGATCATCTAATAAGATTAAGTTAAAAAAGGCACACTGTAGAATAAAACATACCATATGATAAAATTTATGACTCTTTGCCCTCCAAAACTACATGTTTCTATAAGTACATACATATTGTATACAAATGCATACAAAATGCTGAAAGGATAGACATTAAAGAGCTTATAGTAACAGTTTTTAGGGATAGAACTGAGAGGTCAAGGATGATTTTTGCTTTATCTGTATTATTAAAAACAATTACAAAAAGAAAGTATACATGAACCACTTATATAATTAAAATTAAACTTGTTTCTCCTAAAAAAATAAGTAGGGTGAAATTCGAAGACATAATACTATTGTGAAATGGAAAACCATTCGATCCTTCTCATTAAGTGATAGGTTGCTAAATACTGAAAATTGATAAACTTTTGTACCTGCCTTCTTAAAAAATACCCACAGGTCATGGTTCAGGCATGATGGAGAAAGGCACAGAGGAGGCAGAGGACCTGTGTTTTATTCCTGGTTCTGCCTCCTGTTTGGCTGATCACTTTATCTTGCTGAACCTCAGACTCCCCATCTATAAAATGGGGATAACGATAACACTGAGGTCATGAAATTGTATGAAAACTGTTGTGAGATGGAGTAGTTGGCCATGCACCATAGTCTAGGTAGTTCTATGCCTTATACTATTATGTATAACGCTGAGATTTTAATGCACAGATTGTAATTGTAAAATAAAGGCTCTGCTACAGGAGACCAAGATTAATCACTAAGTAGAAAAATATAAACAAAAGTTGTTTAAAAGTTAAACTTTATTAGACAATTTGCAAGTGATTTGCAAATTCTGTGGGTTATTTGGAGCCAATGTTGAGTACTGATCGCTCCTTTTTTCTTCCTGGACCGTCGAACATGCTCAATTTGTTGACCAAGTAGTGTAAGTCATATTCTACTCAAATTCAGACTAATTTTAATTGTAACTTAAACTAGAAATAAAAATCAAATATCATACAGTAGTCTAAAACCAAATACAAAGAGTATAATTTGAGAGCACTTCTATCAGAGATAATTTGTAAGCAGTTAAGTTTATGAGTAAATATGAAAAAAAGAGGACCATTTAAGATAACAGAAATATTAACTCTCTAAACTTTCTATAGCAATGCAAACACAAAGTTACGTGGTCCTCGTGATATAATCAGTATCAAAATAATACATGTAAAAAGAAACACACAATACACATAAGCCTCTAAAACTTGACTTTGAAGAGAGGCAAATAAGCTACAGAAAGAAAGTGGTGTTGGTTAACTTCTTCTTAGCTACACCTCCCCAACCCTTAAAAACGACAACATCAAAGCCCCATATATTAACAGAAGGCATGGGATGTCACACTTAAGCAGTTAAGTCATTCAAAATAAAATTATTTTCATAAACAAACATTTGAGACTAGGTTTACAGAAGACAGAAGTTATCTTATGTAGACCCTATTTCTGTATTTTGTTTCAGTGACAGAGCATTGAGAAAGCCCTGATTCACACTGAGAAATGGTACCAGTTCTTTCAACAGCTCACCTTGAAATACCAGGAAGCTCTTCAATTTACCAGAAATGGCCTTATTCTGGCACCTGCACAAAAAAACAGTTAACGTGGCACTGATGTTTGCTGGATTTCAGTTTTAAAATGTTAGAAACACCATATTTGAGTTTGCTATTTTTAACTTATGTTAAAATATATTTCAAAACCAAATATTAATGAAGGGTCTCAATAGAACACAGTTTAAATACCATCACCTCGAGACGCGAAGTTGATTTGTTGATGTTTCTGTGTGAAATCTGGGTTTCTGAAACTCCACTCAAGGCTCCTGTGAGCTCCCACTCCTCTGGTTGTCCACCTATTCCTCTTGGCCATTCCTTTCACAAGCTCTTGTCCTGCATCTGCCCCAAGATGACATTTTCACCCTGCATTCTCTCCATTTCTTATGCTCTCAATTACCACTACATAAAGTGGCAACTCCCAAATATTTATCTCCAGCTCATAGTTATCTCTCGAGCTCCATCTAGACCCACAGTTCCACTTGGATATTCGATAGGCATGTAAAATGCAAAACAGAACTCACAAAACTGAGTTTCTGCCCTTCTGAATTCACTCTCTGGGGAAATGAGATTATTCATCTGGTTGTCCACGAGATCTAGAAGCATCCTGCATTCCTCTTTTCCTTGCCATCTAAATTAGTCAAGAAGTCCTACCGGTTCTACCACCTATAGACTCTGAATCCATTCCCACCGCTACTGCCATAATGCAGCCTCTCAACAGGGATTGTGATTTACATAGCTGCCTGATTTATAAACCATATTATTTTTTATAATTTTTTTTTCTTTTGAGATGAAGTCTCACTGTGCCGCCCAGGCTGGAGTGCGGTGGCATGATCTTGGCTCACTGCAACCTCTGCCTCCCGGGCTCAAGCGATCCTCCTGCTTCGACCTCCCGAGTAGCTGGGATTACAGGGGCCCACTACCATGCCCAGCTAATTTTTGTATTTTTCAGTAGAGGCAGGGTTTCACCATGTTGGCCAGGCTGGCCTCAACTCCTGACCTCAAGTGATCTGCCCACCTCGGCCTCCCAAAGTGCTGCAATTACAGGCGTGAGCCACTGTGCCCGGCCTATTTGTTATAATTTTTAATTTTTGTAGGTACATAATAGCTATATAAAATATATTTCTGATTACATCATTTCTTTGCAAAAAAAAAAAAATCCTCAATATTTCTCCGTTACGTTCAGTGTGAAATGGAAATCTTTTAAAATGACTTACAAAGTCCTTCCTGCTCTGGCCTTTGGCTACTTCTCCATCCCCATCATTTGCCACGTCCTTCCCTAACATCCTATGCTTCGGGCTGTATCGATCCATTCTAACTTTCTGTATGTCCCAATATTTTCTTCACTCTTCTGAGCCTTTGCACAGCACACTCTCTGCAACTGTCTTTTACCTCTTCTTCAACTAGCCAGCTCCTGCTCCTCCACCAAGCCTCAGGCAGATGTCACCTCCTCTGGGAAAGAGCCAAGCTCTCTTCCCTCTGGACTGCCCTGTGCTAGTGTTCTCCTTTGTCATATAACTTGTGCACTGCAAAGTAACTGTGTTCTGCAATGAACTGCGAGCTTCTCTCTATAGTTTGTATTCCAAAATGGGGCCTGCGACAAAGTACGTGCTTAATAAATGTTTTAGAAAAGAAGTGATAAAAGGCATGACTCAGAGGCCAATTAATTACATACAGGTGTATTAACCAGACACTAACCCCAAGACTGATTTCCTAGTGAGCTACCACATTGTTCTACAACTCTTTTAGGTTTACCTAATTCAAACCCAATCCTTTTGCAGTTCCTCAAAAAGTTAAACATAGAATTCTCATAAAATCCAGCAATTCTACTCCTAGGTAAATATCCACAAAAATGCTAGAAAGCAAGAACTCAGATAAATTGTACACAAATGTTCATAACAGCAACAGTCACAAGAACCAAACAGGGGAATCGACCCAAGTATCCATCAACAGATGAATTAATAAAGTATCATATATCCACACAATGGAAAATTATTCAGCCTTGAAAAGTAATGAAATTCTGATATATGCCACAACATGGATCTTGAAAGTATTATGCTAAGTGAAACAAGCCAGACACAAACAAAACAAATATTATATGATTCCACTTATATGAGGTACCTTGAATAGGCCAATTTATAAAGGGATAAAGTAGAACAGAGGTTGCCACAGGCTGCAGGGGCAGGTGGGGAGGGTGGAGAGGGTAGAAGGAATAGGGAGCTATTATTAAATGGGTACAGAGTTTCTATTTGGGATGATGAAAAGTTCTGGAAAGGGATACGTGGTGATGGTTACACAACGTTGTGAATGTGCTTAATGTTGCTGAATCATACACTTAAAAAACTGTGAAAACGGCAAATTTTGTTATGTACATTTTATTACAATAAGAAAGGTTAACAACTCAACACTTGAGGCTGGGCACAGTGGCTCACCCCTGTAATCCCAGTACTTTGGGAGGCTGAGGTGGGTGGATCACCTGAGGTCAAGAGTTCAAGACCAGCCTGGCTAACATGGTGAAACCCCATCTCTACTAAAAATGCAAAAATTAGCCAGGTGTGGTGGCGTGCGCCTGTAATCCCAGCTACTCAGGAGGCTGGGACATGAGAATCGCTTGGACTTTGGTAGCAGAGGTTGCAGCGAGCTGAGATTGTGCCACTGCACTCCAGCCTGGGCAACAAGGGCAAAACTCAGACCAAAAAAAAAACAAAACAAAAAAAACCGACCCCAAAAAGCAAAACAAAACAAAACAAAAAAACCGAAGTGTCTTCACCCTGATCTTTGTTACCATCTCTCTGAAGATCCTAGAGCCATGAGTTATTTCTGCAACTGATCTAATGGTTTGATCAACCTAGAAAGACATAAAGTTCTGGGCCGGGCGTGGTGGCTCACACCTGTAATTCTAGCACTTTGGGAGGTCAAGGCGGGCAGATCACGACGTCAGGAGATCGAGACCGTCCTGGCTAACACGGTGAAACCCCGTCTCTACTAAAAATACAAAAAGTTAGCCAGGCGTGGTGGCAGGTGCCTGTAGTCCCAGCTACTCAGGAGGCTGAGGCAGGAGAATGGTGTGAACCTGGGAGGCGGAGCTTGCAGTGAGCCGAGATCACGCCACTGCACTCCAGCCTGGGGGACAGAGCGAGACTCTTTCTCAAAAAAAAAAAAAAAAAAGGAAGACATTAAGTTCTGGCACAACCAGAATTGACCACAAAGTCACCCAGTACTGACAGCAAAACCCATATCTTGTTGAACTACTATATAGTGTCAGGGGATGAGTTTTATAGGTTTACAACTCATTTCATTAAAAACTTAAGAGATGAGCTGCTTTCCCAAGGCCGAATAGTTTGCTGCTTAAATTTTATAGATTAAAATTATGCATATAAAGAATTACTTACTTTCGTTGGATTATTGGAAGTTTGTAAGTTTTAAAAAAAATTGAGTCCAAAACATATTGCATAAATGACACCTGCAAAGAAAGTAAAATTTATAACTTCATAAGAAGTACTGTAAACACCAAAGACTGAAGACGTTCAGAAGACCAGATGTGAAATATTTAGTTAACAAGTGCCCTAACAGAGATACTCTAGAGAAGCAAGACAGAAAAGCCAAAAAAACTGTACCACAAATATGAGCAAGACCTCCACCTTTTCACCAGTGTGCTGGATAACCAGACCAATAACCATGGGAACAGCAGGTAGAATCATTTGAGCCTCTTCCCTTCCTTATCCCCCTCCCCTCCCACAGGAATACCCCTGGAAAGGCCACTATCCATAGAAATAAAATATCAATTAGTACAGTGCCTATCACATAGCAGATGTTTAATACATACTTCTTGATGTTCCATTTCAAACTGAAGTCAGAGAAAACATTGACTTCAACTACATCTGCTTTCTAGTCATGCTTCCTGAGATAGTCATTCCTTATAAATTAAGGTAGAATAATCAAGTAAGTCATATCCACAATTCATATAGATGTGATTGACAATATATCTGTGTATATAGTAAAGTAGTTATAATACATAGGTAACAAGAAAAATCATGAATGTTGATAAACACAAAAGATTTTTCTGTGCTACAGAAATGACCTTATATTTGCATTTATTAGGCACCCATTATCTTCACTTCTTGTTGTTAGAAGAAAACAGAGTAATACCTCTATCCCTGGGTATATCTGATACGAAAACAACCGACAAAAGTAGGTCAGGAGTTCAAGAGCAGCCTACGCAACATGGTGAAACCCCGACTCTAATTAAAATACAAAAATTGGCCAGGCGTGGTGGCAGGTGCCTGTAGTCCCAGCTACTCAGGAGGCTGAGGCAGAATTGCTTGAACCTGGGAGGCAGAGGTTGCAGTGAGCCAAGACTGCACCACTGCATTCCAACCTGGGCAATAGAGTGAGTGAGACTCCATCTCAAAAAAAAAAAAAAAAAAAAAGTAGGTCAGAATCCCACAAAATGGTGAGTTCTGAATGTCAGGTGTCTTATATTGGGTTACAAATCCTGACAAGACAAGTGACAGGGTTTTCTGAAAGTCTCTGAAACTCAGTGCCATCTCGATCTGTTTGGTTAAAAGCAGCAGCAAGGTAGGAAATAGTTGGTCTGTGTCTCTGGCTATCCTGATATGCCTTAGATAAAAACTGAAGGCAGCATGTTCCTGCTCTTTTTTCTGCATCTGCTTTCACAAAAAATATCCTCTTCCCACCCAGATATAATCTGGGTGGCTTCTGGAATATGTCCTTTAACCTACACCTGATCTTAGCCAAAAGGCCGAGAAGCAGTGTGTCCTTTAACCTAAAAGAGAGGTCCTTACAGAGATCAGAGACTTGACAAGAAGTCGACTAGGAGTTTGTGGCCTTCTGTCTATTCTAGTCCTGATGCAATTTCTCCCTAGTTCAAGTTTTTGGTAAAAATCACTTAAAATTTTTTTTTTTTTCTATTTAGTGTACTAAGCAGAAACCACCAGGCAGTGTAGTGCTGACTGAGTTTTTGAGTTTTCTGGGATATGATTTTTAGCTATTTTACTATGTAATATATAAACAAAAAATGCTAAGTACCCACTACTTTAATTCAGTAACTTTGCTTGTATTTGCGTGACATCTATATATCAGTTTCTCATGAAGAAAAACTATCATAAAAATTTTAAGGTAAAATTTAACACGAATATTAGGAAAAAACACACTTTCGCAATTTGGAGTAAGGTGAATGACACATCCTTTCCTTTTCTAGTAATTTCTAAATTTAGAAATTGAGAAATTTTCTAACAGTGTCAATCTCAACTACTTCTTACCTGAAAGGTTTCTTAAGATTTTGTATAAATTAATTTACTTCATGCTATACATTTAGGAGGCAAAAATTCAATGAAAATCATTTCATGACTTCAAGCACAGAATTTCAGGATGTCAAAATCATTTGATATCAAATAAATGCAATGGTTAAAACAACAATAAGAATCCACTGCCATCAAACAAACTTTCCCCGACCTGCCTCCCATTCCAGTACTGACAAAATCAGGACCACAAGGAGATAAATGACCGAAGTGTATATGCTTCAGTTAAATAAAAACATGGGAGACTGTAGCCCACATGTTAAAGAATACATTTAATTTTAACAGGGCAAATAAACTAGTTTTTAAAGGTAGTGGTGGTGTTGGCTTAATTTTGAGTGTTCCTTTTATTTCCACCTGAAAAAAAAAGTGAGCTTTTCCTCTAACTGCTTCCCAACAGTTCAATGACAGCAGAACATCAAATCTATGATGGTGCTGGAGATCTTCTATAGAGACAAGGAGAGATGCAACTTCGTGAGCATGTTTTAGTCTGCAGAAAGAAAGTGGAAAAGAGAAAGAGAGAGAGAGGAGAACAAAAACTAATTTTCCAGGCAGGGGAATACTTATAAAACCTTTTATGTCAAAGTTAGGATTTCACAACATAACACACTAATGCAAAATCCAGTAGCACCTGAAAGATTTAAGTAAATGCTGTCATCATTTAAATGCTTTTAAATATCTGTAAAAGACTGGAGGAAAAAAAGATAAAGTACATTCTCCAGAGAACAAATGTATTTCAAAATAAAAACTGTATTTTTGCTTTTCTTTTTTTTTTTCAATTTTTGTTTTTGTACAAGATTCAATAGTTATCACATATTAACTTATACACAATGGGATCAACCTCCTCCTCCATGTCGCTTCAAGTCCACATGTTCAGGCTATAGTCCCCAACATTATTTTCTGAGAAATATATTACCACAGTTTGATTTAAATATAGATACAGTATATAATACTTGTCTCTGGGAAAAATCAAATTTTAATATGCAAATGTTTATATAATACAGAAATGGAAAAAACTACAGTAGGCACACAACCTAATTATGACTTGTGGATGATGATTTCTACATACTCTCCTACTGTAAATGAATAGTTAAAAGTCTTAAGAAGATTTTATTTATATGTGCACTTGTGTCCACCTTATCCCATATACTGTACATGTCTATTGACAATCTGGGAATTTAAAGGTGCAGCCCTCAAGAGATTGTTAAATCACTAAAAAAGGAAACAATTAGGCTCTATTGGACAAGAAAAACACTCACAAAATTTCCAATTTTAAATTTCATTATCAGTAGGAAAGTATTAAAAATAATTTTCTGTATATACATATGGGTATATGTATATATTGAATCACACATATGTCCCACATTATCAATACAATTCAAATGGAGACATTTTGGTGAGTTTTTTCATTAAATGATCACTATGTCAAAATTTAAAAATATTTTATTACATCATTAAAATAATTCACTTGCCATTTCAACAGCTTACACTGTTTTTTAAATTTTTTTAACTCTTCATACTAAACTCCCTGATCCCTAGTGTTAAATCTCCTATTTAAATTAAAACTTGGTGCTCTTTGTTACTCAGAAACTGATGGATAAAAACACATTTACTTCAAAATTCCATCAATCAAATACATTTTGTTACCTGATTTATCAGAGAAATATCTCAGCTCTGAGCATGTGTATCTAAATTATTCTCCCTATAATATATAGGTGAGGAAAATATCCTAAAATAGATGGAGGTAACGTACATGATGTTACAGCACATATAATACATGATTGTTATAAATTTTTCAGAGACACCTGAAAACTCACTTAAGAAACTAACTTCAGAAACAAACCATTTATTTTTCACTCTAATGTAAATTAATATGTATGTATTTACGTACATACACATACATAAAAAACAAAATTGTCTAGTATTGAGTAGCTGTTTATGAGTGAAAAAATGGTTACAAATTGGTTAATTAGCTTAATTTTGTACTTAACAATTCGATCATTTTGGGGTACAAACAAGAAGTCAGTGCATTTATAGACTCCATAGAGTCAGTTACTCAAGCATACACTTTAAAAAAGAACCCTCCTCAACATCACAGGCATTGTACAGCAAGAATATATGTACTCTGATGCAATTCCTACTTTATAAGCAGACTAGACAGCACTTGGCTTACTTTTAAAATAGCTTCGTAAAAGAAATATATCATATAAAGAAATGCATGTTTGCTAAAAGTCTTTTAAAATTACATCAAAACAACATTAAAACCTGTTCACTGAGAAGAGCCTATTGAATTTAATTCCTGTTTTGAAATACCTAGTTAACAATTCAGAATATTGCCTTGTGAGGTTTGAATCAAGATGTGATTGATGTGTAGAGCCAGATAGAGTACATGACTCCATCTCTATCTGCCACGATCACAATTTAGATAGAGTCCTCTGATCAGCTGTTTGATGTAAATGGACCCCCTTTAAAATAGCTATACACCTTAAAATTATCTATAATAAACAGTTCCCCAATAACCATTATTATTCGTAAATTGAAATGCATTGATCATTCAGAAAAGATTTCTTGCAAAATATATAAATAAATGTAACTGCATATTCTGTAAATATACTTAACATTGCTAGACCAGCCTGTCAATGACGGGCTGCTGTATTTCAGTACTGTGTGTCAAATTTATTAGAAACTTAAAAAGAAAAATTTCTGAGGGACTCAGCTGCCTTCGTTAGTTGGCTTTAAAATGTGTAATAAAATGGGAGACAATATCTTCTCATAAATACATGGAATCAATATGGAAAAGTAAACTATACAACAGACAAGATTAGAGAACACCAGAGTGTACCAGAGTAGTCACCAGAGTGAAATATCTTCCAGCACAAAAAAGGGAAGAACTCTATACACCCAGTTATAGTATATTTCAATTAAAGATACAGCTCTCTCTCACTCCTGGCAAGAATTAATTGGTAATGGCACTGCTTCTCAGCAGTGCAAAAATATCCTGAGAAATTATTCAGATTACAACAAAAGACAGGCTTTCATCACTAAGTTTTTGCACAAAACACAGCTCTAGATATCGTAAATAAATTAATTTAAAAAGCAGATAATCTTCACTGTGTTGAACACAAAAAGGGGATGTGACCTAGACATTGTTAATTCTCCCATTGGCTAATATCAGGAAAAAAGATTGCATTAAGTGTCTATTTATAACTTTCTAGTTAACTATGGCCAATAATATACATGGAGGTAATTTGTAGTTCAAGTTTTTCATCTTTTTTCCCCAACTAGCTACAAGCTGGATTCTAAAATTTACAGTGAAATATACAATTCCAATTTCAAAAGATCCTCCTCCTGGAGGAGTGATATTCAATTTTTTTTTTTTTTTTTTTGTGCAATCTTGATGCAGAGCCTAAACAGTCCTATGAAGAGAGACAGTGTATCTTTTAATTAATTGGCACTGAAATTTCACTTTCCTTAGCTGCATTCTAGTAGCTTGGCCAAGTTATCTCGTAATTCTGTTAGTTCAAATATCTTTCCATCCAGAATTTCTAAGAGTGTCTTCAGGTTATTGCGAAAAGCTTCTTGTTCATTCTGACTTTTCTCCAGACGTTGCTCTAAGTCAGACAGTTGTCCCTCCAGGTCTTTGTTCCGAATTTCTACTTCCTTCAGAAACAAAAGTGTAACATGTATATATGTCAATTCATCACTTAGAAAACAATACAACTCTCTGTTATTACCAATATTGCGGTAATCAATGCAGTTTGACTGTCAGGATGAGCTGCAGAATCTTAATTTAGCACAATTTAAGGAGATTTTAGACTTGGCCATCCCAGAGAGCAATACGATTTTAATGACTGGCTTGGTTATCAATCTATCTAACCACTCAACGAAAATCTACTGACTCATTACTTTGTGCCAGGCAACACTCTAGGTACTTCAAATACCAAGACAGGCTTGAAGACCTATTTATGGATCACTTAGATCTCATTTTTATTGCTGTCCACCTATTTCTCCTAATGCATAATTATTAGCAATCACAGGTGAAAGCAGGCAGAGAAAGAAAAAGAAATTAACTTTTTCTGTTTACTGGCAACTCTAGAGAAAGATTTAGACAAGAAAGTAACTCTCTAAAATGTGATTTTAGGATCCTCTGAATATGTTATTCTTTGCTTTGCCTCAATATCAAATAAATGTATATGTAGAGAGTATCACTCAATTGCTAGAAACTGTAGTGAAGATACATAATAACTGTACATATTAGAGAATTATAAGTTAACAGTTCCAATACATTGCAAACCAAGGGAAAAAAATGACAAAAGGAAATCAAATGTTCATGACAACAAAAAAAACACTAAATGATTTGTTTTTGACAGAATAAACTCTGGCACACTTAAAAATTATTTAGCAGTTATTACTGCTTTTGTTTTTTTGTTGTTGTTTCTTTTCTTTGAGACACAGTCTCACTCTGTCCCCCAGGATGGAGTGCAATGGTGCAATCTTGGCTCACTGCAACCTCCGCCTCCCAGGTTCAAGCCATTCTCCTGCCTCAGCCTCCCAAGTAGCTGGGATTACAGGCACACGCCACCACACCTGGCTAATTTTTATATTTTTAGTAGAGACGGGGTTTCACCATGTTGGCCAGGCCAGTCTTGAACTCTTGACCTCCAGTGATCCACCCGCCTCGGCCTCCAAATGTGCTAGGATTACAGGCGTGAGCCACCCCGCCTGGCCTATTACTGCTTTTAAAATTGTCTCTAAATGTGACAAATATAATAAAGTGAGTCTAAAAAAATAAAATGACATAAATCAAGCTAATGATTTCATTTTGGTTAAAAAAATCAGATTGAGAAAAATGGGAGAAAGCCAACTATTACACTTTAAATAAGCAATTCAGATAAGCAATGAATTGAAAGTTGTTATATATCCGTTCTGGAAAGCTCACTTTTACATTTGAGAGAAACTAAGTGACTGACACAATTTACATTAAGATATATAAACTATATGGGACAACGAAAATATCTTGATGTTAGTTACACAACATGATAGCCTCAGAAAATGAGATGTTTCAAAATGTTAATACATCCTTTAAATGTTAATCTCTAAAGGAATTCTATCAAGTCTAAAGGACAGTGGAAATTTTAAAAAAATTAGATCACTGAAAGACAATCTGGTAAATGTTAAATGAAAAGAACAGAATATAAAGTAGCTCACTGAAACTGGCAAAAATTCGTATGCATGAGGACAAACACTAGGAATTAATGTAGAAATAGGAAATAAAAAATAGTTCTGGTGTTGAAATTACAGACACTTTTTTCCAAAAATTTATTCTTCTCTCAAGTTGGATAAAGAATGAAAAAAAAATTAAGAACTAAATTTTTTTCACAATGTAAAAATTAAACTTTCAAGAAAAATAATTAGGGCAAGGCTCACGCCTTTAATCCCAGAACTCTGGGAGGCTGAATCACCTGAGGTCAGGAGGTCGAGACCAGCCTGGCCAACATGGCGAATCCCTTCGTCTCTACTAAAAATATAAAAATTAGCCAGGCGTGGTGGCAGGCACCTGTAATCTCAGCTACTCGGGAGACTGAGGCAGGAGAATGACTTGAACCGGGAGGCAGAGGTTGTGGTGAGCCGAAATTACGTTACTGCACTCCAGCCGCCTGGGGTGACAGAGTAAGACTCTGTCTCAAAAAAAAAAAAAAAAAAAGGAAATTGGCTCAAATACATTTAAAAAGTAATAACTCTGGGTTATCTTTGTCAGTGGTTTGACAAGGCTCAAGGATGCTACAGATGAGTTGCAAGAGCCTGGGAAAATATAAGAAAGGAATCAAGCAGCTATAATGATTTTTAAAGGAAGAATTTAAGGAATCGAATCTCAAACTATTGACTGTTAGATGTTAGCCAGGTATGTTTCCAATCTCTTCACTTTGGTTAATCTGCAAGGTCAAGATAAGTAAATTGAGAGGAGAATCTCAAACTAATAAAATATTTATAAATTCAGAAGCCAAACACATGGAGGTTTTAACTATGAGGGAGGACACAGATCCTGAGATCAAATGTAAAAATTCCACTCATGACTGCACAGCATGCTCTCTTGCCTACTTAAACAATAAGCTTAAGGGTACAATGTTTCCAACTATAAAAATAGACCAAATGTCATTCACTAGCAGACACCCACTTCACCAGGCACCACCCAGTTTGCCCTCTAAAGCCCTCCCAAAAATGAAAGGTTCCCTTGTTTCCTTGCCAATCAATGCAATAGTCAAACATTTTCAATGGAAGCAAGCAAAACACAAAATTCCCTCAGCTAATAAAATTGTGTTATTCTCTCTAGAATGAATCCCCTACTCTAAGCACCTCTCTGTTTGCAGGAATTTTACTAGTTAGATAACAAAAAGGACCTAATACACTGCTTGATGGTGCTAGTCTATTTTTAGGCAAAGAGAATATGTTCCTAGAGCAAGAATAGACAACTTAGAGCACAGGGGCCAAGAGGTAACAGAAGCCATGGTGAGTGGCACTTCTTAGGTGTCTACCTTTTGTCCATATATATATATATATATATATATATATATATATAAAATATATAAATATTTATTTATATATAAAAATTATTTATATAAATATATTTATATATTATATATATTTTTATATATCTATAATATATATTATATATATTTTTATATATCTATAATATATATTATATATTATATATATCTATTATATATATTATATATTATATATATCTATTATATATATTAAAATTGTCTGTAATATAAATATATAAATATTTATATATATTTATATATTTTATATATTATATAAATATTTATATATATTTATATATTTTATATATTATATAAATATTTATATATTTATATATTTTATATATTATATATTTATTATATATTTATATAATATATAATATATATTTTATATATAAATATATAAATATATAAATATTTATATACATTTATATTACAGACAGAGAATTTTATATACATATATTCTGACAACAATAACTTCAGCACCTTTTGTCCATATTTTCCAACCAACCTTTCCCTTCTTGCCTTTCTATTTGCTATTTTCTTGTACAGAAGGGGTCTCACTATGTTGCCTAGGCTGGTCTCAAACTCCTGGGCTCAAGTGATCGTCCTGCCGCGGCCTCCCAAAGTGCTGGGACTACAGACGTGAGCCACCATGCCCGGCCTTGCCTTTCATTCTCCTTCCAAACTCATTCTTCTGCTCATTATCATTTTGGCTCTGTTATTTCCCTCTTTTCCTTTACTAATGTAAGGCACACACCAGGGGCAACTAGAGAGAGGCATTGTTCAGCCCTGATAAAGCACAGTAGACCAGAATCATCAACTCCCTCCTGAGTGCTTTAAAAGGTGGGAGAGGATTCAAGATGGCTGACTAGAAGCAATTTGTACTTGCCTCCTCTACTAAGAAGAACCGAAATAGTGACTAATCATACTTCAAATGGATCATCCAACAGAGGACACTGGAATTAAACAGAAAAAGTGACAAGAAATACCTAAAGCAAGGAAGAAGGAAGTCGGCTTGGCCAGGATTGGTGGGGAGCTGAGATTCCCCAATATGGATAAAGGGTAAGAGAACCTCAGTGGTCCATATTTCCACCATGAATCCTGCAATCTGAGTCATGGGAAAATCTCTTGGCTCTCACAGGCACTGGAAACTAACACTGCTGGGAGACTGTGTGACAGCACTGCTCTTGGGAGAGCACTAGCGCTGGGTGCCACACAACCCGAGACCTAAGCTGCAGCAAGGCCCCATTTTAGAGCCCCACCTCCAATAAACTGCAGTGTCCTAGAGCCCAACAGTGCTGTAGCTAAGGCTCAAGAGAAACATGGGCTGTTACACCCAGTGCTTAGGTGCAAATGACTGCAGGCTACTGCACCCAGGCTGAGTGCCATCGAGGCACAGGCTACCACCGTCAGGGCTGAGGCATGAGTGGCGTGCACATTTCCCACACATCAGCCAAGGCTGCCACCAGTGAAGGTGGCATTGTCCTTCTGAGCAGCAGAACAACAATGTGAGCATTCCTGGGGATTGCCCCGCCCCTACCTACCATGGCTGGCACCTGCACATACCATCAGGGGGCCTGAAAACTAGCCTAATTGGCCTGGCTTTGATCCCCTCCATGTCACAGCATATAATCGGGGGGTAGGGGGAGTGAAGGGATTGCCCAGCCCAGTCCACCAATGTTGGCACCTAAACACTCCTCCCAGGGGAATAAGGTTGGGCTTACCTTCCTGGCTGCTACCACCACAGCTGGCACCTACCTGCACATACCACCTGCAGGCCTGGAGAATGGCCTATCCAGCCCTTTGCCGCCACTGCCAACACCAGCATGCACTGCACGGGACACAGAGGATTGTCCCACCACTGCCATCGTCCATACTACACCAGTTGCCCAGGGGTCGGAGAACCCACCCACCCTTGCACTGCTGCCACTACTGGCCTCCAAGACACCAGGAGACCCCAAAATCAGCTTGCCTGGAACTGCTAACACTGGTGCAAGCAAACACAGCCCTGGAGCCTAAGGACAGGCATACTTGGCCCACTGGTACCACCATCAGGGTCCAAAGACTGGCCCACCTGGTGTCCCAGTCCCCAGCAAAACTTCACCACAGCCTCCACGAACTGCACCCTAAGCCACTAAGAAAATCACAGGTACTATTGATGCTATTTACAGCCAAAGAAATCATACAGAGACCATGCTACTGAACACACTCGGAATCAAAGCCAAAGTGCCCTGTGCATCCAATAGCGTAGATACATCTACAGGAAAGAATCTTCCCCTATGAAAGCAAATTTTAAAAGTTGGCAGAAGTGACTGTTAAACCAGATGTGTAGATATCAGTGTAAGAATACATAAAACATGAGAACGCAATGAAATGTAACACCTTCCAAGGAAAAGAATAATTCTCCAGCAATACATCCCAATCAAAACGAAATTCATAAAGTCCCCCCAAAAGAATTCAAATTATTGATTCTAAAGAAGCTTAGTGAGATACAAGAGAATTGTAAAAAACGCACAAAGAGGCCAGGTGCAGTGGCTCACGCCTGTAATCCCAGAACTTTGGGAGGCTCAGGCAGGCAGATTGCTTGAGGTTAGGAGTTTGAGACCAGCCTGGTCAACATGGTGAAACCTGTCTCTCCTAAAAATACAAAAATTTAGCTGGCCATGGTGGTATGCACCTGTAATCCCAGCTACTCTGAAGGCTGAGGCAGGAGAATCACATGAACCTCGGAGGTGGAGGTTGCAGTAAGCCAAGATCATGCCACTGCGCTCCAGCCTGGGCCACAAAGCAAGACTCCATCTCCAAAAAAAAAAAAGTACAAAGAAATCTGAAAAATAATTCAGGCTATGAATGAGAAATTTACCAAAGAGATATACACTATAAAAAAGAATCAAACAGAAATTCTGGATATGAAGAATTCATTGAATGAAATAAAAAATACATTCAAAAGATTCAACAATAGGCCAGATCAAACAGAAAAAATAATTTCAGAACTCAAAGACAAGTCTTTTGAAATAATATAGACAAAAATAAAGAAAAAGTAATAAAAAGGAATAAGCAAAGCCTCTGTGACATACGGGACACCATAAAGTGGCCATAAAATATGCAAATTATCAGGGTTCCCGGAGGTGAAGAGAGAGCAAAAGGGTAGAAAACCTATTTAATGAAATACCAGATGAAAACACCCCAAATCTAGCAAGATTTTAGACATCCAGATACAGGAAGCTCTGAGATCCCCAAACAGATAAAATGAAAGAAGGTCTTCTCCATGGCACATTATAGTCAAATTGTCTAAAGACAAAATTCTAAAAAGAACAAGAGATAAGCATCTTGTCACCTAAAAAGGACCCCCTTCAGACCAACAGGGCATTTCTCAGCAGAAACCTCACAGGCCAGGAAAGAATGGGGTGATATATTCATAGTGTTGAAAGGAAAAACAAAAAACAAAACTGCTATCCAAGCATACTACATCCAGCAAAATTATCCTTTGTAAATGAAGGAGAAATAAAGTCTTTCCCAGAAAAGCAAAAGCTGAAAGAATTCATCACCACTATACCAGCCCTACAAGAAATGCTCAAGGGAGATCTAAGTCTGGAAATGAAAGGATGACATTTTCCATCCTGAGAGCACATGAAAGTATAAAATATTGTTAAACACAAATAAAAAAGAGAAAGAATTCAAATGGTATCACTACACCAAACTACCAAATCACAATGACGAACAATAGGAGAAAAAGGAAGGAACAAAGAACAAAACAACCAGAAAGCAATTAGCAATGTGACAGAACAAAACCTCAAATATCAATAGTAACCTAGAATGAAAATGGATTACATTCTCCACTTAAAAGATATAGACTGGCTGAATGGATTACAGTTATGACCAACTGTATGCTGCTTACAAGAAACATACTTTACTTGTAAAAAGGCTTACAGATCAAAAGTAAATGTATGGAAAAAGATATTCCACGAAAATGGAAACCAAAAGTGCACAGGAGTAGCTATACCTATATCAGATAAAATATACCTTAATCCAAAAACAGTAGAAAACATGAAGTCACTATATAATGATAGAGAGATCAATCCAGCAAGAGGATATATACGTTCCCAACACTGGCACACCTAAATTCATAAAGTAAATATTACTAGATTGAAAGACAGATAGATTCCAATACAATAATTTGTATGGTACTTCAACACCCCACTCTCAGCATTAGACAGATCATCTAGACAGAAAATCAACAAAGAATCATTGGATTTAAACTGGACCTTGGACAGACTGTACTTAACAGACATTTACAGAACATCTTTTTTTTTTTTTTTTTGAGACAGACTCTAGCTCTGTCACCTAGACTAGAGTGCAGTGGTGCGATCTCAGCTCACTGCAACCTCTGCCTCCCGGGTTCAAGCGATTTTCCTGCCTCAGCCTCCTGAGTAGCTGGGGCTACAGGTGCCCACCACCATGCCCGGCTCATTTTTGTATTTTTAGTAGAGACAGAGTTTCACCATGTTGGCCAGGCTGGTCTCGAACTCCTGACCTTGTGATCTGCCCACCTTGGCCTCTCAAAGTGCTGGGATTACAGGCATGAGCCACCTCGCCTGGCCTACAGAACATCTTATACAACAATTCTTCTCATTACCACGTGGAACATTCTCAAAGACAGATCATATGTTAAGCCACAAAACAAGTCTCAACAAATTTTTAAAAATCGAAATCGTATTAATTATCTTCTCAGACCACAATGGAATAAAACCAGAAATCAATACCAAGAAAAACTGTGGAAACTATACAAATATATGAAAATTAAACTACATGCTCCTGAGCAACCATTGGGTCAATGAGGAAATTAAGATGAAAATTAAAAAATATTTTGAAACAAAACAGAAATACAACATACCAAAACCCATGTGACACAGCAAAAGTAAAAGCAGTACTAAGAGGCAAGTTTATAGCAATAAATGCCGACATCAAAAAAGTAGAAAGATTTCAAATAGCAATCTAACAATGTGCCTCAAGAAACTAGAAAAGCAAAAAAAAAAAAACCACCAAACCTCAAAATAGCAGAAGGAAATAATAAAGATCAGAGGAGAACAAAACAAAGACCAAAAAATAAAACAAAAAAATAAAGGATCAATGAAACAAAAATTTGGTTCTTTGAAAAGATAAACAAAATTGATAAATCACTAGCTAGACCAAGAAGAGGAAAAACCCAAATAAACAAAATCACAAATGGAAAAGGAAGCATTACGACTCACACTACAGAAATACAAAAGATTACGAGAGACTATTATGAGGTATACATGAACAAACTGGAAAACCTGGAGGATATGGATGAATTCCTGGAAACTTACAACTTACCAAGATTTGAATCAGAAATAAAAAACGTGAACAGACCAATAATGAGTAGCAAGACTGAATCAGTAGTAAGAAGTCTCCCAACAAAGAAAAATACAAGGCCAGAGGGCTTCACTGCCAAATTCTACAAAACAATAAATAACTAATACCAATCCTCTTCAAACTATTCCATAAAAATTGAAGAGGAGGGAACTTTTCCTAACTTATTCTATGAGGCCAGCATTACTCTGATACCAAAAACCAGACAAAGATACAACAAAAAAAGAAAACAATAGGCCAATATCCCTGAAAAACACAGATGTAAAAATCCTCAACAAAATACCAGCCAACTGAATTCAACAGTGTATCAAAAAGATGATACACCATAATCAAATGGGATTTATACCAAGGAAACAAGGATGGTTTAACACAGAGAAATTAATAAATGATACATCCCATCAACAGAATGAAGGAAAAAAATATGATCATCAATAGATGCAGAAAAAACATTTGATAAAATTCAACATCGCTTCATGATAAAAATGCTCAAAAAACTAGGCACAGAAGGAACATGTTTCAAGATAATAAAAGCCTAAGTGACAAACCCACAACTAACATCATAGTGAATGAGGAAAAGCTTTTCCCTCAGAGATAGGGTGAGACCCCTACCTCTCACCATATATGAAAATCAATTCAAGATGGATTAAAGACTTAAATGTAATACCTAAAACTATAAAATTACTAGAAGAAAACTTTAAAAAAAACACTTCTGGACATTGGTGTAGGCAAAGACTTCATGTCTATGACTTCAAAAACACAGACAACTAAAACAAAAATAGACAAATGGGACTATATTAAACTAAAAAGCTTCTGCACAGCAAAGGAAACAACAAAGAGACAACCTGTTGAATGGGAGAAACTACTTGCAAACTATTCATCTGACAAGGGACTAATATCCAGAATATACAAGAAATGCAAACAACTCAACAAAAAACCACAAATAACTCCACTAAAAAATGGGCAAAGGACATAAATAGAGAGTTCTCAAAAGAAGACATATTATGGCTAACAGGTATATTAAAAAATGCTCAATATCACTAATCATCAAGGAAATACAAATCAAAACCAAATAAGATATCATCTTATGGCCAGGTGCGATGGCTCATGCCTATGGTCCTAGCACTGTGGGAGACTGAGGCAGGTGGATCACCTAAGGTCAAAAGTTCCAGACCAGCCTGACCAACATGGTGTAAACCCCATCTCTACTAAAAATATAAAAATTAGCTAGGCATGTTGGTGGGCATCTGTAATCCCAGCTACTCAGGAAGTTGAGGAGGGAGAATGGCATCAACCTGGGAAGCGGAGCTTGCAGTGAGCCGAGATCGCACCACTGCACTCTAGCCTGGGTGACAGAGCAAGACTCTGTCTCAAAAAAAAAAAAAAAAAAAAAAAAAGCTATCATCTTACTGCAATTACAATGGCTATTATCATTACTTTCAGATAACATCAGAATTGAATGGATAGAATGACTATCATTAAAAAGACAAAAAAGAACAGATGCTGGTGAGGATATAGCGAAAAGGGCACTCTTTTACACAATGATTCATGTAAATTAATACAACTGCTAAAAACTATTTGAGATTTTTTTTTTAAAACTAAAAATAAAAAACTAACATACAATCATGTAATCCCAATACTGGATATATGTCCAAGGGGAAATAAATCAGTACATCAAAGGGATACCCACACTGGGATGTTTATCACAGCACTATTCACAATACTAAAGACATGGAATCAACCTAAGTGTCCATTAGCAGATAAATGGATAAAGAAAATGTGGTATATATACAATGGAATATTATTCAGCCTTAAAAAGGAGTAAAATCATGTCATTTGGTGCAACATGGATAGAACTGGAGGTCATCATGTTAAGTGAACTAAGCCAGGCACAGAAAGACAAATACTGAATCTTCTCACTGATATGTGGGACCTGAAGTACTTGATCTCATGGACATAGAGTGTAGAATGATGGTTACCAGAAGCTGGGAAAGGTGTGATGGTGGGAGGAGAAAATGAAAAAAGATCGGTGAATGGCTATATATTTACAGTTAGATAGAAGAAGTAAGTTCTAATGTTTGATAGCAGACTAGGGTTCCTATAGTTAGCAACAATATATTGTGTATTTCAAAGTAGTTATAAGAGAGGGATTGAAATATTACCAACACACAGATAAGTACTCAAGGAGCTGAATACCTCGAACACCCTGACTTGATCATTACACAGTCTACACATGTAAAAATTATCACATGTATCCCATAAATACGTAAAATATTATCTATCAATAAAAGGAAACAAAGGCAAAAACAAAGTATAAAATCCTACTGGGCAGGAGGTTATGCTATTTGTTAAAGAGCCTAAAATACTACAATGATTAAAAGAAAATTAAATAACAATTATGAATACCACCACTGGCACCAGATCAGCTTAATTTCCTTCCTTCCTCCCTCCCTCCTCCCCTCCCTTCCTTCCTTCCTTTCCTTTCTTCCTTCCCTTCCCTTCTTCCTTCCCTCCCTCTCTGAACCTCCCCCTCCCCCTTCCCCCTCTTCCTTCTTTCTCCCTCCCTCCCTCTCCTTCCTTCCTTCCTCTTTCCTTTCTTTCTCTATCTCTCTCTCTCTCTCTCTCTCTCTTTCTTTCACAAGGTCTCATTCTATCACCCAGACGTACACGTTTCTTTCTTTCACAAGGTCTCATTCTGTCACCCAGACGTGCAGTGGTGCAATCATGGCTCCCTGCAGCCTCAACCTTCTGGGCTCACATGATCTTCCTGCCTCAGCTCCTGAGTAGCTAGGACTATAGGTGCACATCACCATGCCCAGCTAATTTTTAAAATATTTTTGTGGAGATAGGGTCCTACTATGTTGCCCAGGCTAGTTGCAAACTCCTAGTCTCAAGCAATCCTTCTGCTTCAGCCTCCCAAAGTACTGGGATTACAGTACTAAACCCAGCTTTAATTTTCTATAAATTTAAATCTTGCATCATTTAATCTAAATAAAAGCTGTAGAAAAATTGACATCTGATATACTTCTTAAGCTCTTATGAATAAGATGTATTATTGCCCTATAAGACTGTTACCTTCTATATAATAGGAACTATAAATAATCAAGACAAGTAGAATAATTTAATAGAAAAATGGGTAAAACATACACACATTTTGAAGCAGTTATTCAACAATTACATTTTCTATGTACTAGGCATTGGGGATAAAGTAGTAAATAAAACAAAGATGGTTCTTGTTTTAATAGAACATACATTCTATAAGGAAGACTCTGGCTATAAAGAGGTAAACAGAATAGATTTCTGGGCAGCCAAGGTAATAGTGACTGTGTACACTGCAATCACAGTCCTCTATCCTCCCCAAACTATATAAACTATACAAACTATACAAAGGCATGCAAATTCCATGACTTCGACATAACTAGAAGATACAGAACAATACAAACATCAAATTGCCTTTAATTAGAAAATATAAGCACCAATTTCCAGCAGAGGTATTTCTCAAGCTCTCACTCTAACCCTTTGCAAAAGGGAAGGCAGAGTTGTGGGGGCAATGCCCAGAAGAGTAGAGAACAAAAGGGCTCAGACTAAACTACGGTAACCCCAAGAAGGAGAAAACCACTACCAGTGTGAATGCCAGAATACTGAAAAAAAAGTTCTAGAAAACCAGAGCAGACTATAAGAAAGGAACTTAACAGTATAAACGAAACTTGAGGAGGTAGTCTTAGAAAGGCTGAAGACAGTTCCAAAAAGCAGAAGATAAAAGGAAGAGAAAGGAATCTTGCGGGGTAAAGGGAAAAATAAGCAAGAAAGGAAAATTTAAGACCAAAGAAAAACTATTAAAGGACATACAATCTTTCTTCTGATTGTCTCTGCAAAAGAGGGTGTTTTTGAACTAACAATTTATAAACCACCCCAAACTGCTATTCTATCCACAAAATGCAAATGTGTAAGCAATCTTCATCTACACAAACTATTACAAAAGGAAATAGAAAATAGAAAATACTAAAAACACTTGAGTAGATGAATCTTCCAAAAACCAACTATGAATCAGAAGAAAACTCTAACTCAATATTCCACTCTGAACTAAATATTCTCAAATAAGCATTTAAAAACAAGTTTGAATTATATATTGAAAAACTTAGAATAGAAATAGGTAAACAAAACTCCAAAGAACAGAAAGGTTGATTGAACTCATGAGAGAAACAGAAGAAAAAGGCATAATCTATCAGAAATGAAAACCGAGTTATAAGGACCCAAGGAAAAATAGATTTGAATAAAACTATTTTTAATTCAATTATTACTTATTATTTTAAATAATCCTAGAGAATGAAAGTGAGATAAAGTAAAGAAAACAGAAAGAGGTTGCAAAAAACAAAATCAAATTACACAAGATTGGAGCTCCTGAAGAAGAAAAATAACACATTAGAACAGAACTAGTATTTAAAACTTTTATGCAAGAAAACTTCCTGGAAATAAAGAAAAACCTGGATATACAAATTAAAAAGGCCCACTGTGTACCTGGGAAAACACCCTCAACAATGTATTTCGTGAAATATTCTAGTATATCATTTAAACTTTATTTAAAAAATAAAGGAAAAATCCTCAGGGCACACAAGCAAAATGAGTCCAAAACTTATAAGGCAAGAGAATCAGACTGGAATCAGATTTCTCAAAAGAAATATACAAAACAAGGCAATAATGGAGTGTCATTTTCAAGTAACTCAATGAAAGAAAATTATGAACCAGGGATTTTATATTAAATATCCTGCCAAGCTCTCGCCCCAATACTGAATACATGAGAAAAAAAAAAGTTTAAATAAGCAAGATCTCAGAAAGTATGTATCCATGAGCTCTTTTGCAACCATCCACAAGAAGATAAGCTTTATCCAACCAAGAGATCACTGTGGAAACTTCAGAAAAAGGACTTAATGGTGAGTGCTATGATTTGAATGTGTCCCCTCCAAAATCCAAGTGTTGAAATGTAGTGGCCAATATGATGCTATTAAGAAGTGGAGCCTTTAAGAGACGATTAGGTCATGAGGGCTCCTCTCCTCATGAATGGGAGTAAGGTCCTTATAAAAGAGGTTTCCCCTCCAGTGTTGGTGGCTTGCTCTTCCATCTTCCCCGATGTGAGGAGGCCGCATTCATTCCCTCTGGAGGATGCAGCAACAAGGCAACATCTTGGAAGGGGAAAGCAGTCCCACAACCAAACCCGCCCGTACCTTGACCTCGGCTTTCCAGCTGCCAGAAGTGTGAGAACTTTCTGTTCTTTATAAATTACCCAGATTGTAGTTTTCTATTACAGCAGCACAAAAGGACTAAGACAGGAAACATTTAATATATTTAATGTATAAAGACTAAAACAAATGTAGATGATAGTTAAAAAATAATCTGTTTAGTATTCTGACGAGGTAGAAATAATGCAACCAAAAAACAGGGAGAGAAAGAGAAAAATGAGAGCATAACAAGCACATTATTATTAAGTGTGTTAATAATTCAGAGTCAAAGGATATCATTAAAAACTAATAAACCAGGCCAGGCACGGTGGCTCATGCCTGTAATCCTGGCACTTTGGGAGGCCAAGGTGGGAGGATTGCTTGGGCCCAGGAGTTCAAGACCAGCCTAGGCACTAGAGTGAAACCCCACTTCTACAAAAAATTAAAAAATTAGCCAGGCTTGGTGGCACACACATGTAGTCCCAGCTCCTCGGGAGGCTGAGTAGGGAGAAATTCTTGAGCCCAGGAGGTCGAGACTGTAGGAATCTGTGATTGTGCCACTGGCCTCCAGCCTGGGTGACAGAGTGAGACTCTGTCTCAAAAACAAAAAACAAACAAACAAACAAAAACCCCCAAAAAACAAACCAGACAGTATACGTTTAAATACGAACACAGGTAACTAGGAGCATTTTAAAGGAGTGGAAGTTCAAAGGTAACCACTACAACAAAACTAAGACCATTTTAAATATCAAGAGATATTTAAAAATCAAGAGATAGTTAAAAAGAGCAAAGAACACATCATATAGGAAAATTATTAATACAATGCACACACAGAAATGATAACAATGAATTGAGACCAAACATAAAAATCATATCAATAAACATGAATGAGTCATCTACTAGAAAATATTTTCAGTTGGGTCACAAAGCACTATCCAAGTATATGAACACAAGACACACAAGCAGCATTGATAAAAACTGATAAAATATTATGTCACCGAAAAAGCAGCAGTAAATTACGTAACATAGAAATTATACAAATAAAACACTGTGATCCCAATGCAATAGAACTATAAATTAATAACTAAATCAAAAGATTAAAAAAGACCCTTCCACCAGGAAATTAAGGGACTTTTTATACCTTTCATACAGCTGTTGTATGAAAAGGAAATAAAGTCAAAATTACAGAATTTCCAGAAATAATAATGAAAACATTAAATATCAGAATCTATGGGATATACTTAAAGCAATGATCAGAGGAAGACCTACAGCCTGAAACACATATATAAATAAAAGTGAAAGAATGAAAAAAAGGAATTAAATCCCCTTTCAAAATGCTAAAAAAATAAAAAACAAAGCACAAGGCAGGAATAAATAAGATAAAAACAGAAATTCATCAGGTAAATTCATAAGTGGCACTTACTAGTTAATCAAAATTTTGTGGGTTTTTTTTTTGTTTTTTTTTTTTTTGAGATAGGTCTTGTTCTGTCTCCAGTGCTAAAGTGCCATGGCACAATCACGGCTCACCGCAACCTCAACCTCCTGGGCTCAAACGTTCTTCCCACCTCAGCCTCCCATGTAGCTGGGACCACAGGCATGTGCCACCGCATCCGGCTAATTTTTTGTAGAGACAAGGTCTCACCATGTTGTCCAGTCTGGTCTCAAACTGCTGGGCCCAAGCAATCTTCCCGCCGTGGTCTCCCAAAGTGCTGGAATTACAGGTGTGAACCACCGCGCCTGGCCAAAATCTTTTTTTTTTTATGTATGAAAAAAAAAGGCCAGGTGCAGTGGCTCATGCCTGTAATCCCAGCACTTTGGGAGGCCGAGGTGGGCAGATCACGAAGTCAGGAGATCGAGACCATCCTGGCTAACACGGTGAAACTCCGTCTCTGCTAAAAAAATGCAAAAAATTAGCCGGGCGTGGTGGCATGTGCCTGTAGTCCCAGCTACTCGGGAGGCTGAGGCAGAATAGCTTGAACCTGGGAGGCGGAGGTTACAGTGAGCTGAGATCGCGCCACTGCATTCCAGCCTGGGCAACAGAGTGAGACTCTGTCTCAAAAAAAAAAAAGAAAAGAAAAAGAAACTTCACAAAGTAGACACATCACTACTAACTTTAGGTAATCAAAAAAGACAATGAGAAAGAACAAGTATATCAAATAAGAAGTATAAGACTTCCCATTGAATACAGTCATGCACAGCATGACAATGCATGACAATGTTTTGATCAACCATGAACAGCATATGCAACAGTGGTCCCATAAGATTATAAGGGAGCTGAAAAACTCCTATCACCCAGCAGCTGCCATATCATCACAGCACAATGCCGTACTCATGTGTTTGTGGTGATGCCGATATAAATAAATCTACCGTGCTGTCAGCTGTATAAATGCATAGCACATACAATTATGTATAGTACATAATACTTAATAAAAATAAATGGCCATGTCACTGGTTTATATATTTATTATACTATACTATTTATTACTATTCAAGTTATTTTAGAGTGTACTCCTTCTACTTATTTAAAAAAACATTAATTATCTGACAGCCCCAGGCAGGTCCTTCAGGGGGTATTCCAGAAGAAGGCATTGTTATCATAGGAGATGACAGCTCCATGCCTGTTATTGCCCTTGAAGACCTTCTAGTGGGACAAGATGTGGAGGTAGAAAACAGTGATATTGATGATCCCAACCTTGTGTAGGCATCAGCTAATATGTGTGTTTGTGTCTTCGTTTTTTAAAAGAAGTTTAAAAAGTTTTAAAAACATTTTTTAATAGGAAGAAAGGTTACAGACTAAGGATATAAAGAAAATAGTTTTCTACAGCTGAATACATGTTTATGTTTGCAGCTATTACAAAAAAGTAAAAAGTTAAAAAAATTTTAAATGTTTATGAAGTTAAAATGTTACAGTAAGCTAAGGCTAATTTATTATTGAAGAAATAACATTTTAAAAAATAAATGTAGTGTAGTCTAAGTGCAGTGTTGATAAAGTCTACAGCAGTGTATGGTAATATCTTAGGTCTTCAAATTCACTCACCACTCACTCACTGACCCACCCAGAGCAACTTCCAGTCCTACAGTTCCATTCATGATAAGTGTCCTATTCAAGTGTACAATTTTTACCTTTTCTACTGTATTTTTACTGTACCTTTTCTATCGTTTCTACTGTATTTTTACTCTACCTTTTCTGTGTTTAGATGTGCTTAGATACAAATACATGAATACTTACCACTGTCTTACGAGGGAGGGAGGGAAAAGAAGGGAAAGGGAGAGAGAGAGAGAGAGAGAGAGAGAGAGAGAGAAGAGAGCCATCCAGAATAAAACAAAGCAAATATAGCCAAAATGACATTTGGGGAATGTAAGTAAAGGGTATATAAAAAATTTCTGTATTATTCTTGCAACTTTTCTGTAAGACTGAAATTATTTCAAAATAAAAAGTTTAACTAAAGAACTTATTTATGTAACCAAACACTGCCTGTTCCCAAAAACCTATTGAAATAAAAATAAATAGCTTAAAAACAAAATAGAAATAAAAAACAAGATCATTTCAGCTAGTGATAAGTACTAAAAGGAAAATAAAAAATGGTAATACTACAAAAAATACCTGGGATGGGGTGTGGGGACTGTAGCATAGTCCTTAAATTGGGAAGTCAGAGAAATTAACATCTGAACTAAGACCTAAACTAAAAATAGAAGCCAGCCATCTGAAGATTTGGGCAAAGAATTCCAGGCAAAGATATTCCACATGCTCTAAGGTGAAAATGCACTCGTGACTTCAAGATACAGGTAAAGACTAAATGCATGTGAAAAATTGTTCAATGTTATTCATAATTTAAAAATTAACTAAATAGTTGAGTCACTTCATTTCTTAAGAGATGGCAAAGAACGGGTCCAGGGGGTACCAATATCCAGTGGGTACCCTGCTTTTCCAGATGTCAATTTCCCAGCATAAGAAATTTTAAAACATTGACACCAAGCAATTCTTGTTTGAAAGTTTATCTTAAAGAAATAATCAGAAAGGCAAAGATTTATGAAAAAGGTTGTAATATTATTTATTTATAGCATAACACTGGAAACAACATAAACTGCCATTACTATAGGAATGCTGGAAGAAAACTATGATACCTCTATATGGGAGAATTCTATGCAGCCATTGGGCTTATGACATAAAGTTAGATAAAAATGTATACAAACAAAAAATGGTATCTATATCCATCTCTTATAAAGAAAATATTATCTAAACCAACACTGGGACAAGGAAATGCCAGTTACCTTGCCTTAAGATGACAGGATTATGATTTTTTTAATATTATGGAATTATGATTTTATACTAACCTTGCTAAGTACATTTTTTGAAATTTTTCTAATTTTTTTTACAATGGGCATGTTTTTCATAGACATTTATAACAGAAATATCCAAATATTGCCAAATATCAAAAACTCATAAATTAGAAAAACTGTAGCACGGTATCCTTAATTTACCAATAACTATACATTTTCTATCCACATTCAACTCTAAATACTAATCCAACTCTAAATACTGCAATTTCAGGATTCTTTTCCAAGGAATTTAATGATCCCAATTTTCTGTACTGAACTTATGAATGGAGTTCAAGGGTGCTGGGACCTTTGATAAACAGGAGATGTTTCTGTGGGAGGGAGAAGGCTGCAGAGGAGGAAATTTCTTTGAATTGGAAAAAATATGTTATTTTCTGTAGCTTGTTCTTTTAGAATTCATCCTCAGGTTTTCTAAAAGCTTCCCTGTCCTGTTCTAGGTAGGTTGTTTTGATAATATTTTTGATATTCAGTGAAAGGATGGGTAAGAATTATATTCACAATTTCAAGTGCCAGCTATAAAATTCAATTACTGCTCTATCAATGATGAAATCCATTCATTCATACATTTATTGAGAAAGGGTCTCATTCTGTCACCCAGGCTGGAGTGCAGTGGTGTGATCATAGCTCACTGCAACTCCCAACTCAAGCGAGGCTCAAGTGATCCAAGCAGCTGGGACTACAGGTGCACACCACCACTCCCAGCTAATTCTACTGTTTCATTTTTTTGTAGATGCAGCATTTCGCTATGTTGCCCAGGTTGGCCTTGAACTCCTGGCCTCAAGAGATCTTCCTGCCTCAACCTCCCAAAGCACTGGGATTATAGGCATAAGCAACTATGCCTGGCTTCAAATACATTTAGAATTATCAACATTAGAAATTTGATATAAATATATCATCTCTTTGTTTCTCTTCATAAGTGAGACAATGTAAATGTGTATATAACTGAAAATACTTTTTAAAAGAATCATTAAGGATGACTTGACTGTTTGTTGCTTGAAGAAGTGTGGTAATGCAGAAAGAACGGACTTTGGAATAAAATAAATCTAGGCCTCATTACTTTCTAGCTAAGTGCCTTAATTAAACTTGTTAACACCTTTGAACTGCTGTCTTCTCTTTGAAAATGGGGATACCTCACCTGCTACTGTGAGAATTAGAGCTAATGTAAGTTAAGTGCTTAACATATGCTTGAATCATCGCAAGTACCCGAAACCCAAAACAAACGAAAGACAAAACTTGACTGAATTTCCCCCTTTCTTCCAGCCCTGATTCCATGCTTCATATTTAAGTTCTACATCAGGATTTCTCAACCTTGGCATTATTGACATTTTGGGTTGGATAATCTGATTCTTAGCAGCATCTCTGGCTTTGTCTACTAGATATCAGTGGCGCTCCACTAATTGTGAAAATAAAAAATGTTTGCACACATTGCTAAATGTCCCCTGGGCTTCAAAAGTGCCCCAAGTTGATGACCACTAATCTATATAGACGACTAAAATATACAAACGGCATTTAATAGGGCCAACCAAAACAAGTGATCTCATTTTTCCCAGACTACTGAAAGCCAGTGATGGGAAGGGGAGAGGTAAATATTCCATTTTATATAAGGAATCTGTTTATTTCATGAAGGATTATTATGAAGGGGTTTAAAGCCCATGTCTTTGACTACTAAAATAATGTATTTTGACCATTATCTTAGTGGTCAAAGATTTGGATTTTAAAATTTGACTGTCTCCATTTAAATATAGGTTGGACAAGTTAACCTCTCCAAGCTTCAGTTTCTTCATCTGGGTTATTATGACTGTTACATGGATTAAATGCATAATACAGGTAAAGTGCTAAGCCCAGTGTCCGATATGTTGCAAGCACTCAATAAATGTTGGCTGTTCTTATTATAATCTAGGTCCTCTTTCCAATCCTGGGCTTTCAGGTCCCTCTTATTATGCCTTATCTCAGATTCCTCACTCTATACATATACTTATTTCTACTCCAAAGTCATCCTAACCCTTCTTTATTGAGGCACCTAACGCTGAGGGTGTAAGAAAACTGCCTGAGCTGGCAAGAGAAGACTTTGGTAATAAATTCTGAGAAATCTTCCCTTACCATGTCTGACTATCACTGACACATGATGTTTTTTGTACACTGGAATCAGGAAGAATACTATTTATGCAGAAAAAAGTGAGTAAAATTAATTACACTGAAGAACGAAAAGTACTAACTTGTGTTCCATTAGGGCACAACTATTGGTATAATTCATACATTAGTACATTGTAAAATAATAATAATAATAATAATAATGTTCCCAAATTGAATGAAATCAATTTGCAAATTTTTCTTTAAATTCAGGGTTTTCTTTCTTTCTCTCTCTCTTTCTTTTTATTAAGACAGGATCCCACTCTGTTCCAGGCTGCAGTATAGTGGTGTGATTATGACTCATTGCAGCCTCAACCTCCTGGGCTCAAGTGATCCTCCTCCTCAGCATCCCAAAGTGCTGAAATTACAAGTATGAGCCACCATGCCCAAACCCAGAGTATTTTTTTTTAATTAAAAGTAGAAATTTCCAAAAGGATTTACTAAATAATTTACAATTTATAAATGACCATCTATGATAATTATAAGCTACATAGATGAAGTTATCAAGTAACTTTTTAAAAATCAAAGATTAGGCATGAATCAGAAGTCCCGGAAAAGAAAAATGACCAAAAACCTACAAAATGGAGTCTCAGAAAAAAAGTCAGTGCTATGTGAAAAAATGATGCCTTTCTATGCAGAAGTGAATAACAATTTTTACTACAGCTCACCTGTAGTTTCTGAGTCAAAGAATCCCTCTGTTCTTGTAGTTCTCTGGCATTATCAATTTCTTGTTTTAACCTTTCTATTTCCTAGAAAAGACAGAGCAATGTCTTAACATTCAAACTATATCAAGGCAAGGGAAGGTCTTGTTTTTCCCTGAAATTATTGTTCTAGTTCTTAGAAAAAGATGATTTTAAAAACATTCCTTCATATTGACTTTTAGAGGGATGAATTCATCTTTATATGTATGTTGTCTAGAACAATAATCTTAAGCAACAGCAACAAGTCTAACTTGGTGCTTCTGGTACAGCAATGCTTAGAAATAACAACCTGAACATTTTAATGTTGCTTCAAGCTTTGTGGATATAATTCTTTCCTAAGATATTAAAGTTTTGACTGGAACCCAGAGAAACCAACAGCTTTTAAAATCCATTTAACCCCTAATGATTTTCTGTTGACTGTATAAATGCAACTCTCATCTGGAAGGCAACAGGTGGTATCTCGGTCTGACTGCCTCACCACAGTTCATAATAACAGAAATAAGGATAGAGAAAATATGAGCAAGCTTAATACCACTCAAGAAAAATTTCATCCTAAAAAAGAGGTCACAACCTGACTTTATTCCATAAAATACTTTTAAATTTGACATGGAATCTAATACTTTGTACAAACATGTTAGCTAGATTACAGATGAGTAAAAAGCAGCAAATACCTCTTCCTTCAGTTTCAGTGTCTCTTCCAGTTCTTGTATTGTCTGATTTAATTCTGTCTTATGAGTATGTACTGCATTTGCTTGGCTACTAACACATTCAAGTTCAGTCACCTAAAATTAAATGAGAACACAGATTAACTTAAATTTCAACTTTAAAGAGTTTCTTGCTAAATACATAGCCCCAAATAAGTGAATAGTATATTCTGAATAAATATATAAAAATTAATTTTGAGAAATATTAAGACACTCAAGGTAGAGTGAATAGATTCTTCAAAGATATAAAACTAGGAAAAGGGAAAAATAATCATTTACATGGCTTAGTCATAGAAAGGTTAGGATAACTTAAATTAAGTGATTAATGACAGTAGAGAATCCCTATAATGAAAGTCTTCTGTAAAAATTTCTTCCAAAAACATATTCAAGATCAGATATGACCATCTGTCCTTCATCTGTAGCCTTCAAATTCAATATGGGTTCTGAAAACTGGCCTTGCAGAAGTGAGAATTTTTTCAAATACATTTCCAACATGTAAGAGAATCTGGAAGAGAAAATAGGCTTAAAATACAACTTAAATCATTAGATACTGGAATGACTTTACATCAACAGTGTCTCTTACGGGTAAGATAAAATTTTGTTAGTCAATAAGAATTTACTGGGGGCCCAAAGAGTAATATAACTTTTAATGAGCACTTGGTATTTTTTGAGAGAACAGAGAGGGGCACTGTCCTTCAAGTTATACCATCTAAAACTAGAATCAGCAATAGACAGAAGTCAATATAAATACACACACACACACACACACACATGCACACACACACCCTATCACAGTTCTTTACATATATCATGTGCTCATAAAATTTTGGTTTACTAGAAGATAGTAAATTCTAGACTATTAAAGAAACAGAGTAAATCCCTCTCCCTGGCATTTTCCAAATATCAAATTACCCTCTACATTCTGTGATTCTCTCTCTTATATAATTTTCTTCCTTTCTTCTCATGTACTAATAGCCTCGTTACAAACCCTTATCATCCAGACCTGAACAAAACCAACAGCCTCCCAGTGGACTTAATTATAATCTTTTTTTTGTCTATTCTGCAAATTGCTAAGATTCATCTTTCATTCCTGTGATTCCACCATTCAAAGACTTTCAGCAGCTCATCTTTTTTACGGTATCAGATCTAAACGCTCAGATCCTCTGTATATTGGCCCCAACCTTCTCAACCATCCACACTGCCCAAGATACTCAGTGAGTACTTCCAACTAAAAGCAGGCAAATCTCCTTGTCCTAAGAACAAGTGATATTCATTCCCAACTTGTTGATTTAACTAGAATGTCCTCTCTTGCCTCTGAAAACCACTCGGACCTAACCGAACCCTTAACTCTTAGCTCAGCATGTGCTTTCTCCAGAAAGCCATTCCTATCTGCTCAAGTCTTCAAGGCTCTCCTCTGGTTCACAAAACCAAGCATCTGTTCAAAAATCTTGGGAATTATTTCACTTATTGTTTAATGTGTATTTGTTTTGTCTCATTATATAATAAATTCCTTAAAGGGAGTTCCAATTCTGATAATGATGAAATAGTTTTTATTGGAGTAACTTTCCTATAGGTAACAATTGCAAATTGTGGGCAAAATGTAAAAGTCAACTGTTTGAAGGACCTGGTGAGTAACCAAATTGGGCAAAAGACTGCAAGAAAGCAGTCACTTTGGGTGATTTCCACATCTTTTTGCCTGAAGGTACTCTGCAGTCTGGCTGCATTGCTTGACTGAACAAGCAGAAATCCATAGTCTTATTTCTCTGAGAAGCCTGAGAATTTTAGGACTCTGCAGAACACCTGGCACAACTAGGAGTAGGAAAAGAGCTGGAAGGCTGAAAGAACTAAACTGCGATGGTGCTCAACAGAGATGACAGTTTGAAGTTCTGCTAGTCCCTGCTAAATTAGAGGGCCTTGGTAAATACCTCAAGCTTTGCAGTGAAACTTTGGAAAGGGTTATGTCTTAGAGATAAAGATTTCCTAGGACAATGTGATTTACCCTAGGGTTACAGCAAAATTGAAATACATGAATTCTAACAAAGCATAAGTACACAACTCCACAAATTCAAGATAATCTCCAAATAACTGCCTGTTGAAACAAAAACTCAACATTATTCAAAAATAACAAAATCTGTGGTCTCTACAACATCTCATTTGCAATGTCCAATACAAAATTAAAAATGACTAGTCATTTTTCTGAAAAAACAGTAAAATGTAACTTATAATCAAGACAAAATTTATCTAAATAAAAGTGGAGATAATTTGTTGGCAGTACACTTGGAGTACAAAAACTGCTCAAGGAGGTTATTCAGGCTGAAGGGAAACAATACCTGATAGAAATTCAGATCTACAGGAAAGAAGCACAATGGAAACTGAAAATATGTGAGTAAATAAATATATTATGTTTCTTAAGTTCTTTAATATTCAATTGACTATTTAAAGAGAAAATTTCTTAAGGGCAGAGATTACACAATAAGGAGACATGATAGCTCCTTAATATTTTCTGGCTATGACAATTGTCATAAATTTTTTTTTGTGGTAAAAAACATATATCATAAAATTTATCATCTTAGTCATTTTAAGTGTATAGTTCAATAGTGTTAAGTATTTATATTCACATTGCTGTGAAACAGATCTCCAGAACTTTTTTAACTTGCAAAACTGTAAGTCTATACCCATTAAACAACTCTCCTTTCCCCCACCTCTCTTAAGTTAATTTTTACACACAGGATAGAATAACATTTACTCAAGTTTCTAACATTTCCACTCTGTCTCAACTGCATTTCCTTTTCTTTCTTTTTTTTTTTTTTTCTGAGATAAGGCCTTGCTCTGTTACCCAAGCTGGAGTATGCAGTGGCGTGATCTCAGCTCACTTTAGCCTCTGCCTCCTGGGCTCAAGTGATGTTCCCACCTCAGCCTCCTAAGTAGTTGGAACTATAGGGACATGCCATCACACCCATCTAATTTTTGTATTTTTAGTGGAGATGGGGTTTCACCATGTTGCCCAGGCTGGTCTTGAACTCCTGGGCTCAAGCAATCCATCCTCCTTAGCCTCCCAAAGTGCTGGGATTATAGGTGTGAGCCAATGTGCCCAGCTTGGAATTTTTTTTAAAAGGAGAAATTAAAGGCATCTGTTGGGTGAAGCACTTCTATGCCTTGAATTAAAAAAAAAAAAACTTCTTCTTTTTTTTTTTTGTTTTTTAGAGACAGAGTCTTGCTCTGTCACCCAAGCTAGAGTGCAGTAGAGCCATCATAATTCACTGCAGCCTCCAATTCCTGGGCTCAAGCAATCCTTCCCACTCAGCATTCCAAGTAGCTAGGACTACAGGCGTGTGTCCCCATGCTTGGTTAATTAAAAAAAAAAAAGAAAAAAGATTTTTTTTTTTTTTTTTTTTAATGGAGATGGGGTCTTGCCATGTTGCCTGGGCTAATCTCAAACTCTTGGCCTGAGAGCATTAAAACACTTTACAAGTAATTATCTGGGCTTCTGATATTAATGGTATTGAAATTTCTGGTTTTCTTTTTCTGCACCAAATCTCTAATATTACCAAAGTTAATAATTTTCTACTTGTATTTTTCAAATTGTTCCTTCTTTAAAAAGAAAATAATAAAAGCAGCTCATTGACTCACTGCAACTCATTGAGACAGTGCAATTACACGGCACTTAAGTGTCTCAACAAATTTTCATAGGAATTGTACAGAATACATACTTTTGACTCAGTGCAACTACATGCCAATTAAGTATTCAATTAATCTTCACAGGAATTGTACAGAGTACTTATTATTCCTATTTTACAGATGAGAATACTGAGCTGGAAGAAGGAAATAACTTATCAAAGATCATACAGATAATAACCGGCAGAACTGGAATTCGCACTCTGGAATACTCTGGTCTTGTAAACCAGAAATGGAGAATCCCCTCCCCAGGACAACTCAGGAGAAAAGCATTCCCGCTTCACCGTCAACACCCAAAGCTAAAATTCTAATTAAACTACTCCCTGAATTTTTTCTCAGCACACACTTTAACTACCATGTCAGTACTAATCAACTAGCACTAATACATTAGTGCTTTTATGTACTTGTGCATTACTGCTAGTCCCCATGGATAATATGGGGAATCAACATGGTTTGTTGACTTCAAAAGGCGTATATTCTTCATTCTCATTAAACTATGGAAAATATTTTTCTTAATCAAACAAATGCATATCATACAACCCATATCTATGTTCTGACATCCTAGAACTAGAAGATATCCCTGTGCTGAATCTACATGCAAATTTCTTCTGATCAAGAAAACCTGTTAGCCCTAAATCCCTATAGACATCAGCCCTGAAATTACCCGCTTGTGCAGACGTTCTGCTTCCTCTTGATAGGCAGCAAGTTGCTGTTTCCATTGTTTCACATTGGCAGTGGACTCCAGCAGGGCTGCAGTGAGTTTGGCATTATTTCCTTTGAGGGTAGCCAGTTCAGCCTCCCAATGTTTGCTGATTGCTGAACTAAAATAAAACAAAAAGAAAATTCTATCCATTACACCAACTACTGTTACCTTGAAGGGACAGCAAGACTCAGTTCTATTGTAGGGTTTATAGTCTAAGAATGTTTTCTTTTCTTTTTTTTTTTTTTTGAGATGGAGTCTCGCTCTGTTGCCCAGGCTGGAGTGTAGTGGCGCAATCTTGGCTCACTGCAACCTCCGCCTCCTGGGTTCAAGCGATTCTCCTGCCCCAGCCTCCTGAGTAGCTGGGACTACAGGCACACGCCACCATGCCCAGTTAATTTTTTTGTATTTTTTTAGTACAGACGGGGTTTCCCATGTTGGCCAGGCTGGTCTTGAACTCCTGACCTCAGGTGATCCACCTGCCTCAGCCTCCCAAAGTACTGGGATTACAGGCGTGAGCCACTGTGACCAGCCCTAAGAATGTTTTCAAAGACAACCTCAAAATACTAAAAAACACAAATACTTTACCAAAATATTCCTAGTAAAGAAAACCTGGCAAGTGAAGAAATATAAAAAGTACTCAAGTACCAGGCTTAACGTGGAATGTTTCCAACCTTCATTATGACAGATACAGTTATCTACAGAAGAGTTTCCACCCATTCTCTTTTAAGGAATAAACATTATAGCCTGAAAAACATCTATTAAAAAAACCTAACAATGTATTACATTTTTTACGTGTGTCAAACCCTAAAGTACAATGTTATTCCTTAATGAAAACATATGAGGATGCTTAAATGTCATAAGGTTTGGGATATGTAATGTAGTATTTCTTTTGAAATTGTTTTTGATTTATTTCATCTTATTCAGGACCTTAAAATGTCAAAAATACAAACATTTGCTACAATAAACTGATTTCATAGGAAAGGCTAGGCCTACAAACTGGTTCTAAAGACTTGACTTCTGATATAATTCCAGTGTCATAAATAGAAGAAGACTAAAGCAATCACCGTTTTTCCTCATTTAATATTCTACTTGATAAGTTACTACAGTTAAGTACCTCAACTAAAACAATTTTCTACTACAAGACAATTCTTTTAGTTGGAAAGACTCCTCTTGAAAATTCCTTTCCTAACTTTCCAATGAAGAATTGCCTCATTAGAAAGAAAAAGGTTGTTTCTCTTTCTCATTATTGAAGTTTATTTCTATTAGTTAAATTCTACTAACCTCATCCCATTAACTAACTAGTGAGGCTTATAGCTTTCTTCAATCACCATTTTTTGGGGGTTTGATAAATCATTTGTATTCTAGGGTAAATTTGATGGGTTGATATTTTATAGTAATTTTAGCATATATTTTATTTAAAAAGCATAGTTTTCATCACCAAGATTTCTAAAGTTTATCACCAGAAATATGACATATTAGCATCACGAACCCCCTGATATGATGTACAGAGAATGACACAAGATTGTGTCTGTAGTATTCTTGCAATAAATGCGTAACTTCAGTCAAACAATGAGAAAATATCATATAAACCCAAACTGAGGGACAATCTGTAAAATAACTGAAACTCTTCAAACATGTGAAGAAAATGAAGGAAACAGGAAATAACAGTTAAATGCAAGGTGGGATCTTAGGTAGGTTCCTAGAACAGAAAGGGAACATTGGTGAAAACTGAGGGTTAGTTAGTAGTATTGTATCAATGCTACTGCCCTGGATTTGATCATTGTATTATGGTTACACAAGATGTTAACATTAAGGGAAGCTGTGTGAAGTGTATACGGGCACTCTGTACAGTTTTTGTGATTTTTCTATAAGTCTAAAATTAGTTTAAAATGAAAAGTTAAAAATATTCCTAAAGTTTACTAAGTGAGAAAATATCATCAAAACATGAAAGGATAGAATCAAGCAACAAGCTAAGCTATTAACTTAACAATCCATTTCTATCCTGAAAAGGAAAGCTCTTTTCTTATTCTTCCTTTGTGAAATGATTTTTCAGATTCATGTCTTCTGAAAAAAGCATGCATGGATTCACCTGCTCTAACTGAATTATAGATTTTTCTTTAAACCACCTACCAGTTTTTCCCCTATAGAGATGCGTTTTATTTAAATGGAAACTTCAATCTGACGATTGACATCTTAGTGAACTAATTTAAACACTTGTTACATGTCAATAGCAAACACCTTTAAAAATTAACTGGAAGAAACAACAATTATTTACTCCTAAAATCCATTTGTCAAAATCACACAATTATAAAGTAAAATGGATTACCACATATTTATAGCAGGAGAAATAATTTTAAAATGAGGGTGTTTTTCTATTATATTTATGTGGGTTTTATTTTATAGTCACTAGACAGTAAAATCCATCAAGCATTTTATAACTGCTTACATCACAAGTATTCAGTAATTATCTGGGTAACCTCGGACCCAACACTCAAGCACTTTGGTTCTCAGTTCTTTATATGTCAAATAAATAGATCAGTCAAGATCTGTATTATCCAAATATTAGCATGTGGCTATTTAAATGTAATACTTCAAAATTAAAGTAAAAAATTCAGCTTTGAATTTGAGACACATTTCATGCACTCAACAGCCACACATGACTGGTGGCTACTACCCTGGACAGCAAAGATAACAGAACATTTCATCATGACAAAAAGTTCTACTGAACAGTACTGTTCAAGAGGATCTTGACATTCTGCCTTTTCTTTCTTTCTTTCTTTCTTTGAGATGGAGTTTCGCTCTTGTTGCCCAGGCTGGAGTGCAATGGCACAATCTCAGCTCATGCAACCTCCGCCTTCCAGGTTCAAGCGATTCTCCTGCCTCAGCCTCCCAAGTAGCTGGGAGGTGCCCACCACCACGCCCAGCTATTTTTTTTTTTTTTTAATATTTTTAGTAGAGATAGGGTTTCACCATGTTGGCCAGGCTGGTCGCTAACTCCTGACCTCAGGTGATCCACCCGCCTCGGCCTTCCAAAGTGCTGGGATTACAGGCATGAGCCATCGTGCCCGGTCCTGATTGCCTCTTCGATTCTGTGCGTGAGGCTGAACTGTGTCCCTCCAAAACTCATATATTGAAGTTCTAACTCCCAGGATCTCACAGTATGACTGTATTTGGAGACAGAGTCTTTAAAGAGGTAATTAAGGTTTAATGTGGTCATTAGGGTGGGCCATAATCCAGTATAAATGGTGTCCTTACAAGAGGAGGGGATTAGGACACAGACACACGAACATAAAAAGAGACGACAGCCATCTACAAGACGAGGAGAGAGGCCTCGGAAGAAATGACCCTGCAGACGCCTTGATCTCAGACTTCTAGCCTCCAGAACTATGAGAAAATAGATTTCTATAGTTTAAGCCATGCAGTCTACAGCATTTTTTAGGACAACTCAAGCAAACTAATAAACATAATTTTTTAAACCCACATTATGTAACCTATCAATTTGCCCCATCTTCCTGAATTGAAGTACATGGATTATATTTCCTGTTCTAATCAAGCTGGCTTTTCTGTGATGAGCTCTTCTTCTCAATCAGATTCTCATTTTTTTCTATGAATTTTTGTCCAATTTTTTCTATATTCAGAATCTATCAGATTGCATTTTTTCCTTTCATTGATTCAAGTTTTCTCCAACAAGTATTTTCCAGTTATTACACCCATCCTTTCACTTACCAGCAAAACCTGGTGCTTGCCAATCTGTGCAAGCTTAGTCAATGCACTAAATGAAAAGTAAAGGTATTCACTATGAAATAAGTGCAAGGCTAACCTCAGATCAAATCAATTAATGAGTAGTAAATTTTATAACACTAATTTTAATAAAACTTTCAACACTAATAAAAACCTCAAATATAAATATTTTAGCTCTCACATCAGGGATGGAATTTCACACTAGTTTTGGGTAGTAGAATCATATGGAGTTTCTTGACTCCCATTTTAAACTTATCAGGCATGCATATACGGTAACAGGGATTTCATCTATAAAACACTGTAGACCTGGAACATGGAGAATCTACAACAAACCTGTTTAAGAAAAGGTTGGTATTCCTGAACTAGTTGCCTTGTTTTGGCGTAATTTACAAGTTAATACCGATTGGCAGAAGTACTTTTTATATGAGTAGTCTAGGTAGTTATAACACCACATCAATTATTTTAAAACGCTTGACTGTTGAAATATATGTTTAGAGTAGGTTACTAGATTCTTCAAATTCATCCTAGCATTATCCAGTATTTTCATATTTGGTTGGTATTTAGACCCAAGGAAGCTCAAGTTTAAGATACAACTCTGGTAAAATCTTGAAATATACTATACGTTAATGATAAAATCTAGGTAAGTGTAATCATTTTATTTTCTACCTGTATCAAGAAGATAACTTCACAATTTCATGTTTGGAGTGGTACTTATGAGCAAGATGGCTACCACAAGCATTTCTAAGGCTCTTGGGAGCCAGAGATACAAAAGGGAATTTGTACCGTCTTGCAGGCTCTTTACCACAGACTTCTATCAGGTTCTCAGGAGAAAGATTGGAGAGGCAGAGAGAGAGACTAGAGAAAGGATCCTGGATGAGGGGAGAGACTTCCATTTGGGAAATTCACAAAGTCTAGCCAAGACCCTTCTTCTCCACAGGACCAAAATCTTAAACCAATGGGAGAAGGATACCCCTAAATCCTGTCATTCTCCCACTTAACCTGGATTCAGGTGAAGACCTGTTATGGCTGGGGGCAAAGAGAATAAAACACTGTAACTCTGTGAGAGGAACAGAAAATAGTCCTGGATTCAGAGGTCTCTAACCTGTGGGACAGAGGCAGGAAACTCCTACACAAGACTCTCAACTATCACAAGGCTGAATTTACCTGTTACTGGGAGAGGGGCAGGATCACTGAGAAAGCCTCATTTCTGAGATCCTGGGACAAAGGGTCTACCCAAGACTGAGGCTGGACAAAAACAACAGAGAACCCCATTCTGTCGTCTATTATAGCAGCCTTCCACTGCAGGAAGGTCAAGACTGTAGAGACAGACCTTCTTTGAGGTGTGCACACACACAAAAAAAGACCAAAAGATGAGTGTCGAGCAGTGAGTAGAACCCTCTAGCAATCCTAAGCACAAGGTAATGCTAGAGATGTTTAAAGGCTATAGCATACTCATAGTAACCATACCAACAACAAAATCAAAATCCCTTTCAACCCCCAAATGGACTAACTTTCATAATAACAGCCTAGCAGAAGAGTCATACCCATTTCTAGGAGGAAATAGTGTTCATCATTACTGTCCTCCACACAATGTTTAGCATTCAATGAAAAAAAAAATTACAAGATGTATCAAAAAGCAAGAAAAAAAAAACACTCCTCACTGTCAAGAAAGAAAGCAATCAACAGAATCATACTCAGAGATTAATCTGATCTTGATCTTGAATAAATCAAGGAAGTAAGATAGCAATGTTAAAGGTGTTAGTGGAAAGAAGGACATCACGTTCACTCAGATTGTGAATTTTAGCAGAGCAATGAAAACTATGGGAAAGAACCCAACAGAAATGTTAGAAATACAGAACATAACAACAGAGGTGAAGAATGCCTTTGACAGGCTCAGTGAACTTGACACAGCTGCATAAAGTCGGTGAACATGGAAACAGATCAAGAGAAATCAGCCAAACTGAAACACAAAGAGAAAAAAGAAAAAGAGTTTCTAAGATATGAAGGGCCATGTAAACTGTCTAACAAATGTTTAACTAGAATCATAGAAGGAGAAGAGAGAAGGGCAGAGGAAATATCTGAAGACATAAAGGCTGAGTATTTTCAAAAAATAAAAGACATGAAACCACAGATGCAAAAAGTACAAGAACATATTATACATAGAGGAACAAAAATAACAATTACAGTAGCTCCTTATTCATTGTTTCTCTTTCTGTGGTTCCAGTTACACATGGTCAACTATAGTCTGAAAATATTACAGTATGATAAAATATTTTGAGAGAGGGAGAGACCACATTCACATAACTTTTATTACAGTATATTCCTATAATTGTCCTATTTTATTATTAGTTCATGTTGTTAATCTCTTACTGTGCCTACTGTAGAAATTAAACTTTATCACAGGTATGTATCTACAGAAAAAAACATAAACATAAACCCTACATATAGGGTTCACTACTATCCATGGTTTCAGGCATCCACTGGGAGTATGCAATATATCCCCTGTGGTTAAGGAGGGACTACTGCATAGTAATACTTCATCACAGATGATGCAATCCAGAAGACAGTGGAGTGACAGTGTTGAAAGAAAACAATCCTCATCCTAGAATTCTACACATAGGAAAAATATCTTTCAAAATGAAGGTGAAATAAAGAGTTTTTCAGGTAAACAAGAGCTCAGATAATTTATTACTAGAAGATGTGTCCTACAAGAAATATTAAAGAAAGTTCTTTAAGTGAGAGTATGACCCCAGAGAGAAATGTAGATCTACACAGAGATGAAAATTATTAAAATGAAGATAATTATAAAAGGTCCAAAGGTATGATAATACGAAGGAGAAATAACAGTCTTTTAAACAAATGGTGCTAAAACAATTGGATAACCACATACAAACATAAATAAATCTCAACCCATATCTCATAGTCTATACGCAAATTAAAAATATAAAACTTCTATAAGATATAAAACTATAAAACTTGAAAAAATTCTTTGTGACCTTGGGCTAGGCAAAAATTTCTTAGATATTATACAATACCAAAAACATGGTCCATTAAAAAAACTGATCACAGGAACTTCATAAACTTAAAAACTTCTCTTTGAACAACACTATTTAAAAATTGAAGAGGCCAAGGGGGTGGCTCATGCCTTAATCCCAGCACTTTGGGAGGCCAACATGAGTGAATCACTTGAGGCCAGGAGTTTGAGAACAGAATGGCCAACATGGCAAAACCCGTCTCTACTAAAAATACAAAAATTAGCTGGATGTGGTGGTGGGCGCCTGTAATCCCAGCTACTCAGGAGGCTGAGGCATGAGAACTGCTTGAACCTAGGAGGCAGAGGTTGCAGTGAGCCAAGATCATGCCACTGCACTCCAGCCTGGTTGATGAAGCAAGATTTTGTCTTGAGAAAAAAAAAAAAATTGAAGAGCTCCTGGAATGCAAAGATGGTTCAACATACAAAAATCAATGTAATGACCAGGCATGGTGGCTCATGCCTATAATCCCAGCACTTTGGGAGGTCAAGGTGGGCAGATCACTTGAGGCCAGGAGTTTGAGACCAGCCTGGTCAACATGGTGAAACCCTATCTCTACTAAAAATACAAAATTAGCCAGGCATGGTGGTGAATACCTGCAGTCCCAGCTACTCCAGAGGCTAAGACAGGAAAACCACTTGAACCGGGGAGGCGGAGGTTGTGGTGAGCCAAGACTGCTCCGTTGCACCCCAGCCTCGGCGACAGGGCAAGACGTCTCAAAAAAAAAAAAAAAAGGAGAAAACCTTTGTGACATTGGATCTGCGATGATTTCTTGAATATGACACCAAAAAAGCACAGGCAACAAAAGAAAAAACAGGTAAGGTGGACTACATAAAAATGAAAAACTTCCATGTGCCAAAGGACACAATCAACAGAGTGAAAAGGCAATCCATGGAAAGAGAGAAAATATTTGCAAATCATCTATCTGATAAGGGATTAATATCTAGAATATATAAATAACTCCTATAACTCAACAATAACAATTTAAAAATGAGCAAAGAACTTGAATAGACATTTTCCCAAAGAAGAGAAATAAACAGGTGCTAAGCACTTGAAAAGATGTTTAACATCATTATCATCAAGGAAATGCAAATCAAAACCACAATGAGACACCACCTCACATCCACTAGGATGGCACTATCAAAAAACAAAATCAGTGTTGGGTTGGTGAGGAGGTGGAGAAAGTGGAACCCTAGTACGCTGTTGGTAGGAATGTAAAATGGTGTAGCTGCTGTGGAAAACAGTATGGCTGTTCCTCAAAAATTTAGAATTATATGATCCAGCAATTCTACTTCTAGGTATATGCCCAAAAGCAGTGAGGCAGGGTCTCAAATAATTTTCTTTTTACAATTTTCTTTTTTCTTAGATACCAAAAATAAATTTTTATAATAAAACATAGGTATTATAAATTTGAATCTGAGAACATTCTTGCTTCTTCTATTTTATGAGCTGCTCCTTTAATAATCTGTCTTTCTAGAGCAGTATGAAATACAACTTAGGGCCAGGCATGGTAGCTCATGCCTGTAATCCCAGCACTTTGGGAGGCCGAGGCGGGCGAACCACCTGAGGCCAGGAGTTTGAGACCAGCCTGACCAACATGGAGAAACCACGTCTCTACTAAAAATAGAAAATTAGCTAGGCATGGTGGCGCATGCCTGTAATCCCAGCTACTAGGGAGGCTGAGGCATGAGAATCGCTTGAACCCAGGAGGCGGAGGCTGCAGTGAGCTGATCACACCACTGCATTCCAGCCTGGGTAACAAGAGTGAAACTCTATCTCAAAAAAAAAAAAAAAAAAGAAAAAAGAAATAGAATTTAGGAAGTAAAATGTTTTTGATTTTTGTCAATCTTCCCTGTTCTCTTTGTAGCTTCTTCATATATTCCTTTCATCAAGTATAATAAATGCTCCTATTAGAATACCCTACACAACTTCAACTTATAATAAATTCCAAACACCCATACCTCTCAATAGTTTGCACATTAATTTTGAAAAAAAAAAAGTTCCTTTCTTTAATATTCAAATCTAAGATATCACATTTCTCCTCCATTAGACTTACATTTAGCAACAATTAATACCTTAGGATTAATTCTGACACCAAAATTTTCAGTTAGCATCTCACTTTTCAGGAATACTTGTTTAGAACTGTTGGGGAGGTTCTCTGTTAATTTGGTTTCTTTTTTATAGGTACAGTTTTGGTAGTTTTACCTTAAGAGAGCTGTTCACAAAGAAATCACTAAAGTGCTTAGTTGGAGAGACCAGTGATTCAGAAAATACACTGAAACACCATTATGATCTCACGTCTCAACGCTGGAGTAAGGGCAAACCAATTCTTTATTCTTGTGGCTGTTCAGTAAAGTTTCCCTTCAAAATGGACCAGCTGGTTTCCTGTTGGCTTCAAATCTAGAGGGAGTTCAAAACACTTCAAAAACACCATTTGAAAGGTTCCTTAAACTGGAATTTTACAGTTTTTCCCTATCTAAAGTCAAAGTTCTGGCCAGGCACAGTGGCTGATGCCTATAATCCTAGCACTTTGGGAGGTAGAGGAGGGCAGATCGCTTGAGCTCAGGAGTTCGAGGCCAGCCTGGGCAACATGGTGAAACCCAACTTCTACCAAAAATAGAAAAATTAGCCGGGCGTGGTGGCATATGCCTATAGTCCCAGCTACCTGTGGGACTAAGGCAAGAGGATTGCTTGAACCCAAGAGGTCATGGCTGCAGTGAGTCAAGATGGCACCACTGCACTCCAGCCTGGGTGACAAAGGGAGACCCTGACTCAAAAATAAAATAAAAATAAAGTCACAGTTGTTCTATGAGAAGATATTAAACTTCATTAAATTAGCTATGTAAAATCAAGAAGAAAAAGTACTTCAAAAGGCTCTATTTTCAAAATAAGAGCTTAATGTATGAGCAATATACTTATCTAACCTGCAGAGTGAATGCTACATGTGAATGGTCACTTGCAGAGTCTAAGAAAGCTGCCTCTCTCCCATTCCTCCAGGGCCTAGGACCCATTATTAGAGTCTCTATAATGGTAACGCCTTGCATGTACTTTTTAGGCATGTTAATTATGTAGAACTGAGAAAAATATTCCGATACTCTTTCAAAAAACAATTTAAAAACAGGGTGCAGCTGGGTGGAGTGGCTCATGCCTGTAATCCCAGCACTTTGGGAGGCCAAGGCGGGTGGATCATTTGAGGCCAGGAGTTCAAGACCAGCCTGGCCAACATGGTGAAACCCCATCGCTACTAAAAATACAAAAATTAGCCGGGTGTGGTGGCAGACGCCTGTAATCCCAGCTACTTGAGAGGCTGAGGCAGAAGAATTGCTTGAACCTGGGAGGTGGAGGTTGCAGTGAGTGGAGATCATGCCACAGCACTCCAGCCTGGGCGACAGAGCATGACTCCATCTCAAAAAATTAAATTAAATTAAATCAAATTAAAATAAATAGGTTGCAGTAGGTTTTTTTCTTAACATTATTCTCTGTATCAGTAGTGGGGTCAATCCCTAACTATGAAAGCACTCCACAGCACTGCTTGTCTCAGGATCTGCCTGCTGGGTTGTCTCCTCACTTCCTATTCCAGAACTGTGAACGCAGAAGCAACCAATATTGACTTAAAACTATTTGTGTCCAGTCTACTAAAAAATACTTGGAACATTGCAGAGTGAGATAAGCTCAGGAAAGCAACCTCTTAAAGTTATCTGTGTTTATAAGCTTATTCCTGAGCTGTGCATTTGAGGATCTGCTCTTAACAGTCTACACACTTTGAGAACTGAACAGTGGCATATTCCATTACCCAAGTCTCAGACTGGTTAATGTGTAGTGCACACATGGGACAGATGCAAATAGCCCTGCAAGAAGACTTGAAAACTGAACTGGTATTGGAACTGCAGCTCACAGAAGGCTCACGGAAACTTGCAACTGTTGAACCTAACTAACTATGGTCCCCTAAAACAACAATATCAACATTCTCCATAGGATATAAACAAGACCCAGTGTCTCATAACATAATAGACAAAATATCTGGAATACAATTCAAAATTAGTTGACACAAAGAATGAGGAAAATCTGAAGTTGTATAGACAATGATAGTTCAATAAACGTCAGTGACGAGATGACACAGATGTTGGAATTATCTCACAAAGACATTAAAGCAGTTATGAAAATGCTATAACAACTAAGGGCAAATACAATAGGAGGGACTGGAAAGGGAGAAAGTTTCAGCCATTAAATAGAAGATATAAGGAGGAATCAAATGGAAAATTCAGAACTAAAGAATATAATAACTGAAATTTAAAAATACACTGAATGGACCCAATAGCAGAATGGTAGTGAGAAAGGAAAGGGTCAGTGAACTTAAAGCTTAATCAATACAAATTTTCCAGTTTGAACATCAGAGAGAAAAATGGGAGAAAAATTTGATAGAGCCCCAGGAACCTGTGGGAAATACTAGAAAGTCTAACATTTATGCAATCTGACTTTGAGAAAAATAAGAGAAAGAGTACAGTTCAGGAAGACTACTTAAGGAAATAATCACAGGAAACTAGATTATTGGCAAAGTCAGCAAAAGACAGAAACACAAATTCAAGAAGCCCAAGAGAAATACAAGTGCAAACATATCCTGTATCACATGTATTAGTCATACATCACAATTCCCCATAGCCTAGTTATATAGGTCTCAGGACTCCTTATCTATTAAAGTATATAACCCAAGGAAATTGTATCTTTAAACATTAAAAATATATATATTTAGGGAGTATAAATGCAGATTTCTTACATGCATATATTGCATAGTAGTGAAGTCTGGGCTTTTAGTGTATTCATCACCCAAATACTGAACACTATGCCCAACAGGTAAATTTTCAACCCTCACGCCCCCACCCCCTACCCCCATACCTTCCCTGTATCTTCCTCTTTTCAGCTTCTTCTTTCAGTGCCTGGAACACTAAATAAATATTTGTGCAATGAATGAATAAATTTTAACGTAAAAAAAAAAAAAACTACTTGTGTGCCTGCCGCCTTCTGGGCTAGGTGCTTTCATATCAGCCTGTTGGCCCTAAGCTATAATAGGTCATCTTAGAAACTAATGACATCTTCAACAGTTTAGGGTCTGAATTTTTCTTTATAAAAGTTAACCTTTTAAAGGAAAGAAATGAAAACAGAGTAATCTTGCATTATTTATAAATAATACTTATTGTCAAAAGGACCTAAATGAGTAGCGATTTCAGGTCCTGCTAGGCAAATAGCCTAGTATATGAAGGAAATTTTCTATTAGATATAACTGAAAGTCTCCATTTGTCAGCAAGTCATTAACTTACTAAACACAGTACTTCTTGGGATCCTCTCATCAGATGTTTACATTGTTCTGTTCTTTTTTTAAAAAAAAGTTTATTATTTTGAGATAGGGTCTGGCTTTGTTACCCAGGCTGGAGTGCAGTGATGTGATCACTGCAACCTCTGCCTCCCCCAGGCTCAGGCAATCTTTCCACCTCAGCCTCCTGAGTAGCTGGGACTACAGGCATGCAACCATACCTGGCTAATTTTTGCTTTTGTTTTTGTTTTTTTTTTGTACAGATGCAGTTTTGCAGTGTTGTCCAGGCTGGTCTCAAACTCCTGGACTCAAGCGATCCACCCTCCTCAGCCTCCCAACAGTGCACCTGGCCTGTTATTCGCCTGGCCTGTTATTTTTAGAGACAGGATCTCCCTCTGTTGCCCAGGCTGGAGTGCAGTGGTGCAAACATAGCTCACTGCAACTCTGAACTCCTGGGCTCAAGCAATCCTCCTGCCTCAGCCTCCGGAGTAGCTGGGACAAGAGGTACATACCACCACACTTGACTAATTTTAAATTTTTTGTAGCGAGGGGGTCTTGTTATGTTGCCCAGGCTGGTCTTGAACTCCTGGACTCAAATGATCCTCCTGCTTCTGCCTCTCAAAGTGCTGGGATTACACACATGAGCCACTGTGCCTGGCCCTGTTCTATTCTTTATACTCCTGCTGGCACCTGCTTCTAAATGCCACCTCCTCTGGTCCTTGTTTTTTTCTTAATGTATGCCTTGATAATCTCCCAGGTTTTACCTTCCATCTCAGACTCCTTCTCTGCCTAACATCCACCACCTTTGCAACATAGCCTGGCATGTCTGGATCAACATACAATATAGTTGGCTATAGGTAAACAGATTGAGATATATGTTGACTGATGAAGTTTTACAGGAAGTTCCTATAGTGAACTAGAAATCACTTGGTCATATTCTAGGAAACACAGTGTTTAGAAGTGAAATAGAATTTAAGTACTAATACTTTTAATAAACATTGGAAGAAAATCCCAGAAATAAAAGTAGAATAGTTTCTTGGTTTTTGGTTTTTTGAGACATGGTCTCACTCTGTCACTCAAGCAGGAGTGCAGTGGTGCAATCATGGCTCACTGCAGGCTCAACCTCCTGGGCTCAAGTGATCCTCCCACCTCAGTCTCCCAAGCAGCTGGGAATATAGACAAGTGCCACCACGCCTGGCTATTTTTTGTATTTTTTTTTTTTGTAGAGACAGGGTTTCTCTATGTTGCCTAGGGTGGTCTCAAACTCCTGGGCCCAGGCAATCCACCTGCCTCAGCCTCCCAAAGGGTTGGCATTACTGTGCCTGGCCGAGAATAGTTTTTAAAGAAACAATGTATCACCAATGTTACTGATAGCACAAAAAAATGATATCGAGGTGAAAAACATGGACATAAATTGTAGTCATAAAGTGAATCAGAAGAGCTGGACCCTGCATATGATGAAGTTATAAGAACACCTTAAGCCATTTATTTTACATATATTACATGTGTACAAAAGAGGCTGATATTAAAATCTATGTCCACGTAAACCTAAAAGAGTTGTCATAGTCATAGTTTAATTGACGATATTTTTTCTTGGTGTATCGTAGATCAGATAAAATACAGAATTTTACTCAGCTCTGGTAAAGAAAGTGAAACACTATTGACTTTTCTGAGGAAAATTAATCTGAAACAAATTACTTCAAAATGTATAATGTATGCCTTTATCACTCTATAAATATTTCTGAGTTTCGAAGAATTTTATTAAACATCTGTATTAAGAATCAATTGCTGTAACAGCTGGTTAAAAGTTCAGGCTCGAATCTGATGACTTGCTTCAAACTATGGCTGTAGTCATTTAATAGATATGGGCCTTGGGCAAGTTACCTAACCTCATCAGGTCTCAGTTTTCTCATCTATAAAATTAGGGTTATTAACAACTATCTTTATAGGGTGATTTTGAGGAGTAAATAGCCTATGTAAATGTACTCTTGAAGACAAAAAATGGGACACTCAGATGGTAGTACCTTCCATATATGCAGTCAATAAAGAATCCTCAAAGAATCTTCTGCAAGCTGCTAAAAAGCCGAAAAGATTTAACATTAAATATTTTAAAGTGGCTCCTTTTGATTACTGATGTAAAGAACAGAAATAATTTAAATCAAACCCAGTCAATGATTTATATTGTATGCACTCAATGATTTATATTGTCATTCTTAGTACAGATGTATTATTTATAGCAAGTTTAAACCTTTTATGTAACCTCAGAATAAATTTAGCAAGTTAATGAAGCAATGAGAAAATAAGTAAACAGAAATGATTCTAAGAAGTGGTATGGTTAATTTCTGATTGTGAGAGGGGAGAAGGGAATCTATGTTATGTGTACTCCATAAAAACACTCTGTACTTTAGTGCATAGTTTCCCATTTGATTTGAGAGAGCACAGCAAAAGTCTAGCTCTACTTCCATTTTTATTTGCTACAATGGAGAGTCCCATAAGAGGGCCCGAGAAATGTCCTGGTTCCTGTAACTGTGCTTCTAGCAGTAAGAGCAACATTTCTATGTGCTGATGGGCAGCTCCATTGGAGATGGCTCCACACTGTAACATCTGCTAACATCTGTGCACTGCTTGCCTGGCACAGTGCCTTCTGTAGTCTTTGCCACATGCCCTAATGTAGCTGTGGCTGAGGAATGGAAATACAAGGGTGAAGAGCCACAGGAGGTCCCAGTTTCACTTCCACTTTGTATCCTCGCTGCTGGTTTCTACCCATGATACTCTAAAGCCTCTTAAGAAATTCCCTTTGAAAATTTTAAGCAGCTTATCCTCTTTTAGGAAGGAGATGTGGATACTAACTTCTTGCTCAGGGATATTTGTGAAAGGTTCAAAGTGCCTTACAGGTGTTTTAAATACTTTAACGTAAATCATAGTTTCCCTACATCAGTGAATTTGGAAGGTTGAGAGCCAGATCTAAGGGAAGGGAATAAAAAGCTATTCAGTGGACCTACTGCTAGTTCCTAAGTGAGAAGAAAAACGAATTGACCCAAGGTGATGCTGTGAATTATGTATCTACTAGATTCACAAAAGTCAGTATTTTTGTTGATTTCCCTATTTCCCCTCCCCGCACCCCTACTTTTTTTTTTTTTTTGAGACGAAGTCTCGCTCTGTTGCCCAGGCTGGAGTGCAGTGGTGCAATCTCGGCTCACTGAAAGCTCCGCCTCCCGGGTTCACGCCATTCTCCTGCCTCAGCCTCCTGAGTAGCTGGGACTACAGGGGCCTGCCACCACGTCCGGCTAATGTTTTGTATTTTTAGTAGAGACGGGGTTTCACCGTGTTAGCCAGGATGGTCTCAATCTCCTGACCTCGTGATCCGCCCGCCTCGGCCTCCCAAAGTGCTGGGATTATAGGCGTGAGCCACCGCACCCGGCCGATTTCCCTTCTTAAAAAACTGACCATTGATTAAAAGCTTTCTTTGGAAATTTATTCAGGAAATGATGTTAGACTATTCCACAGTGGGATGTCTTCAGGAAATCAGTCTTACATACTAAATAAAAAATTATGTTTCTTTCAACTCTTATGAATATACATCTATCTCTTGCCAAGAATGAGATCAGTTAATTTCAATCCCATTCTCTTATCTACAGGGTAATAGCATTATAATCATTATAATCTATTAAAGATAGAAATGAATGTTTTTATCTGGCCTTCTATAATTTGATTTAACTTTGGAGACAAAAATGCCACTATTTCCTTGCAGAGTAGGTCACTTAAGGAAAATTCACCCTAAAAATTGTACAATACATAGTGTTGTTGGGAAATAATAATTTAAACGATAAAAATCTCTGTTGGTACTGGCAGAATTGAAATGATGCTTATTAACAGATTTTACCAAAGCTAAAATTGTGTGAAAAGATATGGATAATTTTACAGTAAAATCTGTTTCCAGATTTCCATCTTTTAGAAACCAGTAGTAACCAATAATTTCATTAGCCATGATTTGAATCAGAAAACTTTTGCATTCAGTTTAAATTTGTTTTTGAAGAGGAGGCCAGAATCAAAGGATATAACATCGAATTATTTAAATGTTTGTTAATAGCATGTTACTTGTGGCAGAATCATCCCTACCAACTTCATTTATTAAATGCACATATAAGCTATGTAAATAATATGCAAAGGTAAGGGCCCTGATGAAAAGTATTATGCAAATGAATTCTAAGCAAATGGAGATGATAGTAAGTGAATACAGCCCAGAATCAATAATAGCTTAGTCCACTACTGATTGCGCAGCTATTATCAAAAGAGGCTTTTTTTGGTTTTCCTTCTAAAGCCTTCCTGATCGGCCTCGATGGAAGCAAAAGTCTCCTAACTTTACTGGCCAATGTGATGAAGTCTGGCTGTATTCCAACTCCAGATTAGTTCAGCAAGAGTCACCACTTTAGCTACAGAAAAACAACACGACAGAAATCCCTTTCAGCGGACATTTGCTTTGCTGTTTTTCCAGTACAGTGACAGTCTTGAGCATATTACTCACAAAAACTCAGCTTCCCTTAATCTAACACCCTCTTTTGTAATCTGTGACTTTGAAAGAATTTTTCTTTGTATGACATTGTCATGTATGATATCTGGACCAGTGACTTGGGCTTCCTTTAACCTAAGTATGAATTAACTAACACAGGCTATTAAATTCAGATGCTGTAATGGATGGGTACTTTGTCTTCCATACCACAGCAATATTAAGACGCCCACCCGTAAGGTTTTTCAAACTGAACTACAATGTCTTTTTTCACATGTGCTATTCCTTTGCTCTGTTACCTTAGGGGTAATTTACAATTGGCTATATGCAGTTATATATAAGGGTGTTGAGAATGCCACACAGAGATCACTGAAAAATAGGTGACTACTTTTAAACTAGTTTAGAATATGCTGTAATCAAAAGGAAAAGTTGGGATCAAATTATTTAATAGCCTGGTAAAGTATGGATTAAACAGATTTAAGTTATTATTCCAAGGGCCTTAAATATCATTGCAAAATTTGCAAAACATATTTCAAAATGCAGAATAGTTACAAATATGGATGGACAAATAAAATAGAAAGGATGTCTATATTTTTTTTTAAGGATATGGAAATAATAGACATCTATCATTAATACCTGAAAGACTTTACATTGTAGAGATGGATGACTGCATGCTTTGCCTATATTTATATGAAAAGTAAATAATTTTACAATAGTATATGAACATGGATATCTGTGGAACTACTTCAGGCCTTACTATTAACATTTGCTAGACTGCTTTCTATGGATGAATGCAGATTCTACTAAAACTAGACTCTAAGTACTAAAATGTGCTTCTATAGGTTTACTTAGCTTATTAACAGCTTTCAGAAAACCATCCCAAATGACCACATATTCCCAAGCTTGAGAGGGGCTTTTATCATATACATTATGGTCACCCATATTAGTGAACTGCTTACGTAAAAGTTTTATGAGCTTGTGGTAAGTGGTATTTTCCCTATCTTTCAACCAGTTAAATTATATCTCTGTAACTATTACTTATTTAGAGAAAACATACTAAAGCCTTAGGAGACATTCTATATAGATCTGGAAGCGTATCTGCCATGCTGAGTATTCTTCAAGAATAATATTAAAATGACTTGTGGCAACAAACTTCATATGCAAGCTAAAAAATGTTAATCTTTTCAGAGTAATCACTCTTTCAAATGCATTTTTGTAAAAGTGAATAAATTCAAGAAGAAAAACACTTATTCTAGATTCCATTTACTAATACTACTTAACATGATATTCACAGAGGATCTTAACAAACAGTGCTAAATGACTTCTGGATTTTAACACGGAAGTACCTCTTCCTTAAAATTTTTAGCAACTGAGAACTATATGACAAATTTCTATACAATTTGGGCATTTATATATCTTGACTCATGGGTTTCATTTGGAGAAGATGTAAAATGATTAAAGAAGCATTCTTTTTTTTATCTGCATTACGATTTGCATTTCTAATTTATTTAGACATGTGATGCTAGTATTGTGACGGTCATGTACAACTAAATAGGCTATCAGTTTGTGTAACTTCTGAACTTAAGCAATCAATGTATTAAATGTAATAAATCAACATCTATTGTCTTTTATGTATCTGATATTTTGGAGGATACAGATGTTATTGGCTAGTGAACAGAAATATCTTTATTTCTTCCTATTTCCTTACTCTCAAAGCTAAATAGTGAACAATTCTCTCATTTATTCCATCCCAGTCTTTATAGATTCTTTCCAGTTGTCACTACCACGACCTCAGATGAGGGCACTAAAACACCTAACTGCTTCAAAGGCCAAAGCAGATGCCCCTCCCTCTGCCAGAAGCGCTCCTTCCCCACTTCACAGGCCAACTTCTACCCACTGGAAGGATGAGTTATGTATGACTCCACAAGGAGCCTACTTTCATGATCCAGCCATACCACCGCCTGCCCTCTTCCCTCACTTTGATCTCTTCTTTTGTGGCACTTTCCATAACAGTAATTATATAGTTATGCAATTATTTCTCTTATTCCCCCACTGAAGTTTAAACACTATAAGAACAGAGACTGTTTACCTGTTCACTAATGTTTGCCTGGCACTCAAATATTTGTTAAAACTGTAAAGGAAGTATCACATCAGAGAATGTTGGAGTAATCATGGAGAGAGCTTGGGGACTGTTCTTAGAGTTTCCAGAGCACCCCATGGATCACTACCTCCACATCATCCATACTGGTTATATATTCTGCTGTCTCATGAAGCTCCTCGAAGGCAATCTTATTCACCTTTCACCTGGCACAAAGACATGCTCCATACATGATTTTGAACTAAGTAGTATTAAAATGGACCTATGCCAAAGAGTTGCTCATGCTCAGTCTGGACACTAACTGCTTACATGTGTGTGCTCATGGTGATTTTAGATGCATAACTTGCTAGTTAAATGATTTCTAATTCATATGATTATATATGTATACAACATGCCTACAAAATACTCCACAAAGATAACTGTGCTTTCCAGGTACTCCCAGACTCTTGATATGTTTCAGTCACTGGTTTACAATAGAACTACTTTTGAGCTCTTTATTTTCAAATAAAATTTAGAAACTATTTTTGAACTATTAGGGCAATATTTTGCAGAATACCTTTGAAGCTATGTTACAAGTTTCAACTTTCTACTTCCAAGAAATGACTTTTGTTACAAAGTGCCCCCAGATGCTGTAAGGTTGAGATACCCTTACATTCAAATCCGAAAACTTGTAGAACAAGTGTTCCAAATGTTTAGTTATGTTATGCTGGTTTCAGAAACATAAGCTTAACTCTCAGTGGAACTGAAAGCTTTAGCCAGCTACTTGGTAAACATGCAGACTGGATTCTTAGCTATACTACTAAATCAATAGACAAAAGAGCAAAGAAATAATATAACATATAAGGAAAGTTTACTATGGCCTATAATCATGTAAATTACCTTAATCTAAGATTCTCTAATACTTTTGCTTTGTAAATATAAACTACCAGTTACATAATCAAGAATACTATGAGCACACACACACACACTAAACCCTGTTATTTTTCTTTTTTTTTTTTTGAGAAGGGGCCTTGCTCTTGTCGCCCAGGCTGGAGTGCAATGGCGCAATCTTGGCTCACTGCAACCTCCATCTCCGGGTTCAAGTGATTCTCCTGCCTCAGCCTCCCGAGTAGCTGGGATTACAGGCACCCGCCACCATGCCCAGCTAATTTTTTTGTATTTTTTAGTAGACACGGTGTTTCTCCATGTTGGCCACACTGGTCTCAAACTCCTGACCTCAGGTGATCAGCCTGGCTCAGGCTCCCATAGCACTGAATTACAGGCATGAACCATCGGGCCTGGCCAATACTTTTCAATGTAAATAGTTATAAAAATCAACATAGGCCGGATGCAGTGGCTCACACCTCTAATCCCAGCACTTTGGGAGGCCAAGGAGGGTGAATCATTTGAGGTCAGGAGTTCGAGACCAGCCTGACCAACATGGTGAAACCCTATCTCTAAGAAACATACAAAAATTAGCTAGGCATGGTGGTGCACGTCTTTAATCCCAGTTACTCAGGAGGCTGAGGTGGGAGAATCACTTGAACACGGGAGACAGAGGTTGCAGTGAGCCAAGATCGTGCCACTGCACTCCAGCCTGGGTGACAGAGGGAGGCTCCATCTCAAAAAAATTAAAAAAAAAAAAATCAACATGACTGTGCTGACTTAACTGAAATACACAGTTATTTTCTTAAATAAATTAAATGCCTACAGACTCAATACTCATTGAATTTCAACTACACATTTTAAAGATTCATAACTTATTTTTGCATCAAATAGTGAATCAATATTGTTAATTATCATCTTTTTTATATTTGGTCTCCATATGGTGACTTAAAATTTCTTCAAGACAGGTTAAGGAAAGACTGAAGTACAGAAGCAAGGGATTAAAGTTCTAATTCTGGTACCTATCTATAGATTTTAGAAAAATTCCCTGACCATATGCTTTGGATTTTTCTTCCTGAAAAAGCAGAAATTGTATCCATTCTACTTCTCATGAGACAATTGTCAAAAAAAAAAGAAAAAAACAGTAGAGATAAAACTATAAAAAATAAAAATTATGAAAACACAGGATTAAATATAAACCCAAGTAGGCCCTTTAATGAATAGACTTCTATACACTATACCATCTAATTTTTGGAAGTACTAAGGATAGTGTTCACTACCTAGCATTTAAAGTTTTATACTAATATTGCTGAATAAATGGACTCTTAAAAGATGATCTCTTTTTTTTTTTTTTTTTTTGGCTAGTCAAGTAAAACAGTGGGAGTGGAGACAAGATGATCTCTTAAGGAAGAAACATGAAGAACAACAAAGATGACCTTTCTCTCATTTGTTATCACTAACTTCACTGAATTAAAAACAAGTGATAGTCTTCCCTGGTCCTTTTGGGTATAACACTTTAAGTTAGTCTAGAACTTACATCAAGGACTGTAAGGTATGATTCACAGGTGAGATATCAAACAACACTACTTGAAGCACTAAATGTCTACAATATTTCCAAGTATAGCAGTATGTAAAAGTTATTAAATGCTTACATCTTGCTTTCCCAAAAATGGCATAATTGACTTCACTATTTTCCATTGATCAACACTGTGTTTCAAAGAGAGCCACTAGACAGCACAAGTTGCATTCTGGTTTCTTTTTGCTGGTTATGATTTAATACTGCTAAAATCCATCCCCAAGTATAGAAGATTTAATTCAATCTATAAGTTTGAATCTATAAGCCTAGCTATTAGCATTGTAGTTCAGAAATTTATCCCATTATAATAATCTATTTCAGGATACTATGAAGCTATGCGGTCTCTTGTGCTAATTTTACATTATTGTTGAAAAGTTGTAACTGATGGATCACACATTTTTAATCCATGGTGCCATCTGGAAGGAATTTCAGTAATTTTAATTATGTGTGTGCATAATGCAAAAGCATAGGACACTACTTTTTTTCTAATGTTCTATTTAAAGACAGAAATGGCTAATCTGCCTTATGTAATGGGTTCTTTTATATAGCACAATAACATTATCGGTGTTTTAATGATTATAAAGGCAGTACTAAGTCTCATGCTCAGCCATGGAAGGCCGTAGGTGGACATCTTATTAATTTCCTAGACTAAAGGCAGGATCACTTTAAGATAATCAGGATAAGGAGATTCAGAAATCATTACCCACCTGACCACCCCTTTTACTTAATATATGAGGAAACTGTAGCTCAAAGAGATAAAGTCTTTTGTCTAAGACTGTGAACACGACTAGTGGCACAGCTAGAAGAACCTAAGTGCAATCCCTTCATTTTTGAGACAGAGATGATGGTAGGAATGTCATATTTTTAGAGACCAACATGACAACAATGACAGACCATTGTATTATTCACATTTTCTCCCAGGAAATTATTTTCTCTTGAATTTTATTAGGTTCAGAACACATTCTATAAACTAGTCCCATAATAAAATGGGAACTGGTACAAGAAGCCCTTCTAAGTTTTAAATACCAGAAAAGCAATACTGTTAAGGTAATGACTAATTCTGTTATATTTCTTCCTTATTTCTAAAGTACGTTTTCACCAACTTTAATATTTGCTTTCTATAATAGAAGAGCACACATCTTGTATTAGTATCATATTTTGGGGAGGAAGTACCCTTTCTCTAAATATTTTAATCAAAAAATAACTTATTGGTGTTAGATTCCAGAAGAGGTATGAATAATTAAATCTCAACTAAATAAAGGGGGAAACCAGACATTTTTACTTTAGCTTTTCTTTAATTGTATAAAAGCTCTTGGTTAAAAAAAATGCAACATTCCATGCAAATTATTCTTTATACAAGGATATGCATCGATAAATCAAGTACAACTGCATTATCTTCCATTTAAAAATGTTACCTAATGTCTATTCATAACTATGGGAAAGCATTTGTAAATTCTAAAATAAACAAAAACTTATGATTATAGAAACTACCCACAAGAGTTATTATTTCTAAACTTTTCTTAGGAACATTTAAAATTTGCCTCACAACATCCCTGTGAGGTAGGGAGGTAAGTGTTCTCATATGACAACAAACCAAATTGATCAAAATATTAGTATCTGGTTACATGTAGAAAACTGGCTATATTTTTAAATCTTAAAAAGAAATGGCATCTATGAGTCAGTTCTACAAAGAAGTCCAGGAAGATCAGGTTGCTTATTTTTGACTATATTTATCAGAAATAACAGCTATTTTGATTTTCAACCAACAGAAATCTTTCTCCATCAAAGGCTTTTAAATCTTCCAAAAATTAGCAGAGCAAGTATAATGGCATTTTGCCAAAGAAACAAAACACGGGATGCCACGCCAAGTCATTCTCTTCTTCCTCTACATGGAGATAGCTTAAATGCTATCTAGGCATACACAGGAATCCAAGCAGTTAAGTGTCTTCTTTAAAGATACTACTTCTTTTGACTCTTCCATGTTAAAGCTGTGATGATTGGGTCTTTTTAAATTTTCATGTTTCTTCCATGTTAGTTTCTCTCAGTCAGGGACTATTTGCATCTTGTCAATTAGGAAAAATTGTAGATCCTCTTCTTCCACAAGAAATGGTGACTCCACTAAGTTCCAAAACTAAAGATGATCAGAGAAATCATCCACCAAGGGAAACTGGCTGTCTCCGGAGTAGGAAAAAAAAAAAATCTAACTTGGAGAACTGATCTTTTCTGTCTCTCAAAAATATATCCAGTAGATATCAGGATGTAAGAGAATAAAGAGTCCAGCTTTTCCATAAAAAGGCAAAATGTTCAAGCAGAAAATTTTTAAAAAGTGGTAACAGGGGAAAGGGAGGAGAAACTATTTAGGTGTGTTATGCTTTTTCTTTATTACTTACTGTTCAAGATAATTCTCTCTCTGCAAAAAACCCAGATGTGATAATATGTCTAGTATTAGTTCAAGGCTGAACATCTAGTAGATCACATGGGTTGCGAGACTTCGAAGATAAAGTACAGCTAAAGATCAGCTTCCTTCCTCGCTATGGAACCTAAGACTTTCTGACTATACGTAATAATGACAGAACAGTTTATCTGTTTTAAAAAGGTGAAAAGATATAACTACTAATAGTAGCAGTGTTCTTGGACTCAGGTAACATTCCATGACATGGTTCTTCACATAACTTAACAAATTACTAGTATCCATTCTCTGTAACTCTAGAGAAAAAAAAAATCTATTATTTCGTAGAGCCAAAGAGACCTTAGGTGGTCTCTTTAATAGTAACTTAGATTGTGAGTAAAGCACACCCTAAAATGATCTAATTAGAAAAAGCAAGTAAGCCATAAGACCAAATATGCTTTCTGAAAACACTTTTGCTAATATAAAGTTCCAATAGCCTTATGTTACAGACACCGATGCAGCTATGAAGGGAACCTTTCTCCATTAACTATGTCACATTAAATGTCATGGAAAACCTTAATTGATGAAAATTGAAAAAAAAAAAAACCCTTTAGTGTGTCAGGTAAATGAGACTTGAAAGATTTGGATTTATTATCAAAGGGGCAGAAAATAGCAAATGCTGGTGAGGATAGAAAGTGGAAAGTTTGCACCCTGTTGGTGGGAAAGGTATATTAGTACAGCCACTATGAAGAACTGTGGATGTTCCTTAAAAGACTAAAAATAGAACTACCATATGATCCAGCAATCCCACTGCTGGGATATCTAAAAGAAAGGAAATCAGTATATCAAAAAGATATCCGCAATCCCATGTTTACTGCAGCACTATTCATAACAGTCAAGACATAGAATCAACCTAAGTGTCCACCAATGAATGGATATCTACAAATAGTACCACACTGTGTATATGTGGTACTATATGTGTTACATATACACAATGGAGTACGATTCTGCCATAAAAATGAATGAGATCCTGTCATTTGCAACAACATGAATGGAACTAGAGAACATTATGTTAAATAAAATAAGCCATGCGCAGAAAGACAAATGTTGCATATTCTTATTCATATGTAGAAGCTAAAAAAATTGATGCCATGGAGGTAGAGAATAGAATGGCTACCAGAAGTTGGGAAGGGTAGTGGGGAGTGGGAGATAAAAAGGGGTTGGTTAATGGGAATAAAAATAGTTAGATAGAAGAAGTAAGATCTAGAGTTTGGTAGCACAGTAAGGCAACTATAGTTAACAATAATTTATTATATTATCTCAAAATGACTAGACTAGAATATATGGGGAATGTTCCTAGCACAAAGAAATGATAAATGTTTGAGGTAACAGATATTTGACTACCCAGATTTGATTGGTAAACATTGTATGTTTGTATCAAAATATCACATGTACCCCAATAAATATGTACAACTATAATGTATCCATAAAAATAAAAATTAAAAAAAAATTGGGTTAATTTAGTGACTTAATTCTGCACTTTGTACATACAGCAGCCTTTAAAATGTCCTTTGACATAATTATGGCATTGATATACTGCTTGAAGGTTAATATACAAGTATGCTGAATACTCAAAACTACATGTATCCAGAAAAACAAATCTTCTATAATAAAAACTAGGTAGAACACTGTCTATGTAAAACAAGTATTGACCATATAATTGGTCCTTTAAAATAATCATCAGCCGACATTTATATAATGCAATAAGGAAAAACACAAGCTAAGTCTTTTTCTAGAGTAATAATTACACTAGAAATCAGAGTTATTTGAAATGAATAATTTTTAGAATGTGTATTTTTATTCGTATTTAATAAGAACATGCTTTATATTCATTGGAATAATCCTATAATTTATCCAGTTTTTTTTTGTATTTGTTTGTTTTTTGGTTGTTTTTGGGGCAGAGTCTCGCTCTGTCACCCAGGCTGGAGTACAGTGGCACGATCTTAGCTCACCACAATTTTCGCCTCCCAGGTTCAAGCGATTCTCATGCCTCAGCCACTTGAGTAGCTGGGATTACAGGCGTGCACTACCACACTCAGATAATTTTTGTATTTTTGGTAGAGACGGGGTTTTGCCATGTTGGCCATGGTATGTTTACAACCTTCCTTCCTTCCTTTCCTTCCTTCCTTTCCTTCCTACCTTCCTTCCTTCCTTTCCTTCCCTTCCTTCCTTCCCTTCCTTCCTTTCCTTCCTTCCTTTCCTTCCCTTCCTTCCTTCCCTTCCTTCCTTTCCTTCCTTCCTTTCCTTCCCTTCCTTCCTTCCTTTCCTTCATTTCCTTCCTTCCTTCCTTTCCTTCCTTCCTTCTTTTCCTTCCTTCCTTCCTTTCCTTCCTTCAAGGTTTTTTTATATTATTTTCTTTCAATTAGAAACAAATTAAAGGAAAAAAATCAACTAAACCTCTTTAAAAATCAGACAGCAAATGTACCCCCATTCCCTCTCTATAAGAGCTACCTCACCTATTTTGGAGAGAGAAAATGCTAGAAGACAGGAAGGTTTCATATTTTTACATAGGAAAACTGATACTCAGTGAAGAGCTCTTAAAAACAGTGATATTTTAGTAAGAATTCTTCCTCTTTAGTCCAGTTCATTTTTCCTTTAAAATAAACCATCAATTAGCTTTTAAGAAATAAACATAAGAAAGCATATTGCTCTATTTGTCAATGAATAAATTCCTAAAGCCATCAAGTTCTGAGGGTATAAGAGGAAATCATTAATCAATAGGAACAAACATTAATAGAAAAAAACAAACACTGAAAAACTAGGAATATAGGGGAACTTCCTCACCCTGATAAAGAGCATCTATGAAAAACATACAGCTAACATCATATTTAATGGTAAACGACTCAACGCTTTCCTTCTATCAGGAACAAGATTAAGAAGATGTCCACTCCTGTCACTTCTATTCAACACTGTACTACAGGTTCTAGCTAGAGCAATGAGTTTAAAAAAAAGAAAAGATATCCTGATAGGAAAGGAGGAAGTAAACTATCTTTATTTACAGATGATATAATTTTATATATAGAAAATCCTAAGGAACCCACTAAAAAATGATTAAGACTAATAAATGAGTTCAGTAAGTTTGTAGGATACAAGATCACTACACAACAATCATCCTTCCATATACTAACAATGAACAATTCAAAAGTGAAATTAACAAAACAATTTCATTTATAATAGCACCAAAAAGAATAAAATCTGAATACATTTAACAAAAGAAGAAAATCTATACTCTGAAAACCAAACAACATCACTGAAATTAATTAAAGAAGCTCCAAATAAATGGGAAAACAGCTCAAGTTCATAGATCACAAAAGTTAACATTAAGAGGAACATTTTGGCCGTGAGCTCCAAACTGATCTACATATTCAATACAATACAATCCTTATCAGAATCCCAACTGGTTTCATTGAAGAAACACACAAGGAAATTCATATACAATTTCTAGGCACTAAAATTCATAGGGAAATTCTAGGTACTGAGGAGTCAAAACAATCTTGAAAATAATACCGAAGGGATCATACTTCCCAATTTCAAACTTAACTACAAAGATACATTAATTAAGACAGCGTAGGCCGGGCACAGTGGCTCACACCTGTAATTTGGGAAGCCAAGGCGGGAGGATCACTTGAGGTCAGGAGTTCAAGACTGGCCTGGCCAACATGGTGAAATCCCGTCTCTACTAAAAATACAAAAATTAGCTGGGGGTGGTGGCGCATGCCTATAATCCCAGCTACTCGGGAGGCTGAGACATGAGAATCACTTTGAGGCATGAAAATCGCTTGAACCCAGGAGGCAGAGGTTGCAGTGAGCCAAGACGGCCCCACTGCACTCCAGTTTGGGTGACAAAGCAAGACTCTGTCTGAAAAAAAGAAAGTGCAGTACTGGCATAAACATTGAGACCAATGGGACATAATTAAGACTCCAGAAATAAACCCTCATATTTACCATCAGCTGATTTTTGACAAGGGTGCCAAGGTTCAGTGTATAAAAAGCAGTCTTTTCAACAAATGGTGCTGGAACAACTGGATAGATGTGGACCTCTATCTCACATCATATATAAAAATCAATGGACCAAAGACCTAAATCTAAGAGCCAAAACTATAAAACTCTCAGAAGAAAACATGTGTTAATCACTGTAGCCTTAGTTTAGGCAGTGATTTCTTAGATATGATACCAAAAGTGCAAGAAAGAAAAAAATGAATTAGACTTATTTAAAAATTTAAAACATTGGCTGGGCGTGGTGGCTCACGCCTGTAATCCCAGCACTTTGGGAGGAAGAGGCAGGTGGATCACGAGGTCAGGAGATCAAAACCATCCTGGCTAACACGGTGAAACCCCGTCTCTACTAAAAATTTAAAAAATTAGCTAGGCATGGCGGCGGGCGCCTGTAGTCCCAGCTACTCGGGAGGCTGAGGCAGGGGAATGGCATGAACCCAGGCCGCAGAGCTTGCAGTGAGCCGAGATTGAGCCACTGCACTCCAGCCTGGGGGACAGAGCAAGACTCTTCTCAAAAAAAAAAAAAAATTAAAACATTTGTGCTGCAAAGCACCAAGAAAAAAAAATAGTGAAAACACAACTAATAGAACTGAAGAAAATATTTAAAAATCAATTATCTGGTAGGAGGTTAATAACTAGAAATTATAAAGAACTACAACTCAACAACAAAGAGACAAACAGTCTAATTAAAAATGAGCAAAGGATCTGAACAGCCATTTTTCCAAAGAATACCCACAAGTCACTAATAAGGCCCATGGGAACATGCTCAATATCATTAGCCATCAATGAAATACAAATGAAAGCCACAATGAGATACCACTTCACACTTAAACCAGGATGGCTATAATAAAAAAGACAGACAATAACAAGTGCTGATGACATGGAGAAATCAGAACCCTTATATATCTGCTAGTGGGAATGCAAAATGGCACAGCTGCTTTGCAGTTCCTCCAAAGGCTAAACATAGAATTACCACATAACCTAGTGATTCTACTACTAGGTATATACTCAAGAGAATTGAAAACATACATCTGCACAAAAACTCATACACAAATGTTTATAACAGCATTATTCATAATATTGGAACTTTCAAAAAGTGGAAGCAACCAAAATGTCTATCAACTGATGGATGGATAAATAAAACATGGTGCCGGGCGTGGTGGCTCACGCCTGTAATCCTAGCACTTTGGGAGGCCGAGGCGGGTGGATCACGAGGTCAAGAGATCGAGACCATCCTGGCCAACATGGTGAAACCCCGTTTCTACTAAAAATACAAAAATTAGCTGAGCATGGTGGCGCACGCCTGTAGTCCCAGCTACTCGGGAAGCTGAGGCAGGAGAATTGCTTGAACCCAGGAGGCGGAGGTTGCAATGAGCTGAGATCCAGCCTGGCAACAGAGCAAGACTCTGTCTCAAAAAAATAAAAATAAAAAAAAAATAAATAAAACATGGTATATTCATAGAGCAAGAATATCAGACAAGAAAAGGAAATGACATACTGATACATTCTATAACATGGATCAACCTTAAAAACACATGCTGGCCTGGCGCAGTGGCTCACACCTGTAATCCCAGCACTTTGGGAAGCCAAGGTGGGCGGATCACTTGAGGTCAGGAGTTCGAGACCAGCCTGCCAAAATGGTGAAAGCCCATCTCTACAAAAAATATTAGCCGGCATAGTGGTGTGCTCCTGTAATCCCAGCTACTTGGGAGGCTGAGGAAGGAGAATTGCTTGAACCTGGGAAATGGAGGTTGCAGTGAGCCAAGATTGCACCACTGCACTCCAGCCTGGGTGACAGAGCAAGACTCAAAACAAACAAACAAACAACACATGCTAAGTGAAAGGAGCCAGTCACAAAGGCCACATATTATGATTCCATTTATACGCAACGTTCAGAATAGGCAAATCTATAAAGACAGAAAGTTGATTAGTGGTTGCCTAGGGTAGGTGGAGGGAGAGTGTGGGTGTATAGGGAGAATGACTACTAATGAGTACAGGGTTTTTTGGGGGTGGGGAGTAACGAAAATGTTCTAAAATTCACTGTGGTGATGGTTATACAACTCTGTGAATATACTAAAAACCACTGAATTGTATACCTGAGGTAGTTGTTATTTAGTATTTGAATTATATCTCAATAAAGCTGAGATATAATAAAACAAGGTCCCCAAAATTAACAATTTTGTCAACAGTGAATATACGGCCAAGCTAAACTCTAAATGGAAAATGGCAGACAGAAAACAAAAGTACAATGTACATTTATTTAAACTGTTCAGTCATATCTACATTTGACACATTCTACAAGGAAGGCAGTCCCTGGAGAATGACCACTTTCAATATCAGTGATTGTGACCTTATTTCCACATGAAGTATGAATCTTATGTATTATCCCCATGAAGCAAGAACTGGATCCAATCTTTACAGAGATTTCTTTTAAAGATGTAGACTAGAAACTATGTGGGTTACCTAGTCTCCAACCTCTTTTGGCTTCATTTTAAACAGCTTTAATATGTTTAGGTGAACCCTGCACACTCCATTTTACCAAAGGCCTTACCACTATTTACTGTCACATATATCACAAATGTCACACATTTTGTGGCTTGCCTGGCCTCTGCCTAGGTTTACACCTTGATCTTGGCCCTAACTATTTGGGTAAGAGGAAAGATGGCCAAATCCAAAGGAAAAAAACATTCTTCTCTACGTCCTAGAGCAAAACTGTCCGTATCACCTACCTCCCTTCCAATGAAATCCCCATGTAGCAGGCTAAGAACAGAAATGGAGGGGAAAAAGGAATTTTTTAAAGCCCTCCACAAGAAAGAGATCATAATTAATCTAGGATCAATCTGTTCCATGGCAAATGACCACACCTGTAATTCCAGCTAGTCTTCTTGAAAAGAGAAACTGAGAATCACTAGGAATGGATTGATGAACAATTCTTTCCCATTAATTGTAACAGTAAGGCAGAGGTAGAGAAGAGGAAGGGTCTAATCGCCATTGGAGGTGGGTTAGTAATGTCTTTATCTCACATAAAGAATAGTTTTTTTCTTGTGAATAATCTTTACCAAGTGATAGTGCTTGACAAAATGGTTTAGCAAATTTTAACACTTTCCTCAAAATCTTTAGAGAATGAAGGTCAGTTCTTAAAAAAAATCAAGACATGAAAATGTAAATGTATCTATTCAGAAAGCTAATAAACACTCTTAGTCACTAAATTATATTTATTTCATCTTATTTTAAAATATATAAACTGCTTCTCAGTTTCCAGAGAATGCAGAACAATGTACATGACCAAATTACTACCGTACTTCTTGTAAAATACTATTGTTCACAATTATAGTAAAAAAATTCTGACATCTCTAAATTGTTAAGTTATGATCTCTCACAAATATTCCTTGCCTTCAAATTAATCTAGAAAAACTTAATCTAGTTTTTGAGGTTTGATAGTGGAGGAATAATGATATTTAAGTCAATTATTAAAGAGAATCCTACAACTTAAATTTTTCACCTACAATTATATCAATGATAAAGTCACTTCTTGTGAAACCAAGTCCCAGCTTTACATACAGTCCACAGTCTCATCCAAACAAAAGTTATTCCCAGAAATTATTTCTATTCTAGTTTATTACTATAATCTAAGATTTGCTTACCACCCATTAAAAAGGGAAACATGTCACAGTGTGGAGAATATAGTACCTGAGAGCTCTTAACAGCCATTCACTTTTTTCCTGTTTTTATCATCTTAAAAGTACAGTAAATCCAAACTATATTTAAGATCAGGGCTGGGCGTGGTGGCTCACACCTGTCATCTCCTTTGGGGGGCCGAGGCAGGTGGATAATTTGAGGTCAGGAGTTCGACCTCAGTCACCAGCCTGGCTTACATGCTGAAATCCTGTCTCTACTAAAAATACAAAAATTAGCCAGTCGTGGTGATGTAAGCCTGTAATCCCAGCTACCTGGGAGGCTGAGACAGGAGAATGGCTTGAACCCGGGAGGTGGAGGTCGCAGTGAGCTGAGATCGCACCACTGCACTCCAGCCTGGGCAACAGAGTGAGACTCCATCTCAAGAAAAACAAACAAACAAAAAAGATTAAGCACTTCCTTTTGTATTTTAGTTTGCATTTATTCTGTTAAATATAAAAATTTTGTATTTATTTTGGTGTTTTTGTATTTAAGCAGCATTTAGTTAAAATGCTATGTAAAATTTCCAGTGAAATTTAGTTTTTGAAATTGCACAAAAATTCCTAGTCATAGTTTTAGAGTGTTTCTAAAACTTTGATGATAAATACAGATGGAGTAAACCCATACAGATGTCATACATTGTGATAAAACTGTAGTTATACTGATATAAAGCAAGACTAATATGCTAGAAAATAATATTTCTGCATACATCCTTTAATGATTATCTGTTGGAAACACATAATGTGGCAGAAAACAATCTCTTTAACAGAATAGAAGGTACATGCAATATCCCCAAAAATACATAAATTCTAGAAGCACCATGAGAACACGTTATCTAAACATTAGAAGAATCTAAATATAACCAGTGTTTAAAAGAGCCCATTTTCTATCAAGGTAATCAAACTGTTATTAAAATTTATCAGTACAAAAATAGCTTCACAAACTGCTAATGTATATGTCTTTTCTGAACTCTCGAAAATATGACAACAATTATTTATCTATATTGTACCATATTTGAGGATCAAAAAATTGTAATGAACAAAATGAAAACTTTTAGTTTTCAGTATTACATTGTGACAGCACTGGAATACTATAAAATCAACTATTTCCAAGATAATTTTCAGTGGCTTTAAATCTTTTTAAAAAAATCTATTATTATTTATTAAAAAAAAAAGTAAATTCTAGAATTCTAGACAGCTGATGCTATGAAGCAAACAAGAATTCCCTGGAAAGAGAACAAAACCTTCCCTCTTACGTATATGCCAGCCTATTAGTATATAGCTACTTTACTTGATATATAGCTAATCTAAGATTGGTTTCAAAGGATGTTCAAGTGTATACCTGCTCAATCTCAAAAGATATTATCATTTAGGTTAAAAAATGTTTTTAGAAAGAAATAGCAATTTAGATAAAATTTAATAACATTTCCCCCCAAAAAATCAGTAAACATTTCATCCTCATGATCTCCCTTTTTTACACGTCTCTAAACTTTAAAAATAAGTACACTAAAACAGTATTAATTCACTGAAGCTTATTCAATAAGAATGTTTTTGCATAGTTTATGACAAGGATACAGTACTATAGCACTTGACTAAGGAGTATTGAGCAGCTCATACATTTAAAATTTAGTTCAGCTGTATAGCTAAAAATCAAAGAAAGTAGTAAATGATTCAAGGTAATCTATAATGCCACTGAATCAGGTATGATATAAAAAGTTGTAATAGCTTAGTAAATAAGTTTTTCAAAAGTCCAAAAGTAATTTTAGAAAAGTATTTGTGAATTTGCTTTAAGAATAACACAGTGGAGGAGGACTAGATGAGGGCAGAGATGAAACAAGACTGGCCATTTTTTCATAACTGTTGAAGGCAGGTGACATGTTTATAGGAGTTCATTATAGTATTTTCTCTCTGATGTATGCTTGAAAATTTTTATAATAAAAAGTTATAAATACTAAAAATGTTTTAAATCTTGCTTATTTCTCTAAAGCTAAGTAACTTTTTAAGAAAGACTTAAAGAACAAACTAACCACATTACTAAAACTTTCAGTGCTAAATGAAAAGTAGGACCTTCTTTTGACATGTTAATTAACAAATTCATGAGGTTTAGTCAAAAATTTGAATTTTAAGAAAAGAACAAATGGCTTGCTAAGTAGCTATTACTACAGTCAACTCTTAACTAATCTGACTGACTAGATCACTGTTCCCTATATCCCATCTTTTTTATTTTTAGCACATAGACATTCTAGTGATTTTGCTCCTTATTTAGCAGTAAAATGGAATCAACTAAAACAGAAATACTGGCAAAAAATTTTTTTGCTATTCATTCTTCTCTGCTAAAACACATATTGGAGAAGGAAGGCAATATAGTCTAAATAAGCATTAAAAACTTAAGATTTTATAGCACTTTGGGAGGCTGAGGCGGGTGGATCATGAGGTCAGGAGATTGAGACCATCCTGGCTAACAGGGTGAAACCCCGTCTCTACTAAAAATACAAAAAATTAGCAGGGTGTGGTGGCGGGCGCCTGTAGTCCCACCTACTCGGGAGGCTGAGGCAGGAGAATGGCATGAACCTGGGAGGCGGAGCTTGCAGTGAGCCAAGATTGAGCCATTGCACTCCAGCCTGGGCAACAGAGTGAGACTCTGTCTCTAAATAAATAAATAGGCCGGGCGCGGTGGCTCACGCCTGTAATCCCAGCACTTTGGGAGGCCGAGGCGGGTGGATCATGAGGTCGGGAGATCGAGACCATCCTGGCTAACAAGGTGAAACCCCGTCTCTACTAAAAATACAAAAAATTAGCCGGGCGCGGTGGCGGGCGCCTGTAGTCCCAGCTACTCGGGAGGCTGAGGCAGGAGAATGGCGTGAACCCGGGAAGCGGAGCTTGCAGTGAGCCGAGATTGCGCCACTGCAGTCCGCAGTCCGGCCTGGGCGACAGAGCGAGACTCCGTCTCAAAAAAAATAAATAAATAAAAATAAATAAAAATAAAAAAATAAATAAGATTTTAATTGTGTTCCTTTGTGATGGGAAAAAATAATACTGTACCCAGTTTAAAAACTTGTGAGTTTTAGATTTCAATAAAATTTATTTCAATAATCTGTTTCTAATCATGAAACACGGATCTTATTTCCATATAGGTCTCCTAGGATAGGAACAGTTACTAACTTCCTGACACAACAATGTGCTTGTGTTGGGTATTTGCCTAATGTACTGTAACTGACAGTGCATACCAGAATCAGAGAGCTGAGTTGTAGACTCACAGTTGTTACTAATGAACTATGTGACTTACGCAACTCACCTAACCTCTGGGATTTAGTCTTCCACATGCCAAAGGCACACACTTTCAAACTTTGACATTTTACAATATAGTCAGCGCACACACATATATGTACACTACTGAAACAGTTTCTACCCTCAATATGAGTTTTACTCTAATGTTTTCTCTTTGGTTTCATTACATTTCATTTTTCAGAAAGCCACGAATGGCCTATTAAATTGATATCAAACTACCACAGTTTGGAAAATCATGGATTATATCATCTCTGAGGTTTCTTCTAGCTCTGATATTCTGGGATTCTAGCATTAACTTAAAATACTCAGTGTTCTATACCTCAGGTGGAAATCTTGTTTTCAGTCAAGTAACTAGTGAATACTGATTAATACTGATTAATGTAAAATCAAAACAAGTTCAGAGAATGTCTTAAAAAAATCCTGTGAAGTATTTTTCTGTAAGAACTACAAGATTATGTAATACCTTTCACATAATTAAAAACTTAAATTGACCTGTTAAATTTTATATTCAGAACTCTGTCAAGTATCTCCATGACTCATCTATAAATTCCAGTAGTCAAAGCAGCTATGTACTTCAAGTCAAAGTAACTCTTATTAGACTCTTGAGAACAGAGAAAAATCGTAGAGAAGACCAATTCCAGGTAGTAACTCCAAATACTAAGGATTAACAAAATCGTAGACATTTAGAAAATTTTAGGTGCATAAAGTAAACTAGAAATAGCTTTTACAAATGTTAAATACAGAATTTATTTCTAAATGCTACAGTATTCCACACAGATGGCTCAATTTAAGTGTTAGCCAAAGAAATCAAGTATATAATTATGTTCAGTGAAGTTTTAAGTCTGTTTATTAAATGGATATGTTAAATATAGTTTAATAGGAAGAAAATTTTTCCTTTCCTCAACATAGTAAAATATTTTTTAAAATTGCATACTAATATGATTATTTAATTGTAACTGCATATTTTAAAAGACTATGTAATGTAAACATATTATTCAGATAGAAACAACTAAAATTTTTCATGTGTTCAGTCATCTTTATCACTATAAACAGAAAATATCGTTATACCACAACAATAAATCTATAACTCCACAATATATCTACTGTTTTATGTAAAATTATTAGCACTGTTAGCAACAAATTAGAATAGCCTCACAGTTTTCCTCTGTTCATTCCTAAACAAACCTTTTTTGTTTTTTATAGACAAGGTCTTACTCTGTCACTCAGGCTGCAACACCGTGGCACAATCGTAGCTCACTGCAGCCTTGGATTCCCAGGCTCAAGTGATCCTCCTTCCTCAGCCTCCCAAGTAGCTAAGACTACAGGTGTGTGCACCAACATGCCTGGCCTAAGTTTTTACATATTTTTAGAGACAGGGGTCTCACTATGTTGCCCAGGCTGATCTTGAACTCCTGTCCTCAGGTGATCCTCCTACCTCAGCTTCCCAAAGTGCTGGGATTACAGGCATATGCCACTGCACCTGGCCATTCCTTAAAAAACCTTAACTAATTTTTTCTTCTTCCTCAGCCTGACAATGAGGTCTCCCAATGTTAGCCTCTACTAAGCCTCTACTAAGGGCATTTAATCCAATGCCCTTAATATTCAACAAATTTCAATCAAAATAAAAATTCTCATGAGAAAGAGGGTTGAAGAGTATCTCACTTCAATTTTGCTTAATATGCCAAAGGATTTTTTTAAAATTGGTCCCCAAAAGAAATGTTCAATGAAGGAAAATGTTTTCCTAACTTTAACTAAAACTAACCTAGTGAAAAGTTTCCAAAGAAGGACAAAAAATTAACTTTAAAACAGATGACTGATAGGTACTTGTTTTACATTTGCAAGATTGCAATTGCACAGACCTCCTTACATCCTAAATACACCAAGTATGGCCAATAATGAATGTAACTGGTTTGGAACACATTTAGGATAAATAGTATGTTTTCAGAGAAACAGATTCTTTTAAAATTCAAAAGCAAGTGAAGACTTATCTCCTGTTAGTTGGTGTGCAAAGATAAATCTGCCATTAACATTAACAAACCCATGCTAAAAGTTATCCCACTGTTTCCTTCTGTGAAATCACGTGGTGAGATCATCTCAAAGACTATGATAAAGCTTAATTTCAGAGTGGAAAGCCTACTTAAAAAAAAATTCCAACTTATAACCTTCAAGAACATACACAAAAATAGAAACCAGGTTAATAAAGGAGGCCTTTTAGAGGCTATGTTAAAAGACAGGTAGAAGCAACTTACAAGATTTTATTTCACTGAAAAACAATTTGTACTGTAATTAGCCTAGTGCTCCTTTTTCTACATAAAGGAAATGTTCACTGCAGTCCATCTATGCAACTATAAACTATAAATTAATAAAAAGTTTGTGTATTTCATTTCTGAGGTTAACAGAAGCAGTAAAAAAAAAAAAAAAAAAAGTCAAAGTCAACCTGGAGTTTTCACTCAAAGCTTGTAACTACAAGGGTTCCTGAAACCAAACATTTCCATATTTACACATTTACTTAATCATAATTGCTGAATTGAATCTGTACCTATGTGAAAATGGCAATGCATTCTGAGTTGGTTCAGCCCTTGGCTCTGAGTTCTGTGTCACATCAGGTGTTCTTTCATCATCTGTCCCGTTGATACTTTCCGGTGTTAAAGGAGACTGAAGATCCCCGCCTGCGGATTCCTTTAAAAAAAGGGGTGGGGGATAAAAAATAGTTACACTTTTGTTAAAGTACACAATATCATCTTGAGGTTAAAACTGCCTTTGATGTATGCTTACTGATGAACCAAATTTCAACTGAAATTTGAGTCAAAGACTTAAAAACATAAAACATGGAAATTTTTATTTTTTATTCATGGCAAGCTAGGAGAAAAAGTTTTTTGAAGCTGGGCTACTCACAAGAAAACTCTCTGAAACATACAATTTAGAAACGGAAATATAACACAATTTAGAAACAGTTTCGAATAATTTAAAAATGTTTGGTTTATTTAACTAATTGGTCAGAATAAAAGATATTCAAAGAATTACTATACTTCAGAAGAAAAGATGCACAAAAATGCAAGAAGATGTGATTTTGGTGAAAGAAGTAGATAATGGAAGGGGTACAGGAGAAGAAGTGGATGAGGAGAGGGGGAGGGCAAAGGGGTGAATGAAATTTGCAACACGTTTTATCTGCCCTACTTTTCAATCCCTATAGAGCTACTTAGAAAAGCAAGAAGAAATGCCTCTATAACCTATTATCTATAATGATGTTAGTGCATTTCAACTTATCTTGTCTGGTACTCATAGTGGGATTACTTTTCTTTACAAAATTTCCTGTCTTATTTCTACTTTTCATTAAGATTTTCCTTTCAAAGTAAATTTATTTAAATAACATTAAAATTTATGTCATTTTAAATAAATTGAATTTAAAATGAAGCTCAAGCTGACACTTATGTCTGCCACCATCAGATTATCCAAATTTGATATTGGAAATCAGAATGAGGAGTCATTTGATAGACCTATTAACTAGGGGAGGTGCTAAAACCAGACTGTTAAAGAGCAGCTTGGTGGACCTCTTATGATCCCTGGGCAAAAAAATGTTACAATTGAAATATCTGTCTATATTTGGGAGAAAAAAATAAGTGTCCAACAGGGGAGTGGTTAGGAATGATCATAATTTGTCAACTTAAAAAAAATACAAGATTTCCTCTAATAAAAATAAGACAAATATGAGCAATGTAGCATATAATTTTTAAAAATCAGAATGTAAAACAGTAACTGGGTTATATTTATATCCTTCACATTTAGAATGTTACACATGAAGTGCTAGAAAAAATATGTAAATATTAACGTGGTGAGACTTTTGTTTTTGAGACTTCTGGTTTTATACTGCTGTATGAATTTTATTTCACATTTAAGTATTTTAACTAATGGTTCCATAATGCTATAAACTATACAAGCTGTTAAAGATCAAAAGGATACTTTCTTAATTCCACATTATCACTTAACTATTTTTCAATTTTCAGTAAAACTTCTAATTTTGACCTTTAATTTCATTTTTATTAAATATTTCTCCTAAATCAGCTGTTTCCTTTAGCTGACAGTCAATGCACGAATAAAATCTACAGTATAATGTGACAATATAAAAATGTTTTACAACAAAGTCAAATCCTATTAAGTGAATAATGGGAATAGCAATCACAAAGTGACTACTTCTAGGTCAGTTATGGACCATATTAATTAGTCAGAAAAAATTTAACCAGCCAGTAAGATATCATAAAATAATCATCTCTGGTATTAACAAATCAGGCTTATTTCTCTCCAAGACAGGCCAAGCCAAACTAAAATAATGAAAGGTTGAATGTGCAACCTGCTAAACAGTTAAATTGGTGAAGATTCAATTCAGTAGAAATGATAACAGAAACAAGTTACCGGCCGGGACGTGGTGCCTCACGCCTGTAATCCTTGGGAGGCCAAGGCAGGCGGATCACCTGAGGTCAGGAGTTCAAGACCAGCCTGGCTGACATGATGAAACCCAATCTCTACAAAAATACAAACAAAATTAGCTGGGCATGATGGCAGGTGCCTGTAGTCCCAGCTATTCGGGAGGCTGAGGTGGAAGAATCGCTTGAACCTGGGAGGTGGAGGTTCCAGCGAGCCGAGATCACTGCACTCCAGCCTGGGCAACAGAGTGAGACTCCATCTCAAAATAAAAAATAAAAATAAAAATAAATTACCTTATTAAACTTAAAGGGCATAACTAGGGTTAGCAATTAAGGATTAACTCAGGGATTTGCTGGAACTGGTTGACAAGAGTGTGCAAAAGTACATTAGGATCAAAAGAGAGAGAGGAAGAGCAGTAGCAGTTTGACTCATGGTTGTTACCATCTTCTGGGATAAATGCTCCGGTCACTTTGAGGGTAATATAAGAGGGAGTAGGGTTTGAGGCATGGAACTTGGGGAGGCTACAAATGTTAATGCTACTAAAGTAGAAAGACTGTTCCCAGGGGCAAGTTAAGAAGGGGAGAAAGAAAGGGATAGAGGTTGTAGCAATTCCAACATCTCAAAGCAGCAAGTTTTTCTTCAGAAAACTTGAATATTAGCTATATTTAAGTAAAGGCATAGTTATCCTAGGTCATTATACCTAAAGTAAAAAACAAAAAGCCCACCCAAAGCATGGTATTTTATTTTTTTAATTTAATTTTTTATTCTGAACCGATCGAGAACTTGGGTTTTTTTAAAGTCAGTTTTAAAAATATAAAATTAGTATTTACTGATGAGAAACAACAAAAAATTCCAACAGTACATGAGGGCACAAAAGGAAAATGAAACCCTCTTTCCCTCCAACTACCGCAGAGGTAGCCAAAAGTATTCTGCAAAACCTTCCAGAAATTTTGCATATGCTAAAAATAGTACTTGAAACATGTTTTTTATTTAACATATTCTAAGCATCTATTTCTTTTTTAATCTAAATTGTGTGTAATTTCCTAAACATCCTACTTCAGTTATTCTTTTTTGGGGTGTGTGTGTGTGTGTGTATACCCAAAGCTGATAAGAAAAATGAAAAAAAAAAGCAAAAAATAAAATGAAATAAAAACAGATGAAATAATCTTTTCTATTGACTTTATATCCTTGCTTTGAGAAAATAAAACCACTTACATCTCATTTTTTTTCTGAGAAACTCTCCCTATAACTCCCACCAAAACAAATAATCTACAGTAAGAAAAAGGACAGTAACACTGAAGAAAAAATTTATTTTTGGAAGAACAAATCTGAGAGAGTATCAAGGAAATCAAAACTAACAGATGCAACCTATTATAAAAAAGGCACCTGAGCACAGATGTGAGATTCAGGAAATGCTTCTTAAGAATTCTCTCTTCCTACCCATTTGTGAAGTGGGTAACTTAAGTGAAAATTAAAATAAAACCCACAACTGAAATTTTGGCTATGAAAGCCAAAAAATGAGAAATATTCTAGAACACATGGAAAAAAGTTGACCTTGACCCTCACTCTAGGACAAGCCTTTAGGGTGGTTTCAGTGACCTACTGTGTATTGGAAGGATGGGCTGGGGAGGTACGCAGCAGCACTGCCATGACCCACTATACCAAATACCACTACCACCTTCCATTTCATGCCAATAAAACCTGAAATTAAATTCCCATTACAGTTTCAACCTTGTTGGCTTAAGGAAAACAAGGCCCTCTCTTTACCATTTAACAAACATTCATGGAAGACTCAGTCCATTCCAGTTTTATACTTAAACAAAGATGAGAACACCACTGTTTTCTCAGCAGAGGGCCTGACAGAAAAACTGGGGAGGAGCTAATAGTCTTGAGATCCCATGGCAGTGAGAATGGAAAGAAGACAGCAAAACGATACATAAAGGAAGATGAGGTTGAGCTCTCAAACAAGATCCTCATATCCTCAGTCATACATTTTTCCTATAGTTAGTCACCATCCAGAGCCACCATTTCTGAAATCCATTTTGTGACAACCACAGAAGTTCTTATAATCTGACTTTCTGGATTAATTTATGCTCTTCCTTCGCTATGTAAAGTATATTGGCTGATTGATGCTTAGGGTTAGTGGGTTAATTGTTACTCTGCTTGAATATTTTGCAACCACCAGCTGCATCAAATGCTTACCAAGAGTCAGCTGTATGTGTCCCAAACCTGTTTATGCCAATTCTATTTATATAATTATAAAACTGAATTAAGTACTATGTAAACTACTGATTTTGAATGCAAAACTAGAGTGGTAATTTTAATGAAAGCCAGGCTAAATACTTTGAAATGACTAAAATGTAAATGGCTAAAAAATTAAAATAATACTCACAACTGAATTAGGCATATATAATATTCTACAATATAATATAATATCTAACATAGGAATAGCTTCAGCATCTCCTAGAAAACTTGTTAGAAATGCAAATCCTTGGGTTCCATCTTAGACCTACTAAATCAGACAGTCTGGGAGTGGAGCTCACCGATCTGAGTTTTAGCAAGTCTTTCAGGGAATTCTGATGCAGAATTCTGACGCATAGTATTTTTCAAATACATATTGTATAAATATACAATTAAGGCATCTGAATTTTTAAAGATAACTGTTAGTGCCAGACAGTATGTTAAGGCCTTACATCATCATCCTCCCCATTACAACCACATCAGTTGTTAACATTTATTAGGCATTTAGTACTATATGCTAAGTACTTTCTAATCCTCATTTAATTCTCACAATATTCCTATTAAGGACATATTGTTCTCATTCTCATTTTATAGAGGAAGAAAAACAGAGACTTGCCTAAGCTCAGAAAACTATTAAGGGTTGGAGCCCAGTTTCAAATTCAGATTCTAGAACTCCCATTATTAACCATGACCTGACACTGTGTCGTTACCATACTTATTGATGATGATCAATGATTCTATAAGTAATGTAATACTCATGTTATAAATGTATAAACACACTTGTGTTAAACAACCAAGTGTATTACATGGCAACAGAAAAGTAATTTATATCTAGGTTTGTCTGACTCAAACTTTTAACCAGTCTCTTACACCTCCCTCAAATAAAAACAAAAGCTTTGACCAACCAAGTTTCTACTACTATCGATTTTCGTGTTTAACCTATTATCAATTACCCCACTTAACCGTTCTTTTGCTAAATTCCAGAGTTACGTTACATTCTTCAGGCAGCATTAATTCAGCAGATTGGGTTAAACCACTGAGAATCAAGTAGGGTAGGTATGGCCAATGGTCATACAATTCAAACTAAAACAGACACATTAGATATTGTCACCCAGGCTGCAGTGCAGTGACGTGATTGTAGCTCACTGCAGCCTCAAACCCCTGGGCTCAAGCAGTCCTCCCACCTTAGCCTCATGAGTAGCTGGGACTATAGGTGCATACCATGCCTGGCTGATAAATGCTTTTTAAAAAATGATTCTCTCTGGCTTCTGTATATTAAATTGACAATTAGGCTTCAAATGTTTTGATAAGATAAATTAAGGTCCATATATTTTGGCTCTCAAATAGTGATGAACTTATTTCCTTATTCTTTATATTTCATAGTATTTTTCAAATATAAGCATCTTTTATATATTCCTTTAATCAAAGCAGAGGCTTAAAGTCATTCCTTCCACCAAAGAGGAACAAGGTGTTAGCAGCAACTTATAATGGTTCATGACCAATTCAACTAAAATGGAAGTTACGATTAGAGAAACGGGAACTAAGTACAATGGCAAAGCTTAATCCATCACACTTTTATTAAAATCCTTTGAGTACTCTTTTACTGAATGTGCTGTTTGTTGGATCTTCTTATAACACTGGAATCACTCACCAGAGGAACTAGAGCTCCCAATATGTATTGCCACTTAATTTTAAATGGGGTTTTATGTTTAAAAGTATCACTACACCTTCGCAGCACTTAGAGAAGACAGATTCAAGAGAAGTTTCAAATGATCATCAAAGTTATTCCAGGTCATTGCATGTACAGACGTATAATGGAGCTTTGGCTTCAATCCAGAGTACACCTTTAGTCTAAGGGAATATGCACTTTAAGCATATTTAACAGAGCTCTCCTTTATTCTTATTAAAAAAAAAATCAACTCTCTATACCAGTAGTTTTCCAAATAGAGCTGGGTGATAGAAGTGGAGAGGGAGATAAAGAATAAATAATTTTCTAAACTGTTCCAATCATTTGGTTAGTTATTAAATTCCAAGGCAATTCCTATTTTCTTCAAGAAAGTTCCATGTAAATCTGCTACTACTGACATTATTCCAGAGAAACATTTGTAACATCTGATTCTTCCTTTCCATAAAAGCTACTGAGTACAGTTCAGAAACAATTACTACAGAGGAGAACAGCCAAAAGCTGAATCCTACTAGTAGGATACAATTAAAATAAAAATTAATTTTAGAAAAGCCTACTATTAAAAAGCTGAAAATAGTGGCATTCTATATTAATCATACAGTAAAACCACTGTATTATAAAAGTACCAAAATGTAACTATTTAATCAACTTTACTTGGAGATATAACTTCCAACTGAAGGAAGATTATGATGGACAAGTAAAAGGTCCTTTGTTAAAAGAAAAAGTAATACTTTTGTAAAACCTATAACCATTGTCTCAGTGCTAAGCATAAAGATGTTCCAACTGTCAGATTTAAGTATACTTTAAAAGTATGTAAAACAGGCTGGGGCTGTGGCTAACGCCTGTAATCTCAGCATTTTGGGAGGCCAAGGCAGGCGGATCACTTGAGGCCAGGGAGACCAGCCTGGCCAACATGATAAAACACCACCACTAATAAAATGCAAAAATTAGCCAGGTGGGGTGGTGCACGCCTATAATCCCAGCTACTTGGGAGGCTGAGGCATGAGAATCACTTGAACCTGGGAGGCAGAGGTTGCAGCGACCCGAGATTGTGCCACTGCACTCCGGTCTGGGTGACAGAGCATGACTCTAGCTCAAAAATAAATAAATAAATAATAAAAGTATGTAAAACAAACCCTATTGTTTGTGCGTGTGTGCACGCACGTGCATGTATTTTAACTTTATGTATATTATGACATTCTGACATCTTTTAAAAAAATTTTCTGGCTGCAAAGAGACTGCTTCTCCCCTCTAGGGCTAGCTAATTCTTAAGGACAGCAAGAGCCCAGTCCAGAGCATGCCTCTGATATGCAAACTAGCCAATCCAGAGCCATACCTCCTCTATCTGATCCATACATCTGATCCAGGAGACAATATTCCTCTAACTTAATCCATCCCAGGGCCAGTTACCAGACAATGAGGGACCACCCCTACAGTTTAGAGCCCCCTGAAATTATTCAACCCAGCCAATCCTAAACTATTTCCCCTCCCCTGCTTTACCTTTCCAATGGAAATTCCAATAAAGCTCTACCTCGGCTTTCCCCTCACTCCTGCTTTCTGTCTCTTGACCACCTTAAGACTTTCCCTGTTTCTAGGACCAGCAAGTATAATAAACTTGTTTTCCTGAACTTTTCCTATGACTCCCCTTGTGGTTACATTTGACTATCACATGATCTTTATGTACTTTTGCTAAGTTACAAGCACATTAAATAATTTGAATTGAATTACTAAACTGAAATTTTGATTACAAATATTCTTGTAGGCATTGGCATATAGAAAAACCTTTTTCCACCAGTACAAATTAAGTAAAGGGTGCATTTCTCTCTCTCTCTTTTTCTTTTTGAGACAGGGTCTTGCTGTTGCCCAGGCTGGAGCACAGTGGCACAATTATAGCTCACTGCAGCCTCGACCTCCCAGTCAAGTGATCCTCCTACCTCAGCTTCCCAAGTAGCTGAGACCACAGGCTTGCACCACCACACTTGGCTAATTTTTTTTTTTTTTTTTTTTTTTTTAATTTGTAGAGATGAGGTCTCCCTATGTTGCTCAGGCTAGTCTTGAAATCCCGGGCTCAAGTAATCCTCCCACCTAAGCCTATCAAAGTCCTGGGATTACAGGTGTGAGCCACCACACTAAAGGGTGCATTTCTGTGTGTACTTTGGAGATTTAATTCTGGCATGAAGGATATTATCTGAAATGAACAAGGTTCATAATTAAGAATAGAAATGATATACCCACCTGTGAAGGTGTACTGGTAAGTTCCATCTTCTCTTGTGATTTTTCCTTTGCTAGTCGAGCAGCTTCTTTAAATTCCTGAAACTTTTCTGCAAACTGAATGTATAGAGACTACATACATTAACCAAATAAAAATAGGTCACAGTGCCCACTTTTACCTTAGTAAAGTTATTCATTTTCTGAATAACTGACTCTACACAAGCAATATAGCCTCCAAACCAATTATAGCTTCTAATATGAAAATGACAGGAAATGAAACCTAATTCCAAACAGTTGTCTGTGCACTATGAAGTATTTTGACAAATCTTATTCAAAACATCATGATATAGCTAAGTCAGACTTCAGAGTCAGCTAGCTTACCTAAAGGACTCCTGGTTGTTCAGAAATAATTTACTGAGACCAAGGTAGGGGAAAGAATCAGTAAACATAAGCGTACTGTGCTATGTTTATCATTGAGAAAACTGAATTTCACAAGTATCCACTTGTAAACATCACAGTATTTAGAAAATGCTTTTAAATTTTACTAAAATATAAACTCTCTTAATACACAATGCATTTTCAGTAATACAAATAGTAATATTTACTATTTTCACTAACTGACATAACTAAAAATTTATTTCCGAAGATTCCTAAATAGCTCATGTACAGCAGCAGAAAGGAATAATACTCAGTGGTCTTTAAGATGGATAACAATTTCAAAACAAAAATTATTGTACATGAAATGCTAATTCTTAGGAACTCATAGGAAACTATAAAACATCCTGGCCACAAAGAATATCTATTTATGTTTTGGAAGTGGAAGCTAGTCTATCACTATTATCAGTGAGAATAAGTTAAGACTACATAATAACTACATGTAAAAACCCCAAATCCCTATGCAACTTAAAATATCTGTTAGAGCTGGTAATTAAAACATGAAATTATAGTTCCTTTCTCAAACCCTCATAAACGAACTCTGATTTCATTTCCATCTTGGGAAGAAAAATTTTGGAAGGAAAGGCCTGTGATACTCTAATCCTGGCGAGATGGAGGAGGGTCAAAATTAAAGCCATCATTATCACAACTTTTCCTTCTTACCTTAAACCTTGTCACTTCTACCTATAATGTGTATCTGAGGAAAGTGAATTTGTGCTACTATACTTCTCCAATTGAACAGAGTATCTCCAAACAGTACAACATCTGAATACGAAGCTACAAGGGTCTCACTCACATTGGTGGAAATGAAATCAAAACAAAACTTCTCTTTATGTAATCTGAAATAGTATACAAGGTTTTTCTTACACTAATTTAACATTCCACAATAGTTAATCTTTAAAAGCCTTCTCAACTTCGTAAAAATCTACACTATTGCTAATTTGTATATCCTTAGTTTTCAGCAAAATAAAAAAGTGACAGCTTAGATTTCCCATAATAACAAAATACAGCTTAGTAAGCACTCTAACAATCCAAGCATAGCTGGAATTTTGCTCATACCATTCAATCTTAAGAGACCACACATTTTTTTTCAACGATGGTACTTTCCCTTATTTTGAGATGTCTTTGTCTAGAATTGCCTTCTCCAAACCCTTATAATGTTTTGACTTACTCATGGCTTTTAACTGATAAAACAAGCTAGAATGTTTATGTACTTGCTTTGTTTATGTAAAATATTATAAATGCCTTTGAGCCTCCTACAGTCTGCAAAACACCAAAATTAGTCTACAAGGTAGCCTGAAAAATAAATTATGATTTTGTCAGCTTTGGATCAAAACATTCTGAAGAGACTGATCTGAAGCTCTTGGAGCCAAGTTCTGTGAGTATATAAGCTAGAATTGGCTCCAAGAGCTTAAGAGCTGTTTCCCAATATTCAACCTACCCTCAAATACTAGATTTACCACCAGTAAGGCTGGTCAAAAGCATATGCTAACTTTAAAGAAGAAAAAAAATTAAAAAAAAAAAGCCATTCTCAGAGAAAAGTTCAAACAAGGGAAAAGAGTAGAACTGACAGAAGTTAATAAACTATTCCTTTACTACATTAGCTAGCTGCTCAGTAACTTGAAAGATGTAACGAAGAACTTAATTTACAGACAAAATTACTCAGCCCAAAAAGCATTTAAGGCAAGTTTGAGAAAATAATCCATGATTTAGTTCTTGTATTGTCAAGTTAAGAAATTCAGCAAGATATATTTATAGATTTTTGCTATAGTCTTTAATAGGCAATAAAAAAAAACACAAAGTTCTAAAAAGGTTCTGAATGATGGCAAAAGTATTAGAATAAACATATAATTTCTCAACAGAACTGTTTATGGAAGGGCAATGTTCAATGGAAACCTGTATCCTAGTTATGCTGAGATACTTTGAATGTAAAACTCTTATTTTACCACAGTTCAAGAAATACATTTAAAGAATAAGATGTGTACAAGAGAAACCAAAATGATATTTGTTTGTTGTTGTTGTTTTTTGAGACAGAGTCTTGCTCTGTCACCCAGGCTAGAGTGCAGTGTCGCAATCCTGGCTCACTGCAGCCTCTGCCTCCTGGGTTCAAATGACTCTCATGTCTCAGCCTCCCAAGTAGCTGGGATTACAGGTGTGTGCCACCACACCCAGCTAATTTTTTTGTATTTTTAGTAGAAACGGGGTTTTGCCATGTTGACTAGGCCGGTCTTGAACTCCTGGCCTCAAATGATCTGCCCTCCTTGGCCTCTCAAAGTGCTGGGATTAAAGGCATGAGCCACTGTGCCCAGCCTTAATATTTGTTTTAATCATCCTACAGAAAATGATTTATAATCACCAAGGCGAAAGTTAAAATACCCTTAAAATTGAGATTTAAACTATAATTCATATCCAAAAGATAACAAAAACACTTGAAAACAGTGTTAAGAAATGTTTATAATTAGAAGAAAATAAAATAGATTCAATATATATTCATAAAAGTGTAAGATTTCTAAAAAGAACCCAGTTTAAGAATTTGAATACAGAATAATTTCTGTAAAGAAAAACAGCTTAAAATTTAATGTAAATATAAACACTGTATATCTACAAGAGCCTGATTTCTCTGCACTTGGATAATTTCAACTCTCTAGCCTGAGTTCCAGTATCAGATCCTGCATATACCAAATCATATGTAAAGTATTTAAAATATATGGTTATTCTTTTAACTGAATGCTTCAAACAGAGGTTTTAAGAATAAATCTTTAGGTCTGGCAGGCACAAGCTCTGAAGAGAAAAGTGAGTTTTACTTTTCTCTTTGATCACTTAGTATACTGAGATTGTTTTTTCTTATATATTCTTTTCTGTGTAACATCCACAAGAACCCAAGGTGCTGCTGGTATAAACATTACATGGCTTTTGCTTATTGACAGGAGAACTGTCTTATTTCCAATATTTAGCCTGGTGATGCTTTGCATTTTATTGGCCTTTCTGGTCACATGGTGAGTATTATCTAAAAATTCCTCATGATGTCTATAGTATCTCAGTCTGCACTGCATCAGAGCTCGGAGTATTCCACATCCAGATAAAGCACAATTTCCCCTAAACACAGTAATTTATATGTACCTGCTGTCACATCAAAATGCTGAAATCTATATCACTGTCAGCTTGAGTTTTCACAATTCAAAAGAGCTTGGTATCTGCCTATCTTGTAGACCATCTCCAATTGAGGGTACTAATCTCTGACAAAAATCCATTCTGAAGTGATAATCCCCACCTTTTAATTCCTATCACACAGACAATTAACCACATAAATCCTTCTCAACCAATGGTGACTGTTTTTAATGTGTACATTTTCCAAGTGACAGCAGAATCTAATGATCTCTTACTTCTTGCTCTGAAGTCACTACTGCTGTTTCGAGAATATTAAATAAATTTCTCCTATATTTTATACTCTCCATTTGGTATTATATATTTAAGATATACGACTTGAAGATGAAGATTTTCATTCAAATTTTATGATTTAACTCACTTTCGAAAGATGATGCTCAGAGGAGAATCCCAATCCATAAACGGTGTTTGCCCGGCTATCAGCCCACTGGCCAAACTTCTGAGATGTTTTAGTAAATGTCATGTTTGGGGTGATGGTACTATTTATTATTGCCTAAAAAATAAAGCAAGTATGAGCAACCAGCAAAAAATCAGCAAACAGGCATTTAAATACAAGACCATTCAGTTACATAAAAGCTTAAGATTATCAATAAGCCACAACGTTAAATACATAAAGATAGTTACAGAAATAGTTTCTGGCATTATAAGTGATAGTGTGGAAATATGTTAACTAAAATATAAATATGATGACACTCTATCAAAAATTTCAACATTTTACACTCAAATAAGTTTACCTATGATCCAAAAAGTGTCAAAGAGTTTTTAATATGGTCAGTTTTTTCCTTTTGAATGTTTAGAATCAATATTTATTAATTTTGGATGATAATCACTAGAAGAAGGTAGGCCTTAATAGTGGTTTATTTAAAAGTAGGGTACCACCCTCCAAAGAATCTTTCAAAAATGAAAATATGCATAGAAAATATGACACTTTTTTTTTTTTTTTTTTTTTTTTTTTTAGATGGAGTCTTGCTCTGTCGCCCAGGCTGGAGTGCAGTGGCGTGATCTCGGCTAACTGCAAGCTCCAACTCCCGGGTTCACGCCATTCTCCTGCCTCAGCCTCCTGAGTAGCTGGGACTACAGGCGCCCACTACCACGCCCTACTAACTTTTTTGTATTTTTTTTAGTAGAGACGGGGTTTCACCATGTTAGCCAGGATGGTCTCGATCTCCTGATCTGCCCGCCTCGGCCTCCCAAAGTGCTGGGATTACAGGCGTGAGCCACTGCGCCCGGCCGACACTGATTTTCTAAAATCCATAATTGAGTTTTCTTCAAGCTGATTTACCTGAAATACATTATGATACAGAAAAGACTTGCAATCGTTTAGTACTTTTTCCCTTTACTCAAGGAAAAAACAAACCTCTAAATATAGAGGTGTTCCTTGCTAGACTTGGGAGATTGGTTCCGGGACCCCTATGTATACTAAAAACCTATGCATACTCAAGTCCCATAGTCAGCACTGCAGAACCTGCATATACGAGGTCAACTCTCTAATACTTGGTTTTCACATCCTACAAATACTGTATTTTTTGATCCACGTATAAGTGAACCTGCATAATTCAAACCAGTGTCATGAGTCAACTGCATACTCATTTCTTTTCTCATAAAGTGGTATAGATTCATGATATTGAGAATTGCTATCATTTTTGTTTCACACATAATTTCTTAGAAAACTAGTATTTTAGCATGTTACTAAATATTAACTTTGGTGATCACCATAATAAATTTCAATTATCATAAAATATTAACTCATTCTCTCTGCTAATACCATAAAAGTGAGGAATCATTTCTTTAGTCTAACGCACTCCAAATTTAAGATTAGAAAGTGATTCCAATAGTAATAGACAGATGTTAACAAATCCATAAGCAGTCATCTGCTGAACTCTTAAATGTGGAATGATACATCAAGCATTTTCTGAACTAAATTTGCTTACCATGTGAGCATTTTCTGAACAAAACTAAATTTGTTTACCATGTGAACAACAGTATAAAAGTAAATATTTAAGAGCTATGCAGGTATTGGAGAAGTCATAAAAATGAATGCATGACACCTGTCCTACTAAAAAAAAAACCAGTAAAACAGAGTGGTCCCTTCCTTTCTCTCAGACAGAAGATGTGTCCACTGTTATATGAGAGCCCTTATGCTCAATTAAGTGTTTTTACCTCAGACAAAATTTACATATTCATACTTATACAGTTTCCTTACCCTTCAGTTCAAAAACTGCTTTTCTTAGCATATCATTTGGGATGTGTAAAATGTGGCTAATAACTGCTCTAACTTGAATGGCATCAAATGAAGTCATCAAATGAAAGACTAAATAGGAAGGACTTTATCAACAAATGGTTAAGGAATCATTCGTTTATTCAACTTTAATTGAGTACCTTTTAAATGCCAAGCACAGTTCTAAAAATTTGAGCTACAACAATAAGAGGGGCAATATAATTGGAAATTACAGTCTAGAATAAAAGGAGTCAGTAAACATACAAGTAAATAAATAGCTGACCAATGTAATCTCAGACAGTAGTAAGTACTATAAAGACCAGGATGTGACAGAGTGAAACGCAAGAAATCAAGACTGGTAGGCACTGCCTTAGATTTGCTGGTCCTGAGGGGGCACATCTGAACTGGGATCTCTGTGTTTTCTGACAAGGGCATTTTATACGTGACCCTAATAACTCAAAAGTGAGTCAACAACAGGTTTTATAGGCATCTAAGAAAACTGACCAACGTGCTGGTAGTTGGTCACTAAGCCCCCTCATTTTAACTATTTCAAATTAACTTCTTTCCGCTTTTATGAGTTTTATTTTAATCTCCATTCTGAACCTTTCCCTTGTCTCTGTATTACTTGTTCTTTAATGAAGAAAACCTTAAAATGATAGATGATCCCACACTTTTAAAAAGCTTTATTTCTTAGCTTCTTTGAGTAGAATGCATTTAAAAGAAAAATTTTAGTTCTGAAAATAAATATGTCTCTCAACCCTGGAGTTCTAGTCCTTTTAAGGAAAAGAGGTAGAAATGCAGTGTCATTACTACCTCATGTATGGATCACACAGTGCCCTGATCCTGGCCCTTGACCATGCTGAGGTCTCTGTAGAATAATCAGAAAACCTTAAAGCAAACTTCATATGCACAGTAGAGGCACTAAGTGAGAACGAGTGCACATTTTCTAGGCAGGGCACCTAAGGGGTTTCCAACTCAATCATGAAGAGCAGAAGTCGGGGGTGAGATGGAGAAAACACTTGTTTAGCTGAGTCAAATAAACCACTATTGCTGACTTAAAAAAACAACCACTCCTGTAGGAACTGCAGCAGTTAATAGCATCAGTTTAGAAAAGTAATTAGAAAATGGAAAATGTGATAGAAAATATAACTCTGCTACAGAAGATAGATTTTGTTAAAAAAATACAAAAAGCTTTTCCAAAGTCATTTATGATTCTAATAATTACAATCAGCAACGTATATTCAGAAATGGAAAAATGCAAGAGCAACATTTCATATTGCTTCAGTGGGAAGAACACATGAGGATTATGTGTTAATCACTAAAATTCCTTCCTTTAAAATAACTCAAAGTATTTTAATCTGGTGAAAATTAAGTTAGCAAATGAAATCTATTTAATCACTTCCATATGGTTTCTTTTCTCCGACATGGGACTATTCAGTTGACCTTTTTTTGTATACAACATTTAACTCTCCTTTCTAATAAAGGAGGATTGTTATCTTTTTCTGTTACCTCTGTTAACCCTCCTTTCTAATAAAGGAGGCACGTTATCTGTCGTTTGGGCCCAGAAACAAAACAGATTACAGAGAATTCAAGGTTCAAATAAGGGAAAAGAAATAAACACTCTAGAGTCTCAGGTTATAATATCTAGTATCTGTCAAACTTCACTAAATCAGTTACAAAATATGACAAAATTATTCTTCACTAAATAAAGCTTCACGGAAATGAACTATTTCTATTTCTCAAGTCCTTTAAATCCTCCAAGTAAAAATGAAAAAGTCAATTATTCAAGTAAATACATATTAGTTACTTATGTACAAGACACAAAGTGCAAATAGCGCTTAGGGTCTTATCATCTAGTTAACCTAGTTAAGGAGATAAGGAATGAGTACACAGAAAAAACAGACAAAAAGTTTAGCATTAAATTATCTTTTATTCCCCATAAAACACTAGGCAATAATCGCCTGATAATAGTATTAACAACAATAGCAGTGAGTGTTTGTATAGTGATTACTATATACACTGTGCTTTTGCCTAAATTTACTTACTTTTCACAACAACCCTATGGTGGAATGATGTAGGTATTTTTATTCATTCCTTTTTACAGATGAGAAAACTGAGGCATACAGTTTTTTTTTCCCCTTAAGAGACAGGGTCTCGCTCTGGATATAATCATAGCTCACTGCAGCTTTGACCTCCTTAGCTCCAGCCCCAGTCTCCTGAGTAGCTAGGACTACAGGCATGCACCAATACACCTAGCTAATTTTTTTTTTTTTTGAGATGGGAACTCACTGTGTTACCCAGGCTGGTCTCAAACTCCTGGTCTCAAGTGATCCTCATGCCTCGGCCTCCCAAAGTGCTAGAATTACAGGCACAAACCTCAGTGCCCAGCCCTGCATGCAGAAGCTAAATACTTTGCTCAAGATCAGATGGTGATATGGTTTGGCTCTGTGTCCCCATCCAAATCTCACCTTGAATTGTAATCCCCATGTGTCAAGGGTGGAACCCGGTGGAGGTAATTGAATCATGGGGGGCAGTTTCCCCAATGCTGTTCTTGTGATAGTGACTCTCACGAGATCTGATGGTTTTATACGCATCTGGCATTTCCCCTGCTTGCTCTCACTCTCTCTCCTGCCGCCCTGTGAAGACGTACCTTCTGCCACGATTGTAAGTTTCCTGAGGCTTCCCCAGCCATGTGGAACTGTGAGTCAAGTAAACCTCTTTCCTTTATAAATTACCCAGTCTCAGGTATTTCTTCATAGAAGTATGAGAATGGACTAATATAGATGGCAAGCAGGTAGTAGAAACAAAAATTCAAACCAGTCAGTCTGGCTCTACAGTGTGTGCACTTAACCCCTTCTTCATTTAATTGCTAAAATTCCTGAAAGTGGAAAGGCTTCATGGCTTTAAGAAACTGAAGACCTCATCTTTCTACACACTTCAAACCTAGAATCTTAGAGTCTGATTTTTCTTTGGAATTTCTTTCTCTAAGTGAGTTCCATGAAGTTCATTGATGATTAAAGGATCCCCCGTCCCAGCGCGGTAGCTCATGCCTGTAATCCCAGCACTTTGGGAGGCTGAGGCAGACAGATCGAGAGGTCAGGAGTTCAAGACCAGCCTGGCCAACATGGTGAAACCCTGTCTCTACTAAAAATACAAAAATTATCCAGGCATGGAGGCGCACGCCTGTAATACCAGCTACTGGGGAGGCTGAGGCAAGAAAATCACTTGAACCCAGGAGGCAGAGGTTGCAGTGAGCTGAGCTGTACTCCAGGCTGGGTGACAGAGCAAGACTCCGTCTCAAAAAAAAAAAAAAAAAAGGGATCCCCAACCAACTCTTCTGAAGGGCACACTGTCCTCTAAGCACTGATTTCAGTGCTTTGCAGATATTAACTCATTTAATCCTTACAACCACCAGTACTGAGTTGAGAACAATGAGGCTCAGAGAAGTAATCTGCCCAAAGAGAAAACACTCAGTAGATGGTGGAGTTGAGATCTGAACCCAGGCAGTCCTTGCTCCTGTTACACTAATTGCCTCTCCTAAAAATAAAATAGGTTTTGTCCTTATACTTCTCTTGAGAGAAGAAATGTCAGCTTTAGTATTGACACTGACAAACTTCATAGGATATAGGGACTTTAAACTGCTACTAGTCTGTAGCAGTATATTTGAAAAGAATTAGAGCTCCTAGAATTCTAGACCATATCTATTCTGTCCACCACTATATTCCTAGTACCTGGCATAATGCCTGACACATAACAGATATGCAATGAACATTAAATAAATGGAATGACCTCAAATTTGTAGAATATTTTGGCATGTAACAATGTAATAAAGTGGTTAGTCATTTAGTGGACAAAACATGTTGCTACCTTAATAATCCATTTTGTTTCTTAAAAGTTTTAAGAACTCAAAAGGAAACATTTTATATTAATGAAGATAAAATGTTCTGAATAGAACTAAAATGTCATACTGAAAAAAGCAAAACCAGCCAAATCATTCAAAGTAAACGTAGCTTACCTTTGAGCCATCTAAACTGATTATCCTATACACATTTCTTGTGCTGTCATAGAAATAAGACACAGTAACTGCATGCTTGCTGGTGGGTACCCAGTTCTTCTTTGTGTTTGGGTCAATTTGGAAGACATGAGCTCGAGTGCTGAAGATAGGTTGTTCCCTGCAGGGCAGAAAAGAAAATGATGGACTGAAAGCAGCCAGTTTTATTTCACTAGACAAGAGAACATGAAAACTGCAAGGATGATTCTGCTTAATCAACAATTTCCACATACCTGAAAGTAAGAGAAACTTTCAAATTTGCATATTCTAAGTATTCAGTCATAAGGTTTCTAAAAACAATTATAGTCAATCCTCATTATTTGAAGAGTCTGTACATGTGAATTCACCTACTCACTAAAATTTATCTGTAACCGCCAAATCAATAGTGTGGCACATTCTTAGTCTTTCACAGACACACACAGGGCAGTGCAAAACCATGCATCACCTGACATGGCACATTTCCATCTGAAACTGAACAAAGTGACAATGCCTTCTTGTTTCAGTTCTCATACTACATTTACAAGTGTCCTTTTTATGGTCTATTTAGCACCATGTTTTACACATTTCACACTTTGTTGGTGCTTTTACTGTGTAAAATGGCCCATAAGCATCATGCTGAAGTGTTCCCAGATGCTAGCTGTTCCTAGGTGCAAGAAGGCTGTGATGTGGAGAAAATATGTGTTAGATAAGTTTCACTGAGGCATGAGTTACAGTGCTGTTGGCCATCAGTTCAATGTTAATGCATTAACAATATATATTAAGCAAGGTGTCTTTAAGTAGAAACACACATAAAACATAGTTATGTATTGATTAGTTGATGAAAATGTCGTGAGCAGAGGATGGTAGGAACATGACACAGTATTTTTCCCTAAGAGCAATGGTTCAGTACAGTATTTGCTAACTTAGTGTTGCTGGCACCTTCATGGAAGATGTGAATAATGAGAATAAACTATGCTCTGCTAAAATACAAGTATCTTATATTTGACTCTTACAAAGTTAATATTTTTACCCACTTAAAACCACATTTAAAACCCATTTAAACACATTTTACCCATTTAAAACCCAGAATAATCTGGGAATAGGTAAAGAACTTACTGGGAAAACATACATTCACTATAATCGCTACTATACTTAAAAGTCTATGGAAAACAAAGTTGCTGAAACCACAAATATCTCTTACTTAGATCAAGCAGGGCCTTAAAGATATAGATTTTTAAAATTACAAAGAACCAAAACTAATAAAAAATACTTGTTTAAAATATCATTACAGAATTCTTTACAGTATGAACAACAGGCATAAGATGATCTATATATAATAGAAGCATCGTAATTCAAAAATTTCCAAGTTCTGAGTAAAAATTATCTTGGAAGCAGCATTTATCAAGCTTGTTTTTTTAAGAGCCCAAATAAAACTCATTTATTTCATTTCACTGCACATCTTTCTTTTCTAAAGCAGTTCAATGTCATAAAGAAAATTTTAATTGGTAATATTTAATATTAAGTAAATTAATTTTAAAATTATGAAGAATTTTAAAATTTCTAAAATTTTAAATTTGAAGAAAGGAAGAGTAAATATGGAGAGGAGAAAAATTAGAAAAACGGCAAGGCAAATCTGAGTCCACGGCAAAATGGCTCTTAAGGTTAATAAAAGGTTGGGTGACTCCTATATCCATTTCAACCCTTAGAGAGTTGGTGTGAAAGTGAGGTACCTTCCCTGTAGGTAACCTGGCACTTTCCTAGTTTTATTTCTGGAAACCTCCTATACAACTTTTCTTATTAAAGAATCTCTCTTAAAAGAAAGTGATATATTTTGTGCCACTCCCTAAAAAATGAAGTGGAGCCATTACTTCTTGTTTAACTGCCACTATATATGGATTCATTTAATAATTATTAACAATCTGGCAAAACACTGTACCAGGATGATGAACTCTGAATTGGGAATACGTCTTATTCATTCCCTCTTTCCCCATCCTCAACCATTGACTTTCAGTGAGGCTGGTGCTATAAGCTTGGGTTATCTTCCAAAACCCCTGCAACCCCTATTTTTCTTTTTTCACCTTCTAATTAAAGTCTGAGGTAAAAGTATTGTTGGTCAGGCTGGGAGTGGCTAGTTACAAGTCACAGGGACATCTAATCATACACAACTCTATTAAGGCACATAAGGAAGGGAGGTAAGACACTATTCTTTACTAACTCGATTACTTGATTTTTTTGTTGTTTTCATTTGGTAGGGGTTAAGTTTCCTAAATTCACCTAAATAACACAAGTTGGTGATTATAAGAATGTGTTCTAATAAACATCTTTTCTAAAATAGTAAATTAGTTATTAAGATAATAACGTTGCTTTTGCAAGCTTTCTACAACCAATCAACAAATCCTTACTCAATGGAAATGCAATGTTTTCAGTACGGTAAAGACTTTCTACATCATATTGAGTCATACATTTAATTAATCCACACAATTTAATTCCTTTCAGAATAAAAATCTTTAAGCTAGCTATTGTATAAGCAAATGCCATTTGAATATCAACTAAATACATAGCTTTCTTTAATTCTCTTCTGAACAGCTGGTTTTTTTAAAGAAAATTATAGTTTAAGATTTCTGTGGTCAAAAGCCTGTACTTCAAAGTCTATATGATAAAGACTAGGGAAATAATTTTCACTACAGATCCAGGGAACAGAATTCCTAGAAGTAATGAGGATGTTACTGCATCTGACAGGGCATACTAATAAATGATTCAAACTTTTATTGAATATCTATTATATGCCAAGATGTAGGATCCAGATGGTCCCTGCCCTTGAAAAATTCAATTTGGTGACAAAAGATGGATATGTTAAAAACAAAATGCTCTTCACTACGATAGATTCTCTAAAAATAAGTAACTGACAGCTATGATAGAAAACAGATGCCTAAATAGAGTTTGAAACAAACTGTTGCACAGTGGGAGGAGGGCTAAGTACATTGTGTAGCAAGAACCTTAGTACAGGTAAGTTTGAGTGCCTTTGAAGAATGAGGCTAGAATGAAAAAATAGAGAATGAAAAAAGAGAGAAGACAGTTCATGAGGGTGTCTACTGAAAGCTATTGAGAGATTATAAACACGAAATAGTTTTGCTTTTTTCTTTCTTTCTTTCTTTTCTTTAACAGATAGGTTCTCACTATATTGCCCAGGCTGGTCTTGAAGTCTTGGCCTCAAGCAATCCTCCCACCTCAGCTTCCCGAGTTGCTAGGATTACAGGAGTAAGCCACCTAGCTCAGCTCCAGCTTTGCATTTTAGAAAGATAAATCTGGGCCACGTGTGGTGGCTCACACCTGTAATCCCAGTGCTTTGGGAGGCCAAGCTGGGCTGATCACTTGAGCTCACAAGTTCGAGACCAGCTTAGGCAACATGACAAAACCAAAATTAGTCTGGCGTGGTGGTGCACACCTGTAGTCCCAGCTACTTGGGAGGCTGGGGTGGGAGGCAGAGGTTGCAGTAAGCCAAGATCATGCCACTGCACTCCAATTTGGGTGACAGAGCCAGACCTTCTCATATACATGCACAAAATTTGGCAGCAATAAAAAGGAGGTGGGTTGGAGAGAAATACTGGACACAGGGAGACTAGTCAGAACCTTACTAAAGAATCGCAAATATTAACAAAGAGGATAGGAGTTTAGGGAACAGGATGAAGATGTGATAAAGGATTAAAGGTAAATTTAGGAAGCAGTATCAGCAGATAAGTAATAGATTGGATATAGGGCAGTGGTTCCCAAACTGGGGTGGGTTTGTTCCTCGGGACATTTCACAATGTCTGGACACAGTTTTGGCTGTCACAATGAGGGAAACTGCTATTGGCATCTAGTGGGTAGCATCCAGGAACGCCGCTAAACATCTACAATGCACAAGATAGCTTTCCGCAACAAAAAATTTTCCAGCTCAAAATGTTCATTGTGCCAAGGTTGAGAACTCCTGATGTATAAGACAAAGAAGGAATCTGAGTCTCCTGGGTTTCTACTTTGGGTAACTGAAAAGAAGACAGTCCCACTAGCAAGGATGGGCCACAGAAAGTAAAGTCTAAGATTGGGGAAGTGGAAGGGGAAGATGAAGTCAGTTTTGAAGGAGTTCAGATGCCTACAGGGTTTGGATGTAGAACTCTTGGGCCAGGAACTTAAAAACACTTGTTTGGAGCTCAGAGAAAACCAGGCTGGCATGCAGAGTTTGGGGAATCACCAGATTTTATGATGGGTATGTTTCAATACTAAGCATGTCCGTAATTTCCATTTAGAAAAAAGCTGTAGAAGAGGCAGTAGAGAAGCTATATCTAAAATCTTTAAGAGATTTACATATAACTGAACTCTTAAAAAGCTATCTTAAAAATCTAGCTCTTAATCTCTTAAAAAGACCTGTAATACATTTGAAATTGATTGTTCAAGTGTCCAGGTATCAAAGTTAATATCTTTTCATAAACTGTATAAAACTCATAAATAAAGGTTAGACACTGCTTTCTTTACAACAATTCACACAAATACTAACTGGATCAAACACCAGCATTTCCCGAAGTGTGTTTATATTGAACAACAGTCTGAGAAATGAATGGTCCATGTTCAAACAAGTTTCGCAAACACTGTGTTATATTCTAAAATATTTATAACGTACATTAGCATGTTAAAGGTTCTGAGAAGTTCTGCGGTAAAGAAACCAATCTAACACCAAATAATCCAGCATCTGGCAGATTATTTGACCTCAGAACTCTTTCATGTAATATATTTACATCTCCTAGGATTTATATTTATGGCTATGAGAATCAAAAGACAAATTCTGAGGTAAATATCTCACTGAAAGTTGGTCTGGATAGCTTACCATCTTTACTGATATTACTAATTATATTTATAATATAAAATTCAAGCCTTATTCAGTAACGACTACAGTATTATTTCTTAAACGGGTACTTGTTAAGAACACTCAAAGTAACTCTTCTAAGAAACTAAAAATTACTCTTTAAAAATTGCTCTAAAAATCAATTTTAAAGACAAATAGATCCATGCCGGGCGCAGTGGCTCACGCCTGTAATCCCAGCACTTTGGGAGGCCCAGGTGGGTTCATCACTTGAGGTCAGGAGTTTGAGACCAGCCTGGGCAACATGGTAAAACCCCATCTCTACTAAAAATACAAAAATGAGCCAGGCACGGTGTCGCATGCCTATAATCCCAGCTACTCAGGAGGCTGCGGCAGGAGAATCACTTGAACCCAGGAGACGGAGGTTGCAGTGAGCCAAGATCACGCCACTGCACCCCCAGCCTGGGCGACAGAGCGAGACTCCATCTCAAAAACAAACAAACAAACAAAAAAACCAGAAAACACACACACTTTAATCATAGAGCACTATCTATTCGGTAACTTCTTACATGAATAACCAGAACAGTAAGTAATTCAAACTACTTTACTGACATAAGAAAAGCTTACTGGAGTATTTTTCTGTTGATTCATAAACGAATTCTAGGAAATTGGTGTAACAATAATTCTCAAGTTCTTCATCTTGAGCTACAATTCTTTAAAAGTACTACATACAGTGATGGATGCTAAAACTTACTATGGATGTGGAAAACTGGAAGAATGTTAAGATAACCCTGAGAAAAAAGTAATAAAATCAGAATTTTATTTTAAAAACAAGACTTACTCAAACTCACTAGAGCTGACATAAAGAATTACTACATTTAGCTCTCAGGCATCTGCGTAATAAGAAAGAAACGAGGATCATAAAAAAACTAGAGCAAAACAAAAAACTATTTTCCAGGAGATACATAAGTTTTGGTCTAGAAAAAAAGCAGACAGTTAACATTCATCACTTGGATAGCTCTGATTTTTAAAAATCAATGATGATGCTGTTTTACAGTTACCAATGAAGTCTATACTTTCAAAAATATTATATGATTAACCAGTAAATCTTCATCCCAAGAGAGTGCAAAGGCATAGGTCCAATAAATACAATCAAACTCAAGGAAAGGAAGAGAAATTGTACATTTCCTGGTATACCTTTAATGCCTAGCTTAGAAGTATCCTTTTCAGATATGTAAGTACAAATGGCTACTGCAGCAAAGGAGATTATAAAGAAGGTTATGGTTTCAAATAATTTCCTTTCTTTTTAATTTTCCAAAAGAAAGTAGCCTGAAAGTATTCTAAGTATTCTAAGAAGTATTAGAAATAAGGCTGGTAATATTTTCCACTGAGGATTTGACTCTGCTGCAGACCCTGTTCGCTGACTATCTACCAACTGTTCTTCCTTGCTGCTCCCCAACAAACCTCAGATACTCTACCCTCTTCCATATGACTGTGAGCTTCGCTAAGGATAATCATGGCAATCCCATTCTTGCCAGAAGTTGGGTTAGGAATGGACCTCTGAAACAATTCCAAGAAATAACCAAGAAAAGTTTGCTAGAAACTTCTAGGTACACTCACAGACAGTACACATGTAAGAAGGAATATTCTCTGAAACGGTATGTTTGCATGTGACATCAGGACCTAAAGAAACCCTTAGTGCTGTGAGGGGCGCATACCTGAGACCAAAGCCAACATTCTCTGTCGATAATAGCATACGGAAAAACAAAGACTCTGGTTCCTTGATGATGTCACTGGACCAACAAATCACCTTATCTCCAGGCTTCTATATGATAATACGTTTGCTAATTGTTTCAAACAGTTGTCATTTAAAAAACTATGCAAATGAAAACTGAGGAAAGAGGCTTACTTACAATAAACTCTGCACTAACATGCCCCCCCAATACTGTAATTGGTGGCAGTTCAGAACTATACAAGCTACACACTGGTCATTCATTCACTTCATAACACCACCCCACAGTATACACAATTTGATTTTGGGGTCCCCATTTAAAATTGTAGAACCAACAGAGCAATTTATAAGAATAACTGCATTGAGATGGGTGGGAAGAGGAAGAAATGGAAAGGTAAATGTGGAACTGGCAAAAATTCACCACTAGTTGACTTTCTGCAATAAGGATTTAAAATCCAAAGCTTTCAATTAAAAAAATAGTAATATAAGAGCTTATTAGAGCTATGGAGGCAACCACTAAAAGAAATAAAAATTACATTTTTTAAAAGTAGTTGCTTCTGGGGATGGGGCTCAATTACTTCGCTTTCTTATCCTTTAGGTATTGTTTAATTTTTCTTAACCTTGTATAGGTATTAAAATATCTTTCTAAAATGGCACTGTGAAGAAATTACACTTACATAACAATTAACGATGGAAAATAATGCTTTAGGGGCCATTTTTGAAGACTGCCAAAGAATCAAAGAATGACAATTTTAACAGGTTGGAACTCAACTGAGAGGAATAAGGGAAAGTAGGAGAGGAGCGAAATCCAAACATGCCTAACTGTAGGACTACAGGTGCTGAAGGTACATCCAATTCCCGACAAAAACATCCCCCTTGATTTGAAGTAAACAGGAAAGTAAGACAAAAAACATTCTACCCTCAGCTTGCTTTTGGGTGACTGAAGTGGCAAGAGAAGCTGAACAATACTTGTTCAGGCCAAAATGAGAATGACAAGGATAAGTCCAGGAATAGACGGACACTAATTACCATTTAACTTGATAGGTAATGGCTGGAGAATTTAGTTTCAGTGCCACTATGAAGTGGCATAGCATGACTTTGGATGCAGCAGCTCAAGCACTGGAATTTCCTAGAAAGAATTATCCTGTACAACTTAATAATATAAATTGAAACTCCACACGATTATCAGGGAACTGGTTTAAATCTCACCACCTCCTCTCTTTCTCATACATATATCCTACCCCATGAAAAATCTCATTAAGATACCTGTTTTGATGCTGCTCAGAGATTATGACTGCATAATATAACATACTACCAACTGTATGTCCCTATGCCATGATATGTGTAATAAGCTGATTGCTTATACATACAATGTTCTTTTTTAAAAACCATATACGAACTTTGAAGAATGCAAAGGTTTTTCTGCTAATGGCTACCCAACACATAATTATACTGCAACAACTCCACCTAGTGATGAACCAAAAATATAGCAGGTGCATGTTTTTTAAAACCTGGAAGTTACTCTATAGCAAATACAAAATTGTAAAGTAACCTTGCTATAATAGAAGTATCGAGACTTCTGGAAGGATTTTTTTTTTTAATTGTATGATCTGGCCAGGCACAGTGGCTCACCTCTGTAGTCCTAGTGCTGTGGGAGGCCAAAGCGGGAGGATCGCTTGAGCCCATGAGTTCCAGACCAGGTTGGCCAACAGCAAGACCTCGCCTCCATAAAAAATTTAAAAATTAGCTGGCTGTGGTGGCACATGCCTATAGTCTCAGCTACTCAAGAGGATGAGGCAGGAGGATCATTTGAGCCCAGGAGTTGGAGGCTGCAGCGAGCTATGATTGTACACCACTGCATTCCAGGATGGGTGACAGAGCAAGACCCTGTCTCTTTAAAAAAGAAAAAAAAATGTATGATCTGAATTCCTTGATCTTTTAATCTGTTGGGTGAACACTGAAATTAAAGGTTTTAAAAAATAATTGTTTGCATTATAGTTATCAGAAATATTTTCATGACATTAAGTATTTAATTGATGTATTTGAAGAAAATATCAAATCTAAAATTTCCATTTGGAAATTAAGATTCTTAAATTATATAAAAATACACTTAAAGAGTAACAGTACTGTTTACATTTCTTCTTTTTTTTTTTTTTTTTTTTTTTTTTGAGACAGAGTCTCGCTCTGTCGCCCAGGCTGGAGTGCAGTGGTGCAATCTTGGCTCACTGCAAGCTCCACCTCCCAGGTTCACGCCATTCTCCTGCCTCAGCCTCCCGAGTAGCTGGGACTACAGGCACCCGTCACCACACCCTGCTAATTTTTTGTATTTTTTAGTAGAGATGGGGTTTCACCGTGTTAGCCAGGATGGTCTCGATCTCCTGTCCTCGTGATCCGCCGGCCTCAGCCTCACAAAGTGCTGGGATTACGGGCGTGAGCTACTGTTTACATTTCTTATATGTCACCTCTTACTTTAAGAGTAGTTTTTATAATCTATAGGACATGGTATTAGTTATTAAGAGATTTTAGTACTTACTCTTGGCCACTTTAATAAGTAGCTATAAAGTATTAAGGAATATGCTGAAATTCAGAGTAAAAAGCAAGCAACCTCATTCAATGCACATTTAAGCAACATCTTCAATGTTCAAAGAAACTTGCTTGGTATGTATTAAATAACTGCCAAGTGACTTTGTCCTTACCACCCATTAAAAACCCCATCCATTTCAGGTAAAATTTCAGTGTTTAAAAATATATCAAGTATGCCTGATAGATCACATTTAAAATTACATTTTTAGGCTGGGTGTGGTGGCTCATACCTGTAATCCCAGCACTTTCGGAGGCTGAGACAGGCAGATTGCCTGAGCCCAGGAGTTCAAGACCAGCTGGGCAATATGGGGAAACCCCATCTCTACAAAAAATTAGCCGGGCATGGTGGCGCACACCTGTGGTCCCAGCTACTTGACAGGAGAGATCACCTGAGCCAGGTAAGTCAAGGCTGCAGTGAGCTGAGATCGTGCCACTGCACTCCAGCCTGGCCAACAGAGGAGACCCTGTCTCAAAAATAATAATAATAATAATAATAATAAATAAATTACAATTAGAATTGATATGGCACATTCCATTTTACTTGACTTTAAATATTCTCCTCTTCCCAAATGATTTCCACTAACTCAAGCTAAATTCTGAGAACTGACAGTATATGCCTGGGAAATCTAAAGAAAGTAATCTCTTGTTAATAACTAGAATTTAATTATTGTTAATATAGGTAGTACTATTTGACCTATTGCCAAATAGGTTAAACTCCTGGCGTTTTATTAAAAATCTAAGTGATTTCCCAATAGACATCCAGTTCTTAAAAACTATTTTTTTTTTAGACAGAGTCTCACTCTGTCACCAAGCTGGAGTGCAGTGGCACAATCTCGGCTCACTGCAACCTCTGCCCCCTGGATTCAAGCAATTCTCCTGCCTCAGCCTCCCAAGTAGCTAGGATTACAGGTGTGCACCACCACACTTGGCTAATTTTTGTATTTTTAGTAGAGATAGGGTTTCACCATGTTGGCCAGGATGGTCTCGATCTCTTGATCTTGTGATCTGCCTGCCTCGGCCTCCCAATGTGCTGGGATTACAGGTGTGAGCCACTGTGCCCGGCCTTAAAAACTTTAAAAACAAATGAATTAGGCTGGGCGCAGAGGATCAGGCCTGTAATCCTAGCACTTTGGGAAGCTAAGGCGGGCGGATCACTTGAGGTCAAGACCAGCCTGGTCAACATGGTGAAACCATGTCTCTACTAAAAATAAAAAAATTAGCTGGGCGTGCTGGCAGGGGCCTGTAATCCCAGCTACTCAGGAGGCTGAGGCAGGAGAATGGCTTGAACCTGGGAGGCTGAGGTTGCAGTGAGCCGAGATTGCACCATTGCATTCCAGCCTGCGCAACAAGAGTGAAACTCCATCTCAAAAAAAAAAAAAAAAAAAAAACTAATGAAATGCTATAAAGGCCATTTAAGTGCTAATATCACCTTCAACGAACAATCATAATACTCTAAGGTACACTTTTCTACTTGCTACAAACTAAATGAGTGGATGTTCAGTCCATATAATATCTAAACAAATAAATATTCTAATAAGTAAACTCAGGATTGAAGAGAAAGATTCAGAGATACTTGAACAAAATGTTAACATTTGTGAAATTTGAAAAGTGGATATGTGTATAGTATTCCCTGTATTATTGTGAATATTTTAAATTGCTCAAAACAAACAATAAAACGTCACAGCACTTCTCTAGTTCTTATTGACAATGCAAAATTTGAATAATCGGCCACATTTTACTTTATATAATATAGGCCGGTGTTTTGTTTTGAGACAGGGTTTTGCCCTGTTGCCCAGGCTGGAGTGCAGTGGTGCGATCAGAGCTCACTTCAGCCTTGACCTCTCAGGCTCAAGCGATCCTCCTGCCTTAGCCTCCAGAGTAGCTGGGACTACAGATGAGCGTGCACCACCACATCCAGCTTTTTTTAGTTTCTAGAGATGGGGTTTCACTGTTACCCATGCTGGTCTCAAACTCCTGGGCTCATGCGATCCTCTCACTTTTCGGCCTCCTAAAGTGCTGCGATTAAAGGTATGAGCCACCATGCCCAGCCTAGGTCATTTAACTGCCACATAACAATACATGTTATGATTAGAATTACACTATCCAGTATGGTAGCCACTAGCCACCTGACCACTACGCATGTGAAATTCAGCTGGTGCAACTGAGAAAGTGAATTAATTTAAACTTTATCTGATACTCAGTTCAGTGTCTGAAAAGCTTTTAAATATATATGGAACAACCTGGGTATGTGAATCTACTTTTTCCAACAGAAATTTTATGAAATTTAAATTCAGATCAAGTATTTCCAATAAACATTTAACATTCAAATTGAGATGTGCTCTAAATGCAAAATACATAATGGATTTCAAAGACTTAGTATTTTTTTAAAAAATGTAATGTATCTCCATGACTTTTACATTAATCACTTTTAAAAAGATAGCATTTTGGATAAACTGTGTCAAAATATATAAAAATTGATTTTGACTTCCTTTTTAGAACCTTAAAACTAAATTTCAAATAACATATGTTGTTCACATCATATTTCTAGTGGAGAACGTTGGACTAGACAATATTTTCTGTAGCTATTTCCTTATCGACAGACATATAAGTAGTTCTCATTTTTGCACTGTTACAAAATAGCATTACAAACAATGTTCCTGTATGTTTTCTTGTGCACGCACACAAGAGATACACTAGAAGCAGAATTCCTAGTCATAGGGTATTGGTACAGGTCACAGCACCTGTACCAATTTACACTCATTAGTTTTATACTACACTCTCCTAACATTTGGTAATGTCCACGTAACATCTTTAATTTGTGCCAATTTTGGACATGAAATGGTATTTCACTGTAGTTTCAATTTGCATATGCCTGATCACTAGAGAGCTTAAGCAGCTATTCATGTATTTCTGGGCCATCTGAGCGCAACAAATTGCTATACTCATTTCTGAGCTTGTTTAAAACCTTATTTTAGCTCCAATAGTGAAAAAGACAGAATCTAAAATTCAGTACTCAAACGACATCTCATATATCCAATTCTAACCACATAAAGGTAAATTATGGTCCTTTGGTATAAAATTTAGGTTCTATTTTTCCATACCAAAGTGTTTCTGATACTCCTCTAAATTACTCCATTGTGAAAGGGTGAGCTGGTGGAGGTAATGGAGGAGTAAGTAAATGCATGTTAGTCAAACTTTTAACTTAGAGCTGCTTAAAATGTTTTCCTGGCTCAGCGTCAAAAAACAATTTACACAAAACATATTTAATGTTAAACTAGACGTCAAAAATAACACAATTCTATTGCCAAATAAGTTAAACTCCTGAGTGTTTTTCAAGCAGTAAATTCCCACTCTCTTTCTCTATGCATTTTTCTTTCCAACATCCCTCAGACTTGGAAGTGACTCTAACTTTCATTTGATCAAGTTTTGTCTAGTCACAGGTACTAATTACAGCTAAGTCTTTTCTACATGGTCCTCGAGTCATCTAGCTATAAGCCTACCAATGAATAGCACATCTGTTATTTTATGTATGGTAGTCATACAGTCTCAATTTCCCAAGATTATCCAGGTTTCATATTATTTTATTTTTATCTGTTGAAAAGGGGCTATATTAAGTATAATTAAATGTGACTTATAATTTGCCTTTTTTTTTTATTTTTAAGAGATGGGGTTATGTTGCCCAGGCCTAACTTGAACTCCTGGGCTCAAGGGATCCTCTCACCTCAGCCTCCCGCTGGGACATTGGACACAAGCTACCTCGCCCCACATTACTTTCAAATTTTGTCAGCGTTTCACGTAACAAAAACTATAGACAAAACTCTTTTGTCAGATAATGTCTCAATTTTGGGTTTTGCAAATATAATCCCTGTAGTGATGTGGTGTTTGTGCTTAGATGCATTAGCTCTATTTCATAAAAGTAGTGTTAATACAACCCAGTCACCATGGCATCATAGAAACCCAAATACATTTTCTGACTGTGAAAAGCAATTAACATTTTTCACTGACCAAAAATATAATACAGGAATACAATAATCTAAGTGGGAGGCCTTTTCCCTATTTAGCTTTCCTGAAAGTGAATTTTATTAGAGGTAGAGGGAGACTGACTTCTGAGCTACCTGAGAGAGGGAATCCTATAGATAAACGGGCATCTTAACAAGACAAGTTTACTACAGTGTTTTTCAAACCCTAGGTCACAATCCAGGGAGTCATGATCAATCTACTGGTCAACAAGGGGTATTTTTAAAAGTGAATGAAAATGTACAATATCAGAAGTGCATCATACATGGTGAGGACATATATCTTGTTCCAAGAAACTTTCAGCCACGTATTTATATATGCTTGTCACAATGTAAGATGCATTTTCTTCCCCCTGCAGATCATGGCCAAAAGATTTAAAGACCTGGGCATAAAAAATGCTTCTATTTAACCTTAATGAAAATTCTGTGAAGCAGATACACAACACCCATCTTATAGTATGAAAACAGCACTCCTGAGTGACTTAAAGTCACACAGCTAGCAAATGATATAAGCCTAGTTTCTAATGCAAATGAAAATAGAAATAAACCTAGTGGACATCAAAGAACTAAAATTAAAACCATGAGTTGTCTTTTTTTACCTGTCAACATAGAAATTTTTTAATGACTAAATTCAATGTTAGTCATTAAATTCAATGTTAGTGAGAACTTAAGGAAACCTGACACTTTCCAAAGCAGCTGGTGGGAGTATAAATTAGTAAAGTCTTTCTGAAAAACACCTTAGCAATGCATATCAAAAGCCACTATATAGCCATGAGAAAACAAAGTTGTAGCATATCCAGTGACATAAAATGTCCTATATAATAAAGAAAACAGTTTATAAATAAGTGGATACTGTATAAAAACATGTCTACAAAGCCTAAGGAAAAAAATACATGGAGGATACACTTACTTCAGCCCTTGCTCTGCCACTCCTTCTCTCAACACAGACACCAGAATGATCCTTCTAAAAACTCAACCTAGCATTGAAATACTCTAGGAAAAAAAAAGTGGGGTGGGGAGGCAGGATAAAGCAAGCACGACAAAATGCAGATGGCTGTTAAAGTGGGTTGGATGGTGAGTCCTTTTCTGTATATCTGGAACATTCAATAATATATAATTTTAAAATAATAAAACATAAGGTAGATCTTTCCTCAGAACTCCCCAATGGCTTCCCATCTCACTCACAGTAAAATACAAAGTCCTTAAAATGGCCTAAAGGAGGCCAGGAGCGGTGGCTCATGCCTATGCTATCCCAGCACTTTGGGAGGCCGAGGCAGGCGGATCACCTGAGGTCAGGAGTTCAAGACAGCCTGACCAACATGGTGAAACCCCGTCTCTACTAAAAATACAAAAAATTAGCCGGGCATGGTGGCATGTACCTATAATCCCAGCTACTCAGGAAGCTGAGGCAGGAGAATCTCTTGAACCTGGGAGGCAGAGGTTGCAGTGAGCCGAGATCATGCCATTTGCACCCCAGTCTGGGGAATAAGAGCAAAACTCCATCTCAAAGAAAAAAAAAAAAAAAAAAAAAAGAAAGAAAAAAATGGCCTAAAGGCCTTGTGCCAGTGTTTCTCAACCCTGGCTGCACATTAGAAATCAGCTTCCGTGGCCTGGGTGGGGAGCTCAGCATCAGTGGTTTTCAAGAGCCTCTAAGGTGATTCTCATGTGCAGCCAGGAGGGAGAGCAACTAGAGGACACAATCCCCTCCTCCCTGTCTTAACTTCATTTGTCCCTTGCCCTCTTTTGTTCCAGCCACAGTGGCCTTCCTGATGTTTCTCAAACATGCCAGGCACTGCCCCCATCAAGGCCTTTGCCTGGAGTGCTCTTTTCCTTCAGGTCTGCCCAGCATGTTCTTTTGTCTCCTCCAGGTCTTGGCTCAAATGTTACCTTCTCAAGTAGAGCCATTCTTGGTCACTCTATGTAAAAATTGCAGTCCCTTCCAGGACTCCCTCTTCCCTTTATTTCTTTTATTCTCCCCCATGGTACTTATCACCATCTGACACACAATATACTTTCTTATATATTGTCCTTTTCCCCCAAGTAAAGTATAATCTCCTCAAAGGCAAGGATTTTGACTGTTCTAATCATTGCTGTATCCTCAGCATCTCAAATTTCTGGCACATATTAGATATTCAGAAAATAATAGTAAATGAATGAATGCTTATACACCAAAATGTTTAGAGTTCTTGATGGTGGAATTACAAGTGACTTATTTTTTCTTATCTCAATTTTCTATGTGAACATATATTTATAAGAAAAAAAATTTTTTAAGCAAATACTTTTTTAATCCAATGAATTTGCTTGCTTTTAAATACACAGCTAGTGGAATATTGTCTTAAATAAATACATATGTAAACATTCATTGAGCTGCAGATTTGTGCACTTTACTGAATATGACATGATTTACATTTTTTAACAAAGTAAATACCAATTAAAAATACTACAGAGCCCTAGGCCAGGCGTGGTGGCTCATGCTTGTATTCCCAGGAATGGGAGGCTGAGGTAGGAGAATCACTTGAGCCCAGGAGTTTAAGACCAACCTGGACCACGTAGTGAGACCTTGTCTCTACTAAAAATAAAAAAAAAAAGTTAGCCAGACACGATGGTACATGCCTATGTCCCAGCTACTCAGGAGACCGAGGCAGGAGGATCGCTTGAGCCCGTAAGTTTGAGGTTATAATGAGCTATGTCTGTGCCACTATACTCCAGCCTGGGCAACAGAGTGAGACCCTGTCTCTAAAAAAAATGTTTTTAATTAAAAAAAAAATTACAGCCCTAGTGATATTAGATTCACCTAGCAAACAGATTTGCGGATACTGTTGTCCAGAGAATGTTTCTTACAAAAGAAATCAGCCACAAACTTCCAACTGATCCAAGTTTTGCCATCAACTATGTCTGTTCAGAATTATCTCTGCAGTATAGTTATTCTACACAAGTTATCCTACACAAGTAATCTTTAACTACCAATATAGCTTTAATTGTGAACCAGCAAGCTTGCCCTGAGGGATCCCATAAATATCAACTTTAAGGAAGCCAATCATCTAAAGCTAGATAAAAATTCCTAACTGGTTCTCCAACCACCACAGCATAAAAGACGATGGTTTAACTAAACAAGTACAGATAAATAATAGCCCAACCAAATGATAAATAGAAAAAGCAAGCAAATACTAAAGCAAGTTTGCCCAACTCACAGCCTGTGGACCACATGCAGCCCAGACAGCTTTGAATGTGGCCCAACACAAATTTGTAAACTTTCTTAAACATTATCAGACATTTGTGATTCTTTTTTTGTTTTTTTAAGCTCCTCATTTATCGTTAGTGTATTTTATGTGTGGCCCAAGACAATTCTTCCTCTTCCAATATGGCCCAGGGAAGCCAAAAGATTGGACACCCTTGTACTAAAGACTTTGTATTTGGCAGACATTCCACAATATTCAAATGGATTATATTAATATTAGAACTCCAATTTCAGTTGCCTCATCCAACCATTTAAGAACCAGTTATTTTCAGTTCTTTTAAAATTCATGCCCTGGAGTCTGGACAAAGTGGTAATACCTACTCTTAAATCTTTCTTAATCAAAAACAGCCTCTCATTATATGAAAGAGTTCTAGAATCTCAATCAAGGGCTCTTTTGAGACATTTGAGAAGAACAAGTTAGTCTTATTTCTTAAGAAAAGAGAGAGGAGTGGTAATACTAATTAGAAAGGTACTACAAACAACAGCATGAGCATAGCATATCACCCTGCAGCAATTCCACATCATGGCAATAATTTTAAAAACTTTATTCCAATACTAAGTATGGCTAGACTATGGTGAAAAATGCAAAGTTCATGTAAATTTCTAAGTTACACCATAACATTAAAAAAATTTGACACTATCCTACCACCAGTATATCCTAAATGTATTTACTCTTTTCTGTTATTTAGGTACTTTGGCAGAAATAGCAAAAGTATTTGTTTTGGAGCCTATTAACTATTCTAAATTTTCTTTTTTAAAAAAGAAAAAAATAGAGAGGCTCTCAGTCTGTCTCCCAGGCTGGAGTGCAGTAGTATGCTCATGGCTTATAGCTCACTGCAGCCCCAAACTCCTAGGCTAAGTGATCCTATCCAGTCAGCCTCCCAAGTAGCTGGGACTAAAGGTGTGCACCATCATGCCCAACCAAAATTTTTTTTTTTTTTTTTTTTTTTTTTTGTGGAGACGGGGTCTCACTTTGTTGCTCAGGCTGATCTAGAACTCCTGGCTTCAAGGGATCATCCTGCCTTGGCCTCCCAAAAAGCTGAGATTACAGGCATGAGCTACTGCTCCTGGCCTTTCTAAACTTTCTAAGACTAAATTCTTTCCCCCTGTATTAGTAATATAGTGAGACAGCAAATTTCTGATTATCTCAATTCCCTAAAAGATGCCTTCACTGAATTAAGATTTAAAGTTCTCCCTTGAATTGTTTAACAGATAAAATAAACTCCCATTGGATCATCAACCCACTCAGTATCTTAATGACAGTGCTAGGCAAAAAAATCATCTGTTTGCTATTACACCCAAACAAGACTACAACTCAATACACTCCTCACTCATTTGCCAAGAAACTCAGTTAGATTGTTTTCTACTCTCATAATGATCTCATCTCAGGTTCCTGCTACATCTGTTCATCTTTTTCTTTTCAACAATGTGTCTTCAACTATCCTGTTTTACCTTGTTCCTGATTTTACAAAATATTAAAAATTCTCTGCAGAAACTGAAAGGTTACAGATCTAGTATAATGAAAACTGAATAGCTTCAAATTGATAGAGTCAAAAAAGTAATAGTGACAGGAAAAAAGCTGATGACAGTTTCTAAACTTCTGCAGTTGGAATTATGTGATGTCTCAGCAATTTTCCTTTTATAAATTGAGCACACAAATTACAAATTACTCAACAACAACTTCCATCATTTGTCCCAAAGGAGGGAAGCCACAGGCTGCATAATTCAAACTCAGAAATTTAAATATGCTACTCCTAAATCTGAAGACAAAGGCCTAAACCTATAAAATGTGGTACATTCTTTGGCTATAATTAACATTTTAAAGAGCTTAACATGTGGTCAGACACTGTTCTAAGCACTGTGCCTGTGCTACTGAACTCTCAGCCTTTATGAAATGATTACTATCCCATCCCCCTTTTGAAGATGAGGAACCTGAAGCATAGAGACAGTATATAACTGCTCAAGATGACACATTATAGAGCCGGCACACTGTCTGGCTCTAGAGCCCGTATCTTTATCTTATACTGAGTCACTGGATGGGAGAATAATTATTTTATCATCTAAACCTGACAGTTCGTCGCTGTCACCAAACTCATGCCTGACCCATGCAAGGTGTTCAATAAATGCTGAAAAAATTAAATTCTTAGACTTTTTTTTTTTTTTTTTTTGCACCTGCAAGAAACCAAATCCAGGTGAGAAGAACAGCAGGGGAAAAGCAGAAGGTATTTTTGAGCCTCATACTTTATCAAAATATTCTATCATGTCATCCTTCTCAGAATACCACATGTGATAAAATCTAGCCAATGTCTAAAGCAAATATGAGATGCTTTGGAATGAATAACCAACTTCTAGTCTCTAAGCCTCAACAGGCTAACACTATTATTATTTTGTAATCTGTTATAGAAGTGGGATCATTCTATCAAAATACAGATTATTTTCCCTTGCAGAAGGAAGACTCAAGAACTAGGATAATTGTAATGACTGAAAGTAAGTTTTCAGAGCCTTCCAAACCACACTATCACTCCAATCAAGTACTACAGCACAAACTGTCTTCAAAATACAGATAAAAGTGTTATCAGTGCACATATATACACCTCATGAAAACACTCAGGTACCCTTAAAAGTGCTTAACAGCAATCATAATTATGTTGCTTGTACTATCCCACTGTCAATAAAATTCAGTAAAGAGACAATTATGAAGATATATCAATAACTTGTCACTTACTCTGGATGCTAGTACCATGCTCTTCACAGTTCTCTCACCGTTGTTATTGAAATATTATACCTGACAACAGTAATAGCATAAAGCCCCCAAATACTATATAAATAGGAATCCAGTCATCAACATTGCTCAGGAATCTACCATCTGCATTGATGGCACTGCTCATCTCTCCTCCTTTCCACATCTCTTCCAATTGAAATGATGAAAATGAAAGGGTTCTAAGAAAACAATTCTGAGTGGAAAAAAAACGAACTCAAGCCATGTTTATTTTTTCCCTCACACCACAACAATGAACACAAACAGAAGACTTCTATGACTAAACGTGGGGGATTTCTCCCCACCAACCAACAAGCAATCACTTGTGCAGTGGACACCAGCTGGGTGTCCTCTAATTTAATTTTGACACTCTACCTGGAGATAGTATAGTGTCAGATCGCACAGGCTGAGAGCTCAGTCCCCCAAAACTGCCCTCTCTTTAGACACCCGTTGCCAGTCTGGGTCTCCAGAAATTCTGACCAACTGGCTTTGAGTTGGGGTTCTACTGCCCTCTCTTTGAGTTCGATTAATTTGCTGGAATAGCTCATAGAACTCAGGAAAACACTTAAGTTTACTGGTTTATTATAAAGGATATTAAAAAGAATATAGATGAAGAAATGTGTTGGGCAAAGTATGGGGGAAAGGGTGTGAAGCTTCCAGGCTCTCTCCAGGCATGCTGTCCTCCAGGAACCTCCACACACATTTAGCTATCCAGAAGCTCCCCGAACCCTGTTATCTTGGGCCTTTTATGGAGACTTCACTGGATAGACATGAATGAAGCATCGACAACCATGTCAAAATGTGATTGGACAAAAAAGGTATAATTTAATGCTAATAAACTGATTGAAAAAACCCAACGAGGCCTGTCTCTTCAGATTTTTCTGGCCTTTCTGTGCACATTCCTTCTCTAGAGTATGGGGTAGGACCCTCTCTGAAATGGGGATCTTTGACTCACAATCAGATCAGAGTCCTGCCTTGAGTAAGTAAAAGAAGGACAAAAAACAGGTCGGAGAGAAATTCTGTTTCCTGAGACCTGCTTCTGAGGCCTAAAGCACCCCAACATTATAACATTATAGAGTCTGTAACAAAGACTATGAAAATTATGAGCCAGGAACTGTGGACAAAAAACAATAGATATATCATAGCATCATAGCAGTCTAGCCTCACCTGTAATTTTTCGTATTTCTAGGACTTCCTCCAAGCTGACGTTAAGAATTAGTTATAATCCGGAAACTATTTATTGGACAATTTGCTTTTACTGGGTAAAACACTTGTTATTATTATACCTTTTAAATTTAAGTGTCTTTAAGCTCATTGTTCAGATTTACCATTTACTTCCTACAAGAGGAAGAGATTTTTTTCTTTCCATGGTAATTTGGCCAGCATGGGCTGAGCTTTTGTCATTCACAAGTTCTATCTTCCTCCACTATCCCTTCTGTTGGCTGGATATGAGGCCATTGGATATGGATTTTTTTTAGATCACAAACTTGAAAGGCAGCAGCATTCTGCTACAAAACAATCTGTTCAAATTGAACAGGGAGGTTCTCGGATTATCCAACATTTAAAGAGTAATCGATACAACTAATCAATTGTCATTTAAAAATGTTCATGTTTGGACAAGAGTCTAGGGAAATTTCTGAAATGTCTGACAGTTTTTGAGAGCCAATACCTGAAATTTGAGAGAAGACAATGACATGGATGCTTCAGCACAACCACCTTTAAATTGTAATAAAAACTAAGAGGAGATAGAAAACAGGTCCATGATAAATTCTAAATCTAAGTTTAGCCAGGAGTTGTAAGTATGCTTCACAAGATTTTTTTTTTTTTAATCAATCATTATCCTGGTTTTATTTTCTCCTTCCTTGGTAAGAAATGTCAATAGAAGATGATGAAGGCATACCTAAAGGTATGCCACAGACTGAATAACACAATGCTAAAAATGTCTGCATTGGTACAATAAGTTATTATTTTCAGTTTTGCACGGACTATCAATTGTATTCATAATTAGTCTTGGGAAGCAGAAATGGCATTTTAACAAGACCATTTTCATACTTACAACGAGGCATTTAAAGAGTCAGGATTAGAAACCACATCTTCTGGTTCCAAAATCAGAGTTCTTTCTATTACTGTTCTGTACTGATTTCAATATGCCTTTGCTGTAGAACTCCAACACATCTTACATGCATTGAAACACTTATTATACTCCATTTCAGAAACTCTTGATAAGAAATAATACCTTTATGCATGGTGTTCAGATTATAGAAGGATAAAGGGGCCTGTAACATGCCAAAACTTAAATTGGCCAATGAAAATTTTGCTGGATGGTTCAAAAGCAAGCTTTAGAATTTAGTTAGAAATATAAAATACTAGGCTGGGCGCAGTGGCTCACGCCTGTAATCCTAGCACTTTGGGAGGCCGAGGCGGGCGGATTGCCTGAGCTCAGGAGTTCGAGACCAGCCTGGGCAACATGGTGAAACTTCGTCTCTACTAAAATACAAAAAAATAAATAAATAAAATACTAAAGTGTTTGTCAAACAACCTGGATCATTTTAAACTCACACTTTGTGCAATGACCTTAAGTTGCCTTAAGATGTCATTCAAAATAATTCCAATCTCTCAAAAATCAACCATAGGCCAGGCGCAATGGCTCATGCCTGTAATCCCAGCACTTTGGGAAGCTGAGGCGGGCGGATCACCTGAGGTCAGGAGTTCGAGACCAGCCTGACCAACATGGTGAAACCGTATCTCTACTAAAAATACAAAAATTAGCCGGGTATGATGGTGGGTGCCTGTAATCCCAGCTACTTAGGAGGCTGAGGCTGGAGAATCACTTGAACCCAGGAGGTGGAGGTTGCAGTGAGCTGAGATTGTGCCACTGCACTCCAGCCTGGGTGACAAAGCGAGACTCCGTCAAAAAAAGAAAAGCTGGATTCCATAAAAATAAATTTTAATATGGCCTATTTTAGAAAGTACTTATTATTAGTTCTTTGAAAATGACGCAAGTTTTAAGGTAGGTTTTTCTTCTGAATCATCACAACTAAATATTTGTGACACAGGCACAGGAGGAAAAACAAACTTCACTGAGTAAAACCGTAAACAGAAGAGGGAAAATCAACAGAAGACTTCAATAAACTGACAGACTTTTAAATGTAGGACTGCATAAAAAACACTAACATTTGAAAAATTGAATTTGTTGATAGGTCCTTCAAATGAATGTAGAAGGCTGAATAATGGCCCCGAAAGAAACCTAGACCTAGAACCTGTGAATGTTGCCTTATTTGGCAAAAGGGATTTTGCAGATGTGATTAAGTTAAGGATCTTGAGATGGGGGGATTACCCTGGATTAGCCGAGTGGGCCCCAAATGTAATCATAACTATCCTCACAAGAGGGATGCAGAGGGACATTTAGCTACAGAAGGTGATATGATGAAGGAAGATACAGATTTGAAGATTCCATGTGCTGGCTCTAAAGATGAAGGGAGAGGCCATGAACCAGGAATGCAGTTCTAGAAGCTAGAAAAGTCAAGGGAACCATTGTCCCCTACAGCCTCCTGAAGGAGTGTGGGCTTCTCACACTTTGATTTCAGCCCAGTTAAACTGCTTTCGTACTTCTGACCTCTAGAACCATATGAGAATGAACGTGTGTTGTTTTAAGCCACCAAGTTAGTGTAATTTCTTATAGTAGATATAGAAAACTAATACAGTAATAGTGATAAAAACCATCATCCAGTTAAAATCTATCAACTCTCTACCACCTAAAATTATTCTAAATTCTATTATATGTGTTTTTTCATTAAGAATGTTTAATAGTGATAGAATTACCGAAAACCAGCATAAAATCTTAATAAAAGGAACTTTATATTTATTAAAGCAATTTTAGGCAATATGTTTGCCAACTGGGTATCTTCGACTGCACTGTAATTTGATGAAAATTAAAGCTCAAGAATAACAAATTACTGTCATGGGACAAGTTATAGCAATTGTTCAAAAGTAACAAGCGTAGTTGAGTAGTAAGTCTATTTTTCTCATTTCACTAAACAGCAAACCAACATGTCATTTAGAAATAACACTGTTTCAGAAGTAAAAAGAATAAAAAAAAAGAAATTCAACAAGAGAATCAGAAACAAAAGGAAAAATTAAAAAAGAATAAAACAACAACAGAAGAAGCAGCAGCACTGTTACAAAAATAAAACACCTGAAAAGTAGGGGGAAAGGTGGAGAAAAACATTTTGTTGAATTCCTATTACATGTAAACACCTTATATATATAGTCTCATTTACATTTCAAACAACTCTAAGATATAAAAGTAGATTTAAAAAATAATAACATGACTTGTTGGAGGAGGGGGCAGTTTAAGTAACTGGTCAAAGGTCACAGCTAGTACTGGTATTTCTGGGATTAAAATCCAAGACTAACTCCAAAGCCCATAACTTTTCACTACTTATAGAAACTAAACTTAAATTTCTTCTTTGCTTCTGAATAACTCAATGACCAACTCAAAATCTCATAAATTATAAATCTTTGTTAGTGTCATGCTGGCAAAATACATTCTATTTTCTCACTCTAAGACAGCCATATGCCCATGTAAGTTATTATACCTTTATGTAAATATTAGAAAATATTTTATTTCTTTGATTAGGCCAGGCCCTTCTAAAATCTGAGAATTTTAACTTTGCTCATGCAAACAAACTTTTCATAACTGAAAACCCACAAGTATGAAACATGGTCTCATTATCTTATTCACTCCTTCAATATTTATTGACTGTCTACTCTTGTATCTTGTGTTAGACACAATGGCAAGTAAAGCAGATAGTTCCTAGCCTTGTCAAATTAATGGTCTAGTGGGGAGGGGAGGCAGACTACTAAATAATCAACTTACAATGTGTGATGTGTCATGAAAGAATGATGCAAAGAAACAGGAGTACAAAAAGATACTCTTCAACCATCACAATGCTTTATTTGCCCCATATAAAGCAATAGTCTATGTAAGTGATTACTAATCATTTATGATACAGATCTATCTAAAACACATTTACATTTCATACTTTCCATCTTCTTAATTGCTTTTTCTTTCATCACTTAGGTATGGGATGATTACTGGGCAGCACTTTCAGAGTCTCCAAATAAACACTCTCATAGCACCAGTTATCTCTCCTCACGACACGTGTCACAATTACAACTTTATTTTTAACTGTGATATTTTAAGAGTCTACCCCCAGACATTTATGGAGTACCAGATCTATCCTTCCACCTTAAATAACTAAAACACTAGACAAAATATAAGAAACAAGTTTTCAGACACTGCACAATAAATAGCATGGCACCGTGATCTCTGAGAGGCAGGAAACAACCTTGCTCTACACATATTCTTGCTTACTGGAGAGAGCTCCAGACCACAGCACAGGGAAGGGAGCCATAACAGAGCCCTGAGTTTAAGACAAAGTTGAAAATTTGGAGAGGTAAGGCAGCTAGAATTTGCAGGACAGAGTATTAAAGAGGAGGGAGCTGAACACAGGTGAGCTGCACAGAAAAAGCACTTGAAATCTATAGAGGATTCCTCTCATGTTTTCAGCTAAGTAGTGATCAGTACATACCTTTGTCAAGACAGTCTAAGTCCAGAGAAGAGCCACTAGGAAGAGCAAGTAGAACAATCCCCAGGACTCACATAAAACCAGAAACAGTTCATGTTCATTCAGCCAGAAGGGAGAGCACATGGGACATTGGGTAAAGTTTCCATAAAGGCATCTCCTCAGTAATGAGCTAAAATTAGCTGTACAGTAAAAGGCTGCTCTGGTCCCACACAACACAGCTTAAAAGTAAGCTTTGAAAAGATCATACTGTTTCCAATCAACTTCACTGAGTCTCAGAACAAAGCTCAAGAATATTTAAAAGAATATAAGTCTGGGCACGGTGGCTCACACCTGTAATACCAGCATTTTGGGAGGCCAAGGCAGGCAGATCACTTGAGCCCAGGAATTCAAGACAAGCCTGGGCAACATGGTGAAACCCCATCTCTCCTAAAAATACAAAAAATTAGCTGGGCATGGTGGTGTGTACATGTAGTCCCAGCTACTTGGGAGGCTGAGGTGGGAGGACCACTTGAGTCCAGGAAGTTGAGGCTGCAGTGAGCCATGGTACACCACTGCACTCCAGCCTGGGCAACAAGAGTGACACCCTGTCTCAAAAAAATAAAAAATAATAGAATACAAAAATAGCACCCAATAAGATAAAATCCTAAATATCTAACATTCAGTGGATAAGTAAAACATAACCCATAATGAGCAGGAAATTCAATAAACAGAAACACACCCAGAAATGACATAGATGATAGAACAGGTAGACAAGAACATTAAGATAGTTATTAAAACTACAGTCTACATGTTCAATAAGGTAGACGAAGACATAAGCAGTTACACTTGAACGTATTAAAAAGCCCCAAATCAATTTTCTAGAGATGAAAATGTCTGGATGAAATAAAAAGCAGATAAGGCATTACAGAAAAAAAAGGAAACCAGTTAATTTGATAAGATAGAAATCAAAACTATCCAAAATGAAGCACAGAAAAAAACCCTGAAAAAAAAATATAGTACTAATGTGATTGATTACTGTGGGATAACTTCAAGCAACCTAATATGCATGCAACTGAAGTCCTCAAAAGTGGGAAGGATTAAAAATAATTGGGCCAGGTGGTAGCTCATACCTGTAATCCCAGAACTTTTGGAAGCTCAGGTGGGAGAATCTTGAGGCCAGGAGTTCAAGACCAGTCTGGGCAACATGGCAAGACCCTGTCTCTAAAAAAATATTAAAAAAAAAAAAATAGCTGGACATGGTGGCTCACACCTGTGGTCCCAGCTACTCAAGAGGCCGAGGTGGAAGAACTGCTTGAGCCCAGGAGGTTGAGGCTGCAGTGAGCCGTGATCATGCCACTGCACTCCAGCCTCGACAACAGGTCAAGAGCTGTTTCCAAAATAAATTATTTTAAGAATTTTGCTTGAAAAAATGTCCAAATCTGATACTACTATAAAGCCATAGATCTGAGAAGTTCAACAAACCACAAGCGCAAAAAAAAAATTAAGAAAACTATGCCAAGGGCAAAGGGACATCATAATTAAATTACTTAAAGCCAATGATAAAACCTTAAGCACAGTCTTGGGTTATGGAGCATATTACATACAATTGAAAATAAGAATGGCAGTTGACTTCTCATTGGAAACAATGCAAACCAGAAGAAGACAGAATATCTATAAAGTATAGAAAGAAAAAAAACTTGTCAACCTAACGATTTTCTACCCAGCAAAAAACATCTTTCATCTTTCAGAATTTACCCAAGTGAATTTAGGGTAATGAAAATGTCTTAGAACTACATAGAGGTGATGGTTACATAACACTGTGAATGTACTAAATGCACTGAATTGCACTTTTGAATGGTTAATGGTTTATGTTATGTGAATTTTACCTTAAAAAAAAAAAACTCTTAAAAACAGGAGAGTGGAATAAAGATTTTCTCAGACATACAAAAGCTGAAAGAATCCATCATTAGTGGACCTGACTATGAGAAAATGTTAAAGAAAAGTTTTAGGAAGAAGAAAATGATTCCATATAGATATCTGGATCTACTCAAAGGAATGAAGAGCACCAAAAGGGGTAAATATGCAGGTAAATACATATATATTTTAATTGCAAAAGTCTCTTTAAAAGATAATTGACCGTTTAAGTAAAAAAAAAAAAAAAAAGTGGCCGGGTGTGGTGGCTCACGCCGGTAATCCCAGCACTTTGGGAGGCCGAGGTGGGTGGATCACCTGAGGTCAGGAGTTCAAGACCACAGTGGCCAACATGGTAAAACCCCGTCTCTACTAAAAATACAAAATTAGCCGGGTGTGGTGGTGGGTGCATGTAATCTCGGGAGGCTGAAGCAGGAGAGTTGCTTGAACCTGGGAGGCAGAGGTTGCAATGAGCCAAGATCATGCCACTGCACTCCAGCCTGGGCAACAGAGCAAGACTCCATCTCAAAAAAAAAAAAAAAAAAAGTGGGGTTTATAACATTAGGATTAAATATATAACAATAACAAAGGCAGGGAGATAAAACTGTATTATTGTAAGGTTCTTATTATATATGAAGTAGTAAAATGGATCACCTAAAGGTAGACTGTGATAAGTTAAAGATGTATACTATAAACCCTAAAGAATCATTTAAAAAGAAAAGGTATAGTTAGTAAGCTAACAAAAGAGATGAAATAAATCATAAAAAAACACTCAATCTAAAGTAATGCAAAAGAGAAAAGAAGGAGAGGAATAAAGAACAGATGGAACAAACAGAACATACATAAGATGGTAGACTTAAACCCAATCATATCAATAATATTAAATGTACATGATCTAAACACCCACAATTAAAAGGCAGAGATTAGCTAGGTGCCATGGCATTTGCCTGTAGTCCCAGCTACCTGGGAGGCTGAGGTGAGCTCAGGAATTTGAAGTCCAGCCTAGGCAACACTGCAAGACCCTGTCTCTTAGAAAATAAATTAAAAAAATAAAAAATAAAAGGCAGAAATTGTCAGATTGTATATAAAGCAACAACCTATATGATGCTTATAAGAAAACCATTTTGAAGACCACCTTAAAAATCATTTTAAATATAAAGACACCTATAGGTTAAAAGAGGATGAAAAAAGATATACCTCGCAAATATCAATCATAAGGTCTGCCCCATCCCCAGAATGAAATCTCCATGAAGGCAGGGGCCATGTGCATTTTGTTCACCTTGTGTCTCCAACAATCAGCAAGACTGCACACAATATCTGTTAAGTGAATGAAATTCTTTTAAAATGTATGGGACCTTCTACCCCACATTACTACAATTCCCAGGCTACAATGTCATCATTGCTCAAGGTTTTGAAAAAGTATTTCCTGAGGCCAACAACAGCTGTTCTCTTTGCTATTATCTATACCTCACTTCCGAAAGTCTATTCTCTTTTCCCTGCCCAGTCTGCTGGGGGCTGAGAAACCTGATAACCAATCTTGTTAGAACTGTGTCAAAAGTAAAACAAAACAAAACAAAACAAAACAAAACAAAACAAAAACACTAGTACTGAGTGAAGGTGTGTTTTGCTTTCCCTGAGTAAAGTAAATATATTTGGCTATTCCCTGAGAGTACTAAACATTTCTTAGTTATCATGCTTTCTTCTCAACAAAAATATTTTGAGGACCAGCTAGAAGCTTCTTGCCACGCACGGGGTGATAGAGGAATAGAAAACAGATTTGTGGGTTTGGGTTTTTAAAGTATGGGGAGGGTAAGTAGAAATTCAGCTATTCCAACTGAGTTCTCCTCCCACCCCAACATTTTTACATATGTTTTTCTTCATCGCATCCTCACCCTAAGCTAAAGAGTAAGGCATGAACTTTAAGGAGTTAAAGGACTGACTCCTGGTGTTTCTGTGTATTTGTTCCATTTTTTTCCACAAAGTTTGGAACACGCTTTCCTTAGTGCGAATGTAATACATGATATTTAGATTTGTAAGTAACAACACATTTTAACATTTCAACAGGTCCAATGCTAGGTACTTAGTACATGACAGGTCATAACACCCATGGACTTTAAAAAATTACAAACTGTGGTAAGTGTTACCAAGGAAAATGAAGAGCTATGAGAAAGAGAGCAAACAAAGGCAATGGAAAAAGAGGGACCTAATTGAAGTTGGTTAGTTTGCTAAAGAGTGGGAATCTGACAGATGATAGTGTTTCAGGTTCAGGCAACAGCATGTGTATGGCAAAGTACATTCCCCAAAGATGGCTGCAACAGTATCTCCTGTCCCTCTTTTAGAACACCTTGTTATTTCCCTATCAAGAGGTAGAGTCCATGTGCTCTCTCCCCTTAAGCCTGAGTGGGCCTTTGTGACTGCCTGAACCAAAATAATGAGGCAAAAGTAACACTGTGTACTTCTTGAGTCTACATTGTATTAGGCCATTCAGCTTCTGCCTGCTTCTCTTAGGATACTCACTCTTAGAACCCAGCCACCATGCTGTAAGGACAAGCAGCCTGTGGAGAGGAATCAAGAGGAATCAAGACCTCCACCCTAGTTGACTTCCTGGCCAAGAGTAAAGACTATCTTGCCAACCACATGAGTGACCCGTTTAAAAGTAAACCCCACAGCCCTCAGTTAAGCCACCCCAGCCAATGCCATATGGAACAGAGATGAGCTCTCTCTCACAAACTCTGCCAAAATTGCACATTTGTAAGCTAAACAATTGTTTTTTTAAGCCACTAAATTTTGGGATGGTTTGTCATGTTGCAAGAGAGACAATGAGAACAATGTGCAAAGATCTTGAGGCTGGCAAGAGCTTGTCAGGTCCAGAAACTGCAAAGTACAGTGTAGCTGAACACAGACATAAAAAACAAAGCATCAACGCCAGCAGCAACCACAACAGCTAACATTAGGTATTTGTTATGTTATACAGGCATTGTTGTAGGTGATTGATATTCATTATTTAATCATCACAATATTGCTATTGATATGTGTTAATCATCACAATCCTATTGGTAAATACTATTAGAACATCAATTTTTGATATGAAAAAATGGAGGGACAGAGCAGTTTAGTGACCTACCCAAGATCACACCCCAACCCCAGTCTAGTACAAGAGCCCAAGCTATTAACAATAATGCCACATTGCCTCTCAAAGGACAGAATGGCATAAAATGAGGTTTAGAAAGCCAGATAAACCCCAGGTTATGCAGATTCCTATAGACTATGGTAGGAAGTTTAGATGTCAGTTTACAAGCAATGGAACACTATTGAGTTTTAAGCAAGGTAGGTAGTATGTAATCCATTTTATATTTAAAAGATCATTCTCGCTGCATACAGAGAACGTATCAGAAGGCAATAACATTTGACAGCAAAGTACCCTTTGAGAATAAAATTAGAAGACCCAAAATGTAATAGTTCATTGAAAGAATACATTTTGGCCAGGCACAGTGGCTCATGCCTGTAATGCCAGCACTTTGGGAGGCTGAGGTGGGAGGATCACAAGGTCAAGAGATCAAAACCATCCTGGTCAACATGACGAAACCCCGTCTCTACTAAAAATACAAAAATTAGCCAAGCGTGGTGGCGCACGCCTGTAGTCCCAGCTACTCAGGAGGCTGAGGCAGGAGAATCGCTTGAACCCGGGAGGCAGAGGTTGCAGTGAGCCGAGACAGCACCACTGCACCCCTGCCTGGTGACAGAGTGAAACTCCATCTCAAAAAAGAAAGAAAGAAGGAAAGAATACGTTTCATAATGGCTGGATCAAGCTAATAACACTGAACTCCATGATCAACTTGAACATACAAAAAGAGAAATGGCAAGACAGACATTGCTATGTGCCTCCCTGTGTAACGCAACAGGCAAGAAGCATACCACACCACCCATGACATAGCTTGGGAGGAAAAAAAGTAAAACCTGAATCTCAGCATGCCGAGATCTAGCAACAAGTTCACCACAAACAGAACAGAGGAACATTTTAAAGGATACCATGAGTCTGCCAAATAAAGATTGTGAAAAATTCTACAGGACAAATTGGGTAAATAAACAGCAAGAAAAGGAGGGGAAGGAGGCTGTTATAGACTGAAAGAGATCCACAAACATAACAACCAAATATAATGTGTGGACCATGTTTGAAAGCTGATTTGAATAATCCAATAGTAAAAAAGACATTGATGAGGCAACTGGGGAACTGTGATCACTTATTAGATATTAAGGAATTATTAAGTGATTTTTCTGATATGATAATGGTACTGAAGATGTGTTAAGAGTCCTTATTTCTTAGTAATACACAGTCATATATTTACAGGTAAAATTATATGATACCTGGAATTTACTTTAAAATAATCTAGAGAGGTGCAGGCAGTACAGACAAAACAATATGAGCCACATGTTAATAATTGTTGAAGCCAGGTGATGAATGTATAGGGGTTAATTATACAATCCTCCTTAGGTTTTTGTATACTTAAAACTTTCTGTACACTTAATACAAAGTTTAAATTTAAAACATTTTTAGAAGTCTGTTTAAGCTCCCAAAATCCAACTAAGGTGAGGCTGTAAAACTCCAGCAGGAATGACAGGCTAATGACTAAGTATAAAACCTCCTCCAGGGTTTTGCTGTCTGCTTTTAAGAACATGCAACCCGAAAGCAGACAACTATGTAAGTTAGAACAGGGGATTTATGAGAGGTGATTAGGCAGTGCCTTTAGCACTCTCTAGAAGAGAAGGGGTCCTGACGCAGCTAAGTGGTAGGTCACGATTGATGCAGGAGATTAATGCAGTACCAGATACCCAATCCACTATCCTTTTCCTCAAGCAAGCTTCTGATTACAATCTGGATTCCACTGTGGCATTTGTTTTCCTATGTGAGAATACATTTTTAATGACTTATTAATAAACTTCCATTCTAGTTTATACATCAGTCTCTTTGAGTTTTAGTATGGTAAACCAGTTCTTAAGAGCCCCAAATCAAACATCTTAAATAAGCAATTGGTAAGCTAAAAAGCCCAGACTGGGCAATCTGCTGACCATACCAAAATGCTGTCAGCTTTTCACCATGGACCTTTTTCTTACTGTACATCCTTCACATAGGTAATAGAGCTATTTAATGTTATTTTAAAATGCACTTATAATAAATAGAAAATAAATTTCTAACAATAATAGTTACCATTCATTGAGTAGCTATTAGTACATCAGGCACTAGACCCTTTGTATACATTTTACCTAAATCTTAAAGCTAGATGGGGCACATATTCTCATTTCACAGATGAGGAAAATGATGTTAAGTGACCTATTCAAGATCACACAGCCAAGATGAGGATGGAGCCAGAATTCAAACCTAGATCTGATGGTAAGCCAAACAGCCTCTTAAAATGTTGTAGACTAAATAGATTCCTGTGGTTTCACATTGTTACCAAACCCAAAATATAATCTCTATGAGAACATGTTTAATAATTTGAGTACCTAGTGAATGCCAGGCATTCTGTTAAGAGCTGTGGGGAATACACAAAGAAGAAACATACACAGACTCTATTCTCAAAGACAGTTCATCTAAAAAAAATCTTGTTAATAGAAGATAATTACAATATGAGTGGAAAGTAATAAATGCCATGGGGAGGTAATATATAGCACTATGAGGATTCAGGAGAGAGAGAGATTTCAAAATACGTTCAAGAAACAAACTCATAAAACAGCCAATTTTTAGTTTGACACCGTACCAATGGATTACTGTACTAAGTGGTGGACATTTCTATTTCTAAAGGAAAGAAGAATACACGGCCAAGCAACAGAAGGCTAGGCTCTACCATCAGCTAGCATTGAGACTTTGGGCAAAGTCCTCAGTTGCCTCATTTAAAAATAACACAGGCATCACACCTGTAATCTCAGTTACTTGGGAGGCTGAGGCAGGAGAATTGCTTGAACCCAGGAGGCGGAGGTTGCAGTGAGCCGAGATTGCGCCACTGTACTCCAGCCTGGGCGACAGAGCAAGACTCCATCTCAAAAATAAATAAATAAAAATAAAAATAAATCAATAACACAGGCACCAATTTACAAGAGGCCATTCTGTACTTGAAAACAAAAATAAAACATTAAAAAAATTTAAAGGGCAGAATCTCTAAGGTTCTTTCCTTCATCTACATGAAAAATCTACTTTAAAATGTTGATATATGATTATAGTAATTTTCTCTTCTATTCAACTTAGACTACAACATTCAAAATTACTAAAAGAGAAAAACAGTCCCTCTGGTGTCAAATTAGTACACTTATTGCATAGATGCTACATTTTTTAGGTGAACCGAAATTTCACTCTGATGCTTAGAATCCTCCAGAGATTCCCAAGATCTATAAAGACTGACTCATAGAGGGGACATATGAAGTTCCCTGGCACAACTTGACTTGTAACCTCTAGCAGAAACTGGCTAGGTAAGAGGTCTAGGTTGCATCCCTGTACTCAGCCTGAGGCAGCTAAAGGTCAAGGTGATGTCAATCACTGCAAATATAACCTACAAGAAAATGCTATCTTACCAGGGCAGGGATTTTCTATTAAGTCCACTGCTGTCATACTTCCAACATTTAGAAGAGTGCCAGGCACACAGTAATTACTCAGTAGACATTTGTTAAATGAATTTATAGACAAGGCAATCCATGCCCTCATGATACTTAGTCTAAACTAATGCTACCATAAGAATTTAGAAACATATTTTTAGGTAATATGAGCTTCTTTTATTTATTTTTTTTATTAACTGTTCATATCTTAAACCCCAGTCTGAATAAATTGACAATACCTGACCTTAAAGTTTCCCATAACTGGTAAACAGGTTTAATAAATAAGACCAAATCAGATATTTAAATACTTTTCTGTACTTTAACCAATAAGATGGCTTATACAGAAGAGTTTTCATAAAAACAATATTACTTAAGTGTATCTTATAAAATTTATAACAGTAGAATTAATGATTACTCATCATAAATAATATTTAAAACTCAAATTGCTTACTGAGAAGTAATATTTTCATGGCTCCATCACAGCCCCTAAAATCAGCATAATATTTCAAAAGAATCAATGAAGTCAGAACATTAAATAGACAAGCTTGTTGAGCATAGTGGCTCATGTCTGTAATCCCAGCACTTTGGAAAGCCAAGGTGGAGGGATCACTTGAGGCCAGGAGTTTGATTCCAGCCTGGCCAGTATAGCAAGACCCCATCTCTACCAAAAAAAAAAACAAAAAAAAAAACCATAAAAAAATTAGCCAGGCATGGTGACACAAAAGCCTGTAGAACCAGCTACTTGGAAGGCTGAGGCAGAAGAATCCCTTGAGCCCAGGAGTTGAGGCTGCAGGCTGGGTGACAGAGCAAGACCCTGTCTCTAAAACAGCTAAGTAAATAAATAGATAAATAGATAAGTTTCTTGGAAATATAATACAAGGGAAAAAAAGGAAAAAAAATTAAGTGGATTTTGATTGGAAGGGAACAGATATATTCCATAAAATTATTTTTGGCCTTCAGTAGTACCAAAGCAAAAAAAAAAAAAAAAAAAAAAAAAAAAAAAAAAAGCTTGTCATGCTCTTTATTTAGAAGTTAAAGAATTACAGGTCAGGTGCCAGCAGCTCACGCCTGTAATTCCAGCACACTGGGAGGCTGAGGTGGATGGATCACTTGAGTTCAGGAATTCAAGACCAGCCTGAGCAACATGACAAAACCCCATCTCTACAAAAAATAGCCGGGCACAGTGGGGTGTGCCTCTAGTCCCAGCTACTTGGTGGTGAGGCAAGAGGCGAGGTAGGAGGCAGAAGATCACTAAAGCCCCGGAGGTTGAGGGTGCAGTAAGCCGAGACTGTGCCACTACACTCCAGCCTGGATGACAGAGCGAGACCTTGTCTCAAAAAAAAAAAAAAAAAAAAAAAAGGAGTTAAAAAATACAATTCAGTTGAGTACTAGAAATGTAACTGAATACTCACCCCTCTTGCTTGGGCTTTCTTTATGTTGAAAATCAGCCTGTGTCACATGTGTTGTTATGAGTTACTGTGATACTGGCAATATACATTTGGGGAAGAAATGAAAGGTTTTCCTTCCGATCTCATTTTCTTCTTAACTACTGAACACTATCACAGCAGTTCTGGAACTGCTTAGTCAATTGGTTGTTTTCCTTATGTATGAAATAAAGTAAAATGTAGCAAAAAACCAAAAACCCATAGTAACAATAGCTATGAGTTATTGAGAAGCTACTATGTGAAATAAACACTTTTAACAAACTTGTTTATTAAGCAAACTTGTTTATTTTAATCCTTTCATCTTCACAATTGTATCCCCATTTTACAGATGAGGAAACTGAGACACACAAAACCTAAGTAACTTGCCCAAGATTATGGAGCTAATAAGAGGATCACTAATTTAAATGTAGCCACTACCTGGCTCTAGAGACCTCAATTCATTGCTAAGTTGTTCTGCCTGTACTGTATTGTGCTACACTTTACCATAGTTACAGCTTTTGTGGCCTAAATCCCTTTCCCAAGGTTAAAAAAGTCCTCTAAAGGATCCAGTCCAACAATATAGAGCTTGATAATGAAGTTATATCTTGGATAAAGTAAAATTTATTTCATGTTGAGGCCTCTTTTAACTACTTCTGTCATTTAACAAATATTGCTTAATTTAGTTAAATGCATTCCATCATCATGAAAGTGCCCATATAAAAAAAAATCCACATTGAGGCTGTAATAGAATTAGTACAGGGGTACAGTTACTTTGGGTGAAACTACTTTGACTGAAAAGTGTACCCTGTCTAGAAAGACTAAAAATATTTATCAAGAATAAGGAAGATAGGATAACTTCTGAAACTGTTTCCAAAATAATAATATACTGAATTCTCAGTAAGAATCAGAACAATGTTTAAGTGCTTATACCAATCAATTAACTTCTGTGACTTTCCTAACTATGAAAGAAGGAAAAAAAAAACCCACCGTATTAAAGAATCCCTATACACTTTGGTTCACACGAGCGCAAGTGCTTCGCATGTGGTATGTGTACTGAGCAGTAGCAGGAAATGGGAATATAAATATTAAACGCAGTCGCAGCCCTCAAAAGACCTCTAAGACTTTCCATAGGACTTGGTTTCAGGATGTTTTCCACAGAAAAGCCATCAAATGTTTAAAAAATTGGTGATATTTTGGCAAACTTAATACGTATTAGGTTGGTCTTCCAAGATAAGAAATGTTCTTTATAGAAGGAAAGGGGCCGCTAAGGGGGGAAAAAGTGATACGTATATTAAAATAACAGAATAGAACACTACAAAAATGCCATATACCCACTTCTTGCTTCATTTTCAGCAGAATGAAGAAAACGAAAACTTTGTCTTTTTTTTTTTTTTTTTTTTTTTTTTTTAAAGACAGAGTCTCACTCTGTTGCCCAGGCTGGAGTGCAGTGGCACGATCGTGGCTCAATGTAACCTCCGCCTTCCAGGTTCAAGCAATTCTCGTGCCTCAGTCTCCCAAGTAGCTGGAACTACAGGCATGCACCACCACACCTGGCTAATTTTTGTATTATTAGTAGAGACGGAGTTTCGCCATGTTGGCCAGGCTGGTCTTGAACTCCTGACCTCAGGCGATCGCCTGTCTCAGCCTCCCAAAGTGCTGGGATTACAGGCCTGAGCCACCGCACCTGGCTTGAAAATGAAAACCCTTCTAACTCTACTGTGCTCTTCAGGTACAATAATAACTAGATTTAGACGGCTTCAAGAACACCAGAATGTGTGGCTTCTAATCTCAGCTGGGACCTTTAAGCTCCTCAGCACTGTCTCCCATTCTTCCCTCTATTCCCAAGGCTCTGACCAACCTTTATATCCCTACACTTAGCAGATGGCCCTGCCTTTTATCATTCACTGGAATGTAAGCTCCATGAAGGCAAGGCTCTTTGTTCACAGATCTCATATACTTAGAACACCGCCTGACACATAACAGGTAATCAATGAATGTTTGTTAAAGCAATGAATGAATGGAGGAAACAGAGTCCATCAGCTAAGGAATTCCCTCAGTCTCCTTCTTTAACCTACAAACTATTCATATCCTTTCCTTCGGTCTATGAGGACAATATTTCTCCTACTGAAGGTTAACTCCTCCATCTGTGCTCCATATTGCATTCTCACCCATCTCTTTCTCAATAATTATCCCTCTCTACTCTAATATTTTAAATACACCTTGCCACAGACTCCTTTGCCAGATCCTAAAAGGAATGCTTAATCCCATTCTGTAAACAAAACCAAAAGAATTTCCTGAACCCTAGAGCTTGCTGAGCTACTATTTCAAAGATGCTTGGTCTTAAAGGAGAAGCAGACACATTTCTAGTGTCTGCTCCTCATCCTTCAACACCTTCACTTCATGGCAATTTGATTTCCACCCTACACTTCTCAAACTTCAAGGTAAGATTGTTAAAGGACCATTACTTATCCAATCTAATTATTTCTTGCCTCATTTGATGTTTCTGGTACATGTGATCCTGGCTACTACTCATTTCTTGAAACTCACTCCCTTTCTTGGCTCTTGTGACACTATTCTCACCTGACAGCTTTCTCAGCTGCCCCTTAAATGACTATTCCCAGAGATGCCTGATCTGCTCTTTTCTATAAATACCCTGCATGAGCTCATCCACATTCATAGCTCCAACCAAAAATTACACATTCTGATTCCCAAAACTCTATCCTCAGCCCAGTTCTCTTTTCCTGAATACCAGACCAATAATATCCAACTATAAAGCATTCCCACGGGGCTGACGACAAATATCTCAAGGTTCCTTCAATTTGTCATCTCACCTTGCTACAAACTTGTTTCTCTCCTCTTGGTTCCCTTTATCAACTAATGGCTGACCAAGGCAATCTCTTTTACCTCATAATATCTATCTAGATCACTGTCAACTCCTGTAGACATTACTACTTAAATCTCTTGAATTCAAGCCTTGTTCTACTCTGTTTCAATTCAAGCCATTACTCTTGACTAAATTGCTGCCATTAACCTATCTTGCAATTAAATTTGAGTGTTTCAGCTGGGTGCGGTGGCTCATGCCTGTAATCCCAACACTTTGGGAGGCCAAGGCGGGTGGAACACTTGAGGTCAGGAGTTCGAGACCAGCCTGACCAACATGGTGAAACTCTATCCCTACTAAAAATACAAAAATTAGCCGGGCATGGTGGCAGGTGCCTGTAATCCCAGCTACTCGGGAGGCTGAGGCGGAAGAATCGATTGAACCCAGGAGAAGGAGGTTGCAGTGAGGCAAGATCGTGCCATTGCACTCCAGCCTGGGCAACAAGAGTGAAACTCTTGCCTTCTCCAAGTCCAAAACTTCCTCCATATTGCAGCCTGAGTAGTTGATCTAAAATGCAAGCATGGTAATAACTACCAACTTAAAATTGTTCTGTTGCTCACCATTACTTAACAGCTTCTAAAGTCATATGCAGGAAGAAGTTACTATTCTCCTCTATCATTTCTATTTTTATATGTTTTATTATATACACATTAAATATCTATATATATTAACACAAAGAATACATGTAATTTTATAAATATACACATATGAAGGAAGATGTTCAAAATCTTTGATATGGGTACTGCATCAAAAATATTTGAAAACCATTAATCTAGAGGAAGAGTACAATCCTCTTAACATGACATAGTCATGATCTGGCCTCTATCCTTCTAGTCACATCTCCCTTAACTACCTTAACTTTCTAATTAGCATACTTCACCTCTGAAGCTTTACCTATGCCACCTCTCTACCTAAAATACCCTAACAACCACTCATACATCTTCCCCTCCCCCAACTCTTATTTGTTTGTTAAGGCTCAAAACAAACATGACTGGCTATGTGAAGCTTTCTCTGACCTTCCAAGGTGGAGGTGGGCACTTCCTTCTCTGTGCTACCAAACACAACATACATCTCTATTACAGCACTTAAATCACAGTATTGTAATTTTTTGTTTACATGGCTATCTACTTATCTTTGTACTACCAGTGCCTGGCATGACTCACGACACAAATTAAGTGCTTAACGTTTTTTACAAATGCTCATGAGGCACAGTGTTAGGAGACTGTAGCAACACCTTAGTTACCTGACACAGCTGAGTCAGTGCTCTGTTTTCCTTAGGTTTGGGTTGATGATCAATTTTAAGTTTTTAATTTTAACATGTGCTTACATCATGCATTGATTTTTCAGGTGTTGGTTACAGGGAGAGATTTTTAGAAAGCCAACACTTTATCATCCGCCAAATTCCAATCAATTAACTGTCAACAGTGTCAACACATTCTGAAAGATGCCTTATAGAAATTCAAAAGCTAAGGGCTCGGTGATTCTGGTCAAACATGGCAAATTAATTGTACTCATTTATCTTCCTTTTCCAAAATTCCACTAAAATGAAAGTTAAGGGGAGTGGAAAAAAAGGTATAAACCTATAACACCAAAGACTGTAAAAAGCAGCAGCAGTTCTTAAGTAACTTTAATACAGTTTTCAAAATGTATTAAAGATGGAAAATAGAAGGAATGGTGCCTGGTTTGACAAAACCAAGGAAACTATAATAAAAGTGCCTGCAAAGAGGGAACTAAGTGAACAACCTGCTGGCTAGAATTTAGAGGCAAAGGGACTGCAGAGGAGGTGTGAAGTATGCGACTGAAATGGAGGAACTGACTGAAAGTTTAAATAACAGAGCAATGAAATTCCCACCCCTTCCCACAGTCAATCAACTACCTTTTCCAATAGCAGAAGACAGGAGTGGGGCCTAAAATAGGAGCACCAGGAGAAAGGCTGCAAACAGAACCCTGTCCCCGCAAAAACCTTCCCATTCCTGGCTTTCAGATTACAGCAGATGATATGCCTCATAGGTATATAACAGAAGAATATACTTACCTTGCTCTCAGAATGTCAAGATTAGAACTCTACATTGGAAGAGTCTCCTCTAAAGAAAATGAAGTGTCATAGAAAAACTTACCATCTTAGACAATAGACCTCCCCAAACTTGGGGACCAGCCAAAAGAATTTTAGCCAGTTCACCACCTAAATATCTAAGATGAAGTCCACCAGTGACAGGCCTCACTGATTCACAAAAAGCTTTTAATCACCTTTTTATTATCATACACAGCTGAGGCTCACCAGATATTCCAGAATAGTTTCCAAAATGAAATAAGAAACTAAACGAACAAGAAAGGAACACAAAAGAAAGATAATTCCGCGAATAGAAAAATTTCTGGCCAGGCACGGTGGCTCATGCCTGTAATTCCAGCTCTTTGGGAGGCCGAGGTGGGTGGATCACTTGAGGCCGAGAGTTCGAGACCAGCCTGGCCAACATGATGAAACCCCATCTCTACTAAAAAATACAAAAATTAGCCAGTTGTGGTGGCATGCACCTGTAGTCCCAGCTACTTGGGAGGCTGAGGCAGAAGAATTGCCTGAACCCAGGAGGCTTCAGTGAGCTGAGATCATACCACTGCACTCTAGCCTGGGTAACAGAGTGAGACTTTGTCTCAAAAAAAAAAAAAAAAAAAAAAGGAAAGAAAGAAAGAAAGAAACATGTAGGCTTCAACGACACTGGACAAACTTAAGGATATCTAGACAGAATAACATAGAAGTAAGTAAGATGTCTTCTAAAAGCAGAAAACTTCAGAAGTCAAAGCAGTATCTGGTAGTTTAAAACCATACATTCAGAAATATCAAAAAGCAGAACTCTGACCAAGAAATGGGCATAACTGGTAAGTACTGTTAAAAGTAATCAGGTTTAAAAAGATTAGAGACCAGTTTCAAGTTGTCTTGGATATTTTCCCTTATAAAAAATAGAGCTGGGTGCAGTGGCTCATGCCTGTAATCCCAGCACTTTGGGAGGCTGAGGCGGGTGGATCACCTGAGGTCAGGATTTCGAGACTAGCCTGGCCAACATGGCAAAACCCCGTCTCTACTAAAAAATAAATAAATAAATAAATAAATAATTAGCCAGGCATGGTGTACTCATCTGTAATCCCAGCTACTCAGGGGACTGAGGCAGGAGAATCATTTGAACCCGGGAGGCGGAGGTTGCAGTGAGCCAAGATCGTGTACTGCAGCCCAGGAGACAGAGTAAGGCTCTGTCTCAAAGAAAAAAAAAAAAAAAAAAAAGGCAGCTTAATCAAGTTTTCCTCCCTTAGTTCAAACTTCTAGTTTTTGCAACTTCAAAAGGAAGGGGCAGCAAGCAAGCAAGCATGCTTCAGGAGTCACTGAAGCTTTTGAATGGACAAAAGTTTCTCACGTTTGATTTGTAAGCTTCACTTATCAAATGCAGTCACTCTCAAATAAGCTCCCTGGACCAGCAGCATCAGCATGCCCTGGGAATCTGTTAGAAGAGTAAATTCATGGACCCCATTCCTAGACCCACTGCATCAAAAACTCTGGTGGTAAAGGAAGTCCAGCAACCTGTGTTTCATCAAGGTCTCGAGGTGATTCTGATGCAGGTTCAAAATTGAGAACCACTGATCTAATAAGCATTTCTGCCACTGTCATACTAGACTCTGATGCTCTGGTCTTCCTTCTTCAGTCAAGAGTTAAAGCATTTCCAGGCCAAGTGCAGTGGCTCACCCCTGTAATCCCTGCACTTTGGGAGGCTGAGGAGGGCGGATCACCTGAGGCCTGGAGTTCGAGACCAGCCTGACCAACATGGAGAAACCCGTCTCTACTAAAAACACAAAATTAGCCGGGTGCGGTGGCACATGCCTGTATTCCCAGCTACTTGGGAGGCTGAGGCAGAATCACTTGAACCCAGGAAGCGGAGGTTGCAGTGAGCTGAGATTGCACCATTGCACTCCAGCCTGGGCAACAAGAGTGAAACTATGTCTCAAAAAAAAGAGTTAAAGCATTTCCAAACTGACTGTATCTGACCTACATTAGAGTATCACAGTTGCTAGTAGGAACTCAAAAAATGTTTGCTGAATAAGGGATCAGGCTTCAGATGTCTTTCTTTGGCCAGAGGGTTTTAAGAATACACTGGATATGAATGTTTTTAGGCAGGATCTCTTCTCTTCACTTTCCTACAGTCCCCACCAGTCCCTACTGTCTTCTACCTCATACTATCACACATTTTTCTGCTCAGCCAATGGCAGCATAAGAGTTTGAAAGCTCTGGGAAAAATAATTCCAAAAAATAATTTTAAATCTGGATACAATATGGTCCAACCTTCTCTTACAAGTGAGGAAATCAAGTAACTTACAACTACCTCGGGATGATTCAGAAATTGTACAATATGCTACAATTGGTCCTTCTACTTGCAGGTCTCCACTTTTTTTTTTTTTTTTTCAGACAGAGTCTCGCTCTGTCGCCAGGCTGGAGTGCAAAGTGGCATGATCTCGGCCCATTGCAATCTCCACCTCCCAAGTTCAAGCATTTCTCCTGCCTCAGCCTCCCGAGTAGCTGGGACTACAGGCGCATACCACCATGCCCAGCTAATTTTTGTATTTTTAGTAGAGACGGGGTTTCACTATGTTGGCCAGGATGGTCTTGATCTCCTGATCTTGTGATCTGCCCACCTCGGCCTCCCAAGGTGCTGGGATTACAGGCATAAGCCACCGTCCCCAGCCAAGTCTCCACTTTTAAGCTCCAGGAAAAATATTTCAAGATAGCGTCTCAAGCTTTCTTTTTCTGGTCTGAACTCTTTAGAAAACTAGAGCCTGCCTATGTATTATGTAAATAGATGCATAAGTATTCCAGAGGCTCATGTGCCCAATAACTACAAAGGTAGTTAACAAAGCTGACTGATGGAATTTACATTTTAATATCAACTTTGAAAACTCTATACCAAACACATGTAATAAATCATTTATGAGAAGTACTTTAATGTATTCAAAATACAGTTGACCCTTAAACATGGGTTTGGACTGCACCAGTATACTTACAATAATGTTTTATAATTGATTTTTTTCAATAAATATATTAGAAAAATTTTTGGGGATTTGCTGTAATTTGAAAAAACAGGTTAACTGCATACCTTAGAAGTATTGAAAAAAATAGAAAAAGGCATTATGAGTGCATAAAATATATGTAGATTCTAGTCTATTTTTTCATTTACTACCATAAAATAATACACAAATCTATTACAAAGAATTAAAATTTATCAAAACATAGGCAAAAAACTTACAGACCATACATGGCACATCTAGAAAAATGCAAATACACGTAAAGATGCAGTATTACATCATAGCATAACATTAACTAGTACATACTGTTCTACTGTAATAATTTGTAGCTAACTCCTGTTGCTATTGCAGTGAGCTCAAGTGTTCTGTCTGCTTAAAATGCCACAGTAAATTGTGTATCACAACAGTAAAATCACGGTTCTTGCATATTTTTCATCCTTTTTAGGGCAATACCATAAACTTTGAATAACACCACGAGACCCATATGAAGTGCCACTAGTGATGCTGGAAGTGCTCCCAAGAAGCAAAGTCATGCTATTACAAGAAAAAGCTGAACTGCCTGATATGTGCTGCAGATTGAGGTCTGCAGCTGTGGTTGCCTACCATTTCAAGTTAAAAGAACCCAGAGTAAGGACCATTGCAAAAAAGAAAATTTGTGAAACTATCTCTGTAGCTATACCAGCAGGTGCAAAAACCTTGCACTTTTTGCAAAATACCTTTTTATCTCATATTGAAAATGTGGCTTCTATGTGGGTGAAGGATTACTATTAAAAAAAACCACAGCTATTTAATATGAATCGAGAAAAAGCAGTTTTATGATAACATAAAGCAAAAAGAAGATGAAGGATCTAAAGCTAGAAAATTTAATGCCAGGAAAGGATGGTTTGATAATATTAGAAGAGCTTTGGCTTAAAAAATGTCCAGATAACAGGAAAACAGCTTCTGCCCACTAAAAGGTAGCAGATGAGTTCCCAGATACCATTAGGAAAATCACTGAGGAGAAAGGATATTTGTCTCAACAGGCTTTTAATGCAGATGCTTCTGTCACCACAGACGGCAAAACCAATCCCTCCTCTTCCTCAGCCTACTCAGTGTGAAGACAATGAAGATGAAGACCTTTAAGATGATTCACTTCCATGTAATAAACAATAAATATATTTTATCTTTTTTTTTTTCTGAGACAGAGTTTCTCTGTCACCCAGGCTGGAGTGTAATGGTATGATCTCAGCTCACTGCAACCTGTCTCCCAGGATCAAGCGATTCTTATGCCTCAACTTCCTGAGAAGCTGGGACTACAGGCGTGCGCTACCACACACAGCTAATTTTTGCACTTTTAGTAGAGATGGGGTTTTGCCATGTTGGCCAGGCTGGTCTCAAACTCCTGGCCTCAAGTGATCCGCCCGCCTCAGCCTCCCAAAGTGCTGGGATTATAGGCGTGAGCCACTGCACCCAGCCATTTGTGTGTGTGTGTGTGTGTGTGTGTGAGACAGACAGACACACACACACACACACACACACACACACAAGGTCTGGCTCTATTACCCAGGCTGCAGTGCAGTGGCAGGATCTCAGCTTACTGCATCCTCTGCCTCCCAGGCTCAAGCCATCCTCCCACCTTGGCCTCCCCAGTAGCTGGGACTACAGATGTGTACCACCAAGCCTGGCTAATGTTTGTATTTTTTGTAAACACTGGTTTTCACCATGTTGCCCAGGCTGGTCTCGAACTGGTAAGCTCAAGCCATCTGCCTGCCTGGGCCTCCCAAAGTGCTGGGATTACAGGCGTGAGCCACCACGCCTGGCTCCTTTTCTTAATAACACTTTCTTTTCTTTAGCTTACTTTATTGTACGAATACAGCATATAAAACATATAACATACAAAATATGTGTTAATCAACTGTTTATGTTATTGATAAGGCTTCCAGTCAACTGTAGGCTATTAGTAATTAAGCTTTGGGAGAGTCAAAAGGTAAATGTGAGTTGGTGGGGCAATTAGTACCTCTAACCCCCACCATGTTCAAGGGACAATTGTATAATGCATTATGCGAGACTTACTTACACTAAAATTAAAATGCAGCTTTTTTCAGTACCATCTGTAAGGAAAACAAGATACATTTAATGAACTCACCTATAAGAAACTAAGTTTGCAGTAAAATTAAGTCGTTGTAAACTACTATAAGGAGTTAGAAACCCTTCTCCAAATGAATCTGTATCTATGCAAGCATTCACTGAGGAGCACCTGCTCTAATGGTAAGAGCCCCAAGGAGCTGGGGGAATCCAGCACATGATCTGCCATGTCAAAGCTATATTACCTCCCATAGTCACAATTTCCCTTTGGGCTGCGTCTCCTTCTCCATAAAAAGTACAGTTTAGTGCTAATACTCTAATAACTGACAAGAGAAATACTCCTTACATTTAAACAAGTTTTGCTAGCACTAGAGTAACTACTTCTTTAGCCAATCTTGAAAAGAATAAGATAAAATTTGAGATAAAGCTAAAATTGATACAAATATATGTAAGTATCTAGATGTAAGAACAGTAACAGGTCCTGATAATTTTTTTTTTTTTTTTTTTGAGACAGTCTCATTCTGTCACCAGGCTGGAGTTCAGTGGCGCGATCTTGGCTCACTGCAACCTCCACCTCCTGGGTTCAAGCAATTCTCCTGCCTCAGCCTCCCAAGTAGCTGGGATTACAAGTGCACACCACCACGCCCAGATAACTTTTGTATTTTTAGTAGAGATGGAGTTTCACTATGTTGGCCAGGATGGTCTCGATCTCCTGACCTGGTGATCTGCCCGCCTTGGCCTCCCAAAGTGCTGGGATTACAGACGTGAGCCACCGCGCCCAGCCAGTCCTGATAACATTTTACTGTAATAAATATTTTTTTTAAAACCCTCACTCTTAAAACCCAAGAGAAGTTCTCTTTTTAATACCCTCACCCTTAAAACCCAAGAGAAGTTCTAAAACTTAATATGTTCATTATAGAGAAACTACAAGATTGAGAAAGACTAAAAAACAAAATTTTACAATCTTACCTCCCAGAAATAAACATGGTAGCGCTTTTATGAGTCTCTTTCAAACGTTTTTATGCATATACAGAATTTTATATACTTGAGGTCATACAGAACATCTAATTTCGTATCCTGATTTCTAATTGACCACTGTACCATCTTTGAAAACATTCTTTGGGATAGCTTCTACCACATGAATAGCCTATAATGTAACAACCTAGATTTTACACTGACTACTCAGAATATACAGTTAACCCTTGAACAATTTGTGAGTTAAGGGCATTGACCCATGCTCAGTAAAAAATCTGCATGTAACTTTTTTGTGTGTGTGTGAGACAGTCTCGCTCTGTCGCCCAGGCTGGAGTGCAGTGGCGCAATCTCAGCTCACTGCAAGCTCCGCCTCCAGGGTTCACGCCATTCTCCTGCCTCAGCCTCCCGAGTAGCTGTGACTACAGGCGCCCGCCACCACGCCCGGCTAATTTTTTGTATTTTAAGTAGAGACAGGGTTTCACCGTGTTAGCCAGGACGGTCTTGATCTGACCTCGTGATCTGCCCGCCTTGGCCTCCCAAAGTGCTGGGATTACAGGCGTGAGCCACTGCGCCCAGCCTGCATGTAACTTTTAACTCCTCAAAAACTTTACTCATAACCTATTGTTGACTGGAAACCTTATTGATAACGTAGTCAATTAACACATTTTGTATGTGTATTATATACTGTACTCATACAATTAAGTAAACTAGGGAAAAATAAAACATGTTATTAAGAAAAGCAGGCCAGGCATGGCGGCTCACGCCTGTAATCCCTACACTTTGGGAGGCTGAGGCAGGCAGATCACTTGAGGTCAGGAGCTCGAGACCAGCCTGGAAAACACGAAATCCCGTCTCTACTAAAAATACAAAAATTAGCCAGGCTTGGCAGCATGCGCCTGTAATCCCAGCTACTCAGGAGGCTGAGACAAGAGAATCACTTGAACCCAGGAGGCGAGATTGCAGTAAGCCAAGATCATGCCACTGCACTCCAGCCTGGGTGACAGAGTGAGACTCTGTCACAAAGAGAAAAAAAAAAAAAAAAAAAACAGAGGCCAGGTGCCATGGCTCACGCCTGTAATCTCAGCACTTTGGGAGGCTGAGGCAGGTGGTTCACCCGAGGTCAGAAGTTCAAGACCAGCCTGGCCAACATGGCAAAACCCCGTCTCTATTAAAAATACAAAAATTAGCTGGGTGGGATTCAGCAAGACTCTGCCTCCAAAAAAAAAAAAAAAGAAAGAAGAAAATCATAAGTAAGAGAAAATGTATTTACTATCCATTAAGTGGAAGTCGATCATCATAAATATTCTTATCTTCATCTTCACATTGAGCAGGCTGAGGAGGAAGAGGAGGAAGGGTTGGTCTTGCTGTCTCAGGGGTGACAGCAGTGGAAGAAACTCTGCATTTAAGTGAACCTACACAGTTCAAACCTGTGTTGTTCAAGGGCATCTGTACTAAAATGTTGCAAAATACAATTAAACAGCAATGTCATCATTAATGTCTATTTCCACTATACTAACATATGCATAGCAATAAATATCAATTTAACAATAGTAAAATACTAAATGAAAGCAACAATGAAATACACAACTAAAATCTTACAGATCATCACTTGGGTAAGGAAAACAGCAGCCTGCGAGATCTAGAATTTTTTTTTTTAAATCAACAGAATCTCAAGAAAGACGAGTTTAAGAGTGACTTGGGAGTAGTCCCACTGAGCTTAATGTATACAGAACCCTGGCAATACTCAGTAAACAAGAGTAGGAGGAATCCTCAATCTGTAAACATCCTGGGAGCTGGCAGAGTGATTAAGCAAAGCACACAAATTTTAATGTTAAAAGCCATGAGACAGTGATTCATAACAGAGTAAGAAAGAAAACAGCACTGTTTTACAAAAGAATAAGCAAAAAAAAAAAAAAGGGCACAGAAAGGTAAAGGGATAGGCTAAGCAACTTAAATATTATAATAGGTTCAAAATATTTGTCCCATATACATTTAGGAATGTACAGACTTATCTTCCAGGAAGACTGACTGATAGAAATTCCTAATATGAGTATTTTGAGGTCTTTGATAGTCATGTCCTAAAGATCATTACTAAGAGCCAATGAGGGAAGCTAGAAAGTAACTGGGCAGAAAATTCCAACTCACACAAAGAAAGTCTTGTTCAGAACAACTCTTATAAATACTTAAATAAAACAGAAGAAAGACAATAACTACTTAAGATTGAGATATACGTAAATATAAAAGAATCCAAAAATTTACTTAGAAAAATTATCAGAAAAATAATTGGTATATCCAACTATCGGCCTAATTGCTAGAAATCAGGATTTTCTATTTATGAGCACTAATTCCCCCAAATCCTTTCAACTAATATTGCACATATGTACTGCACTATGAACTTGTGGGTTAGGAAGCACAGCGTATAATACCCAAAGAGATATGTATCAGAGCTATGTCTCTCAGTAGACTTCTATTAAGACTCCCCAACTAGGCTGGGCACAGTAGCTCATGCCCATAATCCCAGCACTTTGAAAGGCCAGGGTGGGTGGAGCACTTGAGGTCAGGACCAACATGATGAAACCCCATCTCTACCAAAAATACAAAAATTAGCCAGGTGTGGTGGTGCACCTGTAGTCCCAACTACTCCGGAGGCTGAGGCAGGAGAATCATCTGAGCCTGGGACATGGAGGTTGCAGTGAGCTGAGATGGTGCCACTTCACTCCAGCCTGGGTGACACAGCAAGACTCTGTTTCAAAAAAGACTCCCCAACTAGACAATGAGAAATTAGGAACAAACCATTCTATGGAAAGGGGGGGAATCATGGACATTCTCCTCTACAGGCCTCTGGACTCTGAGGCATGTGACCACATGGATCCAGACATGCCAATAGACATGACATAATAAACATGACTTTCAATGATCTTGTAAAGTAATGAAATTGTGTTCCCTAAGCACAGTTTTTTGTTTGTATTTAATGTCTACCTAACTCTTGCTTGGTAATTTTACAGAAAGCCCTCAATTCTTACAACTTTTGTGCCTTGAGGACATGGTGCCAACACTTCTCAAAAGATAACATTGAAACTCTTCTTGTTTTATGAAAGAACATTAAAATAAGATGTTCGTAAAGCCAAGCTAATTTTTAAAGCTAATATTAATATTAGGTGTTAAGAGATAAAGGTGATTTTTTAAAAGGTAGAGAAAATGAAAAGGTAAGTGTACTATGAAGATAAAACATTGATTAGATTACTGGTTTTGGGGGGTTTTATAAACAATTTTATTTTCTGATACAAGACAGAAAACAATGACTTTTTGCCTTCCTTTAGTAGTCTACCTTAATAGAAAAAAACATAAATAAGGGTAAATAAGATTCAGTTATTAACTAAGTCAAATGTTAGTTCTATGTATAAAATTATTTTAGCTACGCAAGAGCCATACTGGCTTCACAATCCATTTTTGGGCGGACAAAACCTCACTGAAAGAATAGTAAAAAAGATGACCCTATAAAATTAATTCTATTATCTGAAATGTTTAGCAGACAAAAAAAATTAAATTAATTCTAAATTGTACTTACCAGAGAAGTGAACAAATTTTTAAAAACTTTTATTTATTTATTTATTTATTTTTTTGAGATGGAGTTTCCCTCTGGTTGCCCAGGCTCAAGTGCAATGGGGCAATCTCGGCTCACTGCAACCTCCGCCTCACAGGTTCAAGCGATAAAAACTTTCAAAAACAAGATTTTAAAAAATCCAAGTAGAAGAAAAAGGCAAAGCAAAAAAGATTATATGTGTTGATAATTTCCCTCAAAAATACTGCTTAAAACAAACAGCATTGATTCTTATCAGTTTCATCTTTTTTTCCTTTCTCAGACATTTCATGAAGGAGCACAGAAATGACAAATGTGTTACACTCAGGACAGACGGAAAAAGGAGTATCAAAAGGTATGAAATGCTAAAATTAAGAACATAAGTTCATCAATAAAGTTGACTCTTTTAACAGAGAGTCATTATGGATGTCCTAATTTTATAGACTATGGAGAGGCGTGCTGTAAAAATTAAGATTAAAATACATGATTTTGGCCAGGCGTGATGGCTCACAGCAAGGCAGACGGATCACTTGAGTTCAGGAGTTCAAGACGAGCCTGGGCAACATGATGAAACCCCATGCCTACAAAAAGTACAAAAATTAGCCTGCCATGGTGGTGTGAGCCTATAGTCCCAGCTACTCGGGAGTCTAAAGTAGGAGGATTGCTTGAGTCTGAGAGGTCAAGGCTGCAGTAAGCCATGATGGCACCACTGCACTCCAGCATGGGCCACTGCACTGTCTCAAAAACAAAACCAAACAAACAAAAAAATATATATATATATGATTTTATTCACATACTGAAGACCATTGAATGATTAGCTTTTAAAAAGTTTTACCTACTCTTGGCAGGGCGCGGTGGCTCATGCCTGTAATCCCAGCACTTTGGGAGGCCGAGGCAGGCAGATCACGAGGTCAGGAGTTCGAAACCAGCCTGGCCAATACGGTGAAACCCCGTCTCTACTAAAAAATGCAAAAATTAGCCAGGTGTGGTGGCGCGCACCAGTAGTCCCAGCTACCTGGGAGGCTGAGGCAGGAGAAATGCTGGAACCCGGGAGGCGGAGGTTGCAGTGAGCCAAGATCGCGCCACTGCACTCCAGCCTGGGTGACAGAGTGAGGCTCTATCTCAAAAAAAAAAAAAAAAAAAAAAACCAAAACAAAAAAAAAACAGTTTTACCTACTCTTGCAATACTCATTCAGTAAGATAGATGTGAAAATTTTATCTCAATTCTTCTAGATGGTAGATGGGCTAAAATCTAAATAAATATTCCTTATCACATGTAGATTCTTTTGAAATGAACATATTTAACAGACCTGAAACTTTGCAATGCCTCAAAATCACTCAACTTTTCAAAAACAAACAGAAATATTAGCCACGGGTCATAAGGCATTACAAATATGCAACACAAAAAAACTGCACATTTCATTCCACGAGATACGACCTGAGATATAAATCTATGTAAAATGTTTTATAGTCATTTAAAAACTACATCAGAAAAAAATTATATCAGAAAACATTAAGCACTCGGCACTCATTTTCCCTACTCTTCTGTCCAGTTAGTCATATTAATCTGAAATAACAATCCAGTAACTAAAAATAAATACTTCAACTAAACACTAAAGACTGAAAAAAAAAAAAATCACATGGCAGTAGAGAGGTTAGACCTTTTGGGATATAACCACCTTTTCTTCTGAGATGTTTAATCACTCAAAACTATAAACTATGAATAAGGACAGTTTCTTCTGTCAACCCCTTAACTCCCAAATTCACTATTTTATGACCCATAGTTAGTGACTCTGCTAAGAACATACCATGCTCTTTGCTACATTCTTACCTCTCCAATGAAATGTCCTAATTCTGAAAAAGCCCCGTTCAGCCAACTACACATCTCTCAGTCACCATCCCTCCCCTCCCCACTTCGGAACCTTCCAGGGCCTGCCCAACTGTCCACTTCCTCTACCCAGCCAGAGTTCATTGTTCTGGCTTGGTGTTTCCACAGGATACAAGACACAAAACCAAATTGTAAATGATTTTTAAAATTGCTTTCTTATTCTACTTCCCTGATCATGTTCTTACTCTGCTTAAAACCCTTTAGTAATCTTCACACAGAAGAGAAGTGCTTTTCAAATTACCAGTTGCTAACACAGCGTCATTAAATAAATTGAGTGGGTCACCATCATCAGTCTATCTTAAAAATAAAATAGAACGGAACAGAATAGAAACTACCAGAGTGTACCATACAAAGCAAGGGTATTATGTAGTGACATTTTATCATTTATATACAAGCATATTGGGTTGCAATGTAAAGATGCTTATCTTTCCAACGGGTCATAGCCAAAAAAACCTCTAAACACACTAAACTACAGGATAATCCAATCTTTCATTTGATCTACATGGTTCTCCAACCCAGTCCCTGCATAATAAGGCTCTAGACCTATCTCTTGCTACACCAAAGGGAGCTAGCTCAAGCAAACAAGCTTGTCATGCCAAACTCCTTTGCAGTTCCTCGTTTTAGTGGTGTCAATCACTGTTCTCTCTGCCTTGAATGCCCTCTTATTTGTCTAAGAGGCTCACTTGTACTCATCTTTCAGTATTTAACAACTATCACCTCCTCTACAAAGCCTTTTTATCCTTCCCTCAGCAGCTAATGCCCCCCCAACACACACTTTGTGTCTCCATAATGCCCTACATTATAGCTCCTACAAAATTTCATTGCACATTTTAATTTTAGGCTTGACTGTCTGCCCAACTTCCAAAGTATAAACTCACTAAGGGAAGGAGCACATTGTATTGGCCTTCCTATCAGCAGCACTGAGGTAAGTACACGCACTATAACAAAGGTTCAAAGTTGGTAAAATGAACAAATGACGAATTAAGGACTTGCATCTAAGTTGTCTATTGTCAGATATGATAGGGTGGTTATCTTTGCAATAAAACCCATTTATAGTGCTGGATCAAGATTTTCACATTTTTGCTACAACCCCTAGAGAGCAGAACCCTGCAGTTTGAGGCAGAAGGAGGTGTCAGCTTCCCATCTTTCAGCAAAGAGACTCAGTTTGGGCTGCAATGTAGCAGCACTCATTTCCATGCTTCTGGAAGTTATTTGGGGAAAGAGGGGAAGGAAGGACTCCAGAAGTTCCCATAGGCAGGTGAGATAAATCAGAAACAGCATTAACAGATTCCATTAGCAGGGAGAGCCCCATTTTATGTATAAGTAGCTCTTAATAAGGGAAGGGAGGGAAAGAATTCTTTACCATTGCTGATGGCACTAGGTTGCCAAAATGAGCTAAGTAAAAACAAAGGGTTTCATGAAATAAGTGGTTGAAGTTACTTGATTTCTGTTGCCTACTGTGATAGTTCTGAAATAGCTACTGACTCACTGCTGTCATTATGAGATACTATTTGGAGGTGGGGGTGGGGGTCATACCTAACAGGGGCTCCTCACTGAGGCTTCAAAACTTTTCAGAGACTTCATTTTACATACATGAATGCCTTAATTTTTAGGGGATCTGATACACCTATTTTACAAACCCATACTTTAGTTGCCTTCACTGCAATTAACAGTTCATGCAACATCCAAGATACTTTGACAGACTTTGCCAACTGTCAAGTTTCAGCTGTTCTTCTCCATTTCCAAAAAGTTCATAAACTACTATTAGGGGAGCCATAATTTTTTTCTGCCCAATCACTGATTTTATTAAAAATAATTCCTTTGCTTAGACTGCCCCTAGACTTGCAATAATTATCTACAATTAAGACGAAGATAAATCCTTATTATAACCTAACATTAGTTTAAAAAAAGAAGGTTGTAATATGTGAAACACTTTACCCACAGTATTAAATTTTAGATATCTATTACAGTAAGGTAATTATGGATTGCCAAGGTAAAGCTTTAAAAGCCATTTAAAGCCCTGTTTCCTTTTGCTTGAAATAGGTCCAGGCAGCTATGCTAATTCCACAAACATTTATTAGGCATAAATACGCATAAAGTGTGGAAACGTCAGCAAATGCCTTTGCTGTATGCTCTTCTACTTCCATCTACCCTTCCTCTCTCTACTCAAGTCACTATCAATGAGAAAGGGTCATAGCCCCAAATACAGGCTTTCCAAAAAAAAAAAAATAGCACCACAAAATGCTCGCTCCTTTTTCTCCTCAGTCCATATATAGAACTTTATTAACTAAAGGGCAGATACATTCATTTATAAACAAATTAATTATGCTAAGTGTCTAAATGCATGTTATGTGTGGTGCTAACTTTCCCACTTTAAACAACAGCCCCCTTAGTATTAAATTCATCCTGTCTCTTCAGATTCTAGGCGCTTCAGGAGCCGCGCCTTAAGGTGCAGACATGGCCAAGTCCAAGAACCACACCACACACAACCAGTCCCAAAAATGGCACAGAAATGGTATCAAGAAACCCGAAGCACAAAGATACGAATCTCTTAAGGGGGTGGACCCCAAGTTCCTGAGGAACATGCAGTTTGCCAAGAAACACAACAAGAAGGGCCTAAAGAAGATGCAGGCTAACAGTGCCAAGGCCATGAGTGCACATGCCAAGGCTATCAAGGCCCTCCTAAAGCCCAAGGAGGTTAAGCCCAAGATCCCAAAGGGTGTCAGCCGCAAGCTCAACTTGCCTACACTGTCCACCCCAAGCTTGGGAAGCATGCTCGTGCCCGCATTGCCAAGGGGCTCAGGGTGTGCTGGCCAAAGGCCAAGGACAAGGATCAAACCAAGGCCCAGGCTGCAGCTCCAGCTTCAGTTCCAGCTCAGGCTCCCAAAGGTGCCCAGGCCCCTACAGAGGCTTCAGAGTAGATATCTCTATCTGCCAACGTGAGGACAGGACTGGTGCGACCCCCCGCCAGGCTGCCATCTGCATGGGGCTGTGGGGCTGGGGTCCTCCTGTGCTATTTGTACAAAGAAACCTCAGGCAGGGAAAAAAAAATTCATCCTAAGCTTCCCTTGGTAAAATGACAGGCATTCATGCAGCTTAAAGGTTCTGGAAAACTGATTTTCTTCCATGATGCTACTACTCCACAGTCTAGACAAAATGCAGCCATCAACATGAAAAACTGCTGCTTGATTTTTTTTCCTCCAACATGTTTTAAACAGAGCTGCAGATGCTCAAGGGAAGCCATATTTCTAAGGTTTTGAACAGTAGTATTTTTCAGTATTTTTCTCATTTAAAATTGGTGCAATTCATCCAAAACATTTTTCAAATGCCATTATTTTTCAGCGTTAAGCGCTTAAACTGCTTAGAGTGAAAAAGGTCTCCATCAGAAAGATCGACTTGCAGAAACCAACTAGTGATCATTAAAATGAGGAGGAGAATAAAAAGAAAGCAATTCGTTTTTTACAGTTTGGAGAAATCTTTAAGTCATCTCTAAATCGTTCATTTTACAGGTAAGAAATAGAGTCCACAGAGGTCAAGTAATTTGCCTCAGATCACTAAGCTACTAATAGCAGCGCTAGAAATAGAATGAGGTATTTTAATTACTCTTAGCGGTACCCCCAAATCATGCAAGTTATATATATTCTCATCACTTGTCATTCAAGTTTTTAAAACCATTATAACTTTGTCATTAATTTCTGAGGAACGTCTCCTACAACATGCTCTAAATTTTCAAAGTTATGCATGTTAAACTTCAAATTCTAACTCCAAAAGGAAGGTACTATTCAAGAACTTTCCTCAGAAAGTTTCAAGCGTGTGTACACACCTAAACCATCACGATGAATTGCAGAGTCCATTCTTTAAAACATGCCCCTCAACTACACTTCAGATGTGTTTGTTCAACCACACACACACAAAAAGAGAAAATTCTGGAAGTTCTTCTGCCAAAAAGCAGTGACAACCTGTCAATGAAATCAGATTGCTCCATTAATATATTATGGGTTTCCAGCTTAAATTAGGAAGTGTCACTAGCATTTCATCAACCCACAGTGTGAAGAGTTAATAAAAGACTGGAAAATGCACTCTCAGTTGGCTCTGGGTCCGAAGGAAGGTGTAGATCTGATACTGTTAACTCAAACTGAAGGGCTGAGCTTAAAAGCGAAAAACAAAAGGAGTGAACAAGTTCCTTAAACAAAAAGCTTTTTCCTACGAAATGCACCCGTACCGTGGTGACCGCATCAGTAAGACTGAATTTCAGATTTTCGTTTTAACGCCCCAGTAAATCAATTCTATACATTTTAGCTTTGAATATTCAAGGACAAGACAGAGGGCACGGTGAGGGCAACAATTTACTCTGGATCACTTTCAAGGACTGTTGTCTAACCACTCATTAAAATCGTTCCTTTGTGCAACTGATTATCTAAAAGTACTGAGAGAATGCAGTACTTCTCTTTGAAAGATAACCGTCAGCAAAAGCTAAAATAATGTGATTTTGATTACAAACTGATGCAGCAGTCTGACCAGTAAAGTGTAGAATGCGTTGTCTTTGTAAACATTACTCACAAATCCATATTCAAGTTACAAACGATATATGTGTTTTTAAATTATGACCTCTGGTACCGCTCTACAAAAATGCAAAAATAACCTAAAAGGTTAGCATGCCTATTTCTTTAAAGTATGACCAGCTTAGCAAGGTGGCAAGTTTGTTTGAAAACACAAAACACAATCACCACCACCGCTCAATAATACACATACATAAACAGATTCGAAGCTGTGTTAAGCACAAAAATCCTTACCCCATTTTGCCCAATGAAAACTTGCTCTGAAGTTTCAGCTCTTATGCTACGGAATAACTTCCAAAGGAATTTCTCCGTCTGCTATTTCGCAGTTGCTTTTCCACCCCCACCCCCAGATCCTTGTCCGGAGGTATTTCAAGGATGCTGCCAATTCAATTAGTTCTCTTAGGTAAAATGATTTCTCTCTTGTAAATACCAAAACGTTCAAACAGAGGCGGCATTTGCTTATTCGAGTTAAAATGCTTTGCGGAGGAGACAGCGATCAACTCTATTCCACAAAATGAGTCTACAAGTAGGGAAATGCAGAATCCGGCTTCACCGAGTCCTATAAAAAATGAGTTCGCTGGTCATTTCACTCATGTCCTCCTCGACACTCAGGGAGAGCCAGGTAACTCGGCCTTTTCGGAGCTAAGGCTGCGGGTTCAAATTTCTCCACCACACCAGGTCTCCGGGGGTGGAGCGAGCAACCAAACGCGACGTGCACGTGAATAAAAATCCCAAAAGCAGTAATGCCACGGCTTCCCTGCGCTCACATTAGGAAAAAAACTACACAGGAAAATCTCCTCGAAGTGCAAACCCGGCAGCTCGCAACCTGCACGGCACTCCACATTGGAATCTGTCTTTTTAAATGTTTCTCCTCCTAAGACTCGGAGCAGAGAAGAGGTGGGGAGGACGAAGAGAAGGCTAGGCAGGATCGATTCATTCTCCCGAAGAGAATAAACGGAGCCATTTCCAGGCTGGCAGCAGGCTGGGGGCGCAGCGCACGCCGGAGAGCTGGAGGAGGGGACCCGATCCCACCTCCCTCAGCCCCTTCCCGCCCCCCGCCGCCGAGCACAATGGAGCCCGGCTGGTGCCCGGCCCTTCATTCGCGGCTGCCCCCTCTTCCCTCCTCTCTTCAGAGCACAGCGGGTCTGAGGCTCCCGTCGGCGGAGAATGAATGAATCACAGAGCCAAGCCCCACGCTTCCACTGGCACCCTGCCCCCAGCTCCAGGGCGGGCGAAAGGGGCCGAAGGGTCGACGGGCGCCTGCCCGAGCCAAGGCGGGAGGCTAAGCCCGCGTTGGGGCCAGGAGAGCTGGGCTCGAAGCCGAAGCGCAGCCGCCGCTCCAGCGCCCCCACCCCTACTCCTCGTCTCTCACGCTCCGCGCCGCCGCCACGCGCCGCCTCACATTCCCCGGGCCCCGCCGCCGCCTCTTCACACTTCCATCAGCGCCCGCCTCCGGCTACCGCCGGGCAGAGCAGCGCCAGCCCCGGCGGCCTGAAGCCTGCCGCTGCCTCCGCCTCCGCCGGCCGGCCGGCTGGCAGAGAAGAGGGTGCTGCTTTCCCGGTCAGCGCCGCCGGCGTGAAGCTAGCGCGGCGGCAGAGTGGGCTGCGGGGGGCGGGAAGGGGGCGGAGAGAACGGGGAGCGAGGGCGGTCCCTCCCTCTGCTCGCGGGAAGGGACGGGAGGCGGTGGCCGCCGCGGAGCCGCGGCCGGGGGCTGGGGCGCGGACTGGTCCCGGGAGCCCGACGGGCCTTGCGAGCAGCGGGCCGCGGGAGAAAGCAGCAGCCGCAAGGCGGCGGAGAGGCTGATGGTGGGGGGCCGAGCGGCCCTCGTGGGGAGCTGGGCCGGCGGCAGGCCCTCAGTCCGTTCGTCCTTCTTTTCCCCCCTCCCCTAGAGGCTGGCGGCTGGCTGGCCGTGCGCTCTGCTCCTCCTCTGGCTCTTGGCCCCGCTCCCGACCGCCACAGCCTCCTCCGCGCCCCACACCAGGTGCTCGCGCTGTGTCTCCATCCTCCCCGCAGGAGGACCTTTAAATAGCAACGTCAGCGCGCTTCTCTCCGCACACACGTCACCCGCAGCTCACGTCACCGAGGTGCGGGGGATGATGTCACGCGGCCGGAAGTACTGCTAAATTAGGGAAGGAGCAGGGGGAGGAGGACTCGGCGAGCTCCTGTGTGCCCACCTGCTCTCACTTCTCCTTAAAGGCCAAAGCACAGGAGACAGCCCGAGAGGAGCTCGAACAAGGAAGCGGCGGGAGGAGGAGATTTCCTTGCAACAAATGTGCCAAACCTGAGTGAATCATTCGTAGCAAAAGTGCAGTGTCAAGCGGGTAATAGCCTATCTCCCACTCCCACCGCTATTGCAGCAGCACCCCCGGGCTTCTCTTGTCCTGACTAGCAGGGAAATGTGGGAGGGAGAGCCTGATCACACTGCTGGTAGATGTGCTTCCAACAGGACTTCGGAAAAATCACCTAAATTTTCAATTATAGAGTGCCATTCTGGACATAGTCGACTTTTAAACTTTTTGTTAGTGGTTACCTGAAACACGAAAGAATAAAGAGCAGAGCAATAAGCAAACGAAATAATGTTATAAAGGATAGTAATTTTATTTGCAAAATAGCAGTTTTGACATAGGAAAATGAGTCAATCTTAGTTCACGTATAGCAAATGCCAGTGTGTCCTCTCAGTTTCTCTTCATCAAGAATATGAGTTCCATGACACTTGGCTCCAGCCAGTAAAACAAGAAAGAGAAAAAGTATATGGGTTTCAGTCTGTGGAATTTAAATTAAAATTTAAAAATTAAAAATAAGAAAGAGCACCAAATCCTTTTTCATTAACACAAGCATATTTTCGTCTTCTTTAGTTTTGACCACATAATATGTAATTACAATATCTCTTAAGTGTGTTTTGCATTTTCTGTATGGCAAGGGTGAGTAGCTGTCTATAGGTTTACTAGCTATGTGTGTCTATAAACACCATATTATGAGTGCTTTTTACATTGTAAATTACTACAGAGTTTTTAAATTATTTTAAAGTAATTAGGTTAAAACAATTTTTTAATTAGGTAAATCATATAGTGAACTTTGATTTTATTTTACTTAACTTGATAAGCATGGCCAAGAAATAGAATTGCTGCGTATTGCCAAAGGCCAATACTGTTTCAAGTTAGTCTACAAATTTAGTGACCCTGTTTTCCAGACCAAAATCTAGACACACCATTTGACGTTAGGAAAAAATATTTGAATCTGAAGTGACCTGGAAAATCCAAAACATAGGATTACCAACCTATGAAGTGATTATTAGGAAAGTTATAGATCAATATCAACGCAGTTTAAATAAAAGAAGCTAAAACTCGTTAGAATGTATACCACGTGTGACTTTTAGAAACTGTTTGTAATGTTAAACTACTCACATGGTTCCTAATTAAGGAACATTGGTTTTGCAGCTTTCTGTATTTACATTTTCTTGCTCAAGTTAGGAGTCCAAGATTAAAGAACACCACCAACAACAAAAAAGACCCATTTGTAACTGATTCAAACACTCTGGTCATCTTCACATTATAAAATTATGATCTTGCTTGAAGTTTGAAATATTAAGTCTTTTTTTTGAGACTGAGTCTCGCTCTGTTGCCCAGGCTGGAGTGCAGTGGCGCGATCTCGGCTCACTGCAACCTCTGCCTCCCAGGTTCAAGCAATTCACGTGCCTCGGCCTCCTAAGTAGTTGGGATTGTAGGCGCGCGCCGCCACGCCTGGCTAATGTTTGTATTTTTAATAGAGATGGGTTTTCGCCGTGTTGGCCAGGCTGGTCTCGAACTCCTGGCCTCAGGTGATCCACCCGCCTCGGCCTCCCAGTGTGCTGGGATTACAGGCATTACCCACAGCGCTCACCCTAGTTTTTTACGTTGTTTTGTTTTGTTTTGTTTTTTGAGGCGGAGTCTCGCTCTGCTGTCTAGGCTGGAGTGCAGTGGCACGATATTGGCTCACTGCACCCTCCACCTCCCAGGTTCAAGTGATTCTCCTGTTTCAGTCTCCTGAGTAGCTGGGACTACAGGCACTTGCCACCACGCCCGGCTAATTTTTGTATTTTTAATAGAGACGGAGTTTCACCATGTTGGCCAGGCTGGTCTCAAACTCCTGACCTCAAGTGATCCGCCCACCTCGGCCTCCCAAAGTGTTGGAATTACAGACTTGAGACACTGCGCCCGACCGCGTCGTTTTTTTTTGTTTTGCTTTTTGTTTGTTTGTTTTAAGGTTATAACAAAAGGTTAATGAAAGGCAAATCCCTGCTTGCCAATTTGTCTAATGTATATTATTATCATATTAATCGAAACTTGTACCAATTTGTATTTCAGACAAATGGAGCTTCTTATATCTAAAATGTTAAAACAATAAAACTATCATTCTTCCAATAATGTCATCCCTTGGCAAATTAAAATACAAATTATGTTATTACACTACTAAAATTTCTCTACAAACAATTTCCTACCTAACTAAATAACTTCTCTCTTTCCTGCTCTTTCTCTCCATGTTAATTAAAGCTCTCACTTTACCATTTTCAAACACTTTATTCTACCCTTTCATCACAACTTCCTCTCATTTACAGTCTTTTTTCCCCTCATCTTTACCCAACTGTCAAAACAGCTTTTCAGCTGCTTTCCTGCCTTTAGAGTGCTGACCCTTTGTTAGTTTCTACTTTTCACAACCACATCGTCTCTTCTCAGCTGCTCTTTTATCAACTGAAAATTGAGAGCAGCTTTTTTTCTACATAAATTGAATGGTGCACTGTGATATAATTACTCAAAGTTTATGCAATTATTTAACTTCAGCCTCAATCTAGAAAATTCTACCTATAATTTATTACTTATAGGTATGAATTTCTTGCCAGCTTATATGGGATCAGGATCAGTAAGTACATGTGTCCATGTAGTCAAAAGAATATGTAAAACTTTGAAACATTTTATGTAATATGGCATGTCTTCTCAGAAAAAAATAGCCTTTTCTCCCTGCTTGAAACAATTCCAATACAGTTTTAAGAGGAGTCAGAGAGGCATTCCATGGCTTTCCATCTGTAAGTAAATAAATATCTTTTCTCCTAAGATGAGCTGATGTAACCCAAATTTTAGTTGTGAATTCCCAACCCTGATTTTTTTGTATGTTTTTTAAAATAGTAAACTTCCTAGAAAGTAATATATTTTCTTTTACCGGAAGAGGAAGAAAGTACTTTAGTAGAGTTTCAGATTTTAACAGTTCCTGTTTCCCACTGTGCTCTGAAAATTTGTAGGGCGGTTTATGAATACCCTCTGATTTTAGAATCTGTGGGCGAAGGCATCTGTTTTAGTTACAGAGTTTATTTCCATGCCCTTAATAGGAGATGGCAATCTTCAATGGGGTGTTCATACACTGGTCATGAGATATGTCTTTTTCAATGAAAAGACATCTAAGAGATAGAAAACCTTTGCAGGAAAGAGAGTAAAAGCCAGATTTTATTTTTAATTGCCTTACATTAGATAATAACAACTTGCTTTTAATTACCAAAATACCACTATCAATTCAAATAAAGTCAGATTGAAAAATAAGTTAAAAGATATCTCTCTATATAAAATAAATATCATAATTCCTAGTTTATAATACATAGTCATGAAGAAACTAACCAGCAAAGAGTAAACGTAATAAGAATGAAAGAGTTGCAGGGAAACAGAATTTATCCAGTGACTCTCCAAAATCATCCCACTTCCTCCATTATATAGCAGATACCGGGTACCATTGAGTTGTGTATGGCCTGTAATAAGACCATCTTTTATTGTCAGTAATGTTCTGAACAGAAGCAAAGTAGTTAAACAGTCTGAAGGGTGGGAACACAAGTGTTTGGCATCTTCAAGGCAAGGCTTGAGGACAATTTATTACAGAGGTTTGAAAGTGGTAGAGGAAAGGAAGCTAAAGAATTAGCCTTAGGAAAACTATGGTAGATAGCCATGGGAAATGATCTCAGAACTACCTCCTGCTCTGATTTTTACTGTAAATTCATTTTCCAAATATGGTCAGAGGGATACAAATGTAATCCTAGATAGTGAAAGAGGGTACTAGAAAGTTTTCAGTTAGCTGCTGTTGAGGGCCCACATAGAACAAAATTAGAGGAAATGGTAGTACAACTGTCTATATAACATTTTTAAAATATTCAGAAAAGATGGGGATAAGGTACCTTTGAAAAAATTGTCTGGCTTAACCTGGGTTGGTTGGTTGATTGTTTTAAGCAGGAGTTAGAGAAAACAGGCTAGAAAAATACGCAGATCTGCAGAGAACTACAGTAAAGAATGTGGAGTAAAGGTTGTGCTGTACCTGTGCAGTTACTTAGAATGGAATGCTGTGGAAGCTGATTGCCATGGTAACCAATAGTCTTTTTCCTGAATGGGGGAACAGAACAACCATGAGGAAAATGTTTTAAATGAACTACCTTATTTTGTGACTGTTATGGTGCCAACTAAAACAAAAACAACCCACAAGGTATTTAGGACAATCATTCTTATGGAAGGAAATGGCCTTCTTTTCAGAGAGACAAGGCTGAGGCAGAAATTCTGGAGCATTTCAAAGAGAGATGGGGCTTTAAGATGGCAATTGCAAACTCTCTGAAGCAGAACATAATGGATAGATATTATATTTATGGCTAAAGCAGGCAGAAGCAAGACCTAGAACTCGTGTTAAAGTTTCTCCCAAGCAAAAGAATCAGAAATAAATGAAGATTCTCAACACTTGAGAGTTTCAGCCAAAATATTTCATGAATTATTTATGAGGCTTTTTATTTTTTTAAATCTTGTTCTAAATTTTAATTTCTCTAAATATTAAATGGAAATGGTAAATGTATCTGTATTAGTTAGGGTTCTCTAGAGAAATAGAACCAATAGGGTATATATATAGAGAGAGGTAGGCAGGTAGGTAGATGATTGATAGACATAGAGACAGATGTGATATTTATTATAGGACGTGGCTCATGTGATTATGGAGGCCAAGAAATCAATGTCTGAAGCTGGAGAACTAGGGAAGCTGGCGGCATAATTCAGTCTCAGCCTACAAGGCCTGAGAACCAGGGAAACCAATGTTGTGACTCTCAGCTCAAGGCTGAAGGCCTGAGAACTTGGAGTTCTGATGTCCAAGAACAGGAGAAGGCAGATATCCCAGCTCCAGAAGAGAGAGAGAATTTGCCTTTCCTCTGCCTTTTTGTTCTACCCAGGTCCTCAGCAGATTGGACAGTGTCCACCTACATTGGTGAGGGTGGATCTTCTGTACTCAGTCCACAGATTCAAATGCCATTCTCTTCTAGAACCACCCTCAGATACACCCGGAAATAACGCTTTACCCGCTACTTATGTATCCCTTAAGCCAGTCAAGTAGATGCCCAAGATAAACCATCATATCTTTAGTCAATATTTATTCTATTATTATTATTATTATTATTGTTTTGAGATGGAGTGTCGCTCTGACACTCAGGCTGGAGTACAGTGGCACGATCTCGGCTCACTGCAACCTCCGCCTCCCGGGTTCAAGCAGTTCTCTGCCTCGGCCTCCTGAGTAGCTGGGATTAGAGGTGCCCACCACCATGCCTGGCTAATTTTTGTATTTTTAGTAGAGACAGGGTTTCACCATCTTGGCCAGGCTGGTCTTGAACTCCTGACCTCAGGTAATCCACCCACCTCGGCCTCCCAAAATGCTGTGATTACAGGCGTGAGACACTGCACCCGACCTATTATTTTTAATAACAAATCATATATTTTTATCATATGTATCAGTAGTCCCCAACCTTTTTGGCACCAGGGACCGCTTTTGTGGAAGACAATTTTTCCCCTCGGTAGGGTGGGGGAGATGGTTTCAGGATGAAACTGTTCTGCCTCAGGTCATCAGGCATTAGTTAGACTCTCATAAGAAGCTCACAACCTAGATCCCTTGCATGCGCAGTTCACAATAGGGTTCACGCTGCTGTGAGAAAGAACCCTGAAACTTCATGCTCCTAGGGTTCACGCTGCTAATTGGACAGGAGGTGAGAGGTGGAGCTCAGGCAGTAATGCTCACTCACCCACCACTCACTTCCTGCTGTGCTGCCTTGTTCCTCACAGGCCATGGGCCCATATCAGTCTGTGGCCCAGGGGTTGGGGACCCCTGATATATATGATGAAATACATGATGAAAATATAGTTTTCCCATTTTGATTAGGTCATCTGCTAAAATCTCTTACACTTACAATAAAATCCAAATTCCATGCCTTGGCCTAAGAGGTACTGCATGATCTGGCCCCTGCTCACCTCTCTTACCTTGGTTTCCATTACCCGCTCCATTGCTAGTGTGTGGGTTGGTGCCTTGTCAACTGCATGAGCAAAAACTCCAGGTAATGGTGACTTAACCTATAAGGTCATTTTTTAATTTGCTTATTAAAAAGAAGTCTGAAGGTAGGTGGTCTTAACAATTGATTTGGAAAGTCCAAGGTGTCATTAGAATCTTTCCATCCCTTTACTTTGCTATCTTCATGTGTTGTCTTTTAAACCTGGATTGTTGTCCCTTTCTTTTTTAGAAGATTATTATATTTCCAGGCATCACATTCAAAGAACACCCAAAGCAGGAAGGGAAGGAAGGAGACTGAGTTATTTTCTCTTTTATGGCTACTTTTTTTACCAGGGAGAAAAACTCTGAAGGGACCTCAAGAAAATTCCTTCTCATGTCTTGTTGGCCAGAACTAGAGTACATGCTCATCCCTAAATCAGTGATTGACAGTTTGGAACTGGATTTTCTTGATTGGCTTAGGCAAGTGGTGGTTCATCCCTTGAGTCTGCCTATTGTGACTGAACCAAATTAAAACTCTCAGCATGGAAGAAAGGCCAGTGGCTGTTGGGCAAGCAAACCACATATTTGCCACACACCCTGAAGCCACTCATATTCCTGCTGATCTTCAAGTATAACAAGCTTGCTCCAAATGCAGGGCCTTTACGCTTTTTTTGTTCTTTCTGCCTGGAACACATATGTCCAAGACCCTCACATAGTGTGCTCCTCCTTGTCATTGAGTTCTGTGCTCAAATTACATCTCTTGAAAAAGATCTTCTTTATAAAATATCTGTACATCCATCGCCATTAATCTTCCACTTAATTTGCTTTATTTTCTTCATAGTATATTCAACACTAAAATAGTATTAGATGTTAGTGTACTCATAGAATAGAGCCCCATGAAGAGGAACTTTGCCTGTCTTGTTTACTTTCCTGTCTGTAATAGCAAGACAATGTTTAGCACATAGTGGGTGTTCAATAAATGATTATTGAATGAATAAATTTGCTAGGACTTTCAGTTATCCTTAGGTAGAAATTACTTAAGTCAGGGTTCCTTTTTTTTTTTTTTTTTTTGAGACAGAGTCTTGCTCTTTAGCCCAGGCTGGAGGGAAGTGGTGTGATCTCAGTTTACTGCAACCTCCGCCCCCGCCGGGGTTCAAGCGATTCTCCTGCCTCAGCCTCCCGAGTAGCTGGGATTACAGGCACCTGCCACCACGCCCGGCTAATTTTTTATATTTTTAGTAGAGATGGGGTTTCACCATGTTGGCCAGGCTGGTCTCGAACTCCTGACCTCAGATGATCCACCCACCTTGGCCTCCCAAAGTGCTAGGATTACAGGTGTGAGCCACAGCGCCCAGCCTAGTCAGGGTTCTTAACGAGGTAGCTAGAGCAAACAACAGCATCTGCTGTAACTAGAACACAGGGATTTAGTAGGATAGTATACGTAGCTCATAGAATCATTGGGAGAGCTGGGGAATTCTCCTGCTGAAGTCCCAGGAACAAGAACTTGTAGGAAACAGAACACTCAAATTAGGTATTTTGAGTCATGCTTAATAAAAATTACTACTTTTTTTTTCCCCAGAGACGGGATCTCGCTCTGTCACCCAAGTTGGAGTGCAGTGGCATAATCACAGCTCACTGCAGCCTCAGCCTCCCAGGGTCAAGTGATCTTCCTGCCTTAGTCTCCCAAGTAGCTGGGACTACAGGCACATGCCAATACGGCCAACTAATTTTTGTATTTTTTGTAGAGATGGGGTCTCACTATATTGCCCAGACTGGCTCAAATTCCTGGGCCCAAGCAATCCTTCCGCCTCGGCCTCCCAAAGTGTTAGGATTACAGGTGCGAGCCACTATGCCCAGCAAAATGCTACTCTTTACAAAGGTGGGGCACAGTATAGGAAAACCATAAGAGAGAGGAGAGTGCCTGGCATAGCAGCACAGACTGTCCCCTCTGTGCCTGAAAGGACAGGAGGAAGGAGCAATGGATGGAACCTGGAGACAGAGATGGCTGTGTGGAAAGCGTTGTCTGAAGTAGCTATGTCCTTTGCTTAAAGGTCTCAGCCAGCTCAGAGACCCCACAAAGAGACAGCCCAGGAAATGAATAACTCAACTTTACTCTCCTTCCCACCCCACCCCCCCCCCCATCTCCTGTTGCATTCCTCCTTGTAAAACTGACATATGGGAAGCTAGGCAGAGGAGCCCAGTGATGCAGTCCATGTTGGTCTGGGGCAAGGAGCAGGAAAAAGAAGGCTCAAAGATGGATCTGGAGAGGGAAACTAAAGATATCCAGTCCAAATTCTATTCTATTCAGCTATTAGATTAGCAATTATTTTAAAGTTTGGCATGTGGGAAAACAAGCACTACCACACAGTTAGTAGGAGTGTAAATTGGTATATCCTTGAAGACATATATAAATTTTGACACAGCAGTTCCACTTTAAGAAATTTATCCTACAGATATGCTTTTTCAAGTGTTCAAAGAAACACATAGATTTTTTTGTATTGCTTTAAAATGAAAAAAGGGAGAGGAGACAACCTGTATGTCTATCAATAGAGGACTGGTACAATCATATAATAAAACACTATGCAGCTATTTAAAAGAATGAGGTAGATCCATAGTCCTGATACGGAAAGATGCCTAATACAGAAAAAAATTCTAGATGGATATAATAAACTGAATTGTGGTTAACTTGAGAAAGTGGGAATGTAAATTTGAGATTTAGAGAGGAGAGGAGGATTTTTAAAAAGATTTCTGTAACACCATTTGTATCGTTTGCATTTTTTTGTAATAATACAAAACCAAACCATATTACTTGGAAAATATTTAAAATACACAAATATGTTTAAAATTCAATTGTGGGAGGATAGAATAAGACATTAATATACACTTAATTTTCCTATCTTCCTCTCCTTTATATCCTTTTTGGTAGAAAATACTGTAAGTTGACTGGGCGCAGTGGCTCACGCCTGTAACCCCAGCACTTTGGGAAGCCAAGGTGGGCAGATCACCTGAGGTCAGGAGTTCGAGACCAGCCTGATCAACATGGAGAAACCCTGCCTCTACTAAAAATACAAAATTAGCTGGGCGTGGTGGTGCATGCCTGTAATCCCAGCTACTCAGAAGGCTGAGGTAGGTGAATGGCTTGAACCAGAGAGGCGGAAGTTGCAGTGAGCCAAGATCGTGGCATTGCACTCCAACCTGGGCAGCATGAGCAAAACTCTGTCTCAAAAAAAAAAGAAAAAAGAAAATACTATAAGTTTACAACATACATTTATGAAAAGAAAAGTTTGAAATAAGGTATTTCATTGGAAGCAGTAATTCTATTGTATTCATCGAAAAGTTTGAAATAAGGTATTTCATTGGAAGCAGTAATTCTATTGTATTCATCACTGATGAAACCAGATCTGGATATTCTATTTTAGGAGAGATACTGATGAGATGGCAGGATAACTAAGATGGTGATGACCAACCAAGACAAGGCCATGTGAGCATGGATGAAGACAGATGTTTAATTTGCTGAACACAAAATCAAGGGGAGATATGATAGTTGACTTCATAGAAGGGCTATCACAAAGAATAAATAATAGCTATATGAATATGTGCTCCATGAGATAGTAAAGAATCAATGGTTTAAAAAAGTATTACAAGTCAGGTTTCAGCTCAATATGAGAAAAAATGCGAAAACAATTAGATCTATGTCAGTAGAATTGGTTGTCCTGAGAATAATTGGCTTAGATCTTCTTCACTAGATCTGAAGCAGAAACTGGCTGCATGATCAATTGTTGGATTGATATAGAAAAGATGCTTGTGTCAGATAATAGGTTAAAAACAAGGCCCCCAAGTTATCTTTCATTCAAAGTTTTATGACAACTCAAGTCTGAGCTCACATCAAAGTTGTCCTTCACTATTAGCTTCTCTACATTGTCTCCTTCAAATGACTCATTCTTTCCACTAGTGTCAGTCATTGTCACTGCACAACTTAGTTTTGACATTGTCTTCCACGCTTGATTCTCACATCTAGCCCACTGAAATGGTCCATTTGCATGTTCTTAAAAAATCAAAGTGAGAGCCGGGCGCGGTGGCTCATGCCTATAATCCCAGCACTTTCGGAGGCTGAGGCGGGTGCATCACGAGTTCAGGAGATTGAGACCATCCTGGCTAACATGGCAAAACCCCGTCTCTACTAAAAATACAAAAAAAAAAAAAAAAAAATTAGCCGGGTGTGGTGGCAGGCGCCTCTAGTCCCAGCTACTCAGGAGGCTGAGGGAGGAGAATGGTGTGAACCCAGGAGGCGGAGCTTGCAGTGAGCAGAGATTGCACCACTGCACTCCAGGCTGGGCGACAAAGCGAGACTCCATCTCAAAAAAAAAAAAAAAAAATCGAAGTGAGTAAAGCAAGTTAAACACCTTAATTCCCCCCCATACTCTTCCTCTTGGAATTCTTCCTTTTTCTGTACATGATAGTAAGCAAGGCTAACAGATTTGGATGATAAAGAAACAAGAAGCCCTTTTACAATTTAGACAATTTATTACTCACATAGATAGCAGGTAAGAAAAAAAAAAACAGCGAAAGTGCCAGTTCTCCTATGTCTCTTGTCTCACAGGACGACACAGAAACAATTTTTTATGACAAGGCAACATGAATAGTGGGATACCCTGTTGCTGAAGAGTCAATTCTATGAGGCTACTAAGCAGTTTTACAGTTGTATGCTAAGAGGGGAAGGAAGTTTGTATAAAACAAAATTTGGCCAACCTTTGTATTCATTGTGGGTCCTTAGACCATACCTGAGTTTATGCTAATGAAATTACTCAGGACAGGGGTAGGCCATACCAGAATTACCAAGCATGTGATTAGAGGATGAGGGCTTTGAGTAAGATATTATTAGCCCAGTCTCTGAGAAGGAGAAAGGGGCTAGGGATTGAGTTCAGTTACATGGCCAGTGAATCAATCCATGATCCCTATTTAAAGAACCACCAATAAAAACTCTGGATGCTGAGGCTCAGGGGGACTTCCCTGGTTAGTAGTCATATATTGGTGTGCCAGGAAAGTGTCCTGAGGACACAGAAGCTTCACATTTGGGACCCTCCGAGACCTTACTCTATATGTCTTTTTAGTTGTCTGGTCCTGATTTGTGTCCTTTTTTTTTTCTTTTTGAGACACAGTCTCACTCTGTCACCAGGCTGGACTGCAGTGGCATGATCTCAGCTCACTGCAACCTTCACCTCGCGGGTTCAAGTGATTCTCCTGCCTCAGCCTCCTGAGTAACTGGGTCTACAGGTACGTGCCACCATGCCCAGCTAATTTTTGTATTTTTAGTAGAGATGGGGTTTCACCATGTTGGCCAGGATGGTCTCCATCTCCTGACCTTGTGATCCACCCACCTTGGCCTCCCAAAGTGCTGGGATTACAGGAATGAGCCACTGCACCCGGCCTTGTGTCCATTATAATAGAACTATAATCATAAGTATAGCACTTTCCTCAGTTCTATGAATCATTCTAGCAAGTTATTTAATAGGAGGGGATGGTGGGAAACGCTGAGTTTGTAGCCAGTTCATCAGAAATGTAAGTAGCCTGGAAACTCCTGATCTTGTATCTGAAGCGAGGTCAGTCTTGTGGGACACTGTGCCCTTAGCCTGTGAAACGTTACCTAACTCCAAATAGTTAGCATGATAATTGCATTGCAGAAGGAAAAACCTCATACCTCCTCAGAACCCAAGAGACAATGAGAAACTGTCTCATGACACCCTCCTGAAAGATAGGAAGGCAAGTGAGAAATGGCCTTGAAGCAATTCCTCCCAAGCCTCCCATGGTCTCACGTTCCAGGAGGATCACAAGATATTCTGCCAAAATTTATGTCAGCTACAGTTAAGGCTTGCATGAAAAAAGGTCTGGAAATATGTTTGCCAAAGTAATGGGCTGGGCACGATGGCTCATGCCTGTAATCCCAGCACTTTGAGAGGCCAAGGCAGGAGGACTGCTTGAGTCCAGGAGTTCAAGACAAACCTGGCCAACATAGAGAGACCCTGTCTCTACAATAAATAAAAAATAAATTAGCCAGATGTGGTGGTGAATACCTATATAGTTCTAGCTACTCAGGAAGCTGAGACAGGAGGATCGCTTGAGCCCAGGAATTCGAGACTGCAGTGAGCTATGATCATGTCACTGTGCCCCATCTTGGGCAACAGAGCAAGATCACGTCTCTAAGAACAAACAAACAAACAAACACCCAAAGTGGTGGCAGTTGTCACTGAGTCATGGAATCTGAAGACTTTGGCTTGCTTTTTGCTACCTTTCTTCATTATACTTTATAGAGGCAATTTAGGGTGTGGTTAAGTATAGACTCTGGGGACATCCTGCCTGGGTTTGAATTTCACCTCTGTCGTTTAGTAACTTCATGTTCTTGATACTGATCCACTAACCTGCCCTTTCAATCCAAGGGCTCAGCCAGCTCCAGTCTCTCCTAGGAGTGCATTCACCTCTTTTATTAATACCGTCTTCATCTACAAGAACATCATGTGGAACTATCATTTTCCTTCCTGAAATGAAGATATAATATATCCATGATAATGCCCTAATTTATCATCTTTGTTTTCCCATTAAATTTTAAATAACCCAATGAACAACAACAACAAAAAAATTCTAGCTTGCCATGATTGGTTTCTTGGCAAACCAAGACTTCAAGCAAATTGCTTAGCTCTGGATGCCTAAGCTTTCTTATTTGTAAAATGGAGAATAAATAATAGTCCTTACCTCATACAGTTGTGAGGATTAAGTGAATGAAAACAAACAAAACCCTTGGAACAGTGCCTAGTACACAAAAAGCACTCAACAAATGTTAGCTATTTTTAAGACTTTTATATGTTATTTGATTTGTGTAGTGACTACATGTCACTGTAAACAAATCCAATTAAAACATACAAAAATGTCAAGTTTTCTGTTTATATCTCATTAATTTACATTTTTCAATTCACGACTAGACTTATTAGCCACTTTTTTTTTTTTTTTTTTTTTTGAGACAGAGTTTTGCTCTTGTTGCCCAGGCTGGAGCGCGGTGGCACAATCTTGGCTTACCGCAACCTCCGCCTCCCGGGTTCAAGTGATTGTCCTGCCTCACCCTCCTGAGTAGCTGGGATTACAGGCATGCTAATTTTTTTGTATTGTTAGTAGAGACGGGGTTTCATCATGTTGGCCAGGCTGGTCTTGAACTCCTGACCTCAGGTGATCCACCCACCTCAGCCTCCCAAAGTTCAGGGATTACAGGCGTGAGCCACTGCGCCCCAAAATAGCCATATTTTTGCCTATCATCATAACATTTCATAGTCGCCATGTAGAGAAATGGGATAAGTTTAAGCTAGAGAAAGCATTTGAAAACTGAGATGAATATCTTAGATGAATATATACATATAATTTTACTTAAAATTCTTTCACCACCACCTCCAAAATAAACCAAAGTTAACATTTTGGTCTTATATATATTTAAAGGGAGCACATTAAAATGTTCATTATATTTTATCTCTGGTTAATGAAAGTTTGTATACTCTTTATACATTTATACATAGTGTAAATTCTTTCAAGTGAGCATGTATTACTTTTTGGAATCAGAAAAAAATGTTATTTTTAAAGATAAAATTATTTTTATCAGAGTTCTTTTCGAACTGTGCAAAGAAGAAAGAAACATAAAATACTTGAGATTCCAGTAACATGAGAGATTACTTTTGAAACATTCTGAAATTATATTTTCTATTGGTTTTTAACAAGATTTACAACCTACTCAAAATGCAGTAGAGTGGGCACCACAAAGCAAATTTATTTGAAAGCACCAGAATCAGCACATGAATAGTCATGACATTCAGCAACATGTCCCTGTTGAAAAACAATTTTAGAATCTATAATGTTGGTTGTTGTACTAACAGGGTAAGCTGCATGTAGAATAAAATGAAAAACATCTTAAAAGTAGAGATTAAAGATGATTAGAGATTAAAAAAGAAAATATTTTAATGAAACTGCCGTTTGTAATGTTAATACTAATCACACTCAAATACAAACATGAACTTTGAAAATATCAGTAAATTCTTATATAGGGCTATTAAGAACATGAATTTTGGAATCAGATGGATTTTGAGTTTGAGTCCTCTTGGCCCAGCCATGTAGCACGGGATGTGTTATTTCAACACATCATCTCTGAGCCTCAGTCTCCCAGATTCTAAGATATGAATAATTATAGTACCTGAAGGATTTGTTGTAATAATTAAATGAAATATTTACTAAGCAAATGCTTAGTAAATGCACTCTTTACATATGAAAGATAGTTGTCAGTTTTCTGTTTCTTTTACTGATGTGAAAATTAGTTGCATTTTTTCTACTCCTTGTATTACCTTATAATCAGCTACTTAAGAGGAACTATAAAATGGAAAGGGAACATTAGACTATGTAAGAATTAGGGAAACTAGCTCTCTCTTCCACCGCCCAAGATGCCAAAAGGAAAAAAGGGGAAGAAGGTGGCTCCGGCCCCTGCTGTCATGACGAAGCAGGAGGCCAAGAAAGTGGTGAATCCCCTGTTTGAGAAAAGGCCTAAGAATTTTGGCATTGGACAGGACATCCAGCCCAAAAGAGACCTGACCTGCTTTGTGAAATGGCCCCGCTGTATCACGTTGCAGTGGCAGATAGCCATCCCCTATAAGCGGCTGAAAGTGCCTCCTGCGATTAACCAGTTCATTCAGGCTCTGAACCACCAAACAGCTACTCAGCTGCTTAAGCTGGCCCACAAGTACAGGCCAGAGATAAAGCAAGGAGAAGAAGCTGAGGCTGTTGGCCTGACTGAGAAGAAAGCTGCTGGCAAAGGGGATGTCCCCATTAAGAGACTACCTGGCCTTTGAGCAGGAGTTAAGACTGTCACACCTTGGTGGAGAACAAGAAAGCTCAGCTGCTAGTGATTGCACACAACGTGTGGCACACAACGTCTGGTTGTCTTCCTGCCTGCCCTGTGTTGTAAAATGGGGGTCCCTTACTACATTATGAAGGGGGAAGCAAAACTGGGACATCTAGTCCACAGGAAGACCTGGATCATTGTCACCTTCACACAGGTTAACGTGGAAGACAAAGGAGCTTTGGCTAAGCTGGTGGAAGCTATCAGGACCAATTACAACATATATGATGAGCTCCGCCATCACTGGGAAGGCAATGTCCTGGGTCCCAAGTCTGTGGCTCATATTGCCAAGCTTGAAAAGGCAAAGGCTAAAGAACTTGCCATCAAACTGGGTTGAATGTACACTGTTGAGTTTTCTGTACATAAAAATAATTAAAGTAATACAAATTTTCCTTTAAAAAAAAGAATTAGGGAAACTGACTTCAAATTTCTGAAATGTATTCTTTTTTTTTTTTTTTTTTTGAGACGGAGTCTCGCTCTGTCGCCCAGGCTGGAGTGCAGTGGCGCGATCTCGGCTCACTGCAAGCTCCGCCTCCCGGGTTCACGCCATTCTCCTGCCTCAGCCTCCCGCGTAGCTGGGACTACAGGCGCCCGCCACCACGCCCGGCTAATTTTTTTGTGTTTTTTTAGTAGAGACGGGGTTTCACTGTGTTAGCCAGGATGGTCTCGATCTCCTGACCTCGTGATCCTCCCGCCTCGGCCTCCCAAAGTGCTGGGATTACAGGCGTGAGCCACCGCGCCCGGCCTCTGAAATGTATTCTTTTAAAGCAGCCAAAACCTGTGTGTTTTTCACACAGGCATACCATACCAACTCTGTGATCTTATGCAGTGTAAAAGGAAAGCAAAACAGAGACCCTAGCATACAAATGGAAAATATTTTATACTTCATGTTCCATAATCTCTGAATCCTTCTGAACTAAGCTACATTTTGGTCTTTTTCATCTATAAACGGGAGTGCAGATTATCATTGACATGGATTTATCACATAGGTACGGGGATAAACTCGTGGCCTTTTAAGAATGCCTTTTCTTGGCCGGGGGCCGTGGCTCACGCCTGTAATCCCAGCACTTTGGGAGGCTGAGACAGGCGGATCACGAGGTCAGGAGATTGAGACCATCCTGGCTAACACGGTGAAAACCCATCTCAACTAAAAATAAAAAAAAATTAGCCAGGTGTGGTGGCAAGTGCCTGTAGTCCCAGCTACTCGGGAGGCTGAGGCAGGAAAATGGCGAGAACACGGGAGGCGGAGCTTGCAGTGAGCCGAGATGGTGACACTGCACTCCAACCTGGGCGACAGAGCAAGACTCCGTCTCAAAAAAAAAAAAAAAAAAAAAAAAAAAAAAGTGGCCATTTTTCCTGTATCTTTGGGTCTTCATTCTGAAGGATTCCATGGCATGTATTATAAAAAAAAAAAAAGAGAGAATGCCTTTTCTTGCACAAGGCTCACGTCACCCTTCAAAGACCTTAGGAAATCTCAATCAAAGTTGGCCTTTAAAGCTTGCCCATGAGTTAACTGAGCTCGTACATTAGGGTACCTAACTACAATTTTCAGCTAAACCTCCAGAAGGCATTTACCCTTAAGGGAAAAGCCTGTCTTCATAGTTCTTCTGTCCACCCCACTCCTATAGAAGACTTCTCTGGAATGACAGGACATTCCACATTTTAGAACCAGAGAGAATAGCCACCTCTATCCATTGCACAAAACCTACTTTAGAATGAACACTGAGGCTTCAGCTACATGGAGCTTTCCTTTTGGCCATGGCACTCCCTTAACTGACAGCATCTCCCTGTGATCCCTTTATTTAAAAAGGGAATCAACACTCCTGGACATTTAGTGTAAAAGAATGGAAGCTGCTACCTTTCTGCCTACTTGCCCGAACTTCAGAGTTTTCCTATTTTCCTGTCATTTCCCCCATTGCTATTGTAGGCATTCACTACTTAGGAGTCAGCATCATCTATGACCCTGGTATTCTGTCCTCCAGATTGCTTACACAAATTTTAAATATACTTGTCCCAGCAGAGGGATCTTTGAAACCCTGCTCTTAGGCTTCTCCCAATTAGGATGTGTTTATTGATTCATATACTCTTTCTTCATTTTGAACCAGCTCCCATCCCCATATATATATAAAATTTTTTTTGAGACAAGGTCTGGCTCTATTGCCCAGGCTGGAGTGCAGTGGCACAATCTCGGCTCACTGCAACCTCTGCCTCCCAGGCTTAAGCCATCCTCCCACCTCAGCATCCCCAGTAGCTGAGACTACAGGCACACACCACCATGCCCGGCCAATTTTTGTATTTTTTGTACAGATAGGTTTTCGCCATGTTAGCCAGGCTCGTCTTGAACTTGTGGGCTCAAGCGTTCCACCTGCCTTGGCCTCTCAAAGTACTTGCTGGGATTACAGGTGTGAGCCACTGCACTTTTCTCATATATTTTATTAAAGTGCTGCCAATTCAAGGATAACCCAATCTTTAAAAATTCTTATTTAAGGGAGGCTGAGGCAGGAGAATCGCTTGAACCCAGGAGGTGGAGGTTGCAGTGAGCCAAGACTGCACCATTGCACTCCAGCCTGGGTGACAGGTGAGACTCCGTCTCAAAAAAAAAAAAAAAAATTCTTAATTAAGAATAGGAAATGTCTCTGCATATAATGATTTTTGAGAAGTCTTATGTCTGTAAATTGTATTTGCTGGTTTCCCCTTTGCCACAATAGTCATTATTTCCCTAAAGAGCTCACAATATTTCTATATGAACTTCCCTTATAAGCTATGGTGCCTTTTCCCCAGTAGATTGTTTTTACATTTTTCCATGATCCTACCATTTAATTACAGATTCGACGAGGTTGTCCAGTATAGTGTGATATTCACTATGTGTATGTTTCCACAGCTATGCTTGCAACTCATCTCTTAGATAGAATTCAGATAGGCAATTCATCAGTCCCCTGGAAAGTTTGCCATAACAGGATACACAACTTTGCTAGCAATTGCACAACTTTACCATTGATATTCTTTAACATCCTAGGTAGATCAAATTCTGTTGATTTATCTCTTTCTGGTGTGTTAACTAGATCCTAGGCATTTCCCACTATTTATTCATAAGAAAAATACCACCTTATATTTGTATAGTGCTTTATGCTTTTCAGCTATTTTCAGCTTTTCACTGGGTCTAATAGTATCAATATCTGTGAACCAAAAGGTAATTATTTTTCCTATAAACCTAAAACTGCTCTAAAAAGTGAAATCTAGCTTGGCACAGTGACTCACGCCTGTAACCCCAACACTTTGGGAGGCTGAGGTGGGTGGATCATCTGAGGTCAGGAGTTTGAGACCAGCCTGGCCAACATGGTGAAACTCTGTCTCTACTGAAAATAAAAAATTAGCCGGGCATGGTGGCAGCCGCCTATAATCCCAGCTACTTGGGAGGCTGAGGCAGGAGAATTGCTTGAACCCAGGAGGTGGAGGTTGCAGTGAGCTGAGATCATGAGATCGCACCACTGCACTCCAGTCTGGATGACAGAGCAAGACTTCATCTCAAAAAAAAAAAAAAGAATATTATATGCCAAGCATTATGCTGATGTATATTTCCTCACTCAACCCATAACAACCCTAATGGGGTAGGTATTCTGTATTCATGCCATCTTTATAGGGAAGGAAAAGAAAGCTGAGCAGGAATTTATCATTTGCCTAAAATCCACCTGGATTTGAACCTAAGTCTGCCTAATTCCAAACTTTTGCCGTTAACCTCTATGCCCTTTTGCCATTTAATTAGAACTAAATCAAGCATTTCTAGAACTATGGGTAGCAGGATTAGGATGCAGACTATCTGCATTCTCGTCTGGCTCTGCCACAACCAACTATTTGATCAAGGGCAGGTGAATTAACTGGTGAGAACCTGTTTCTTTATCTGTTAAATGAGATGATAGATTACAAGACTTTAGTGTTTTCTATTCTGTGATTCTATTTATGTAAATATTCACTAACCACCATGTGGTTATGAACAGGCACAAAACCAAAGTAAAAGACGTTAAATTTAAATTTAAAATAAATTTTAACAGAAGGTACATGTTTGTTTTATTGTTTTGCTTTACAGCCAAAAGCAAACCAAAACACCAGAGATGCTCATTTAAGCAGTAGGGCCCTAACTTTTGAGTGTGACGGCAGTTATGTCTGTAAATGAATTTTATTCATTGCTGTGAGGGATAGATATATATGTTCACTTCCTGCAAAAATTGAAACTAAATGTTAACAGTATTTAATCTATTTATTCAGAGTGTATTCAGAGAGATTTAATGAAGAAATTAACACTGTGTCAGATGGGATGGGGCAGATCAATGTCCTATAATTGTGTGGCCTAAATTTGGCTAAGTTAGATTTAGTTTTTCTCAGATAATTTTAGGGTTTCCAGGCTTTTCTTATTCTGTACATAATGATCCAGCCTTTTCTTGTCCCGTTTATAATGGAAATCTTCTATGCTGGTTATTTTGCTAATCCTTCCCAGTCCTTCCCTTTCCTCTCCACCTGCATCTCTTCTTCCCCCTGCTCTGCCCTGGACTGTGCCTCAGAAGGCTGAAATGTGCTAACTGCATCTCCATAAGTCTTTTTGAATTGAAACACACAGGAGATCTGAGAGTATAAAGTTGGTATGTCTTCCCTGCCCCCACTTTGGCACACCATCTCTTACAGCAGCTTCATCACTCCTGCATCACTCCCCAGCCACACTGGCCTTCTTCCCCAGCTCCGGCTTCTACTGGGCCCTGCTAACTACTCTATATTCTTTGTTTCTACAGGCCCAGGGGGGAAACGGTTTTCCCTCTGAAGCTGGTCCCTGAGTATCTCACCGTATTTTGTCTCTTCTTAACCTTGCTTATATATTTTTGAGTAGTCTTTTCATTAAAGTCTCTTCATTTGAACCATCTAGGATGAATTTTGTTTCTTCCCCAGGACCCCAGCTGATTCACTATCACTTACCTAAAACTCATTGAATTGGAATTTAAGCACCTCATCCCAAAGATGACATTGACTTCAATCAATGAGTACATATTGAGCATCTTGATGTGCTTAAGGGTATACTAAGAGCTATGACAGGTACAAGAGTCATTCGAGGCTAGCCCAAGTGCAGTGGTGTCTACAACAAATTGATCACAACCAGTGGCAGATTTCTTTGTTCCTTCTCTACTTCCATTGCTTCACTTGACTAGCCTTAACAAAAAAAGTCATTTGTGTGATGTTCTTGCCCTTGAGAAGTTTACAATCTAGTTAGGAAGTCCACAATCAACACATTAAACTATTAACATGTAACATAGGACTTTAAATCTTAAATTAGGTAGCTCATAGGACTAGCCAGGTGAAAGGAGATAAAATTATCATAGGAAATGCTCGCTTTCCATGCCCAGCTAATTTTCTGTATTTTTAGTAGAGACAGGGTTTTACCATGACGGCCAAGCTGGTTTTGAACTCCTAACCTCAAGTGATCCTCCTGCCTCGGCCTCCCAAAGTGCTAGGATTACAGTCATGAGCCACCACGCCCAGCAGTGTATTTATTTTTTTTTAAAGGAAAGAAGAACAGAAGTCGAAGGAAACAGAAGAACAAGTCAGAGGAGCCAATTTGGGAGATTTTAAGCTTTTCTTTTCTTTTGTTTTCTTTTTGAGACAAGGTCTCACTCTTTTGCCCAGGCTGGAGTGCCTGCATTTTAAAATTATCTGAATTGGAATTTTTTAATTTATCAGACTTATGAAATATATTATTGTGAACTAGAAAGTATTAGTGAAAGTTGGGCATGGCAGCTCACGCCTACAATCCCAGCCCTTTGGGAAGCCATGGCAGGAGGATAGCTTGAGGCCAGGAGTTTGAGACCAGCCTGGGCAACATAGCAAGACTCCTGTCTCTACAAAAAAAAAAAAAGTATGAGAGAAATTTCAACCAATTATGGGATATTTATGCTCGAAATACCCTGAGTCACTGAAATGTGTCCAAAGGTACGTGCTATATAAATATCATGAGGGCCAATAGGTCATTCTTGTGTACAGAAGGAGAATTTGTTTGTCAAACAAGAAGAGCAGGGCATTTGCCATTGATCAATCTGGAACTATCTACCATTCCCATACACTACATGAGTAAGAAACTGATCAACTGATGACTCTTATTTTCAATGGGAGTATTTTGATAGGCCCAGAGATATGTATTAAAACCCAAGCTTGTTAGTCAGTGTATCTCCCCATTTTGGGTCAGAGAGAAGGCCCTAGGGTTGTGAGAATGGGCAAGGCATATGCTACACTCTGGTGTCTAATATGATTATTGCAACCCAATAAACATGTTACTGTTTTAAAAGCTTGGTTTCAAGAGTACAAATTTGATATAAGTTGGGAATGGAAAGACATCAGAATGTGCAGAAAGGTGTTGAGTTATCTCTGCCTGTGTACCGACAACAGTGGGGCTCTCTGTCATAGGAAGGAAGGCTTTATGTGGTGTGACTCGGGGGTTTGCTCTCAAAACTTGATTAGAATTCAGGTAGGTCAGACAGAAGGATTTGAAGGACAGCAACAATATAAGGAAAGGCAGAGAGGTGAGAATGAGCTAGGTATTACACACAGGACAGTCAAGAGACCATACAGTGAAGACTTGACAGGCAAGAACAACTTGAGCAATACAAAGTAATGTTGGACAGATGGGATAAGGGCAGATCAACTTCCCATAATTCTACTGATGGAAAAAAACAGAGCATCAGAATTTCAAAGTACTAGCAATGTGATTTCTCTGTAAGTAATATAACTCATTTTAAAATATTAATGTAGCCACTCTGTAGGATGATGGTTAGTTAGAAATTGCTATCATATTCAAGCAGAGCTTGAAGAGGACTGGATCTCTGCTATGGTTTTAAAATGTGTCGTCTCCAAAACTCATGTTGAAACTTAATCCCCAGTGTGGCAGTGTTGAGAGGCCTTTAAGAGGTGATTGTGTCCTGAGGGCTCTGCTCTCATGAATGGATTAATGGGTTATCCAGGGTGTGGGACAGGTGGCTTTATAAGAAGAGGAAAAGAGACCTGAGTTAGCACACTCAAACTCCTCACCATGCGATGCTCTGTGCCTCCTTGGGACTCTGCAGAGAGTCCCTACCAATAAGAAGGCTCTCACCAGATGTGGCCCCTCAACTTTGGACTGCTTAGCTTCCGTAACTGTAAGAAACAAATTCTTTTTCTTTATAAATTACTCAGTTTCAGATATTCTCTTGTAAACAACAGAAAATGGACTTATACAGTCTCCTAAGATTTCAGATCTGGGAACTGATTTTGAGTTCCTGTACATGTTACAGTAGATGGAGGAAGAGAGGAAATTCAGAAGTGCATTCTCAGCTAAACTGAGGGTATAGATAGATTTACTAATGAGACAAAGTAAATTTGTAGCTATGGAAACAATAGTGTCATTCAAGATTGCTTCCTTTCTCAAAGTGGGAGGCAACAGGACAATGATTTTCTCTTCCTGTATAGGAGCTGCTTCCTACCAGGAGTGTGGGAAATGAGAGAAGCATCACCATTTATTATGTGCCCAATCATTATAGGCACTGTTTAAAGGAAGGATCATAGGGATACAGAAATAATAATGGGTGAGGATAGGAATTTCCAAGGTCTTAGCAGGAACTGTCCTGTTGGTGCTACATTTCTGTGGACTTTTCCCCCCCTCAACCTTTACCCTCTGTTCTTCCAATTCTAAACAAGAAAAAGTGATACTGAAACTCACCAACCTTTAACAACTACTGCATAAATGTCTTTTAAATACTTGGTTTTGGAGTAGCAATTACTGGAGCACTTATCTGAAAAATGCCTGCTGAGCCTAATCTCTAGATATCAGAGAATTAAATAAAATGCTTGAAAACTGAATAGTAATTTAGCAACATCAGTTATTGAAGTGATGTAGAAGTGTTTTTTTCACATTAAGGTACCAATATGATACCACAATCCCATCATGACAGTGGACTTGACCCTTTGAGTTAGCAGAACAAAGGACTTTATGTAACTATTTTAGGCAGTAAAAATTTCCAACTCAGCACCATTTTTTTCCTATAAACCTGTCCTGCATACATCACATTGATGTGAGAGTCAGATGAGATAATTATCTGAAGGTGCTTTGTAAACTGAAGAGCTATATAATGGTCAAGGAATCATTATTCCTATCATTCAGTGAGTCATAAAAGAACATGTTGGAAGGTCATTTGTAGGACAATATTCTTAAATTCTAGAAAACTGCAGTTATCTTCGAGAACTAAAGATATTGAACAAAATTTTTGGAATATTTATTACACGTTTGGTAGGCTGGTAAGATGAACTGCTAACAAGAATTAAATACATTAAACAGTATGAGTTCATTACTTTCCTTTTTAAAGCTTTAAAATACTGTGTTCCACATATATACAGGTATATTTAAAAGGATATTCACGGCAGCATTGGTATGACAAAACAACACAAAGAAACAAATAAAACCAATCTGGAAACAACTCAAATGTCCATCATTATGGATTTATTATATATATATATATATATATATGTATGTGTATATATATATATATATATGTATGTGTGTATATATATATATATGTATGTATATATATACATGAATACTATGTGACTAATGAAAAGAGTGAAGTAGAATTTATAAGTACTTACATGGAAAGAGAGCCAAGAGATACAAGATGATAAACACGATGTGCAAAACAATATTTAATGTATGATGAGTATGTTTCTAAGAGCTATATAATGGTCAAGAAATTTAAAAAGTCTATTTAGGAATATGTGCTAATAATAAGGAAAACATTATTGACGAATATCTGCTATTTCTCTATTAACAACGGCTCGCCACATCACAAAAGTTTAACTTTCTACAATATTTCTGTAATGTTTTAACTTTTTATAATGAGCTTACGTTACTTTCATGAGCATAAAAAGTCAAGATTACAAACGATGAAAGACCCATGCTTCAAACAAAACCTAAACACATTGAAGAGCAAATATGATTGACTTGCAAAACTCTGGAAAGAAATATTGAAGATTTGAATTGTTAAGGCCAAATAAAGTTTAGTTCGACTTGCTGAGGTTGATGTGGAATTGTAAGATTTGAAAAAATGCCTCCAAATATTGATCCCATTGCTCTGAAGCACCAGGCAATAAGTTCAAAATACTGTTCAGAGTCTCCATGGGGCTGAAACAACTCTTCCTGCTAACATAAGCTGAAACAAAGATGAGTTTTATACCTTTGTAAGATGTTTAGCTTTCGTTCATGACCAACAAGTCAAAGGTCCACATGTTTGTTGATGTACTCTAAGCCCCAGAGAGAAATCAACTAAAATGGCTAGAATGTAGGTTGAACAAGGTCAACTTGGACTTGCACGAAAGGTAGTACTGGTAATGACCAAGGCTAGCTTTGTTATTTCCTGTCAGAAGCAAAGCATGAAGAGTGTGGATTGTCTGCAAAGGGAGATATTAAAAGATTCAGCCATTTCAAAGACAAATGATTGCCTTCCCTTGTTTTCCTGTGTTCGTCCATTTACATACTTGATAAAAATGCCTGATTGATGACTGAATATATATATATATATATATATAGAGAGAGAGAGAGAGAGAGGGAGAAAGAGAGAGGAACTATGAGTTTATTAAAATTGTAATGCTATAGACTGTCTAGCAACATGCAAAACGAATCTGATGCAGAAACATAAAATAATGAAATTTTATTTTGTTAGGATGGTGAGATTACGGGTGACTTTAAAAATTCCCTATTATTGGCTGGGTGCAGTGGCTCAAGCCTGAAATCCCAGCACTTTGGGAGGCCAAGGCAGGTGGATCACTTGAGTTCAGGAGTTTGAGAACAGCCTGGCCAACATGGTGAAACCCCGTCTCTACTAAAAATACAAAATTTATCACGCCTGTAATCCCAGCACTTTGGGAGGCCGAGGCGGGTGGATCACAGGTCAGGAGATCGAGACCATCCTGGCTAACATGGTGAAACTCCGTCTCCACTAAAAATACAAAAAAAAAAAAAAAAAAAAAAAAAAAAAAAAAATTAGCTGGGCATGGTGGCGGGCGCCTATAATCCCAGCTATTTGGAAGGCTGAGGCAGGAGAATGGTGTGAACCCGGGAGGCAGAGCTTGCAGTGAGCCGAGTTTGCGCCACTGCACTCCAGCCTGGGCTACAGAATGAGACTCCATCTCAAAAAAACAAAAAATACAAAATTTAGCCAGGCATGGTGATGTGCGCCTGTAATCCCAGCTACTCGGGAGGCTGAGGCAGGAGAATTGCTTGAACCTGGGAGGCGGAGGCTGCAGTGAGCCGATATAGTACCACTGCACTCCAGCCTGGGCGACAGAGTGAGACTCCATCTCAAAAAATAAAATAAGACCATCTCAAAAAATAAAACAAGACCGGGCGCAGTGGCTCATGCCTATTATCCCAGCACTTTGGGAGGCTGTGGCAGGTGGATCACCTGAGATTGGGAGTTCAAGACCAGCCTGACCAAAATGGAGAAAGCCCATCTCTACTAAAAATACAAAATTAGCCAGGTGTGGTGGCACATGCCTGTAATCCCAGCTACTTGAGAGGCTGAGGCAGGAGAATCGCTTGAACCCGGGAGGTGGAGGTTGCGGTGAGCCAAGATCACACCATTGCACTCCAGCTTGGACAACAAGCGTGAAACTTGGTCTCAAAATAAATAATAAAAAATAAAAATAAAAATAAATAAAATAAAATTTCCCATTATTATTGTTTTAAAATAGAGCAAACCACACATTTAAAAACAACACAAACTTTTTTTAGACAAGATGACTCCATGAAAATAATAGCTTCTTTTTACATCTCAAAGATTGTACATGAAGAAAAAAATTCTCCAATACTTAATTTGCAAAACCAGTTTGCTTCTAGATTAATTCTTAGAAATCTTTACAATTAGTTGTAAACGTAGCATAAGAAAAAAAATTGTAGGCTAGGTGTGGTAGCTCACACCTGTAATCCTAGCACTTTGGGAGGCCAAGGCTAGTGGATCACTTGAGCTCAGAAGTTCGAGACCAGCCTGGGCAACATGGTGAAACCCTGTCTCTACTAAATATACAAAAAATTAGCCAGGTGTGGTGGCACATGCATGTAGCCCCAGGTACTTGATAGGCTGAGGCTGGAGAATTACTTGAAACCGGGTGGTAGACGTTGTAGTAAGCCGAGATTGTGCCACTGTACTCCAGGCTGGGTGATAGAGCAAGACCCTGTTTCAAAAAAATAAAAAAAAAAAAAAAGAAAGAAAGAAATAAAGAAAAGGAAAAAAACATTGTTCTTTCGACATCCTTTGACTAATTGCTTCTGTTTGTTCAACAGACTCTGCAATATCCCATTTAAGGCAAACATTCAAAATATAACGAGCCTTTGAGAATTCGGACGTTAGATTCCATAAGTCCACTACATCCCTAGTGGCGTTATCTTACAGGAATATAGAGTAAATATGGATAGATTAAATAATATCCCCTTCTGGAAAAATAAAGATTAAAATAAAAAAGAAAGCTCATATCCTCTATTAAATATTTACTACAAGTTCCTAAAAGCCCCCTAGGGAATCTGAGTTCCAAGATTCATAATGCTTATATTAAAAACATTGTGAACACCAACATGTTTATAATTTAAATGTATGAAACTGTATTATCTTAGAATGGCAAAATAAATTATAAATCTTGATCCAAAAAATTTTTAATTGAAAAGAGCTCTTATATTAAACTCAGGAAGCCAGTTAGAAGTAGCATAAGCTTAAGTTCTGTTTTAATTCAGGCCATGTAAATATGCTTAGTAGCAGAAATTACATAAATTTGGGATTTAAAAAAATTCATTGTTAATATCAGCTGCTAGGTGAATTACAGCATGTTAGAACCATATTGGTTTTCAACTAATTTTAATCAAAGATTATGCAATGTATTACTTTACTTTCATTCTTATAAAAAGCAGTGCTTAAGTGGTGAAATATAAGCTGTTACATAAATGTATTTGTTTCTATGTGTATAATTGAGCTGCAGCGCTGTGCTGCTTGTTCCACTAAAATCTGATGTGTATTTGCTCATTAATTTTTATTTTTATTTTTTGAGATGGAGTATTCCTCTGTTGCCCGGGCTGGAATGCAGTGGTGAGATCATGGCTCAATACAACCTCCTCTTTCTGGGCTCAAGGAATCCTCCTGCCTCAGCCTCCTGAGTAGCTGGGACTACAGGTGCATGCCACCATACCTGGCTACTTTTTGTGTTTTTTGTAGAGAAGGGGTTTCGCTATGTTGCCCAGGCTGGTCTCGAGTTTCTGGGCTCAAGAGATATGCCTGTATCAGCCTCCCAAAGTGCTGGGTTGTAGGCATGAGCCACTGCGTCTGCTCCACATAACTCTTTAAAACTTAGACTCAATAAGATTTAAGAATAAATGGTAAATAAATGTAATTTTAGAATAAATGGTAGAATTTTTTTGTTTGTTTTGTTTTTTGAGACACAGTCTCGCTCCGTCACCCAGGCTGGAGCGCAGTGGCGCAATCTTGGCTCACTGCAACCTCCGCCTCCCAGGTTCAAGTGATTCTCGTGCCTCAGCCTCTTGAGTAGCTGGGATTACAGGCGCGCACCACTACGCCTGGGTAATTTTTGTATTTTAGTAGAGACGGGGTTTCACGATGTTGGTCAGGCTGGTCTCCAACTCCTGACCTCGTGATCTGCCCGCCTCAGCCGCCCAAAGTGCTGGGATTACAGGCGTGAGCCACTGCGCCCAGCTAAATGGTAGAGTTATTAATGTTAGAAGAATGGATTGTAAATATTTCATGTTGTAAAGGCTACAGTTCTTTAGTATGAATACAGCTAAGTTATTCCATAGTTTTGCACGCACAGTATTTCAAATAAGAAAAATTTTATGAGTAGCCATCAGTGATCATATACTTCCAGAAATTTCTCTCATGTTAAATCTGCATGATCAGCTGAATAAAAACACTTCAAATAAAAGAAATCCATTTAGTAACCCCATCACTTTGGGAGGCTGAGGCAGTCAGATCACCTGCGGTCAGGAGTTTGAGACCAGCCTGGCCAACATGGTGAAACCCCGTCTCTACCAAATATACAAAATTAGCCGGGCATGGTGGTGGGCACCTGTAATCTCAGCTACTCTGGAGGCTGAGGCAGGAGAATTGCTTGAACCCGGGAGGTGGAGGTTGCAATGAGCCGAGATCACGCCACTGACACTCCAGCCTGGGCAACAGAGTGAGATGCCATCTCAAAAAAAAAAAAAAGAAAAAAAAAAAGAAATCCATTTAAATATAAGGATTTTTCCTCAAATACAGTTCAATTAAAATTTGTTGACTTTATTACACAAATGCACACATGAATAAAACATAGATCCTATCTTCAGGCTTTCCTGTCAAGCATAGGTCATAAATGAGATACACAAATAATTACAATGCAGTGTGATTAGTATAATTATAGATATGTATATAAGCTGTAACAGTAGCAGAAGTAATTAACTCTACAACTGAAGGCCTCACATGAGAGGTGATGTGTATACACTGGTTTTGAGGGATGACTGTGAATTTCACATGAAGATGAGAGGAAGCAGGAGTGCACCTTCTCATCTTTCTCATTCTTTTTTTTTTTTTTTTTTTGAGACAGGGTTTTGGTCTGTCACCCAGGCTGGAGCGCAGTGGCGTGATCTCGGTTCAACGCAACCTCCACCTCCTGGGTTCAAGCAATTCTCCAGCCTCAGCCTACCAAGTAGCTGGGACCACAGCCACGTGCCACCACACCCGGCTAATTTTGTATTTTCTGTAGAGATGAAGTTTTGCCACGTTGCCCAGGCTGGTCTCAAACTCTTGAGCTCAAAGCAATCCATTAGTCTTGGCCTCCCAAAGTGCTAGGATTATACACATGAGTTACTGTGCCCAGCCTGTTTCTCATTCTTTATTCACAAAATAAAATGTATTGTAATCCTATAATCATTTTATCAAAGAACTAACAACTTAGAAGTCCTGAAAAAGTACAAATTGACTTAGTATCAAAGTCAAGTATTATACATAATTTTATTAAATAAAATAGTCATTAAATTCTACATACTTGCAGTCCCATCAAAAACATTGGCCAAAAATTAAAAAGGCACTTCTTAACTTGTAGATGGTGGCACAGGGAAATAAAGGCACAAACTGGAGCCAGACTGCCTAGGCTCGATCTCAGGCTCTGCTTCTTACTTGCTGTGTAGTCTTGGACAAGTTATTTAACATCATTGTCCTTCAGTTTCCTTATCTGTTAAATGAGAATGACGATAATAGCAGTATGGGCTTCATAGGGTTGTTAAGATTAAATGAGTTAATAAAAGTAAAATAGTCAGAATAGTGGTGGCCAGTAAGTGCTACGTAAGTGTTGGATGTAGTTATTATTGTGTATTTCTTTTAAATACTCTAAATTACAGGAAAAAGGGTAGTCTCCTAGTTCAATTATAGCTGACAGTTGGTTCAAAATAAATCTGCTGTTCTATCTAAGGAACTGAGTTTTCCTTGAGAAGTGTCCCAGGAAGAAATCCCCAGGGCTGTCTCCTTGGTCTTTGGCCAGTGATTGCAAATATGCTGAGTTGAATCCATCTTGCAGGAAGCGTGGTAGATGAGTCGGCTGGGACGGAACCCACCTCTGCTGGCTGCACAAATGCACAAGTTTTGTTTTATAAAGTCATTCGGTACTGGAAGGCAAATTCTCCTACACAAGATGTAAACTTGAAGTCACTTAAACTGTTGTGTCATTTTTTTCCAGAAAGATGAAAGGTAACAAAACCATTCTGAAGTCAGTTAGCAATGCACACGCTTATAGACATGAAATACTGCCATAAAGAAACAAAATTCCGTTTTAGAATTCTGAAGAACGTACCTATCAGGTAACAAAAGCAAGATGTCTGGCAGAATTCCCTGGGAGACTCCTTACCTTCATGTCCAGCTGCCCAGTCACTATCTGGAGGCATTTATAACAGAGGAGTCAGTGGCACAGTCAGATTCCCTTGGAATGCTCTAGAGTTGCACTAATTTACATGTACACAATTTAATTTATACCACCATTTCCATAAACATGATGGACCGGTTCTGATTCACCTATAGCCAGCTGTGGATATAGCACACTGGCAGTTTTTCTCCTGCCTCTTGAAACCTATTTTCAGAATGAGACTAATAGCTAAGGTTAATTTAGAACTTACTATGTGATACCCACTGTACTAAGAACTTTTCATATACTGCCTCATTTAATCATTTAATCTTCTATCCTGTGAGGTAAGTACTATTATTATGCACATGTTACAGAGGAGGAAACGGAGGCACGAACTTGTGCCAAGGCCATATAATTTTTACAGGAGGATCTAGGGTTCATATTCAAGTCTGTCTAACTCCAAAGCCCATACTTTTGCCTTATACTGCAATCTTCTCCAGTCCCTGAAGGAAAGCAATGTTTCTGTTAAGAGGAAGGGGAAAGGTGTAAATGGGTTTTAAAGTGAACACAATGAATCTTAGGCAAACTTTTTTTAAAAAGCACATTTGTTTTTGGTGCCTGCCCACCTCCATTTCTCCATTTCGGTGTGTCTTTCTCCTACATTGTTACATTTCTTCTGTGGTTTGAGTACAAATTTAATAAAGCCATTGATTCTGTTACAATATTTACTATTTACAAAACAAAAGCTGTGCACAGTGGCTAATCCCAGCATTTCGGGAGGCCTAGACGGGCGGATTGCTTGAGCCCAGGAGTTTGAGACCAACCTGGGCAACATGGCAAAACCCTATCTCTATAAAAAATACAAAAAAAATTAGCTGGGCGTGCTGGCACATGCCTGGTGGTCCCGGCCACTCAGGAGGCTGAGGTGGGAAGATCTCCTGAGCCCAGGAAATTGAGACTGCAGTGAGCCAAAATCGTGCCATTGCACTCCCGCCCGGACAACAGAGTGAGACCCTGTCTCAAATAAATAAATAAATAAATAGATAATCAAATCTGATTATCTAATCTTTGTCACAGTTTTCTATCCTCTAATTTCTTAAGATATGCCAGCTTCATTTCCTTTCACTGGCCCTGTTGCCTGTGACAGACACTGGTGCTGCTTAGCAGAGAGAGGAAGCCATTCCACTGTCCCATATGGGCCCTAACACCAGTCCCTTCTTTGCTCTTTCACTCCTCAGTGAAGACCTTCTTGGATCATTTCCAAATCTCTTGGTCCTTATTACTAAAATGTCGATGTGAATGGATTGTCCATCAGAAATCTGGCCTCTGAGAGCATTCCTCAAGTTATGCTGACAGTCAACATAGCCATGAATTCATATTTGCACACAGCTTCTTAGGAAAAGAATTCTCAGGCAAAATAACTGCAGTGTGTTCTGGTTTGTAAACCAAACATGTTTGATTTGTCATATACCATTCAAATTTTAAAACCTTTAAGTTTTAGTGAGTTGAGTGCTCTTATTTTACAGATGAGGAAATGAAAATCCTGAGAAGCTAAGAAATATCCTAAAATCACACAACTTATTAATGCTTGTACGGAATTAGGAACTAGATCTTCTTATCATATCTCTTCTAGTGAACAAACAATAAGGCCAAAGTTAGTATGATGTGACAGTGGAGCACTTTGCTAGGAATGAAGACAGCCAGGTTTAATGCCCAATTTTGCTACTAAATGTGACATTAGATTAAACTTTTACTCTCTCTGGACCAATTTCTTCAACTATAACCTGATGGATTTGATCTAGAAGTGCCCAGTAAGATAGTCACTAGCCACACATGTAACTATGGAGCACTTACAGTGAAACTAGTCAAAATTAACATGTTCTGTAAGTGTAAAATACCCACTGGATTTCAAAGACTTAGTACCACACCAAGAATGTAAAATATCTCACTACAAAACAATTTTTATATTAATTGCATGTTGAAATGATAATGTTTGGATATTTTGGATTAAATAAAACATATTACTAAAATAATTTTTACCAGTTTTTTTTCTTTTTTAATGTGGCTACAAGCAAATTTAAAATTAACTGGATGGCTTGTATTATCTTTCTACTGGATATGTTACTGTAGGAGACTTCTCAGGTTTCTTTTAGATCAGAGGTCAGCAAACTTTTTCAGGAAAGGGCTGGAGAGTAAATATTTTTGCCTTTTGTGGGCCACACGGTCTCTGTTGCAACTGTTCGTCTCTGGCCTTGTAGCACTAAAGCAACCACAGAATACATAAACAAATGTGTGTAGCTGTATTTCAATAAAACTCTAGATACCAAAACAAGCGATGGGCCAGATGTGGTCTACAAGCTAACTGTAGTTTGCCATGTACGTTCCTTGGGTCTATTCACATTTTCCTCCATTCAACGTTTACTGAAAAGCTGTTATCTATTTAAAGACATTTAGAATAAAGAGCCAGCCTCTGCCTTGAGCCTAGGGAGGAGCCAGGAACATAAACACACAAGCCAGCAGGATACAATGTGAACAACACTGTGATCAAGGAGATTGGAGAAGGCTTCTTAGGGGAGTAACAGCTGAGTTAGGATTCTGCAGAATGAATATGCAGTTTTCCAGATTCAGGAAAGGTTTTATCTAGGGAAACATAATAGCACACATAAGGTGACGTGTGTTTATGGCAGCCGGGGAGTACTGTGGTGGTGATAGTGGGAAGTGAGATGGCAAAGAGGAAAAGGGCCAGATGATGATTAAATGCCTTACCTGCCGCAGTGAGAGCATACACACATGCTCTGATAGCACTTCTTAGACGGGAATTCTGAGGGTCAAAGCATGCCATCCTGGGGTTGGCCCATGGCAGCACCAGCCATGAAGAGCAGCCAGCCTGGCAGGTGTGGAGAGGCCCCAGAGAACCACAGAAGCAGCCGCAGAAGTGATGAGTGAGCAATCTCCAGGTAACTAGATCTGTTTTGCAACAGGGGCTGAAAACCTAACCTAATGCTGGCCACCAATAGGGCTAAACAGTGTTAGCAGGTACTGTCAGCAGGCCTCAGGCAGAAGCAGACAAGAAGGGTAAGAAGTAAAGGAGAGGGAGGAAAGGAGTTGAAAGAATAAGAGAATGAGGTGAAAGCTGAAGTCCCCACAGAGGTAACAAAGTACTGATTGATTTCCTGAGGACACCCTCAGTGGTGCTGGGTGGGAGGCTGCTGAGGGCCTGTAGGCTAAGTTCGGGGATTGTTGGCCTAAACTGTGCATTGGAATCTTTTATGTAATTGGAATTTTTAAAAAATCATAATGTGGAGTATAATGGCATATCTTTAAAATTATAAATATATATGAGGCATATGTGAACGAATGAAAGACAAAAGAGAGAAAGAAGGTGTACAGGAAGGGAAAAAGAAAGAAGAAAATGAAAACATGATTGATTGCAAAATAAGTAAATAAATGAATAAGTACTCATGCCTGGGTCCCACCCCTGGAAATTCTGGTTTAACTGGAATCAGGGCCCAGACATGAGTAATTTTAAAAGATGATTCCAGTGCACAGCCAGGGTTAAGCACCACTGATTTGGTTTAATAGAAGCTGAAGTGATGTCCCATATCTACTTGGCTGGTAAGTAGGTACTCAGTAGAGGTTTTTTCAAGGTGAGAGGAAAAAAAAAAAGGAAGGTACACAAAAAAAGGCAGGAAAGCAACAGAAATAGAGAACCTAAACCCATTCTCATATGCTTGAAAGCAATTTAAACTACAGTTATAGTAGGTTAGTGTTGTTATCTGTTGTATGTGAAATGGACAACATGAAATACAAGAATTTTCTGCATTAACTTGACATGACTAAAATCAGACAGCTTCACCAGAGTTTTTTGGTCTCAGACAATCTAGAGTACTCTCTTTCTCTGGAATTATCAACTCTTAGGTACATGTCTTCTGATGCCCAAAATTGCCAGTCAATTCAGAAAGTAGAATGTTGCTAAGTTGATAAATTGAAGCAGCTGCAGACAACCAGCAAAACCTAAGCTCTGGTTTAGTTTATTTATTTATGTATTATTTATTTATTTATTTTCTGGCAGAAGATCCAACACAAAGATACTTAATAAGAGCATTTAAGTTCAAGAGCAATTAAAAATAGTAAGTTACCTTTTTATACTAGGAGGATTATAAATGGACATTTCTCTGCTTTTGAAATCAAGAATAGAAAATACACAACTATCTCAAAAGACTCAGCCTATCTGATCATCTTATTTTGTACTGCAATTCCAACTTCCTATCTGCCTTTTCTCATTTTTTTTCTCTATAGCACTTCATCTTTTTGCATACTGCATACTTGTTAGTTATTTTGTTATGTCTTCTCCATCTTCACTAGAATGTAAGCTCCATGAGATCAAGATTCTTATCTGTTGTACTCAGGTATACGCTTAGTGCCTATCACAAGTGGGGACTCAATAAATGTTTGTTGAAAAATTGAACAAATTGTTTTAAAACTGTCATTAGTTGGCCGGGCATGGTGGCTCATGCCTGTAATCCCAGCACTTTGGGAGGCCGAGGTGGGTGGTTCACCTGAGGTCGGGAGTTCGAGACCAGTCTGACCAACATGGAGAAACCCCCGTCTCTACTAAAAATACAAAATTAGCCGGGCGTGGTGGCACATGCCTGTAATCCCAGCTACTAGGGAGGCTGAGGCAGGAGAATCGCTTGAACCGAGGAGGCAGAGGTTGCGGTGAGCCAAGATCGTGCCATTGCACTGCAGCCTGGGCAACGAGAGCAAAACTCCGTCTCAAAAAAAAAAAAAAAAAAACTCTTGTTAGTTTAACGTGTTACAGAAATATTTTAGAACAAGAGGGTAATGTCTAATATCACTTCAAGATTGTGTCACACTAAGAAGCAAGTTTTTTTAAAAGGTGTTATAATGTTATTAAAGTTGTTTGAAATGAGTCAATAATATATACACAGCAAGTGTAGGTATACATTCAATTACTAGTGTGGAAGGAATCAGATGAAGTTAGTCAACAGTTGTAGAATTGCCTTTTGACTGAAAAAGGATCATCCTAGGATTTTTATTCAAGTCTAGATCATGCTAAAACATTGTCTCCTCTGTCCCTGTTCTTGCTGCCATACACTTTTGCTATAAGATCAAAGAGATGAGGTCAGAAGGAACAGGGAGAGTTAGAGAACGTAATGAATGCTGGCTTTCTACAATTTGTAAGCAAACCGTTATAGATCCACTTGGAGTTTAAAAGCAGAGTAGGCCGAGTGCTGTGGCTCACACCCATAATCCCAGCACTTTGGGAAGCTGAGGCGGGTGGATTGCTTAAGGCCAGGAGTTCAAAACCAGCCTGACCAACATGGCAAAACCCTGTCTCTACTGAAAATACAAAAATTATCCAGGCATGGTAGTTCACGCCTGTAATCCCAGCTACTCGGGAGGCTGAGGCACGAGAATCATTTGAACCTGGGAGGCAGAGGTTACAGTGAGCTGAGATTGCACCACTGCACTCCAGCCTGAGCAACAGAGAGAGACTGTCTCAAAAAAAAAATAAATAAAAATTTAAAAAGGCAGAGTGGTCAGGTGCAGTGGCTTATGCCTGTATCCTCCTGCACTTGGGGAGGCCGAGGTGGGTGGATCACTGGAGGCCAGGAGTTTGAGATCAGCCTTGGCAACATGGTGAAACCCCATTTCTACAGAAAAAGAAAAATTTACCAGGTATGGTGGGACACACTTGTGGTCCCAGCTACTTGGGAGGCTGAGGCAGGAGTATTGCTTGAGCCCAGAAGATCGAGGCTATAGTGAGCTGCGATTGTTCCAACACACCCCAGCCTGGGCGACAAAGCAAGACCATGTCTCAAAGATTAAAAAAATTAGGCCGGGTGCAGTGGCTCATGCCTGTAATCCCAGCACTTTGGGAGACCGAGGCAGGAGGTCAGGAGACCTGAGGTCAGGAGTTTGAGACCAGCTTGGGCAACATGGTGAAACCATGTCTTTACTAAAATTACAAAAATTAGCCAGGCGTGGTGGTAGGCGCCTGTAGTCTTAGCTACTTGGGAGGCTGAGGCAGGAGAATAGCTTGAACTCTGGAGGTGGAAGCAGTGAGCCAAGATCTCGCCACTGCACTCTAGCTTGGGCAACAGAATGAGACTCTATCTTTAAAAATAAATAAATAGGCCGGGCAGGGTAGCTCACACCTGTAATCCCAGCACTTTGGGAGGCCGAGGTGGGTGGATCACCTGAGGTCAGGAGCTGGGGACGAGCTTGACCAACATGGAGAAACCCCGTCTCTACTGAAAATATAAAACTTAGCCGGGCATGGTGGCACATGCCTGTAATCCCAGTTACTCAGGAGGCTGAGACAGGAGAATTGCTTGAACCCGGGAGGTGGAGGTTGCCGTGAGCCGAAATTGGGCCATTGCACTCCATCCTGGGCAACAAGAGTGAAACTCCATCTCAAAATAAATAAATAAATAAATAAAATAAAAAATAAATAACGAGGCCGGGCGGGGTGGCTCACGCCTGTAATCCCAGCACTTTGGGAGGCTGAGGCCGGCAGCAAACAAGGTCAGGAGTTCGAGACCAGCCTCGCCAATATGGTGAAACGCCATCTCTACTAAAAATACAAAAATTAGCCAGGCATGGTGGCAGGCACCTGTACTCCCAGCTATTCGGGAGGCTGAGGGAGGAGAATCGCTTGAACCCGGGAGGCGGACGTTGCAGTGAGCCGAGATCGCACCACTGTACTCCAGCCTGGGTGAAAGAGCAAGACTTCATCTCAAATAAATAAATGAATACTTACATAAAATTAAAATAAAAATAAAAGCAGAGTGAAAACTACCAACAAGAGTTTATTTATGATAAATTGGTCCAAAGTCCCATAGTCCTGGAGCCAGGACCCTTGTAGACTTTTGATTTGAAGAGATTTATGGCAAATTTAATCTGTGTAGGCCTGAGTAACCCTGGGCTAGTTGAAATAGAGGATTATTGAGGAGAGTATTTGATTATAGTTAAGTCTAATGAGAAAAGTTCTTGACTGTAGAAGGGTGTTAGATTTTCTTGATACTGTCATACATTGTGACCATTTTCTAATAAAAAATACGTGAGCACCATCATTATGAATTTCACATAATGCATTTATGCATTTCAGTAACTTATGGAGTTGTAAGTGAAAGGGTATATTTTTGGTGGGAGCTAGTCCCGTAAGAAGCCTTGCCATTTGGGCCTATGGCTGAGTCATTACTTCTCACCTGTTGGCAGCTAACTGAATTTTGGGCATACTACCAAATGGTAATTTAGTCTTGGGGTACTTATCTATCATTGCAAACCAGTGAAGTGGTGGCACCAGTACTGAAACATTGATTTCAATTCTATATCATAGTTAGTTGAGGGAGACAAACAGACTTGGGGGCTGAGGGAAGAGAAGGGAGAAAAAATGGAGAGGTAGAGGAGAAAAAGATGAACAAAGGAATAAAGACAGACATATCAAGAGACAGTGAAAATACTATGCCACGTTGACTTGTGCACAGACATATAGACCTGCACCTGTGCACACAGTGATCCTAGAAACGCAGATTCACACAGAAAGATAGACTTTAATGGAGTTTAGGGTTTGTTATTAAAGGCTTCTAAAGTCATTTCTTTTTCTCCCTAACTACAAGATATAAATGGGAATAACAACATCTGGTACTTGCAAAGTGAGCCAAGACAATTAAATTAAAAGTAGAAGGTTAACCATCCTGCCTTGGAATGTGCTCTTTAGGCATTGAAAAACATTTCAAATTTTAGATTTTTCTTAAGGCAAAGTCTTTCAAATTACTTTTCAAGATTACACCTACTTAGAAGATGTAACAATGTGTTCGGATATCATGACGTCCTTGCATGAATCAAGGAAGGTATGATTTAAATAATGTTTTTAAAGCCATATATGAGACATATAGGAAGCAAGGAGAATAAATTAAGGGAATTCTGAATAATATAGAGAAAATTCAAACTAAAATTGTGCCAAAGTCCCTCCATGCCTGCCCACACCTCCTTTTGTGGAATCTGCCCTGCCCACCTTTGCTGACCAAGTGGCCATGTTTTATGCCACATGACCCTGCCTCTCCACTTCCACCCTGGGTGATGATGTCAAAAGATAGCGTCTGGCCTACGTACTGCCAGTTCAGTGACTTGATTGTGGTGGATAGAATGTAAACTCCATGAGGGCAGACATGTTTATCTGTCTTTTTCACTGTCTTTACCCCAGCATCGAGATGAGTCCTTGGCACATATTAGGTGTTCCGTAAATATTTGATAAATGAATGAATGACTGTGGCTTGGCCCAAATAGATGAACTGGGTCAATTAGAGTTCTCCCTTATGGATCTGAAATTTGAGAAAAAGGGAGGACATAGTGAGGCAGAGTGAAAGGACGTCAGGGACTTGAATGATAGCCAAAATTCACAGGCAAGTTACCAGGAAATTGAAAACAGATGGAGCTCAGCGAAAAACACTAGAGCACGTGCATAGAAAGATGCCACAACATGACAAGAGATGAAAAAGCTGCTCTGTACCAGCCCCATTTCCCATGAGGCTTCCTGTGCTTGGATCACCACAGGATCACTGCAGTGTCTTAAAAATACCCACAGCCGCAGCCCTTCCTTCCCTTGAGTTAGCTTAAGTGATTATCTGTTCCTTTTAATTACAAAAGTCCTGACTTCAGCAATAATGTATTTGATACAGTAATGATGCCCCAAGATAAGGTTATTATAACTACTTATACGAATATCAAAAGAAAGATGCTAAACTGGTATACATAAATGATTAAATCCTGTGAAAATAGAAAAATAAGATAGATAAAATGAAACCAGCCCAGGGGTTAAGAATACTAAAAAATATTTACTCATGCAACAAAGAGATATTGTTAAGTGTTTGTTAAGTGTTTACTAGGTGCGGGCATTGTGCTGGAGCTGGAGATGGCAACATAAAAAGACATGATCAACCCTCTTTAGGTATCAAAGGTCTAACAGGGACACAGCAAGTACAATGAAGAACCATAGAGAAGATGCAAACAGAGTGGGAAAGGAGCATGTGAAAAGGGGACATTTTGAACTGAGATGTGAGGAGTAAGTAGGATTTTGCTAGCAATGAATGAAAAGATTCTGCAGAAAAATTGTACTAGAGATGCTGAGTGGGAGGAGGACAGTCTAGGCGGGAGGAGTAAGTGTGCAAATGCAGAAAGGCAGGAAAAAAACAATCTTGGAATTATGAGTCTGTGAAGGGCAAAAAAGAGCCCGCAGAAAATGAAGCTTGCTGAACAGGTAGGCAGGGCCAAATGGTGAAAAATTTGAGATTTTATTCTGTAGGTGACTGGGAGCCATAATGAATACCAAGCACTGGGGAGGCATGGTTACATTTGCCCATGAGAAATTTCACCCTGATGTGAGGGTAGTTTGATTCGAGCCTAGCAATAGCTGGGGGAAGGGAGTGAGGGGGTGATGTGGTGGTGAATGACAATGGTTCCTATAGAATCTACGGCAGCAGAGGTGGGTTACAGAGAAGAGCTGGATATGAGAGTTTTGGAGTAAAATCATCGAGACTTAATAATTGATAAAGTCAAGATTGATAGGTTTGTATAGACAAAAAGGAACAAAGATATGAAAAACCGTCATTAACATTTGGAAATTACTGTTCCTAAAGAAAAGTTACACACTTTCACTTAATCATCACTGTGGGAGAGGAAGAGCTGCTGCTATTATCAAAAGCTCCCATTTTATAGAAAAGAACGTGTCTTAGAGAGCTGAATTGGCTTGCCCAAGCTCACTCCTACTTAAGAGGCAGAGCCAGAGTTAAAGTTTAGTTTCTCTAACTTGAAGCCCACTCTTTCTTTTTCTTTTGTTTCTTTCTTTTTTTTTTTTTTTTTTGAGACAGAGTCTTGCTCTTTTTACCAGGCTGGAGTGTGCAGTGGTATGATCATGGATCACTGCAGCCTGGATCTCCTGGGCTCCAGTGATCCTCCCACCTCAGCCTCCCAGGTAGCTGGGACTACAGGTACATGCCACCACATTCAGCTAATTTTGTTGTTGCTGTTGAGACAGGGTCTCATTCTGTTGCCCAGGCTGGTCTTGAACTCCTGGGCCCAAGCAAATCTCCTGGCTTGGCCTCCCAAACTGCTGGGATTACAGGCGAGCGCCACCATTCCTGGCTGAAGCCCATTGTTTTTCACTCATTTGGGCTGTCTCTAGGAAAATCAGATGAACAGACAAGAGACCACAGAAAAAGATTTCTTAGGGTAGCTCTACTATTGAAAAGGAAACAAAAGGCCCGGCATGGTGGCTCACTCCTGTAATCCCAGCACCTTGGGAGGCTGAGGCAGGTGGATCACCTGAGGTCGGGAGTTTGAGACCAGCCTGACCAACGTGGAGAAACCCCGTCTCTACTAAAAATACAAAAATTAGCCGGGCATGGTGGCGCATGCCTGCAATCCCAGCTACTCGGGAGGCTGAGAAGGAGAATCGCTTGAACCCGGGAGGCGGAGGTTGCAGTGAGCCAAGCTCGCACCATTGCACTCCAGCCTGGGCAACAAGAATGAAAATGAAACTCCATCTCAAAAAAAAAAAAAAAGGAAACAACAACCATAAAAAAGAAAATAAAAAGGTGAAAACGTCTGTCAAAGTATTTTTATGTAATTAAACTTATTTTATATTTATTCACTAAAACGCTGAAGGAACTAAAACATTCAGGACTCAGAACTTGATTCTTTTGTATATTAATTTTGTGTTGAAGTTCAGTGATAGGAGTCTTCATTTTTCTTATTTTCATCTCTTTGAAGAAAAATGACACTTTATAATTTTGTGAGCAGGGCTATTTGTCTTGATATGATTTTATACTCTATTTTAAAAATGGCATAGAGTACATTTCATAGTGCCCTTGTAGCCAGTTTCGCGTGGTACTGAACCAAGTCTTTATATAGCACTACTCTTCTAAGGAACATGATATTCTTTACCAACGTTCAACTCACTAATCTTTATGATGTCCCTGGCATTTCAACAGACATCAAGAATTTTCATTCCTTCCTTGCAAATAAAGAAACTCAATCTTAAAGTAGTTAAGTCTGTTTCCAAGAATTTTACAAAGTAGATCAATGCCATTCTCTTTAATCTACTAGAAACCTCAGACTCCAACTGAAAAAAAAAGTGTTTTCTTTTTCAGATTCATAGTCATACCCATTTAACCCATTTTGAAAGCCTCCTATGGGTTGAGTACTACGTAAGTTATTTTGTTTAATCCTCAGGAATTCTCTAGTCTTTGATCTATTTATATGATGATTAATGACATTAATTTAGTTGTACTGTAATGCATCAGTAAATTTGTTTTTTCATCTTAGGAGCAGAAGCGCTGAACCTTTTTTCTTCACTTTTTATTGAAAGTGAGTTGCATTTACAGAAAAAGTAAATGCAAAAATTTTAAGCGTACAGCTAAAAGACACGATTGCTAAGACGAAATGTTAATTCTTATCTGAGAAAAATAATTTTTCATTTACGTGTGTTTTCAAAAATTGTAGTAACTTCACAAAAAGCCTTAATTTTTTACTATTTTTAAAATTATAATGCCTAAAATGTTTTGCTCAGGGATTTGAGGCAATAACCACCATTTTAAGCTGGTTTCTCTAGTTGCAAGACCAGAAGGGGAACCACTAGGGGGCGTGCAAAACTGTCATTTCCAAAAGTATTCTGCAATTACTGAATCGGAATTTTAGAGAGGGAAGTGACCTGGAGGTCATCAAATCAGAACTTCATATTTTTTGGACATAAAAACTGAGATCCCATGAGATTACCTGATTTGCCCAAGATCACACAGCCATCTGTAAATCTATAAGAGGCACTTTAGAGGGCAAGCTTTTTTTGTACCTGTCCAGCTCATATTCTTCCTGGTAGTAGTGAGATTTCAGTTCTTTCTATAATATCACTTGTCGAATATTTACCATCACTTGGTAAACCACTTCACTGAATTTCCCATCCTTCCAGATTTTGCTTCCTAGGTGGAAAAACCTAGAGACTTGTTTTAAGTGTCTTGGAATGTCTTCTTATGGGGCTGGTGATAATAATAATATTTTGAAGCCAAAACAGTAAGCACAGCATAAGCACTCCCTATTATATCATTATTCAGCAAGGAAATCATCATCATCTTAAATACATGTTCTGTGAATACGGTAGTTTGGAATTGCTTTGAATTTTTATTTTTCATTGATTGATTGATTGATTGAGATGAAGTCTCACTCTGTCACCCAGGCTGGAGCGATCTCGGCTCATTGCAGCCTCTGCCTCCCTGTTCAAGGGAATTCCCCTGCCTCAGCCTCCTGAATAGTTGGGACTACAGGTGCACAGCACCACGCCCTGCTAATTTTTGTATTTTTTTTAGTAGAGATGGGGTTTCATCATGTTGGCTAGGTTCAAACTCCTGACCTCAGGTGATCCATCTGCCTCGGCCTCCCAAAGTGCTGGGATTACAGGTGTGGGCCACCACGCCTAGCCTGATTTTTTAATATAACTATTTTCCCCATGGATATTCTCTCCTCCCTCCCTCCCTCCCTCACTCCTTTCCTCCCTTCCTTCCTTCCTTCCTTCTCCTTCCTTCCTTCTTTCCTCCCTTCCTTCCTTCTTTCCTTCCTTCCTTCCACCACATACAATCATTCCCAATTTCTTTCTTTCTTTTCTTTCTTTCTTTCTTTCTTTCTTTCTTTCTTTCTTTCTTTCTTTCTTTCTTCTTTCTCTTCTTTCTTTCTTTGTCTCTATTAGCAAGTAAAAACTGTATATATTTATGGTATACTACATGATGTATTGATAGACATATACATTATGGAATGACAAAATCAATCTATTTAACATAGGCATTAGCTCACATACTTACATTTTTGTGGTGAGACACTTAAAATCTACTCTCTTAGCAGTTTTCAAATCCACAATGGATTGTTACTAACTGTAGTCACCATTATGTACAATAGGTCTCTTATACTTTTTCCTCCTGTCTAACTGAAACTAATCTATTTAGATGATAATTAAACTCTCCACTTCTAGGTTTATACCCCAGAGAAACTTGTGCACATGGACACCAAGAAATGTAAATAAAAATGTTTACAGCAGCATTGTCCATGAAGAGACAAAACACTGTAAATAGACCATTTGTCCTTCAACAGTAGAATGCATAACTAAATTGTGGTCTACTCATGCAATGGAATATTACAGACTAGCAAAAGTGAATGTTACAGCTTCATATATCAATGGTTGATGAATCTCAGTAATGTTGAACAAAAAAGCAAATCACACAAACCTAAATATGTGTGATTGCATTTATATAAATTGCAAATCAAGTAAAATTAGATAACATATTTCTTAAGGACACACATATATTATAAAACAATAAAAGCAAAGAATGACTAAGAAAGCTTCAATGTATGGTTACCTAGGGGTAGGCAGGAAAAGGGACATAATTAGAGGCATAAAGGAAACTTCTGAGGTACTGGTAATATTCTATGTCTTAAGATGGATGATAGGTACATAGCTATTCTTTTATTATTCTTCTTTATTTTTCTTTTTAAAATGGCACATACACATATATACACCCTTATGGTGGTATGATATATTTCACAGTAAGAAAGTTTCAATAAGAAAAAACTAATAATTTCTGAATTAACTTGAAAATTCTATATTGCAGTTGCAAAAAAATCATTTTAAATAACTTTTTCATTTAGAATCAAAGCCTGGTTTTAACTTCTATCTCAGAACATACTGGGAATTAAACATAGTATAAAATATTGCAATAAGGACCATGTTTTTGAGAAGTATGGGGGCCAGGCATGGTGGCTTATGCCTTAATCCCAGCACTTTGGGAGGCTGAGGTGGGAGGATCTCTTGAAGCCAGGGGCTCAAGATCAGACTAGACAACATAGTAAGACCCTGTCTCTACAAAAAATTTTAAAAAATCAGCTGAGAATGGTGGCCTGCGCCTGTAGTCCCAGCTACCCAGGAGGCTGAGGTAGGAGGATCAAGGCTGCGGTGACTTATGATTGTGCCACTGCATTCCAGCCTGGGCTACAGAGTGACAACCTGTCTCTAAAATAAATAAACAAGTAAAAACTGAAAACAAACAAATAAAAAATACACTTAGTAAAAGCATATTTCTTAAGGATACACTCAGATTGGGTAGGTTAAATATGGCCAGGTCTGATATTGTTGGATAAAGCTGTATTTATATTGGGCCAAAACATCTGAAAAACTAAACATCCTATTTTCATTGATGTTTCAGGAAATATGCTATCATGTCTAATAAGCCTTACATTGAAAATAAAATAAACTTGGTAATTGTTTGTTTGTTTTAGGCATGATATTTTAAAACTGAAGTTGTCAAAAAGGACAGTAGAGCTGGGCACGGTGGCTCATGCCTGTAATCCCAGCACTTTGGGAGGCTGAGACATGTGGACCACTTGAGGTCAGGAGCTTGAGACCAGCCTGGCCAACATGGTGAAACACCATCTTTACTAAAAATACAAAAATTAGCCAGACATGTTGGTGCATGCCTGTAATCCCAGCTACTTGGGAGGCTGAGGCAGGAGAATCACTTGAACCTGGGAGGCAGAGGTTGCAGTGAGCAGAGGTCGTGCCACTGCAACCTGGGCGTAATGAGTGGAACTCCTTCTCAAAAAATAAAATTTAAAAAAAAGAAACAGAGAATTGCTTCACTCTTCAGCCACAAGGTCTCAACTTTGCTCTTCCAGATTTTAACAAAATACTAGTGAGGACTAAGCTCTGATTTTTTTTACCTTGCCCAAATTCCTATCTAAGGGGTCTAGGGAGTCATGCCCTGCAAACCATAAATTCTCATCAGATGAGTTTTATTTGACCCTATATATTGTGACTGACTTTTGAATCTGATTCTGGCATAACATTATGAGACAAGAAAAAAAATCAAAATATTTAACCCCAAAATATATTTCCTTGCCATTCCTTGAAATTTCCCTGGAAAGTCTCTTGTGGGGAAAATCCAAATCCTATAGAGAATCCCCTTTCCCCTTTGTTTTCTTTCCTTCCTTTCCAGATCCAGGAAATAATCAACTAAGAGCCAGGTACCCTTTTAGGTCCGATAAGAAACATTTTACAACCTGCTCTCTCTCTGAAGTCTGCTATCTGAGAGCTTCCTCTGCACAATAAAACTTGGTCTCCATAATCCTCTACCTTAACCTGAACATTTCCTTTCTACTGATCCCAGGTCTTCAGATAAACTCAACCAATTGTCAACCAGAAAATGTTTACATTTACCTGTTGCCTGGAAGCCCCCTCTTTGAGTTGTCCCACCTTTCTGAACCAAACCAATGTAACTAATGTAACCTCAGCCTCCTGAGTAGCTAGGATTACAAGTGTGCACCACCACACCTTAGTGATTTTTGTATTTTTAGTAGATACGTGGTTTCACCACGTTGGCCAGGCTGGTCTCGAACTCCTGATCTCAAGTGATCCACCCACCTCGGCCTCCCAAAGTGCTGAGATTACAGGCATGAGCCACTGCGCCTGGCCAGCAATTCTCTGTTTCAATTCCTAGGGGAATTGGTAGATCCTTAGGAAATGGGACCTGAGAGGGTAGGCTCTGGGAATGGGGTAACAGATGAGGGGGCTGGTCTCTCTTTCTCTTGATCTAGATTTTGACTACAGACATTCTGGTTATTCTACCATGGATTTGGGATTTCATATCAATCTGAAGCTAAATTAAATTCTCCATAGAGTCACCTTATATCTGTCCCCTGTGAGATGCCAGAGTGTAAGGAGTGTTTTATGTACCCCTACAGGGGAGGGGGGCACTTTAATACCCACATACCAAGGTAAAAGAGCCTGGCATGTGCTCCTGGAATCAGGAGGAATCAGGAACCTGTCACATGTCTGAAAATGGCTAAACAGGAGGAGGCTCGGTGAAGGGACATGTGGTGGCAGGGTGAATAGACTTGGTGTGATGGTTAATTTTCCACGTTAACTTGACTGGGCCACAGAGTTCCTAGATACTTGGTCAAACATTCTGGGTGTGTCTGTGAGAATGTTTCTGGATGAGTTTAACATTTGAACTGGTACACTAAGTAAAGCAGATTGCCCTCCCTAATGGATGGGTGGGCTCCACCCAATCAATAGAAGGCCTGAATAGAACAAAGAGATGGACCCTCATGTGAGTAAGAGGGAATTCCTCTTATGTAATTGCCTTTGAGCTGGAACATCAATTTTTTTCCTGCTGTTTGACATGAACTGAAACTTTCCTGGTTCTCGAGCTTGCTGACTACAGATCTTGGAATTTTTCAAGCTCCATAATTGCACGAGTCAACTCCTAATAATCTCTGTCTCTCTCTCTCTCTGTCTCCCTCTGGGCATATACATTCTATTTTTTTTCTGGAGAACCATGAATAATAAAGTTGGAAATAAGGGTCTGTGGGACAAACACACGTTTCCTATGGGATGCATGTGAATTACATCAAAAAGGGTTAGATTCTGGTTGTCTTAAAAGGGACTTCACCAAAATGGTCTTTCTAAAGAGTGGTGGTGGGCCATCTGAAGCTTCAAGCTGAGGTGATGTGGTTGGGGTGAGAAGTGGCAGAGAAAGCAGTTGTCAGCATGAATCATTTTCTATGAAAGGAAACTGGAAGTAAGAGGTCCTCAGAAATGGAAACTCAGAAAGTCTATTGCATCAGTCACAGAACAATGTTCTTGTCTTCTACTCCATCTTCTACATTGACTAGACCGTAGAAGAGCTGAAAATAGCAGCTAGAAAATACAGGAGGTGGATCTAGGAAGAAAGAATACCCCTACTGTATTAGTCTGTTCTTGCATTGCTATAAAGAAATATCTGAGACTGGGTAATTTTCAAAGAAAAGAGGTTTAATTGGCACATGGTTTCACAGGTTGTACAGGAAGCAATGCAGCATCTGCTTCTGGGGGAGGCCTGAGGGAGCTCTTACTCATGGCAGAAGGCAAAGCGGGAGCAGGTGTCTACGTGGCAGGAACAGGAGCAAGTGGGTACTGGGACAGCAATGCCACACATTTTTAAACAACTAGATCTCACTACTAGAATAGCACCAAGGGGGATGGTGATAAACCATTTATGAGAACCTGCCCCCATGATCCATCCAATCACCTCCCACCAGGCCCCACCTCCAACACTAGGGATTACAGTTCGACATGAGATTTGGGTGGGGACATAGATCCAAATCATATCACCCACTTTTCTGCCACATGCACACATCCACCCTAGCCTTTCCCTTTTTTTTTGGCTTGCAAGTTGATTCAGGCCTGTGGACTGAATGAGGGGGAGTGAGGACCTAAAAAGAAGTGTTGAATCAAATGAGAATATAATGTTTTGCTATAAGATGGTACCAGGCTTCTTTTTTATCATTGATTATTTTTTTCTTTTTTAAAAAAATTATTTTTTTTAAATTAGAGATGAGTTTTTGCCATGTTGCCCAGGCTGGTCTCGAACTCCTGAGCTCAGGCAATCCACCTGCCTTGGTCTTCCAAAGTGCTGGGATTACAGGTGTGAGCCATCACACCCAGCTGGCACTGGGCTTCTTAATTTTTGCCTGAGACCAGAAGAGCTAGCATGTCTGCCTAAAATTTCATCCAAGGACGGATAAGAATAATTTGACAGAGAAGGTTTAAAAGAGCAGTAGAGAGAGTTGCTTTCATTTGCCTCTGACTGAGTTCAGCCCATTCAATGAGCCAGTTACATGCAGTTAGCCAAAAAAGGAGCCCTGCTTATGCTACATTTTTGAAGTGCCAATTTGCAAAACTTCCATATAACTGCCATGACTATTGTATTCCTAAAATTATAATGGAGAGCTAAAAGTTCCCTTGAGATCTAAGCCCCGGGGAATTCTCTTTCTTCTTTTTTATCCTTCAATGACTCTGCAATAGGCCAGTGAACTCATTTCCTGAGCCAATTAGATGATTCAAAGTTTCTCATCTTTCCCTAGCAAGCGGACTCAGATTAGAAAAAAAAAAAAAAAGTTTATCATCTCCAAAATAGAGCCTTACAATTCTTTTATTTACTCATTTGTTTCTTTTTTAGGCTAGTCAAGTGAAGCAGGGGAGTGGAGAAGGAACAAAGAAATCTGTAATAGGTTGTGATCAATTACTTGTAAACATCACTGTTTACAAGAGAGACCTGCAGCCTAAAAAATTCTGTAAGCAGAGGTTGGGTATTGTAGCTTTGTATGTATCATTGTAACAATATATGTATCAAAATGACGTCAAGACTTAATGAACCAACAAGGTATGTGATTAACTCAAGGTGGTGGGAGTCCCTTCAAGAGAAGGCAGATAAAAGAAAAAAAAAAGAGGGCAGAAGATGTGTTGGCAGTAACCTAAATCCCTTTTATCAAGTGAAAGAGACTTCCTCATGAGATGTAAATCCATTTGTCCCTAAGGAAAGTGAAAGTTATAGGGCTATAGCTTTCAAACACTGCTCCTGTTTCCAGAGAACAATACCTTTACCCTTAAGTATTCATAACAACCTCTCAGCTTTAGCAACTCACTGCTTTTTGCCAGTTAGCAAAGTTCTCTGATAAAATGTCATCAGATCATCAACCCACAAGCTATAAACCACCTACCCACCCGCTCTGTTCTTCAACACCAATTTTCTTTTAATGTTGGTTTGTTTGGCGGGGAGGGGGGAATAGGGAGCTATTTTTATGATTTATAGCATCTGCTTGATCTCCAAGATTTCGTTTGTTTAAATATTGAGTCTGGAATTCCGAAAGCACTTGAAATATTTTGCAAAGAAGTGAATACCTTTTTCTTTAAACTGAAATGAATACCTTTTTCTTTAAATTGAAATGAAGAAGAAACTGAAATGGTTTCTTCTCATTTGCCTGAAAGTGGAGATCATGGAGAATCAGAAAACATCAAAAGGGGTGGAGCAGGGAGAGGGTAGCTGTTAGGCCAGCTTTGATTTAAACAGAGTATAAAGGCTCCTTAGATTAATAATCTAGTTTTGGTTTCCAAAGCAGCCTCTGCAATCTCCTAATGAATGGTGGAATTTCAGGACCACCAGTCTCATCTTGAATTTTCCATAGGATGCTACTTTTATATTTCCACACCCTAAATCCTTTTTTTTTTTTTTTTTTTGAGACGGAATCTCGCTCTGTCGCCCAAGCTAGAGTGCAGTGGCTCGATCTTGGCTCACTGCAACCTCCGCCTCCTGGGTTCAAGCGATTCTCCTGTCTCAGCCTCCTGAGTAACTAGGACTACAGGCCTGCAACACCACACCCAGCTAATTTTTGTATTTTTGGTTGAGACAGGGTTTCACCATGTTGGCCAGGCTGGTCTTGAACTCCTGACCTCTGGTGATCCACCTGTCTCAGCCTCCCAAAGTGTTGGGATTACAGGTGTGAACCACCACGCCCAGCCACACATCCTAAATCTTTGCCCTTTAAAGGAGAGCTTCTTTGGTCTGCCTCCATTCTCCTTTTTCTAGTCGCAGGTAAACTTACCTCTTAACTTCTCACATGCGGATAAAATGCTAATTGTTGCAGGCCGAAAGAGTGAGGGTTGTGATCAACTCAGTATACCACTGGAAGCTATATGAGTAAACAGCAAACTGTTCTCATAAATGCAGAATGTTGGCAAACTGACAAACTGCGTCTGCCGCCTAGAACGAATGCTGAGGGCCGTCATGCCCCAAGTGCAGTGTTGCTTGTGATTAGGCACATCTGAAGCCTGTTAGCAATAATGTGAACCTGTGATCAATTAAGCAGCTGACCAATCTTTACCTCCTCCTCCCTGCTCTTTCTATCCAACAAATACAAAGGGCTCTAAATGCTTAGGGCTGCTGCCTTTATTCACTAGAAGCAGGGAGCCCTCTTCTTCTTCCCCGGACCCCTTTAAAACAGTTTCTTTTGTCTTAAGTTTTCATTTCTATGTTTGTCCCCCTTCCTTCCGTCCTGTAAGGATGGTCTCAAGTGGTAATAGTAACAGTAGTAAATGTGGTAGTGAGGGTCTCAAGTAGTAGCAGTGGCAGTCTGTCACAGCTAATTGCTTCTGGTTACAAGTCATTTTTATTTCAAAGTGGAAACATGAGAACTTCAGAATTATCAGTCATAATCGAGACCCTCACAAAGAGCTCAGTGGGCATTTTCTTTTGCATACCAGAAGCCAAACGCCTGGTTAGTGTACATATTATTTTATCTCTCAGGGTCATATACTATACTGTAACATCATTATACCTTGCAGTTCTAGCCCAGTGGAGCTGAAAGAAACTTTTCTTTTTGCTTGCTTTTGTTTCAGTTTAGACAAGGGGTCAGTAATCCTTTTGGACTAAACGACAACAATGCAGCTATTGATGAGTTTAAGAGGTAGGCAGAGAGAAAAATGAAAAAGCAGAAAGTGACAAGTGAGAGTAAGTGAAAGAAAAGCAAGTAAAGAGGAACAGAAGAACAAGAGAAGGAAAAGAGAAATAGAGATGGGAGAGGAGTTTATGTAGAAGACTGGCATGTTACTGGTATCACATGCAGGGGTCAGGAAAAACTCACTTTTGCCGTCTGAAGGTTCACGAAAATTAACTGAGAAAAGGCAGATTAAACGAGAAAAGGCAGCCAGGTGCAGTGGCTCACACCTGTAATCCCGGCACTTTAGGAGGCTGAGGCAGGTGGATCACTTTAGGTCAGGAGTTTGAGACTGGTCCGACCAACATGGTGAAATCTTGTCTCTACTAAAAATACAAAAGTTAGCCAGGTGTAGTGGCACTGTAATCTCAGCTTCTCAGGAGGCTGAGGCAGGAGAATCACCTAAACCTGGGAGGTGGAGGTTGCAGTGATCCGAGATCCTGCCACTGCACTCTAGCCTGGGCAACAGAACAAGACTCCACCTCAAAAAAGGCATACAAATTTATTAACATGCATGGGGGAAAAATCACAGTGATTATCCCAAATTCCCAGTGGGGTACAGAAGCTTACATGCCTGTTCTTTTTTCTTTTTTTTTTCCTTTGAGACAGAGTCTTGCTCTGTCACCCAGGCTGGAGTGCAGTGGCGCTATCTCGGCTCACTGCAACCTCTGCCTCCCGTGTTCAAGCGATTCTCCTGCCCCAGCCTCCTGAGTAGCTGGCACTACAGGCATGTGCCACAATGCCCAGCTAATTTTTTGTATTTTCAGTAGAGACAGGGATTCACCTGTTATCCAGGATGGTCTCGATCTCCTGACCTCATGATCCACCCACCTCGGCCTCCCAAAGTTCTGGGATTACAGGTGTGAGCCACCGCACCCAGCCTATGCCTGTTCTTGATAGGGGAAGAAGGAAATGGAAAGTGTAGACAATTTTTTTGAAGGGCAGTAAATGATTATTAGGAAGAATAAACGGACCCAGGAGACTGAAATTAACTTGTAAATTATTTTCTTTGGAATTTGAAGGAGGCTGAGAGGCAGGCATTAGCTTCTAAAAAAAAAGAAAAAAGAAAAAAGAAAAAGTCCAGGCGAGGTGGCTCACGCCTGTAATCTCAGCACTTTGGGAGGCCAAGGTGGGTGGATCACCTAAGGTGAGGAGTTCGAGACCAGCCTGGCCAACATGGTGAAACCCCATCTGTACTAAAAATTCCAAAAATTAGCCAGGCATGGTGGCAGGCACCTGTAATCCCAGCAACTTGGGAGGCTGAGGCAGGAGAATTGCTTGAACCTGGGAGTCGGAGGTTGCAGTGAGCCGAGAGTGTGCCACTGTACTCCTGCCTGGGTGACAGAGCGAGACTCTGTCTCAAAAAAAAGTCCATCCTGGTGTGGTTGCATACCTCAGTCTTCTTTTTCAAAGTAGATAAGACTTTAGAAAGGAGTAAAAGGCAATTGTTTCTTTGGTAAGATGCTTTCTTGGTCAGGTTAGGAAATTTCAGAGTTCCTCCCTGACCTTGGAGTGGGAAAAAAACAAGACAAGATTAGGAGGACTTTGATTCTGAGCCTTATTTCCAAGGCCTTTTTCTTTTCTTTTCTTTCTTTTTTTTCTTTTTTTTTTTTTTTGAGATGAAATCTCTCTCTCTCACCCAGGCTGGATGGAGTGCAGCAGCATGATCTCGGCTCACTGCAACCTCCACCTCCTGGGTTCAGGTGATTCTACTGCCTCAGCCTCCTGAGTAGCTGGGATTACAGGCAGGCGCTACCTCACCCGGCTAATTTTTGTATTTTTAGTAGAGACGGGGTTTCGCCATGTTGGCCAGGCTGCTCTCAAACTCCTGACTTCAGGTGATCCGCCCTCCTCGGCCTCCCAAAATGCTGGGATTACAGGCATGAGCTGCCGTGCCTGGCCAGGTCTTTTAATTTTTAAAAGCACTCAGCATGCCAAAGTGCCATATTTTGGGGAATTATTTTCTACTTCCCATTACACACATGCCAGGGATGACCCATTGCCTAATTTTAACTAATAAAATCATATATATCATACAAGATTTTTGCATGTTTCATAATGTGGAAATCACCAGAACATTTTATTTTTCTTGCTGCATTTGATATTTTTGGCCTCAGTCATTTTATTTTTGGAAAGGGAAGAGATATATACTCTTGGTTGTGAATAAAATCACATGAAATGAGTAAATAGTGTGACCCTAAAGGAAAAAACTGAGGCAAAATTAATATAAGTAGAAAGTTTATTTGGCCCTAGTTTGAGGACTGCAACCCAGGAGCATAGATTCAAGTTGCTCTGAATATATGCTCCTATTAGCAGTAGTTACTAATGGTTTTTCTTTCTTTCTTTTTTTTTTTTTTTTTTTTTGAGACAGAGTTTCGCTGTTGTCTTGTCATCCGGGCTGGAGTGCAGTGGCATGATATCGGCACACTGCAGCCTCCGCCTCCCGGGTTCAAGCGATGCTTGTGCCTCAGCTTCCCAAGTAGCTGGGATTACAGGTGTGTGCCTGGCTAATTTTTGTATTTTTAGTAGAGACAGGGTTTCACTATGTTGCCCAGGCTGGTCTCGAACTCCTGGCCTCAGGTGATCCACCCACCTCAGCTTCCCAAAGTGCTGGGATTACAGGTGTGAGCCACCGCACCTGGCCACAAATGGGTTTTTAAAGGAAAAAGAAGAGGCAGTTCCTAAGTTGTTTATCAAGAATTTATGTTACAATAACAAGCTATTGGTTGGCTATACATTGTTCTTTGTATCACAAATTCCAGGAACATGAAGATAGCGGGTAAGGCAGCTGTCAGAAATAAAATGCTTTTAAATAATTGCCCCTGGCTACTAAAAATACAAAAATTAACCCGGCGTGGTGCTGCACACCTGTAATCCCAGCTACTTGGGAGGCTGAGGCAAGAGAATCGCTTGAACCCAGGAGTGGAGGTTGCAGTGAGCTGAGACTGCGCCACTGCACTCCAGCCTGGGGACAGAGCAAGATACCATCTCAAAAAAAAAAAAAAGAATTGCCCCTGGGAATGGGTGCTGTGAGATGTGACCGAAATCCCATACTCCTGTCTCTCCAGGCCTGATGAATTTTGCATACTTCACATATCTTAGGCTGCTCTGAGCTATTTTTCTCATTTCCTCCTTTTGATCAGAATGGTTCTCTTCTGAAAGCACTAATGATCAATATTTTAGATTTAAGTTTGTCCCATGTTGCTGGGAAGACTCATTCCCAGATAATCTTGTCCCATGTCAGAGGGAAAGAGCAGAAGTACTACGGCTTAAGAAGTTCCAAGGCTGAATCAGTTGGCAACAATTCAGGGACTGAATTGAACAATAAAGGGTCAGAGTAATAGGATCTTAGTCGGGCCGTTTACTTACACTGGAGTTGAGGCATGTTAGCTCATTTCTAAGCATCTAGCTATCATGATTAGTTTTTTTGTTATAAACTTTTGTGGTAAACTTTAGACATCTAGAAATACAAAGCATAATTAATTCAGGCATTTAAAATATGACACAAATAAGGACAGTTATCAACAAAACATCTTGAAATACAAATATGAAAAGTATTCCTATTCCTGAAGATAACCAAATGAATATTGTAACCTATTTCTTGTCCTGGTCTAAAGAACAAAGTATTGGAGATCTCCACTGAGGAAGATGTCCACTCAGGCAGGGCTGCCTAATAGTGTCCCTTCTAATGTAGTTGTTGGAACAAGTCCTTTATTTGATAGCATTTTCTTTTCTTCCTTCTTTCCTTCCTTCCTTCCTTCCTTCCTTCCCTCCCTCCCTTCTTCCTTCCTTCCTTCCTTTCTCTTTCTTTCTTTCTCTCTCTCTCTCTTTCTTTCTTTCTTTTGGCATTTTCCATTAAACAAAATCTTCAGGTTGGAGTCCATGATCTTTGATGTTTTTGTCTCCCGCTGGGAGCTTGCTGTTAAAATAATCCTTAATTAATTTAGAATTTTCAGTGAGAAACTTATCAGGCCTTGCAATAATGAAGAATACCACCTTGTTAATGGAAAAACCAAGCTCTGTAAAATATTTTCAAGAGTTTTATTCTGAGCTAACATGAGTGAACATGGCCCAGGAAAACACAACCTCAGGAATCCTGAGAACTTGTACCAAAGCCTGGATTACTGTTTGGTTTTATGTATTTCAGGGAGGCAGGAGTTATAGGTGAAGACATAAATCAATACATGGAAGGTATACATGGTTCTGTATGAAAAGGTGGGATATCTAGGCCAGTGCAGTGGCTCACGCCTGTAGTCCCAGCACTTTGGGAGGCTGAGGCAGGAGGATCACGAGGTCAGGAGATGGAGACCATCCTGGCCAACATGGTGAAACCCCATCTCTACTAAAAATGCAAAAATTAGCTGGGTGTGGTGGCTCACGCCTGTTGTCCCCGCTACTCGGGAGGCTGAGGCATGAGAATCGCTTGAACTCGGCAGGCAGAGTTTGCAGTGAGCCAAGATCATGTCACTGTGCTCCATCCTGGCAACAGAGCGAGACTCCATCTCAAAAAAAAAAAAAAAAGAAAAGAAAAGAAAAGGTGGGATATCTAAAGCAGGGGCTTACAGGTTAAGGGTGGATTCAGAGATTCTTTAATTTGCAGTTGACCAAAAGAGTAGGGCTCTGTCTAAAACTTGAAGTCAACACAAAGGGATTTTTTTTTTTTGAGACAGATTTTTGCTCTCTCACCCAGGCTGGAGTGCAATGGCACAATCTTGGCTCACTGCAACCTCTGCCTCGTGGGTTCAAGTGATTCTCCTGCCTCAGCCTCCCGAGTAGCTGGGATTACAGGCATGCACCACCACGCCCTGCTAATTTTGTCTTTTAAGTAGAGATGGGGTTTCACCATGTTGGTCAGGCTGGTCTCGAACTCCTGACCTCAGGTGATCTGCCCACCTCAACCTCCCAAAGGGCTAGGATTACAGGTGTGAGCCACCACACTCGGCCAGAAAGGCACGTTTTAAGTTAAGCATGCTATGTAGCAAGATGGATGGCTTGCAGACATGACTTAACCCTTTCCTTCCATAGTCTTAGGTCTTGTTTATAATTTGATATCTTATTGCCACAAAGAGTCTGTTTTTTCAGTCTTATAATCTCTATTTTAACATTAATGCTGGTCAATTGTTGTGCCTAAACTCCAAAAGGGAGGGAATATAATGAGGCGTGCTTGACCTCTCTTCCTGTTTTGACTGGGAGTTCATTTTTTTTTTTTTTTCTGACCGAGTCTCACTCTGTCGCCCAGGCTGGAGTGCAGTGGCGTGATCTCAGCTCACTGCAAGCTCCGCCTCCCAGGTTGATGCTATTCTCCTGCCTCAGCCTCCTGAGTAGCTGGGACTACAGGCGCCTGCCACCACGCCCGGCTAATTTTTTTGTATTTTTAGCAGAGACGGGGATGGTCTTGATCTCCTGACCTTGTGATCCGCCTGCCTTGACCTCCCAAAGTGCTGGGATTGCAGGCGTGAGCCACCACGCCCAGCCCTTGGGAGTTCAGTTGTTAAGGTTTCTCTGGGGTCCCCTTGGACAAGAGGGGGTCCATTCAGTTGGTAAGGGACTTTGGATTTTTAGTTTACAACTGTTTTTTTTGTTTGTTTTGTTTTGTTTTTGAGATGGAGTCTCGCCCTGTCGGAGTGCAGTGGTGCGATCTCGGGTCACTGCAACCTCCGCCTCCCAGGTTCAGGCAATTCTCTGCCTCAGCCTCCCAAGTAGCAGGGATTACAGGTGCCTGCCACCATGCCCAGCTAATTTTTGTATTTTTAGTAGAGACAGGGTTTCATCTTCTTGACCAGGCTGGTCTTGAATGCTTGACCTCATGATCCACCCACCTCAGCCTCCCAAAGTGATAAGATTACAGGCGTGAGCCACCGTGCCTGGCCCAACTCTTTTTTTTTTTTTTTGAGATGGAGTCTTGCTCTGTCTCCCAGAATGGAGTGCAGTGGCACGATTTTGGCTCACTGCAACCTCCTCCTCCTCCCGGGTTCAAGCAATTCTCCTGCCTCAGCCTCCCAAGGAGCTGGGATTGCAGTTGCATTCCACCACACCTAAATTTTGTACTTTTAGTAGAGACAGGGTTTCACCATGTTGGCCAGGCTCGTTTCGAACTCCTGACCTCATGATCCACCCGCTCGGCCTCCCAAAGTGCTGAGATTACAGGCGTAAGCCACCATGTCTGGCCTAGTTTACAACTTTTAAGGAGAGCTAGTTCATAGGCTCCTTTATCCAGGTGCACGGGTAGTCCCATTCCCATTTCAAAGGCAGAAAGCTGATGTTTTCCAAACAGGGTAGAATGTAAGTTAAGCAAATGGAAGATCCTTAGGCCAGGGAAAGTTAAATTTTTCTTTAAGCTTTCAACTGACTTTTCACTATTCCGTGTATTCATTCTACCAGTCTGGAAGACTGAGTGATTTGCACAATGGAAATGCTAATCCATCCAATCTCAATCATCTTTGACCACACAAAATAGTATTTCTGGCTGAGCATAGTGGCTAATGCCTGTAATCCCAGCACTTTGGGAGACTGCTGTGGGAGGATTGCTTGACCCCAGGAGTTCGAGAGCAACCTGGGCAACATAGTGAGACCTCATCTCCACCAAAATAATTTTTTTAAATAAAAAAACCAAGATAAGATTTCTATAAACTTCTCATAACCACTTACTTAGAATTTTTCACTTTCTCTTTCTTTAAGTTTCTGTGTTCATGTAGTTTTATCCATCATTCTTTCTTTTGTCCTTTCAACTTAAAACACCCTTTAAAAGCCTCTAGACAAAATTAGTTTTCCCTTAACAGAAACCTCACTTTCATATCTTCTTTATAACCTTCTTTACCAAAAACACATCCTATTTTTCTTACTCACTCTGTATACAGAATTGTTTCTCTTACATCTAGTAGTTTCAATTGCATATATGAACTACTATTTTTAACTTTTAGCAAACTGAATTTCTGGTGGAAAACTTAGGAAGTAATTTTGAACTGTTTTATATCATTACTGATAGATGGATGAAAACCATTTTATAATTTTTAGAAAGATATCTCAATTTATTTTTGTTTATTAACAGGTCTAAATATATTTAGCTTTTCTATACCATATAAAAATAAGATATCAAAGTATATAGATTTAAACTTATATTTAATGATTAATGTTTTAGTATTTTTACTTAGAGATGACTCAGACATTTCATGAACATCTACTACTTAATTATAACATGACTTTAATATTAATTTACTGAAGCTGGGCACAGTGGCTCATGCCTGTAATCCCGGCACTTTGAGAGGCTGAGGTGGGTGGATCACTTGAGGTCAGGGGATCAAGACCAGCCTGGCTAACATGGTGAAACCCCGTCTCTACTAAAAGTACAAAAATTAGCCAGGTGTGGTGGTGCATACCTGTAATGTAATCCCAGCTACTTGGGAGGCTGAGGCGGGAGAATCTCTTGAACCTGGGAGGCAGAGGTTGCAGTGAGCTAAGATCGCTCCACTGCACTCCAGCCTGGGTGACAGAGCAAGATTCCACCTTAAAAAAAAAAAAAAGTCAAGTTACTGAAAAAGATTTTTGAAAAGTTCATTTATAAATTTTTCAAAAACTCACCACTATACAAATGAGTACACTGATAAACTTTTGTTTCTATTCATTTAACTTACTCACTTTTAACAATTATGCTTGAATTGTTCATTAAACAAAGCTAGCCATCATCTCATGTTATTTCCGTGTTAATCATTTTTACAGCCTGCAAATGTTAGGCAGCTGCCACCTAAGCAAAAACCCTAAAGGTAAATACATGGGTATTTTGCTGATCCGAAGACATAGCTGTTTTCATTAAACCAATAATATTAAAGTGGTTCTTCTTTACTAAAGATTTACTCAAGTCATATGAACTGAACATTTTAGTTAGTTTCTATTTTTCTGATAAAGTATTTAAGTGCTTACTTTTTTTTTTTTTTTTTTTTTTTGAGACGGAGTCTCCCTCTGTCACCCAGGCTGGAGTGCAGTGGCACGATCTCGGCTCGCTGCAATCTCCGCCTCCCGGGTTCCAGAGATTCTTCTGCCTCAGCCTCCTGAGTAGCTGGGATTCAGGCGTGCATCACCATGCCTGGCTAATTTTTTATGTATTTTTAGTAGAGATGGGGTTTCACCATATTGGCCAAGCTGGTCTCAATCTCCTGACCTCGTGATCCGCCCGCCTCGACCTTCCGAAGTGCTGAGATTACAGGCGTGAGCCACCATGCCCGGCCAAGTGCTTACTTTTTTTTTTAGATCCAATTAATTGGAGCTCTTTTGTATATTTTGGTAGTGAAATATCCCATACGCGTAATATAAACGTATATACGTACAGATCTTTCTTTTTTTTTTTGAGACTGAGTTTCCCTCTTGTTGCCCAGGCTGGAGTGCAATGGTGCCATCTCGGCTCACCACAACCTCCGCCTCCCGGATTCAAGCGATTCTCCTGCCTCAGCCTCCCGGGTAGCTGGGATTACAGGCATGCGCCACCATGCTGGGCTTATTTTGTATTTTTAGTAGAGACGGGGTTTCTCCACTTTGGTCAGGCTGGTCTCAAACTCCCCACCTCAGGTGATCCTCCCACCTCAGCCTCCCAAAGTGCAGGGATTACAGGTGTGAGCCACCATGCCTGGCTGAAAAATCATCTTAAACAAAGGTAAGGCTTATTACATAAACTTTAAACCAATGTAGTTTAGGTGCAGAGAGGGAGATGTTCTTACAAATGGACATTTCCTTTATAGATGTAATTATCTTTTATTTATTATTTCTTTTTTTTTCCATAAGCCTTTTGCACTCCTAAATATCTTTTACAAAAAGTTTCAAAATAACTAGCTAAATGTCAGAAAGTTGCATTTTGGAGACTGATTTAGTTTGATGGGTAGTCTTTTCAACTTCATGTTTCTTAATTAAATTACTGACTTTAGGGTGGAGCCCTTTAATGAATAGGGCAAATAAAACATTTATTGTTTTTAGGGCCTAATATTTAAATATGTGAAAAGCAGGCACAGCTGGAAGGCAGAGCATCTAGATCTCCAGAAATCAAGGATTCCACATTTACTTTGAATCCCTGGTTTCTTCCAAAAGGGAAATGCCACAAGACTAGGCCGTGCAACATTTCCGCAGTGCTCCTCGCTACAAAGACATTCCCCTAAGGCTGGTGGGCAACTCAACACTCAGCTCAGTACGTGGTCAGCTCGTCCTCCATAGGAGCCTTATGCCTTGGTGGTGAGTGTTTCCACAGATTCCAAGTGTTCAAATAATATGTCTTTTATCTAAATGTGCAAATAAACAAGTAGCTCCCTGCAGTAATTACCATTCACTGCAGCTGCTGTCAGCCACTTCTGCAGGTTTCACCAGTGACTTGCCAGCTATTACACAAACAAAGATCAAGTTCTCCCTCACAGTATAAAGTAACCCTTGGCATTCCCAAAGCCAAAGAGATCAGAATACTCAATGCAGAAGAAAGCAAAGCTGTAGACCTGTGAGAAACCTGCGTATGACTTTTGAGACTCCATGAGAGACAGAGGACCTCCCAAAAGGGGAGAGGGTGGCATATTTTTGTGTGTTCCTTGAGCGGTCTCAGGGCTATTAGGTCTCATACATGGTATTGAAGATGGCAAAAGGAAGGAGTAGCAGAAGTGGAAGTGAGTGAAAGAACAAGTCCTGGAGGACCCAACTGAGGGAGATTTTTTTTTTTTTGAGTCGGAGTCTTGTTCTGTCACCCTGGCTGGAGTGCAATGGCACGATCTCAGCCCACTGCAACCTCTGCCTCCTGGGTCCAAGTGATTCTCCTGCCTCAGCCTCCCAAGTATCTGGGATTACGGGCATGTGCCACCATAACCAGGTAATTTTTGTATTTTTAGTAGAGACAGGGTTTCATCATATTGGTCAGGCTGGTCTTGAACTCCTGACCTCAGGTGATCTGCCCACCTCAGCCTCCCAAAGTGCTAGGATTACAGGCGTGAGCCACTGCACCTGGCTTGAGGGAGATTTTAAGCTATCTAAAAGGCCAGTGAAGTTTTACAGTTTTTTCTCAGCAAAAATCATGCCAACAAAATAGGAAACAGAGGGAACCAACCATTTTTTAAAATAAGGTTTTTAGTATATTAACAACAACAAAAAAAAAACCCAGAAACAGAAAACAAAAGAGGAAAAGCAAAAAGACCTTCTTTATTTTTCACAAAGTAAGTTGTAGTCTGAATATCAGTTTTTAATTAAGCTAACTTCTAGCTGTTAGAACTCTTTAAAAAATATTTTCAAGTCTTTTCTTATCAAATTTCAACCATGACAAACAATAAGTATGTCTTTCAGGCCAGACACGGTGGCTCACGCCTGTAATCCCAACACTTTGGGAGGCCAAGGCAGGTGGATCACGAGGTCAGGTGTTTGAGACCAGCCTGGCCAATATGGTGAAACCCTGTCTCTACTAAAAATACAAAAATTAGCCAGGCGTGGTGGCGCGTGCCTGTAGTCACAGCTACTTGGGAGGCTGAGGCAGGAGAATTTCTTGAATCCAGGAGGCGGAGGTTGCAGTGAGCTGAGAACGCACCACTGCACAGCCAGGGCAACAGAGCAAGACTTTGTCTCAAAAAAAAAAAAAGTATGTCTTTCATTCAGTTTGTCTAGTTCAGCTTTTTCCAACTGTGGACACAAATGAATTATTTTACGCATTTCAAAGGATCCCCCCCATTTCAGCCATTGATGCTTATGACCATTCCAGGTTATGTGGGTCAATTTTCTTAGATATTTACAAGAGGATGCCCCATAAGCATTGTACCTAAAACGAGCTAGTGTTTCTAAAGGTAGCTGTCCCTTTAAAGAGTGCTCAGATTTTGAAGCTTGATTTCCTATAATTTAGGAACTTTTCAAAAGTGATCAAGGCCAGAAATATATTTTGGGTCAAAGTGTGCTGCTTATGAGCATAAATTACCCATATGCATGCTTTGGTTTGGAATCAACAGAAATTGGTCACAAATGAAAATACAAGTCCAAATTATAAGTAACAAAGCAGCTGCAGTTTTAAAAGCATGCTATAGAATTCTAGGCCAGAAGTGGTGAAACCACCGGTGCTAGAGTAACCAAATGATCTATAACTTGAACTTTTTGTCATGAGGTAGAGGCAGAGAAGGCAGAAGTCCTCTGCATAACTTCTTGCCCAACTGTGAACTGAACCTTCTGCTTTGAGGCCGAAGAACTGTGAGGAACAAGAAGAAGGCAGCTCTCTGCAGAGCTTTTTACTTGAATCTCCTATCCAGGGAGAGAAACTAAAGCCCTCATTCTTAAAGGAAAGAGATGGTTTGCAGAACAGCTCAAAATCTAGACTGCAACTGAAAAGAAAGGAAGGTTCAGATTCAAAAGAAGTCACCCCCAGCATGTGGTAGGACCTCCAAAAATGGAGAATGCAATGGGTTCATGCTGGTACCAAGCACTTATTTCAGAGAGAAACACCAGGTGATGGTGGGAAGTCACTCTGAATCATGCCGACCTAAAGGAAAAAACTGAGGCAAAATTAATATAAGTAGAGAGTTGATTTGGGCTGAGTTTGAGGACTGCAACCCAGGAGCATAGATCCAAGGTGCCCTGAATATATGCTTTGCTTAGCAGCAGTTACAAGTGGGTTTTTAAAGGAAAAAAGAAGAGGCAGTTCCTAAGTTGCTTACCAAGAATTTACATTAAAATAACACAAGATATCGATTGTCTGCCACATTGTTCTTTGTATCTCAAATTCCAGGAAAATGAAGATAATGGATGAGGCAGCTAGTCAGGAACAAAATGCTTTTAGCCAATTGCCTGTGGGAATGGGGGATAACGGAAGTCCCATACTCATTCCCTCTGGGCCTGATAAATTTTGCATACCTCACATAGCTCAGAGTGCTCTGAACTGTTTCCTCTTCTAAATAGTAAATAAGAAATTTAGTCTAATGCCTGTTGTACAGTAAGTGCTCAGTAAAATGTTAGAGTCCCTTCCCTTTGAAATGATAGATACGACGTTTCCAATGGAAGAAAAACGAGCAGGAAAAAAACAACCACCACCAGCATAACAAATGGATAAAATTTACAAATAATTACGTAACCTTTATCTATAGATATGAAACTCTTTCTCTACCATGAAACTGCCATTGCAAAATTATAACAGAATATAATTACAGTGAAAAAAATCTGACCTAACTGACTTCATCTTCCTTCTAACCTCCAAGTTGTCCTTGTCCATTCCCGGGCATAGGCCAAACTGACTTTGGGAGAAATTTAGTTTATAGTTTTAACTTTTTTTTTCTTTTTTCTGAGACAGAGTCTTGCTCTGTCACCCAGGCTGGAGTGCAGTGGTGTGATCTCAGCTCACCACAACCTTCACATCCTGGGTTCAAGCGATTCTTGTGCCTCAGCCTCCCAAGCAGCTGGGACCACAGGTGTGCATCAGCATGCTTGGCTAATTTTTGTGTGTTTAGTAGAGACAGGGTTTCGCCATGCTGGCCACACTGGTCTTGAACTCCTAGCCTCAAGTGTCTAGTTTAACTTTGAAACAAAAACAATAACAGCCCTTTCCCAAAACAAACCCCCTTCCTGCCTGGGGACTAGACTGCCTTTGTGGGACTAACAAAATAGCCACAAGATTAGATATTATGGTTTAGGAGTCATGCAGCTGGAGGCTACAAGATTTTGACCCTCCCCAAATTTCTCCTGGAGATAATATCATTATTATAAAACCTAAGATCAGTGCTCAAGATATTTTGTAGACCCTGCACTTGATAGATCAGCTGGCACCACCCAGATGGATAAATTGGCTCATCTGATCTTGTGGCCACCACCCAGGAACTGACTCAGCACAAGAGGACAGCACTGTCTCCCTGTGATTTCATCTTTGACCCGAGCAATCAGCACTCCCAACTCACTGGCCCCTACCCACAAAATTATCCTTAAATACTCCAATCCCTGAATTCTCAGGGAGACTGATCTGAGTGATAATAAAACCCCAGTCTTCGGTAGAGCTGGCTCTGTGTGAATTAAACTCTTTCTCTATTGCAATTCCCTGTCTTGATAAATCAGCTCTATCCAGGCAGTGGGCAAGAAAAACCCACTGGGCAGTTACAAATCTGGGGCTTGTCCAGGATCACCCTTGTGGCTACCTGCCTGTGGCTCAGTACCCAACTCCAGCAATGGATCCACAGGCCAGCCCAAATGGCCACTTAGTTCTGGATTCAGGGCTGACTCTGGTACTGTCTCTACTAATGGGATGCTGCCGACCCAATACACATGGATTTAATTGCAATAGAGAAATAGTACTGGGGAGACTGATTTGAGTAACAATAAAACTCTGGTCTCCTGTACAGCTGGCTCTGCATGAACTACTCTTTCTCTATTGCAGTTCCCCTGTCTTGATAAATCAGCTGTATCTAGGCAGTGGGCAAGGAGAACCTGTTGGGCAGTTACAAATCTGGGGGCTCATCCAGGATTGCCCTTGTTTCTACCCACCCACAGTTTGATAGCCCCCTACTGGTGATTGATTGATCCAGAGGCCAGCCCAAGCAGACATCTAGTTCTCTTTGACTCTGGCACAGTCTGTATTGGCATGGCATTACTGACCCATTGTGCATGGATTTAATTGTGATAGAGAAATAATCCTGGGGAGACATCCCATAACTGTAGCCTCATCACAGGGTGTCTGTCTGTAGCTCCAACATGGGGTGTCTGTAGCCCCATCACAGGGCGTCTGATTAGATGAGTATTCTAGGTGTTGCTAACAGCCCCTTCCTTCTCCTGATTTGTTGGCCTCAATGAAAGGGTTGCTATCTGTAACCCCATCATGGGGTGCCTGTCTATAGCCCCATCGTGGGGTGTCTGCTCTAATTGGATGGAGAATAGGGGACTTATTTGGAGGAATAGTCTTGGTTTGTGATTTAATCTGGAATCTCTGTCTGGAAGGACTTCTGCTTGACTTTTTTGTTGTGTGTATTTGCATGTGTAGAGGAGATCTCTGAAGAAATTGCTGATGAAAGTCCAACAGGCTCTTCCAGTTTGTCTGGTCGGTCACATTTGCTGAAACCTGGAGGAATTGTTAGTGGAAGCTCAACAGGCCTGACTCAGTCTGACTGTCCATTCTTCTGGAAGCTGCAGAGAAAAGAAACCTGGAAACCTTATATGCTGACAAAAAGGGACACAATTGGATATGATGGTTATTTTACCAAGGTTTTGAAATGTCGTGCTTTCAAATATAAACAGACTGCTTTAAGGAATCGAAGTTGACTTATAGAGCCAATAAAAGCCCTGCAGGAAAGCTGGCCTCATACTTTGTCTACACAGTCTCTGTACAGGTTTCCTGACCTGTGGTGAGTAAAGAATGTCACCTTCTGAAAGTCCAGGGATCCCAAGTTATCTTGGGACCTGGAGAGGAGGAAAATTCACCCAACTCATACAGGTATATTTGCAGCCGTAGATAAATCTGTGGATGGGCTCCAAGGCTTTAAAAAGTATAATCTGAGATTCCTTATGGAACAAAGTTTCAGCAAAGCCAATTTTTATTTTATTTTATTTTATTTTATTTTATTTTATTTTATTTTATTTTATTTTATGACAGATTCTCGCTCTGTCACCAGGCTGGAGTACAGTGGCTCAATCTCAGCTCACTGCAACCTCCAACTCCCTGGTTCAAGCGATCCTCCTGCCCCAGCCTCCTGAGTAGCTGGGATTACAGGTGCCTGCCACCATGCCCAGCTAATTTTTGTATTTTTAGTAGAGACGGGGTTTCACCATGTTAGCCAGGATGGTCTCGATCTCCTGACCTCGTGATCCACCCGCCTCAGCCTCCGAAAGTGCTGGGATTATAGGCATGGACCACCTTGTCTAGCCTCAGCAAAGCCAATTTTAAAAGGAGCCTATATGGTAAATAATTATTCTTGCTGCACTTTATACAAACAATCAGGCCATGCATAATACGACTAAAACTTGTTTTGCTTTAATAAAAATGGGGACTGGAAAGAGAAAAATTACGTTTCAGAAAACTACAGTACACCTATTGTTAGTTGTTCTCAAGTTTTTATTATTCTCTGCAATTTGGACTAAATCCTAAATTCTTTGTTGGCTACAAGTCCCCAAACTAATGCTTTCAAATCTTTACTTCTAAAACTAGGATTTGCATTTCTTATCCTAGGACTCATTTACCTTATAGTATGCTACTCACTAAAACTGTAGATGAGAATACTGAAGCCTTGTCAGGTAAGCCTTGGAACCCCAACCCAGTCCCTATGCTCAGACAGCTGCAAAGCGGTTCCACTCCTCTCACCTTGGGGTCAACTCCTATTCTCACTATGCCCCCTGGAAGAAACCAGTGCAGTTTTCGACCTTTTCCCATCTTCCTAGACACACCTTACGAATAAGGTCTTATAAACCTCAAAGAGAGGGATTGAAATCACCATTGCAAAACTATAACTAAGAATATGATTACAGTGAAGGAGATCTGACCTAATCAGTTCCATATTGCTTCTAAACTCCAAGCTGTCCTTGTACATTCCAGGGCATAGGCCAAACTAACTTTGGGAGAAACTTAGTTTATAGTTTAACTTTGAAATAAAGACAGTAACAGCACTTTTCCAAAATAAACCCCCTTTCTGCCTGGGGACACTGCCTTTGTAGGACTAACAAATTAGCCACAAGATTAGAAATTATGGTTTAGGAGTCAGGTAGCTGGAGGCTACAAAATTTTGACCCTACCCAAATTGCTCCTAGAGACAACATCACTATTGCAAAACCTAAGATCAGTGCTGGAGATATTTTGCAGACCCTGCACTTGATAGATCAGCTGGCACCACCCAGATGGATAAACTGGCTCATCTGATCTCGTGGCCTCCACCGGGAACTGATTCAGCAAAAGAGGACAGCTTCAACTTCCTATGAGTTTAATCTCCAACCCAACCAATCAGCACTCCTTACTCACTGTCCCTTACCCACCAAATGATCCTTAAAAACTCCAAATTCTCGGCCGGGCGTGGTGGCTCACGCCTGTCATCCCAGCACTTTGAAAGGCCAAGGCAGGCAGATCACGAGGTCAGGAGATCAAGACCATCCTGGCTAACATGTTAAAACCCCATCCATACTAAAAATACAAAAAATTAGCCAGGCATGATGGCACATGCCTGTAATCCCAGTTACTTGGGAGGCTGAGGCAGGAGAATCACTTGAACCCAGGAGGCAGAGGTTGCAGTGAGCCGAGATCATGCCACTGCACTCCAGCCTGGGCAACAGAGCAAGACTCTGTCTCAAAAAACAAAACAACAACAACAACAACAAAAAACCCCTCCAAATTCTCAGGGAGACTGATTTGAGTAATAATAAAACTCCCATCTCCCATATAGCCCGTTCTGCGTGAGTTCCACTCTTTCTTTATTGCAATTCCCCTGTCTGGATAAATCAGCTCTGTCTAGGCAGTGGGCAAGGTGAATCTTTTTCCAGCTCTGTCAGCTAATAACAATATTAACTGATTTGAATTTTTCCTCTTCTGCTTCCTCTAGAAGAGGTGATATTTATTTTGCTTTGATGGGAAAGAGTGAGGTATTTTCAAAGAACCATTGTATGCCATGCTAAGGAGAGTGGACTTTACTCTGCAGGCTGAGGAGCCAACAGTGTTTTTCAAGTGGGGGAAGGTGGGAAAGTCTTTTAATTTCAGAATATCCATATGGTGTAGAAGTGGAGAATAATAGAGTGAGGCTCTAGGCTGTAAATCATTTATTTACTCAATAGATATGTACTGAGTGTCTACTCTGTGTTAGGCACTAGAAATACCAGGTCTCTGACCTTTTGGGGCTGACTGCGTAGGAGTCTGTAGTCTCACACATGCTTCGGTAAATGCTGTGAAGGAAAAGAATAGGTCTTATGAGTCTGAGGACATGATAGGTGGGCCTGACAGTAATTAAGAATAAGTCAGACAGAGAGGAAATAAGGACTCAAGGAAAGACCTCATTCAGGAAGGAGACACTTGAGCATACTTACATGCTGAAGGGAAGGATGAGGTAGAGAAGAAGGAGGAGAGGAGTGAAAGATAGATACAAAAAAAGGGATCATTCATGAAGCAAGAACCCTCAGAGGGTAGAGGCAATAGGAATAATTAGCCTTGGGCAGGTAGAAGGTTACCACTTGCCCTGGGGTTGTGGTAACCCCACAGAAGTTTATGGAAGCAGAAGTTTATAGATGAAGAATAAGGTATAGAAGAGTTTTCATGTAATGGTCTCATGTTCTCTATGTAGTAGGAGAATAAGTAGCTGCTGAATATTGGGCAGCTGAAAGAGTAGACGGCTTGAGGAAAGTGGTATATGGGTTGAAGTGGCTCCCGAGGGAGACCAGAGGGAGCCACAGCTGATTGGTCTGGCTCTGTTCCAAAGGCTCTTATGATTCTTCTGAGGGATGCCCCCGTAGTGTTTCCTTTCTGCCTTTAATTATTGCATTTTCCAAGGGATGCAGTAATGACAGACAGCAACTTTGAGGACAAGCATAGGAGAAAGAATTTTCCCATTAGAACTGTGCCTCCTACACAAAAGAAATAATACATTTCTGCAGGCCTGCTTTCATCCATCCCTTAAATGAAACCTGATAATGAGATTGGCAAAAATGAAAAATCTGACAATATTGAGCGTGGGTGCCAATGTGGGCAAAAAGGAACTCTTGTAAGTTGCTTGGGAAGTGTAAATTGATACAAATACTACAAAGAACAATTTTGCAATATTTTGTAAAGTTTAAATTGCCACAACCTGTATATGGGTACACACAGACCTTAGAAGACTGTTTCATAAACTACAGATGGAAACCCCAATAGTGGGTCTAGAAATCAATTTAGTGGATGTCAACTAGCAATTTAAATAACATAGATTTGGCCAGGTGTGGTGGCTCATGCCTGTAATCCCAGAAACTTGGAAGGCCAAGGTGGGCAGATCACATGAAGTCAGGAGTTTGAGACCAGCCTGGCGAACATGGCGAAACCCCATCTCTACTAAAAATACAAAAATTAGCTGGGCGTGGTGGCAGGTGCCTGTAATCCCAGCAACTTGGGAGGCTGAAGCAAGAGAATCCCCTGAATCCCGGAGGCAGAGGTTGCAGTGCGCCGAGATCGTGCCGCTGCACTCCAGCCTGGGTGACAGAGTGAGACTCCGTCTCAAAATAAAAAATAAAAATAAAATAGATTATGATGCACACCTGTAATCCCAGCTACTGAGGAGGTTGAGGCAGGAGGATGGCTTGAGCCTATGAGTTTGAGTCTGCAGTACACTATGATCACCTGTGAATAGCTACTACACTCCAGCCTTAGCAACATAGTAAATAAATAACAGATTAAAAATATGTAACATCAAAGGCCATTTCTTTGTAGAAAGAATAAGTACTTTTCGCTGGGCGCAGTGGCTCACGCCTGTAATCCCAGCACTTTGGGAGGTCGAGGCGGGTGGATCACCTAAGGTCGGGAGTTCGCGACCAGCCTGACCAACATGGAGAAACCCCGTCTCTACTAAAAATACAAAATTAGCCAGATGTGGTGGTGTATGCCTGTAATCCCAGCTACTTGGAAGGCTGAGGCAGGGAATCGCTTGAACCCGGAAGGCGGAGATTGCAGTGAGCCGAGATCACGCCATTGCATTCCAGCCTGGGCAACGAAAGCAAAAAATAAAAATAATTAAAAAAAAAAAGTACTTTTCTCATGAGACTTTGGTTTCATTTAAATATATATAACTGGTCACAATGAGATATAGGTTGGTCACAATGAGACATTTCTTATGGGCTGGGTCAAAATATCTGAGAAACAGCTCTAGAGAAACTCTTGCACATGTGCACAAGGAAACGTGAATAAAGCTATTTGTTGTAGCTTTGATTATAATAGTGATTTATAATTTAGGAAATAATCTCCGTCAATAGATGAATTTAAAGTGGTGTATTTATACAACAAAATATTTAACTAAGTCTAAATATATCAGCATACACAGATCTCAAAAACAATATTGAGTGAAAATGCAACTTGCAGAATATGTATGATACCATTTATGAAATTTCTTAAAAATTCACAAAATAATACTATACATTATTTCACTATCCTTATGCGTATGTAAAATAATAATTTTAAAAAGATGGGAAAGATATGTCACACAATTTGATAGTTGTTACCTCTGGAGATGGAATAGAATTGGGACTGGGCATAAAAACAAAGAAGATTTTATTTCTAATTTTTTTTTTTTTTTTGAGATGGGGTCTTGCTCTATAGCCCAGGCTGGAATGCAGTGGCACAATCTCGGCTCACTGCAAGCTCTGCCTTTCAGGTTCACGCCACTCTCCTGTCTCAGCCTCCCAAGTAGCTGGGACTACAGGCACCCGCCACCATGCCTGGCTAATTTTTTGTATTTTTAGTAGATGCAGGGTTTCACCGTGTTAGCCAGGATGGTCTGGATCTCCTGACCTCGTGATCTGCCCACCTCGGCCTCCCAAAGTGCTGGGATTACAGGCATGAGCCACCATGACCAGCCTATTTCTAATTTTTTTAATTGAAAATGTTCCTGAGAAAAATATAAGGTAATAATTTCACTGTCAATTTGGGGCAGTAAGTACACTACTATGTGTTATTTTTTCTTTGTACTCATTGTGATTTAAAGGATATATTTATAAATTCTGGCCAGGTGTGGTGGCTCACGCCTGTAATCTCAGCACTTTGGGAGGCTGAGGTGGGTGGATCGCTTGAGGTCAGGAGTTTGAGACTAGCCTGGCCGATATGGTGAAACCCCGTTTCTACAAAAAATACAAAAATTAACCAGGTGTGGTGACAGGCACCTGTAATCCCAGCTACTCAGGAGGCTGAGGCAGGAGAATCACTTGAGCCTGGGAAGTGGAGGTTGCAGTGAGCTGAGATCATGCCATTGCACTCCAGCCTGGGCAAAAGAGTGAGACTCTGTCTCAAATAATAATAATAAAAATAAATAAAATAAAAGATATATTTATAATTTATAAATTATTTGATATTTCTCTCCTTAGAGATGGAGCTTAATTTCCCTCCCCTTGAGTACTTGGTGACTTGCTCCTGGCAGATAGAAAGTGAAAGAAATGATGGAATGTCACATCCAAGATTAGAGGAGTGGATACACCTACAAGATTAGGAGACTACAGCTTCTGTGTTGGGTTCTCTCTTTCTTTTTCATATTCTCTCATTCTGATTTCTCATTCTGGGGACCAGCTTCCAAGTTGTCTGAGGAGCCTTATGAAGAGGCTCACGTGGTGAGGAACGGAAATTTACTGAATAAGCTCAGAGGGAGATTCTCCAGCTCCTTCAGATGACTGCAGCCCTGGCCAACAATCTGACTATAATTTCATGAGAGAGTCAGAGAGGGAACCATCCAGCTAAGCCACTCTCAGATTCCTGACCCACAGAAATTACGTGAGACTAATGCTTGTTTAAAGCTGCTAAGTTTTAGGATAATTCATTATGTAGCATTAGATAACTAATATTAGTTCTTCTCTGTATTTAAATTTTTTCCCCCAAAAAAGAGAAAAAGCATCTCTATGTAAACTTATTAGTCAATAAATCTTAAAAATAAAATGAAGTAAAATAATTTCGAAAAGAAGTCTCCTTCAAATATCAACAGTTATCAGCCGGGCACAATGGCTCACGCCGCAATCTTAAAATTTGGGAGGCTAAGGCAGGCGGATCACCTGAGGTTAGGAGTTCGAGAGCAGCCTGGCCAACGTGAAACCTCGTCTGTACTAAAAATACAAAAATTGGCCGGGCTTGGTGGCAGGCGCCTGTAATCCCAGCTACTCGGGAGGCTGAGGCAGGAGAATCCCTTGAACCCTGGAGGCAGAGGTTGCAGTGAGCCGAGATCTCGCCATTGCACTCCAGCCTGGACTACAGAGTGAGACTCCCTCTCAAAAACAAACAAACAACAACAAAAAACCCAATATCAACAGGTATCAATGTCTGCTTCATGGTTCAGCTAAAAGATTAAACGAATCAATAAATATAAATCAATTAGAACAGCGTTTCAACATAGTAAGCACTTTATTACATGTAGCTGTCATTATTATTGTTGTTTGAATGAAAGGGACCTTAAAAATGATCTAATTCGGCCGGGTGCGGTGGCTCATGCCTGTAATCCCAGCACTTTGGGAGGCCGAGGTGGGCGGATCACGAGGTCAGGAGATCGAGACCATCTTGGCTAACACGGTGAAACCCCGTCTATACTAAAAATACCAAAAAGTAGCCGGGCAGGCTAATTAGTAGTGGCGGGCGCCTGCAGTCCCAGCTACTAGGGAGGCTGAGGCAGGAGAATGGCATGAACCTGGGAGGCGGAGCTTGCAGTGAGCTGAGATCGCGCCACTGCGCTCCAGCCTGGGCGACAGAGTGAGACTCAAAAAGAAAGAAAAAAAAAAGATCTAATTCAATTTCCTCATTTTGCAGGTGAGGAAAGCAGAGGTTTAGAGAGGTGACATCTCTTGGTTCAAGGTCTTAAAGTTATTTCCTTCTTGAAATGTTATTTCCGTGAGAATTTTCTTTTTTTCTCCTTTTACCTCAATTACATCTACTAAGCGTCACAATTTGCAAGGATCTCTGTTGGCTTTCTTCATGTATATTGCCTCATAAGAATTACTAAGAATTATAGGTATTTTTATTATCTCAATTTTATTTAAAAAAACTCTGAGAGCTTATCACTTGCTCACAGAACTGGTCAATGATAAAGCTGGAGTTCAAGCTCAGGTCTTTTGAAAACAATATTAGTGTCACAAATACTTTCTCTCTTCTCTTCTGTTCTCTTCTGTTCTCTTCTCTTTCTTTTCTTTCTTTCTTTCTTTCTTTCTTTCTTTCTTTCTTTCTTTCTTTCTTTCTTTTTCTTTCTCTCTTTCTCTTTTTCTTTCTTTCTTCTTTTTTTTTCTTTTTTTGAAACAGGGTCTCACGCTGTTACCCAGGCTGGAATGCAGTGGCACAGTCATGGCTCTCTGCAGCCTCAAACTCCGAGGCTCGAGCAATCTTCCTGACTCAGCCTCCTGGGTAGCTGGGACTACAGGCACACACCACCACATCTGGCTAATTAAAAAAAAAATTTTTTTTTTGTAGAGATCAGCTCTCACTGTATTGCCCAGGCTGGTCTTGAACCCTTGGACACAAGTGATCCTCCTGCCTCAGCCTCCCAAAATGTTGGGATTACAGGTATGAGCCACTGCATCAGGTCCACAAGTACTTTCTTAACCACTTGGTGTTTTATAGACTGCTTTGATGATAAAGGTCCTATAGACTTTCCTGCCCTATGACCTTATAGAACTCCAGGGCAGGCATTTTCTGTGTATTCTTTCTTGGAGATTATTATGGGCTGTTCTCATGTTTTTTCTAAGGATGATCATATCTGGGATCCTCAGTTCATTCTTCCAAAGAAAGAGACCTATTTCCCCATAATGCACTGGTTTATTTTATTTCAATAATATTCTTCTACTTGGTTCCCTATTATATATTCAAAAGAGGAATATTCCGATCAACCACTAAAATTTTGCATGCCATCTAATGAGATTTAGCAGAATACGAAGAGGCTGAGAAAATACTCTTATTCTATTAAAATGAAACAAACTAATCTGAATCAACCATGATGTGTTTGCTTCATTACTTGATTTTCACAACAGTTCTATGAAGCACACTGAGATGTTTTCTCCTCTTACAGAGGAAATAACAGAATTTCAGGGAGTTAAAGTGACTTGCTTAAAGTCACACAAATTAGAAGTCGCAGAGTTAAGACTGGAACTTGCATCTTCCTGAGTGTCCTTTTCAAAACATCACTGTATTTCCCCCAGTAATTCATCTGGAGCTCTAGCTTACAAAAAACACCAATTGTGCAAAAAATATATGTACAAGAATATTCACTGTAGCATTGTTCATAAGAGTGAAAACTTAAGGACTACCTAAACATTCAACCATAGGAGATTATTTGAATAAATTTAAATAAATTATGACATATCCATGTTATGAAACACTAAGCAGCTATATAAAACAACATATATAGGTATACACACACAGTGACAAGGAAGACTATATTGTTCAATTTAAAAAGCAAGTTGTAGAAGAATATGGATAGTATAATTCCATGTTTATGTGTTAAACACAAACTGGGAGGCTATTGTTTTGGACTGAGCTCCTGCACTAGGCCCCAACAGACCAGACCAAACCAGAATGGAGTTGTAACCCATAGTCCCTGGGTTTTTTTTTTTTTTTTTTGAGACGCAGTCTCGCTCTGTCACCCAGGCTGGAGTGCAGTGGTGCGATCTTGGCTCACTGCAACCTCTGCCTCCCAGGTTCAAGCAATTCTCCTGCCTCAGCCTCCCGAGTAGCTGGGATTACAGGTGCCCACCACAACACCCAGCTAATTTTTTTTGTATTTTTAGTAGAGACAGGGGTTTCACCATATTGGCCAGGCTGGTCTCGAACTCCTGACCTCAGGTGATCCACCTGCCTCGGCCTCCCAAAGTGCTGGGATTACAAGTGTGAACCACTGCGCCCAACCGTCCCTGGGTTTTTGAGTACACACGGTGAAAAAGTACTCCCTTGCAACTATTGCACATTGAGTTCTTGTTTCAAAGAACAAGGAGAAGCAGCTCAGCCCTGGCAAAACAAAAGAAAACACTTAGATTCAGAGATACCTGAGTTGGTGATGAACTCTGGCAATCTCTCCTCATTACCATACTGAAAACTCCACCCAGAAAGGAGCTTATTCACCATTGCTTAAATGTGCGATGTATGAGGTCTGTAGAAGCATGATCGGCAACTGTACGGTGCTGCCTTTACACTGCTACATACAATGACTCAGCTAACCAGCCTAATATAAGCCCGGTTTTCCACTTTGTGTGGGTAGGGACTGCTTTGGGGAATTATCCCCAGTGTTCTTATTTGTTACAAGTAATAAAATCCCCTTGGAAAGTCCTCGTTGGTTGTCGCCATTGGACTGTCACCTGCCAAGTCATGGAACCAATCCAGTGTGGGTAACAGAGTCACTCATGTTAAATGCCACATAATCAAATCGAAACTTAAAAAAAGAAAATAGATCCCAAAACAGACCACGTTTCCTTGAAAATGTGAGATTTCAATCTACTTAAGTTAATATAAGGAAATCCCCTCTACTGTAAACCTTATGGAAAAAAGTAACCTGATGTTAACCAATCAGCTTTTTTCTATTTTTTTTTACCTTGTTCCCACCCTCCGAAGCCCACTGTTCTGCCATTGCCCAGGGGGAGCTTTCATTCTATTATATAAAAGAGATACTGACCTGATTTATGAATTACAAATAAAAGCCAATTAGCCCCAGCTCGGTGGCTGACGTCTGTAATCCCAGCACTGTGGGAGGCTGAGGCGAGCGGATCACCTGAGGTCGGGAGTTCAAGACCACCCTGACCAACATGGAGAACCGTCTCTACTAAAAATACAAAATTAGCCTGGCGTGGTGGTGCATGCCTGTAATCCCAGCTACTTGGGAGGTTGAGGCAGGAGAATCGCTTGAACCCGGGAGGCGGAGGTTGTAGTGAGTCAAGATCGCACCATTGCGCTCCAGCCTGGGCAACAAGAACATAACTCTGTCTCAAAAAAAAAAAAGAAGCCAATTAGATCTATAATTAAATGCATTGTAATTTTTCTTTTGACATATACAAGGAAAAAAACTTACAAATTAGTATGTCTGTGCATTAAAAAGTCTGGAAAAACCCACAGCAAACTTAACAATGACAATCCTTGGGTAGGATAGTTGAGAGTGGGAGAGAAGAAGGTATGTAACTCCAACCTACATTGTTTACATTTTTATAACATTATACAATACTTTGTACGTTAATCAAATGTTTTAAGTTGAATTACTAAAAATTTTTTTTTTGAGTTGGGGTCTCACTCTGTTGCCCAGGCTGGAGTGCAGTGGGGTGATCTCGGCTCACTGCAACCTCTGCCTCCCAGGTTCAAGCGATTCTTCTGCCTCAGCCTCCTGAGTAGCTGGGATTACAGGCACGAACCACCAGGCATGGCTAATTTTTGTATTTTTAGTAGAGACGGGGTTTCACCACATTGGCCAGGCTGGTCTCGAACTCCTGACCTTGTGATCTGCCCACCTCGGCCTCCCAAAGTGCTGGGATTACAGACGTGAGCCACCGTGCCTGGTGAATTACTAAAATTTTTTAGAAGTTAGACCAGGCACAATGGCTCTCACCTATAATCCCAACATTTTGGGAGGCTGAAGTGAGAGGATCGCTTAAGCCCAAGAATTTGAGACCAGCCTGGGCAATGAGTGAGTCCCTATCTCAAAAAAAAAAAAAAAATTAAAAAGTCATTAGCCAGGCATGGTGGCACCTGCCTGTAGTCCCAGCTACTTGGGAGGTTGATGTGGGAGGACTGCTTGATCCCGAGAGGTTGAGGCTGCAATGAGCTATGATCACACCACTGCATTCCAGCTTGGGTGAGAGAGGGAGATTCTGTCTCTAAAAATAAATTTTAAAAAGTTTATTGAAACCTTGTTTTGTGTGTGCTCAGCACTCTGCCAGGGGTTAGAGAACTCACAAGGAAGTTCTCTTGAGGAACTTGGAATCTGGTTAGAGAGAAAAGCAGAACTTAGAGAATGATATAAGACAACAGCTGGAAAAAATGACCAAAAAGTGTACAGTCAGATGCCTTGAATAAGTTATTACATTTTCGGTTGTAATAAAAAATGAAAACATCCTTACGTAGATTACATTCTCTGCAGGAGGTTTTTTACAATGCAAATTGTCTCAGGTTCCAAGTTTTCTTACACTGGGACCTAGTCCAACTTTGAGTATCACTAAAAATCATAAATTGCTCAGTATCAGCTGGGCCAATTAAGCTGGAGTAATCTGTCCTCCATTGTATATCATTTATAGTTCTCAAAGACAGAATTTGGCTTGTCTGATGTCACTTGACAACAATAAGAATGGGGCTACTGGAGAGTAATTGGGTGAAGCTGAGGTATGAGGCAGGCGGGACTTACCTGTGGACCAGATTGAAGACTGGCCACAGCCAGGAAGAAGCGCCTACCAGTGCCATGACAGTTTACCCTTGCCATGGCAACACTCGGAAGTTACCGCCCATTTTCTCTCTATTCCTGAACAGGCTGCCCCTTAATTAGCATGTCATTAAAAGTGAGTATGGCCAGGTGCGGTGGATCACCTGAGGTCGGGAGTTCCAGACTAGCCTGGCCAACATGTTGAAACCCTGTCTTTACTAAAAATACAAAAATTAGCTGGGCATGGTGGTGCACACCTGTAGTCCCAGCTACTCGGGAGGCTGAGGCATGAGAATTGCTTGAACCTGGGATGCAGAGGTTGCAGTGAGCTGAGATGGCACCATTGCACTCCAGCCTGGGCAACAGAGCAAGCTCTATCTCGAAAAAAAAAAAAAAAGGTATAAGTATGACTGCAAAAGTGCCCCTGGGCTGCTACTCTAGGCACACTCCCTATGGGGAAAGTGCCCCTGGGCTGCTACTCTAGGCACACTCCCTATGGGGAAACTCTCCTCTGCAAGAACAGTCACTGAGCTCAGCCTCAGTAAAGCTGTTTTCTTCTATTGTCTGCTTGCTCTTGAGTTCCTTCCTGAGTGAAGCCAAGAACCTGCCCTGCATCAAAGCCACCTCAGAAGCACTTGGTATCTTTTTGTGTGTGTGTGTGTGTGTGTGTGTGTGTGTATAATGAGGCCTCCCTGATGTTATGTTCACATTACTTTGACTGGATTTTGGATGCTTGCAAAACTTTTTTATTTTTATTTCTTCGAGATGGGGTCTCACTCTGTTGCCCAGGCTGGAGTGCAGCGGCACTATCACGGCTCACTGTAGCCTGGACCTCCAGGGCTTAAGCAATCTTCTATCTCAGCCTCCCAAGTAGCTGGGACTGCAGGCATGCACCACCATGGTCAGCTAATTTTTGATAGAGACAGGGTTTCCCCATGTTGCCCAGGCTGGTCCTGAACTCCTGGACTCAACCCATCCACCCACCTTGGCCTCCGAAAGTGCTGGGATTGCAGGTTTGAGCCACTGTGCCCAGCCTTGTAAAACTTTTTTTTTTGAGACGGAGTCTCGCTCTGTTGCCCGGGCTGGAGTGCAGTGGCGCGATCTAGGCTCACTGCAACCTCCGCCTCCCAGGTTCAAACAATCCTCCTGCCTCAGCCTCCCGAGTAGCTGGGACTACAGGCGTGTGCCACCACGCCTCACTAATTTTTTGTATCTTTAGTAGATATAGGGTTTCACCATGTTAGCCAGGATGGTCTCTATCTCCTGACCTCGTGATCTGCCCGCCTCGGCCTCCCAAAGTGCTGGGATTATAGGCGTGAGCCACCGTGCCCGGCCGCCTTGTAAAACTTAAATCACACATTAACTGAAAAATCTCTTAGGATTTGTAATTTCCAATTTTAAAGAATTTTGTTATTATGCGTAACATACACATTCATTATACTAATAAATGAACACCAAAGGTACCCTCCCCCAACTTAAGATAAGAACTAGAATATCACCAATATGTCCCATTCTCTGTTTCTTCACTCTCTCATTCCTCTCCTTTTCTCCCTTTCACCCATGGGTGTCTGCTACTCTGAGTTTTGTATTTATCATTCCCATGCTTTTAAAATACTTTACCATAAAAGGATGTATCCCTAAACAACAACTTTTTTAGTTTTGCATATATTTTAAGCCTTATATAACTGGGATCATATAGATCTTTTCTCCTACATCTTATTCTTCCCACACTTAACATACAGGTTTATGAAGTTCATCCATGTTGACATAAGTAGCTGTAATTTATTTTCACTGCTCTATTGTATTCTCTTTTACAAATAAAGCACAATTTATTCATTGAGTTTCTTGTCAAGGAATATAGGAGTTACCAGCTTTTGGTATTTGAAGTAATGCTGGCATTGACATAATTATACATCTCCTTGGTAGGAATTTCTTTTTTTTTTTTTTTTTTTGTTGAGTTGGAGTCTCACTCTGTCACCCAGACTGGAGTGCAGTGGGGCGATCTCAGCTCACTGTAGCCTCTGCCTCCTGGGTTCAAGCGATTCTTCTGCCTCAGACTCCTAAGTAGCTGGGATTACAGGTGCCCGCCACCACGCCTGGCTAATTTTTGTAGTTTTAGTAGAGACAAGGTTTCTCCATGTTGGCCAGGCTGGTCTCAAACTCCTGACCTCAAGTGATCCGCCCACCTCGGCCTCCCAAAGTGCTGGGATTACAGACGTGAGCCACAGTGCCTGCCCAACAATGTATAATTTCACCAGAAGTATTTAAGGAGTCTCATTGATCCACATCCTTATCAATACTTTATATTGGCCTATTTTTAAATTTCTGCCAGGTATTTTATAAATACATTCTGCAGACAGCTGAACATATATTTATATTTTTATTTTCCCTGATGTCATTTTTGGGTTCAACTTTAACCTCAGTTTGAAGGTATCTTTTCGTCATGTCTTTATACACCTACACTTCTTACCTATCATTTTAAATAAATCTACTTTCTAGATGCCGAGTAAAGTGCTGTATGATGGTTAGGTTGATTGATTAATAACATTAATGATTCGCCAGCATGGCATCATCTGGGTAGTGCACTGGTACAATTCGTTGTCTTCAGCATTCCTTGTATCCCCTTTGCCTCAGTTCTATTTATCCTCCTCCCCAAAACATCAAGTTATTTCCTGGAGGATCAAGCTCTTGTGACTTCCATGCTGCATTATCTAAAAGAAACTGGCCTCCAAAGTTTAAGTATAATTTTAATATCAAGATATATGTTTTTGGTATGTGTTTAGAATTTGGAGCCACTCACTGAATTCTGCAATTGCTGAAACTAAAATCTAAAAATCCAACTCAGCAATTATTTCTTTTTTTTTTTTTTTGAGACAGAGTCTCACTCTGTCGCCCAGGCTGGAATGCAGTGGCGCGATCTCAGCTCAATGCAACCTCCGCCTCCCGGGCTCAAGTGATTCTCCTGCCTCAGCCTCCCGAGTAGCTGGGACAGGCGTGCGACACCACGCCTGGCTAATTTTTGTGTTTTTAGTAGAGACGGGGTTTCACCATGTTGGCCAGGATGATCTCGATCTCGACCTCGTGACCCGCCCGCCTCGGCCTCCCCAAATGCTGGGATTACAGGCGCGAGCCACCGCACCCGGCCAACTCAGCAATTTTTCTTTTTTTACTTTTTTTTTTTTTTTTTTGAGACGGAGTCTTGCTCTGTCGCCCAGGCTGGAGTGCAGTGGCACGAGCTCAGCTGACTGCAAGCTCCGCCTCCTGGATTCACGCCATTCTCCTGCCTCAGCCTCCCGAGTAGCTGGGACTACAGGCGCCCGCCACCACGCCCGGCTAATTTTTTGTATTTTTAGTAGAGACGGGGTTTCACCGTATTAGCCAGGATGGTCTGGATCTCCTGACCTCGTGATCCGCCCGCCTCTGCCTCCCAAAGTGTTGGGATTACAAGCATGAGCCACGGCGCCCAGCCCAACTCGGCAATTATTTCTTAGAGACCTACTTTATCAGTGTAATGCTGAAGTCCAACTTCAGGTTCTCTCCTTATGGTAGCAACCACGTTGTTCAGGTACACATTTCACAGTGAATAAGAGAATAATTCCTACTTGGTGATCGTATGCATATTCACAGTTTCACTGGAAAACAAAGGGTCTGGTAAGTTTTTTTGTGGGGCGGCTGGTGGTGGGAGTTAAGGAGTCATGGGTATTAGTAGCGGTTAAGGCTAAACATAATAATACTCAAGAAAAGATGAACTAGGTCTCTGAATTGAAATTCAATCATTTTTAATAGGTACTATTAAATTCTTATTAACACAGTATTAATAATACTAGGTATTCATGATTAACACTAAATTCTTAATAAGATTAAGAATGTAATCCTCACAACAAAGAGGTAAGTACTATTATTATCTTCATGTAGATGAGGAAAGGGAGATGCAGAGATGTTAAAAGTAACTTGCCCAAGGATCTGGGGCAATGGCTGCAATGATATAGCAAATATAGAGATAAAATACAAAGGCAAATAGATTTTTTGTTTTTGAATGATGTCAAGACTTTGAAGTTCTTTTTCTTTCCTTATTTTATTTTAATCACATTTCTATTTTCTGTAAACCCCATTCTAAAGCCCTATTCTTAGATTTCTGGCAGCTTGGACATCTACCCAGATGATTGGTATTTCAGTCTTTTTTCTTTTCAAAGTACTTACTTGTAGGTGGCAGTGTTAGTTTCAAACTCTGCTTTGCATTTTTCTGGGGAAGATTAGAAAAAGCCATCTGGTTAGCATCAACCTAAAAAATTCTTCTCTGAGTGGAACTTCCTTAAGAAGAAATTGTAAGAGAAGAGAGTGTGGTATAAAGCTAGGCAGAAGACAAATAGAAACATTTAGAAACAGAAGCATTAAATTCTGATACCTGGCCGTGGAAGGTGGCTCACACCTGTAATCCCAGCATTTTGGGAGGCTGAGTGGGGTGGAGCACCTGAGATAAGGAGGTTGAGACCAGCCTGGCCAACAAGGTGAAACCCCGTCTCTACTAAAAATACAAAAATCAGCTGGGTGTGGTGGTGCATGCCTGTAATCCCAGCTACTCAGGAGGCTGAGGCAGTAGAATCACTTCAGCCTGGGAGGCAGAGGTTGCAGTGAGCTGAGATCGTGCCATCGCACTCCAGCTTGGGCGACAAGAGTGAGACTCCCATCTCAAAAAAAAAAAAAAAAAAAAAAGAATTCTGATACCTATGAGAATTACCTTTCTGTACAATTAATTCATTCTTCTTCCAGTGCTTTTCTTTTCTTTTCTTTTGAGACAGAGTCTCGCTGTGTTGCCCAGGCTGGAGTGCAGTGGCCCGATCTCGGCTCACTGCAACCTCCGCCTCCCGGGTTCAAGTCATTCTCCTGCCTCAGCCTCCCAAGTAGCTGAGACTACAGGCCCACGTCACCACGCCCAGCTAATTTTTGTATTTTTAGTAGAGATGGGGTTTCACCATGTTGGCCAGGATGGTCTCAATCTCTTGACCTTGTGATCCGCCTGCCTCCCAAAGTGCTGGGATTACAGGCGTGAGCCACCATGCCTGGCCCAGTCCTTTTCTTCACTTTATCTTTTGAGGAAAGGTTTTTTTGAATGAAACCTTGCTCCTTGATAACATTTTTCTAGCTCTTGAGGTTTAACCTTGTTCACATACAACTTGTTTCGTCTTGAATTTTGGGCTTTTTTCTATTTAGCTGTCTTTTATATTCAGGTTTTCATTACTGCCACCTCCACCTCCCACATGGTGATATTCTTGATGTAGCTATTGGCATAGACCAGAATCTGGCGAATTGGTGGTGTTCGGTACTAAATATCTGTTGATCAACGGAATGAACAAATGAATGAATGAATGAAGACCTTCTCAGGAAAAGAAACAAGATAAAAGCGAGTAAATGTGAAATATATCCTTACTGATATATTTTGTGTTTATGATATTGATTTTATTCTTTTACATAACCCTAGAATTTATTAACCTTTACATAATCATAAAAAGTCTACAGATTCGTATAATTTCAGGACTCAGCTTAGGAAAATCAAATGCTAACCTAAAAGGGACTATTAGTTCAGTGAGAAGACTTATTTTGGTCAAACTAACTCATTTAATTGCAGTTATTCTTTTTTGTTACCTTTATTAATTGCAGTTATTCTATCTAGTTATTTGGAACCTACCACTAAGAAAGATTTTTTTAGATTCTCACTGCCTAGGAAATTACTCTTCTAATTGCAGAATTTGTCTTGTACTCTGAATTCTTTAGAATACTATCTTAAATTGTATGATTCCTTACAGTTTTCAAAGTAATAAAAGTTAAGAACTGTGATATTATTCTGGGCCATATTGAATCATATGTTCAATAAATATCCCTTGATGACAAAAAAAAGAAAGAAAAAATGAGATATCAATTTGCATTTATTTTGATTCTTATTTTTTTATTTTTATGGCTACATAGTAGATGTTTATATTCATGGTGTAGATGAGATATTTTGATACAGACATACAACGTGTAATAATCATGTCAGAGTAAATGGAGCATCCACGACCTCAAGCATTTATGATTTCTTGTGTTACAAACATTCCAACATACTCTTTTTTTTTTTTTTTTTTTTTTTTTTTTGAGACGGAGTCTTGCTCTGTTGCCAGGCTGGAGTGCAGTGGCACTATCTCGGCTCACTGCAACCTCGGCCTCCCGGGTTCAAGCAATTCTCCTGCCTCAGCCTCCTGAGTAGCTGGGACTACAGGCACGCACCACCATGCCCGGCTAATTTTTGTATGTTGTAGAGATGGGGTTTCACCATGTTGGCCAGGATGGTCTCGATCTCTTGACCTCATGATCTGCCTACTTTGGCCTCCCAACGTGCTGGGATTACGGGCATGAGCCACTATGCCCGATCCCAACGTACACTTTTAGTTATTTTAAAATGTACAATAAATTTTTGTTGATTGCAGCCTGGGCGCAGTGGCTCACGCCTATAATCCCAGCACTTTGGGAGGCCGAGGCGGGTGGGTCACCTGAGGTTGGGAGTTCGAGACCAGCCTGACCAACATGGAGAAACCCTGTCTCTACTAAAAATACAAAATTAGCCGGGCATGGTGGTGCATGCCCGTAATCCCAGCTGCTTGGGAGGCGGAGGCAGGAAAATCACTTGAACCCGGGAGGTGGAGGTTGTGGTGAGCCAAGATCATGTCATTGCACTCCAGCCTGGGCAACAAGAGCAAAACTCCATCAAAAAAAAAAAATTATTGACTGTAATCACTCTGTTGTGCTATCAAACACTAGTTTTTATTCATTCTGTCTAACTATAGTGTTGTATCCATTGACCATCCCCACTTTCCTGCCCCCACTTCCCTTTCCAGACTCTTTCCTACCCATCATTATCATTCTACCTCTATCTCCATGAATTGATTTGTTTTAATTTTTAGCTTCCACAAATAAGTGAGAACATACAAAGTTTTTCTTTCTGTTTCTGGCTTATTTCACTTAACATAATGTCCTACAGTTCAATCCATGTTGTTGCAAATGACAGGATCTCTTTTTTTTTTTTTTTTGGCTGAATAGCACTCCATTGTGTATATGTACGACATTTTCTTTATCCATTCGTCTGTTGATGAACACTTAGGATGCTTCCAAATCTTGGCTACTGTGAATAGTGCTACAATAAACATGAGAGTGCAGATATCTCTTCGGTATTCTGATTTCCCTTCTTTGGGGTATATACCTAGGAATGGAACTGCTGGATCATATGGTAGTTCTTTTTTAGTTTTTTTGAGGAACCTCCAAACTGTTCTTCATAGTGGCTGTACTAATTTACATTCCCATCAGCAGCGTATGAGGGTTTCCTTGCCAGCATTTGTTGCTGCCTGTCTTGGATAAAAGCCATTTTAACTGGGGTGAGATGACACCTCATTGTAGTTTTGTCTTTGTCTGATGATCAGTGATGTTGAGCACCTTTTCATATACCTGTTTGCTCTTTGTATGCCTTTTTTTTGAGAAATGCCTATTGAGATCTTCTGTCCATGTTGTAATCGGATTATTAGATTTTTTTCCTGTAGAGTTGTTTGAGCTCCTTATACATTCTGGCTATTAATCCCTTGTGAGATGAATAGTTTGCAAATATTTTCTCCCATTCTGTGGGCTGTCTCTTCACTTTGTTGATTGTTTCCTTTGCTGTGCAGAAGCTTTTTTAACTTGATGTGATCGCATTTGTCCATTTTTGCTTTGGTTGCCTGTGCTTGTGGAGTATTACTCAAGAAACCTTTGCCCAGACCAATGTTCTGGAGAGTTTCCCCAATGTTTTCTTGTAGTGGTTTCATAATTTGAGGTCTTAGATTTAAGTCTTTAATCCATTTTCATTTGATATTTTGTACATGGTGAGAGATAGGGGTCTAGTTTTATACTTCTGCATATGAATGTCCAGTTTTCCCAGCACTATTTATTGAAGAGACTGTCCATTCCCCAGTGTATGTTCTTGGCACCTTTGCAGAAAATGAGTTCGCTGTAGATGTGTGGATTTATTTTGGGGTTCTCTATTCTGTTCCATTGGTCTATGTGTCTGTTTTTATGTCAGTACCATGCTGTTTGGTTACTATAGCTCTGTAGTATAATTTGAAGTCAGGCAATGTGATTCCTCCAGTTTTGTTCTTTTTGCTTAGGATGACTTTGGCTACTCTGGGTCTCTTGTGGTTCCATATAAATATGAATATTATTTTTTCTATTTCCATAAAGAATGTCATAGGTATTTTGATAGGGATTGCATTGAATCTGTAGATTGCTTTGGGTAGTATGGACATTTGAACAATATTGATTCTTCCAATCCATGAAGATGAAATATTTTTTCCATTTTTTGGTGTGTGTCCTTTTCCATTTCTTGCATCAATGTTTTCTAGCTTTCATTTTAGAGATCTTTCACTTCTTTGGTTAAATTTATTCATAGGTATTTTATTTGTAGCTATTGTAAATGGGATTACTTTCTTGATTTCTTTTTCAGATTGTTTGCTGTTGGAATGTAGAAATGCTACTGATTTATGGCATGTAGAAATGCTACTGATTTTTGCATACTATATTGATTTTCCATCCTGCAACTTTACTGAATTTGCTTATTGGTTCTAATAATTTTTTTGGTGAAGTCTTTAGTTTTTTTCCAAATATAAGACCATATTATCTGCAAACAAGGATGATTTGACTTTTTCCATTCCAATGCGGATGCCCTTTATTTCCTTCTTGTCTGAGTGCTCTAGCTAGGACTTCCTGTACTATGTTGGATAACAGTGGTGAAAATGGGCATCCTTGTTGTACTCCAGGTCTTAGAGGAAAGGCTTTCAGTTTTTTTTCCCCCTTTCAGAATGATACTAGGTCATATATGGCTTTTATTGTGTTGAGCTATGTCCCTTCCTCATCCGTTTTTTTTGAAGAATTTCATCATGAAAGAATGTTGAATTTTATAAAATGATTTTTCAGCACCAATCGAAATGATAATATGGTTTTTGTCCTTCATTCTGTTCATATGATGTATCACAGTGGCTGATTTGCATATGTTGAAACATCCTTTCATCCCTGGGATAAATCCCACTTAGTCATGATAAATGATCTTTTTAATGTGTTTTGGAATTTGGTTTGCTAGCATTTTGTTGAGGATTTTTGCATCAATGTTCATCAGAGATATTGGCCTGTAGTTTGTTTGTTTGTTTGTTTTTTTAATGTGTCTTTGTCTGGTTTTGGTATCAGGGTAATACTGGCCTCGTAGAATGAGTGTGGAAGTATTCCCTCTGCTTCTGTTTTTTGGAATAGTTTTAATAGGATTGGTATTAGTTCTTTGAACATTTGGTAATATTCAGCAATGAAGCCATTAGCTCCCGAGGTTTTCTTTGCTGGGAGACTTTTGTTATGGGTTCAATCTCATTATTTTGTTATCGGTTTTTTTCAGGTTTTGGATTTCTTCATGGTTCAACATTGGTAGGTTGTATGTGCCTAGGAATTTATCCATTTCTTCCAAGTTTTCTAACTTATTGGCATATAGTTGCTTATAGTAGTTTCTAATTATCTTTTGAATTTGTTTTTTTTTTTCTTTTCTTTTTTCTGAGACAGAGTCTTGCTCTGTTGCCCAGGCTGGAGTGCAGTGGTGCAATCTCAGCTCACTGGAACTTCCGCCTCCTGGGTTCAAGGAATTCTTGTGCCTCAGCCTCCCAAGTAGCTGGGATTACAGGCATGTACCACTGCGCCCAGCTAATTTTTGTATTTTTTAGTAGAAATGAGGTTTCATCGTGTTGGCCAGGCTGATCTCAAACTCCTGGCCTCAAGTGATCATCCTGCCTCAGCCTCCCAAAGTGCTGGGATTACAGATGTGAGCCATTGCACACGGACTGAATTTTATTTATTTACTTTTTTTCTTAATACATTTCTGTATTTTCCAATTTTTCTCTAAGAAGACTTCATTCTTACAGTCTTAGAAAACAATAAATTCTATTTAACCCCCACCCCACCTAATCAGCCATTAATCACTCCATACAAATGAGTACTCAAATTTATACTTTATTACAGTAATTCCTGACAGCAGTAATTTCAACTTGAAATTTCCAGAGATTCTTTCCAGGTGAATGAACAGAGAACTACGTTCACAGTATAGTCATGTAGAATTTGCAATTGCCTTCTTTGATTGTGTTGTCTATTCTCAGGCAATATCTAAGTTGAAATTACATGCTGACATACTTAAAATGATGTAGTGCATATTAATTTATTTCCTTTTCTATCTTTAATACATCTTTTTTTAACATGTAAAATGAGGAGTACAGATAGTTGCCAAACTGCATCTTAGCTCTTATACTGTAGTATCATTAGCTGAGATTGTTATATAATAAATTCATTAGAGATAGCTTGTGCAACAGTATGTTTTGAATTCCTATGAACACTTTTTTTTTTTTTGAGATGGAGTCTTGCCCTGTCACCCAGGCTGGAGTGCAATGGCACGATCTTGGCTCACTGCAACCTCCACCTCCTGGGTTTAAGTGATTCTCCTGTCTCAGCCTCCTGAGTAGCTGAGATTACAGGCATGTGCCACCATGCCTGGCTAGATATATATATATATATATATATATATATATATATATATATATATATATGTGTGTGTGTGTGTGTGTGTGTGTGTATGCGTGTATATATACACACGCATATACACGCATATATGTATACGTATATGCGTGTATATATGTATGCACGCATATATGTGTACACGTATATACATATATACGTATATGTACATATATACATATATGTATATATACGTATATGTACATATATACATATATGTATATATACGTATATGTACATATATACATATATGTATATATACGTATATGTACATATATACATATACGTATGTGTGTATATGTATATGTGTGTATATATATACATATATACACACATATATATATACACACATATTATATATATATACACACACACACATATATATATACGCTTTTTTTTTTTTTTAGACCGAGTCTTGCTCTGTTGCCTAGGCTGGAGTGCAGTGGTGCCATCTCGGCTCACTGCAACCTCTGCCTCCCAGGTTCAAGTGATTCTCCTGCCTCAGCCTCCTGAGTAGCTGGGACTACAGGCGCGTGCCATCACGCCCAGCTAATTTTTTGTATTTTTAGTAGAGATGGGGTTTCACCGTGTTAGCCAGGATGGTCTCGATCTGCTGACGCTGTGATCCGCCCACCTCGGCCTCCCAAAGTTCTGGGATTACGGGCGTGAGCCACTGTACCTGGCCTAATTTTTTGTATTTTTAGTAGAGAGGGGGTTCCTCCATGTTGGTCAGGCTGGTCTTGAACTCCTGACCTCAGGTAATCTGCCCGCCTCAGCCTTCCAAAGTGCTGGGATTACAGGCATGAGCCACTGTGCCCGGCATTTTTTTTTTGAGACGGAGTTTCCCTAGCTTCCCTCTTGTTGCCCAGGCTGGAGTGCAATGGCACGATCTCAGCTCACTGCAACCTCCCGAGGCAGAGGTTGCAGTGAGCTGAGATCGTGCCATTGCACTCCAGCCTGGACAACAATTCAAGCGATTCTCCTGCCTCAGCCTCTTGAGTAGCTGGGATGACAGGCACCCACCACTACGCTCAGCTAATTTTTGTATTTTAGAGATGGGATTTCGCTATGTTGGCCAGACTGGTCTTGAACTCTGATCTCAGGTGATCCACCCCCCTCAGCCTCCCAAAGTGCTGGGATTACAGGCATGGACCACTGAGGCTGGCCATTTTCTTTTAAAAGACTGTTTTCAACTGCTCTGAAGGGAGCCAGTATAACTTGGTAGTTAAGCAGTTAAAAATAACAAGCTTGGAAACAAACAAACCTGTTTGTATCCTAGCTGTAGCTTTAAATTATTGTCAGGCCTTGGGCAGTTTACTTTATAGCTCTTATCTTCAGCTTTGCCATTTGCAAAACAGGGGAAATAATGGAACTCCTTTTGTAAAATTGGTTGTGAGGAATAATGACATGTGTACATAAAGTGCTTTGCATCCCGTTTGGTCGAGCAGTGTTTATGGAGTACCAACCCTGTGGCAGGCATTGTGCCAAGCTCCTGCTTATCTCAGTACTGCTTTCTTTCTTATCTCAAATTTTCACCTAACTTCTACTCTTCAAGGAAAGGTTCCCCTGAACCCTCTGAGTTAGTGCAGTTAGTTCAGGTTCTCCATGAAGTGAATGCCAAGAAGAGACATGGACGTATGAATGTACCAATGCGCACTCATGCACAAAGGAAGTAGAACTCCCAGATCTTGTAAATTCCCTCCAGTTTACTCAGTGGGCATATTCTTCTACCTTCTCTCTTCTGGGCCAAGAGAGCCCTGTAGGCTGGTTAGCATCTCTCTAAACAATCTGCCTCCCCACTCCCATCTCCTTTTGAAAAAGCAACATTTTCAGCAGACATAACAGAAGCATGTTGGGTATACAGGAATAGGGATGTAAATTAACAAATCCAGGATGAAGGAACCTAGAATTAGCTGTAGAATGATTGCAAATCACAGAAGAGCTTGCATGCCAAATACAAAATAAAAAATCACAAAAACCACATCAAAAGTCCCCAAGTCCCTCACTACTACCCTTCTTTGCTGATTCTGCCCCAAGGTTTGGGGTTGAGTGTGGGAGGAGGCTACGCTCTGCTGGGGGAGAAGGCATGGAGCGCCGGAGTCAGGCTATCTCTAAATTCAAAGCTTGTCTTTGGCATTATTTGTGGGACATTGAACAAGTTGCTTGGCTGGAGATTCAGTGTTCTCACCCATAAATTGGAGATAATTATAGTAGCTCTATTAGAGGGCTGTTAATCAGATTATAAAGGGTAATTGATGTAAAATGCTTAGCAAGGTGCCTGGCATATAGTAAGCTCCCAGTAAATCTCTCTACTATCAATTTTTTCAGGGCATCTGCAATACCCTACCTACTTAAGCCATTTTCAAAATGTGATCCACATACATTTTCAGGCATCATGATGTCAAAAACTATATAAAAATACTTAGAATTGGCCAGGCATGATAGCTCATGCCTGTAATCTCAGCACTTTGGGAGGCCGAGGTGGGTGGATCTCCTGAGGTCAGGAGATCGAGACCATCCTGGCCAACATGGTGAAACCCCATCTGTACTAAAAATACAAAAATTAGCTGGGCATGGTGGCTCATGCCTGTAATCCCAGCTACTTGGGAGGCTGAGGCAGGAGAATCGCTTGAACCAGGAAGTCAGAGGTTGCAGTGAGCCAAGATCGAGCCACTGCACTCCAACCTGGTGACAGAGTGAGACTCCGTCTCAAAAAAGAAAAAAATAACACTAAGAGTTTATTTACTGTTTTTCGTGTTAAAATTGGCTTTGATGGTTCAAAAGCAAACTATTGCAGATCACAATGTGATATCACTCTACAACTACCAAGATTGCTATAAGAAAAAAGACAGTTATAAGCATTGATGAGGATGTGGAGAAATTGAAACACTCACAGGCTGCTGATGTTAATGTAAAATAGTGCAGCCACTTTGGCAAACAGTTTGGTAGTTCCTCAAAAAATTAAACATAGTGTTACCCTATGACCTAAAAATTTAACTCCTAGGTATATACCCAAGATAGTTGAAAACATGTTTAAACAGAAACTTATACATGAATGTTTGTATTAGTCTGTTCTCACACTGCTATAAACCTGAGACTGGGTAATTTATAAAGGAAAGAGGTTTAATTGCCTCACAGATGCACATGGGTGCAGGAGCCTGAGGAAACTTACACTCATGGTGGAAGGTGAAGGGAAAGCAAGAGCCTTCTTCATGTGCTGGCAGGAGAGAGAAGAGTGAGTGGAGGAACTTGCCAAACACTTATAAAACCATGAGATCTCATGAAAACTCACTCACTGTCACAAGAATAGCACGGGAAAAACTGCCCCCATGATCCAATCACCTCCCAGCAATTTCCTCCCTCAACAACTGGGGATTATAATTCAAGATGAGATTTGTGGGGGAAGGAGGGAAGCCTAACCATATCAATGTTTATAGCAGCATTATTTATAATAGCCAAAAAGTAGAAACAACGCTAATGTCCATCACCTGATGAATGGATAAACAAAGTGTGCTATACCCTATAATAGAATATTGGGCTGATAATACTTTTCGGTGGGAGAGGGGGCACTGTCCTATGCATTGTTAGGATGTTTAGCAGAATCCATGGTTTCTACTCCTTAGATGTCAGTAGTAACTCTCTCCTCTTAAGTCGTGATAGCCAAAAATATCATTGCCAAATGTCCCGAGGACAAAGTCACCTCCAGTTGAATACCACTGATACAAATTAATAGTCCTTATATTCTTCACTGCCATTCACTTGCAGTTTTAAAAAACTTCCAGTTTTATTTAAGAATGTTCTTAATGAAGCAATGAAAATTGCAAATTGGATTGTTTTCACCCGTGAATACACATCTTTTAAAATATTCTGTATGAAAAAAAGAAGCATTTATAAAGCACTTCTGCTGCATACCAAAGAACTCTCAAACAAGTGCTTTTCTCTAAGCACTTGTGGGAATGAGTTGCAGGCTGAACTCACTGATTTTATCATGAAACACCATTTTAATTAAAAGATCTATTGACTGACAAGCTGGTTATTCACACTTAGGTACTTGGAAAACATTTTCATGAAAATAAATAACATCTATTTGTTGACATTCATATAACTGAACTTTCAAGCAAAAATAACAATTTGGTAAAGGTTGCATCATCACTGTGATCTTGATTGCTTCCAAATACTTAAAGATTCTGGCCGGGTGTGGTGGCTCACACCTGTAATCCTACCACTCTGGGAGGCTGAGGCAGGCGGATCACTTGAGGTCAGGAGTTCAAGACCAGCCTAGCCAGCATGGTGAAACCCTATCTCTACTAAAAATACAAAAAAATTTAGCCAGACATGGTGGTGCGCACCTGTAGTCCCAGCTACTCGGGAGGCTGAGGCAGGAGAATTGCTTGAACCCGGGAGGTGGAGGTTGCAGTGAGCCGAGATCGTGCCACTATATTCCCCACTGTGCGACAGAGTGAGACTCCGTCTCAAAAAAAAAAAAAAAAAAAACTTAAAGACTCTTCTTCTGATGAGATTGGAAGTGATATTAACAAATGTGATGTGTTTGATAATGTAGGGTAAAATGTGTCAACATTTGGAAGATCTGCATAACTCAGTGAACCAATATTTCTAAATGACAAGTGTAACATGTCACGAATCATGCATGGTTTGAGAGATTTATTCAAAGTGCAACACGCGGTCAGGCGCGGTGGCTCGTGTCTGTAATCCCAGCACTTTGGGAGGCTGAGGCGGGCAGATCATCTGAGGCCAGGAGTTTGAGACCAGCCTGGCCAACATGGCGAAACCCCATCTCTACTAAAAATACAAAAATTAGCCAGGCTCGGTCGTGGGCACCTGTAATGGAGGCTGAGGCAGGAGAATTGCTTGAACCTAGGAGGTGGAGGTAGCAGTGAGCCAAGATTGTGCCACTGCACTCCAGCCTGGGCGACAGAGTGAGACTGTCTCAAAAAAAAAAAAAAAAAAAAAAAATCAAACCAAACCAACACAAAAACCAAAGTGCAACATGGACCAAAAGTTTTTTTCTTTTTAACAGCTTCTTTGAGGTATAATTGAGACATAATAGGTTGTACATGTTTTTTCCTATAAATACACAAATGAAACTACCAGAATAATCAAAATAATGAACATGGGTATCACTCCCAAAAGTTTCTTTGTATTCCTTTTACCTCTTCCTCCTGCCCTTCTTTGCCCTTCCCCATCCCCTACACCCTCATCTTCCAGGCTGCCACTCACCTGCCTTTTCTCACTAAGGATTTGTTTGCATTTTTTGGAATTTTATATAAATAGGATCATATATACTTTTCAAAAAATCTTTTTCTTTCACCGATTGCAATTACTTTGAGATTAATCCATGTATCATTGCTTGTGTCAATAATTTATTTTTATTCTGAGCCGTATTGTACTGTATGGATATACCATGAATTGTTTATCCATTTACTTGGTTTTAATTTTCTTTTTTGTTTTTTGAGACGGAATTTTGTTCTTGTTTCCCAGGCTGGAGTGGAATTGCGCGATATCGGCTCACTGCAACCTCTGCCTCCTGGGTTCAAGTGATTCTCCTGCCTCAGCCTCTCGAGTAGCTGTGATTACAGGCATATGCCACCCTGATCGGCTAACTTTGTATTTTTAGTAGAGACGGGGTTTCTCTATGTTGGTTAGGCTGGTCTCGAACTCCCGACCTCAGGTGATCCACCCACCTTGGCCTCCCAAAGTGCTGGGATTACAGGCGTGAGCCACCGTGCCTGGTCTGGTTTTAATTTTTATCTTAAATTTATTTTTAGTTTTGTTTTTAGAGATAGGGTCTCACTCTGCTTGTAGTGGTAGAATCAGAGCTCACTGCAGCTTCAAACTCCTGGGTTCCAGTAATCCTCCCTCTTCAACCTCCCTAGGAGGTAGGAGCAAGTTTGTCCAAACCTCAGTCCACAGGCTGCATATGGTCCAAGACAGCTTTGAATGCAGCCCAACACAAATTTGTAAACTTTCTTAAAACATTATGATATTTTCTTTCCAATTTTGTTTTTTCTAGCTCATCAGCTATTGTATTTTATGTGTGGCCCAAGACAATTCTTCTTCCAGTGTGGCAGCCAAAAGATTGGATACTCCTGGTATAGGTAGAAATGGGGGTCTCACTGTGTTGCCAGGCTGGTCTCCAACTCCTGGCCTCAAGCAGTCCTCCCACCTTGGCTTCTCAATGTGCTGAGATTACAGGTGTGACCACTCTCAGCCCATCTGCCTGTTAATGGGTATTTGTGTTACAGGTTTTTTAGGTTTTTTTTTTTGTTTTTTTTTTTTTTGGGACACGGTCTTGTTGTGTCACCCAGGTTGGAGTGCAGCAGTGGTGCAATCACAGCTCCCTGCAGCCTCCACCTCCTAAGCTTACACGATTGTCCTTCTTCAGCCTCCCTAGTAGCTGAGATTGCTATTTGTTTTTAGTAGAGACAGGGTTTCGCCAAGTTGCCCAGGCTGGTCTCCAACTCCTGGCCTCAAGCAATCCTCCCGCCTTGGCCTCCCAAAGGGTTGGGATTACAGGTAATTACAAATACAGTTGCTATGAACATTTGTGTACAAGTCCTTCTGTGGACATGTGCTTTCATTTCTTTTGAGTAAATACCTAGGGATGGAATGTCTGAATCATATGCAAATAAATGTATGCTTACCCTTTTAAGAAACTTCCTAAGTTTTTTCCAAAGTGCTTGTACCATTTCATATTCCCATTAGTAGTGTATGAGTTTCAGTTGCTCTATGTTCTGACAAATTCTTGGTATGACTAGTCTTTTGGAATTTACCATCAAATAGGTAGGGTATGTTGTTGAGGTCTTAATTTATATTTTTCTCTTAATCTGTATTTCTTCTAATGACTAATGATGTTGCATATCTTTTCATGCCTTTATTTGTCATCCATATATGGCTTCTTTGATGAAATGTCTCTTCAAACCTTTTGCCCATTTTTTTGGGTTACTATTGAGGTATGAGAGTTCAAAAAATAGACACTCTGGATATAAATTTTTTTTTTTTTTTTTTTTTTTTTTTTTTTGTGGACAGAGTCTTGCCCTGTCACCCAGGCTGGAGTGCAATGGCGTGATCTCGGCTCACTGCAACCTCTGCCTCCCGGGTTCAAGTGATTCTCCTGCTTCAGCCTCCCAAGTAGCTGGGACTACAGGCGCCTGCCACCATGCCAGGCTAATTTTTGTATTTTTAGTAGAGTCGGGGTTTCACCATATTGGCCAGGCTGGTCTCGAACTACTGACCTTGTGATCCACCCACCTCGGCCTCCCAAAGTGCTGAGATTACAGGCGTGAGCCATCTTGCCCAGCCTGGATATAAATTATTTACCAGGGCCTGGCATGATGGCTCACACTTGTAATTCCGGCACTTAGAGAGTCTGAGGCAGGTGGATTGCTTGAGTCAAGGAGTTCGAGACCAGCCTGGGCAACATGGGGAAACTCCATCCTCTATAACAAATACAATAATTAATCAGGCATGGTGGTGCACACCTGTAGTCCCAGCACTAAGGAAGTTGAGGTGGGAGGATCACTTGAGCCTGGGAAGTCGAGGTAGCAGTGAGTCGTGAGCATGCCACTACACTCCAGCTCTTTTGAGACACAGCAAGACCCTATCTCAAAAAAAAAAAAAAAAAAAAAAACAACCACACACACACATTCTTATCAGATACGTGATTTGCAAATAGCTGCTTCAGTTTTTGGCTTGTCTTTCCATTCTCTTTCTGGGGCTGCAGTGACCTATCATAATGCCATCATACTCCTGGGCTCAAGTGATTCTCTGCCTCATCCTCTCAAGTAGCTGGGACTACAGGTGCATGCCACCATGCCCGCCTCAAATTTTTGATGCTGTTGTAGATGGTATTTTAAATTTCAATTTCAGATTGTTTATTGCTGGTGTACTACAAATGCCATTGACATTTGTGTATTGATTTTACGACCTGTAGTCTTGGTCATTTATTTGATCTGATAGTTTTTTGTAGATTTTGTGCCAGAGTTTTCAATAAATAAAACAAATAAAACCAGTTTTACTTCCTTCTTTGCTAATTTGAATGCCTTTTTTTTTTCCTTGCCTTATTGCACAGGCTAGAATCCCCAGTACAATATTGAACATAAGTTGTCAGAGCAGAAATCCTTGCCTTGTTCCTGATCTTAAGTTGAAAGCACTGTTCTTCACCATTAAGTGTGATGCTTTTTATAGACACTCTCTATCAAGTTGAGGAAGTTTCCTTGTAATCTTAGGAATGGATACTGGATTTTGTCCAATGCATTTGCTGCATGTATTGAGATTATCAAATGGTTTTTCTTTTTTAGTTTGTTAATATGGTAAATTACATTGCTTGATTTACCAATGCTAATTCAACCTTGCATTCCTAGGATAAGCCCCTGTTTGGTTATAATGTATTATCTTTTTTATATATTTTTATGTATTTATATATTTATATATCTTTTTTATATAATCTACTTTTTACTGCCTTGTCTCATGTAAACCTGTGTAATTTCCCATTGGGTCCACCTTAGGAAACAGTCTTTAAAGTTTTCTCCGTAAAGCAAGTACCAGTATACTCTTTTATGGTCAATACAATGCTAATTCAACCTTGCATTCCTAGGATAAGCACCTGTTTGGATATAATGTATTATCTTTTTTATATACTGTGAAATAAAAGTGACTAGAATTGTGCATATTATGTTTATGAGAGATATTGGTCCATAGTTTGCTTGTTTAATATCTAGAGTTTGGGTATTAGTGTAATGCTGGCCCCACAGAATGAGCTGGGAAGTATTCCCTCCTCTTCAATTTTTGGAGGACTTTATCTAGAATTGGAATTATGTTTTCCTTATATATACCATGTTAACACCCTACAAAAGAAAGCCTAAGTAGCTGTAATACTATCAGACAAAATATACTTCAGAGCAAAGAACATTATCAGCAAAGAGGAGGGTCATTTGTAAAGTGGATAATTTCATAATAATGAAACTTTCATAAAGGATAAATTCATACAAATAAGAGAATAACTATGTTTATGCAACTAATAGCTGAGCTGCAAAGTACATGAAGCAGAAATTGATAGAACTACAATTGAAAAAAACCAGTAATAGTCAGAAATTTCAATACTCTCAATAATTAGTAGAATAAGTAGACAGTAAATCAGAAAGGATATAGATTTGAACACTAATATCAACCAACTTGACATGATTGACATTTATAGAACACTCCATGCAACAACTGCAAAAAACACATTCATTTCAAATGCACAGTGAGTATTTACCAAGACAGACTATATACTCTGGGCCACAGAACAAGTGTCAATAAGTTTAAAATTATTAATAGTGTACGAAGTACCTTCTCTGATCACAATGGGATTAAATCAGAAATCAGTAACAGGCAGCTACCTGGAAAACTCCTCCACATTTGCAGACCAACACTTACAAAAAACCCATGGTCAAAAAAAGAAAGCAATAGGGAAATTACAAAGTATTTTGAAATGAAGGAAAATGAAAATACAATATATCAAAATATGTGGAATGTAGCTAAAACAGTATAGAGGGACACTTATCACACCAAATGCCTGTACAAACAAGAGACATCTAAAATTAATGGTCATCAGTTTCTGAGTTAAGAAACTAGAGAAACAAAACAAGAAATTTAAAAATTAAAAAATAGCAGAGTAAAGGAAACAATAAACATAAGAGCAGAAATCAATAAAATAGAAAACAGAAAACCAGTAGAGAAAATCCAAGAAAGCAAAAACGGGCTTTGAGATTTGAGATCCGTAAACCGAGAAGCCCCTCACCAGATCGATCAGAAAAAAAGATGACACACAAATTACCAATTTCAGAACCTGAGGGGTCAGATTTTATAGACATTAAGTGGACAATAAAGGAATACAGCTAACAGATTTGCATTATTAAACAATTTAGACATTTCTACAAATTATTAAAGCTCACTCAAGAGGCGATATCAATAAATATTTGTTGAATTAGTGAATACCAGCTATTACTATGGGCAAGGCGCTAAGTCCAGGCTTTAGAGAGAAAGAAAGCATTTTTTTTTTTTTTTTTTTTTGAGACAAAGTCTTGCTCTGTCGCCCAGGCTGGAGTGCTGTGGCACGATCTCGGCTCACTGCAACCTCCGCCTCCCGGGTTCAAGCGATTCGCCAGCCTCAGCCTCTTGAGTAGCGGGGTTACAGGCGCACGCCACCAAGCTCGGCTAATTTTTGTATTTTTAGTAAAGATGGGGTTTCACCATGTTGGCCAGGCTGGTCTCGAACTCCTGACCTCGTGATCCGCCCGCCTCAGCCTCCCAAAGTGCTAGGATTACAGGGGTGAGCCACCGCGTCCGGCCAAAGAAAGCATTTTCCTTCCAAAGAAGCTCTCAGGTTACTGGAGGGGCAAAAGAACAGATAAAGTTTAATGTTGCTCCGGGGGAGAAGATTAGGGGAACACTGGTTAAAGAAAGGCTTCTCTGGGGACAAGTCACTCGGCCAACACACGAAGGACCCACAGAAAACGTCTGTTACAGCTAGAACGGCTGCACGTGAGTTCAGGCAAGGGGCCCAGAAGTGGCCCTCCGGCGACTGCCTGCTCCACCCCTCTTAGTGCAGTCCTAACCCTTTCCCAACTTGTGCTGGCAGCAGTTAAGAAACTCCTTTCAAATCCGGCTGTCTTGCGCCTGCGCATTCAAGCAAAGCGCTCATAGGCGGGGTGGGGGGGGTGGGGGGGGTTGGGGGGTGGGGGGGGTTGGGGGGTGGGAGGGAGGCGGCCACCGGAAGTGTGACCTTTCGCTCCCCGCTGCCTATTCTCATCCGGGGTCACGTCGGTCTTCCGGGTGTCTTTGACAGGGTTTTCTACGCCGCTTTTTCGGCGACTTTTTGCTCTTCCGCTTTTTGCCACCGCCCCCAACCTTCTATATCCTTGCAGCCCCTACCTTTTCTTGTGTTGCTCCTCCCCTGGCAGCCGTGAGGGGGGTTAGATCTCAGCCGGAGCCGGAGCTGGGCCTAGCTGTCCCACGGGCCACCACTACCTCCTTTGGTTCGGGAGAAAGCTACGACCAAGTACGCCCAGCTCGGGCCTTAGAACTTCTGAACGGGCAGTGCGGGTAGGCCCTGCTTAGCCCTTCCCGGAGGACACCTGTGAGTTTAGGGGGTTTCGGAGAGGAACGCAGCAGTGTAGGCCCAGGTCGGCGGCGGGGCACGGGAAACTTTTCCGAAACGGTAGCGTTTTGTTTTGCGTGGGAGGTTCCAGCAGTATCTCTTGGTTATTCCAAATTTATGGGCGGCATCTGGGCTGCTGTACATTTTGAAGAATCTTAGGACCGCTTACTTTGCTTACTCGTTTTCTATTCCTCGCGTACTGCCTCGTCCACCACTCCAGGACCAAAAGAGGAAGATAGTCTTGGGACCCTTGCATGGTGTTTCAAAGGGTGGTGAAGAACTAAGGTACGTAGCTGGATTAATTAAAAAATTTAAAAGGCATTTATCTTTTAAGCCTTAATTAAATGGCATGAAATTGCTTCAGCTTTTCACTTTATAGGAAAATGCACAGGTTAAGACTGTTGTGTGCGTTTCTTTTCTTGTTCAGCCTTTGTAGAAAAGCTCTTCGTCTCTCAAGGTGAGAACACGAAAGGCTTATATGTCTCAAAACTTATGGATTCTCTAAATTACTTGTCTTATCTCTTTCAACTCTTTGTTTAAAGTAGCAGATATTTTTCATTAGGGTGAACAGAGAAGAAACAAAGGGAAACTGTAAAACACAAGCTAAATAACACATGTGCAGTGTATGATTTTGTGAAGAAAGAGATTGTAACTGATTACTAAATCTGTGTTTTTATATTACAGGTAACATAGTAACTTTTGTAAATATCTTCATATTGTATGGTTCAGTACCACCAGGCTTCTAACACGTACTGATTAACAGCCATAAGGCTATTAATTTATACTGATTAATAGCCAGTAATAGTGACGTTACTTTGTTGGTGTGAATAGCCCTAATTATGTCTGTTCTGGAAATGTCCTGTAACAGGTTCCATGTGAAATAGGCCGTTTATGAGTTGTTTAAGAAATGCCCATTTGGAGCCATGTGACTAGATTATTTTTTTGAACACTTGGGTGTAATTTAATTCTTAACCAAAAGGAATATCCTGTTCAAAACCTGGAAGTAGTTTTCACAGTGGGTTGGCAGGATTTAGGAACTGGATTTTTCGTATTGTGGAGAAAAGTGGGTTTGAGATATCAAAGGTATTTGGACAAAATGGACAGTATCTTGGTTTAGCCAGTAAATTTCTGGTTTTCATTCTAGGTATATTCTGCTTTCTAAAGAATCCTGATGAAGGAATTATATATAACCTTGAGTGTTCTCTAATTTGTTGGAGGAGAGGTCAAGTTGAGGACAGAAATTCCAGGTTGCAAATTCCAGGACCAAATACTTTATAACTAGAAATTACTAGGAATTAATCTTTTTTTTTTTTTTTTTTTTTTTTTTTGCAAGACGGAATCTTGATCTTGTCACCCAGGCTACAGTGCAATGGCACTATCTTGGCTCACTGCAGCCTCTGCCTCCTGGGTTCAAGCGATCTCCTGCCTCAGCCTGCCGAGTAGCTGGGATTACAGGCACGTGCCACTATGCTTGGCTAATTTTTGTATTTTTAGTAGAGGCAGGGTTTCACCATGTTGGCCAGGCTGGTCTCCAACTCCTGACCTCAGGTGATCCATCCGCCTCGGCCTCCCAAAGTGCTGGGATTACAGGCGTGAGCCACTGTGCCCGGCCGAATTAATCTACTCTTTTACTACCTTGTCTCATGTAAACCTGTGTAATTTCCCATTGGGTCCACCTTAGGAAACCGTCTTTAAGGTTTTCTCCGTAAAGAAAGTACCAGTATACTCTTTCATGGTCAAGTACAGATTGTGGAACTGATAACTTTTAAGGTAAGGAAAATTGGATATTGCCAATATCTGGATTTTATGTATCTATCATAAAATTTGTCACATAGGAGATGGTAGAAGACCATAGTTAATGTGGAGTAACGTTTTATATAGCTAATCTCTACTTAAGAAACCTTTCATTCAGAGTATGAAGAAAATGATTTAAAATTTTGTGGAGGTCCCCTTATTTCTGTTACAGTAATAGTTTTACTGTATTTTGTGAAACTCTACAGTCTCTTTAAAAAAATGATTATGTTGTTTATGATAATTGTTTTGATGTCATTTTTATTTTCATCAAAATCAATGTGAAATGTATTAGAAAAAGGCATAGAAATTCATAGGCGTTTCATTTACTTCCTCAACTCTAGATGTCTTTCAGAATACCTATATTGGTGAGCATAGAACGAATGCGTCGGAATGATTTTCCTCTACTTGAAGCCTACCTTCTTTAAAAAGAGCCTGACTTGAGGGCCAAAATTCATACTGAGGAGAGGCTGACAGATCCTTTGTTTTGCAGGGGCTCCAGAGCTTGATATATTTCTGGGAATTTGGAATATGCTAAACTAGATTTCTGCCCTAGACTAAACATCTGGCTGTGGACTCAATCTAAGTTTTTAAGCTGGGGATAATTTGGTCATTAACTTGGTAGAGTAGTTCTGAGCCACAAGTCATCTTTAGACTTAGTTTGGATTTGGCTGTGTAAGAGATGAAAACAAGGTGAGGCCTGGGCTCTTGATGTCATTTTGCATCTTCAAATCTTAATATACATGGACCTTATTCAGTTATAGAGGAAAAACAGCATATTTTTTATAGGTATAAACAAAAGTATCTAGGCTTTTTGCTATGAACCGATTTAAATAAACCTGAAAGTACAAGATTTTAATTCTAGTTTTTCTGAATACATATTTCTTCCATTCACTAGATTTGTAGTGTCTATTCCAACAAAATGAACTATCAAGCAAAATTTGTTACAGTGAATTGTATTTAATATCATTTTCTCATAAATCCTATGAAGTAGGATCCTATGTTTTATGGGAAATTAGGTTAGGGAACCAGAGTAAAAAAGGCCAAGAAGGAGTGTGAGCCTGAGCAAAGGGTGAAAAGTGTTCGTTGCCAGTCTTGAATCTGGCAATCCAAGATTTTTCTTTTTTCTTTTTTTTTTTTGTTTTTGAGACAGGGTCTTGCTCTGTTGACCAGGCTGGAGTGCAGTGGCACAGTCTCCTCGGCTCACTCCAACCTCCGTCTCCCTGGCTCAAGCGATCCTCCCACCCCAGCCTCCAGAGTAGCTGGGACTTCAGATGCAGACCACCACACCTGGCTAATTTTTGTTGTGTGTTTGTTTTTTTTTTGAGACGAAGTCTCGTTTTTTCGCCCAGGCTGGAGTGCAGTGGTGCGATCTCTGCTCACTGTAACCTCTGCTTGCCAGGTTCAAGCGATTCCCCTGCCTCAGCCTCCCAAGTAGCTGGGATTACAGGTGTCCACCACCACGCTAGCTAATTTTGTATTTTTAGTAGAGACGGGATTTTGCCGTGTTGGCCAGGCTGGTCTCGAACTCCTGACCTCAGGTGATCTGCCCACCTCGGCCTCCCAGAGTGTTGGGATTATAGGCATGAGCCATTGCACCCGGCCTAATTTTTTTTTTTTTTTTTTTTTTTTTTGAGATGGAGTTTTGTTCTTGTTGCCCAGGCTGGAGTGCAATTGCGCGATCTTGGCTCACTGCAACCTCCGCCTCCCAGGTACAAGCGATTCTCCTGTCCCAGCCTCCCAAGTAGCTGGGATTACAGGCATGTGCTACCACGCCTGGCTGATTTTTTTTGTATTTAGTAGGGATTTCACCATGTTAGTCAGGCTGGTCTTGAACTCCTGACCTTAGGTGATCCATCTGCTTCGGCCTCCCAAAGTGCTGGGATTATAGGCGTGCAGCCTAATTTTGTATTTGTTGTAGAGATGGGGTTTTACCGTGTTGCCCAGGCTGGTCTTTAACTCCTGGGCTCAAACAATCTGCCTGCCTCAGCCTCCCAAGGGATTACAGGCATGAGCAACTGCCCAGCCCAGGATTATTGTATGTATTTTTGCTAGGGGATTCCCTGGAATGCTGCTTAGTTCAAGATATTTCCATTTCCTCTGAAGAAGCTAGGGTGTACAGGTGAGGAAATATGACAGGATTATTTTCTTTTTTAAAAATCTCTTGTAAAAAGACATAAGGGTCTGCTAAAGAAAGTTGACAGACTCTTGTTTTCTGGAGGTTAACCTTGTCTCTGGTCCAAATTAGAGTCAGGCATTTAGGATGAGGTCTGATGATGGTTCATAGAATTTTGTCCACAATCTGTTATGAACCCTGGACTGGTGAGCCTTGTTATCTGTGGCCAACCTAGGGAATTTTAATCTTATGGAATTGAAAAAACAAGGAACAATGTTTGTGAGGGATTTATTAATTTCTTCCCAGATTTTTCTTTTTCTCCCCTGTTGTCTCTCATAGTTTTTCCAGCCCTCCTAGTCACAATCCCCAGAGGCAGCTACTTCAATTCTTCTGGCTACCTAGTTTTACTTTACTCTGTTGTTTAAAAAAAAAAAGAAAAGAAAAAAGAATAAAGCTTCTATAGTTCATTCTTTTGATTTATTTTTACTGAAAATGAGAATTTAGCACTTTTTGTACCCTCTTGTCATCCTCCATATAAAACTTGTGATATATAAACACAAATGTATAAGGTAGTGTCATATATAAATAATATATAATAAATTTTATATAGTAACTCAGTTTTAAAAAAATCAGTATATTCATTCTTTGTAAGAATCAGGTAACTGATTATATTGCCTTTTTTATATTACCTATTGAGTGTTTTTTTCTTTGGTAATTTATTTTTAACTAGCTACTTTTCTGTATTTCTAAAATTATTTCTACTCTGTTAACAGAACTTATCTCTATGGTCAAATACATCAGATAATCCACCAGTTGATTTTTCTTTTCTTAGATATCTTCTTGAAGCCCTGCATCCTCCCATTCTAATTTGAACTGTTAGCTTCCCATCACTGTCATCTCGGGTAATTTACTTTGTTTCTGCCCTACATCAGATCTCCCTTTTTCTAGATTCCAGGTTTTCTTTTTCTTTTTTGATAACTTAAATGTCTAAGAATGTTTCTAGTTGCCTTTGCATTGATAGTACAGCTAGGTATAGAATTACAGCCTGAGAGCATTTCCGTCAGAGATTTGAAGTCATGAGTCCATGTCCTGTGCTATTGAGAAGTCCAAAGCCATTTTGATTTCTTGCCGTTTGTTTATAACATTTTCCCTCTTTGAATATTTTATAAACTTCCTTTTTTTGTGTGATATTCTGAAACTTCAATATAATATACCTTGACATGTAACTTTTTTACTGTGCTTTGTACCCTTTAGATCCTTTCAGTCTGGGGATTGGTGTCTTTCAGTCTTTGGCATTTTTTTTGTTTTATTTATTAGGTAATGTCCTGTATTTTTTCTGTTCTTTCTGGACCTTCTGTTACAATGTTAGATCACATAGTTTAATACTTTTTGTTTTCTCTTCTGTTGTCTTGCCTCCTTCCTGCCCCTACCACCTTTTCCTTTTCGTTCTTTCTAATACATTTCCTCAAAGTTATCTTTTAAATTTCTGCTGGGTAGTTTTGCTTTCAATTTTATAATTTCCCAGAGCCTGTTTATTTTATTTTTGTGAGATAGGGTCTTGCCTTGTGTCCCAGGGTGGAGTGCAGTGGCATGAACATGGTTCACTACAGCCTTGACCTCCTGGACTCAAGCAATCCTCCCACCTCAGCCTCCTGTGTAGCTGGGACCATAGGCAAACACTACTGTGCCTGGCTAATTTTTTTGATTTTTTTTTTTTATAGAGACAGGGTCTCACTTTGTTGTCCAGGCTAGTCTTGAACTCCTGAGCTCAAGTAGTCTTCCCACCCCGGCCTCCCAGAGTGCTGGGATTGTAGGTGTGAGCCACCACATCCGGCCCCTTTCTTTTTAAATAGCATATTCTTGTTTTATATATGCAATGTCTTTTCATTAATCTGAGTTTTTTTTTTGAGTGTTCATTTGTTCCTGACATCGTTTCTGTTTATTCCCAGGTTTTATTTTTCTTCTGGTGATCCATGGATGCCTATTTTAAGTGAGAATATCAGGAGTCTAATTAGAAACTCTAAAAGTATGTGGGTAGGGCCTGTCAACTAGTTGGCTTCATGTTAAGTTGATTAGTTAGCTACCTTGACATTTTCTTGATGGACTCCCAAGTATTATTATGTTCTCTTGTTACTACGTTACATAGTTTCTCTCTCATTTTGTTTTTTCATAAGAGTTTTCTAATTGCTTGCTTTGAGAAAGTGGGCTGAGGGGTCCTATTTTTCTTTGTAGACTTTACCTGATCCTCATTTTCAGTTTATTACTTTATCCTATCCTTTGCAAGACTACAGCCTTGATATATTGGTCACTGCAAAGAATAAATATCTACTCTCCTCCCTGGATCAGTGAAGGATTCTGATTGCTTTGTACAATTTTTCCCTATTCCTGTGGAACATAGCCCTCTTTTATTGGAAGTCTTTTATATAAATTATGTAGACTTTGAGGGGAATCTCAGAATCTTATAAATTGTTAAGACAATATAAAATCCATTCCTTATTTGATCAGACCTGTAAGATCCAAATTCTAGGAATCAGGATGTCATGTGATGGTTTATACCTTTGTATAAATTAGTTTGAGAATAAATGTAATAATCTGTGGGATTTTATTAATGTCAGGTGATAACTTGGATTTCTAAAAGATTTGTTGATACGAGGGTAAAAGTATTAGGGTAAATTAATCAGAAAATTAGAAATGTGCATATATCTTGCTGTTTGAATTATGTTAATCTTAGATTTGGAATTTATTATTAGTTTTCTTTTGTTACCTACAGTGGCACTTAGGAGACCTATTTAACTTTGCAAATAAAATTTGTAACTTGATAACTAATTGTTTTAAGTTAGTGGATAATAGTTATCAAAGTGTTTAGTGTCTTTAAGCTATGATAATTTAATATTGTCTTTTTAAATTATCCTAGGTAGAAGAATACATGTTCACTTCCAGTGAACAAGAGCATGTTCCCAAACTCAATTTTGGGTCGCCCACCCTTCACTCCAAATCATCAACAACATAATAACTTCTTTACCCTGTCACCTACTGTTTATTCACACCAGCAGCTTATAGATGCACAATTCAACTTTCAGAATGCAGAGTGAGTATGGTGATATTTTGGCCCATGTTGTTGGTAAATTTCATTTTCTATTTGACATAAACCCTTTTTGTATGAAACTTTTGAACATGGAGAATATGTCGTCACATTTTTTTTTGATACGGATGTATTTAATTTTTTTTCAGAGACTGGTTTTGTTTTTAAAGAAAAAATATGTATAAATTACTGTTCTTTTCTTTGATTTTGTTAGCTTGTCTAGAGCTGTGTCATTACAGCAGCTGACATATGGAAATGTCAGTCCAATACAGACCTCAGCTTCCCCATTATTTCGAGGAAGGAAGTAAGTACTTCTTAATTATTTTAAAAGAATATTTTTGCATTTCTGAGAACTCTGTAATGATGTATCTTGAATTAATATTGTATGGACCCTAAGCCCTATGTTTTGTTTTCTGGGACCTGTACGATCAGATGAGTCATGGAATTTTAACATTTTTATGCGTTTAAAAATTTTAGGTGTTCTTTTGTTGATTTGTTCCTGCTTTATTGTATGTTTGTTTCTGCCCTACATCAGATCTCCCCTTTTCTATATCCCAGGTTTTCTTTTTCTAGAATAAAGCTGTTTCCTCAGAAAACCACTTTTTAATTGAGATTTTTTAACTAAATGAGATGGCCTGTATTCATTTGCTAGGGTAGGGTTGCCATAACAACGTACCACACATTGGGTGGCTTACACAACAGAAATTTATTTTCTTACAATTCTGGAGGCTAGATCAAGGTGTTGGCAGGGTTGGTTTCTTCTGAGGCTTCTTTTCTTGCCTTGTAGATGGCTGCTTTGTCACTGTGTCTTAATATGGCCGTTGCCCTGTGTTTTCTGTGTCCTCATCTCTTCTTCTAAGGACACCAGTCATATTGGATTAACGTTCATCTTAAAGACCCCACTTTAACTTAGGTAACTTTTCAGAGGTCCTATCTCCAAATACAGTCACATTCTGAGCTACTGGGGCTTAGGACTTCAACATCTGAATTTCTAGGGGGACACAATTATAGCATTTTCTTTCTAGTAAACTTTATGTTTTTCTTTTGATTTATCTACATCTCACACAGGTAAGGTTCCATGATAACAAATATTGTAGTGAAAATTTCTGTGTGACATAAAACTTCCTATAGTCAAGTCAGGAGTCAATTAATTTTAATCTTTGATTAAAAGAAATTCATTTATTTAAAAACAGAACTTGAGAGGTAGTTATTGAAATAACATTCGGCAATATTTGAAAGATACCACTATTACTTAAAAACCTATATAAACATTCTATAACCTTTATGTCCTATTAAAAAAAACACTATCAGTGAACAAGGTGCTGTAAAAAAAAAAAATAACACTAGCTAGGAGTTATTGCTTATTATGTAGTAATCATTATTTTAAGCCTTTACAACTAACGGTTTGATTAAATCACGTAACACTGAGGTAGATACTATTATCCCTTGCCTGTTGAGGAGAAAGCTGACTCACACAAAGGTTAAGTAACTACTTACTCAGAAGTGACATAGCTAGGATTTGAAATGTTGTATGTCTCTGAGTCATATGCTTAAAAGCACTACAGGTTGTTCTTCAAAATTGTCATTGAGAAAAGTTTTATAATAATTCTAATAGTATTGACTTTATTCAGATTTTATTTTTTAGAAATTGCCTTTATAGCCAATTTGTGAATTAAGAATGAAAATAAGCTCCCTTAGGCCGGGCGCAGTGGCTCACACCTGTAATCCCAGCACTTTGGGAGGCCGAGGCAGGCAGATCACGAGGTCAGGAGATCGAGACCATCCTGGCTAACACAGTGAAACCCCATCTCTACTAAAAATACAAAAAATTAGCCGAGTGTGGTGGCACATACCTGTAATCCCAGCTACTCAGGAGGCTGAGGCAGGAGAATGGCATGAACCCAGGAGGTGGAGCTTACAGTAAGCCAAGATCCCCCCACTGCACTCCAGCCTGGGCAACAGAGCGAGACTCTATCTCAAAAAAAAAAAAAAACAAAAAAAACAAAACTCCATTAATTTGTAGTTAAACATATTTTTAAAATTAAAATTGGCATTCTCATTAGAAGATATTCAGCATATATAGCTCTAAAATACTTTTATGTTTAAAAATATTAAATATACTTTTATGCATTTAGCACTGTATATTTTACCTGTGAGTAGGGGTTCCACTTATTTTGCAGATCTATCAAGGAGAGAGAAATTGACATAATCCCAAAGGAGTGTTAAAAAACCTTCTATGGGCCGGGTGCAGTGTCTCATGCCTGTAATCCCAGCACTTTGGGAGGCTGAGGTGGGCAGGTCATTTGAGGTCAGGAGTTCGAGACCAGCCTGGCCAACATGGTGAAACCCCATCTCGACTAAAAACACAAAAATTAGCTGAGCATCGTGGCGGGCGCCTGTAGTCCCAGCTACTCAGGCGGCTGAGGCAGGAGAATACCTGGAAATCCCGGAGGCAGAGGTTGCGGTGAGCTGAGACTGTGCCACTGCACTCTAGCCCGGCAACAGAGGAAGACTCTGTCTCAAAAAAAAAACCTTCTATGACCCATAGAATTTTCAGGCTTAAAAGGAATCGGGCCATTTTCTGTGGCATAAAGTATTACCTACATGAACAACTTAATATATCAATGAAGTAAATGTCTTTTTTCCCAACAAATACTTACTCTTTAATGATTTTTCCCTTTTTATTTTGCAAATACTAAAACCTCCAGAAAAAGAATAATATGGTGAATATCTGTATGCCTTTTGCCTAGATTCATGAGTTAAAAGTTTTACATTTGATTTCTTTCTCTTTTTCTTTCTGCCCACCTGCTTTTTTTCCTGAACCATATGAAAGAAAGTTGTTGACACCATTTTACCTTAAAACATGTCAGCTTATTCCTCCTACAAAACAAGGCTTTTCTTCTATATAACCAAAATACATTGATTATTCCTGAGAAATTTAATATTAATAAAATACTATTATCTGAGTTGCAGCTCATTTTTGAATTTCTTCGTTGTCCAATGTCTTTATAGCTTTATTGAAAAGTGTTTCTTAATTGGTCTTTCCTGCTGATGAGTCAGAACATAGGTGTATTCAAAGAGCCCTTTTTTATAACTAGCACTCAGCTCACTTAATCGTATCTTCCTTATGTTATAGTTTGGATCTTCTTAGTAATTCTATAAATAGAACTTTTCCTACAAAGTTTTCACTACTGAGATGAAACATTGGGGTAGTTCAAATACAGGAGACTAACCTCAATATATACATGTAGTTTTTTCTGTCTCCATTATTACTATTTTTTTTAAGGTGTTGAGAGGCATTTCTTGTGCTGAACATGAATATTTTTAAGATCCATATAAAGCTAATAAAGTGACCTTATTGAAAGAATCATATTGTCATTATCTCTTATGATATTTATATATATTTAATTGCTTTTTATTTGTTATCAGAAAGTTGTATCTTTAATTACTAAGGTATATTGCTTGTTTTCAGGAGATTAAGCGATGAAAAAAACCTTCCTCTTGACGGTAAACGGCAACGTTTCCATTCACCCCACCAAGAGCCAACTGTAGTTAACCAGATAGTGCCTTTATCAGGTGAACGAAGATACTCAATGCCACCATTGTTTCATACACATTATGTACCAGATATAGTCAGATGTGTTCCACCTTTTCGAGAAATTGCATTTTTAGAACCTAGAGAAATCACACTGCCTGAGGCCAAAGATAAGGTAATAATAATGTAGATTTTAGTTTTGCCTTTTGGGAATTTAGTATAAATAATGTATTAATCAAAAATATTTAATATCCTGGATTAAGTAGAACGTGCCTTTTTTTGTTGCAATGTTTAAAGTACTATTCAGCCTAATTTTCTGTCCAAACATTACTTTGATTTTTGTTAGCTATTCTTTTATAGAAATGCAGCCATCAGGAAATCAGATTTTCCCTGATATATGAAAATTTTATTAGAACCCAGACACTTTCTGAGTTTAGAGAACTGTCTTGTTACTTGTTTTTACTGAAAAAAAAAAAAGTTGTCATATAGCTATTGTAATACAGTGTTAGAACACATTTTATTATGGGATATTTGTGTTATAACATGAGGTTTTTTGAATGTCAAAAATAGAGAATCCAGGAGTCACTGAGAAAAACAATACATTCAAAGTGATATAATCAAGAAAGATTTATCAAAAACATTTATAAAAATTTTCAAATAAGTGAAATGAAGCTATTTAAATAATAATTCTTGGAAAATGACATTGTCAGCATTGGGGAACAATGAGTTATTTAATATCTAATAATAGAAACATATCTCTCCTCTCCCCCATATTTAGTGAAACCTAAAAAATCACCTTCTAGGTAATTGAGAGGGGTTTATAATGTAAATATCTGTATTCTCTTGGGTTGTCTGTGGTTTATACTTGCTGTTTTTGCATTTTCAAAGCTGCCACACTCTTGAGAAATAAGACATTTGTAGGCTAAGGAGAAGGACCTTGAAGAAAATATAGCAACTTTGTTTTACTCATCTTTGGGTTCCTATCAACCAGCATGGGTCTGAAACATAGTAAGTGTACAGAAATGTTGGGTCAGAAAAGCAACATCTGCTTCATTCCTTAGTTGTGCTGCTTTTTTATTCCTCTATTATTCTTTTGTTCTTTAATTTTTTAATTTAGTTATAATTGTACCATAAAATTCACCCTTTTAAAGTGTAGAGTTCAGTGGTTTTTAAATATATTCCCAAAGTTGTGCAACTGTACTATCTGATTCCCAAACATTTTCATCACCCCCAAAAGAAACCTTGTACCCAATAACAGTCACTTCTCCTGCTCCCTGGCAACAACTAATCTATTTTCTGTCTTTATCCCATCCTGGACATTTTATATAAATGAAATCATTCAATATGTGGCCTTCTGTGTCTTGCTTTTTTCATTTAGCATGTTTTCAAGGTTCATCCACGTTGTAGCATACACATCAGTACTTCATTCCTTTTTATAGCTGAATAATACTCTATTGTATGAATATACATCACTTTGTTAATGCAGTCCTCAGCTGATGAATTTCTGGGTTGTTTCCACTTTTTGTCTGTTATGAATAGTGCAGCTATAAATATCTGTGTACAGATTTTTGCATGGACATATGTTTTCACCTCTCTTGGAGTGAAATTGCTTGGTCATATGGTAGCTCTGTGTTTAACTTTGTGAGGAACTGCTGAAGTGTTTTCTAAAGTGGTTGCACCATTTTGCATCCTATCAACAGCGTATAGGTTGCACTTTCTTTACATGCTTTTGAACTTGCAAAACTTGTTATTGTCTGCCTTTTTGATTATAGCCATTCTAGTGGGTATGAAATGGTATCTCATCATGTTTTGGATTTGCATTTCCCTAATGCCTAATGATATTGAGCATCTTTTCATTTGCTTATTGGACATTTGTATATCTTCTTGGGGAAATGTCTATTCATCTAGATCTCTTGCCCATTTTTAAATTGGACTGTTTGTCTTTTTACTGTTGGTTGGTAAGAGTTCTTTATGCATTCTACATATTAGACCCTTATCAGATAATGACTTGTGAATTTATGCTCCCATTATGTGGCTTGTCTTTTTACTTTCTTTTTGGTATCCTTTGAAGCACAAAAACCTTTCATTTTGATGCAGTCCAGTTTATCTATTTTCCTTTGGTTGGTTGTGCTTTTGGTGTCATATCTAAGAAACCATTGTTAAAGGTCACAGAGATTAATGCCTATGTGCTAATTTTTAAAATTTATTTATTTTATTATTATTTTTTCCCTGCCCCGCCTATGTGTTATTCTGAGTTTTATAGTTTTAATTCTTATATTTAGGACTTTGATCCATTTTGAGTCAATTTTTGTATATGATGTAAAGTAGGGGGTCCAGCTTTATTCTTTTGCTGTTGGTCCAGTTGTCCTAGCAGCTTATTGAAAAAACTGTTCTTTTCTCCTCTGTAATTTTTTTTTAACCATATTGAAATAGGAAAAACAATCAGGCAAAATCAGTGGGAGAAAGGAAAAAGGCAAAGGAAACTGAGAAAAGATTAACTTGGGTTTTTTTAGTTAGCTGTTTTTTTTTTTTTGATATAGAGTCTAGCTCTGCCGCCCAGGCTGGAGTGCAGTGGTGCGATCTCGGCTCACTGAACCTCCACCTCCCGGGTTCAAGCGATTCTCCTGCTTCCGCCTCCTGAGTAGCTGGGATTACAGGTGTGTGCCACCACGTCTGGCTAATTTTTGTATTTTTAATAGAGACGGGGTTTCACCATGTTGGTCAGGCTGGTCTTGAACTCCTGACCTCGTGATCTACCCACTTTGGCTTTTCAAAGTGCTGGGATTACAGGTGTGAGCCACTGCACCTGGCCTAGTTTTTGTATTTTAAAAAACTTTAGAGATGAGGCTCTTGCTGTCATGCCCAGGCTGGAATGCATTGGTGGGATCATAGCTCATTGCAGCCTTAAACTCATAGGTTCAAGTGATTCTGCTGTCTCAGCCTCCTGAGTAGCTGGGACTATCGATAGGTGTGGGCCACCATGCCCAGCTAATTTTTTTTTTTTTTTTTTTGAGACGGAGTCTCACTCTGTCGCCCAGGCTGGAGTGCAGTGGTACGAACTCGGCTCACTGCAAGCTCTGCCTCCTGTGTTCGCGCTATTCTCCTGCCTCAGCCTCCCGAGTAGCTGGGACTACAGGCGCCTGCCACCAAACCCAGCTAATTTTTTGTATTTTTATTAGAGACGGGGTTTCACTGTGTTAGCCAGGATGGTTTTGATCTCCTGACCTCGTGATCCACCCTCCTTGGCCTCCCAAAGTGCTGGAATTACAGGCGTGAACCCCCGCACCCGGCCACCTGGCTAATGTTTTTAATTTTTTTTTTTTTTTTGGTAGAGCCAGGGTCTTGCTATGTTACCCAGGCTGGTCTTGAACTCCTGGCCTCAAGTGATACTCCCTCATTGGCCTCCCAGAGGGCTGGGATTACAGGTATGAGCCACTGCACCTAGCTATTTTTACTCATTTTAAAGACTATCGTGGATATGAAAGCCTATGTATAAATTAAATCAGACCTTTGAATGAACGTATAAGAACCTTTTTGCTGGGTGTGGTGGCTCACGCCTGTAATCCCAGCACTTTGGGAGGCCAAGGTAGGCGGATCACAAGGTCAGGAGTTCGAGACCAGCCTGGCCAATATGGTGAAACCCCGTCTCTACTAAAAATACAAAAATTAGCTGGGCGTGGTGGCAGGCGCCTATAGTCCCAGCTACTTGAGAGGCTGGGGCAGGAGAATCACTTGAACCCGGGAGGCGGAGGTTACAGTGAGCCGAGATCATGCCACTGCCGTCCAGCCTGGGCGACAGAGTGAGACTCCGTCTCAAAAAAAAAAAAAAATCTTTTACTGTTTTTTTAAGGTATGTATGCTGGTAGCCCTGTTTTCTATGGAATTTATAATGATAAACTATTGAAAGCTCTCTATTTTTACTTGTATTTGTATGTTGTGATAGTTAACTGTTAGAACTAACTAACTGCTAGTTCTGCATATGGAGTAGGCAAATTTTCAATTTCAGTAAATTTAATAACAATTCATATTAGTGTCAGCATAAACCATCTGGTAAAGTACAGTTCTGTATCGATAACATTTTAAAATTAGTTATGTAGAAAGAGATACTCCTAAATATTTAGAATTAGGGATTTATCTCAGAAGGCTAAAGATTGTGTAATTGAACCAATTTCTTTTTTTTCGTTTTTTGAGACAGAGTTTTGCTCTTGTTGCCCAGGCTCAAGTGTAATGGCACAATCATGGCTCACTGCGACCTCCATCTCCCGGGTTCAAGCAGTTCTCCTGCCTCAGCCTCCCAAGTAGCTGGGATTACAGGCATGTGCCACCATGCCCTGCCAATTTTGTATTTTTAGTAGAGATGGGGTTTTACCATGTTGGTCAGGCTGGTCTCAAACTCCTGACCTTAGGTGAACCACCCGCCTCAGCTTCCCATCATGCTGGGTTTATAGGTGTGATCCACCACGCCTGGCTGGAACCAATTTCTTTGAGTGCCACTCTCTACCTGCCAAGTTGTGGGAGAAAGAAGGCAAGCAGTCAGTTTTGCGTTTATTTTTTAAGTGAACATTTTTTAAGAAAGCTAACGTTTATTGATGGTTCTTGTAGGCATTCTACATATGCTATCTCATTTAGTCTTTTCAGCAACCCCATGACATGGATATTATCCTAATGTTATTGAGGCTCAGAAAGCTAAATAACTTGCTCAGGGTTACAGCTAGTAAGTGGTAAAACCAAGATTTGATCTTTGTCTCTAAAAATATGAAGAGAAGGAGGTTAAGATACTTAAAATCAAGGGTAGGCAGATGACATTGTAACTCTAATACAAGGTAATCTGTGACAGTGGTAGCTAATGTTTATTGAGTATCTGTCATTACTGGCATTGTGCTCGACAGTTTGTTTGGTTTACCTCTGTTTACTTCTGTAGAGTATAAAGTGAGTGAAGGGTTCAGTGTGAGATAAAGTGGGGCAGTGGTTTGAAGCCTTGAATGCACAGTAGAATGCTGTTGAAGGTTTTAAAGTAGAGAAATAGCACAGTCAGATTTGTATTTTTAGAAAGTCCTTGCTGTTTAGTGAGTTTGGTTTAGAATGAAGTGGGCTTGGAAGGTGGTGATCATCTTGAAGGCTGTTAAATTCACCCTGAAGATGGTTGATCCCCTTGAAGGCTATCCTAATGAGAGGTGCTGAAGCTTTCAGTTACAGTAGATGGTAGTGAAAAAGATGTGGGAGATAATGTATAAGGAAAATTTAGAGAATGTGTGGAATAACTGAGTGTAGAAGAGAGAGGGTGAAAGAGACATGAATGACTTCAGTGATTTGATACTGGGTTACCAGTAGAGATAAAGAACCTAGATTTGGGGTGTATAGGCTGATTGAGGAAGTACTCGAGTTTTTTGAACTATGAGAGAATCTACTATAAAACATTTGTGCTCCTCAGAAACTTCATGTTCTGCAAATTGCACACTAATCATATAGGGCTTATGAGAAATAGGGTTGGAACAGACTACTCAAAACCTAAACAATTTTGTAACGAGAACACTATCAAAAATAATAATTGATATCTTGGGAAATAACTTGGATAGGCAGGCAGTTTGGCACGGCTAGATGCTGCTGCAGGGGATATTAGAAATACACAAAATAGAGTTGAGATGCTGGCTTGTGTTGGACATTGACACAGGCAGTTAAAAATGGAGCTCTGAGTCAGTGAGGCTGCTGTTAAGGTAGAGACAAAAGGAAATACACCAGCACAGGGCTATCTGAGGCTAGGAGTATGCTTTCTTGAGCAGAAATCTTGGATGCAAATGCTTTTAGTTCCTTTAGATCTGAAAGGACTCCATACTGAGGGGTTTTTTCTTTGTTGTGACAGTTATAATTCTACAGTTATAGCTCCATGTACAAATCACGTACAAACCCAACTTCTATGTTATATTGATACCATTCCTCTGTTTACCAATCACATATAAGTTAATTGGTATTGTAGAAAAATGTAACTGTATTGACAGTATATGTTTGGAGTTCAGAAGTGAGGTCAGGCTAGAGATACGGATTCTTAAGAGATCTGAAACAAAAGTGACAGTTGAAACACCCTAGAGTAGATAAGATTTTTAATTTATTTAGCATTCAAATATTTGTGAGCTCTAGGCGTGGGAGATACACTGTTTTGCTAAACATACATGGTCTCTACCATTTAGGTACAGCATGGTGAGAGGGGGAGCCATTAAAAAATAACCATACATAGGCCAGGCACAGTGGCTCACGCCTGTAATCCCAGCACTTTGGGAGGCCGAGGCGGGTGGATCACGAGGTCAGGAGATCGAGACCATCCTGGCTAACATCGTGAAACCCCGTCTTTACTAAAAATACAAAAAATTAGCCAGGCGTGGTGGCGGGTGCCTGTAGTCCCAGCTACTTGGGAGGCTGAGGCAGGAGAATGGCGTGAACCCAGGAGGCAGAGCTTGCAGTGAGCCGAGATCGTGCCACTGCACTCCAGCCTGGGCAACAGAGTGAGACTCTGTCTCAAAAAAAAAATAATAACCATACATAGGCCGGGCACAGTGGCTCACGCCTGTAATCCCAGCGCTTTGGGAGGCCGAGGCGGGTGGATTACCTGAAGTCAGGAGTTCGAGACCAGCCTGACCAATATGGTGAAACCCCGTCTCTACTAAAAATACAAAAAAATTAGCTGGGCGTGGTGGCGTGTGCCGTAGTCCCAGCAACTCGGGAGGCTGAGGCGGGAGAATTGCTTGAACTTGGGAGGCAGAGGTTGCAGTGAGCCAACATCGCGTCACTGTACTCCAGCCTGGGTGACAGAGCAGGACTCCGTCTCAAAAATACAAAAATTAAAAAAATGCAGATCACAATTTTATTTATATAAATGCTGTGCAGGAAATTAGTGAGTGCTGAGAGAATGCATTTGAGGTCTCAGGGAAAGCCTCTTAGAGGAGGCAGTATTTGAGTTGAGATCTGAAAGATGAATGAGTTAACTAGTTAAAGAGTGGTGGGAGCCAGGCGCAGTGGCTCATGCCTGTAATCGCAACACTTTGGGAGGCCAAGGTGGGTGGATCGCCTGAGGTCAGGAGTTCAAGACCAACATGGCAAAACTCCATCTCTTTTAAACATACAAAATTAGCTTCGTGGCAGGTGCCTGTAATCCCAGCTACTTGGGAGCCTGAGGCAGAGAATTGCTTGAACCCAGGAGGTGGAGGTTGCAGTGAGCCAAGACCACGCCACTGCACTCTAGCCTGGGCGACAGAGTGAGACTCTGTCTCAAAAAGTAGTGGGGATGGGGAGACTGCTTTAGAGAGAGGAAATAGCATGTTTGAGGGTGTTGATGCAGAAAGGAGAATGGAGTGTACAAATAACTGAAAGGAGGTCAAGATGGCTAGTGTTTGGTGAATTGAGGGGAAGTGGTTGAAGGTGTGGTAGGGGAGATGGGAAGAGGGGCATATTTTGCAAGGACTATTAGGCCATTTTGATCTTTAGCCTAATAACAGCAGTAACCTATTCAGGTTTTTTTTTTTTTTTTAATGCAGGGGACAGATGAGTTAAAAAGTTTATTTTCACTGCACTATGGAGAGTAGATTGAAGTTGAGCAAGCATGGATGTAGGGAAGTTGTACTGTAGTATTTCAAGTGAGAGGCAATGGTACTTGAATTAGGAAATGCTAGTAGTTAAGATGAAGAGAAATTGATGGATTTAAGCTGTATTTTAGAGGTGGAATCCATAACATTTGATGATATATTAGATTACAGTGTCTAAGCCTCTACAATATCGACATTTTAGGCCAGCTTACTTTGGTGTGGAGGGGCTGTCCTGTGTACCCTACTACATTTAGTAGCATTCCTGCCACCAATCCCCAGTTGTGACAGCCCAAAATGCCTATGGACATTGCCAGTCATCCTCTGGGGCAAAATTGCCCTAGTTGAAAACCATTGGGTTCGATTGAGAAGAAGGTTTTGAGGATTACACTCAAGTTTCTGGCTTCTACAGCTGGTGGCCTCATTTGCTGAGACAGAATAGAATGGAAGAGGAGGAAGATTTATATGTGTGCTTAATAGGGATTGACTCATGAGTCTGTGGACATGTGCCTTTAAGAAGCTTTTGAAGCATCAGAGTGGATATTTAGCATTGATAGTTGAATATACTGTGTATAGATCTGGAATTCAGAGGTTATTCATTGGCTAGAAATGTGTATTTGGCCATCATCAGCATACAGATGGTAATTGAAGCCCCAGGAAGAGAGTCTATGTCCAAGACTCGTTGAAATCGGTTGAGGAAAGAATAGGAGAACAAATGCAAACTAAGATTATACACAACTGTTTTGGGACATTTGGCAGTGAAAGGGAGGAGCAAAAGGTGTGAAGTTAGGACAGGCTTTTTTTGGTAAGGTGGGAGAAACTCTGGTCACAAATAAATGTTTGTGGGGAAGATTCATAGAGAGGAAAGAGGTTGACCACTCTGGAAAGAAAAGAACAATCATGAATAAGGTTTCCCACAAGGTGGAAGGGGAATGAGTCCTGTGTATAGGTGGAGTGATTGGCCTTAGGTAAGAGAAAAACTTTTTTGAACTGGCTGATAGGAGGAGAGGATAGGTATAGATACAGGGAAATTTGTAGATACGGTAGGGAGAAGTTAGTGGAGTTTCCAGAGTTGAATGGCATCTTCCCGTTTTCTCTCTCAATTACTATGCAAGATAATCTGTTGAGACTGGAGAAGATAAAGTAGGATATCAGAGGTTTGAGAATAGTGGAGAATGTTTGAAATACCATTTACTGAATGTAGGGAATCAAACTGACCAGAGAAACAGAGTGCAGAAGGTTTGAAACATTTTCTGGGTAGTATAGAGGGCTCACTTAAGATTGGTAATAATGAATTCATTAATAATAATAGTGAGTCAGTCAGCTGAATCTGCCAGCTCCAGGGAAAGATTTTGTTAGAAGTTTTTTTAACTACTTTGAGGATAAACATAAAGAATTGAATTTTGAAAATGAATACCCTCTGAGTTTAAATTTTTTCATGAGTTTTTTTTGTCTTTTTTAAGTTACTGTGTTAACAACTCTTTAAAGTAGAAATCTGAGTTATTCCTGAATTTTAACTTTTGTTTTTACTCTAGGTTTTAGAAGAATATATGGTTTTCTGCACAAAAATGAGAATGTAATCAGTTATCTAAGCCCCTGAATTCCATCTACAGTATTAAATTGTTCTTTGAAATTTCTGGTTAGTAGAAGGTATTATGTGAATTGACTTATTTGATTTTGAATTTTGAGTTGAAATGAGGTTAGGCTGAGGTTTTTCTTGGTATTGATTGTAAAATAAAAAGACAATTATTAAAGAATTGTTAAATTCCCTGTGTAATGTTAAATTTGAGAAGGGGCAAATTTTATGGAGCTTCTTGGCATCCTTGGAAGAACAGTTTGGGGATAGTTATCTTACAGATCTCTAAAGGACTCTGTCTTTTTAATTTATGTGTTTGTCAGAAAAATTCAAAAACCACTGAGATATAAATTTACATAGAACACCTAAGAGAGAACTCAGACAAAAGAGATCAAATAAAAACTTGTTTTTTTCCTATCTTTCTTTTTTGGGCAATTCTTTGGCCAAGTTCAGGTAATAGTAGGCGCCTAAAGTAATCAGACTTCAGGGGGAAAACAATCAGTAATCCAAACTGCCTTCTCAACCCACCAGTTTATAAATTAAGAATACTCCAACTTTGTCCTTACACAAAAACATAGTAATTTAACACACAAGAAGTGGGTTGTTTTAGGCATGACATTTTTCTAGTTCTATTTTGTTTCAGAATTGTTTAATTTGATGGGAAAGGGAATTGACTGTGAAGAATGAATTTAAACTTTTATTACACATCTGGCTTTATTTTCCTCAGAAAATTAATACCAGCTCTTTCTATAGCTACACGTAACAAAGATTAAGGCAATGAGAGAGCCTGAGAAATTGCCAGTTTTTATTGCAATGTTTATATGCTATAATGACCTGTTTTCTGGACCATAGTTTAATTTTATTTCTCCCATTTTGAAAGCTCATTGCTGATTGTGTTTGTAGATAGCACTTAGGCAAAAAAAATTTACATTGTAGTATATGATTAGGTCTCGGTATTTCCAGCTAAAAAGTTTTTTTTTTTTTTTTTTTTTTTTTGAGACAGAGTTTCGCTCTTGTTGCCCAGGCTGGAGTGCAATGGCTTGATCTCAGCTCACTGCAATCTCCGTCTCCTGGGTTCAAACGGTTCTGGGATTACAGGCATGCGCCACCATGCCCGGCTAATTTTGTGTTTTTAGTAGAGACGGGGTTTCTCCATGTTGGTCAGGCTGGTCTCGAACTGCCAACCTCAGGTGATCCACCCACCTTAGTCTCCCAAAGTGCTGGAATTACAGGCATGAGCCACTGTGCCAGGCTAAAAAGTTTTTTTTTTTTTTTTTTCCACTTTCTTTTACTCAAGGGCCCAGCTATCAGGGACAGGTGGTGAACTGCTGAGTATACCATGTGAAGGTTATACAGTGTTAAATACCATGTGAGAGCTTTATATATTGGTACATATAAAAACTTTTCTGGGGCTGGGTGCAGTGGCTCACGCCTGTAATCCCAGCACTTTGGGAGGCCGAGGCGGGCAGATCACGAGGTCAGGAGATCGAGACCATCCTGGCTAACATGGTGAAACCCCGTCTCTACTAAAAATACAAAAAAAAAAAAAAAAAAAAAATTAGCTGGACCTGGTGGCGGACGCCTATAGTCCCAGCTACTCGGGAGAATGGCATGAACCTGGAAGGCGGAGCTTGCAGTGAGCCGAATCGTGCCACTGCACTCCAGCCTGGGCAACAGAGTGAGACTCCGTCTCAAAAAAAAAAAAAAAAAAACTTTCTGAATCCCAGCCAGCACTTCACGTGTCCTTATGGCTTGTGTTGACTTCAGACAATGGCAATTTTATTGGTATTTAATTTGACCTTGACTTTGAGGACAAGTTACAATATTTTTTAGGAAAAATGAACATTCACATTTGGAAGAAATATTTATTTTTATTTATTTATTTTATTTTTTGAGATGGAGTCTTGCTCTGTTGCCCAGGCTAGAGTGCAGTGGTGTGGTCTTGACTCACTGCAACCTCTGCCTCCCAGGTTCAAGTGATTCTCCGGCCTCAGCCTCTCAAGTAGCTTGGACTACAGGCACCTGTCACCATGACTGGCTGATTTTTTTGTATTTTTAGTAGAGATGGGGTTTCATCATCTTGGTCAGGCTGGTCTCGAACTCCTGACCTCAAGTGATCTGCCCGCCTTGGCCTCCCAGAGTGCTGGGATTTCAGATGTGAGCCACTGCGCCTGGCCAGAAATATTTATTTTAATATTTTAGGCTACGTATAAGTAAATTTTTTGTGTAGTGAGAAATAGACTAATTAATTTTATAGTGATAGATCTTGGTAGATAGCCTAAGCAGTTAATTTTATAATGATAGATCTTGGTAGGTAGCCTAAGCAGATAATATTGTAGTGATTTAGACAAGTTTAAGAATAATCCACTTTATATATATGTTGTTGGAGGGATTTTTTTTTTTTTGAGATGGGGTCTTACTAAGTTACCCAGGCTATTCTTGAACTCCTGGGCTCAAGCTATGTTGCTGCCTCAGCCTCCTCAGTAGCTGATACTACCGGCATTTGCCACTGTACCTGGCTTGGAATAGTTTTTTTAAACTAAAAATTAGGAAAAATTTACCCCAGAATTAAAGAATATTTTTGGAGTGCCATTATGCATGGTCAGCTTGTTATTACATATATGATCTAAATCGTATATGATTTTTAGCCAAGGATATTTCATATTATACATTCCTCCTCTCTATTTTTTTAAGAACTATAACAACAGTGAGCCATCTCCTGGAATATTTCTCTAAATTAAAGCACCAGAAATGTTGTTTCAACATATATGTGCATTTCTCTTTTTGTCTCATCTGAACTCTCAATGTTTGTTCTAGGGTAAAGTAATATGATTTGATAATGTGAATCCCCAAGTTAATGGGTAGATAATGACGAAAATTCTTTCACATAAAAACTCATTAAATCTCCATTATAGTAGTCCTTGGGAAAGAAAAAGTGTTTCCATGCATGTAAAAAATGGAGAGGAACAAGAATATGGAATTTCATATTTTCCAGTCATTGTAAATTTTTTAACATGTGACTGTTTCTACATTAACAAGGTCATTCAGATGAAAGAACTTTATAAATATAATAACATTTCACTTGGGCATTGTGAAGGAATTTTTTTTTTGGAGACAGAGTCTTGCTCTGTTGCCCAGGCTGGAGTGCAGTTGCGCGATCTCGGCTCATTGCAACCTCTGCCTCCAGGGTTCAAGCGATTCTCCTGCCTCAGCCTCCGGAGTAGCTGAGACTACAGGTGCATGCCACCACACCTGGCTAATTTTTTGTATTTTAGTAGAGACAGGGTTTAACCGTTGTTGCTCAGGCTGGTCTTGAACTCCTGAGCTCCGGCAGTCCGCCCACCTTGGCCTCCCAAAGTGCTAGGATTACAGGCGTGAGCTACCTTGCCCAGCCAAGAAATTTATTTTGCTATTCAACAAATACTGAGTACCTACGGTGAATTCTAGGATTATGTTGATCTGATCTGCCTGATTCTCTACATCAGGGGTTGGCAGAAGGGCCAGATAGTAAATATTTAGGCACGTGGGCTATGTAGGTCCTCTGTTGCATATTCTTTTTTCTTTTCTTTTTAACAATGACTAAAAGTAGAAATTATTTAGCTTGCTGCCTATACTTGGCCTAAATAGTTCGCCAACCCTGCTCTAGGTCAGTAAAACTTAATCCTTCAAGTATCATGTAAAATTTTATGTTAGCCACTTTTACTGGAGATCTTTTTCACATTTGTTACAAACTTGGACACTTTTCTTTTTAGCTTTTTATTATGGAAAATATCAAACCATATACTAGAGAGAAAAACGTATCATAAATCCTTATGTTGCCCACTTTAACAATTGCCAACATATGACCATAACAATTAACAACATATGACTAATCTTATTTCACCTTTACCTCCCTCCCTCATTAGTTTGAATCAGATTGCAGTTATTTTATTTGTAAATATTTCAGTATTCTGATATTCAGTTGATCTTTTTTGTTTATCCTTCTGCCAGGGCCATACTATCTTGATTACTGTAGTGTTATATTAAGTATAGAAGTCAGGTAGGTTAAATTCCCCAATTTTTTTCTCAGCTATTCTTGGACTTTTGCCTAAGTCAAATTTAAAATTCTTCTGTCAGTTTCTAGAAAGAAGCCTTCTGGGCTTTTGATTTCTTTTTCATTTCTTGTGAAACAAATATCAGATGGGCTTTTGATTTTGATTGCATTGAATCTAAAGGTCAATTCTGGGAGAATTGACATCCTTGACAATAGTCTTTTGATCCATGAATGTGGTGTATCTCTCCCTTTATTTAGGTCTTTAGGTTCTCTCAATATTTTCTAGTTTTCAGTATACAAATCCTGCACATCTCTTGGTACATAGATTTCTAAATATTTCATGCTTTTTGCTGCTATTGTGAAGTTCTTAAAAAGTAAATTTTTAATTGTTTGTTGATAGTATGTATGCTTTAAGTAGTGAATTATCTTTTTAGAAAATTAAAACATGAGAGAAAAGGCCTTGGTTTTTTATATTATGTTAAAAATATTAGTTTTGTTTACACATTCTTCTGGTGTGCTTTATTGTCTGTAGAAATGTTACCCTGCAGCCTGGGCAAAATAGTGAGAAACTATCTCTCAAGAAAAAAAAATTAACCAGATGTGGTGCTGCACACCTTTAGTCCCAGCTACTTGCAGGGCTGAGATGGGAGGATTGCTTGACAGGAGGTCAAGACAGCAGTGAGCTGTGATTGCGACATTGCACTCTAGTCTGGGAACACAGTGAGACCATGTATCAAAAAAAAAAAATTGTTGCTCAGTTTATTCTCATTTTTCTTACAAATACTTTGTATGGGAATTGATTAGAATACTTTCAGGCGTTATTTCTTCAATTTTTTTTCTGTCCTTTCCCATGCTTACCTCTTTCGAGATTCCATTTCTTTCCTCCTGTTATTTGTCTTTGAGATGGCTTTTTCTGTACTACTTTCATTTTATTTTATTTCAGTGTTTTTGAGACAAGGTCTCCCTCTGTTGCCCAGGCTGGAGTACAGTGGTGTGATCATGGCTCACTGCAACCTCGACCTCCCAGGCTCAAGCGATCCTCCTGCTTCAGCCTCCCTAGTAGCTGAGACGACAGGCACGCATCACCATGTCCAGCTAATTTTTAAATTTTTTGTAGAAGGGAGGTTTTGCCATGTTACCAAGGCTTGTCTCGGATTCCTGGGCTTAAGCAATGCACCTGCCTTGGCCTCCCAAAGTGCTGGGATTATTGGTGTGCTCAGCTACCATGCCCAGCCGTGTGCTACTTTTATGTGGAGAGGGTTGAGCAGGCTAGCTTTGTGGCTCTAGGACTTCTCCTCTTTTGCTTTTTTTTTTTTTTTTTGTGACGGAGTCGCATTTTGTCACCCAGGCTAGAGTGCAGTGGCATGATCTCAGCTCACTGCAACCTCTGCCTTCCGGGTTCAGGTGATTCTCTTGCCTCAGCCTCCCAAATAGCTGGGACTACAGGCACGTGCCACTGTTCCCGGCTAATTTTTTTGTATTTTTATTAGAGATGGGATTTCACCATGTTGTCCAGGATGGTCTTGATCTCTTGACCTCGTGATCTGCCTGCATTGGCCTCCCAAAGTGCTGGGATTACAGGCATGAGCCACCACGCCCAGCCTTCTTCTGTTCTTACATAGTATTCAGAAATATACTTCCTTAGTGCCTTTGCTTTTTTCCTTTCCCACTTTTATCTAGAGTAGAATTTTTTACCCTCTGTACTATTGGCATTTTGGGCCAGATAATCTTTGCTGTGGTAGAGTTGTCCTCTGCATTGTAGGATGTTCGGTGACATCCTGGCGTCTACCTACTAGATGCCAGGGACCTTTCACCTGCCCTGCCTGGTCCTGTTATAATAAAAAATGTTTTCATATTCATATGTCCACTGAGAGTCAGAATCATTTTACACCTTTCCTTTTCTCCTGATGGCTCTGTACTGTGCAGTTTAGGTTTCTCTTCCTGGCAGTTTCTGCTGTTGCTTTTTCTTGGAAGGGAACCTCATTTTGTTTGGAGGTCTCTGATCTTTCTGTGGTCCCCTTGCATTTACCTATGAATTGTAGCCTATGAAGCTGCTTGCCTATTTTGGTTGTGGTACATTGATGTGGGCTGCTGAATTTGGTGAGTGAGGGGGAGAAGGTATTACCTATAAGCAATTTGATTTCTGCATGTTCTGCTTTTAAGACTGTTTCAAATCCCATTCCCTTTTTTATTGTGTCTGATACCATGTGAATCTTGCTGCTGTTGGTATTTGTCCCACTCCTGAGTATTCATGATGAATACCCGGTCAGTCAATTGTGTTTTATTTTGTGGCCACATTTTGGTTTGGTTTGATCTCTTTGATTTATTCTCCTAGTTGCTCTGTCTTTTGTGGGGTGAGTATTCAGAGATTTAAAAAAATGTTATGCTTCTTTCATTGCCAAATTGCCCAGAATGCCTCTGCCTTCTTAAAATGAGGATTCTAAATATGTGAAAGACAACATTTTACGTGATGGGTGATACTTTTGCCTCATTATGGACTATAAGGCAGTCCTAGAGAGGGAGAGATTAAAAATACAGGAGCAGGACTGAAATACTGGTAGACGTGTTTGTGCCCTTAAGGTGACCAGAAGGCTTGAATACAAAATTATTGGTAGAGAGATTAGCTTTGAACAGGGGAAAAGGACGCCTTTTTTTTTTTCCCCAGATATGTTCATTTTTAGGTCTGTGGTTAAGAGGCTGAGGAATATCACATTTGGTATTCTCAATTTTCTTAGTAAACTTTAATTTAACTGTATTTGCTAGAGAAAGGGAGATAAGTTTAGAGGGCTTGAAAAAGGTAGTAAACATTTTGGAATGGTATGAAAAACAGAAGTGATATCTAACCAAAGACTTGGAAGTAATTGCTAAGTGATGCTAAGGGCCAACCTAAGACTATAAACTTGAAATACTCCAATTTTATGATTTTTAATTTTTTTTTCAGTTTTGTTTCTTAGCAACTTAGATGTAAGAGCAGTGAAGGTGGTTTTTTTTTTTTATATTGACCTAAGATTAGGGTTTTGTAGGACAAGTATTAGAACATGACAAGGAGATAATGTTGTTGAGGCACGATAAGAGAGTGGTTCAAGGGATGCACTGTGTAGTATAGACTGCATAGGGAAAGAAATAACACCATTTTTATGCTGATGGCTTGGGAGAAAATGGAGGATTCAAGGGAATCTAGATCTCTTGTGGTTCTAGAGCAGGTATGAGGAGAGTGAGAAAGTGTGAACTGGATAGAAGATTGAAGCCAAGATATTATATTGGAATTTAAAATTTCAGAGCTAGAGCAGTTCCAGTTTATTGTAAAGACCACATTATAGGAGTGTATACTGATGAAGAATACTGGAGGAAATAAAAGTCCGGAAAGGGAGTATGTTGTGATATGTAGCCCATTTCAGATAGGGAAATCACCTATGTTGATGGCAAGAGTTGGGCTGGAGGGAAAAGTGTGAACCAGATCAGTAGATAAAAGGGTGGTAGGGCCGGGTGTGATGGCTCACACCTGTAATCCCAGCACTTTGGGAGGCTGAGGCAGGCAGATCACTTGAGGTCAGGGGTTCGAGAGCAGCCTGGGCAGCATGGCAAAACCCTGTCTCTACAAAGATTGAAAAATTAGCTGGGTGTGGTGGCACATGCCTGTATTCTCAGCTACTTGGGACGCTGAGGCAGGAGAACCGCTTGAACCCAGGAGGCTGAGGTTGCAGTGAGCCGAGATCGCACCACTGCATTCCAGCCTAGGTGACAGAGTAAGACTCCGTCTCAAAAAAAAAAAAAAAAGGTGGTAAGTCGATGGCAACATGAAGTTAGGGTTTAGGGCATTGTTAGAAGAATGGGATGGAGGGTGGTTTGCATGAGCCTGGAAGACCGGGGACTGGTGACATCTCTTATATTTGGTATTTGTGGGTGTGAATACTAGGGATTGGGCAAACTTCTTTAAAAAGCCAGATAGTAAATACTTCAGGCTTTGCCACTCACATATTGTTTGTTGCATATTTTTATTTGTTTGTTTTCATAATCCTTTAAAAATATAAAAAAATTCTTTTCTCAGGGGCCATACTAATAAAGTGAGCAAGTGTTAAACAGTTTGCTGACCCATGGATTATTTTTATTACGAAGTATCTGTGACTGTACTTTTCTGTGACTTGTATATTTTACTTTGTAAAATTTATGTGTGGTTTTTCAGACCATTCTCTTCCTGTACTTGAGTAATAGTAGCTTTGTTTTGGGAAATATTAAGAAGATAATACATACTCCCTTTTAAAATAGTGTCAGTATAATTGATTTATGCTTCTCCATATAGCAATTACTTTTACATTGCTGAACAAAACTTTTACTTTTTTTTGCGGTGGATTCAAGTTGAGTCAGCAGATACTGGAGTTATTTGAAACATGTCAGCAGCAAATAAGTGATTTAAAGAAGAAAGAACTCTGTCGAACACAGCTGCAGAGAGAAATTCAGCTGTTATTTCCACGTATGTTTCCCTATTTTGCATGTCCTTTAGGTATATGCATTCCTATTTTAAATTTTATCTTTTTTTTTTTTAATAGGCACAGAACCATGCACCTACTTTAGATTTTAAATACTCTTATTACTTTCTTCTGTTTCTTTAGAAAGCAGACTTTTTTTGGTTGGGTCCTCTTTAAATGGATTTGGTACCCGGAGCAGTGATGGTGATTTATGCCTAGTTGTTAAGGAAGAACCAGTAAGTAAGGAAACATTTATTCCAAGTGTGTTTCTCATGTTAATGAGTTAAGAAATTTTACATAAAAGTCATTGAGGGAAAAAACTTGCTTTGTTGTGATTACTTCTTTGAATTTTGTTTACCATAATTGCAGGAAACCTAGGTAATTTTTTATTTTTAAGGCATGTGCACAATAAGCATAATAGGAAGTATAGCATTAATTTAATTCTAAGTTTTTAAAGTGAGATGGCTTCACTATGTGTTTTTTTTTTTTTCAAGAGCTCTACCTCTGTTTTGAAATGTCATTAGTTTGGATATGTTACCAGGATGCAGCAAAGAAGAGTATGTGGCAATATTATCTTCTTGATGTATTTCCTTTCCATTTGAATTCTCACTGATTCTATTTTTAATCTTTACTTTTTTTCTCTTTGAAAATGCTTATTAAGGGAAAATAGATTTCACTAAAATTTAAAATAAGACTCGTGTTTATTAAATTTAAAATATTTTTCTCTATGAATGACATTTTGCCTTTGTTTTTTTTTCTTTTTCTTTAGCAACAATATTGTGTTAATTTAGTACAGGTTGAGTATTCATTATCTAAAATGCTTGGGACTAGAGTTTTTTGGATTGTAGATTTTTTTTTTTGAATACTTGCATTATACTTAACATTTGAACATCCCTGATGCAAATCTGAAATGCTCCAATGAACATTTCCTTTGAGTATCATGTCAGCACTCAGAAAGTTTCAGATTTTGGATTTCAGGTTTTTGGATTAGGGATGCTCAACCTGTAGTATGTTTACCTGAATTTCCTGTTAACTGATACTCCTGTGTATAATACTGTAGTAATTGGTATTCATTAAGCTGACTTGAGGCAGCCTTTTTAAGATGCTGAGGTTTCTTCTGAACTACCAATGATTAATTAAGCTCAGTGTAATTTTAATATGCCTTATTATGTTTTACATCTTTAAAAATACAAAAAATTATTGAGTGTTAATGTATATTTTTACTATTCATATTATTCCACTAGCGAAAATGACTTCTAGTTACTGCAAGTCAGAAAGAGATTTATTCCAGGAAGAATGATATTTTTCTAGGCTTTGAAATCATATAAAGAGAAAGTTTAAAAAAACTCACATTATAAACAGTGGAGAGTACAAGGGTTGTAATTAAAACTTTTTCGTGCTGCTAGATTATACTCAAGCACATCCCACTCATCCTCTAGTGTTATTCACATATCTAAATCATGATGTCATAGCTTTTACACAAACTGAGGCACCATAGATATGAAACTATCCTTGAGCAGCTTAAAATCTAAATAGGGCTAAAATTCTGTTTATTTTTGTTGGAGGTTGCTTTTTGTACATTTATGCTGAAGGGGAAAATGACATAGATGGCTATTTCAGAATTTCTTTGAAAATTGTGCTTTAAGCTTAAAATCAGGAATTGATTTAGAAATGTAGATGTGAAAGATAGCATTAAAGGTTGACTTTTTCTGTTATTTAGAAAAATAAATTGAATATACTTTGAGTATATTGAAAAATAACTCCAAAGGAAAGTATATCTTGTATGTTTTCTTTTTGTTGAGATACTTTAGGAAAATGAAACATTAAACTTAGAAAGATAATGAAAAAACACTTTATTTTTAACTTTTCAGTGTTTTTTTCAGGTAAATCAGAAGACTGAAGCACGGCATATACTCACCTTAGTCCATAAACACTTCTGTACTAGACTTTGTAAGTCTGACATGCCTCAAGTTTGTATGTCACCTGACGTAACTTTACTTAAAATGCCTCTTACATTATCTTCTGGTAAGAACTGTTTATTCTGGTCAGGATCAGTATAATATGAATTCTTTTTTCCAAATGAATTTCTTTTAACTTTTGATGAAAAAGAAGAGTGATCATTTATTCAACATATCTTTATTGCACTTACTGCAAAATATACCACCTGCTGCAGTGGGGGGGATTCAAAGATATGTAAGTTTTAGTTCTTTTTCTCAAAAGTTTATAGGTTGTTAGGGAAATTAAAGCATGAATATAAATAGTTGTAATACAGAGTATCTGTGAAAAGCTAAAAGCCCTATAGGACTTTATATGTGTGAGAGAGAATTTCATCTGGCTTGCAATGATATGCATCTTTACTTGTTTTAAAAATATCATCACTGAACATGAGACCTAAATGTATTACTTCAACAGAAAGCTAATTGTTGACTTAAGCCATTTTATTTTACGATTTTACTTTTTGAATACACTGACTCTAAACATATTTTAATCCACATGTTAAGCCATCTCAAATAATTTCTTTTAAACTTCCATAGAATTTTATAGAAAGTTGAAGTTACACTGTGTGATATTGGAAAGACACTTGTCCATTTGTTGAACAGACATTCATTATGTGCCAGGCTTTGAGCTGGAAAGTACAAGTCAAGTAACAAGTCACTGTCTTTGAATAACTTACATCTGTTCTAGGAGAGAAATAAATGATTTATTTCAGTGGACCTTCTGCATTCTGAATTATTCTGTAAAATAAAGAATAATTCATACCTACTTGAATTTTTAATAGCTATTTGAATCAAAATATTAAAAATGGAAGGGCCCTTAAAGATCATGTAATTCACATGAATTTTTTTTTCTTTTTCTTTTGGTTATTTTTAATAGTTAAGGAAACTGGTGATCAATGGATTTAGTAACTTGCCTGGAGTATAGTTTGTTGGTCTCAGAACCTGTACTTATTACTCAAAACTTTTAACTCCTAATTTTATTTTTCTGAATTCCTGCTCATAAGTTCTATTTTGAAGCTTGATATATTCTTTTTTTTTTTTTTGAGACAGAGTCTCGCTCTATCACGAGGCTGGAGTGCAGTAGCATGATCACAGGTCACTGCAACCTCCACCTCCCTGGTTTAAGCGATTCTCATGCCTCAGCCTCCTGATTAACTGGGATTACAGGTGTGTGCCACCTCACCTGGCTAATTTTTGTATTTTTAGTAGAGACAGGGTTTCGCCATGTTGGCCAGGCTGGTCTTGAACTCCTGGCCTCAAGTGATACATCCACCTTGGCCTCCCAAAGTGCTAGGATTACAGGTGTGAACCACCAAGCCCAGCTGATATATATTCTGTAATTTTGATGGTAAAACATTGTAACAGAAAATTTTCAGGTTTTAAAAAATCCCGGTACTACTTTTTCTGTAGTTAAAAAATGAGAAAATTGCTCATTTGGGAAAGATTTTCAGAATTTCATTTTTACACACTTCTGTATTTTCCTAATTTTCTATGATAAGTATATATTACTTTCAACTCTAATTTTTTAGTTTGATGGAATAAAAATATGTATGTACATTTTATTATATGTTGTATATGATATATGTATGTATGTAATACATATCTGTATGTGTATTTGAATTTCCTATCAACTCATACTCCTTTGTATAATAGCACAATAATTGGTGTTCACTAAGCTGATCTGAATTTTTCACTTGTAGAGATCATGTATATAATATATGTATTTTTCACTCATAGAGATCACACTTATCGAATGCATCCAAGCCCCGTGTATCATGTTGCAAAGCATTTCCACACATAAGACTCTGTAATTATGATTTCTACAGTTACCATGATACCTTACTGTGTGCTGTACCAAAATTAGCTATTCCCTCTGCTGCTAGCCTAGATATATTTTCACTCTTACAGTGGTCTAATGAACTTCTCTATAGATACTATATTAGATCACATTCCTGAAAATAACCTTAATATAAAGCCCCCTAAATGGTATTACTGGAGCCTCCAACCTTAGAAGAATTTGATAATGTCCTCACTTGTATTCTTTTTCAAAGACGTTTTCTTAAATTATTTTAGCTTAGTAAATACTATTTTTTAAAAAATGTGCGTTGGAACACTGTGAATTCTAGAAACATTTGCAGCTATTCACATTATCTTTTGTCTTTCAGCGGGCTACATTGAGAGACCTCAGCTGATTCGAGCAAAAGTGCCAATTGTGAAGTTCAGGGATAAAGTCAGGTAAATAATTAATGAGCTTTCTTTTTTTAGTTCCTTTAGATCATTTTTAGATACTCATCTGATAAAGATAATTAAGAAGTGTATGTTGTAGCATTACAGTTTATTTTAATCAGTTTTTAGAAATCATTTGACTTGGTGTTTGAAATGGTTTTTTAAAATTGAGCAATACTTTATGCTTAACTGTACTTAGCTATTCTGCTTGACATTTTGAATATGTGAGACTATCTAATTTAAAGAGTACATATTTGTATTTTAGATTTTTAAATGATCTCTTGCCTTTTGGAAGTGTAATGCATTCTGAAGAATATAATTAATGAAATTTGACATGTACTAATATCAAGGGGTTTGTTTTAAATACAGTTATGATTAAACAAGTTGTGTTTCATTTTTATGAAAGATACATATAATACCTAGAGTAATAGATATGAAAGGAAAACAGCAAAATATACTTGTTCCATTTCAAAATTTACATTTATATATTCTACCAGCTTGGGTTCTGAATGTCTTATGGGCATTGGAATTGTTTTGTAAATAGATGTTGATTATTTCATTAGTTAAACTGATTTGTTACTGTTTTCTAAAAATAGAATTGTGACAGATTTCATAAAATTTGTCCAGTTTTACAAAATTAATACTGAAATTGTGCCCACAAACACACACACACACACATTGTTGATCCTTATCATTCATAGTTTGTGTTTTCACGAATTTGCCTACTTGCTAAAAGTTATTTGTAACTGCCTACATGAATATTCATACGCTTTTGTGGTCATTTCGTGGACATACACAGAGTAATGAAAATTTCAGATCACCCAATACCATGTTTCCAGCTGAGATAGAATTAGGTGACACACTGTCTTCTTGTTCAGCTTCATACTGTAAACAAATAACCTTCTCACAGTCTAATTAATGCCATATTTTTCACATTTTTGTGCTTTTTTGCTATTTAGAATGGCCCCCAAGCATAGTGTGGAGTTACTTTCTAGTGTCCCCAAGTGCAAGAAGGCTGTGATGGTGCCCTATGGAGAAAATATGTGTTAGGTAGGCTTCGCTCAGGCATGAGTTATAGTACTCTTGGCCATGAGTCCACTGTTAATGAATCAACCGTATATATTAAATACAATGTCTTCAAATAGAAGCACAACATAAAACTTGGTTATGTATTGATGAGTTTATGAAAATGTGACCAGGCTGGCAGATACCTAACCCTGTGCTTACCCTAGGAGCAATGGTATAGTATTCACTAATTCAGTGTTTGCAGCAACTTTATAGAACGTAGCTACTATGAATGATGACTGAATATATATATTTTAAACAAACTTTAATGCCTGGCTCAAGCCATTCCTTTATATATCTAAACATCAATCAGATCTATAAATACTTATTAAATTTCTGCCAAGTAAATTGTGTCAGATTTTCCTAAAGCAGATATAAAATATATAGGGAGATAAAACATAAAGTTATAATATTAGCTAATTATAAGTTTTTAATAATATATGGTTGTAGTTATAGTTACAAAGGTAGTTTTATTCTTTTTCTATTTAAGATCATCCTGCAAACTTTTTTTGTTCCTAAGCTTTTTTTTTTTTTTTAAGAGACAGGGTTTTACCATGTTGCCCAGGCTGGAGTGCAGTGGCATGATCATAGCTCACTGTAACCTCAAATGCCTGGACTCAAGTGATCCTCCCATCTCAGCCTACTGAGTAGGTAGGACAACAGGCACACACCAACACACTTGGTTAATTTTTGTATTTTTGGTAGAGACAGGGTCTCGCCATGTTGCCCAGCCTAGTCTCGAACCCCTGGCCTCAAGCAATCCTTCTACCTTAGCCTCCCAAAGTTCTGGAATTACAGGAGTGTGCCGCTGCACCTGGCCAAATCCTGCTTCCCAACAGAACCATATCTCATGAATATTTGGTTATATCATTAAATAGTGTTCTACAGCATCATTTTTAATGGCTTTATAGTATTTCATTGAGTGAATAAATTGTCATTAACTTAACCATTCTCCTGTATTTGAACATTTGGTGTGTTTCTGGTTTTTAGATAATATAAATAAGTATTTTGTGCATAAATGCTTTCCATATTGAGGATCACTTTTTTAGTATTTCTAGAAGTAGTGTTTGAAGCAGGAACTGTGGATATTTTTAAAGCCCTGAATTCAATTTTGGAAAAATTTTTAACTGCAGACTAGTTGCCATCTATGTGTTTTTCTTTTCTATTGAGTTACTATGTGGATGTAGTACAAATTGGCTTCAGTGTTAGAATTACACAAACACAAAGAATAACTCTATTATTACTGTAAGTTTCCCAAAGCCAAATAACGTATAATATCTGAAGTGTTAATACTACTATCCATTTTTATTAATATGCATGGATAATGGAAAGATTGTAAGATTTTCTTTTGTTCCACCAAATAAGAAAGACTGAAATGGTAGATTTCAAATTTTATACTTAAAAGCTATAATTAATATAGAAATATTTTGTTTTTATTTTAGACAGTCTTTTCACAGAAAAAATTAGTATTTAGAAGTTGGGATCTCGCATAGGTATGAGTAGAACTGACTTACATAAAGTAATCCTTAATTTTTTATGAGTTTAGCCATTTTTTATACATTGCATCATTATTGCCGTATTTTCTAAATTATGAACTGCATATATTTGCTTTCAAAGAAGTAATCATTATGTGTTTGAGTAGTATAGATAGCTCTTCCCAGGTATCAATAGCCAAATTTGACATGATACTGTAATTTACTAGCCTTTTTAGAGGAAATATAATGTGTAGACAGAGCTTTTAAATTATTTCCCCTGTATTTAATTTGGCTTTTTATTCCTGTTGTTTTAAAGTATATGATGCTATAATTCCAGATTATTTGAGAGTGTATAACTTAATGGGATAACTTGCTCAGAAATGTTTTTGGTCACATAGTTTTGTTTATCTGGAAACTTGTGAGATTTAAAAATTTTCGGCTGGATATGGTGGTTCCTACCTATAATACTGGTGATTTGGGAGGCTGAGGTGGGGGAATTGCTTGAGCCCAGGAGCTTGAGGCTGGAGTAAGCTATGACTGTGCTACTGCACTCCAGCCTAGGCCACAGAGCGAGACTCCATCTCTTTAAAGAAAAAAAAAAAGATTTAAAAATTTTATTTGGGGTAATTGGAGCCTTAGCAGTATGTTACTGATCTTTCCACTGGAATCTTATTTTATATTTTCAGTACTCATCAGATCACATTGAAATAACATACTGAGTATTTGTTCATTCTTATTTCTTTAGTGTGTCATTTTAAAAACACAGATCTATGGCCTTTGGGCCCATACTATTTTGCATCATGGGATGGATGAGCATTAATTTAGTTATTAGGAAGGAAGTTTTTTTGTTCTTCAGCTAAAGTTTATTTATTTATTTATTTTTTCTTAAATAGTTGTGTGGAGTTTGACTTGAATGTAAACAATATTGTTGGAATAAGAAACACATTCCTTCTCAGAACTTATGCATACCGTAAGTTTGTTGTTTGTTTATTAAAAATTAGCCTTTTTTTCTTTATTCATTTTTAAAGATGTTTGGCATAAATAGTGACATCTCTTTAGTTGTGTTTAAGTATAGTGTATCTTATTTTATTTGTATATGTTGCTACACTAAAATCATATACTGTCAGTTATAGGTGAATCAAGTGGCATTTTAATAATTGATAATTTTTAAAAGGTAACTAAGGTAAGTTTTAGACATAAGACACAAAGTGAACAGACACAGTGTTTAATATACACGGAGACAGTGTTCTTTGTTTTGGTATGGAGCTGGGAAATGATGTAAACTTTCAAAGAAACTATAACGTCTCTTACCATGTTAAGTTTTAATTTTACTTTCAGTTGAAAATCGAGTTCGTCCGTTAGTGCTGGTGATTAAGAAGTGGGCAAGTCACCATCAGATAAATGATGCCAGTCGTGGTACTTTAAGCAGCTATAGTCTTGTATTGATGGTTTTGCACTATTTACAAAGTAAGTATAATGGGGTTTTACCCAATTTTTAAAAGTAAAAGACAGCTTTATTATGGTGTCTTCTCTGTTGACCCTATTTTCAAATAGTATTGTTTTAAAAGTTCTTTCTAAGGTCCATGAAACACATTTCCTGTTTTGTTGCTTTGGACAAATGTTTCAGAAGTGTTATTCCTTGGAAAATATAGAAGTTTCACTGTTTTTTTTTTTATTTTTTGGAAGTTTTTCTATAGTCACTTTTGTTTTCAAAGAACTTTCACCACTGTATTGTGGACCCATTATCTTGAAGCAGACGAATGTTCAAAAGGCCTATAAAAGTTAGCTCAAGTACTATTCATCATATTTTTAATTTTGAATTTGAGACAGGAATTAAATTATTTTCCTGTTGGTTAAAGAAGCTTTTAATCTCTGAGTTGCCCTCCTTAACTAGATTTTATCTTCATAGGGCTGTTTTATCAGATTGGCTCCCAAATTTTAATTTTGTCTGGTTAGTCATTGTTTATGAGGCCATTCTGGTAAAAGCTATACTTTTGTCGCATGCATAGTGGCAAACAGTAATAAGTGAACACTTGTAATTTGGACCATTCATAAGTGTGAGAATTTTTACGGTACTGAAAATTTCCTAGACGTATAGGACAGACTGACTGGATCTATTTGAAACCCTTACTTTCATATTTCTCAAAAATATCTTACATATGTAGCAATCCAAGAAATAAACATTAAGCTGCTTTATACTTTCTACTTAGCCTGACACCAAGAGTTGTTAAAAGATGGATGCATCTACTGTTTTGTAGTTATTAGACCAGGAGACTGAGATGTTTAATAACTAACCAACTGAACATATGAATATGTGGTGACATGAAGACCGAGTGAAAGACTTGGTATGAATGTAGTAGAAGACCGTTTGCCAGGATGTCTGGGGCTTGATCTGTTCTGGGTTGGTGATACTTCCACAGTTTAGAGTCTTGGTTTCCAAAGATTACAATAATAGGAGAAAACATATTTTAGCATATATAATACTCATTTCTTCATTCTATGAATATGTATAGAATACCTACCAAATAAATGCTAGGTATTCTAGGATCTGAGAATACAGCAGTGAACAACATACAAAAACAATTACCTTCTTCATGAAGCTTACATTTTTGACTTGTAAAATGTCACATTTTCATAGCTGTTACCTACCAAAACGTGAATTATTAAACAACTCACAGATTACTAATAAAATGTGACATTTTTACCACGGTTGTGAATTGAGCTGCTGATAGAGCACTATCAACATGTGATATGCTCAATAATAATTATTACAGTGTAGTCATTAAAAAAAAGTATTGAAAAATATCCTTTTATTGCATTGTTTGGTGCTCCTTGTATTTAGATTCTGAGAGGGATAACAGATAATATTAGCAATTTTGTCAACAGCAGCTTGGGCTTGGAAAGTTGAGATGATTTGATGCCCTTATAGCTGTGTTTCTGTACTGAGGATACTGGGAACTGGGAAAAGAAGAAGGCACCTTTCCTTATGCTATAGATCAAAAATGGTTAGGGTTGGGGATTACAATTTTGTTAACCTAATTCCTGGTAGACTGGGCTTCTTTGGATAGGGATTGGAGGATGATACCCAAATTGAGAATTTCTTTATAGTGAGTCACTTTTACTAGTATAGGAGGATAGATAGAAGTGGTTGGGACAAAAACAAAGATTGTCTTACCAATGCCTTAAAAAAGAGCAGTTCAGAGGTGAGATTGGTTGTCAGGAATTCTCTATTTTGTTTCAGAATTATTATGTTTAAAATAATACTTAAAACGTAGTGATATTAAAAGTTATTTTACATTTTAAAATTCATTTTGAATAAGTTGTGTATACATTTCATAGAAAATCCTGAGAATATACTAAAGTGGACAGAAAAAAAATACATTTCCCATGAATTTTCACACCCAAAAATTGTTATTGTTAATATTTGTTTTATTTTTTCTGGCTTTTGTTTTTTTTGCAAAGGTTTCAAGATGTTTAGCCAAATATAAATACATAAATGTCAAGTTCAGGTCTTTTAATTCCAAAAGTTGGGGACAAATAAATAACTGTAAAGGGTGGATGTTCTTTTTTCCTCTACAAAAACATGGTCTTCTTAAATAATGTTCTTACATTTTCTTTTACCTGTTCATTACATGATTCTCAGACTTTTAGATTTCAAGGAAAGTAATATCCAAAAAAAAAAGAACCAAACTGGAGTTTTTATTTTGCTATGTTAAGTATTAGAACCAAAAAACTGCTACCAATTACTACCATCACTTCATAAAAGATGGTGCATAAAATACCAAAAAAGCAATGATATAATCTCAGAATAATGGACAGACCATCACAAAACAGTCTGATTGTTACACCCTTTCCACTTTTGGCACACACACACACATTTTGATTTTTTTTGTTTATGACAGCTTAGTAACCTTTCCTCTATGGTGGAGAATTTGGGGAGCATTTTTTCATATTTATCTTAATTGAAGTAGTCTTAGAGCTAGCTAGTTCTCAAGAAAATCTTGATTCTACCTTTAGACACATCTTCATCCCATCTTTGTCTGGAGATAGGGTGCCATTATTTGACTAAAGTGTTTATGTTAATGTTCTTAATTTCATAGTGTGTCAACCTTGTCCGTTCTTGGTAATCAAAGTTTTATGGTATACTCCTAGGGTGAAATTGGCATTCTACATTCTTGACAGAATATAATCTTATACTCTGTCCTGTTACTTACAGAATTTCACTTGAACATGTATTACAGATGTAGGGATTAATATTCTTAAATTGGCAGTTTTTAATAATGACAAAATGGAATACACAATCATGCTGAGAGTGTTGATTTGGTACAACTCTTTTAGAAAGCAGTGTTGTATATTTGTGTTCATGTCCTTTGACTCAGTTATTTCATTTCTAGAAATTTATCCTAACGTAATAATGAGTGGTACATATATGGATGTACATGTAAAGCTATTTTTTTATGGTGTTACGTAAATAATAGAAGATTAGAAGTACTCTTAAATTTTCTAGAATAGGGGAATGGTTAAATTAATTACGATATACCCTAATATGAGATCTACATAGCCACCAACAATCATGTTTTTAATATATTTAATGATACAAGAAAATGTTCATGATATATTCTCATACATCATAATACCAATTTTATTTAAAGATAATAACTGTGTATATATATTTGTATATATACAAATACTGAAAAGGTAGGTGCCAAAATTGTATCAGGGTTATTTGTGGACAGTTTAGCAAAGTTCTCTGTACTTCACTATACTTGCAGATGTTTTATAATATATGAGAGTATATTTTCCTTTGGATGCTGGTCTCAAATGATTTTTTTGACTTATCGAGAGAGACAAAATAGTTTAAATGGGCCATCATTTTATGAATCAGTCATTAGAGAGGTTTGATAATCTTCTTTAATGTTAAAGTAGTTCAGGCTAATCTTAATACATGTATTTTTATTGCTGACCAGTCTTGAATATATACTGGTTTGATGATTGATTTGCCCCTCTAAAAAAATTTGAAACATATGACATTGGCTGTTTTAGATAATACTTTGTGTCATTAATCATTTTTGTCCAATTTTACAAAATATATGTCAATCTTGAACATATATTACTTTATAATATATGTTACTTTATAATATATGTTCAGGTGAACTCTTAACATATTTTTTTCAGTGAACTCTGTTCTCTTGTGGGTTACAGTTTACTTTCATTAAAAATGGAATAGGATTTCTTATATATATAAAATATAAAAAATATGTGGCACCACCATTCCCTATTTATATTTTAGTTGTGATTTAAAAATGAGATTTGACTAAAGCATTTAGCATACATGATCATCCATAATATGTGCCCTACTCCTTAATTCTTACTGGTTACCTTAGAAATTTTAAGTTTGACTGACTTCTTTAGAAAAATGTACGTAAATCACAGATGCCCCAATGTGGTATTGAAAGCAAATTAAAAATTTTAAATTAGGGCCAGGCACAGTGGCTCATGCCTGTAATCCCAAGTGCTTTGGGAGGCAGAGGTGGGAGGATTGCTTGAGGCCAGGAGTTTGAGACCAGCCTGAGCAATATAGTGAGACTCCTCCATCTACAAAAATAAAAAATGAAAAAAATTAGTTGGGCATGGTGGCACATATCGTTAGTCCTAGCTACTCAGGAGGCTAAGGTGGGAGGATTGTTTGAGCCCAGGAGTTTGAGGTTGCAGTAAGCTATGATTATGCCACTGCATTTCAGCCTGACCAGCAGAGTGACTGTGTCTTAACAAAACAAAAAAATTAAACATTGCTATTTTGCCAGTCTGATCAAATCATATTAAAATTTAGTTTAGACTTTGCCAAACATTTTATTTTTGACAGAGTAGTCCCATTTACTGAAGTGGTTTATAATTAATGGCACTGCATTCAGCCATTCCTAGGTCTTTCTTGAAGGACATTAGCTACCCAGAGCTAATGTGTATCTCTATACTGGCAAATTTAAGCTACTCCTCCCTAGAAGAAATGAGATGATTAAAATAGTTGCTTTTCTTGGCAGTATCACATTACTGTGAGGGAAAAGGGCAAACAAGAGTCTGCAAGGTGTATTGAGTAGTTACAGCTCTGCCACAAAAAACTAGTTTTTGTGACTTTGGTGAAGTTATTGTACCTCACTGGCCTTAATCTCACCTGTAACACAAACAGTTGGATTAAATGACCTTTACGTTTTGTTTAACTTCTTAAATGCTTTAATATCTTTTCTGCCATAAGCAGAGAAAGGAAATAGGTCCTCTGTATGTAGAAAAGGTTAAAAAGATTAACACATTTCCTAGAATAAATTCCAGTAGTCAATAATTGACTACAGATACTTGAAAGATGACTCATCAAAGCATGAGGGGGAATTGAGAAAGGATTTTAATTATAATTTAAGAGTTAATGAAAAAGGAGGCCGGGCACGGTGGCTCACGCCTGTAATCCCAGCAGTTTGGGAGGCTGAGGCGGGTGGATCACTTGAGGTCAGGAATTCGAGACTAGCCTGACCAACATGGTGAAACCCCGTCTCTACTAAAAATACAAAATTAGCTGGGCGTGGTAGTGCACGGCTGTAATCCCAGCTACTTGGGAGGCTGAGGCAGTAGAATCACTTGAAACCAGGAGGCGGAGGTTGCAGTGAGCCTAGATTGTGCCATTGCACTCCAGCCTGGGCAACAAGAGCGAAACTCTGTCTCAAAAAAAAAAAGTAATGAAAAAGGTAAGATCATCAATTGGCTAGAAATAATAACATTAATGAATATTCATGGAATGTTTACCATATTCCTAGGCATACAGAGCTTTCTGGTAGACATTTTAAAATTGTCTTTGCAGAGCCTGGCCAACGTGGCGAAACCCTGTCTCTACTAAAATACAAAAAACTAGCTGGATGTGGTGGTGCACACTTGTCATCCCAGCTAGTGGGGTGGCTGAGGCATGAGAATCACTTGAATTCGGGAGGTGGAGGCTGCAGTGAGCCCAAATCGTGCCACTGTACTCCAGCCTGGGTGACAGAGCGAGACCCTGTCTCAAAAAAAAAAATTAATAAATAAGTAAATAAAGTTGTTCTTGCGCTTTCAAAATTAATGATTCTTAGTGTGATTGAAGACCTGCTATTTAAAATTTAAATTTTTGGTACATCTATATGGAAAGTTTATGGGTATAAATTTGTGGGGTCTCTACCAGCAAGCTGTTATGGAAACTATGGGCAAAGTAAAATTTTGTAGATTAGCTGTATTCAAGGCATTACCTATTAATCATGTATTCTGATAATGAGCTTTTGTTTTGTTTTTACTTTGCCTTTGAGAGAGAAATTTAAAAGACTGAACCTGTAGTCCAGAATTCTGAAGTTAAAATAGTTGTTATAGTCAGATTTTTCCAGAATTTACATTGCTTGAAGTAAGATAAACATTTTAAAAACTACTAAACTCATTGAGACTAATATCAGGATATTGTTAATAAATAACTTCTGCAGTACACTAATTGCTTCTCTGATGACTAGTGTTTATAAATCTTTTAAAGTTGTAACATAAAGAATTTACTTAATGATAACCCTGCCTCCAAAAATTTCCAAATTACTGAGTTCTAAAAGCTTTTTTGTCCATTGAAAGATCCTCAACCAGTGGCTAGTATTTGTTTTTGTCTCCTAGCATTCTAGTTATGGTACCAGAATGAGATAAAGGTTTTTTATTCTAATTCTCTATAATCTTCTCTTCATCCTTTGTTTTATTATATTTTTAGTATACTAGAGTATTGAATGGGAAAGGTATTCAAGTTTTTAAGTAAGCTAATTTATTGTAAGATTTTCCAATTTGACTTCTGTATTATAACCAAAATTACTAGAAAGCTATTAAAAAGTCTTATACAAATAGAGAGACATTTAGAATTAAAGTGAGTGGGGTTTGAGTTTACTTGGCAGGTCTTCTAGAATGTTGAGTATTTGAATGCCTCTTAGGGGAAAGGAATATATATATCCTTACTTTCTAAGAGTGATTCTGGTAAGTAATGATTGAGTTTTTTTTTTTTTTACTAATATTCTCAGTCATGTACTGAGAACATGCACACATACCATGGAATTTTATTTTATGCCAGTTTTCAACATGGGGATGAAATGTGATACATAAAGGAAATTTAAATAAAGCATCCTACTTTGTACTGCGTGGTAAAAATTTATACCCTTTTAATTATAGTTGGAGACCGTGTAAGTTGGTCATAATGGTTCATTACATTTACATTAATAGATTTCAGAAGTCATTTTTTAAAGTTTTTGCTAAATCATACATTAAAAGTGAATTAATATGCTTTGTTATTGAGTTTATGTAGTTGTTATACATAGTGTATTCCTAATTCTTAAATCCTTCCTAATTCTTAAATTTGAAAATGTATTACTTGTATTTTACCATACTCATGACATTATATTTTACAGTTATTTCTTATATTGTGAATGTTAGGCACTTTACCTTTTTATATTGTTCTTTTCATATTAAAACAATGTAAAATTACTGTTAATTAATGAGATTGGATTTGTTTAAAACGATTGGTGAAGGATGACACAAATATGGTGATAACATGAGGATATAATTTCTTTGTATGAAATTTTATTAATAGCAGATTGTGCCCTTAGTTTTCTGACTTTTGCTGAGCATTCTTTAAAAATGTACTAATGAGGTTAAAGATTTTTCTTTCATTTTTATTTGATTTTTTTTGTTGTTATTTGCAGTATATCAGTTTTCCTGAACGATTTCAATTTTGGTATTGTTAGTGGAAATTAAATAATAAAGGGACAATTATGAAAGAACTATTTTTATCTCCTAGTGTCATTGAACTGTATTTTTAAAATTGTAGTTTTTGATTGCTACATCCATCTTAATAATGTCTATTCAGTATCTGTAGAGCAATCCTTGTCTTGCTTATTGTGTGTGTATGTCTGATGTTGGACAAATTATGTATGTCCCTTTATTGATAGCCTATTATTCTAAAACCATGTGAGGAACATTGATTTACATAGGGATATATGTAGTTTATTAATAAAACCTTAGTTTGTCAACTTAAATATATTTTAAATACAAACTTAGGGATAAGAATTAATTTCATGAAATATTTGAAAATTGTTGAATTTTAGCATAAACCCTTATGGTCTTATACCTGGGATGTAGCTGACAAATTATTGCATTGTAAAATGAGTCACGTGAATCACGGAAGCTTTAAACTTTTTCTTTTTATAGCCCTACCTGAACCCATCCTTCCATCCCTCCAAAAAATTTACCCAGTAAGTGTTTCTTATAAATTATTATAATACATTTTATGTCAAGTGTATGTAGAACTATTATAAGTAGTATTAATGTGATTATAAAAGTAGTAAGGCTAAGTACATGATAACATTTTCTATATATACCAAGAGAACATTTAAAATGTTTCATATACTGTTTCAGAAAACTCTCTTACTTGTTATTTTGTTATTGGCAGACAGTCTGGTCAGTTGTGTTAATGGTGGAATTTGTTTTGCATGATGCTCAAGATTATCACTAATGGAGATTAAATATACTCAGTTGCCCATTTGGCCTTATTCCAGTTTTCTTCCTACTATTTTAAAATATAGCTTCACAGCATTTCTTTAGTTAGTAACTCAGAAATTTTTTGGCCCAGTATATTTATACTTTGAAAAGCAGGGGGAAAGAAGTTGGACAATTGGATAATCTTTCTATCTTTAATTTGATCTTGCTAAGTAATACACCACAACAGGTAATATTAGTACATGGTTCTTGTCTGCATAATACTATGAATCCTGCTGACATTAATTGGAAACATTCAAGAAATGAAGTGTGGCCACTAGAAAAAATTTAATATGTACTTAGTTTGAGTTTAGAGACACATAGGTTATGTATGTATTCATAATCTATAAGAATCCTTGTGTTTCTTTTTCAGTTTTCATGTATTCTTTCTCCAGAATTCTCTGTTTCTTTGTTTTATATCATTAGTGTTTTCCTCCATAGTCATTCTTTTTCCTGCATTTATTTGGAAATAATATTTAAGCTACTTGTTTAGAATGTTTGACTACTCTTCTGAAACCACGTAATTTTTACATATTGGTTTCATATACTTATAAGAAGAGCTGTCTTCTAAACTTACTAAATGGTCATATTTCAAAGAGAAATATCACCAGCTTAGATGATTAATTTTCAAAAAACTTATTTATTGTGTCACACAAAATATAACAAATTTACTTGACATGGAACATCAGTTAAATATAGTTTAATATCTGATAATTGAGAAGAACCAATGTTCTTGGTTTTGAACATAAGTTATTATTGTAATGCACACATGCAAGGTGCTGGATAATAAACGTTCATTTTAATACAGCCCTGCTGTGGTGGAGATCTCACATTCTGTGGAAGGTCATCTGCTAGGAGAGACTGTATAACAAGAGCCTTTTAGAATCTTGCTATCTCATCTTCCTTTTTTTAAACTAGTTTCTGCTATTATGAAGAATTATTATAATGAGTTTCCAGTATAGCTAAGGATCAGTCTTTATGGTCTCTTAAACATTATGAAAAATGAAAGAAAGAACAGAAATAGAGGTAACTTGAACTTTTTGGCCTTATTCTTTTGAATCTTTTTATTTATTCTTTTTTTTTTTTTTCTTAGAGACGGTCTTGCTGTGATGCCCAGTTTGGTCTCAAATGCCTGGCCTCAAGCGAGCCTTCTACCTTGGCCTCCCAAAGTTCTGGGATTACAGGCATGAGCCACTACACCCAGCCTGTTGGCCTTAATTTTGAATGTTTTTCTCTCTCCATAAAGTATTGACTCTCTTGTTTGTACTGAAAGGTCATATTTCATTTTATTGACCCAACCTCATCTTGCTTTAAGACACAGGTGTCAGTGTAGAAAGAGTTGCATATGTTCTTTAGCAAAGGAGCTAATAAACTTATCCCAAAATAATATTGTGTATTGAAAAATGCTTCTGCAGCAGTCTCACTTAAAACCCTATGCTACATGAAGCTCTTTTTACTAATATAGGAGACTGGCGAAATATCAGTGTACTGTGGTTGGGGTCAGAGGGAATGCTTTCATAATACTCAGATTCTTACTGACGGCCCCATTTTCACTTCTGTGTTCTGTTTTTCTTATTAGCTTTCTCCCATGACAGAGTCCTGACTTCTGTTCATATCCACTACCTCTGGCCCTATGCTTTCCATCTGTTTTGCTTGTAAGCTTATTTCTATACCTGTAATGGGGAAATAGATTTAGCCCCAAGGCCTTAAAAAATACTAATAGCAAGACCTGCGAGATTAGGAATCTCCTAATTTGCATTTACATATGGTTACATTGCCATCATAAATATTTAATTAATTTACCTTTACTATAAGATTTTTGTTTACATGGATAGGGACTTACTACCTGTTCTCACACAAGATTTTTTGTTTTATATGAAACCTGTAGGCTGGTCAGCAGAACACATTTTTAATGGTCCGTCTGATGGAACAAACAAGTCAGCTTGTTTGCTATTATTAATAATAACCATCCGGGCGTGGTGGCTCACGCCTGTAATCCCAGCACTTTGGGAGGCTAAGGTGGGTGGATCACGAGGTCAGGAGTTAAAGACCAGCCTGGCCAAGATAGTGAAACCCCGTCTCTACTAAAAATACAAAAATTAGCTGGGCATGGTGGCAGGTGCCTGTAATCCCAGCTACTCAGGAGGGTGAGGAGGAGAATTGCTTGAACCTGGGAGGCGGAGGTTGCAGTGAGCCCAGATTGCGCCACTGTACTCCAGCCTCGGCGACAGAGCGAGACTCTGTCTCAAAAAAAAAAAAAAAAAAAAAAATGTATATATATATATATATATATATATATATATATATATAATAGCCATCGTTTATTTAGTATCCATTATATATGTCAGCATACTGTACATTTTATACACAATTTAAAAAATCCTGAACAAATAAACTTGCAAGGTATTATTCCTCTTTCACTAATGAAGAAACTGTTTTAGAAATGTTACATGATTGATACAAGTGGTACTAACAATTTTTCCATTATACTCTTTCTTGGGGGAAGGCAAAATTACAGTAGTATTCACTAACATTTTATCTAATTTCTGTTGCTTATTACATTTTATTTGTATACATCTGATTGTTCATATACAGATATACCTTTAAGGGCAGCAGTTACGGCAGAATTTCAGCTTGTATAAATAAGTTTAAGATAAGTTAACAACAACGAAAAAACAACTTTGTTACTTTACAAAGGAAACCGCGGAGTTCTTTTAAATTTCTAGCTTCTCTAATACAAAATAGGGTTTATTTTTAAAATAAGAGAAAACAGTTTTGGAATGGAATAAATTTGTTCAGTATACTATGCTTTTTAGTCATTTTCATATTTTCAAAATTTATAACATTTTAAATATTTTTAAAATTGGTATATTTCAGTTCAGTTGTGATATGAAAGGGATAAAAGGCTATAAACATCATTGTCTCTAAAAACTGTATTATAGTATAGAATTACTGCTTATTACTAAATTCTTATTGACTTAACGTAGCTGATGGAGGGGTACGTTATTCAGTTGAATAAATGAAGCTGAGAAAGTTAAATATATAAACAGATTGAGCTTATGAAGGAATCTTTATTTTAATGCAAGCATATTACTATGAGGGTTAACTTAAATTTATGCTAGGTAGATTTATCAATACAACTTGTGTTTTTTAGCTATTTGTTTCCTTCGCTAAAAGTATCTTTGTACTCTAGGAAACATTTATGTTAATACAGTTGCAAGAAAATAACCCTCTTCTTTTTAATAGTTATGAAATAAAGAATTCTATAGCTCTTCTGTGTAGTTAAATGTTAAAAAACACCTTAAATTATACATATATACATATACAGTAATGTGCTGCATAATGATGTTTTGGTTAATGACAGACCACATACATGATAGTGGTCTCATAAGATGGTGATAGAGCTGAAATATTCCTGTCACTTGGTTTTTGCTGTACTATACTTTTTATCATTATTTGTGAGTGTACTCTTTATGCTTATTTAAAAAACAAGCTAACTATAAAATGGCCTGATAGGTCCTTCAAGAGGTATTCCAGAAGAAGACATTGTTATATGAAATGACAGCTCCATGCATGATATTGTCCCCAAAGATCTTCCAGTGGGACATGATGTGGAGGTGGAAGACAGTGATAGTGATGATCCCGATACTGTGTGGGCCTAAGCTGATGTGTATGTTTGTGCCTTTGTTTTTAACAAAAAAGTTTAAAAGGAAAAAAAAAATTTAAAATAGAGAAAATCTTATAGAATAAGGATATAAAGAAAGAAAATATTGGTATCGTTGTGCAATGTGTTTGTATTTTAAGCTGTGTTGTTACAAAACAGCCTAAAAGTTAAAAAGTTTTTAAAATAAAGTAAGCTAAGGTTAATTTATTATTGAAGAAAGAAAAATTTTAAAATAAACTTAAGGTAGCCTAAGTGTACAGTATTTATAAAGTCTACAGTAGCGTATAGTAATGTTCTAGGCCTTCACATTCACTCACTACTCACTCATTGACTCACCCAGCAACTACCACTTCTGCAAGCCCCACTCATGGTAAGGGTATACTGTTTTTTATCTTTTATACCATGTTTTTAGTGTACCTTTTCTATTTTTAGATATGTTTAGATCCACACATACTTATCATTGTGTTACAGTTGCCTACAGTATTCAGTATAATAACATGCTGTACAGGTGTGTAGCCTGTGCAGGCATACGTTTGAGGTGTTGCAGGTTTGGTTCCAGGCCACCACAATAAAGTGAGTCACATGAATTTTTTGGTTTCCCAGTGCATATAAAAGTTACACTTACACTATCATGTAGTCTCTTAAGTGTGCAATAGCATTATGTCTAAAAAATGTACATACCTTTGTTTAAAAATGCTTTATTGCTACAAAATGCTAACAATCAGCTGAGCCTTCAGCACCAGTTGTGGAGAGTCTTGCTTTGATACTGACGGCTCCTGACTGATCAGAGTGGTGGTTGCTGAAGGTTGGGGTGGCTGTGGCAGTTTCTGAAAATAAGACAACGGTAAAGTTTGCCACATTGATTGATTCTTCTTCAAAAAGATTTCTCTATAGTGTATGATGATCTTTGCTAGCATTTTACGTACAGTAGAACGTCCTTTAAAATTGAAGTCAGTCCGCTCAAACTCTGCCACTGCTTTACCAGCTAAGTTTATGTAATGTTCTAAATCCTTTGTTTATACACTTAGAAATATTATCCCTCTTTCACTAATGAAAAAACTAAGTCTTAGAAAAGTTACATGGTTGTTCCAAGCAGTACTGGTATTTTGTTGTCATTTCAACAAGATTCACAGCATCTTCACCAGGAGTAGATTCTGTCTCAAGAAACTACTTTTCTTTGCTCATCCATAAGAAGCAGAACTTCATCTGTTAAAGTTTTATCATGAAATTGCAGCAGTTCAGTCACATCTTCAGGTTCCACTGCTAATTCTAATTATCTTGCTGTTTCCACCACATCTGCAGTTACTTCCTCCACTGAAGTCTTGAACCTCTCAAAGTCATCCAAAAGTGTTGGCATTAACTTCTTTTAAACTTCTGTTCATGTTGATATTTTGACCTCCCATGAATCATGAATGTTCTTAACGGTATCTAGAATGATGACTCCTTTCCAGAAAGCTTTCAATGTACTTTGTCCAGATTCATTAGTGGAATCACTATCTGTGGCAGTTATAGCCTTGTGAAATGTATGTCTTAAATAATAATACTTGAAAATGAAAATTACTCCTTGATCCGTGGGCTGTAGAATGGATGTTGTGTTAGCAGGCATGAAAACATTAATCTCTTTGTACATCTCCATCAGAGCTCTTTGATGAGTAGGTGCATTGTCAATGAGCAGTAGTAGTAGGTCTCAACAGTGGGCTTAAAATATTCAGTGTACCGTGCTGTAAAGAGATGTGTTGTCATCAAGGCTTTGTTTTTCCATTTATAGAGCACTGGCGGAGTAAATTTAGCATAATTCTTAAGGGCCCTGGGATTTTGGAATGGTATATAAGCATTGGCTTCAACTTGAAGTCACCAGCTGCATTAGCCCCTAACAAGAGTCAGCTTGTCCTTTGAAACCTTGAAGCCAGGTATTGATGTCTCTTCTGTAGCTGTGAAGGTTCTAGATAGCATCTTCGAATAGAAGCCTGTTTCATTTACACTGAAAAATCTGCTATTTAGTGTAGCTGCATTCATCTGTTGTTCAGTGTAGCCATGTTAATTTAGCGAGATAACTTCTGGATAACTTGCTATAGCTTCTTCACTTGCTGTTCACTTTGTAATTTTATGTTACGTAAATAGCTTCTTTCCTTAAACCTCATAACCAGCCTCTGCTACCTTCCAACTTTTCTTCTGCAGCTTCCTCACCTCTGTCATCCTTCATAGAATTGAAGAGAGAGTCTTGCTCTGGTTAGGTTTTGGCTTAAAGAAGTATTTTGGCTTGTTTGATCTATCCAGACCAGTGAAACTTTCCATATCAGCAATAAGGCTGTTTTGCTTTTTTATCATTGATGCGTTCACTGGAGTAGTACTTTTAATATCCTTCAAGAACTTTTCCTTTGCATTCGCAGCCTGGCTGTCTTTGGTGCAAGAGACCTAACTTTTGGCTTGTATTGGTTTTCAACATGACTTCTTCACTAAGCTTAGTCATTTCTTGCTTTTCATTTAAAGTGAGAGATGTGTGACTTTTCCTTTCACTTGGTCGGCCATTGTAGAGTTGTTAATTGGCCTAATTTCAGTATTGTTGCATCTCAGAGAATAAATAGGGAGACCCAAGGAAGGGGAGAGAGATGGGGGAATTGCCTGCCAGTCAGTGGAGCAATTGGAATACACATAACATTTTTGATTAAGTTTGCAGTATTATGTGGATACCATTTGTGGCACTCCAAAACAATTACAGTAGTAACATCAAATATTACTGATCACAGATCACCATAAGATACAATAATAATGAAAAAGTTTGAAATATGAGAATTACCAGAGTGGAACACAGAGACCTGAAGTGCGCACACGCTGCTGGAAAAATGGCACTGCTGATAGACTTGCTAGATGCACCGTTGCCATAAACCTTCAATTTGTAAAAACTGCAGTATCTTCGAAGTACAGTAAAGTGAAGTGCAACAAAACGAGGTGTGCCTGTATATATACAGTGGGCGCTCTGTATGTGGGTTATGCATCCATAGATTCAACCGACTACACATCAAAAATATTCAGGAAAAATAAAAATACAACAATAAAAGTAATACAAATAAAAAATATAACAACTATTTAGATGGAGTTTATGTTGTATTAGGTATTGTAAGTAATCTAGAGATGATTTAAAGTATATGAGAAGGTGTACATAGGTTATATGCAAATACTTCACCATTTCATATAAGGGACTTTAGCATCCCCTGGAGCCCTGGAACCAGTTGCCTAGGAATACCAAGGGACAACTGTACACACATATATATAGCAACTTTTTCATTTTAAAAATTGACCTAATGTAAGGAAGGGATCCATCAATTACCTGAAACAGGCTATAAATGAATACTTTTGAAAAGATTTAGCCAGCCGTGGTGGCTCATGCCTGTAATCCCAGCACTTTGGGAGGCCGAGGCGGGTGGATCACAAGGTAATGAGATCGAGATCATCCTGGCCAACATGGTCAAACCCCGTCTCTACTAAAAATACAAAAATTAGCCGAGTGTGGAGGCACGCGCCTGTAGTCCCAGCTACTCCGGAGGCTGAGGCAGGCGAATTGCTTGAACCCAGGAGGCGGAGGTTGCAGTAAGCTGAGATCACGTCACTGCACTCCAGCCTGGGTGACAGAGTCTCACTCTGTCTCAAAAAAAAAAAAAAAAGAGGTTAACAAATTTTGGTGGAGATATTTTTTTTAATGGTTATAAAACATTGTTTTAAAGTTGGCACTACCTGAATTTTGAAAACGTAGAAAAATTAATTTGGAAATAATACATGAAAATTTTCAGGAGGTAACCACACTGTATTGTATAAATGTGCAATAATAATGATATGTGGCATATACTAAACAGTTAATAAATCCTTACAACCATCTGAGTATTTTTCCTTTCCTTGTATTATAAATGATGAAGCTGAGGAACGCTAAGTAACTTGATTAAATGCCTGCAGCTAATAGAAGGGTGATGCTTCACACTTCAGTCTGACTTCAAAGCTAATGCTCTTAGTCACTTCATTATAGTACCTCTACTTTATGTTATATACTTACCTTGATCTCACAACTTGTAAAATCTACTAAAGTCAGATATAATTAAAGGAAATTTTATGGTGAATCTTTAACATACATCACCAGATTAATGATGACCTACCTGCGTGCAATTCAGATATCTTTGCAGAAACTTCAAGGTATCACTTAGTTCTTTTTCTTTTCAGGCAGAAGTATTCCCTATCAGTTTTTCTTTTCCTTGTAACCTTCTTTAACATACATTTCTAGGATCTCATAATTCATATCATTAGGAAATTATGCTTAATCTCTTTTAATAACGTAAATTTCTGTTTACCTGGAGATGGAAAGTGATCATCTTTGACTTAAGCCTTTCATCATTTAAAGAACGGTTTTCAAATAGAAGGTTAGCCATTCTAACTTATTCCAGAAAGCGCTTAATTGTCCACATTTCAGACTTTGAAGGTAACGTAAGATATCATGGGACAGTCTCAGAAAAAAATGATGGAATCTGGCAAAAGGTATTTTTGCCATTATTATAGACAGTTCTATGAGCAGAAGTGGTGAGAGTTCTCAGATGTTTTCCAAGGGATTTTCTATTTAATTTTTTTTAACTTGAAGAGAAATGAAAGATTACGTGTCTTCTAAAGGATCAACATTTAAAAATCATTTGGAAAATGTTTTCAGGAGTTAACAGGTTATACATTTGATTATCAGAAGCCCAGAATAAGATACCAACCTAAAAAATATAATCTTCCCTCTATATAGGCACACAAGCAACAGTAAAAATTTGTAACCCAAAAATTTATTTATTAAAGAGGTGGATGTTATCAGTTTAATTGCTATTCTGTGGACTGACTTTGTAATTTTAAGGCTGCTTTTTTTCTCTTTGACTTTTTGGTTGTTCTTTATGTACTTTCTAAAATATTAGTTTAAGTTCTGAACCCCCTTGTCCTATCTGAAGTAGCATGTATTTTTCTTAAATACATAACTAAAGTGGGGAAGCACCCTTTTAAAGAAATTCTTTTTTTTTTTCTTTCTTTTTTTTTTAATGAGACGGAGTTTTGCTCTGTTACCCAGGCTGGGATGGAGTGCAGTGGCGTGGATTCGGCTTACTGCAACCTCCACCTCCCGGATTCAAGCGATTGTCTTGCCTCAGCCTCCTGAGTAGCTGGGATTACAGGCGCCCGCCACCATGTCCAGCTAATTTTTGTATTTTTAGTAGAGACGGGGTTTCACCGTGTTGGCCAGGCTGGTCTCGAACTCCTGACCTCGAGGGAACCGCTCGCCTCGGCCTCCTGAAGTGCTGGGATTACAGGCATGAGCCACTGTGTCAGGCCTTAAAGAAATTATTTGTTGAAATTTTAAAGCAAAGAATCTTTCTGTAATGTGAATGATCATTAAAAACTGGGGATGTCTTTTCTTTCTTTTTTTTTTTTTGCGATAAGGTCTTGCTCAAGCTGGAGTGCAGTGGTGCAATGATGAGCCCTCCTGGGCTCAGCTGCTTCTCTCACCTCAGCCTCCTGAGTACCTGGAACGACAGCAGTCATCACCATGCCCAGCTAATCTTTCTATTTTTTTTAGAGATAGGCATCACCATGCCCAGCTAATCTTTCTATTTTTTTTAGAGATAGGGTCTCAGTAAGTTGCCTAAGCTGGTCTCAAACTCCTGGGCTCAAGGATTTCATAATTCATATTGCTATGAAATTAATGTGTTTTATTTGATAATAACCTAAATTTCTTTCTGTTTGCCTGGAGATGGAAAGTGATCATCTTTCACTTAAGATTTTGAAAAACAGTTTCCATATAGAAGATTAGCCAGTCTAACTTACTTCAGAAAGTGCTTAATTGTCCAAAGATTGATCCTTCTGCCTTGGCCTCCCAAAGTGCTGGGATTACAAGCTTGAGCCACCATGCCTGGCTTAGGGGATTTCTTAAGGATAGATAGAATTACTGTTTACTGGTAGCTGCCTTTAGGTGTCCTCATTTTTTCAGTTTTGGTTTGGATTTCTGCTTCAGTTCTCCCTCAATAAGCATGACCTGACTCTTTGTGTGTGACCGTGAAAAAGAACAGTGAAGCTAAGAGAAGACTGGCCAAATTGTCGGTCTCAGGTCATTCAGCATTTTAATGGAGTGGATCTCACGACTCTTCAGTTCTTAATGTCATAATTGCTGACCTTTTTCTTTAAATTACTGAACAAAATAAAGATTTTAAAGGAAGTACAATCATTTTTAGACTTCAGATAAGAAAGTGACTTCTGTTTTAGCATATTCAGTTCATAAATTGAATGCTAATTGTGCTTGGTGCTAGGAATCAAAATTAGTAAGAAGCTTTCAGAGCGGGAGCTATTAAACAGTGACCTACTTATTTGATCTACATTATACCTTTTGTTTGATTTGCCAGAAAATAACATTTAAATTTTATAATTTTAAATATTGTCACCCTAAGTTCAATTTTATACCTAACAAGTAAGAGTTAAAGGGGAATAGAGGCACTGCATCTATTCTTCCTTCTGCCTTTAGTCTTTACTAATTGAGGTTTCTTTCCTACCCCCTCCACTTTTAGACATTAAAATTTCTACTTGAATCTTAAAATGTAATTAATACTACAGCTGTTAGAAATGTAAGGGGAAAGTCCCATGTTGAGGAGTATCAACTTTATGAATTTGGTTGGAATAGAATTTTTATTCTGAGAGAAAGGTAATCACTTCATAGTAGTTAACAATTATTGATAGAATTATAGGTAATGGAACAAGGGAGGAGATATTTTTGTTTTCTTGCTCCTTTGTTTTTATTCATATTTTGGGGGCACTAGCATTAAATGATGCACTATGCAATTTCTCTACTACCATTATTTAGAGAGTCTCCATTTTTTAACTTGGCATTATTTAGATGTCTTTAATTACATTAGTATCTATAAGCCCAGGATTGAGGGGTTTGGAATCTTAACCGTAGTTGTCATTCTGCTGCCTTAACTAATTGCTTTTTTTTTTTTTTAACGAAAAAAAAAAATCCATTTCTATTCTGACGGCAGTGGAGAAATACAGAAAACCATCCTTGATGGCACTGTGCAAATTACCTTGCATTATTTTCTAATTGATGTATATAAATGACTTAATAATTTTGATAGTACATTTAGTATATTCGAGAGCCAGAACTTGCTGTTAATAGAGGAAAAATGGATATGAAAATGAATGGGATAACATAGGAAAACAGAATAAGTACCCGTTAGTATTCTTTCTAATAGGCGTCTTTGTTCCTGGATTTCAGGCAAATAATATCCTCTTTTATAAATATTATGGTAAAAGCTTGCTGAATATTGCTTGTTGGTATGTTTCCTGTCTCATTTTCCCTGCCTTCTTTGTCTTTTCAAGCTTAATTCAGGTTGAACATCTCTCTTCTTTTCCATCTAAGATACAGAAACAAAAGAAAGCAAAATTTATAAAATCTTAAAATTAGTATAAGTACTATTTCTATATTAAAGTTACTCTTACGGCCTTTGGGAGAAGTTTGAAGTGACAGAAAAAACTCTTACTTTGTGCTTGATATAGCCTTTATACATGAAGTATAACTGCTCCTTGTAGGAATAATTAAGAATGAGATAACCTTTGTGAAGAAATCTATATGGTATTGGGTAGATCTTGGTTTGTATAGTAAGGTTTTATTTATGAGTTAGAAAATCTTCTGCTAAATAGCGATCTGTTTGGTTAACTGAGTGATATACTCAAGCCAAGGATTAGAATGTTAGTTTTTCAGGTACATTCTGGTCTACTGCAAATACTGGTGAAGTCTTTAGTGGAAGAAAAATTTCAGGTTTCCAAATTGCCAAATAGAGTAAATTTCTTCTCTCTTTTTCAAAGAGGAGCCTAGTTCAGGATTTATAAAGTTTCTTAGTGTGTGTTTTAAATGGCTTTACATTTTTTCCCCTTCTTCTTTTTGACAGGAGTCTTTTAGTCCTGCTATACAGCTGCACCTTGTACATCAAGCTCCATGTAATGTTCCTCCTTACCTCTCAAAGAATGAATCAAACCTTGGGGACCTCTTACTGGGCTTTCTTAAATATTATGCTACAGAATTTGAGTAAGTAAAACTTTAAATTGTGTTTGTTCACTTATATGTGTGTGTGTGTGTATGTATGTATATATATGAATACGAATATATAAGTAAATGCTACAGATTTAGTCAGGAGCTGTGTTTGTCACTTCCAGTGTTGTAAAGTTGTCCAGAAATGTATAGTTTATAAAATTTCCTATGTGACAATGAATTATTGGAAGCTAGATAGATTTTATATTCTTAGCTAATAAATACATTTATAGTTCAGTAGGCCCAGTTTTAGTTGATTTCAATAGTGGTAGGCCCTATGTGTTGGTCCTGTGCAGGTGCTGTGTAGTTTGGAACATCCATTTTCTATACACTTAAAATGTATAGTAAAAAAACACTGCTAAGAAAGACTAATGAAGATCTATTTAATACTTGGCATCTTCGTAAATAGTTGTGTTAGTGTGATATACAAATTGAGGAATGTGTCTTTTCCTTTTTTCTTTTCTTTTTTGAAGATGATATGTAAACATAAAACAAAGAATGTATAATCAGGCTGGACAGAACTGAAAGTTCTTATGTGAGTTCTAAGTCCAGAGAGAGTGGAGTTAGGAGTTACTTGCAGCTCTTCTGATCAATCTGGAAAAGCTTGAGGGGGGAAGAGAGAAGATTGAGGAATTGTACAGTATTAGAGGCAGGTACAGTTACCATTGGATACCACTTTGAAGAAGTTTGCATAGGGTAATAATAATAGTAATAATAATAATAAATTGCTATTACTAGATGGGAAAATGGTTCTAAACATATATTTATTATATTATTATTTATATTTATCATTTCATTCCGTTTACATAATTGTTATCTGGTGTGTGGTATATTATGCCCATTTTACCAGTGAAGCATAGAGAGAGGGGAAGTAACGTGCTCCAAGATCACATAGCTAATAAGAGTAGTATTTCAGGCCGGGCGCGGTAGCTCATGCCTGTAATCCCAACACTTTGGGAGGCCGAGGCAGGTGAGGTCGCGAGTTCGAGACCAGCCAGACCAACACGGAGAAACCCCTTCTCTACTAAAAATACAAAATTAGCTGGGCATGGTGGTGCATGCCTATAATCCCAGCTACTTGGGAGGCTGAGACAGGAGAAACGCTTGAACCTGGGAGGTGGGGGTTGCAGTAAGCTGAGATTGTGCCATTGCACTCCAGCCTGGGCAACAAGAGCGAAACTCTATCTCAAAAAAAAAAAAAGAAAAAAGGATTTCAGATAGCTTTGACACAGAATTCACACTTAACTGTCATACTGGAGAAGTATAAAAAGGTAAGAGCTTTTATTTATTTATTTATTTATTTATTTTTTTGAGACGGAGTCTCACTGTGTTGCCCAGGCTGGAGTGCAGTGGCGTGATCTCGGCTCACTGCAACCTCTGCCTCCCTGGTTCAAGCAATTCTCCTGCCTCAGCCTCCCAAGTTGCTGGGACTACAAGCACCCGTGACCACGCCTGGCTAATTTTTGTATTTTTAGTAGAGATGGGGTTTCATCATATGGGCCAGGCTGGTCTCAAACTCTTGACCTAGTGATCTGCCCGCCTCAGCCTCCCAAAGTGCTGGGATTACAGGTGTGAGCCACCGTGCTCGGCCACGGAGCTTTCATTTATATTAAGATGAAGAAAGATTAAAGACTGGATGAGACATAGTACATAAATAGACTGTGAAGGTTTAATGGTTATTCTAGAGTTCTCTTTAAGATATTGCAATAACAATAGCTAATGTTTAGTGAGAATTTATCTAGTGTGCTGTAGTAAGCTGAGTGATTCCCATGGATTTCAGTTAATCCTCATAATAACCTCTGTCAAGCTTAGGGAATTTGTGTACATGAAACTTGCCCATGGCAATCTACAGCTAGATTGTGGGAGAGTTGGGATTCACTTTCAAGCTGGACTCCAAAACTACATTCTTAATTGTTAGACTGTATTGACATTGTTTATTATGTTATATAAATTAGGGACTGGGGGATGTTTGTGGAGGGGGAAAAGGATTCACAGAACAAAGATAACTTTTTTCCCATGTATAGTGTAGGATTAGAGCATCTGTATACAAATACCTTGAAAATCACCTGCTTTGTTGAACAGAAACAAGATAGTGGATGTGTAGGTTTGTATGTTAATTTAATATTAAAGGAAACTAGTCTGCTGGGTCAGATGATACTGATGCTTGGAAAGAGGTTTCAGAACTTCACCATCTAGTACATTTGTCATTTCATATGAGATATTTTCAGAAATTTGAAATGTGGGGATCACAGCCAAGAATGTAGTCATGGTAATAAACTAGAAGCTGTATAAAAGAATTATGGCAATTGTTAAAAATGTCTATAAGGATTTCTTCTGAACTTTGAGGTAATCATTTAAAAAGTTCTTTTTTCTTTTTCTTTTTTTTTTTTTGAAACAGAACCTTGCTCTGTTGCCCAGGCTGGAGTGCAGTGGTGCGATCTTAGCTCACTGCAACCTCCGCCTCATGGGTTCAAGCAATTCTCCTGCCTCAGCCTCCTGAGTAGCTGGGATTCCAGGTGCGTGCCACCATGCCTGGCTAATATTTTTTTGTATTTTTAGTAGAGATGGGGTTTCACCATATTGGCCAGGTTGGTCTTGAACTCCTGACCTCAAATGATCCACCCATCTCGGCCTCCAAAAGTGCTAGGATTACAGGTGTGAGCCACCGCGCCTAGCCAAAAGTTCTTTTTTCTGAAAGACAAAACATTAAGTGACTGTTAAGGGATGCTTGAGTATATGGTATAAATGTTGCAGAAGTTTTATATGGTCATTTAAAAATTACTATTTTCGGCCGGGTGTGGTGGCTCATGTCTGTAATCCCAGCACTTTGAGAGGCCATGGAGGGGAGATCACTTGAGCCCAGAAGTTTGAGACCAGCCTGGGCAACATGGCAAAACCCCCTTTCTACTAAAAATACAAAAATTAGCCAGGTGTGGTGGCACATGCCTGTAAACCCAGCTACTTGGGAGGCTGAGGCACAGGAATTGCTTGAACCAGGGAGGTGGGGGTTGCAGTGAGCTGAGATTGCTCCACTGCACTCCAGCCTGGACAATAGAGTGAGACCCTGTCTCAAAAAAAAAAACAAAAAACTATTTTTCTTACCTACTTCACTCACACCTTGCTGCTGAAATACTTCTGTTTTGTTACTTTTTGTGGGTACATAATAGGTTTGTATATTTATAGGGTATGTGAGATATTTTGATATAGGCATACAGTGCATAATAATCACATCAGGGTAAATGGGGTATCCATCACCTCAAGCATTTATCGTTTGCATTACAAACAATCCAGTTATCCTGTTTTAGTTATTTTTAAATGTACAATTAAATTATTATTGACTATAGTCACCCAGTTGTGTTATCAAATATATATCTTATTCGTTCTATTTTCTTGTACTCATTAACAATCCCCACTTCCGCCTCTCCCTGCCACTGCCCTTCCCAGCCTCTGGTAACCATCATTCTAGTCTCTTATCTCCATGAGTTCAATTGTTTTAATTTTTAGATCCCACAGATAACTGAGAACATGTGAAGTTTGTCTTTGTGTGTCTGGCTTATTTCACTTAATGTCCTCCAATTCCATCCATGATGTTGCAAATGAGAGGATCTCATTCTTTTGTATGGCTCAATAGTACTCTATTGTGGATAAGTACCACCTATTATTTATCCATTCCTCTGTTGATGGACACTTAAGTTCCTTCTAAATTTTGGCTATTGGGAATAGTGTTACAAAAACATGAGAGTGCAGATATGTCTTCAGTATCCTGATTTTCTTTCATTTGGGTATATGCCTAGGAGTGGGATTGCTGGATCATATGGTAGTTCTACTTTTAGTTTTGGGGAAACCTCCAAACTGTTCTTCATAATGGTTGTACTAATTTACATTCCCACCAGCAGGGTATGAGGGTTTCCTTGCCAGCATTCATTGTTGCCTGTCTTTTGGATAAAAGCCATTTTAAGTGGGGTGAGATGATACCTCATTGCAGTTTTGATTTGCCTAAGTCTGATGATTAGTGATGTTGAGCAGCTTTGCATATACCTCGTTGCTCTTTGTATGCCTTCTTTTGAGAAATGTCTGTTGAGATCTTCTGTCCGTGTTTTAATTGGATTATTAGATTTTTTCCTATAGAGTTGTTTAAGCTCCTTATATATTCTGCCTATTAATCCTTTGTGAGATGAGTAGTTTGCAAATATTTTCTCTCATTCTATGGGTTTGTCTCCTCACTTTGTTGATTGTTTCCTTTGCTATGCAGAAGCTTTTTAACTTGATGTGATCCCATTGTCCATTTGCTTTGGTTGCCTGTGCTTGTGGAGTATTACTTAAGAAACCTTTGCCCATACCAATGTCCTGGAGAGTTTCTCCAATGTTTTCTTGTGGTGGTTTCATAATTTGAGGTCTTAGATTGAATTCTTCAATCAATTTTGGTTTGTTTTTTGTATATGTCAAGAGATAGGGTTCTAGTTTCATTCTTTCGCATATGGATATCTAGTATTCCCAGCACTATTTATTGAAGAGACTGTGCTTTCCCTAGTGTATGTCTTGGCACCTTTTTTGAAAATGAGTTCACTGTAGATGTATGGATTTATTTTGGCATTCTTTATTCTGTTCCATTGGTCTATGTGTCTGTTTTTATGCCAGTCCCATGCTGGTTTGATTGCAGCTTTACTGAATTTGTTTATCATTTTAAGATTGGGATAACTTCAAGATATTCAAGTGGAGATACTGAGTAGACAGTTGGATATATAAGCCTAGAGTCAGGAGACAGGCCACAGAGCTAAATATTTGGGAGTTGTCACCAGGTAGATGGTATTTAACGCTATGAAACTCCTTGAAAAAAACCAAGGGAGTGAATATATAGATGGAAAAGAGAAAAGGGCCAAGCATTGGGTACTCTAATGTTAAGAAGTTTACAGTTTACAGTTAAGAAGTTTACAGGAAATGCAAGGGATAAAGGAATATGTATTGTTAAATGACACAATAAACAGAGAGACAGACAAATGCAGAATGTAGGCATTCTGGGAAATACCTGGCCTAATCTCCTCAAAAGTCAGTATCATTAAAAACAAACAAGGCCGGGCGTGGTGGCTCACGCCTGTAATACCAGCACTTTGGGAGGTCGAGGCAGGCAGATCATGAGGTCAGGAGTTGGAGATCAACCTGACCAACATGGTGAAACCCCATCTCTACTACAAATAAAAAAATTAGCCAGGTGTGGTGGCGGGCACCTGTAATCCCAGCTACTCACGAGGCTGAGGCAGGAGAATCGCTTGAACTCAGGAGTTGGAGGTTGCAGTGAGCCGAGATCGCGCCACCGCACTCCAGCCCTGGGCACTGCACTCCAGCCTGGGCGACAGGGCGAGACCCCCTCCTAAAAAACAAACAAACAAAATGTGAGGGGAACTTTATTAGATTTAAAGAGATAGAACAGTCATATACAATGCATGAACCTTTATTATAATCCAGTTGGGGTGGGGGAACTATAAAAGGTATTTGAGTTACTGTTAATTTTCTAATTGCTGTTGGTGTTATAAAGGAGAATGGCTTTATTCTTAGGAGATATATACTGAAGGATACAGAAATGAACTTTGATGTGTACCGGTTACTAAGTGGTTCAGTTCAAAATACACACACACACAAATGTGGCAAAATGTTAACACTTGTTGAATTGTTTTTAAATTTTATACTTTTAATTTTTTTTGTATTTGAAATTTTTCATAATACATAGATGATATAAAAATGAGATTGGGGATGAGAAGGAACTAATATATGAGTCTATCTAGGAAGAAAGAATCATTGAGATAGGAGGAAATCCAATGGAATGTGGTATCTTGGGAATCCAGAGGAGAAAAAAATGTTTTGAGGAGGAAGGAGTGATTATCTGTGTCATTATTTTTTGATAGATTGAGTAAGAAGCTATATGGACTCCTCTGGACCCTTGACAGGAACAGTTTCTGTGGAATAATGGGGATAAAAAGCATAGCATTATTGGTGTGGACTCGAGAAGACAGAGGGAGAATAATTCAATATGGATAATGTAACTCATTCTCTAGAGCAGAAAAAAACAGGGTAAAATTAGAGTGTTAAGTGGAGTCCAGTTTTTGTTTTTATTGTTGGAGAGGAGAAATAACCCATCTTGATGAAAAATTGATGATACCAGAGAAAGGTATAGTAAATTTTTGGAAATAAACTTGTTTGAGTTAAGAATGGTTGGAATCTAGAGCACAAATAGAATAGGAGCACAGATAATTCATTAATAAAGATTAAAAGTAGAATATATGGACACAGGTAAATGTAGCTGAATCAGTGTGGTTGGAGCTAGTAGGAATTATCTTTGGATTGTTTTAGGTTTTTAGTGAAATGAGTCAGGGACATGTGCAGGTAATGATTGTGAAGGTGGAAATTTGAGAAGTAAGACGAAAGTATGAATTGTCATATACTAGAGTAAAAGGGTGGATTAACTATGGAAAGACAGTACGGTTGGGGGTAGTAACATTAAGAGCCCTCTTTAGCTAAGTGATCATTAATTTAAAGTGTGATCATTCTGTATGGTTGCATCTCTCCACCCATGTTCAGCTGCGTGGGAAAGAATTGGGGAGTAGATTTAATCAGGGTTGTGTTTCAGCCAACTAAGTTCAATGCAGCAAGAGTGGGTAAGAGTTGAGAGTATGTGAAAGGGAGTGATTTTAATAACTGACCATGCATGGGATATATTACATTCAGTCTTGAAAATGTGGGCACAGAGATGCCTATAGGACATCCAGGTGACAGTTTCCAATAGCTGGTTGTAAATGTTAGCCTGGAACTTACTAGAAAGGTCAGAGCTGGAAAAAGGATTTGGGAAAGAAACATCAGATTATTGGAGCCTAAGGTGTGTACTCTAGCATTAGAAGATTCAAAGAGGCTGAGCCCTGATGGATACTAACATTTAAAGGTTCAGATAGAAGATGAGAAGCCAGTCAAAACAGAACTCTAGGATTAGAGTAAAATTTTTTCCCTACCTACGACATTTGAAATTCTTAACCAAGTTTTCTTTCTGTTTGCTTCCCAGCCCATAACAATAAAACAAAATTATATATATTTGTTCACTTAATTTTACTAGTATATATACATATATATATACATATATATGTATACACACACACACACACACACACACACAGCCATATGGTATCAGACTCATAATTTTGACTTTATTAGACTTGAATTTTTCTTTATGTCGCTTAAGACAGCATTTCCAGTTTAATCAGTTGCCTCAAAATACTTTCTGTGGTCACAAAAAGAATGGGGCTGGGCACAGTGGCTCACGCACCTTGGGAGGCTGAGGTGGGCAGATCGCTTGAGGTCAAGAGTTTGAGACCAGCCTGGCCAAATAGTGAAATGCCGTCTCTGCTAAAAATACAAAAATTAGCCAGGCATGGTGGTGGGCGCCTGTAATCCCAGCTACTCGGGATGCTGAGGCAGGAGAATTGCTTGAACCTGGGAGGCACGGAGGTTGCAGTGAACTGGGATTGCGTCACTGCACTCCAGCCTGGGTGACAGAGCAAGACTCTGACTAATAAATAAATAAAAAGAATGGCTAAAGAGAGTTTATTGATGAATGCCAGTCTGTTAACATTACCAAAGAAGCAAGTACCTAACTTGCTTCTAATATAATTGGTTGTCTCAGTTTTATATTTAAAAGATGATCATGTATTATCAGTGTATTTTAGATTAAATTAAGCCCCATATCTGTTCTTCTTTCTGAAACATCTCTCTTGTGTAGATTCTGTATCTTATTTTACACTTTAATTATTGAGTGACGATAACAATTTTTACATGCTAAGCAAATTATGTTAGAGAGTAGATTAGTATGATAAAAGGCTTAGGTTATGGGCTGTGTTTTAAAGAATGAAATATTTAGGGAAGATATTTCTAAATTACCATTTAAATTCAACTCTTGAGAAGACCATTTGAGTCCAGGAGATTGAGGCTGCAGTGAGCCATGATTGTGCCACCGTACCCCAGCCTGGGCTTGTCGACAAAGCCCTGTCTCAAAAAATATATAACTAAATCTACCTTTAGAGTACAAAGAGTATACAATTATATGTCACGTTTTAATGATTTGAAATGTTTAACAATCTAGAAATATTTAAAAGTTCTTTGAAAATGCAGTAGATTGAATCAGTCCAAATAGTAGTGATTCAAAATATTCTTTTTTCTTTTTGAAGCACTTCAAATGATATAATCATTTTAATAACTGCATTATTTGGGTTTATTGTACATTGAAACTTAAATGATATCTGGTAAGGGATTATAATAAAATGAATATATCTATTAACATATATCTCATACTGTTTCTGTGACCCAGTTTAGAACCAAGTAGTGGCATGTAGTGTAAAATCAGGATTTGTTTTAATAGAAATACAGTGGTAAAGATAGAATTTTTGATTTAAGGAAATAAAAGTTGTAATTTAACAGCAAGATATTGTATTTCAATATTCCAAACTCTTCTGAAAGTTAAAAATCAATCTATGCCCTATAAAAATAATGTTTACAGTTTTAATTCTGCAGATTTAGTTGTCCTATAATCTGTTATTAGAAAACAAATAGTCTCAAGGGAAAATTCATTTTGTTAATAAATTTGACTTAACTAGTATAAAGTGAAGGGATGCAAACTGTAGTATGTAACCTTGTTTGCTTCAGGTTTGTGGCTATATAACTCCCCTCTTCACATTGTTGTTGTAAAGAAACAATGTAAGAAAATTGTTGGAAACATTTGTGTGGATGTTTTTGTTTTTTGTTTTTTTAAGATAGGGTCTCACTTTGTCAGTCAGGCTGGAGTGCAGTGGCACGATCACAGCTTACTGCAGCCTCAACCTCCCCTTGCTCAGGTGATCCTTCCACCTCAGCCTCCTGAGTAGCTGGGACTATAGGCGCCACCACGCCTGCTACTTTTTGGATTTTTAGTAGAGACATTTGAAACAATAGAGCAGAGTAGTCTTTCTGTTTGGAGTCTGTACTAATGAACTGCAATACATGAGGGATCTAAAACATTTTCCTGTAACCAATACTATTTCCATTTGACAACCCACTTAATTTTTAAAAAGCACAAATCCTGTTATATATATTTTTAAAGAACTTAAAACTTTCACAAACTCCTCTTGATCGGAACAAAAATAAATTATACTTTCAGTGTGCTTTACAAGAATCAAAATTCACAAGATGCAAGATTTTTCATGCTTATTTAATATAGAAATTAATCAAATTTCTATAAACAAATGCCATACAGGACCCATGATTATATTCTTAGAAATTCTCTTTTTGATAAATAGAGGAGAAGTGTAGGGTAAGTGTTGGAAGGTCCCAAGTGATAGTCTTTCTCTGCTTGCTTAAATGGTAGAGAAAGTTAAATACTACTTAAAAAATGGTATCAGCTGTTCCTCAAATTTATTTTTCTCTCATATACAAGCTGGGTAGTCATATACTTTAAAATGTTCCTTGAAAAAAAAGAAAATACTTGTAATAACTGTTAGATAAACCTTTTTAAAAAAATGTAAAGTTAGTATGTACTAAATACTGGACAGGCCTGCTGATGAGATTGTTTTACTTGAATAAAATTTTACTCTTAACAGCTGCATCTGATATACAGCCATTAAGTATATTTTCATAGAGTATTAATTTTGCTTTCCTAAAACAGCATCCACTTCTATCGAAAATTTCAAAATTTTCTCCCAAATCATACACATAAAGATGTACCTGAACAAAAACTATTTAATAACACAAGAAGATAACACTAGAAGATTACTTCTGTCTTAACAAATAACAGATTGTTACTGCGTTGTTAACTATGACCATAGTTGTTTTTGTTTGTTTACTTGTACTTTCTTTTCTTTTCTTTTCTTTTTTCTTTTTTTGAGATGGAGTCTCGCCCTGTCACCAGGCTGGAGTGCAGTGGCATGACCTCTGCTCACTGCAACCTCCGCCTCCTGGGTTCAAGCGATTCCCCTGCCTCAGCCTCCTGAGTAGCTGGGACTACAGGTGCACGCTACTGCGCCTGGCTAATTTTTGTATTTTTAGTAGAGATGGGGTTTCACCATCTTGGCCAGGCTGGTCTTGAACTCTTAACCTCGTGATCCACCTGCCTCAGCCTCCCAAAGTGCTGAGATTACAGGAGTGAGCCTCTGCGCCCAGCCTGTACTTTCTTATTTTTCCAGTTACTTCATTTTTTCAATAAATATGTGTTGAAAACCTGGTATGTACTATGCACCTAGGTGAAGAGTGAAAAAAAGAAATATCCAGTATCTTGGAGCTTTCATCCTACTTGAGGGAGACACAATGAAGAATAACATAATAAATAGTAAATGTAAGAAACAAATTCTTAGAAGATGATAAGTGTTGTGGAAAAAAAAATATAGAGGTGGGAAATAGGGATTGTGGTGCTGAGGGTTGGGGCACAGGTTTCAGTGTTCCACAAGAAAATTGGGGTAGGCCTTAGTATTGATACAATAAAAATAATATAAGAGAAATTATGAAAATAGTTAACATGGTTACTGTTTTTCTTCTTATAGCTGGAATAGTCAAATGATTTCAGTTCGTGAAGCCAAAGCCATTCCAAGGCCTGATGGTATTGAATGGAGAAATAAATACATCTGTGTAGAAGGTAGTTTTCTGTTTACCATCTACGTATCATCATGGTACTAAGAGAATTACTTGAGTAATTTCAGCTGTGTTTCAGTTAAAAGTAATACATTTATGTCTGAAGTGATTTGTAAGTCTTTTAGTTTAAAATTTTTAATTTTAAAAAGTCATTTAAAATTTTTTAGGTATGAGAAATAATAAACATAAACTTTAGGCATTCACCCTTTCTAGTTGGTAAGATTCGAGCTGTCTTTATCCCTCTTACTTGTGGTTGATGGATAATTTCATGACTTACAGATGGAAGAAAATAGAATCTTTATATGTGATTCTTATATTGACATAAAATGAGTTATATTCTTTTATACTTAAAATATTAGTGCAAGTTGGACTTTTATTAATAGAAATTGATGTTGCTTTAAAAATTAAATGATCTGAAGAAATTTTCTTCTCTAAAATTAATTTACATGTAGTTGAATATATCCTTGAGACACTTTGAGTGAGTAGAAAACTGACTTCAAGGGACAAAATTATTCTCATAGATGCTAAATTGAAGGCCTTTGTAAATCTGGAGGTTAAAAAGTATAAATAGTTGAGAATCAGCATTTGTAGAAAACATCAGATTTTGGATGTTTTAATCTTGAATTATATGCAGTATTTTAAGAGTTTGTGAATATGAAATTAAATCTCCTGCTTTGGTGTGCTAATAAATGGCACTGGGTGGGCATTATTTTAGTTACTTGTGTTCAGTTGAATACTAAACCCTGTTCTAAAGTGCTATGATGATGCAATTCAGTATAATTTGGCATATGACCTTATTCTGTTAAGGAAAAGAACCCCACGATACTGTGATGGTAAACTGCTTTTTAACATAGCCTTTCTAAGCACTAAAAAATAAGCAAGAGGAGTATTTAAAATTATGGGCCTGTGTAGATTATATGACAAATCTAAAAGTTTTGACCTTTCCATCAGACTCCCTATTCTTCCGTACTTTTTCTAGGTCTTTCCCCTCGGTTACCTTTCCTCTTACCAACAACTTCATTCTTTCTGCCTCCAGTCTTTCGCTTTCAGCTTTAAGACATACATAGGTCTTCTCATTCTTGAAAAATACTCTTTATTTGGTCCTACTGGTTCTTCTGTGCATTTTTCCTCCTTTTTCCATGCTAAAATTCTTAATTTCTAGTAATGTTTACCTACTGCTGGCATTATTTAAGACATTTCATCTCATTCCTGATGCCTTTAGTTATCCTTGTCTTCTCATTATTATCTTCAGTTTCCTCGTACTCTTCTGGTTTCTTCCTGTCTCTCTATATGGATTCTTCACTTTTGTGGGTGAAAGGTGAGTGGGATGGTGGTGTGAACATGGAAAGTATATATATTGGAGACACACATACATAAAAACTGTTCCTTTGTTTTTTTCCTGTCTTCTGTTTGCTTTTCTCTTTTTCTGTTTTCTTTTTCTGCCAAATTTCTCATGCAAGTTACTTCTTTTTTCTTTTCTTTGATTTTTTTTTTTTTTTTTTTTTTTTTTTTGAGATGGAGTCTCTCTCTTTCGCCAGGCTGGAGTGCAGTGGCGTGATCTCGGCTCACTGCAACCTCTACCTCCCAGGTTCAAGTGATTCCCCTGCCTCAGCCTCCCGAGTAGCTGGGACTACAGGCGCGCACCACCATGCCCAGCTAATTTTTGTATTTTTAGTAGAGGTGGGGTTTCACCATGTTGGCCAGGATGGTCTCGATCTCTTGACCTTGTGATCCACCCACCTCAGGCTCCCAAAGTGCTGGGATTACAGGCGTGAGCCACTGTGTCTGGCCAGACTTCACTGTATCTTTTTCTAAACCATCCACTTGGGCCATAACTCCCTGCATTGTCTTCCATTTTCTCCAGTATTGAACCTCTACCTTCAAAGGACAAATCAGCTTTTAAGTTAAAATTAAAGTTACCTTTCTGTGATATTTAACATTAACTGCCTCTCTTCGATATAATGCTTTCTTCTTTTTGATGACTTTTTATTATTTTCCTAAGGGTAGGTCTTTGACCCTCTGTAATTTTTCAGAAACCTTATCCACATTTATGATTTAGACTTAACACACCTATGCTGATGACTTTCATTTTTGATCACCCTCTCCCTTGAATTCTATCTACCTTATTAGGCAGTTCATAGTATATCAAGCTTTTCTGTATACATAAATCTAATAAAGATATTAGGCTGACCCATCTGAAATTGCAATTTTTGTAGGTTAAAAACTGTTAACATATTGACAGTATCAAACCTAAAAAAGAAACTGTAGCTCTCATTTTAATAATTTTTCCTTTACATTTGCATTTAACATTGCAGAACCTTTTGATGGAACAAATACAGCCAGAGCAGTGCACGAAAAGCAGAAATTTGATATGATCAAGGATCAATTTTTAAAGGTAAACAATGCATTAGATCAACCCTAGAAACATTAGTAGACTAGTATGCTTTAAACAGGAAAAAATACGTGTGTAGTAGGACAGAATGGTTTCTCTTCTGTGAATCCATTAATATAGCATGATAGAGAACTTATTATTTGAATTTAGTTAAACTTTTCCTTCAAAGAGATCTGGCTCTGTTTTTATTCACATTGCTTTCACTTTCATAGAAATAAGCATTTTCTCTTTTCTTTTTGAGACGGAGTTTCACTCTTGTTGCCCAGGCTGGAGTGTAGTGGCACAGTCTCAGCTCACTGCATCCTTCACCTCCCAGGTTCAAGGGATTCTCCTGCCTCAGCCTCCCAGATAGCTTGGATTACAGACGAGTGCCACCACACCCAGCTAATTTTTTTTTTTTTTTTTTTGTAGAGACAGGGTTTCACCATGTTGGTCAGGCTGGTCTCAAACTCCTGACTTCAGGTGATTCACCCCCGTCTTCCTCCCAAAGTGCTGGTATTACAGGCATGAGCCACCATGCCCTACCGAAATAAGCATTTTCGTAGTGAGCTTATTAAATTTCCAAAATAAGTGAATAAAACCTAATGGACTCTTTTCCTTCCTTAGTGTATTGGGGAATTTATTGTGGCCTTAGAAGGAAGCTGATGTCTGATCCATGCTTTTTCTAATGTATACCCCACTGTCACAGGAATTAGAGTGCTGTTTTATCTTTGTTTATATTTAGGAAAGTTAAAATTTATGTATATGTCTGTGTTTATAGTATGAATTTATTCATCAGTGATGTTGCTAGATGTGGTCTTAATCTTCAGGGACTTCACAACACATTGTAGAAATGCCTTGATATATGTATTGAGACATGGAGGGGAGGGAAAGCTTTGTAGAAGAAAAAGATGAGAGAACCGCAAAGATCATTTTAGAGGCATACTTTTTCATTATCTAGACATTCAAGTGGACTTTATTTTAATGATAATTTAAAATGCAAGTATTGAGGCATGAGTATCACTGGAACCAGGAGTTCGAGGCTGCAGTGGGCTATTATCAAGTTGCTGCACTTCAAGCCTAGACAACAGAGTGAGAGACTCCACCTCTAAAAAAAAAATGAATAAAAATAATGGCCAGGTGCAATGGTTCACACCTGTAATCCAAACACTTTGTGAGGCCAAGGCAGGAGGATTGCTTGAGGCCAGGAGTTTAAGACCAGCCTGGGCAACGCATAGCAAGACATAGTTCACACACACACATGCACGCACATGCTCACACACACACACACACACACACACACACCCCACCTCACCTCACCCCACCCCTGGGTGTAGTGGTATGCACCTGTGTCTTAGCTACTGGGGAGGCTGAGTGGAGAGAAAAGCCTTGAGCCCAGGAGGTTGAGGGTGCAGTGAGCTGTGATTGTGCCACCGCACTCCAGCCTGAGCATGAGTAATAGAGTGATACCTTGTTTCAAATAAATAAATAAATAGATAAAATATAAGTATTCTATTACAAGCTGTCGTTCAAATGAGACTTTCTTAATTTGGCAACCAGAATAGAAAATTTGTCTTATAGAAATTCTTTAATTTTGGCCGGGCGCGGTGGCTCACGCCTGTAATCCCAGCACTTTGGGAGGCCGAGGCGGGCGGATCACGAGGTCAGGAGATCGAGACCATCCCGGCTAAAACGGTGAAACCCCGTTTCTACTAAAAAAAAAATACAAAAAATTAGCCGGGTGTAGTGGCGGGCGCCTGTAGTCCCAGCTACTTGGGAGGCTGAGGGAGGCAGGAGAATGGCGTGAACCCGGGAGGCGGAGCTTGCAGTGAGCCGAGATCCCGCCACTGCACTCCAGCCTGGGCGACAGAGCGAGACTCCGTCTCAAAAAAAAAAAAAAAAAAAAAAAAAAAAAGAAATTCTTTAATTTTAAAACAAATATTCAAGAGAGAATATTTTTGTTTATCAGATTAAATTGAGAACTCAAAATTAGCAATGCTACATTGGTGTTCTTATTGATGAGTGAGCTTTCATTTAGGATTGTTTAGTTGTAAAACCAATACTTTTAGACAATCGAATAACTGACATGAGACTAGAATACAAAGATCTGCAGTCACCAAGTAGTGAGACAGATTTTTAGCTTGTGAACAAGTTTCTTTTCTTCTCCTTATCAATTCAAATCACCATTTGAATTTTCCAGAGGCATACATAAAGTGCCTTATTGTAAATTTACTCTCTCCTTCATAAATACTATATATTTTTTTGAGACAGGGTCTTGCTCTGTTACCCAGACTCAGGCAGCCTCAATCTCCTGCGCTCAATGATCCTCCCACCTCAGCCTCCTGAGTGCTGGGACTATAGGCGTGTGCCACCATACCCAGCCAATTTTTGTATTTTTTGTACAGACAGGGTTTCACCATGTTGCCCAGGCTGGCCTTCAGCTCCTGAGCTCAAGTGATCTGCCCACCTCAGCCTCCCAGAATTCTGGAATTATAGGCATGAGACACTATACCCAGTCTCATAATTATTGTTTTTAATGCAAAAAGCTAGTAAAGATGTAAGACAGTCAATCAAATAATTGAAATAATCCTCTCTTCTCAAATCCAAAGGTTTTGTCTTAATTACCTTGCTACTTTTAGATTGAATTAATCCGTGAATAAATATTAATATTGTCAGTTGTATCTTTCAGTACCACCTATGTGCCCATTTCTTTATTAATGAATTGGAACCATAAAAATATGGAGTTTTTAAATAACATTTTCTTTTCTGATGACAGAAACAATACTTACACTGTGTTAAAAACTTGGAAAATAAAAACTTAGCCAGCCTGGGCAATACAATGAGACCTTGTCTCTACAAAAAAATTTAAAAATAGCTGAGCGTGATGGCATACGCCTGTAGTCCCAGCTACTCAGGAGGCAGAGGTGGGAGGATCTCTTGAGCCTGGAAAGCGGAGGTTGTAGTGAGCCGAGATTGCACCACTGCACTCCAGCTTGGGTGGCAGAGTGAGACCTTATCTCAAAAAAAGAAAAAATTTGAAGGAAAAAATTATTCAAAATTTATCACCTAGAGAGAACCAACTATTAACATTCTTTTAAACTCTCAGTCTTTTGTTCTGCATAAATTTTAGGTTTTAAGAATGATTTTTCTTTCTCTCCCAGTCATGGCACAGATTGAAAAACAAGAGAGATTTGAACAGTATACTACCTGTAAGAGCTGCTGTCCTGAAAAGATAACTGGCCTCTATTTCTTAATAAATTCTTCCAAGAAATAAAGAACAATAGTTTCATCATAATACATTATGTTTACCTCCATCATAGTTGCTTTTTTCATAGTTCTTGTTTTCATGTTTTATTTTTAAAAAGACATATAAAGATTGCATATTTTATTATGACATTTCCTAATAAACCCCTTTGATTTAAAAATGTATTTTTAAAAATGTTTACATTGATGATGAGTAATATTGCATGTGTTTTCAGGTGATCAGATAAAATATATTTTGGGAAATTAACTGAACAAATAAAAAGTTTTTGATATAACTTCAATTAATTGTACCACATGCTAATCCTGAAGAGATGTGTAGAATTTTGGAAAGGGTCTAATTCATACATGCTTAAAGTATAACCTACGTTAGATAGTTTGTTGTCAAAGTCTGTTCTAGTAAAGTGAAGATTCAAGTCAGTTGTTCAGTTACTTGAAGCAAAACGAAATCTTTCATTTCAGTCAAATCACTGCAGTCATGAAATACTGAACAATTGCCTTAAGTCTTTGCTTGACTCACTGGGATAGACTGAGGCTTTGGGTGTGTCTGTATTAGCATTTCATTAGTACTTCACATGCTTTTGATGTACTCTTGAGATTGCTTTAAATTTTGTATTGAAACAACAATACATTTTGCACTGTAGTAATGGGAGCACTAACTCTTACAACAGTTAGTGAATCGTTTTAAAGAATCAGTTCAGTGTAGACATTTTGAAAAGATTGTTTCCTGTGCTTTACGATAGCTTAGTGCAATGTGCACTTCTGTTTTACTTGCCATTTTCCTGCTCTGTTTTCTCTGTGACATGAAGCAACAGAAACTGAGATCAAAGTTAAGATTATATCCTGTTTGTAGTATCAGATATTTTTCTGTGTACAATTATAGGATTGTAATCTAAACTGGAATTTTTAGGCAGTAAGTCACCACAAAATGTTTTAGATAAGACACAATAAAATTATTATAAATAAAAGCTTAATGTTTGTAAAAAATCTCTTTTTTAGTATTTCTTTTTTCACATGAAAGAAGTGGTGGCTGCTAAAAAAAAAGCTACAGTGTTTATTAAGGGTCTTTTTGATTTATGTAAATATTTGTAAATTGGTCAGTGCCTGTAAATTTAAATATAAAAAGTAACCTTGAAAACAGTTTTAACTTTTTCAAAAGAACTATGTCCAACATTTTTTAGACCTGCTGTAGTACAGTTTTGTACCTCTAACGTATTTTTTTTTTGCAGACCAAATGCTAAAACTTTTGCTTTTCTTTGACTTGTAAAAGGTGCACATTTTCATTTTCTTCCTTAAGTTCAAATTTTTGTATGATGTCAAATGCAATAAAATTTATATATGGACATTGTTGAGGTGCCTTTTTTTTCTGTGAAAATCTTTGCTTTGAGATGAGACCGAGGCTGTAGTTATCATCTAGAACTGAACTAAATCTACTTATTAGCCAGCTAACGACATCAATATCTTATGTCTCTGGCATTATGAGGAATGAAAGTTTACACATAGTGAATTTTTTAGATTCCTGATGTGTAACACTTTTTATGCATTTGAGCTTTTCATATTTTGGGGGGGAATTTTTCCTAAAATTTACACTGTGCATCTCTTAATCAGAATGTACTGAGTAGAGTTAATATTCTAGTGATGACTGGGTAATCATTATAAGCATTAGTCATAGTACTATTCAGTAATACTGTGCAACTTTCAGGGATGGGTAAGTATGTACCCTCTGCCTCTACAGTATTATGACATTTCCTAATAAAACCCCAGAATTTACCATGGTGTGGGTTCCTTCACTGTCACTGTTTTCTCAGTTTTCAGTGGCCCCACACTTACTACTGCTTTTCTTTGTTTTACCACGAAAAACAGATCAAGAAGTCACTAAACTTAGACCCAATTCTATATCAGTAGACTGAGGCCTGAAATTATGCACACATAACTGGCCAAATATCAGATAAGTGAACTGTTAATATATGAGAGAATTTTCTGGACTTTTAAGTTATTAATCTCAATTATTTGTGTGGTGAGTACTAAATTATTTTCTGTTTGTGTTGATCTGTCCATTTCTGTATATAGTTGTCCCTCAGTATATTGAGGGATTGATTCCAGGTCAACCCCGTCCTCTTCAGATACCAAAATCCACAGATACTCAAGTCCCTTATATAAAATGGTGTAGTGTTTGCATATATCCTACACACATTCTCTTGATACTTTAAATCATCTCTAAATTACCTGATACGTAATACAATGTAAATGCTATGTAAATAGTTGTTATACTGTATTGTTTAGGGAATAATAATGACAAGACAAAAAGTCTATACCTGTTCGGTACAGATGCAACCATTCTGCCTCCTCCCTACCCCCTCCCAAATATTTTTCATCCTGGTTGAATTCACAAATCCTACATGGTTACGGAGGGTTGACTGTATTTGCATATGTTGTTAAAGTGGTGTTTAAAATGTGCAATCTGTACTACAATTCTAAATTTTGGATTGATTTGAACTAGGATCTTTGCAAATAAATCTCATAGACATTAATGTTTGTAAGAAATTTTTAATTAAATGATGGAAGGAACATAGAATGGCTACCTGTGATTTTGATTAGTGTTTAACAGATTGCCACAGCTGTGATTGAATTCCTTTTGTACTGGATGAGCATGGTCATTTGGGATTACTGATGGTGAAGTCTAGCTGGTGTTAAGAGAATAAATATTGCTGATGCTAAACCTGGTTTAGTGAGCTGTGGAAGCCTTGACTCTGCTGTTTTCCCTCCTTATGCCCCACTAGCTGATGTATCTGTACTGTAATTCAATGATTTACAGTTCATTACCTCCAGACATAATGCATGCATACCAGCTCGTGTAACTGGTGAATAATCCCCAGCTTACAGTCATATTTAACAACTCTGTGACTTGCTATAATTAAAAATAAATGTTAACTCTTCTAGCCATCAAATCATTCTCATGAAATGAATATCTTTATTGTAAAGTTACCTCCATTTGTACATAGCAGTTCTGGTTCTGTTCTCTTCAGGGAGCATCCATTATATGTACCTGCTATGTGCTAGCTACTTTGCTAGTGTGTAGGCTTGTAAGAGATGGGGATGATGGGACAAAGAAGAGTAGTAAACTTACGAAGTCTGCTGGGGAAGGAGATACAAACATAATTTGAATATAGGATTATGTGGGAACCTGGAAGAGAGGTACTGAGTTTAACTTTGGGATTTCAGTGAAAGGTGGTGATCTTGAATGATGGGTATCCTGGTAAAAATGGGACCAACCTTTGAGGCAGAAGGAATTGTGTTAATAAAGACACAGTGGAGTGACTTGACAATGTTGGGAACTCCTGACTTCTAAAGACACCTGACCAGCTGGGCGTGGGGGCTCACACCTGTAATTCCAGAACTTTGGGAGGCTGAGGTGGGCAGATCACCTGAGGTCAGGAGTTCGAGACTAGGCTAGCCAATATGGTGAAACCCCGTCTCTACTAAAAATACAAAAATTAGCTGGGCATGGTGGTGCGCGCCTGTAGTCCCAGCTACTCGGGAGGCTGAGGCAGGAGAATCGCGTGAACCCAGGAGGTGGAAGTTGCACTGGACCGAGATCGCGCCATTGCACTCCAGTCTGGGCGACAAGAGCAAGACTCCATCTCAAAAAAAAAAAAAGAGTAGACAGGTAAAACATGGCCTGTTAGGCAACCGTTACCTTTGTGAGGGTGTTGGGGTTCAGTCTTTGAGCAGTGGGAAGCCATTGAGGGGTTTTAACCACAACTTGATCCGGGGAAAGGTTTGGGGCATTTGGGCCAGTTTCAGACAAAACTTAGCTTTTTGCTAACGTGGGGGAAATTGCTCCTCCTCAAGGTTTAAGATGAGTGGAGATAAAGTTTCCTGGCTCAATAACAGGGACCACTGAGCAAGAAAATACACAGTATATTGACTTGCGATATAAAGAGAGCCGGGACGGAACACTGGTTCAAAACTGGGCTTTTGAGCAGGGCACGCCTAGCTTTGTTTCTCATTGGGTCATTTTACTAGCAATGACAGCCTGAGCTGCTGGAGCTCTTCGGAGTCTCAGTTTCCTCATCTGGGAAACCAGCACTACAGTAAAACCTTCTACAGGTACCACCACAGAATCGAGGTAATGAAAGCGAGACCCTTAGCAGAGTGCCTGGTAGTTAAGTGCCCAGCTCAGGGTATTGTTTGGGATAAAGGGTCCAGAAAGTAGCTCAGCTCAAAACCGAAAAGACTCACTCTGGAGGAAATAAGAGACGGGGCTAGGTTGCCTTTCCTCCTTTGAACCCCCTGGTGCAGCCGGAGCCCGCGCCCCTTAAAGTGATCTCCAGTTGTCCGAAAGGCCCGCCAGGGATCTGGCGAAACGGGGGCGGGGGAGGGCTCAGGGAAGAGGAGAAGCTGAGCCCGGGCCCCAGAAGCTCGGTGGCGAAACTTTGACGCCTTCTATTTAAAGTCGCGGGGCTCGCCCGCCCCCGGCGCCGGGAACCCGAGCCGCCCCCGCAGGGGCAGGGCTGGGGAGGGCAGGGGCCAGAGCAGTCGGAGGGAGAACACCAGGCGCGGCGCGGGCGGCTCCGGCTCCGGCCCCGGCCCAGGCCCGGGAGAGGCGATGGCGAGCCGCGATAGCAACCACGCTGGCGAGAGCTTTCTCGGCTCCGACGGGGACGAGGAGGCGACCCGGGAGCTGGAGACCGAGGAGGAGTCGGAGGGCGAGGAGGACGAGACGGCGGCGGAGTCGGAGGAGGAGCCGGACTCCAGGTAGCGCGAGCCTCTCTCCTCGGCCCAGGGCCTGCAGGGCAGCTAGCAGCACCCTTGCTTGTTTGCTTTAAGTTTTTAAGCTCTGGGGTTCGTTTGCCTCGAGCTAGGCACTTTCTCTCTGGGTGCACTGTCGTTTAAAAGAACTTGAAGGTGAAGGTGCTCGCTGTCAGCTGGAGTGACAGGCCCGCCTGCAGCAGAGTTCATTACCCCCGCCCCCAGCTCCTTGTGACTCGCTGCTCTTGTTTATTCCTGAGGATTTACTTAGGTCCTGCATAACTGCCGAAATGTGCTGGAACACGTACATCTGGCCCGAGGCACAGGAACAATCGCGAAATCCTGCGCTAGAGGAGAAGGGGGTGGGGTGGAGGCGGTGAAGGCGCACTGGTACCTTCCGATGAATGGCGGTCTCCCCGGGGGCCTAGCAGTAGGCTAGGCTGCAATAAGGTGACCTTATTTTGATACAAAGGCCCATAAATTCTTTGGGGGAAAAGAAGCATGAGTTTCAGTAATCCCTGTTCTTCAAGTCCTGGTCCCAAATCCCAAATATCAGTTTCCGTGAATGCGATGAAGTAATACTATGTACAAAAGATGCACCTCCCACCCTTCGATCTCCCACCCTCCGTCCCTTTAAGAAGGCCCTAAAATGAGAATAATAGAAATCATCTAATGTCTATTTGGATTAGCTTCTACCTTCACTTGTTTTCCTTGAGTATGAGTTTTGGGTTTTTTCCTGACTGTGTGTCAGTCAGTGATGTCTCTTCCTCAGTCTGTTCATAACAGTAGAAAGGCTTTGAAGGTGGCAGGTGGGTGTGTACCATCTCAGAACGCCCAGCTTACCTAATCAAAGCCAGCAGAGCCGATGTTGAAGAAGTAGCCCATAGAGGGGCATTGAGGAGGATGGATGGTCAGACAAGAAGTCCTGAATGTATGTCACCTGTTTATCAAACAGCTGCCAAGTGGGAAGCAAGCACAGTCCCTGGCCTCAAGGACCTTGTGGAAAAAGTTTCCCTAACTTTTTCCCCTATGGGGAAACGTTTCCCTAACATGGGGAGTGTGAGACTATATAGAGGTGGAAGGGAGGACTATGGGTACTGTGCAAGGGCAGAAGAGGGAGTGTTGGGCTGGAGCTGCCTTGAAGTAGTGGGCAGGGACTACAAACAGGAAGAGCAGAGGAGAAGGCACCTGTAGGAAGTGGATCAGGGAGTAGGGGACCTGTGATCCCTTGGCAGTGTTGAGAAGGGGAAGTCTGTCAACTCAGCTTTTATAACCTTTCCCTTACTGTTGTCTGGGATCCTCATATCCTTGCCCAACCACAATTTACAACCAAGAGAATCTGAAAACTCATTTACACTAAAATGTGAGCAGCTGACCATTCACTCTGGGGTTGCATTGCCATTTGACAAAGGTCAAGGCCTTCAGAAAAGGATGTGATTTGTCTGCAGTAAACTTCAGCCTGTTCTGACTACAGACAGTAAGGTGGACACCAGGGAAAGAGGTCAGAATAAATAGAGTGGAGGGACACATGAGGGAATATGGAAAATGGAGGCCTGGAAAAAGCATCCAATTTATTTTTTATTGGATGACAAGGGTAACAGGAAGTCAGCAAAACTTCTGGATTTAGGAAAAACACGTATCGACGAAAAAGCATCAAACTCTGTAAAATATCTGAAGAGATTGGTTCTGAGCCAAATATGAGTGACCAATGGCCTGTGACACGGCCTGCAGGAGATCCTGAGAACATGTGGCCAAGGTGGTTGGGGGACAGCTTAATTTTACACATTTTAGGGAGACATGAGACCTCAATCAAATACATGTAAGATGCACATTGGTTTGGTCCAGAAAGGTGGGAAAACTGAAGGGCATGGGGGCTTCTAGGTTATAGGTAGGTTTAAGTTTTTTCTGATTGGCAATTGGTTGAAAGAGTTAAGTTATTCTCTTAAGACTTGGAATCAGTGGAAAGGAATGTCTGCATTATGATAAGGGGATGTTGAGACCAAAGTTTTATCATGCAGATGAAGCCTCCAGGTAGCCAGCTGGAGAGAGAATAGATTGTAAGTGTTTCTTATTAGACTGAAAGAGTTGTTCTATCAGTAATTCCAAAAGGGAGGGGGGTGTAGTGTAGTGAGGCATGTTCCATCTCCCCACCTCCACCATCACGGCCTGAGTGAGTTTTTCAGGTTAGCTTTGGAATGCCCTTGCTGAAAGGAGGGGTCCACTCAGATGGTCGGGGGCTTAGAATTTTATTTTTGGTTTGCAAACCTTCATTTTTAAAAATTCAAAAGACACAAAGTAATCTGTAAACGTTCCTTTACCCTTTCAGGTATGATATATATAATTATCTATAGTTACCTTTCTGAATTGAGGAAAAATTCTCTTTAATTATAAAATGCTTTTGTAGTGCAGGAAAGCTCATCATTTACATACACCAACATGGATATTGGATCAGAGAACTATCCTTCTGATATATCATCCAGTGATATGAATGTGACATGTAACATCAAGAGGCCTGTGAATCCTATTAGTTGTTCCATAATGGGAAAATCCTGTCCTCTTTGAGCCCAATTTTCTCATCTGTAAAATAATAAGAATTCCTAATTCATAAGGTTGTCATAAGGATTGCATAAATTATGTGAATGTGTGTAGGAGTGCTTGGTTCTTAGTAGGTTCCCATTAAGCTTTAGTTTCTTTTATTCCATCAGATGAGTCATTATTAGCAGGAAGGCTCTACCTTCTGCCCACCATTCATCCATGAAGGGAGAGATGGTCTCAGCTTTCAGTATAAATAATGATCCTATTTCACTTTGTATTCATTCATTCACTAAACATTCATGGAGTGCCTACTATTAATATTTGCCATAGACAATGCGAGGTGCTGGGGATACAAAAATAAGAATCCATTACTGTCCTCATATTCACCTTCTAGTTGGAGAAACAGAAAAACGTAATTATGTCATTAGCTGTTAGAAGAGATTTAAGGAAGAAAAGGTGTGTATGAAGCACCTCAAAGTCTTGGGATACATGCTACCTGGAAGGGTTGGAGAAGCCTTCATCATTGGAGCAGTGTTTTGAATCATAATAAAATGCCTCATAGTGCTTGTAGTTTGTGGATATCAAAAAAGATTTTTATGTTTCTAAAACTTCATGGGAGAACTTTTGTGAAAGGCAGATTATAAAACTCACAGGATTTTAGAGCTAGCAGAGGCTTTGGAAGTATCTGTTCTCAACCGATCTGATTTTAGATTCAGAAACTGTCAGGAGTCGTTTGTTCAAAGTCACACAATTTTTTTTTTTTTTTTTTCTTGAGGTAGGATCTCACTCTGATTGCCCAGGCTGGATTGCAGTGGCGTGATCACGGCTCACTGCAGCCTTGACTAACCAGGCTCAGGTGATCCTCCCATCTCAGCCTCCTGAGTAGCTGGGACTACAGGTGTGCATCACCAGGCCTGGCTACTTTTTTGTATTTTTATAAGAGACAGGGTTTTGCCGTGTTGCCCAGGCTGGTCTTGAACTCCTTGGCCCAAGCAATCCATCTGCCTCCAGCCTCCCAAAATCCTGGGATTATAGGCATGAGCCACCGTGCCCGGTCAGCCACAGAATTTTTTGGAACAGAATTAGGAGTAGACCCCAGGTGTCTGGACTCCAATTTAATGTTCATTAATGTATTCATTTGGCAGATATTTATTGAACTCCTACAATGTGCCAGAGACTTCCTAGGCACAAGGAATACAGCTGTGAACAAAATGAATAAGGTCTCTGCCCTGCTAAAACTCACTCCAGTTTGGGGAGACAAATAAAACATATAGTATGTCAAGTGGTAAGAAATTATGAAGACAAATATAGCAGGATAAATGGGTGGGGTATATTTGGATGAGGTAGTGAAGAAAGCCTCTCTGATGAGGTGACATTTGAGCAGATACTGAAGGAATGAGTTTCTAGGCAAAGGGATGACCAGCTGCAAGGGCACTGAGGGAGGGATATGTGTCTTATTTGAGGAACGCAAGTTGGTCAGGATGCTGGAACAGAGTAAGGTAATGGGGCGAGTGGTCAGAGTCAAAGCTAAGAGATAGTTGGGTTGCAGATCATGTAGGGCTTTGTAGCCCATGGTAAGGACTATGAATTTTATTCTGAGTAAAATTGGAAGCTATGTTGTGTCTACTATACCAGTCAGGATAAAAACAAACAAACAAAAAACAAGGAAAGCACAGTGATTGCAATATTCCTTTAAATAATAAGCACCTATACATTTGTATTTTCATTTGACTAATATTTATTTAACACTTACCATGTGCCAAACTCATGGTTTCCTGTATGGAGAGGAGACAGAAGTAAATAGGACTGTTACTTTTGTATTTCTCTTGCTGTAGACCAGTGAAAGCCAACTCTTTCAGCCTTTCCCACAGATCACTTAGAAACTTTTCAGCATTTTTATTTTCGGTCATTCTCTGTTGGTCAATTTTCATTTCTCTATTTAAGCACAGAGGATTTTTGCCACAGCAGTACCCAAAACTTAAAAATCACCTTCAATTGCAGCTTTGCCAGTGCTTCTATAAAACAGGTCTGTCTAAGCTGACAGAATTAAAATTATTAGTGACATTCACATTTAACTAGTCCTTGCAGGAATAAACCTTTTGGAAGGTGCAAGGAATTTGTAAATGGTTTTCATTATCAGTACAGAGCACTCTGTTTCCATATATCTATTTATATGGTGTCTCCCACAGATGTGCTTACCTAGGTGTTTTGACAAGTGTGTTATTTGAGCCAGCCTTCTTCTGAGGTCAGTGGAAAGAGCTCAGAATGGGAGGGGTTGACTGCTCAGGATGCCAGAGGCTGAGGGAGGATAGAAGATAACAGAGTCACTTGTAGCCAGAAACTGAAGAGCTATTTAAGTGTTGGCTGCATGGATATTTTATGTCCTTGGTAAGACTTTGACTCAACGAAGAGTTAAACTCAGCAAGAGTTGGAATTATTACTATTTTTTCTTTAGAAAGGCAAACTTACTAAAAAGTGTAGGACATACTGATAAAATTTTACACACAAAAAAGTCCATAGTCCCTGGATATTCTGAAAACAGGCTTAATGAAAACCTAATTTTTTTTAGTCATTAAACCAAATTCCCCTTCCTACCAACATGACTTAAGAGAATCAAGTACAAGAGACCAGTTGTGGCTGTACATGAAAATAACCTTTGATTTAGCCCAGCATTATCCTATAGAAATATAAGGTGAGCCACATATTTAATTTTAAATTTTCTAATAGCCACATTTTAAAAAGCAGAAAGAAACAAGTGACATGAATTTTAGTAATCACTTAACCCAATATCCAAAGTATTACCATTTCAACATGTAATCAGTGTAAAACTTATTAGAGATATCTTACATTATTTTGTACTAAGTCTCTGATGTTTTTTAAATACTTACAGCACACCTCAATTCATCCTGCCTAACCACATTTCGAGTGCTTCATAGCCACATGTAGCTAGTGGCTATCATACTGAACAATGCAGGTCTGATAATACCTAGAAATCTGTTAGCTTCATTGGAATCTAGAGAACTGCTGCATTGGTAATAAATTCTATATGCCAGGCCCTGTGCTGGATACCAGGGACACAAAGAGGATTGGATGACACAGTTGTTTTCCCTCAAGGAGCTCAGTCTGGTGAGTGGAAGCGGTTAATTTCAATGTAATATCATAAGCATTACACTAAGGATATTAATAGAGGAATATCCAAAGACATTCTTCCTAAAATGAGATTTAGAAAGATTCCTGTAGAGTGACACTGCAGTTGGGCAGAAAGATATTCCAGGCACAATATGTGGTTAGGTATTCCTTTAGTTCCTGGTTCCAGCTCTTGTGCTGCTGATTGCTGCTTTGTCTAAACTTTCTTGTTATTATCCAGAATCATCTCAGGATTTTTTAAGGTTGAGAATATTTGTTGATCGGATAAGTGAATGGTGCGAATAAATAAATGAATAAATGAGTGCCTGAGTAAAGGGCAAGCCTTCCAGACTTCTACAAGAAGCAAGTTTAGTTGGAATATTGAACTTGTTAGATCAGGTAAGATTTTTGTTGGTTGTTGACAGTTCATTTACCAGGGATTGACAATGCCCAGTGAATCTGGAAAGACAGTAGCTTGGAGGGAACAGTGATAAGTACTGAAGGATTGTTCAGTTAAGGTGTCTGCAGTCATCAGTGCCGCCTTCTGTGACTTGTCAGAAAGCCATCCCTAGACTGACCCTTCAGCCAGATCATAGACGGAAAAATAAGAATAGGCTTTGCTTTTTGCTCAGAAAATTTTTCTATTAAGACAACCAAAGTGGATTCAGTTCCAAAATTCTTCATCCTAATCTGATAAAGTCCAAGATATGTGGGAAGATTAATTGATGCTACTGTTCAGTCCACCAAACTAAATACTCAGAGCCCTCTCAGGGAGCTGTTAATGTGTTTTCTTCCTGTAAGTATGCCTCCTTTTAAGAAAAATTCACTTGCTAAATAGAAATTTACATTCACTGTTATATACCATAAATATATACAATTTTGATTTTAAAAAACTTTTAAAGAAATTTACATTCACTGCAAATTTCCTCCTAATGGCTGATTTCACTAGGGCACTTAAATTGTTGGTTTATAAATAAAATTAATTTCTTCCATTTAAAGAAATGTTTTTATTGGCTGGACGTGGTGGCTCATGCCTATAATCCCAGCACTTAGGGAGGCCGAGACGGGCAGGTCACCTGAGGTCAGGAGTTCGAGACCAGCCTGGCCAACATGGCGAAACCCCCGTCTCTACTAAAAATACAAAAATTAGCCGGGCATGGTGGCAGGTGCCTGTAATCCCAGCTACTTGGGAGGCTGAGGCAGGAGAAGCACTTGAACCCGGGAGGCGGAGGTTGCAGTGAGTTGAGACCATGCCATTGCACTCCAGCCTGGGCAAAAAGGGCAAAACTCCATCTCAAAAAAAAAAAATGTATTTACTGTAAGAAAAGAGACTTATTCATTCAAAAGATATTTACTGTGGGCCTACTGTGTGCCACGCAATATAAACATGTAGTGAACAAAACAGGTGAAGTTATTAATCCTCAAAGTTTAGCCTCTGGGAAGGGCAGGTATTAAATAAATAATCTCATAAGTAATTAGCTACAGCAAATGCATTGGTACAATGAATCAGACCTAGGAAGCCAAGGTAGGGGCCTGCTAGGACCCTCAAGTCCCAGTCGCTGAAGCCTCCTTGCTCATTCCCCTGGGAGTTTTCAGTCAGCCTCTGGGTCCCTCTTGTTAGTCCTCCTCCATCTGCCTACAGCAAAAGGTTTCACTGTCTTGTAATGAGAGTCTGGCAAGACAGCCTGGCTGCTGATGACTCTTATCCTAGAAGGGACTTCAGACGTCATCTCCCTTACCCTCATGCTTCTGATGAGTGAACAGAGGCCCAGATAAGAGGAGGGAAACCGTCACTTAGTCAAGGAATATCTAATCTCTTCCAAGCACTATCACTTGTTATTTTGAGTTATTTTTACAATAGCTCTCTGATATAGGCATTGTTTTCATTCCCATATTGAGTAATTTACCTAATTTCAGACAGCTGGTAAGTAGCACAGCTAGCATTCTAACTCCAGTCTACTGGCAGGGCCTGTGCTGGAACCATCATCATTTCAGGGCTCACCTCAATATTATGTAATATATATATAATACACACCTGTTTTTATTAGCCAATTTATTTCTTTTATATTTGAGTACAATTTTGCTATTTTCAAATAATCATTTCAATTTACTTCAAACTTTTTTAAAGGCAGAAGCATCAAAGACCCAAAAAATCTACATAGTAGCTAATCTTGACTAGCATCTTAGCAATATTAAGTTTCCTGATGTGTAATAAGGAGAGTAGGTCTTATGTTTAAAAATAGACATTAGGCAATCCAGTGTGATTGCATTTTCGTAAGGCCAAAGATAGTAGCACCCAAATAACTTCCTTATATGCTGTATGGGATCATGTAACAAACTTGCAACAGTTATTTACCATAATATGTATAAAATTCAGATCCTCTGTTTAAAAGACAATTTATATTAGTTTTGGGGTCATGAACTTTGAAGTTTTTCTGTTTATTTATTTTTTCCAAGAGGACATGAGAAGAGATTGAGACAACTGACTTCGGCTCTTCTTAGAATTTTGGGAGCTCCAAGAAGAGCTTCAATAAATCCCCTAGTCATCCATCACCATTTTGGGCATAAATCAGGTTACATTGCATTAAAAAACAAAAAACAAAAACAAAAAAAAAAACACCTGATAGAACTGAGAAGACCAAGATTATCATCCTGGCTGTGCCACTTACTAGTTGTGTGACGTGGGGCAGGATACTTCACCTGTCTGTGTCTTTACCACAGCTTTCCCACTTTCTCCCTGACTGGCCCCTGTCTACCTCTCTCAGCTCATCTCAAGCCACTGTGCCATTTTCACTACATGCAAGCCAGCAGGCTAATGAGCTTGTTCCTCATCCAGGTCTTTGCTCTTGCTGTCTGCTGTCTCTGGAATGCTTCTTTAAATCCACTCTTCAGGTTTTGGTGCAAATGACGCTTTATAAAAGGGGCTTTCCTCAACTGCCCTGCCACATGGGCTTAGTTCACTCCCTTCTTGTCTTCCGTGGTCACATCATTCATTATTTCACATTGCGCTTCATAGCACCTATCGTTATCTGCAATTTTATTTATTATTGACACCACCAGAATGTAAATTCCATGAGGGAAGGGGCCTTGCTTCTCTGTTGCATTGCCAACAGCTAGAACGCAGTGCCTGCTACACAGTAGGGGCCTAATAAGTGGTGGTTGTGACCGGACACGGTGGCTCAAGGCCTGTAATCCCAGCACTTTGGGAGGCTGAGGCAGGTAGATCACTTGAAATCAGGAGTTTGAGACCAGCCTGGGGAACACGGTGAAACCCCATGTCTACTAAACATACAAAAATTAGCTGGGCGTAGTTGCGTGCACCTGTAATCCCAGCTACTTGGGAGGCTGGGGCAGGAGAATCGCTTGAACCCAGGAGGAAGAGGTTGCAGTGAGCTGAGATGGTACCACTGCACTCCAGCCTGGGCGAGAGAGTGAGACTCTGTCTCAAACAACAACAACAACAACAAAAAAAGAAAAGAAAAAGAGAAAAGAAATGGATGTTGAATGAATGAGTACTGGGTTTCACTATAACATTTTATCCCTAGGATCTCAGCTCCTTCTGTCTGATGAACGCCATTCATATTACCACCCTCCTAACAAATCATCTTGTTCTTTATTATCCTTGTGCCAAGATAATAAAGGGCATGGAGAATGAAAACTGAGCAGTGGTCATTGAATCTGGCAAAATGCAAGTCCATAGGGAGAGATGAATAACTAATAGAAATGCAGACACCTTTGAGAGGGTTTAAGCCTATCAGCATCTGCTTTAAATTGAATCCATTTTTGAATAGATCCTTTCAAATACAGGATCTAGGTTACTTTCCTGAGAGAAGAGGACACTAGAAAGTAGAAAGAGGGAAGTGGGTGCCTAGAAGAGGAGAGGGCATCCAGAGCAGACTGGGTGATATAGTTGTGCCTCAGTCTATCCTGCTAACAGGAGTGAACCGAGGGTATCACCCAGAAAACTGCAGAAAACTGGCTACAAACTGGCCTCAGTCACTGATAACTGCAGGAAGGGGTGACATTCTTATTTCCCTGACTCCTCAGAGAATCCGAAACAGAAGGAGAAGTTGAGCATGGACAGAGTTAACCGTGTTGACTTATAAACTAGAACTGCCTGAAACCAAATGTGGAGTTAAAGCATCTGATAGAGTTAGGACCCCTAGTGCATTTACATACTTGACTCATTAAAAGAAAATTCTGGTGGAGTCCCTGGACACCATCCTAGGTGGTCAGGGAGATGCAGGATAATACAGCCTTTGTGGCTGGAGGGCCAAGCCCAAGAGAGGAATGCTGGCATCTGAAGATCAGGCCTTATTTATCTGAATAACTGACTGGAATCAGTGGTCTACTTTACCTTAGAGAGAAATGGCAAGAAATGGCAACCACTCTTATATTTTTCTTTCTCTTTCTGTTCAGTTCATACTTGCTGCTCAACCTGCTACAGTTTTCACTTGTCAATCTCATAAGTTTCCTTTGACTGAGTTTGCATAGTTTAACACTTTAGAATCATGAATTCAGAAACCCAGGCTTTAGTGACAACACTGCCACCAAACAGGTTTCAGTTTGCTAGGAAAGCCTTACGTAAGTTATTTTCTGTAGGTGAGAGGTGCTGCCTTGGGTTCCAGAATCTTCGCCAGTTAGTTTTGATTTGCAATAGAAGTAAACTGCTCAATTTAAGCAGAAAATTGGTTGGTAGCTCATAAATCATGGGAAGGTTGGAGAACTAGTCATTAAACAGGAACAGCCCCTCAAACCATGCCTTAAAACTGGTCTGATGAATTATTTCAACTCAATTTTAAAAAGACAACCCAATTTAAAAATAGGCAAAGGATCTGAATAGAAGTTCTCTAAAGAAAATATACAGATGTCCAGTGAGCACATGAAAAGATGGTCAACATCATTATCCATCAGATAAATGTCAAATAAAACCACAACAAAGCCTAAGTGTCTATTAATGGATGAGTGGATAAGGAAAATGGGATATATAGACACAATGGAATATTATTCGGCTATAAAAAGCAATGAAATTCTATCATTTGCAGAGATGTGGATGGATCTGGAGATCATTACGTTAAGGGAAATAAGCCAAGCACAGATAGACAAATATCACATGTTCTCAGTCATTGGGAGCTAAGAAAGTAGATCTCATGAAGATAGAGAGTAGATTGGTGGTTACTACAGGCCAGGAAGGGTAGCAGGGAGGCAGGGATGAAGAGAGATTGATTAATGGGTACAAATATACACTTAGGGCTGGGCGCAGTGGCTCACACCTGTAATCCCAGGACTTCGGGAGGCTGAGGCAAGCGGATCACTTGAGGCCAGGAGTTCAAGACCAACCTGGCCAGCATAGTGAAACCCCATCTCTACTAAAAATACAAAAAAAAAAAAAAAAAATTAGCCGAGTGTGGTAGTGCATGCCTATAGTCCCAGCTACTTAGACAGGAGAATCACTTGAACCCAGCAGGTAGAGGTTGTAGTGAGTGGGATTGCGCCACTGCACTCCAGAGCAAGACTCTGTCTCAAATAAACAAACAAACAAACAAATACACTTAGAACAAATAATACCTGGTGTTTGATAGATCAGTAGGGTGATTGTAGTTAACATTAATTGACTGTACATTTCAAAATATCTAGAAGAAAATAAATTAAATGTTCCTAGGGTAAAGAAAAAATAAATGTTTAAGGTAATGGATATCCTAATTACCCTGACTTGATTGTAAAATGTCTCAAATGATCACATGTACTGAGAAAATATGTACAGCTATTACATATCAATAAAAATAAATTAAAATCTCACACACACAAAACCACAATAAGATACCACTTCACACTTTCTAAGATGGCAAAGACAGATGTTGGGAGAGGATGCGGAAGTATCAGAATCCTCATATAACACTGGTAGGAATGTAAAATTGTACAACCACTTTAGAAAACAGTCTGGCAGTTTCTCAAACAGTTAAACATAGAGTTACCATATGACTCTGCAGTTCCACTCCTAGGTATGTACTCGAGAGAAATGAACACATTTGCCCACATAAAAATCTGTACATTAATATTCATAGCATCATTATTCATAATAGCCAATAAATGGAAACAACCCAAATGTCCATTAACTAATGAAGAGATAAAGAGGCCAGGCGTGGTGGCTCACACCTGTAATCCCAGCACTTTGGGAGGCCGAGGCGGGTGGATCATGAGGTCAGGAGATGGAGACCATCCTGGCTAACACAGTGAAACTCCATCTCTACTAAAAATACAGAAAATTAGCGGGGCGTGGTGGCGGGCGCCTGTAGGCAGGAGAATGGCATGAACCCAGGAGGTGAAGCTTGCAGTGAGCTGAGATCTTGCGACTGCACTCCAGCCTGGGTGACAGAGCGAGACTCCATCTCAATAAAAAGAGATAAAGAAAATGTGGGCTGGGTGCAGTGGCTCACACCTGTAATCCTAACCAATACTTTGGGAGGCCAAGGCAGGAGGATCATTTCCACCCGGAGCAACATGGCGAGACCCTGTTTTTACAAAAAAATTTAAAAATTAGCTGAGCATGGTATAGTTCTAGCTATTCTGGAGTCTGAGATGGGAGGGTTGCTTAAGCCCAGAAGTTTGAGGCTATGGCAAGCTATGATCGGCCACTGCACTCTAGCCTGGGCAACAGAGCAAGACCCTGTCTCAAAAAAAAGGGTTATATTCATACAATGGAATATTATTTGGCCATAAAAAGGAATGAAGTACTGATACATGAATGGACCCTGAAAACTTTATGCTAAGTAAAATAAGTCAGATACAAAGGAAAACATATTGTATGGTTTCATTTATATAAAATGCCCAGAATAGGCAAATCTGTAGAGACCCAGAGTAGATTTGTGTTTGCCTAGAGCTGGAAGGGAGATGTGGAAGGGATTAGGGGTGATGCTTTAGGGGCATGGGGTGTCTTTTTGGGGTGATGAAAATGTTCTAAAATTATCTGTGGTGATGATTGCACAACTCTGTAAATATACTGAAAGCCATTGAATGGTACACTTTAAAAGGGTGAATTTTATAGTATGTGAATCATACTACAATAAAGCAGTTTTTAAAAAATCATCTGGTGAGGAAACTGTTGCCATGGCTGGGGCACTAGATGTCACAATTTGTGCTATTGCCACATCCACACCAGCAGTTCCATATTGCAGCAACTGGGACCCCTGCTACTGCCAGAGAGAACAAGGAGCTGCACATCTATTTCTTTCCTCAGTAGCTCTCAAGTCGGTCTAAAAACGGATGTGAAGGTCTTCACTAGGAGAGTATCTGGTGCTGTCAGCTCTGTCTCCCCAGGCCCCCCAAGGTGGGGAATTCACCAACTGGGAAGAGAGATCATTTGCTCAACTGTCTTTTTGGATGTCAGATGTCTGCTGGACCAGCAGGGGGCCCCGGGCTAGGCTTTTCTTCAGATTTTGTTACCTGACCCTCAGATCATTTAACACAGGATGCAGTATATTTTGCTATTTCTGTGGATGTACAACACTTTGTTTAAGCAATAGAATAAACTAGTTAATATTTCCCAAGGAAATTTAATTGAAAATACAACATAGGTCAGTGAACAGATAAAACCATATGAGGTTGAAGTTTTCCCCCATTAAATATCAGCTGAATCTGAGTATTCACTGTTTATTCCAGCATGGACATTCCATTTTACAATAAGAACAAAAAAGTCTTTCACTCTGGCCTCAATATGACCTGTCTTACACACCTTGGTATTTCTGCTTTGAGGTTTCAAAACTCCTTTGAGATCGTATCACTGTTTGCTATTATCAGGAATTTAATTCCTTCTAAAGCCTTTTGGTCTGTATGCCTAGGGTAATCCTCCTTTGGAGAATTGTCACCATCTCACAGGTGGGCTATAATAGAGTGTATGTATGACCCTGGTTCAGGGGAGAAATCAGACTCCAGTAGTGTCAGATTGTCTTCTCTGGTAAGTTGGAAATGGAGGCAGAGATTCTCTTTAGTTAGCTTGGAGGTTTGGGGGACATTTCTCAACTTTTTGGAGATCTAGTCAACTTTATTTTGATCTTTTCTTGAAAATTATTAATTTTTCTGTCAGTCAAAAAATATTCTAGGGCCGGGAACAGTGGCACATGCCTGTAATCCCAACACTGAAAGGCTGAGGCAGAAGGATTGATTGAGCCCAGGAGTTTGAGGCCAGCCTTGTCCACATAGGGAGACCCCCATCTCTACAAAAAATTAAAAAATTAGCTGGGCATCGTGATGCGCACCTGTAGTCCCAGCTACTTGGGAGGCTGAGGTGGGAGGACGATTTGAACCCAGAGGTCAAGGCTGCCATGAGCTGCGATTGCACCACTGCACTTCAGCTTGGGCAGCAAAGTGAGACTGTGTTAAAAAAAAAATTCTAAATGTACATCTGTGAAACTGTCCAAACTGTCCAAGATGTGGTAAAGAAGAATATTAGCTAAAATTGCTGAGCATAATTTGGTATCTAAGATGGTGTCCAGGAAAAAAAAAAAAAGGTATTTAATGCTAAATAAAAACTCTCTGTCAAGGCAGGAATCCCAGAGTGTAGAAGGGTGGGGAGGTGACAATCCATAGGGAAAGGGTATGACCCCCACTGTGGGTCTGAATGCTGTATCACACTCAAGTGTGTTTCTGAAACCTTAAAACAGTTCACCCAAAGTAGAGCGACCAGAATCCTGTGAGCAGACCCTGTGTGCAAGGGTCTGAAAGCCATTCGAACTGGTCCTATCACCCAGGAGAGGCTCCATCCTTCATCAAAGCAAGTCATGCCAACAAGCAGAAGTTTTCCTACCCCTTTATTTTTGTTCTCTTGGATATAGATATTAGAAGAGGGAAAAGCAATAAAATATCTTTTCTGAAAGCCAGGAGTCCCTGCCTTTGTTCTTGGTTGATCTCTTAATCTCTTTGGGAAATAATTTTCTGTTACTGAGGGTGCCATTTGGGGATAGCTATGTTGAGAGAGAGAGAGGGAGAGAAAGAGAGAGAAAGAGGGAGAGAGAGAGAAAATACTTGTAGAGACAAGGAGAGACCAGAGCCAAATTGACACATCAGAGATAGAGTAGCTCCCTTGACTCCTGATGGTTTTCCTGTTTCCCCTTCACTGGGAGGCCTAAATATACCTCTGGCCCCTGGAACCTATGAGAAGTCTCTATTTCTTTAAAATAAAAACCCTCTATTTAACCTAGCCTGAAAGAGTTTGTTCCTTACCACCACAAGTGCCTTAACCCCTTCTTAACATTTCTAACAGCTTTTAAACATTTTTCTCCTGGCTTGGCGCAGTGGCTCACGCCTGTAATCCCAGCATTTTGGGAGGCCGAGGTAGGCAGATCATGAAGTCAGGAGTTCGAGACCAGCCGGGCCTAGTATGGTGAAACCCTGTCTCTACTAAAAATACAAAAATTAACCAGGCGTGGTGGCGCACGCCTGTAGTCCCAGCTACTCAGGAGGCTGAGGCAAGAGGATCTCTTGAACCTGGGAAGCGGAGGCTGCAGTGAGGCGAGATCGTGCCACTGCACTCCAGCCTGGGTGATAGAGTGAGACTTGGTCTCAAATAAATAAATAAAATAAAATAATTTTCTCTTGCAGGCCTTGGCAACACATGTGCTCTAAGCCAGAGCTAGCCAAAAGAACCCCTTAAAACTGGAGTTATGCCCAACATGTCCAGAAATACTATAAATAGATAGATAGATATAGTATTTTTTTTTTTTTTACAATCAGGAATGTTTTGGACATCAATAATAACCCTAACACTGAAACCCAAAGCTACCATTAGTCCTTAATCACCACAACATGCCTGCAGAAAATTTTTAAAAACCTGCTTCAGAATTGAAAGAACTTTTATTTCCCACCCACACATCTTCCCACTGCAAATATTTTAAACTTGATTGAACAGAGCTACAGACCTGAAGAAAGGTCTATATTGACCTAACACCAACTTAAGCATATATCATCCAGGAGCTGGTAGAGAAAAAGTCTTGATCAATTTCAGTTTGATCTCACCAATCAGCGTCTAGGACTTTCTTTCAATCTCTCCTGGAGTTCTCTTGGAGAACTGAATACTAGCAGTTCTCTGGAATGCACTGTTGATAGCCACTTGACCTCTTTGAGCCTCAGACTCTGAAAGAAGCAGGTACTGCTACCTGCTTCACAGGTACCTGTGGGGGTAAATGAGAATGGAGATACACAAGGACATCATATGTTCCTGGCACAGAGTGGGACATGGACGAGTGTCAGTTTTCTCTTCTCTCCCTTCCCCATCATCTACTAGTACCCTGAACTATTGCAGGATCTGGCCAGCAGCCCGCAATGCAACAGGGCTCTTTCTTTGTTCCCAGGTGGATCGGCAGGTCGAGAAATAATAGACACACGCAAGATAATGAAAGCTGGGTCCAGGGGAGTCACCGCCTTCTGGTCCTGCGATGCTGCCAATGTGCTGGATATACCAGCATTTATTATTAAGTTTAGTGAGGGCGGGGGTAGGTTAGTGAGGGATTTAGGGTCATTTGATTATGAGGTGAGATGGTCACATGGGGATGAAGTAATTCTTTAACATAACATCTGTATGCAGAAGTACAGTATACAGAGATAAGAATTTACAATATAGTGTGTGCATCTGTAATTTCTAACAGAGCCTTAAAACAGAAGCACAGTCTTTCCATAACCTGTGATTAGCAAGATATTAATCAGCAGTAACAGTTGCAGCAAAAGCTGGTTACAAACAATCCATAGAAACAGGACGTGAAGCTAGACAACCGGTTAGACCAGAAATTCTCAGAACGGAGTACGCCTTAACCCTAAAGAGGCCTAGAAGAGTCATGGCAAGATCAGGGCGTTTATAGCCCTATCTTATCCATATGAACAGGTGCCCCTCATGCGTCCGTTTATAGGCTCTCCACAAGGGTCTCATTCCATTCCCAGAGCTATGAACATCTGCTTTTCTGGGATAGGAATCTTGGTGATGTGAAACCTCCCTGACTGCACGTCCATTCATAGGCTCTCTGTGGGGGGAAGCACATCACGCGCTGTTGGCTCATTCTGGCAGTGCAACCTGGCATTGTCTTTACACAGTCCTGCATGCAATTTTGTATTTACAATAATCAGGAGCATTTCATCTTTTATTCTGTAGCAATAGTTTCAGGGGGTCTCCCTACACTGAACATGAGTTGTTTCCTAGGTTCATGTTGCCATTTCTAGCAATGCTATTCTTCAGCCAGCACTCCTTACCCTGCACCCTTAGTTGAGCTGCACTCCTAGATGTACAAATAACTCTTCTTAGTTTTTTTGCTTCGTTTTAATTTTAAATCAAAACTAGGTGTGAACTCCAGTGTGGACTGCACCTATCCTCACTAGTGTCTTTTCTCTAATTTTCTTGGTGTGGCTTGTTGGAAAATGTTAAAGCTTTCTAGTTAGTATTTGAATACATTTCAGGGTCCTAAATGATGAGTGTTAAAGCCCCACTGCAAGAATTGTCAGCTTTGAACAGAATAGAGCCAGGAATGATGCACCTGCAGCCACTGAGACATACAACTGGAACGGCCCACTCAGCATAACTTTATGAATGTTTCTAGCACTAGAAAGGATTTCATTTTACATTTCTATTTGTTTAAGGACTGTGTGTAGCTTGCCTTTTGAACACATAATACACACTCAAAGATGTTGACTAAGTTAATGAATAATAAATGATGATGAATCAATGAATTCAATGAATAATGAATGATACAGGGAAGAATAATTAGAAGACATATTAATTTTGCTTAGTTACACTTTCCAGAGGTAATCATTATTAAAGAGGTACCTTTTGGCTTAATTATAGGCTTATTAATAAATTAAAGTGAGTTTACATATCTTCAAAATTTGGACTTCACAAGGTTAATTCAACACTGAAAAGGAAAAGGAAGAGAAGAAAAATATTTTCATTTGTCATTTGCCTAGTATGACACGAGATGTTTTACATATCATTTCCACATAACTACCTTATAAAGTAGATATGAGCCACCTGTTGAACTAATGATGACCTTCAAGCCCCGGAAAGGAAGGGGAAGTAATTTGCCTGAGCTCACACAGTGCCTTAGTCTGTCCGTACTGCTATACCAAAATACCTAAGACTGAGTAATTTAGAAATAACAGAACTTTATTTCTCAGAGCTCTGGAGGCTGGGAAGTCTGAGATCAAGGCACTGCAGATTCAGTGTCTGGTGAGGGCTTGAACCTCCTTGCTGAGTCCTCACACAGTGGATGGGCAAAAGGCCCTAGAGTGCTCCCTTCAGCCTCTTTCATAAGATTGCCAATCCCATTTGTGAAGCCTCCATCCTCATGACTTAATCATCTCCTAATGACCCCAGCTATTAATACTATCACATTAGTGATTATGTTTCAATATATGAATTTTATGAGACACATTCAGACCATAGCACATAGCTAATAAGTAATGAAGCCAGGATTTAAACCTAGGCTGCTCTGAAGTCAAAAATGCTATTTCTACCATGCTGTTTCTATCCCACGGACTTAGCACTGTGGGGTATATTAAGATAATGACACATAGTTTCTGTCTCAAGAAACTTATTGTTAAGTAGAAGACACATGGCAAATACTAATCATAATAATAGAAAGTAACATTTGGCCGGGCATGGTGGCTCACGCCTGTAATCTCAGCACTTTGGGAGGCCGAGGCAGGCAGATCACGAGGTCAGGAGATTGAGATCATCCTGGCTAACACAGTGAAACCCTGTCTCTACTAAAAATACAAAAATAAAATTAGCCAGGCGTGGTGGCGGGTGCCTGTAGTCCCAGCTACTTGGGAGGCTGAGGCGGGACAATGGCGTGAACCCAGGAGGCGGAGCTTGCAGTGAGCTGAGATTGTGCCACTGCACTCCAGCCTGGGCGACAGAGCAAGACTCCATCTCAAAAAAAAAAGAAAGTAACATTTTAAAAAATGGAGCTGGGTGTGGTGGCTCACTCCTGTAATCCCAGCCCTTTGGGCGGTTGAGGTGAGTAGATCAACAGGAGTTCGACATTAGCCTGGCCAACATGGTAAAACCCTGTCTCTACTAAAAACAGAAAAAAGTTAGCCAGGCGTGGTGGCTCACACCTGTAATCCCAGCTCCTCGGAGGCTGAGGCACAAGAATCGGTTGAACCTGGGAGGCGGAGGTTGCAGTAAGCTGAGATCACGCCACCATACTCCACTCTGTCACTCTGGGTGACAGAGCAAGACCCTGTCTCAATTTTTTTTAAATTTAATTTAATTTAGTTTTTTAAAAATGGTAGTTACCAGAGAAGTACTCTGCTGAATTCCAGTAAATCTGAAGTATTGTATTTCAGAGAAGAAAGTGAGGTAAGAGCCGGCTCAGTGACACTTTGGTTTTCTACAAACAGGTATCAAGGCAGGGCTCACATGGTACCCAGTGTTGCTAAGAGTATGGGTAAGAATGTGTGGCTCTCGTACACACTACTGATAGGAATGCAAATTAATCAACCTCTCTGGAGGGAAAACTGTCAATATGTGTAAAAAGCCTGAAAAAATTATTTTGCTTTTGAGTCTCAAATTCTACTACCATATTATTCTAAGAAAAAAAAATGTGCTGAAAGATGTATCTGTAAGGATGTTTATCAGAGTTATTATAGAGGAAACTTGGAAACAATCTAAATGTTCAACAACAGGGTACTGGGTAAAGAAAGTGTTACATGATGGAATGCTATGTTAACTATTAAATAGGAAGTTGTGGAACTGCAGTGATCAGTGATCAAAGTATGGTTTTCTTTCAGGGCATCCACAAGATCCAAACTATTTTTATAGTAGTTCTAAGACATTATTTGCATTTTCCACTTTCATTCTCTCATGACTGTATAGAGGATGAAAAGCTCATTGATTTTTTTTTTTTTCAGAGTCCACATTGCAACTAATCTTTAAAAAAACGACTACTTTTTAAGTTTTGGTGTGGTATAAAGAAAATATCAGCTGGGCGTGGTGACTCACGCCTGTAACTCCAGCACTTTGGGAGGCCAAGGTGGGCCGATTACTTGAGGTCAGGAGTTTGAGACCAGCCTGGTCAGCATGGTGAAACCCCGTGTCTACAAAAATACAAAAAAAAATTAGCTGGGCCTTGTGGTGTGTGCCTGTAATCCCAGCTATTTGGGAGGCTGAGGCAGGAGAATTGCTTGAACCCGGGAGGCGGAGGCTGCAGTGAGCCAAGATTATGCAACTGAGCTCCAGCCTGGGTGACAGAGTGAGACTCCATCTCAAAAAAAAAAAAAAAAAAAAAAAAAAAAGAAAGAAAGAAAAAGAAAATATCCAGAATTATCTAAAAATTACTCCTTCCTTTTCCAACTACATATCTCTGTGAGGCTAGATTTTCTTTATATATTCCTACTAACAGTACATATTCACATTTTGAATGCAGAAGCAGATGTGAGAATTCAGCTGTCTTCTGCTAGCCCAAACATTTAAAAGATTTGCAAAAATATAAAATAATGTCATTCTTCTCACTAAATGTTTTTGTTTGTGTGTTTTGGAAAATAACTTTTTATAAAATATGTTATTGATGTTGACATGTAGTAGGTTATTATTACGATTTTTAGATGAATTAATAAAAATTTTAAAAGTTCTGTTTTAATTGCTACTACCCTAAATATTGATAAATATAACCCACATGAACAAAAGCTTTTTGAGGTCCTCAATAATTTTTAAGAGTATAAAGTAGTTTTGAGACCAAAAGTTTTGAGAATAGTTGTTGTGGAAAAGTATATTTAATAGCATGAAAAAATGTTCAGAATGTATTTTTTAATTTAAAAAAAGCACATTACAAAACATATCATTTGTGTAAAAGAGGCACATCTCAGGATAGATTAAGAATGAAGAATGCTGATATATTAAAAGTGGTCATCTGAGTGCTGGGATTACTGGTTGTTTTAATTTTCTTTTTTTGTGTGCTTCTGTTTTCCTATATATCCTACAGTGAAATTTATATTTGGTTATTAGAAAAATTTTTTATTTTTACAGGTAGGACCTAAAAATCTTGAACTTTCCCCTGAGTTCAACTGAGGAATGGGGCAAAATGTATTAACAAGGGTGGTCTGTATTATGGTTTTTAAAACATTTTACTGGATCAAATGCACATCATTTTTAGTGGGTTTTTCTGTCTTTCTCTTTTGTGGGTGATTAATAAGAGAATCTTATGGGAAATTCAGCTTAATTTTTAGAACTCCTGAAGAGATGTAAGTGCTATAGTCTTATAACAATGATTTTGGGGATGCAAAGTTTTCCAATAATCTAACTTATTCCAATACAGTCCTCTATAAAAACAAAGCTATTGAATCTCCAATTCTGAGGTTTTACAAGTCAGAAATCAAAAGGCTACTAGCAAGTTATTTCCTAATGTATCAGTAAGGATTTTACTTAATCTCTTTGTTTTTTCCCCCTGTGGAATTTTAGAGACTTCTTTTTATAAGTTCTATTTTACTGTTGGTTATGTTTTAGGTAAGAGGTTTCTTGTGTTTTTCTGGTGGTGCTGTTTGAGCCTGATGATGGGTCCATCAGGTAGGTCGTCTGGGTGCTTTTCACTGGCAGCTCCACCAATAGCCAGGCTGCTGCTGATCTGCTTTCAACTTCAGAGGGATCAGGCACCCCTGCCACCAACCGTACCTGGCAGAATTTGTCTAAAGTGGAATAGCCACTAAAGGTGGTACAGAGAGAAAAAGAATGTAAACTACGTAGACAATTGCTTGGAAAGTTGAAGAGGACAGAGGCAAAGTTTAATTGTCAATATAGGTTTTGTTAGCAGACTTTGTAAATTATGTTCTTGAGAAATGAATCTTTCAGGTCGCAAAGGCTACATTGGAGAAAGAAATTAACCACTTTCAAAAAAAGATAAAGATTCCCATATACCCTTATAGATCATTGGTTTGAGAATAAATAAAAAAATGGGGGCTGGGAAATTTTCTAAACATTTTATGTATGCACAAAAGAACATACTTTCTAATACTGTACTTGAAGAAAACACAAAGTTAATGGCGCTAATAAGTTATCATCCAGAGCTGATCCAGCAGAAAATATTTGAGGATTTGTCAGTAACCATAATATAATGATTAATTTTTCTTGATGAATTATTGGCAGCATTAATTGTGGGCCTAGATTGAAATTCAGTGGAGGAGCACCCAGAAATTGAAGAGAACGTGTATGGTTGTTTTTCAATCACAATTTTCAGTATGATCCCCTTCCATCTTCACTCCCTCTTCGCATATGGTACAGCAGTATCTCAAGGATGCTTCTCTCCGTAGCTGGAGAGTGCCATCACTGGGCCTCCAGAGGACTCTCTCTTAGGTTTATCCAAACAGGCCCGGAGAACCAACACACTGCCACCCAAGTCTGTCTGCTGGCACCAGGCAAAGGGGTCCTCTCTCCTGAAACTCCAGGGCTGGGATGTACTTCACCTATCCCTGTTCATCCCAGGAGCATCTGCTGGAGTGAGACATTGGTGTTTTATTTATTTATTTGTTGTTTGTTTATTTATTTTTGAGTTGGAGTCTTGGCCTGTTGCCCAGGCTAGAGTGTGGTGCGTGATCTCGGCTCACCGCAACCTTAGTCTCCCAGATTCAAGCGATTCTTCTGCCTCAGCCTCCCAAGTACCTGGGATTACAGGTGTGCACCACCATGCCCAGGTAATTTTTGTATTTTTGTATAGATGGGGTATCACCATGTTGGCCAGGCTGGTCTTGAACTCCTGCCCTCAAATGATCCACCCTCCTCAGCCTCCCGAAGTTCTAGGATTACAGGCATGAGCCACCACACCCGGCCTATTTTTTTTCTTCTTAAAAAATGACAGAGAAAAAAAAAAGTGTTGCCAAACACTATATTAGGTATATGGACAAACCCCGATTCCATCTAATAGATGAGCTGGGCTTTATTTTTAAATGTATTACTATTATTATTTTCAAGGCTACAATGTAAGGGCTCTTTCTCTGTTGCAAATTTAATACAAAAAATTGCTGGAAGGCCATGAAGGAAATCTGATCAGATTTCTTCTACTTTTTGGACTGATTTGCCCTCATACTTCATGTTTTTATGGAGTTATAATTGTATTAGGAAAAAAAAGTCAGTGTAACAGGTGGGGAGAAGTCTATCATGGCTCACTGGTTTATTTTAAAAAAGATCCCAACCTGACATATTCTATTCAGATGAAGTGCTCTGTCTCTTAGTAACCACCACTCAACATTCATGGGAATTTGACAGCAGTGGCTGGCTTCTGCTCTGTGCTAATATTCAGTAGCTGTTGAAGAATTCCAGCACTAAACAGTTAAGCCTATTTAACTCCTTTGCTGGGAGTCCCAGGAACCTGAACATTCTCATCCTCCATGGTTTTTCACTTGTATCCTCAGCCAAGGTTGGTGTTGCCTATGGTTGAGTGTCTTTTCTCACTCTTGAGTCTGCCTTCACCAGTGGTTCTCAGCTATTACATATCTGAAGACATTTTTTATTGTCACAACCTGGGATGGGGTACTAATGGCATCTGGTGGATGGGGGCCAGGGAGGCCACTAAACATTCTCAGCACACAGGACAGTCCCCACCCCGCTGCACCCCGCCCCCACCCCCCACCCGCCGTCACAAAGAATTATCTTAGCTCCTAATGTCAATAGTGTCACTGTGGAGGAATGCCCACCTCCCAAGACCACAAATAATTGAGTTTCCTATGTTTTGGTCTGAAGCAGTCACTAAGCTATGTAACAATGCTGTCACACCATAGCTTATTTATTTTGGTTCTCTGGACCTGGCGTCTCTTTGTCCTTAGTTTTTTATAATAGTGGAGAATTTAGTGGTTGAGTTTTATGCTTTTCGCTGGCAGACTCGGATGTGTGCTTGCAGTTTATGTAATTGAATAACAGCCCCAGCTCATGGCCAAGACCTGAATAGATAGATACTCCCTAAATATTTATAAATTGATTGTGCATGCTAAAGCCCAAATGGCTCTTTTTTAACTCTGGAGAGAAATGATTTTTGTAATTCCAGAGTTCTCGATGGGTCATGTTAACACCTTTACCTACTACTACGTAGATACTTCCTACTTGGAATAAATGGAGTTTATGCATGCGGCCCACATGTAGTATTTTGGTTCGGGAGGAGTAGGGGTAGGAAAGAAGATACTCACTACTTCGAAATCTCCTACCTTCACATGGATCGCATCTTCATCTTGTCCTGGTTGTAAGGACAGGCACATGTCTTAGTCACTCAATGACTCAAGTTATCTTGGCTGTTAATAACAAGTCTATGTGTATCCCACCGTTAGCCAATTATCAGGACTGTCCAAAGCCCTAGGAAAGACAGAATGATGGTGGTTTTCCAGTCTGCTTGGAGGTTGGAGTAGCATTTGGAAGCATCTGCATAATACTAACATATGTATCACTGGGTTTTACAACTTTCAAGAAGATTACAGACTTGCAAAGGTGCCCCAAAGAATAGCCAGACACACCATGTGGTTTCACACCCCTCTTCTTTTGCACATGTTGTTCCTTTTACCTGAATTGCTTCTAACCACCTGCATCCTGGTTTTCCTGGAAAACTCATTTTTATCTTGCAAAACCTCACATCAGTCTGTCATACTCTGTGATTATATTCCAGACCCTCCTCTCACACACGTATTCAAACAGCATGCCCCACTCTATCCCAAAGTTTAAAGATGTCTTTCTCTGTACCACATCTGATATCTTTTTTCTTTTTCTTTTTTTTTTTTTTTTTTTTGAGATGGGGTCTCGCTTTGTCTCCCAGGCTGGAGTGCAGTGCTGTGACTGACCATGGCTCACTGCAGCCTTGAACTCCTGGGCTCAAGCCATCCTTCTGCCTCAGCCTCCTGAGTAGCTGGGACTGTAGGCATGTGCCACCATGCCTTGCTGGTTTTTAGAATTTTTTTGTAGTGATGGGATCTCACTATGTTGCTTGGGCTGGTCTTAAACTCCTAGGCTCAAGTGATCCTCCTGACTTGGCCTCCCAAAGTGCTGGGATTACAGGCATGAGTGACCATGCGCAGCCTCACATGGGACGCCTTTTGCACATTCTATTGAAGCATATGTCACACTATATGATAACAGTCTGTTTTTAGGTATATCTCTATGCTAGTCTCTAATTTCCTGGAAGGTAGGAATTGTGTTACTCTTCTTTATATTCCCATTGCTTTGCATATTGTGGGTACTTCTTAGAACTTAAAAACAGAATTCTTATTATTTATTTTGCAAGGCTCATTTAAAAAATTTGTGAAATGTTACTAATTAACTGGGTTATCTCTGGTAATGGGACAGAGATAGAGGTGATGGTAATTAAGGGAGACTATGTAGATTAATTTTTTATAACAAGAATGTTTTTATTTACTTTTGTAATTAAAATGAATTATGTATGTGTATATGGAGGTTTTGTTTGCTGCTGTATGCTCATTGCCTAGAACAGTGTGGTCCATGGTGGGTGTTAAATATTTGTTGACTAAATCAAATAATGAATCTAAGAGCCAAAGGCAATAATATATGTGCAGGTATTTGGAGAGTCATTAAGTGATATGAAACTATAGCTTATTGTTATTTTAATAATAATAATTTTTTTTTTCTGTGACAGAGTCTCGCTCTGTCACCCAGGCTGGAGAGCAGTGGTGCGATCTCAGCTCACTGCAAGCTCCGCCTCCCGGGTTCACGCCACTCTCCCGCCTCAGCCTCCCGAGTAGCTGGGACTACAGGCGCCCGCCACCACGCCCGGCTAATTTTTTGTATTTTTAGTAGAGACAGGGTTTCACTGTGTTAGCCAGGATGGTCTCGATCTCCTGACCTCGTCATCCACCCGCCTCGGCCTCCCAAAGTGCTGGGATTACAGACGTGAGCCACCGTGCCCAGCCAACTATAGCTTATTATTACTGTCTCTGGAAACTAGACGCCTGGTGAGTGTCAGAGCAGGGGTTAGAATCCAGGTTTCCTTACTCCTGTTAGCAGATGGTAACAGAAGCAGCTGTAGAGCTGGCAGGGCCTGAAGCTAAAGTAACCTGAGGCATTTCCTTTAAGAATACCAACTTTTATCTTTTTTGCATAATCTGGTTCAAATTGTCAACCCTATTTTTCCAACTCATAGACATTTTTGCAGTAGATATAATATGACTTATCACTCACTGGTAATATACCTCTAAAACTGTTCTGTGCTGCTTACAGAGCATTGTGTCAACCACTATAGTTCTGGAGTGCTTAAAGCTTATGCAAATACAGATGTGCACATGCTGTGTGCTTCTGAGGGAGATCTGTATGGGATCGTGGCATCGCTGAGTTCTAACTGATGGATTTCTCTTGGTCTGATTAGGTCCATAGGTCAGTTTGTGGTGGATACTCACAAGCACGTAGATTATCTATTATATCTGTTCTTACTATCAAGTGGTGTCCTTTAGTTCCTACCAGCTAATAGATGGTATGTGTGGCCATTTATTTGTATTAGGATTTGACTAGTAGAATTACTCTCTTTTCTTTGATGAAGTTCTGAAACAATTGATAGATAAAGGAATGGTAGCTAGAGATGAAAATATCAACTTCATCATTTATAGAGCTGATATCAGAGAATGTGGCTTAGATACAGGACAACAATGTGATTTCTACTACTGAATCTCCTGAATCTCAGAAATAGACAGATTTATATACCCAGTCACAGGCTGTGAAGAACCACAGCCTCTCTTCATATACTTCATAGCACAAGGAATATTTAATGTTGGTGCAAAAGTAATTGCGGCTTTTGCCACAGTAGAATGGGGAAGAGTGATAAAGAGAAGCTAGGCCAGCATTGTTTTACTAATAGATGTCCTTCTACTTGAGAAGAAACATCTGAGATGAGAAGTTAGTGTCTCAACTAACAAGTAAATTACTATCATGCATTTTAAGAAATTTTAACAAGCTAAAAGATATGAATCTTTACATCACATAGTTTACTCCTACACTCTTGTATAGATGACACAGGAAAATGTTGACAAACAACAACTAAAACTAAGCTGGGAGAACACTGATTGTGTCTAGTGACGCTGTTGTACAGGTGAGGGCTTAGGTAAGCACTCAGTTTGTTTTACGGTGGAGCTACTTTCAGTAGCAACATCCGTATACATCCTAGATTTCAGATGATTAAAATAAGGCAACGTTAATTTATATTTATATCACAAATCTATAGTGCAGACCAAATTGATTAATTTGAAGTGAACTTTTAAGACCTTTTAAAAATTTGCACCATATGGTAATCTTGCTGTAAAAGACCACACCTAACATAGTGCCTACCTAGTACATAATTTGAGCTCATTACATACTTGTTGAGTGAATAAATCTTGACTTAAAACAGATGATGCCCCAGGCAAGCAAACCACTCCTGTTAGCAGGCTGCTCTCAAATAACCATACTCACTCTTTTGAGTTGTATTTTTACTAAGGATCAGTTGTGATTGTTCCAGGACCTTTTTATACTAGTTATACTTGTTATTGCTGTAACATGATTTAATTAAATATTGCTTAAGCTGATGAAATATGAGTACAAAAGTAAAAGAGCTGTTGTTCCTCTGAAAACAAAGGTGAATGCTTTAGAAAGACTTTATAAGGAGAGCCACCAAAAGAAACACTAAGGGACATTGATTCCTGCTTACAGAAAGTTTACAGTCTTATAAAGGAGCTAAGATATACATACAAATAACTTGAATGTAGGATGAACAGGAGAATATTACATTAAGATTCCAGAAGTTCAGAGGCAGAAATTTACTTTTGGCTTGCAGCATCATTGATGGATACATGGAGAAGTTGATATATGAGCTGGTCTCTAAAATAAATAAGAGATAAAATATACAAAGATGATTCATTCTAAGTGAAAAGAAAGATATCAGCAAAGGCATGAAGAGTGAAGCCTATGTTTGGCTGGATTATAGAGTTAATGAATGGGAAGATAACCAGGTTTCAAATAGTAGAGGGCCCTAACTTCCAGGCTTCTAAAGTACCTGATCATTGTGATAACAGGATCCTTATTCTTTCCATCCACAATGATGTTGAATGGCCTTTAGTATATCTACAAAATGAACACTTTCTATTACGGCATAATTATGCTGTGTAACAATTTATTCATTCATGGTTTCATGAAATTTTTTCTTAACTCCCTAATGGCATAAAAGTTCCTTTTAACCTAAGCTATTTTTTTTTTTTTTTTTTTTTTGAGACGGAGTCTCGCTCTGTCGCCCAGGCTGGAGTGCAGTGGCGGGATCTCGGCTCACTGCAAGCTCCGCCTCCCGGGTTCACGCCATTCTCCTGCCTCAGCCTCCCAAGTAGCTAGGACTACAGGCACCCGCCACTACGCCCGGCTATTTTTTGTAGTTTTAGTAGAGACGGGGTTTCACCGTTTTAGCCGGGATGGTCTCGATCTCCTGACCTCGTGATCCGCCCGCCTCGGCCTCCCAAAGTGCTGGGATTACAGGTGTGAGCCACCGCACCCGGCCAGCTATTTTATATTATAGTTTGCTGAACTGTTATTCAGCAATGCATATTTTTTTCAGCTAAACACATTAATATTAAATTAATTCTTGGTGAAATATTAATTGTAGAGTTAATGATTGCTTTTAAGAATTCCATTTTTTAAAAGACTCATATAAAACACTAACAGTTTGTATTAAAAGATCACAAGCTTTCTTGGTGTTTTATGGCTTAAAATATATCTTTCAAAGCTTGTAATATAAGCAGGATCATAGGTGACTTTCCCATTTTAATAACAATTGATATTTAATGCATTCTAAAAGACTTCATGAGAAAGATATCCGACCTATTACATTCTTTTGTTTTATATACTTCCCGTTAGTGCACTGTGATTGCTTGAGAGAATAAAGCATCATGCAAATCTAAGGTATTTTTCATAATTATATTCCTATAAAGAACTTTAATGTTACTTTAACTGCTGATCAGAGGAAGGAACTACAAGTTCCTAGAATACAAATCTTGAGCTCAGTAGAAACAAAGTATAATAATATAATCATGCTGCATAATGACATTTTGGTTAATGACAGACTGCATATACAACAGTGGTCCCATAAGATTATAATGCCATATTTTACTTAGTTTTTCTGTGTTTAGCTGTACAAATACTCACCATTGCATTACAGCTGCTTACAGTATTCAGTACAGTAACATGCTGTATAGGGTTGTAGCCTAGGAGCAATAGGCTATACCATATAGTCTCTCTGTAATAGACTCTACCATCTAGGTTTGTGTAAGTACACTCTATGATGTTCACACAATGATGAAACTGCCTAATGATGCATTTCTCAGAATGTATCCCTGTTGTTAAGTGACACGTGTTATACAAACTTAACCTTCAGATAAAAATAGAGAACCCATTTCACTTCTTCAGAAGTGTAGGGGTTTTTTTAAGGAAAGAATGAGAGAATCAATTCAAAACAAAGATATTGATGAAGAAATGTGGGAAACTATTATTTTGGTAGCTCCTCTATGATGGCTACCCATTTCCCTCTTTAAAAGTTCAATTTGTACATATATGTTACCTCCCTCATATTTTTTCACTTATAAAATGAGAAATATTATAAAACCACAAGGCTCTTTCCACTCATGATTCTAATAACTTAATTTTCAATAAGTTACTGGTTTCTGAGCTAAGATGAAATAGGTGTGCCTAGGAAGGTTGATCACAGCCTAAACAGGAAACAGGAATTTTTGGCATGGTCATCATATTCCAGAACCTGATCCTTCATTTTGAAATATCAGATGTTATATTTTTTAGCACATTTAATGAAATTCATTTTTTGAGAGCTGGTTTATACTAATACAACTCACAAAAAACACATTTAGAAAAATATGTCCATTTAACAGTTGGAGATAAGAAGATCACCAGCAAATGTATTAAAGCTCCATTCATAAATTATCTCATTTCCTTCCTACCGTGCAAAGGGACATGAACACACAATGAAAATATAAATTAGAGTTTATCAGGGAAAATTCAGAAATGGAGAAGTAGTAGATCACACACAATCCTATAAGCTCTCATCTCACAAAGAGTAATGCTTGCTCAGGGCATAGCTGGACTACTATGGGAAGGGAAGGGCTTATGTAGAAGAATGATGCTTATGTGATGCTTAACTTATTTATAGGGATGGCGGATATGGAAATAAAAGACAAAATGGAACTTTGTCAGAGAACTGAAAGCAATGAAAAGAATGGAAATTCGAAAACTGAAAAATACAATAATAAAAAATGACACATTTGATTAGTAAACAGTTTAGACACAGTTGAATACAGAATTAGTATGCTGGTTGATGAATTGGAAGAAACATCCAAATGAAGCACACACAGGATACAGTGAAATGTTTCAATTTGTGAAAAACTGGGATCTCAGATGACAAGAGAGGCAATGAGGCAGAAGCAATATTTGAACAGAGTATGGCTGAGGATTTCTCAAAAATGCTGAGGGACATTAATCTACAGATTCCAGAAACCATGCAAACTCCAAGCAGGATAAGATGTCTAAGAATATGATAGTAACTTCTGAAAACTGAAGACAACCACCAAATCACAAAAACAGCTGTAGGGAGGTAGTGGGGGAAAAAAGTCCAAATCATCTTCAAAAAAGTGACAGTTACACTGACAGCCAACTTATCAATACAAACAATGGAAGACAGAAGACAATGGAATGATATTTTTCAAGTGCTAAGATAAAAATAACTGCCAATCTAATTTTTTTTTTTTTTTTTTTTTTTTTGAGAAGGAGTTTTGCTCTTGTTGCCCAGGCTGGAGTGCAGTGGCACAATCTCAACTCACTGCAACCTCCCCCTCCCAGGTTCAGGCAATTCTCCTGCCTCAGCTTCCCAGGTAGCTGGGATTACAGGCATGCACCACCATGCCCAGCTAATTTTGTATTTTTACTAGAGACAGGGTTTCTCCATGTTGGTAAGGCTGGTCTTGAACTCCTGACCTCAAGTGATCTGCTGGCCTCGGCCTCCCAAAGTGCTGGGATTACAGGCGTGAGCCACCATGCCTGGCCCAATCTAGAATTTTATATCCTGAAAAAATATTCTTCAAGAATGAAAATGTAAAAAGACTTTTAATGAAAAAAGTAGGAAGAGCTTGTCCCCAGAAGATTCACACCAGAGGAAATACTAAAGGGAGGAGGAAAATGGTTCCAGATGGAATCTTAGAGATACAGGAAGGAATGAAGCACAATAAAAAGGTTCTGTATCTAAGTAAATCTAAATAAATATTGACAATAAAAATAATTATATCTCACGTGGCTTAACATTTAGATTGAAAATACATAAGGACGTGTAAGTTGAAGTTAAAGGATTCATGGTCTTTGTGTTGTCTGGGAATAGGTAAAAATATCAATTTATATTAGACATTAATGAGTCAAAGATGTATGTTGTAATTTCCAGGGTAATCACTAAAATAATAGTCAAGTAGAATGTAGCTAACAAGCTAATAGAAAAGGAAATGGAATAATAAAAAAATTCAATCCAAAATAAGGCAAGGCTGAGTGTGGTGGCTCACTTTGTGAAGCTAAGGTGAGAGAATTGCTTGAGTGTGAGAGTTTGAGACCAGCCTGGGCAACATATTGAGACCCCCATGTCTATTTTTAAAAAATAAAAAAACAAAATAAGGCAAGATAGGAGAGAAAAAGGAATATAGAATAGGTAGGACAAATAGAAAATAAATAATAAGATGGCAAATTTAACTCCAAACATATTGGCAATTATATTACATTTAAATGAACTAAATGCTCTATTTAAAAGTTAGAGAGCTCTATTTAAATGGTCAGAATGGATTTTTTAAAAACTATATGCTGCTTATAAGCAACATATCTAAAGTATAAAGATATAGGAAGGTTCCAAGTAAAAATGCAAAAAGATATTTCATGCAAATGATATATATGGATGGATAATGCAAACATTAACCAAAAGATAGCTGGCATAATGCTATTAATATCAAAGCAAAGCTTTAATAGTATCAAACTAGACTCTAGAAAAAAATCTTTATTTACAGATAAAAGGGACATTTCACTATTATTAAAAGTTAAAATTTCCAGAAAGATATAACTATTCTAAATCTATTACCTATTAACATAGATTCAAAATGTTTAAGTCAAATATTTACAGAACCATAAGGAGAGACAAATCCACAATTGTGTTAGAAAATGTTAACACATTTCTCAGTGTTAGAACAGGCAGACAAAAAAATATTACTAAGGCTAAAAAAGATCTGAATAACACAATAAATAAGCCTGACTTGGTTAACATATATAGAACACTGTTGAAAAACTGCAGAACATATGTTCTTTTCATGAACCCATAAACATTTTTCTTAAAATGGCCATATAGCCATGAAGTTTCAACAAATTTTGAAGTATAACTTCATACAAAATAAATTCTCTGATCACAATGCAATTAAACTAGAAAGTAAACAAAAAGATAACTAGGAAATCCTCATGTATTTTGAAATTGCAAAATACATTTTCAAATAATCTATGGGCCATATATGAAATCACAAAGGAAATTTTAAAACATTTTGAGATTAATAACTTTTAAAATGCTATATATCAACCTTTAGGTTATACATCTAAATTTGTGCTTAAAGAGAAGCACATGTCTTGACTTCACATGTTAGAAAAAGGGACAGTTTGAAAATTAATGACATAAGAATCTATCTTGGCTATGTGCAGTGGCTCATGCATGTAATCCCAGCACTTTGGGAGACTGAGCTGGGCAGATCACTTGGGGTCAGGAGTTCGAGACCAGCCTGGCCAACATGATGAAACACCATGTCTACTAAAAATACAAAAAATTGGCTGGCATGGCGGCGCATGCCTGTAATCCCAGCTACTTTGGGAGGCTGAGGTGAAAGAATTGCTTGACCCAGGAGGCGAAGGTTGCAGGGAGCCAAGATTGTGCCCCTGCACTCCAGCCTGGGTGACAGAGTGAGACTCTGTCTCAAAAAAAAAAAAAAAAAAAAAATCTATCTGAAAAAGATAGTATAAATATTAAATAAAAAATCGAGATGACACAACCAGTATCAAGAATGACAAAAAAATGAGTAAAATTTTAGGTCTTGTGTACATTTAAAAGATCCTAAATGGATATTATGAACAACTTTAATTCAATGATTTCTAAACATTTAGATGAAATAGATAAATTCTTAGAAAAGTACAAAATAAAAACTAAAAACAAAAAGAAATTCTGAAGTCATATAACTATTAAATATTAAATTGCTAACTAAAAACCTTACCACGAAAAGGACTCCAGGTCCAGACTGCTTCACTAAGTCTACCAAACACTTAAGGGAGAAATAATGTAATATTTTACACACTCTTCCAGAGGAGAATAAAGGAGGGAACAATTCCCAGTTTGTTCTATGAGGCATCATAATCTTGCTACAAAAACCTGACAAACACATTATAGAAAAGGAAATTACATAGGCCGGGTGCAGTGGCTCACGCCTGTAATCCTAGCACTTTGAGAGGCCGAGGTGGGTGCATCATGAGGTCAGGAGTTTGAGACCAGCCTGGCCAACATGGTGAAACCTCATCTCTACTAAAAATACAAAAATTAGCCGGGAGCAGTGGCAGGCACCTGTAATCCCAGCTACTCGGGAGGCTGAGGCAGGAGAATCGCTTGAACTCTGGAGGCAGAGATTGCAGTGAGCCAAGAAAACACCACTGCACTTCAGCCTGGGTGACAGAGTGAGACTCCATCTCAAAGGAAAAAAAAAAAAAAAAGAAAAGAAAAGGAGATTACAGGCTGGCCATGGTGGCTCACACCTGTAATCCTATCACTTTGGGAGGCCAAGGCAGGAGGATGGCTTAAGGCCAAGAGTTTGAGAACAACCTGGTGACATGTCAAGACTCCTGTCTCTACAAAAAATTAAAATATTAACCAAGTGTGATGGGGCACACCTATACTTGCAGGTACGTGGGATGCTGAGGAGAGAGGATTGCTTGAGTCTAGGAGTTTGAGGTATCAGTGAGCTATGATCGTGCCACTGCACTCCAGCCTGGGTGACAGAGCGAGTCCCTGTCTCAAAAACAAAACAATGAAAAAAAAAAAAGAAAAGAAAAGGAGATTACAGGGTAATATCACTCATTAACATGGGAGAAAAATTTCTAAACATAGTATTAGCAAACAAGAAAATCTTGCATTATATAAAAGTATAATGTATCACAGCCATGTTGAGTTCAGTTCAGGAGTTCAAGATTGGTTTGTTATTTGGATATCAATCACTGTAATTTATCACATTAACAGGATAGAAAAGAAAATATGATCATTTCCATAGTTTCATAAAAAATTTTTTAATCGGCCGGGTGTGGTACCCCAGGCCTGTAATCCCAGCACTTTGGGAGGCCGAGGTGGGTGGACCACCTGAGGTCAGGAGTTTGGGACCAGCCTGACCAACATGGTGATACCCCATCTCTGCTAAAAAAAAAAAATACAAAATTAGCCAGGCGTGGTGGTGCCCGCCTGTAATCCCATCTACTTGGGAGGCTGAGGCAGGAGAATTGCTTGAACCCGGGAGGCGGAGGTTGCAGTGAGCCGAGATCGCACCATAAACTCCAGCCTGGGCAAGAAGAGCGAAACTCCATCCCCCACCCAAAAAATTGTTTAATAAAACTTAACATTCATCATTTTAAAAAACTGCCTTAGCAAATAGGAATAGAAGGAAACTTCCTTCATCAGATGAGGGTTATCCTCCAAATGAAAGGGGAGCCTTTGACATCTCTGGTATCAGTCTGTTTGCTTGATCTAACTCAGATCAGCTGAACCTTCTTGCTCAACGCTGAAAGTGTGGAGGAAGTGAGCTTCCCAAGACATTATTTGTCTCACTACACTCCTATAGATAAATCTATGTGGGATGTTAACTGATAATCAGAAGGTTGCTTTGTGAGAATGCAGTCAGAGGGGAATGGATGAGATGATTTTCATAGCCAATATCTTTTAACTATGAAAAGCTGATATTTACATAGATGGGAACACTGAATGGTATGGTGACCATTTCTCTTCTGTTAATACATTGTTTCTTTAGACTGAGTGTAATACTGCCATGGCTTTACACATGCTAATACTGTATAATCATTCTCTAGTTCCTGTTGGCTCTGTCATTCAACTTTGGATCTCTCAGTGAGCCAGACTGTTTATTCATGCTACATTTTTTATATCCTATGACCTTTTCTTGGAATGACCTCCCCATCCTTACACCATCTCCTATCTTCATTCACTTAGCAAACTCCTATTTCTTCTTCTACAAACCAACTCAAGTATTTTCCCTCTGAAGTTTTCCCTTCTGTATGTTCTAATTGTATCTTGCCTATCTTCTGTAATAGTACTTATCACACTGTATTAAAATGTTCTTAACATTCAACTCAGCAATTCCATTGCTGGGTATAGACCCAAAGGAAAATAAATCATTCTACCAAAAAGGCATGTACACTTATGTTCATTGCAGCACTTCACAATAGCAAAGACATGGAATCAACCTAAGTGCCCATCAACGGTGGATTGGATAAAGAAAATATGGTACATATACACCATGGAATACTATGCAGCCATAAATAAGAATTAAATCATGTCCTTTGCAGCAATATGAATGCAGCTGGAGGCCATCGTCCTAAGCAAATGAATGCAGAAACAGAAAACTAAATATCACATGTTCTCACTTATAAGTGGGAGCTAAATTTTGGGTACACATGGACATAAAGATGGGCACAATAGACACTGGGGACTACAAAAGTGGGGAGGAGGGAGGGGTAAGAGCTAAAAAACACACTGGGTACTATGTTCACTATTTGGGTGATGGGATTAATAGAAGCCCCAAACTCAGCATCAAACAGTATACCCATGTAACAAATGTGCACATGTTCCCCCTGGATCTAAAATAAAAATGGAAGCAGAGTGCGGTGGCTCACGCCTGTAGTCCCAGCACTTTGGAAGGCCGAGGTGGGCAGATCACTTGAGGCCAGAAGTTCGAGGCCAGCCTCATCAACATGGTGAAATCTCGTCTCTACTGAAAATACAAAAAATTAGCCGGGCGTTATGACACGCACCTGTAATCCCAGCTACTTCCGAGGCTGAGGCAGGGGAATCACTTAAACCCAGGAGGCAGAGGTTGCAGTGAGCCAAGACTGCAACCCTGCACTCCAGCCTGGGCAACAGAGCAAGACTCTGTCTCATAAAATAAAATAATAAATTTTAAAAACTGGAAATTAAAAAAGAATGTTTGGTTGTCTCTCCATATTAGATTTTGAATTTCTTAGAAGAAGGTTCTAAGTGCTTTATATTTGTACTCCTAGTATTTGAACTCAATGAAAGTTTATTAAGTTTATTAAGTAAAGAAATACATGAATGAATGAAAATGAGTAAGCAACGATTGAGTGAGTGAATCAGTAGGGCTCTCCTGTCTTGTGACCACCACGTGTGTTCTCTCCTCAGCACTCATGAACTCATTCTAGCTGGTAATGAAAACTTCTCTGGTTGGGCACATAGAATTTACAATCAATAGTTAACTCTAAATTGAACTTATAATTGAATTTTATAATGCTTCTACATTCATGGGCATTCAAAATGCTGACTTCCCAGATGCATGTCATAACCTTAATTTTTAATTTCATCCTATTTCTAAGTGACATGGAAGAGAGAAGATGTAGGATGAGTTGAAAGTTTTGTGGAATAGCTTTAATTAGGTATGTAAAAGAGCCTGAAAAAACAGTTTAAAATAAGATTCTGTTCAGGACCAAGATACAGTATTAATTCCTAATTAAGTTCAGCAGTTTAATACCCAAGCAAATGAGTGAGAGCAGAGTTGCGGGGAAGTGGAGAGACTACTTCTTCCCGACCCTTCACTCATGGCATGTATAGAAAATGATATAATTTATAGCACACTAGGGTGAATGGATCTGGCTGCTTGCTATTGCAGGCTAGTGGCCCAAGGGGCCTGGCTGCCCCAGGCTCCCCATGGCTGTGCTGAGAACTAAGGAGACCAGGATCTCAGGACAGCCATAACCCCTTTGCAGTAGACTGCTGGGGAAACTCTGAAGCTTAATAAGGGAAGTTGAGTGCACCTGCAAGGACTTATGGTCCTGGTCCCCACCCAACCTAACAAACCAGGAAGGGTTTGCAGTGAGAAAGAAAGATATGTGCTATTTAAGTGTCAGAGCTAGGATTGTTTAGGCCAGTGATTTTTTTTTTTTTTTTTTTTTTTGAGACGGAGTTTCACTGTTGTCACCCAGGCTGGAGTGCAGTGGCGTGATCTCAGCTCACTGCAACCTCCGCCTCCTGGGTTCAAGAGATTCTCCTGCCTCAGCCTCCTGAGTAGCTGGGATTACAGGCACCCACCACCACACCCAGCTAATTTTTGTATTTTTCGTAGAGATGGGGTTTTACAATGTTGGCCAGGCTGGTCTCAAACTCCTGACCTCAGGTGATCCACCCGCCTCGGCCTCCCAAAGTGCTGGGATTACAGGCGTGAGCCACTGTGCCTGGCCAGGCCAGTGATTCTGAATACATATTGTAGTCGCCTGGCAGCTTTTAAAATCTAAAAACATAGCAATGTGAAGACCAGACCCTCGTACAATTAAATCAGAATCTCTGTGGAGAAGGGTATGGGGCAGTATTAGTATTTTTAAAAAAGTTTCCACAGGTGGTTTTTATAATGTCTCAGAGTTAAGGACCTCTGATATATGCAGAGACTGATGATAAAAACAGTTTACGAAGGGACATAAATCTAACTGTAGATTTTTTTTCAATTGTCTTAATTTAACACTTATGTTTCGTGTTTTTAACAGAAGGTTTTTTGTTTTTATTGTTGTAGACAGATGTAAGCCAGTCAGTAGCTGGGCTTCATCTTGCATATTCCTAGGAGGAAATATGTTTATGAAGTGATGGCAAACGCGGCTGCTGCATTGGTCAGGAATGATAACCGCAGAGGAATTTAAACCCAGCCTTAAGGAGTAGGTAGAATTTACAGTTGCAGAAGTGGAGTATTGTCGGGGCTCTGCATTCTAAATGGAGGAACAGCGTAAGTACAAGTGAGGAAGAGGTAGAAGACAATTTCAGAGAAGAGCGCTACAGAGTCTAAGATGGGGGCCCAATAGCAAATGAAGGAGCGGCCAAAGCCAGCCATCTCGGAAGGGATGAGAGACCAGTCCACGGACACAGCCTTTCCACACTTCTGTATCCTGTAGCAGCTGCAAGTGATCATGCCCAGGCGCCTTTCATCATGTGTCATCAGGAAGGCCTGACTACAGATAACATTTATTGAGTGAGCACTAACTACATGCCAGGAATATTCCCTAAGCATTTCGCATGAGTTAACTAATTTAATCTTCTCAACAAGCTCACGAGATAGGTTCTATTATTATCCCTGTTTTATAGATGAGGAAAGTGAAGCACAGTAGGTTGACATTTTTTGTGACCTCTCTCTATTCAATGACCTGTTTTCTCTTTATCATGACTCAGAGTTCCCAAGATCTATTTGCCGAACAGTGAATTATTGTTAAAACAGGAATTTACCTGTAGGGGTAGGGTGCAGGTACACACTTGGAAAGAATGTCAGATAGGGATTAGAGAGCTAAGGATTTTGAACATCTTTTTTTTTTTTTTCTTCTGTGGATATGAAGAATTTGCTGAGATTTTAAAGCAGGGGGTGGCATACTGAGCTGGTTAGTAAAGCCAGTCTGGGAGGATGCGGCACAGTGGGTTAAGAGTGGGGGAAAATGAGGTACCTGTGATACCAGCTGACCAGTTAGGAAGTTAATGGCAGTGACTAGGAGGGAAGTGGTGAAAAGCTGGGTGAGGTGGCGATCGTGGTAACAGAGAGAGCACAGATACAAGAGTTATTATGAAGATGCTGGTGACTAGAGTGGGCTTGAGTGACTGCTGAGTCCCGACAAGATCAGGAAGGCAATCCTGATGAGAGAAGGTGGTAAATTTAACTTTAGCTTTTTTGAGTTTGTGGAATAGTGAGTCATTCCAGCCTGGGATGTGTCATTGTATTGGGTATCCTGACTTTGGTTTTTAAACTTTATTTGATATACATCCCTCTTTTTGACATGGAAGGCAATATTGATGTCTGTATTTTAATTTCACATTAATCCTTTACCTGGTAAAAATGTATTTACTTATTCTATTAATTAGTATTATTTTATTATGATAATATATAATTAATATTGTTATTTGCTATAGGTTATCAGACCAGGATGAAGAGGGAAAGATCAAGCAGGAGTATATCATATCTGACCCCTCCTTTTCCATGGTGACAGTCCAAAGGGAAGATAGTGGGATAACCTGGGAAACCAATTCAAGTAGATCTTCTACTCCTTGGGCTTCAGAAGAAAGTCAGACTTCTGGTGTGTGTAGTCGGGAAGGGTCAACTGTGAATTCTCCTCCTGGAAATGTTTCCTTTATTGTGGATGAAGTGAAAAAGGTTCGGAAAAGGACTCATAAGTCAAAGCATGGTTCACCATCATTACGCCGGAAAGGCAACAGAAAAAGAAATTCTTTTGAATCCCAAGATGTTCCAACAAACAAAAAAGGCAGTCCTTTAACTTCAGCAAGCCAGGTACTAACCACGGAGAAAGAGAAGTCATATACTGGCATTTATGATAAAGCAAGAAAAAAGAAGACCACTTCAAATACACCTCCGATTACTGGGGCAATATACAAAGAACACAAGCCATTAGTGTTAAGACCAGTCTACATAGGAACAGTACAATATAAAATTAAGATGTTTAATTCGGTTAAAGAAGAATTAATTCCTCTACAATTTTATGGAACATTGCCAAAGGGTTATGTAATTAAAGAAATACATTATAGGAAAGGGAAAGATGCATCCATTAGTCTAGAGCCAGATTTGGACAATAGTGGTTCTAATACAGTGTCCAAAACACGCAAATTAGTAGCCCAAAGCATAGAGGATAAAGTAAAAGAGGTTTTTCCACCCTGGAGAGGCGCACTCTCCAAAGGATCAGAGTCCCTAACCTTAATGTTCAGTCATGAAGATCAAAAGAAAATTTATGCTGATTCTCCCCTAAATGCCACATCTGCATTGGAGCACACAGTTCCCTCTTATTCAAGTAGTGGCAGAGCAGAACAAGGAATACAGCTCAGGCATTCACAGTCAGTGCCACAACAGCCAGAAGATGAAGCAAAACCACATGAAGTGGAACCTCCATCTGTGACACCCGACACACCTGCAACTATGTTCCTGAGAACAACAAAGGAAGAATGTGAGCTTGCTTCACCAGGAACTGCAGCTTCAGAGAATGACTCTTCAGTCTCACCATCATTTGCTAATGAGGTAAAGAAGGAAGATGTGTATTCTGCTCACCATTCCATTTCTCTGGAGGCAGCGTCACCAGGTCTGGCAGCATCTACCCAGGATGGTTTGGACCCAGACCAAGAACAGCCGGACCTGACTTCAATAGAAAGGGCAGAACCAGTCTCCGCAAAACTGACCCCTACCCATCCCAGTGTCAAAGGAGAGAAGGAGGAAAACATGCTTGAGCCATCCATTTCTCTTTCTGAACCTCTAATGTTAGAAGAACCAGAGAAAGAAGAAATAGAAACTTCCCTACCCATAGCTATTACCCCTGAACCTGAAGATTCTAATTTAGTAGAAGAAGAGATCGTAGAACTTGATTACCCAGAAAGCCCATTGGTTTCCGAGAAGCCCTTCCCACCACATATGTCCCCTGAAGTGGAGCACAAAGAAGAAGAGCTTATTCTACCATTATTGGCAGCATCATCTCCTGAACATGTTGCTTTGTCTGAGGAAGAAAGAGAGGAAATTGCATCTGTTTCTACTGGTTCTGCTTTTGTATCAGAGTATTCAGTACCACAGGATTTGAACCATGAATTACAGGAGCAAGAAGGTGAGCCAGTTCCCCCATCCAATGTAGAAGCTATAGCTGAACATGCAGTTTTGTCAGAAGAAGAGAATGAGGAATTTGAGGCTTATTCCCCAGCTGCAGCCCCTACATCTGAGAGCTCTCTCTCACCATCCACAACTGAGAAGACTTCAGAGAACCAGTCTCCACTGTTTTCAACAGTTACACCAGAATACATGGTCCTATCAGGAGACGAGGCCTCAGAAAGTGGGTGTTACACACCAGACTCCACATCTGCTTCTGAATATTCAGTTCCATCACTGGCAACAAAAGAGTCACTGAAGAAAACAATTGACCGTAAGTCCCCGTTAATATTGAAAGGTGTTTCTGAGTACATGATTCCATCAGAAGAGAAGGAAGACACTGGATCGTTTACTCCAGCTGTGGCCCCTGCTTCTGAGCCCTCTCTCTCACCATCCACAACCGAAAAGACTTCTGAATGCCAGTCACCACTGCCTTCTACTGCCACATCAGAACACGTGGTCCCATCAGAAGGAGAGGACCTAGGAAGTGAACGTTTCACACCGGATTCAAAGTTGATCTCCAAATATGCAGCCCCACTCAATGCAACACAGGAATCTCAAAAGAAAATAATCAATGAGGCATCCCAATTCAAACCAAAAGGTATTTCTGAGCACACAGTTCTGTCAGTAGACGGCAAGGAGGTCATTGGACCATCTTCCCCAGATTTGGTTGTTGCATCTGAACACTCTTTCCCACCACACACAACCGAGATGACTTCTGAATGCCAGGCCCCACCACTTTCAGCCACCCCATCTGAATATGTTGTTCTATCAGACGAAGAGGCAGTCGAGTTGGAACGATACACACCCTCTTCTACATCTGCTTCTGAATTTTCAGTACCACCATATGCAACACCGGAGGCACAGGAGGAAGAAATTGTCCATAGATCTCTAAATCTAAAAGGTGCATCCTCACCCATGAATTTATCAGAAGAAGATCAAGAAGACATTGGACCTTTTTCTCCAGATTCTGCATTTGTGTCAGAATTCTCATTTCCACCGTATGCAACCCAGGAAGCAGAGAAAAGAGAATTTGAGTGCGATTCTCCAATATGTTTAACATCACCATCTGAGCACACTATTTTGTCAGATGAAGACACTGAAGAAGCGGAACTGTTCTCTCCAGACTCAGCATCACAAGTTTCAATCCCTCCCTTTAGAATCTCAGAAACAGAGAAAAATGAACTTGAGCCTGATTCACTATTAACTGCAGTGTCTGCTTCAGGTTATTCCTGCTTTTCAGAAGCAGATGAGGAAGACATTGGATCCACAGCTGCTACACCTGTATCTGAGCAGTTCAGTTCATCACAGAAGCAAAAAGCTGAAACTTTCCCTTTGATGTCTCCGCTTGAAGACTTAAGTCTGCCGCCTTCAACAGATAAATCAGAGAAAGCAGAAATTAAGCCAGAGATTCCAACAACCTCAACATCTGTATCTGAATATCTCATTTTGGCACAGAAGCAGAAAACTCAAGCATATTTAGAGCCTGAGTCTGAAGACTTGATTCCTTCACATTTAACCAGTGAAGTGGAGAAGGGAGAAAGGGAGGCAAGTTCATCAGTAGCTGCAATACCTGCTGCTTTACCTGCACAATCATCTATAGTAAAGGAAGAAACCAAACCTGCATCTCCACATTCAGTTTTACCTGATTCAGTCCCTGCAATCAAGAAAGAACAGGAACCCACAGCAGCACTCACTCTAAAAGCTGCAGATGAACAGATGGCTTTGTCAAAAGTCAGAAAGGAAGAAATTGTGCCTGATTCTCAAGAAGCTACAGCACATGTATCACAGGATCAAAAAATGGAGCCTCAGCCTCCAAATGTTCCAGAGTCTGAGATGAAATATTCAGTTTTGCCTGACATGGTAGATGAGCCAAAGAAGGGTGTCAAGCCCAAATTAGTTCTAAATGTGACTTCTGAACTAGAACAGAGAAAGTTGTCCAAGAATGAGCCTGAAGTAATAAAACCATATTCACCTCTAAAGGAAACATCTTTATCTGGACCTGAGGCTTTATCAGCAGTGAAAATGGAGATGAAACATGATTCCAAAATAACAACTACACCTATAGTGCTTCATTCAGCTTCCTCAGGAGTGGAAAAGCAAGTTGAACATGGTCCACCTGCACTAGCATTTTCAGCTTTGTCAGAAGAAATTAAAAAAGAAATTGAACCCAGTTCCTCAACAACTACAGCATCTGTAACTAAGCTTGATTCAAACTTAACCAGAGCAGTAAAAGAAGAAATCCCAACAGATTCATCTCTTATCACTCCTGTAGATCGTCCAGTCTTAACAAAAGTAGGAAAGGGTGAATTAGGAAGTGGTTTGCCACCACTGGTAACATCTGCAGATGAACATTCAGTTCTTGCAGAAGAAGACAAGGTGGCAATTAAAGGTGCTTCTCCCATTGAAACTTCATCCAAACATTTAGCTTGGTCAGAAGCAGAGAAGGAAATTAAATTTGATTCACTTCCAAGTGTCTCCTCTATAGCAGAGCATTCTGTTTTGTCAGAAGTAGAAGCCAAAGAAGTTAAAGCTGGGTTGCCAGTAATCAAAACATCATCTTCTCAGCATTCAGATAAATCTGAGGAAGCAAGGGTAGAAGACAAACAAGATCTTTTATTTTCTACAGTCTGTGACTCTGAACGTTTGGTTTCATCACAGAAGAAGAGCTTGATGTCTACCTCAGAGGTGTTAGAGCCTGAACATGAGCTTCCACTCAGCCTATGGGGTGAGATAAAGAAGAAAGAAACTGAACTTCCTTCATCACAAAATGTGTCACCTGCATCCAAACATATAATCCCAAAAGGCAAAGATGAGGAAACAGCAAGTTCATCTCCTGAGTTGGAAAATTTAGCATCAGGTTTAGCCCCAACATTACTGCTCCTCAGTGATGATAAGAACAAACCGGCAGTGGAGGTATCTTCTACAGCTCAGGGAGACTTCCCATCAGAAAAACAAGATGTTGCTTTGGCAGAGCTGTCTTTGGAACCTGAGAAGAAAGACAAGCCACACCAACCGTTGGAATTACCAAATGCTGGGTCAGAATTTTCTAGTGATTTAGGTAGACAAAGTGGATCCATAGGTACAAAACAAGCAAAGTCTCCCATAACTGAAACAGAGGATTCTGTTTTAGAAAAAGGCCCAGCTGAGCTTAGGAGCAGAGAAGGAAAAGAAGAAAATAGAGAGCTTTGTGCATCTTCTACGATGCCTGCAATTTCAGAGCTTTCATCATTGCTTAGGGAGGAATCTCAGAATGAAGAAATTAAACCTTTCTCTCCCAAGATCATCAGCCTAGAGTCGAAAGAACCACCTGCCTCTGTAGCTGAAGGAGGCAACCCAGAAGAATTTCAGCCATTTACTTTTTCTTTAAAAGGATTATCAGAGGAGGTTAGCCATCCAGCCGACTTTAAAAAGGGAGGAAATCAAGAAATAGGCCCATTACCACCAACTGGAAATTTGAAGGCACAAGTCATGGGAGATATTTTAGATAAGCTAAGTGAAGAAACAGGCCACCCAAATTCATCCCAGGTACTCCAGAGTATAACAGAACCATCAAAGATTGCTCCTTCTGACCTCCTTGTAGAACAAAAAAAGACAGAAAAAGCACTTCATTCAGATCAAACTGTTAAATTACCTGATGTAAGCACCTCTTCTGAAGATAAACAAGATCTGGGTATTAAGCAGTTTTCACTTATGAGAGAGAATTTGCCTTTGGAACAATCAAAATCATTTATGACAACCAAGCCTGCGGATGTCAAAGAAACAAAAATGGAAGAATTCTTTATTTCTCCAAAGGATGAAAACTGGATGTTGGGAAAGCCAGAAAATGTGGCTAGTCAACACGAACAGAGAATAGCAGGATCTGTGCAGCTGGATTCCTCTAGCAGCAATGAGCTGAGGCCAGGGCAGCTCAAGGCTGCTGTGTCCAGTAAGGACCATACATGTGAAGTGAGAAAGCAGGTCCTGCCGCATTCTGCTGAAGAATCTCATTTGTCATCACAAGAAGCAGTATCTGCTCTTGATACTTCCAGTGGTAATACAGAGACCTTATCAAGTAAAAGTTACTCTTCTGAAGAAGTAAAGCTGGCTGAAGAACCAAAGTCTTTAGTCCTAGCTGGAAATGTAGAGAGAAACATAGCAGAGGGGAAGGAGATTCATTCTTTGATGGAGAGTGAAAGTTTGCTATTGGAGAAAGCAAACACAGAGCTTTCCTGGCCTTCCAAAGAAGATAGCCAGGAAAAAATTAAACTACCTCCTGAAAGATTCTTCCAGAAACCAGTGTCTGGCCTATCAGTGGAACAGGTGAAGTCAGAAACAATCTCCTCTTCTGTCAAAACAGCCCATTTCCCGGCAGAAGGTGTGGAACCTGCATTGGGCAATGAAAAAGAAGCACACAGGAGCACACCTCCTTTTCCTGAAGAGAAGCCATTGGAAGAATCAAAAATGGTTCAGTCAAAGGTTATTGATGATGCTGATGAGGGAAAGAAACCATCACCTGAAGTAAAAATACCCACACAAAGAAAACCCATCTCCTCAATCCATGCAAGAGAGCCTCAATCCCCAGAGTCACCTGAGGTGACACAAAATCCACCTACACAACCAAAGGTGGCTAAGCCGGACCTTCCTGAGGAAAAGGGAAAGAAAGGAATTTCATCTTTCAAATCGTGGATGTCCAGCTTGTTTTTTGGATCGAGCACTCCAGATAACAAAGTTGCTGAACAAGAAGACTTAGAAACACAGCCAAGTCCATCCGTAGAAAAAGCAGTGACTGTGATAGATCCTGAAGGTACAATTCCCACCAATTTTAATGTAGCTGAGAAACCAGCTGATCATTCATTATCAGAGGTAAAACTTAAAACTGCTGATGAACCCAGAGGTACTTTAGTAAAATCTGGTGACGGTCAAAACGTTAAAGAAAAATCCATGATTTTATCAAATGTAGAAGATTTACAACAGCCAAAATTCATTTCTGAGGTGTCTAGGGAAGATTATGGAAAAAAAGAAATCTCAGGCGATTCAGAGGAAATGAACATAAACTCAGTAGTTACTTCTGCTGATGGTGAGAACCTTGAAATTCAATCTTATTCACTAATCGGTGAGAAATTGGTTATGGAAGAAGCCAAAACTATTGTTCCTCCTCATGTTACTGATAGTAAAAGAGTCCAGAAGCCAGCAATCGCTCCTCCATCTAAATGGAATATTTCTATTTTTAAGGAAGAGCCAAGAAGTGATCAAAAACAAAAATCACTCCTTTCATTTGATGTAGTAGATAAGGTGCCACAACAGCCAAAATCAGCTTCCTCCAACTTTGCAAGTAAAAATATCACAAAGGAATCAGAGAAACCAGAGTCAATTATTTTGCCAGTAGAAGAATCAAAAGGCAGTTTAATTGATTTCAGTGAAGACAGACTCAAGAAAGAAATGCAAAATCCTACTTCCTTGAAAATTTCTGAAGAGGAAACAAAACTCAGGTCTGTTAGTCCAACTGAGAAGAAAGATAATTTGGAAAACAGATCATATACCTTGGCAGAAAAGAAGGTGCTGGCAGAAAAACAAAACTCTGTGGCCCCATTAGAGCTTAGAGATAGTAATGAAATAGGGAAGACACAAATTACACTTGGATCTAGATCTACTGAACTGAAAGAATCAAAAGCCGATGCTATGCCACAGCACTTCTATCAAAATGAAGACTACAATGAAAGACCCAAAATCATTGTTGGTTCTGAAAAGGAGAAAGGTGAAGAAAAAGAAAATCAGGTATATGTGCTTTCAGAAGGAAAGAAGCAGCAGGAACATCAGCCTTATTCTGTGAATGTAGCCGAGTCTATGAGTAGAGAATCAGATATCTCTTTAGGTCATTCTTTGGGTGAAACTCAATCATTTTCATTAGTTAAAGCTACATCAGTTACTGAAAAATCAGAAGCCATGCTCGCAGAGGCTCACCCAGAAATCAGAGAAGCAAAGGCAGTAGGAACCCAACCACATCCTTTAGAAGAAAGTAAAGTTTTGGTGGAGAAAACCAAGACTTTCCTGCCGGTGGCTCTTTCTTGTCGTGATGAAATAGAGAACCACTCTTTATCTCAGGAAGGAAATCTAGTATTAGAAAAGTCAAGCAGAGATATGCCAGATCACAGTGAAGAAAAAGAACAGTTCAGAGAGTCAGAGCTATCGAAAGGCGGTTCAGTAGATATCACAAAAGAAACTGTGAAACAAGGATTTCAAGAAAAGGCAGTAGGAACCCAACCACGTCCTTTAGAAGAAAGTAAAGTTTTGGTGGAGAAAACTAAGACTTTCCTGCCAGTGGTTCTTTCTTGTCATGATGAAATAGAGAACCACTCTTTGTCTCAGGAAGGAAATCTAGTGTTAGAAAAGTCAAGCAGAGATATGCCAGATCACAGTGAAGAAAAAGAACAGTTCAAAGAGTCAGAGCTATGGAAAGGTGGTTCAGTAGATATCACAAAAGAAAGTATGAAAGAAGGATTTCCATCTAAAGAATCCGAAAGGACTTTAGCTCGTCCTTTTGATGAAACTAAGAGCTCAGAAACACCGCCATATTTGCTGTCACCTGTAAAACCACAAACTCTTGCTTCAGGAGCTTCTCCAGAAATTAACGCAGTGAAGAAAAAAGAAATGCCACGATCAGAATTGACTCCAGAAAGGCATACAGTTCATACTATTCAGACATCTAAAGATGACACATCCGATGTGCCTAAACAATCTGTTCTTGTTTCAAAGCACCACTTGGAGGCTGCGGAAGATACCCGTGTAAAGGAACCACTGTCTTCAGCAAAAAGCAACTATGCTCAATTTATATCTAATACATCAGCAAGCAATGCTGATAAAATGGTTTCTAATAAAGAAATGCCCAAGGAACCTGAAGACACATATGCAAAAGGTGAAGACTTTACAGTGACTAGTAAGCCAGCCGGACTTTCAGAAGATCAGAAGACTGCCTTTAGTATCATTTCTGAAGGCTGTGAGATATTGAATATTCATGCTCCGGCCTTTATTTCTTCAATCGATCAGGAAGAAAGTGAACAAATGCAAGATAAATTAGAATATTTGGAAGAGAAAGCCTCATTTAAAACCATACCACTCCCTGATGATAGTGAAACAGTTGCTTGTCATAAAACATTAAAGAGCAGGTTAGAAGATGAAAAAGTTACCCCATTGAAAGAAAATAAACAAAAGGAAACTCATAAGACAAAAGAAGAGATATCCACAGATTCAGAAACTGATTTATCATTTATTCAGCCCACAATTCCCAGTGAAGAGGATTATTTTGAAAAATATACTTTGATTGATTATAACATCTCCCCAGACCCAGAAAAACAGAAAGCTCCACAGAAATTAAATGTTGAAGAGAAACTCTCAAAGGAAGTTACAGAAGAAACTATCTCTTTCCCAGTAAGTTCAGTGGAAAGTGCACTAGAACATGAATATGACTTGGTGAAATTAGATGAAAGTTTTTATGGACCAGAAAAGGGCCACAACATATTATCTCATCCAGAGACCCAAAGCCAAAACTCAGCTGACAGGAATGTTTCAAAGGACACAAAGAGAGATGTGGACTCAAAGTCACCGGGGATGCCTTTATTTGAAGCAGAGGAAGGAGTTCTATCACGAACCCAGATATTTCCTACCACTATTAAAGTCATTGATCCAGAATTTCTGGAGGAGCCACCTGCACTTGCATTTTTATATAAGGATCTGTATGAAGAAGCAGTTGGAGAGAAAAAGAAGGAAGAGGAGACAGCTTCTGAAGGTGACAGTGTGAATTCTGAGGCATCATTTCCCAGCAGAAATTCTGACACTGATGATGGAACAGGAATATATTTTGAGAAGTACATACTCAAAGATGACATTCTCCATGACACATCTCTAACTCAAAAGGACCAGGGCCAAGGTCTGGAAGAAAAACGAGTTGGTAAGGATGATTCATACCAACCGATAGCTGCAGAAGGGGAAATTTGGGGAAAGTTTGGAACTATTTGCAGGGAGAAGAGTCTGGAAGAACAGAAAGGTGTTTATGGGGAAGGAGAATCAGTAGACCATGTGGAGACCGTTGGTAACGTAGCGATGCAGAAGAAAGCTCCCATCACAGAGGACGTCAGAGTGGCTACCCAGAAAATAAGTTATGCGGTTCCATTTGAAGACACCCATCATGTTCTGGAGCGTGCAGATGAAGCAGGCAGTCACGGTAATGAAGTCGGAAATGCAAGTCCAGAGGTCAATCTGAATGTCCCAGTACAAGTGTCCTTCCCGGAGGAAGAATTTGCATCTGGTGCAACTCATGTTCAAGAAACATCACTAGAAGAACCTAAAATCCTGGTCCCACCTGAGCCAAGTGAAGAGAGGCTCCGTAATAGCCCTGTTCAGGATGAGTATGAATTTACAGAATCCCTGCATAATGAAGTGGTTCCTCAAGACATATTATCAGAAGAACTGTCTTCAGAATCCACACCTGAAGATGTCTTATCTCAAGGAAAGGAATCCTTTGAGCACATCAGTGAAAATGAATTTGCGAGTGAGGCAGAACAAAGTACACCTGCTGAACAAAAAGAGTTGGGCAGCGAGAGGAAAGAAGAAGACCAATTATCATCTGAGGTAGTAACTGAAAAGGCACAAAAAGAGCTGAAAAAGTCCCAGATTGACACATACTGTTACACCTGCAAATGTCCAATTTCTGCCACTGACAAGGTGTTTGGCACCCACAAAGACCATGAAGTTTCAACGCTTGACACAGCTATAAGTGCTGTAAAGGTAAATAGATGTTGAACACACATAATTAATAATATATATATACACATTTAATTTGCTTTTACATTTTCTCAATTTTAAAGATGATTAATATTTGATCATTGATCTTTAAGCAGAATGGTCTGAAAGCAAACTAAGAATATTTCTCCAAGAATTTAGTTAAGGTAGGCTTGACAGACATTCATTGAGTACAGCCCACCCTCCTTATCCTTGAGTTCTGCATGCTTAGAATCAACCAACCGCAGATCAAATATATCCAGGAAAAACACACACACACACACACACAAAACAATAAGAGGGGGCTGGGTGTGGTGGCTCACACCTATAATCTCAGCACTTTGAGAGACCGAGGTGGGAGGATTGCTTGAGCCCAGAAGTTTGAGACCAGCCTGGGCAACATGGGGAGACCTTGTCTCTACTAAAAATACAAAAATTAGCTGGGCATGGTGGCGCACACCTGTAGTTTAAGTTACTTGGGGGGCTGAGGTGGGAGGATCAGTTGAGCCCAGGAGGTCAAGGCTACAGTTTGCTGAGATCCCGCCACTGCACTCCACTCTAGGTGACAGAGTGAGACCCTGTCTCAAAAATAAAATAAAATAAAAAATAAATAAAAATAACAGCAATAAAAATAATACAAATAAAAACAATATAGTACAACTATTTACATAGCATTTATACTGTATCAGGCATTATAAGTAATCTAGAGATTATTTAAAGTATAGGAGAGGATGTATGCCGGTTATATGAAAATACTATGCCATTTTATATCAGAGACTTGAGCATCTTCATATTTTGGTATCTGCTGACATCCTGAAACCAGTCCTCTGCAGATATTGAAGACAACTGTACACACTGTGTGCCACACATTTTTCTAGGCCTAGGGGCTAGCAAGAGAGACAACACAGGGTCACTGCCCTTGAGGAGCTTGGTATTTTATGGCAATAGTCCTTAACATTACCAAAAATGCCAAATAATTTGAAATTTAAAAAATTACCTTTGAGCAAAAAACTGCAAAAAGCAGTTTCCTTCCTATTTATCTACAATATCATCCTTTAAAGAGACACATTTACAATACATTGAGACATTTCATTGCAAGTTATATGTAAATAATACATTAAGACAGTTTAAGATTTTACTTTCTTTGTATTTCCTTTTAATTTATAAAATTCATGTTAGAAGCAGAAATTTTTTTGCATTCTTTCTGGCTATGTCTGTAGGACCCCAGTGTTCCAGATAAGTTAGTCCCAACATGTATCCTCCTGTAAGTAACTATAAATACTCCACTTCCCTGAGATACTATTGGAATGTAGTCTTTGAGACTCTCCTCTACCTTTCCATAGCCCTCCTACTGGTCTCACCATTCTCACCTCTTTAATCCATTCTCCATAGGGCAGCTGGAATTATCTTAAAATTACTAAATAACAATAACGATTGAGGATTTACTCTGTGCCATGCACTATTTTTTTGTTTTTGTTTCTGTTTTTTAGAGACAGAGTCTCCCTGTGTCACCCAGGCTGGAGTGCAGTGGTGTAATCACAGCTCACTGCAGCCTTGACCTCCCAGGCTCAAGTGATCCCTCTACCTCAGCCTCCCAAGCCCCAAGTAGCTGGGAATATAGTCATGCACTGCCACACTGGGTTAATTTTATAATTTTTTTTGTACAGACAGGGTCTCCCTGTGCTGCCCAGGCTGCTCTAGAACTCCTGGGCTCAAGCCATCCTCCCTCTTTGGCCTCCCAAAGTGCTGGGATTACAGGTGTGAGTCACAATGCCCAGTCTTAAGTTCTTTATATACAGGATATCTTTTAGTCTTTCTAACAGCTCTGTCACTGTCATTAGTTTGCAGATAATAAAATCGTCTCAGAGAGTTTAAATGATTTGCCCAAGGTCATGGAAGGCGAAACTGGGGCTGGTACCCAGATCTTTCTGATGCCAGAGCTCATGTTCTTGACTATATACGCATACTGCTTGGCTCAGTACCTTGATAATGGTAGTGATTTTCAATATGATCATTCAATTAGGTCCTTGTTAAATAATTATCAGACTCATTTTGATTCAACAGATAACATATTAGAATCTTGGCATTTTTTAACTCCCAAATTAATCCTTCTCAACTTGTCTGATATTGGTTCTAGTTCTCCAGGGTATAGTTTTGTTGAAACTTTACTTGTTAAAGTTTGGGGTTAGGGAGTAGGGCAACTTCTTTTGTGAAATCTCAGACGTCACATGCATGAGCTACAGTGGAAGTGGGCCCCATTCTGCGGTGATACTTTGTTTTAACTCACAACTACTGAGCACTGCCAGCAGAAAGAAGACTGAATTTTTTTGGTCTTCTTAATATGTTTTGTTTATCTCTATGAGTTTTAGATATTAAAAAATAATCATCTAAGTATTATCAATTTAAAACAAATTTTATAAGTAGAGAGATATGATGTCTCCTGCCTTAAAATCATTTTTAAAGTTTTTTTTAATTCTTGATCTTCTCTAAACAGTATGAGAAGGAGAAGGTGGGAACCCAGTTGACTAAAGCCAAGCAGCTAGCTTCATTTCATTAAGTCAGCCATGAAGATTAGTAAGAGTTGTTTGGTTGGCAATTCCTCCTCCTACTGCTCCTTTCTCCTCCTTCCTCCTCCTCCTCCCTCTTTCTCCTCTTCTTCTTCTTCTTCTTCTTCTTCTTCTTCTTCTTCTTCTTCTTCTTCTTTCTTCTTCTCTTCTTCTTCTTCTTCCTCCTCCTCCCCTTCTTCCTCCCCCTCTTCCTTTCCCCCCTCCTCCTCCTCTTCTTCTTCTTCCTTTTTTCTTCTTTCTTCTTTGACAGGGTCTCACTCTGTTGCCCAGGGTAGAGTGCAGCGGCGTGATCATCATAGCTCGCTGAAGCCTCCTGGGCTCAAGCAATCCTCTCGCCTCAGCCTCCTGACTAGCTGGGACTAGAGACACATGCCATCACACCCAGCTACTTTTTAAATTTTTAGTGGAGACAAGATGTCAGTATGTTGCCCAGTCTGGTCTCGAAGTCCTGGCTACCAGCGATCTTCCCACCTAGGCCTCCCAAAGTGCTGGGATTCCAGGCAGTAGCCACTGCAGCTGGCCAGTTGGCAACTTTTTAAAAATAAAAATCAATTTAAAAAATTGTAGCTTGAGAATTTTCTAGCATCTTAAGGGCAGGCATTTGTGCCTGTTCCAGGAGCCAATGGCTGCAGTTACAGATCACCCAAGTCCTTGTGTCTCCTCCCCAGTCCATCCCCATCATGTGCTTATCTTTTGTCTGTTATTTATTTTCTTCATTTACTCACTCCCTTCCTGCATTCTCAGTGTTTATTTATCTCCCATTGTGTGTCAGGAACTGTGCCAATCATTGAGAGTGAAAAAAAAAAAAGGAAGATGGACTTGTAGATTCCCAAAATCAATACAATGTTGCGAAAGCCCAATGTTCTGAGAAACTAACCTTTTGGGAGTGAAACGGTGGGGTAGGAAGGGGAATGTTAGCAAAGGTGTCTCTAAAAGGTGATGCTTGGGTGAGCTTTAAATGAGATAGAGCTCTTCTAGCAGTCAAGGGCAGGGACAACATTCTAGAGCCAAGGAATACCATATGAAGGCACACAGATGAGAAAGAGTGCAATGACGAAGCCTGTGTGATTGGAGCCTGGGGGCTGTGGAGAAGAGGTAAGGGCCATAGAGGGAAGTAGAGACCAGATCCTGAAGAGGCCTCCATCAATGTTGTATCTCCATCAGTCTGTGGTAGTGAATCAGACAGCTGAAGCTCTGCTATTTTTTCTGCTTTGTTATTTTTTAAGTTTAGCAAGATTGGCTGTTGCTAGGTTTATAATTACGGCTAAAGTGGGTACCATGCTCCCCTATCACCCCATACGTTTTCTAGTTGGCTATTACCCCTTGAGTATTTTAACCCTTTGAGGGTCATTAGAACTTTTAGGTCCCTTTAGTAGGCAGTTTCTCTCAGTTGGTATGCTAAATTTCAGGCCTTGTGGCACTCTGATCACCTTCTCAGGCCATTAGTATAAATGTGAAGAAATTACTCAGGTATATTGGACCAGTTTAGCAAAAAGACTCCTCTCTCAGAACATATAAAAACCAAGGTCTTACTAGAGAGAACGCATTCAAATCTATAGTTCATTAAAACAGGTATGTTTTGAGCTCATCAGTTTATCAAGAAAGTCCATTCTTTCACTTACGAAGATATACTGTCTTTGTGTAGTTGTTTTGAGGTTTTCACTCAAAACCTCCTAATTATCATACAGAATTATCTATAGTCAGATGAGGCAGTAAAGAAAATTTAAGGATTGATTTGTTAGTGGATATAGTATAGTAAGTCTCTACGAAACATACTAAATTTATAAGGAACTTGGAGCTCACTGGTTGAAGTTCTCTTCCTAAATGTCATATACTAAGGATATCTTAATTCTTTTCTTCAGGTTCAATTAGCAGAATTTCTAGAAAATTTACAAGAAAAGTCCTTGAGGATTGAAGCCTTTGTTAGTGAGATAGAATCCTTTTTTAATACCATTGAGGTAAGTTAACACACCCATTTTACCTTAACCTGGCTTGTTCACAGTATCAGAAGTAAATGATTCTGAGGTGAAGGGATCTGACTTGGGGATTTTATGCGCATGTGTTGTTTGCCATTGTTGGTTCGGTTCCATTCAAAGCGAGAATGCTTAAAGTCTTCTCTCTGTGCATAATGAGTGAGATTCCTTTCTGCCTATGGATAAAAGATTTGCCGGTAACGACAGACATGCATTTATTAACACTTACTATAATAGGGCAAATGCTTTACATGCTTTACCTGACTGAATCCTCACAATTATATGAGATAGGTGTTATTATTGTTCCAATTGTATAGATAAGAAACCAAGTCTTAGAGTACATTCCTCATTTTCATGCCTCTCACTGGGTTAACTCTGCAGAAATGCTCTGAGTCACTGCCCAGTGTCCCATGCCCAGGGCCAGTGAGTGCCTCTCATAGCACGACTATCTCTGATGAGTTCATACTCTCCTAGCTGCTGGCTCTTATCCCTTCTGCAGGGAAGAGAGGGACTAGCAATGCTCCATCCTTATACAGAGATGGCCCAGGCACCCTCACCAGTCAATCAGGACTGGCAGAGGGCCTGAGGCCACTGCAGAGGCTGCTGCACAGTTTCCCTACTACTGGGGCCGCTCCACATGCTGGTTTGCTTGTAAGAGGTCTGCTTAATTCATGTTGTGGATCAACTAGTACATGCTAGTTATTTCGGGTGTCACCTTCCCCAGGTGTCCTTTTTAGGGAGTAAATTATGGGATCATCTTATTACTAGCCCCACTAGTGAGGATAGCCAGGCATCTGGATGTGTCTGGACAGGCAACGAAGTTTCTCCCACTGTGGGATAACCTGCCATCTCACTGGAGAACATTTGGGGAGGTAGCCCCCATTCCATATCTGGGCTTTCTGCCTTGCACTGTGATTTTAGTGGACTGATGCATTTCCACCATCTGAAGGCCAGGGATGCTCACTCAACGTGATGCCATTTTCAAGTTTCATCATGTGTGAGTGCAGGTGGGCAAGACTTCCATATGAAAATATATATATTTTGTATTATGGTAGCTAAAACTTTCTTGATGATACTGTTACAGTAAATTCTATTGCTTTATTGCAAAACTAACTGTGGGAAAGGGATTGGTAGGTTAGAAATTTGAACTGTGCATGTGATGTCTGATTCTCTGATCAGGATGCCAGAGGTCAATTCTTTAAAAGGCTGGTGTTTCCAAAAAAAAAAAAAAGCAGCATTTCTTGTTTCATTCAGAAGTGGGCTTTTTTGCTTGTTTGTTTTCAGGAAAACTGTAGTAAAAATGAGAAAAGGCTAGAAGAACAGAATGAGGAAATGATGAAGAAGGTTTTAGCACAGTATGATGAGAAAGCCCAGAGCTTTGAGGAAGTGAAGAAGAAGAAGATGGAGTTCCTGCATGAGCAGATGGTCCACTTTCTGCAGAGCATGGACACTGCCAAAGACACCCTGGAGACCATCGTGAGAGAAGCAGAGGAGCTTGATGAGGCCGTCTTCCTGACTGTAAGTGCCAAGTAAAATGGGCTCAAACACCTTGCGCCCACTCTGGCACATCTACTTTTAAAGCTTCATTTTTCACTATTCCTTAAGATTATTTATATCTCTGTGTGGGATTTATATAATTCTGGCATTTAAACATTATTTGGGCATGCCTGATGCCTATAGAAAAGGCCCAGCAAACCCTGAAAGCCTCAATGCCCAGATCCAGCTGAAAGATACAGCTGAAAGAGACAGCCTGCAGCATCATCATCCATTGCGTCCCACTGGATTCATTGGTCACTGTCTAAGAGGGAGGGAAAGAAGCCTTGTTCCTGCCATGCTTTCCCTCTGAGGGCCAGCTGGCATCCTCAGCCTGGCTCCTGGGGCCGTCCTCTTCACTCTCTAAGCTGAAGTGACCACTCATATGGGCTGTTCCCCCTCTGAGCCTGGCCAAGGGGCTGAGAGTAACATTTGGGTGTGCAAAAGGATGACATAATGGGGTACCCCTCTCAGGTAATAAATATGTTGGTGTTTTTACAAGGGGTTTCTTGGGGACAGGATTCCTTAATTCAAGCAGGTAACTTGTAGACATGGAAATTCCCTTGGGTGCTCCTCACATTGCACCAGCAGAGACACCTCTGTGCTCCCTGCAATTCCCTAGAATATTCAGTGAGATGCTGGGTCTCCATGAAGCCAGGATTAAGCAGAAATAGTGGAGATGTTTTCCCTGAAGGCAGTTCCAAGCCTAATTGTCACACAGCAAGAAGCACTGCTCTTAGGATGACTGGGAACCTCCCTTTCAAAGTTCCCCATCCTCCTACCCTTTAGAAAACTTTGGAGATACAGCAAGGCAAAACGGAACAATGTTAGCCTTTTGATTTGCCTCTGGGGACAGCTCTTGCCAGGGCAAATTTTGGTGAAGTGGACATGGCCATTCTCAAAGAGAACTAAACTCATTACATTGTTTTGTGTGTAATTAAGGCAAAGCTTCTTATTCATAAATTGGGCACTGTTTGTGAAGCATAATGTTAATTAAGTGCTTTTTGTTCCCTGAGAACCTTATCTTTGTTCTGTAAGAATAAGAATAATTTACTTCTTTCTAGAAGAGCAAACTGTAAAAAAAAAAAAAAAAAAAAAAAGGCATTTCTACTTATAAAAGTAATATTACTCATTTTTTAAAATTGGAAAATATAGAAAAGCACACAAAATATCACTCAGATAAATACTGATTACAGTTTTGATCTCTATCCTTCATTGAAAACATTTAAGTCATTTTTCCTGCTTTAGAGAATTCTATTCTGGAAGCTAAGCCATTGGTTGATGAATAGAGAGAAGCAGAGCATAAGCAACTCATTGCCAGTCCCGCTGATCACAGAGACAGAGCCAACTGCAAATGAAACCATCCTCCATCCCTGTCCTGACACTGCCCATCCCACCCATTCCCCCTCCCCTGCACCCCGCCTTGTGAGCACTTATGTCCTTGCTGCCCAGACTGAGACAAAAACAACCTCAGGGAAGCTGAGGGGTTATGATTTTCAAACGTGGGTAATCTTAATGCTCCTGGTTGTTTTTTCTTTCTGTTGTTAATTAGCTTCTCTCTCTCTTTCTCTCTCTCTTTTTCTCTCTTCTCCTCCTCCTTCCTCTCTCTTTCTCCCTAAGTCGTTTGAGGAAATCAATGAAAGGTATATAAAACATGATACAATGTAGTGGCAAACAGCATGACTGGATGCTTGCTTTTTAATATTTTGGTGCTTTATGGAAAATGAGCTGCCAATTAAAAAATGCATTTAGTGGGCTACAGTATTTTCACTTTTAGACACAGTGCTTTTAAAAGCTAAATGACAGCTTTGAAAGAAAACTGCATGTGCTTTAGTTAAATAACAATTATCATAATGTAGATTTTTAACTGCTTCCTCAAGATGTATTCTGCATTTTCAGCCTAATCTAGGCCATCTTTCCTGTCACTGCATATAGAACATTTTGTAGATGCTTAGATGCATTGGTTAAACATGAGTATTTGAAAGAATCATTCATATCTGCCTTGAGTAATTTTATGATTTATGTAATTTTAATGAACTGTTCTATCATTTTCTCTTCAAAAGATAGTCATGCATTTATCTTCTCTTTCTGCTCAGCTAACCTAAATGAATCTCCCTCCTTTGATTTTGTTTTGTTTTGTTGGTGTTTTTAACACTTCATCTAAGAGAATTCTTCATTCTTTCCAAAAGCAAAACACTCAACAAGAAAACATGTTGTCTATAAAAACATGTAACATCAGATTTATGTTTATCTTTCAGAGCATTTCATATTATAATTATCCAACAGATCTGACACGTTCTTCCTTTTGCCCCATAGCAAGACCTGAGGTCTTTCCTTCTGGTTTGAGCCTAATGTTTTCTCCTTTTAGTGTAATTTTAAATGTAAATTTCTAAATTGTAAATACCATCTTCAGTTTACTTCCATCCCAATTCAAATTGTGATACAGCATAGAGTAAAATCAGAAATTTGTATCTATAATGTATTATAATATAAAAAAGGATTTAGATTAGAAATATGATTTTTTTAGGTAATTGAAATCACACAGATGAATCCTATTTACCTAAAACAAATTCTATTCAACAGAATATTACCAGTTAGTTTTTGAAAATAATTTGACTTATTGACATTAATCAATAAGTGTTTTATAACAGTGGCTCTGTTATGAATAGAATTCCCCAAGGAGCTTTTAAAAATGCTGATGCCTGAATCTTCTGAGATTCTGATTTAATTGCTCTGGGGTGTAGATGAGCATTTTTAAGGCTTCCTAGATGATTCTAATGCACAGCCAGGGTTGAAAGTTCTGGTTTATACAATCTATCCTTCGTCCCAGTAATTCCCCACACTGGCTGTGCCTAAATCACCTGTGCAATTTGTTTAACCAAAGATCCTTTGGTCCCACCCCAGATCCACTACATCAAAATTTCCAGAGTGAGACCAGGCATCTGCTTGTTACCAATTCTCACAGACGAGTCTAAGACACACCAATCAGGTCTAGAAACTGATACCCAGGCCTTATTCCGAGTTCCCTATCTATCTATCTATCTATCTACCTATCTATCTATCTATCTATCTATCTATCTATATTTTTTTGAGCCAGGGTCTCACTCTGTCACCCAGGCTGGAGTGCAGTGGCACGATCTTGGCTCACTGCAACCTCCACCTCCCGGGTTTAAGCAATTCTCCTGCCTCAGCCTCCGAAGTAGCTGGGACCACAGGTGCGCTCCACCGTGCCCTGCTAATTTTTTGTATTTTTAGTACAGATGGAGTTTTGTCATGTTGCCCAGGCTGATCTTGAACTCCTCAGGCCAAGTGATCTGCCCACCTCCAGTTTCCTTTATTTTAAACAAATTATTTTTTCTAAATATTATTGACATTTCTTTTTATCCAAAAAGCACATGGATTTACAGTGCCATTCCATCTATACTGGACAGTGTAGATGCATATTTGCTTACTTATATTTTATCCATTCATGGAAGTTACTGCTCAGTAAGAAAATTTGGTGAGTGAAAAGTTGAAAAATGCAATAGAATGTTTTTACCTTTCTAACCATCAGAATATTGCAAATATAAATTGACATCCACTTAATACTAAATACTCTTTCTTCGGTTTTGTGCTTAAATATGTTCATCTGTGTGTCATTTTAATTAATTTCTATTTCATTGTCCAGTTGACAGTGAATTAATTTTTTGCTAAAGCTGCCTGTCTCTTAAAGGAGAGTACACTTGGGCTAACCATTATTTTCCTGTAAAGAAAAAAGACAACAAAATTCTGGGATTTGGTGAAGAAAGATGAACAATTAAAGAAACCGCTGTCAAACGTTCATGTACACGTGCACACACTTGATGAAGCTGGGCGCCATCACTGAAAAGCTTTCCATGTCCTCAAGAAAACTTCTGTCTCAAAGTCTCAATGTTATTGATGTTCCTTTCTATAAGAAGTGCTAATTATCTACAGTTGGCCCTTGAACAACACGAGTTTGGACTGTGCAGGTCCACTGATATGTGGATCTTTTTCAATAAATATATTGGAAAATTTTTTTGAGATTTGTGACAGTTTGAAAAAAACTCAAAGATGAACTGCATAGCCCAGAAATGTTGAAAAATTAAGAAAATGTTAGGTATGTCACAAGTACATAAAATATATGTAAATATTAGTCTATTTTATCATTTACTATCATAAAATATACACAAATCTATTATAAAAATTAAGAACATCAACATTTATGCACACAAACACCACCGTCCATAGCACCATATGCAGTTGGGAGAAATGTAAACAAACATAAAGATACAGTACTAAATCATAACTGCATAAAATTAACTGTAGTAATACTGTACTACTCAAATAATTTCTACAACTATACTGCTACCATACTACTTTAATAATTTTGTAACCACCTCCTGTTGCTGTTGTGATGAGCTCAAGTGTTGTGAATCTCTGCTTAAAAACTGTGTCACGCTAATCATCTCCCTGTGAGCAGTTAGTCTCTCCAGTAAATTGTATATTGCAGTAAAAAGTGATCTCCTAAGGTTTTTGCCTATTTTTTTTTTTTTTACCATATTCGGTGTGATACCATAAACCTTGAATAACGCCATGATACCCATAGGAAGTGGCACTAGTGATCCTGGATGTGCTCCCCAGAAACAGAGAAAAGTCATGACATTACAAGAAGAAGTTGAATTGTTTGATCTTTTCAGTAGATTGAGGTCTGTAGCCACCGTTGCCTTCCATTTCAGCATTTCAGGTGATTCATCTTGTGAAGAGATGATGTAAACTTAAGGTATTAATAAATACAGTACAGTACTGTAAGTGTATTTTCTCTTCCTTATGGTTTTCTGAGGAATTTCTCTTTTCTTTAGCTTATTTGATTTTAAGAATACAGTATATAATATGTATACAAAATATGTGTTAATCAACTCTTGAGGTTATTGGTAAGGCTTCCAGTCAACAGCAGACTATTAGTAGCTAAGTTTTTGGGGAGTCAAACAGTACACATGGATTTTCAGTTGTACAGAGAGTCAGTGCCCTAAACCCCATCTTGCTCAAGAGTCAGTTGTGGTTTATTTTACCTTGCCACTTTTTCTCCCTCCCTTCATATTACATCTCTAAAGGCAGTGCTTGTATATTAAATGCTTTTTCTCAACACTAAAAATGCTTAAATTAAGGAATGCTGTCAAGCATATTTAGACTAAACATTTACATATCTTGAAAAACACATTTGCTTAGAAAATGCTGTTTGTTGAGGGGATTCATTTTTTTTCTCCGTTTTGCTCTTTTGTGTTATAATAATGAAAGGAGTTGCAACCATTGTAAGACCTGCTTCTAAAAGGATGTCTGCCTGCCTTTTCATATGCTGATGTTAAACTGGAATAGGTTCGGTGCATAAGGGAAAACTCTAACATTTTGCTTGTGGTACCTACCATCAGAGCCTTTGTGCTACAAAATGTCCTACATTAATACACATCAGTGATGTGTATTTTTAGAGGGCTTAGTGCATGTATGGGGCACCATTTTTGTTCATTCTGAGCCTATCATTTCCGCCCTCTCCATCCCCACAGTCTTAATTTAGGCTCGTGCTGTCTTCCCTCACTAGACCCTATGGGGTTCTCCCACCTGACCTCAGACCTCCCTCCTCTGCTTACCCTGATCCTTCCTTAGACACTTGCCAAGACAGTCATCTAAATTTCCCTTTTATAACAATTTTGTGGCTCTCCCTGCCTTAAAAGACAAAATTGAACTCTCAGTGGGTATGAAAGGCTCTTTATAGTCAAGCCACAAACGACTTTTCTATTTCATCCCTGACTGTCTGTGTTTCCCAACTCCCACGGTGCCCTCTGGCCCTCGAATGTGCTGTACTTGGCCGCATCTCCATGCCTGGGTTCATACCCTTCTTCTATCTGCAATGCCCTTACTTGTTCTCTCTTCTGCCTAGGAAACTCCCACTCATTAATACCCAGCCCAAATGTTACCTCCTCTTTGAAGCCCCTCTGGAACCACCTCCCCTAAATCAAATGATAGTGAATTTTATTGTTTCTGACAGTAGTAAGTGTAGAAGTCACTCTTTAAATATTCAGTTTTATTTTATAATATTTTTCCTTCATACTGACCATAAATCCACCATCACTGAGATCCTGATATCCACACCCCCACAAAACTATTGGCCTCTTATTTATTCAAAATATGTTTATTAAATGCCCACCATGTGCCAAGTAATGCATTAGAATACAGTAGTGAACAAAATAAAGTCCTTTCCTGCATATAAACGGTATTCTGGTGAAGCAGACGGACAAAAACCGAAGAGGCTGTGATAAGTCTGGGGAAAACAAAGCCTAGTGAAGAATGGAGGGGGCAGGCAAGGCTGTATTAGTAGCGTACTCTCTGAGGAGCTGACATTTGAACAGAGATCTAAATTAAGTCAAGGAAGGAGCTGAGCAAGTGTCTGGGAGAACAAAGTTCCAACAGCAAGTGCAGTGGGTCTGCTGGGAAAACCAAGACATCCATGGAAATGAAGCCTTTTTGTCATTGTTTGTTTAAATCCACATTTCATCTGGATACAAATACTTAGACTTAGCATCAGTTGGCATTCCAGCTAATGAGGGTGTTGAGTCCATAAAGCTGTTGATTTAGAAATTGTGGCTTGTTTAGTCTTTTACGAATGATAGGCTTTATCCTCTCATTGCTCTTTCCCCAGTACCTAGCACAATGCCTGGGACATAGTAAATAAACATGTTTTGAATGACAAAATGATTAGAAGCTTAATATCGAGGTTTGAGAACAAGGACATCTGCAGTGTGTAAGTTTCTAGATGTGCTCTTAGCATTTTTATCCTTTGAAGCCTCAGTGGGTATGAAAGGCTTTGGATATAAATCCTTTCCCTTTAGGAAATAAAGAAAATAATCCCTAAAATGAAGTAATTTTTAGGACCAACTTTATAGGTAAAACACTTAAGACTGTATTGCTTGATAGAATCTTTCTAACTAGAGGATATAGGAATGAAATTTCCAATATTACCAGTTGCCTAAGAATAGATTTTAGACATATATTTCAAGACTTTAAAGCTTTAAATCCTTTTTTGGATAGAGTGAGAGGCCCTGCCTTATGCAAACCACCACTACCAACACCAGCTTCATTTTGAACAATTTTTTTCACTTTCATTCTGTATGTTAATAATTTTTTAACTTATGTAGAGCTCTATTCCCCGATAGGTTGCTTTCTGCAATGGAGAGCACTGCTTCTTTAGAGAAAATGCCTGCTGCGTTTTCCCTTTTCGAACATTATGATGACAGCTCGGCAAGAAGTGACCAGATGTTAAAACAAGTGGCTGGTAAGCATTTTAATATATTAATTACCTAGATGAAATATGGCAGTTTTTGCTTGTTTGTTTTGTATGTAATGATATATACAAAAGATTTTGAGTGTAAAGACATGTAACTGGAAAAAGAAAAGTATTAGTTGTAAAATGTTACAGCTAGACTCTGAAATTGAGCATGGGAGGAACATCCCATTTCTGTGCATTTCCATCTGAAGCTTTATGACTTGCTTGGAGATTGAGGAGGTGGAAGGAGCCATGGAACCAAAGGGTCTCCTCTTTTTTTTTTTCTTTAATTTAAAAATAGGATTTCTCTCCCTCTCTTCTCATTTGCCTCATACCAGCAGCCAGGTATAGAAGAAAAAAGAAGTCAAATGTTTTCCTACGTGTCAAACAGATTTCTCTTTATGAGTGGTTTTCCCCTCTTCAATTCAGTTCTTTTCCCCTTTTTTCAAACTAAACAGATGAGCTTAGAGAACTATCAGCTCAGCACCATGGTCTGTAGCCAGGAGCCTCCCACTCAGCTGTCAGAAGCATCCTGCCAGCTCTTCACAATATTTTTTAATGTGCTATTTTAACAAACAGGACAATGAAACTTATTTAGATTTTTCAAAGCTGCCATGTTTCAGTGAAGTTACCAAGTTTTTCTTACTGTACAACATGCTCAGGTGTCCTCCTTAAAAGATGCTGTAGTCTTCCAAAATCACCTCAAAGATTACAGCTATTCAGGAGGCTGAGGCGGGAGGATCACTTGAGCCTAAGGGTTCGAATCCAGCCTGGGCAACATAGTAAGACCCCCATGTCTAAAAACAACAACAACAACAACAAAAAACCCCAAAAAACAAAAACAAAAAAGATGGCTGTTGTGTTTAAATTGATGATTAACATTCATTCCTGTACAAAGAGTTTTAATTTAGTAACTACTAAAAAGGCTACTGTATGTCTAAAAAGACAAAAACAACACGACACCACACAACACACAAAAACCCAAAACCCCACCAGCCCTTTATAAAATTAAAAACTCAATCATTGATCTTAATGGATTTTCTCTAGAAATGTCTCAAAGTGTTTTCTTGTAATGTCTTTAAGAGGGATTAGACTAGGACAGTGATTGCAAACTAAGAAAGTTTGATTAACAGAGCTGGTCTTTTGCTTTTAAGGGATTCATTATATGCCACTGTTCATTTAGGAGGATATGCTTTTCAATACTTAATGGGCAATGAGAGGACGTTTAATATATTTTAGAGGTCACAGAGTTAAAATGTCACAAAGTGTTAACAATTAACTCAGCAAGTGCACATGGCGGTCCCTGTGGCTGGAAGCCTTTTATGGAGAGACTGATCTCAGAGCCATAAATGTTACTTTGTGCGTCTGTTTCACAAAATTGGAGCCCAGGGTGTTGACTTGCTGCTAAGTAGTTTTTGTGCATTTGGTGACACCTCTCAGAAGTCCTCACCTGTGACCTGAAAAGTTGATCTGATGACCCCCTACCTAAACTAAGCAGATACAATGAGAAAAGGATGTGAGTTTTCCAATGAGAAGTAGCAGCCCATACGATTTATTCCATGCTTATACGATGGCTGGCATTGTGGAAACCGTTAAGCATATCAAATCATCTAATCTCACCATAACCCAAGGAGGTAGGTTTTGTTATTCCCATTTGACAGGTGAGGAAAGGTGAGGAAAGAGAGGAACAGAAAAATGTTCTATTTTCAAGAAAACACAGCCGGTTGGGGTGTGTTTGGCAGGGGAGTTTGGCTTCAGAGTCTGCCCCACAGCGAAAAGGCAGAGTGCTGCTGAGAAAGATGAGAGAAACAGATCATGATAAACAAACATGAATCTAGGCTTCCTTGATGCTGGCACCTGGGGATTTTTTTTTTAATTGTGGTAAAATACACATAACAAAATTTACCATCTTGCCCATTTTTAATTGTACAGTTTAGTGGCATTAAGGACATTCACATTGTGGTACAACCATCACTGCCATCCTCTCCAGAACTCTTCATCTTGCAAAACAGAAGCTCTATATCCATTAAACACTAACTCTCCATATTCTCCCCTTCTCCTGGCTGTGGCAGCCACCATTTTACTTTCTGTTTCTGTGAATTTGATTACTCTAAGTACTTCATCTAAGTGGAATCATATGGTATTTCTCTTTTTGTGACTGGTTTGTTTAACTTAGAGTAATATCCTCAAAGCTTACCATGTTGTAACGTGAAACTTTTCCTCCTCTTATCTATTCATCCATTGGTGGATACTTGGGTTGCTTCCACTTTTTGGCTATTGTGAATAATGCTGCTCCCCTGAGGACGTTCCAAAGGCCAGGTTGAGTGGAAATCTGTATCTGGTCACAGATTCCAAAGTCCAGTTTGGTTAATGCTTAACTCCCCCAGTGTGGTGGCTCTTTTTGGGCACATTTCATCAGGCAGAGGGGTGATTCTTCTACCCAATTCCTTAGCCTCTTATAATGAAGCCCTAAACTTTCATTTTGGTATTTTTTGGTATCATACCTTTTTTTTTTTCCCCACACAGAGTCTCACTCTGTCGCCCAGGCTGAAGTGCAGTGGCACCATCTCGGCTCACTGCAACCTCCGCCTCCCGGGTTCAAGCCATTCTTATGCCTCAGCCTCCCCAGTAGCTGGGATTACAGGCGTGCATCACCATGCCCAGCTAATTGTTGTATTTTTAGTAGACATGGGGTTTTGCTGTGTTGGCCAGGTTGGTCTCCTACTCCTGAACTCAAGTGATCTGCCCTCCTTGGCCTCCCAAAGTGCTGGGATTACAGGCATGAGCCACTGCGCCCGGCCAGCATCATACTTATTCAAGTTTATTACTGTAAAAGTGTAAACAGAGTTGCTAAACTCCGGGTCTCTGATGTTGTTCTACCACATAAGAATTGTAAATCCAGCCATTATTATTAGATTATATCTATGGAATATTCTTATTCCCTTTTCATTTTAGAATTCTTTGAAAAGTAAAAGTATTTCCTGTTTCTGAAAAAAGGTGTTTTACCTTTAATGCTTTTGGGGGAAGGAGCACATTAAAACAAAATTTCTAACCTACATACTTTGCTTCTTCCTTGAAATTAAGTGATTTTCTTGGATCAATTAATCAGTTTTTAAGTTTGTTAATTTACCCGAGAAAGAGAGAGAAATGTGAAAGATGTTTTCATTTTTAAAAAGCAGATACAGCTCCATGTATAATTCATAGGATAAAAGGGGGAGCATTTTCACTGTTCATGCCTCAAGTAATTCTCAAATACTGCTTCAAAGATGATCGACAATCCTTGAAACATTCTGCTTGGTCCTTTCATAGACCTGGGTAACATGAAAATTTACTGAACTACATTTTTCTGGACAGACTTATTTAGAATGTGACATCCATTTCCTGCTGGGAAGACAAGCAATAAATTCCAAGACAGTATCAGGGTCTCTGACCCGTGATCAGTTCCTGGGGAGGTGCTCTCACCAGCGGCCTCTGCCTTAGCATGCAGTTCGCTCCTCAGGTCTTACCTCTGTGGCCTCTGTGGCTTTCCAGATGATGGGTCCCTCCTTCAGCCCTCATCTTCAGGAGCTTCCTGCCTTGCCCCTCTGTTTCCTGTGCTCCTGCCAAGGCCCCTTTGCTTTCTGAATGTTAGCACTGGTTATCTGTCAGCCACTTTGCTAAGCACTCGATAGATATTATTTGCTTCCTATAATGACACTGGGAGGTAATACTATTATTATTGTTTTCTCATTTTAAAGATGGGGAAACTGAGGCTGAGATAACAGAGGGGATGGATCTGGTGTTTAACCTTGGGCCAGCCACTCTGCATTGAAGTCCATGAACTTGACCCTTCTCCTCTTCTGCTTCTCGTTTTTCACAACTGTGTATTTTTTCAGCTCTTTATCGCTGTTGCATCTTCTCAGTTTGTCTCTTTTTGCTACATTCTTTAGACCCATTTGTGTTTTTCTCATTTGTACCTTCTTGCTGAACTGATCTTTATTTTTCTTTTCCTTTGGTGTCCACTTTTAATAAAGTAATCTCATAAAATTTGGCCCATATTATTAATATTTCAGTAAACTTATCTCTCAGGAAATTGTTGACTGGAAAAAAAACCCATAAAAAATAAATGTAAAAACATGCTATTGGGTCAGGTGCAGTGGCTCATGCCTGTAATCCCAGCACTTTGGGAGGCCGAGGCGAGCGGATCACCTGAGGTCAAGGAGTTTGAGACCAGCCTGGCCAACACGGTGAAACCCCATCTCTACTAAAAATACAAAAAAATGAGCTGGGCGTGGTAGTGGGCGCCTGTAATCCCAGCTACTAGGGAGGCTCAGGCAGCAGAATTGATTGAACCCAGGAGGTGGAGGTTGCAGTGAGCTGAGATTGCACCACTGCACTCCAGCCTGGGTGACAGAGCAAGACTCCATCTCAAAAAAAAAAAAAAAAAGCATGCTATTTTTTCAACTATGGGAATAACCTTTTCCTCTAATTTGTAAAATATGTTCAAAGATTTTATGTCATAAGTTTTGGGGGAGAATTGCATAGAAGTTTGATTTATGGCATTGCATATACCATTAATGTTTGTACGCATAATCATGAACTTTACAAGTTTCTAGGAAAACATCCAAGGATTTTGTTGTCATTAAAATTCAGAACAACGGAGTTATACTAGGTGTCTAAAATGTATGCTGAATCAGTAGGCTACTTTTTCTGTAGTTTTTATATATTTTGTTTAATTTTTAAAAAGTTAGTAATTAAAAAAATTGATAGGGCTAGCCATGTTGGAAAGAAAAAATGGGATAGTCGTTTCAGAAAGTGTATTTTGATATTTTATTTTTGCAAGTATTTTTCTGGCTTGAAGATACACCAACTATATCTTAAAAGGGTTTCATTTGCCTCTATCGTGAATATAGAATCTATATTGATACAGAATGATACAACCTTGGCTATCTAGCAAAGCATGTGTTTTGTTTTGAAGGATAAGCAAGTCAGTTGTTGCCTCCTCTAACCTACATGAGTTTATTGCTCCAACTATAGGACTGTAGAAGAGTATTCTCAAGTGATCCCATTTTGGAATACATTTTTGTTTATTTCTGTGTGTATTATATATGTGCACATGTACAAATGCATAGAAAATATTGTGGAGGGATACACATTCAACAGTGATTGCATCTAAAGAATACAGCTGGGCGCGGTGGCTCACGCCTGTAATCCCAGCACTTTGGGAGGCTGAGGCGGGTGGAATCCTTGAGGCCAGGAGTTCAAGAACAGCCTGACCAATATGGTGAACCCCCACCTCTACTAAAAATACAAAAATTAGCCAGGTGTGGTGGTGCAGGCCTGTAATCCCAGCTACTCAGGAGGCTGAGGCAGGAGAATTGCTTGAACCCGGGAGGCGGAGGTTGCAGTCAGCCAAGATTGCGCCACTGCACTCCAGCCTGGGTGATAAAGCAAGACTCCATCTCAACAGATTAAAAAAAAAAATTGGCCGGTGTGGTGGCTCATGCCTGTGATCCCAACACTTTGGGAGGCCGAGGTGGGTGGATCACCTGAGGTCAGAAGTTCGAGACCATCCTGGCCAAGGTGATGAAACCCTATCTCTACTAAAAATACAAAAATTAGCCAGGTGTGGTGGCAGGCGCCTATAATCCCAGCAACTTGGGAGGCTGAGGCAGAAGAATCGCTTGAATCTGGGAGGCAAAGGTTGCAGTGAGCCGAGATCGTGCCACTGCACTCCAGCCTGGGTGACAGAGTGAGACTCAGTCTCAAAAATAAATAAATAAAATTAAATTAAAGTTAAAATTAAAATAAAATAAAAAATAAAAAAATATAATTGGGGTTGGGGGTTTGGGGGAACAAGAGAGCCCTTCTACTTTTATACTATGTATTTCTGTATTCTTTGAATATTTTTCAACAAGCATAAGTAACTTGTGCCCAAAAAATTAATAAAAACAGCATTAGTTACAATAAAACTTGTTTATATTCCAGTTCCACAGCCTCCTAGATTAGAACCTCAGGAACCAAATTCTGCCACCAGCACAACAATTGCAGTTTACTGGAGCATGAACAAGGAAGATGTCATTGATTCATTTCAGGTTTACTGCATGGAGGAGCCACAAGATGATCAAGAAGTAAATGGTAGGATTGCTAACACAAATACAAATGCATATGCATATTCATGCATCTTCATGTGAAGTATTTAAATATACACCTGTATTATGACTCTTCCCACAAAGCATTTATAGCCATTTACAAAACAACAACAAAACCCCAACAACCATATAATGAAATAATAACTACAGAAGCAAAATTTGGGAATCAAGATCAGGGAAAACAAAATGGCATAAATATTATAATAGTCAACACAAATATTGTAATTGAGATTCACATTTGGCTTTGAGCTCTCAGAATAACAGGAGCAATGAAGTGGTTCTCATTTAGAGAAAGGAGGTAACATACCAGAGTTTCAAGGAAAATAAAGTTTTTAACAGTACGAAAGCCTGAAAGACAAGTGTCACGTGTTCCACTTTTAGGGAAGAAGCCATAGAGAGGACAGTGTGCTCCACAATGACCTGAATGCAAATGAAGCATGGGATGTCATGGGTGGCAGTTTCTCAGGTCTGTCTTTGCTAAAAGCCACCAACAAGCCACAAGATTCATTCAGTGTTCACAGTTCCCAGGGCGTGGGCCTAGGTATGGTGTAGTCTTCCTGTGTCCCAAATTAATGTGTGGATAGAAATGAAAGTGCTTAGTAGGGTGAATGGATGGTATGTCTTACAGCTGAGCCTCTGTAAGTATCTCTCAGCTCAGAAGGACTTCTAATAAGCCCTGGAAGCCAGGCAGTTTGAGGTTGTGCTTCCTGATGAATCAGAGCTGGGAGTGCTGCCATTCTGTGTTGCTTGTTGAAGACAGACCCACATACTATGGAAAACAGATGAGCATGTGGCAGGCTTGGCGTCCTAACTCAGGTGCCCAATTTGTAATCAGGAATGAATGGTAATATATTATACTATTACTAATATTTAAGTCTTTTGAAATGTCATGTGATAATTAATTTAGAAAAAAGTTTAAAAAAGCAATTATAGGCATGGTGTAAAGTTGGCTAAATCTGTCTGTAATGTCATGACTCCTGTTTTATTGACCTATTTCCATATGCCTGTCACAGCACAACCAAGTAAGTGTTACTATCCCTATTTGCAAGTGAGAAAACTAATGTGAGGTTACATAGTTTGCTCAAGGCCTTGCAACTTGTACATGACCGGGGGCAGGAGTCAAACACACATCTTTCAGGCTCCAAAGTTTATTCTTTTGTTTGTTTGTCTCTGTGTGTGTTTTGTTACACCATACTTCATCTCCATCTATTTCTAGCTCTATTTCATGGCTCTCTGAGACCCTTCTTATCAAATAGTTGTTGCTTGGCCTGCTTTTTTTTTTTTTTTACTGGGTTTCACCCCCACCCCAAACACTTCCCTATCCTGTGTCTCATTGTTTCTGTGCCCTGAACTGTGTTAATAACAGTTAGCTAATCTGATAATCTAGTCTGTGATACCATGTCATGTTTAGTAGGGTCTCTAGTCACATATGTTATGTACACTGTTAAAGGGAGTGCCAGGGTAATAGGATGTATTAGTTCATTCTCACACTGCTATAAAGACATACCTGAGACTGGGTAATTTATGAAGAAGAGGTTTAACTGGCTCACAGTTCCACAAGGTGTACAGGAAGCATGGCAGAGGAGGCCTTAGGAGACAGAATCATGGCAGAAGGTGAAGGGGAAGCAAGCACATCTTCCCATGGCTGGCAGGGAAGAGAGAGAGAGTAAAGCAGGAAGTGCTACACACTTTCAAACAACCAGATCTCTTGAGAACTCATTTATGAGAACAGCAAGGGAGAAGTCCACCCCCATGATTCAATCACCTCCCACCAGGCTCTTCCTCCAACACTGGGAATTACAATTCAACATGAGATCTGGGTGGGGACACAGAACCAAACCATATCATAGGACCTTGCCTAAAAGAATGATTCCAGTGAAAATTGCAGACACAGATTCTGGGATATGGGAGAAATATTCTTCAGTGTACAGGTCCTTATGAGGTTCTTTAAACTGAACTTTCTGTCCAGAAAGTACAGCTCATTGGAAAGGAGAGAGGCAATTGAGAAGCCTGCTAAGTTGAAGAGCTCCCGATTTTCTTTTAAAGAAACAGTCTGGGTTCTTAAGTGGAAAAGTTTTGAAGATGTGACATTCAAGAGTCATAAGGGGGGGAAACTGAAATTACCATAGGCAAAATTTACAAAGAAAATCATATGTTTTAAAGGAGATAAAATTTCAGTGAGAATAATCAAATTGGCCCAAATTGGTAGGTTTGTTCAGAATGGTATTGGATAATGTTTACTATTAAAATATTCAAAGTAAGATATTTTTTAAAATTTTTGAAGGCAAATGTCTTAATTGGACAAAGTTACTTCTTAGAGTAGCTTATGACCTATCAAAGTTATTTAAGTATTTCTATAAATTGTGGAAATCCCTAGTGGAAAGAATTCTGGAATTCATGAGAAGAAACCAGGATTTGAAACCTGGAAGGTCATACTGAATACCAAAATAGTTTACTAATCTGTAAAGATGTTTAAAAACCATGAAGTTGTCCTTTTTTTATGACATACTCTTCTGAAATATTGGCACTGGTTCTTAAGATTTTCTTGAGAATGTGTTACTGAGATTTAAGCTAACATATACATTATGTAATTTTAATATTCGCTACTGAAATAAGTTACTTTAATTGTGGTATATGAAGCTCAGAATCTTACTAATATGCTATTATTTTCTGAGAAGTGTTAACAAGTATTACTATGTCATCCTAAGTATCTCTTTTCAGAATGCTGTTGCTTTCACATGTATTCTAAGGAGCTGGTTTTCACATAATGGTATCTGTAAGGTTATCAGTTTGCATTTTCCACTGAAAGAAAATCATAGATGACTTTCTCCAGTAACTATAACTTTTAATTAACTTTGGAAGATGTCTTCGATTTTAATTGTGTCTTATGCTAGAGTTGGTAGAAGAATACAGACTGACAGTGAAAGAAAGCTACTGCATTTTTGAAGATCTGGAACCTGACCGATGCTATCAAGTGTGGGTGATGGCTGTGAACTTCACTGGATGTAGCCTGCCCAGTGAAAGGGCCATCTTTAGGACAGGTAAGGAGATGGATGCTAAGGGTGCATTAGAAGACAACGCTCAGTTCTTCACAGACTCTTGAGATCAGCCAGTAAGTGTTTATTAAGCACCTATTGTGTGTTGAGTGTTGTGCAAAGTGCTGGTTATACAACGATGACTTAAGCCTGGGGTCCTGTTCTCAAGAAGCTCATGCTCAGGTGGGGAGATGGAAAAACAGAGGATCATAGAAAATGTGTGGTAAGGGCCATATCCAGATATACACAGGTTATTATGAGAACACTCCAGAGGGGCACCCAAGTTGGCCTGGGGCAGGGGCAGGATCGGAACTGCTTCCTAGAACTGATGCCTGCAGAAAATGCTTTAAAGGATCAATAGGAAGTAATGCGTTAAAGGAGGATATTCCACTTGAAAAAGACATGAGCAGAGGCATCAAGGCAAGAAACAGTATGGAGTGTGCAGGACACTGTAAGAAGTTTGGTATTATTTCTTAGACTTAAACAAAGGAAAGACAAGATAAGAAAGGCTAACATAGAGAGGCCGTGTTTGCAAGGTAAGAAGCTTGGGCTGCGTGTGGGTGCTGGGAACCCCCAAAAGGTTTTAAGCAGTGGTATTTAACTGGAAATGCATTCTCACGATGAAATCTTTTCACAGGGTAAGAAGCCTAAACCAAGGCTGCACTGCCTTTAAGATAATGGTAACCTGCCTCAGGGGAAGAAATAGTTTACTCCTACCCTTTATCCTTTCCTCTTGCCTTTTAAAACAAGCCTTTATTGAGCACCTACTGAGGACAAGATCATGGCTAACTTGTGTGTACTGGGACAGGGGAAAGAATCTTTATTTTGATTTGCTTGTATATGTATAAAGAAAGTCTAGTGGGATTTATAGGAAGCTACTATTAGGGGCTGTTTGGGGATGGGTGAGAACTGGGCAATGTGGAAGGCAGAGAAGGGAGAGAGACATCACCATCTATATTTGATCCCTTTTGGGTTTTTAACACAGAATACACTTTCTGATGAAAAATTGAAAACAGAATCATGCCGAAGCCGTGGAAGATCACGTGCTTCTCAGGTCCCAGGAAAGCAAGCTGGCATTGCTCCACGACTGTCCTGACTCTCTTTCTGCAGCACCCTCCACCCCTGTGATCCGCGCTGAGGACTGTACTGTGTGTTGGAACACAGCCACTATCCGATGGCGGCCCACCACCCCAGAGGCCACGGAGACCTACACTCTGGAGTACTGCAGACAGCACTCTCCTGAGGGAGAGGGCCTCAGGTGAGGGGCCCTCTCCATGGGAGAGACTGCCCAGAGCCCAGTAACCAAGCTCTGGGTCCTAAACTACCCTCTAACTTCTGCTCACCAAGGGAGAAATGCCGTCTAAAATCCTGCTGAGCTAATGAAGCCGCTGACTTGATTTGCAGCTCTATCACAGTTCACCAATGAACTCCAAGTTTGTAATAAAACACAGGCTACAATGCAGAATAACTCCCTTGTAAGAAAAATGTATGTGAATTTTAATGATAGAACATTCTTTGAGGTATATTTAACTTCAGTCATTAGACAGGATTTATGCATATTTTATGGGTTTTTTACTAGCTATATCAGAATCCGTACCACCTAACTCAGGAAACTAATAGTGAGCTTGTGTATAATGTAAATTGGAATGTCTCCATGATAGATTGGTAACATTAAGGAGCTAATTACATGTATATTATCATGGAGACATACCTGCCTCTCCAAAAGCATGAAATATGTAAAGAGATTCTTCTAGGAAAAAAGAAATGTGACGCACTCTCACCAAGATGCTGAAGCTGACATTCATCAATAAGCAGCTGTGCATCCACTAGGCATTTGGTAAATGTTAACTTATCTACCGAGGTGGTGTTTTCTTAGCCTCCCACCTCCTTGCTGTGGAGCAGCTTCATGTACCATGATGCATATTCAGATCATTCTTAATACTCATATTTTGATAGAGAGGTTTTTAGGTTTTCTTTTAAACCAAGTTTATTGAGATAAACTACTTTGGTAGGATATGGAACTTAGGAATAATGGTATGAAACTAGACAGCTTTTTTTTTTTTATTACACTTTAAGTTCTGGGATATGTGTTCAGAACATGCAGGTTTGTTACATAGGTATACACGTGCCATGGTGGTTTGCTGCACCCATCAACCTGTCATCTGTATTCGGTGTTTCTCCTAATTCTATCCCTCCCCTACCCCCCTGCCCCCAAAAAGGCCCCAGTGTGTGATGGTCCCCTCCCTGTGTCCATGTGTTCTCATTGTTCAACTCCCACTTATGAGTGAGAACATGAGGTGTTTGGTTTTTTCTTCCTGTGTTAGTTTGCTGAGAATGATGGCTTCCAGCTTCATCCATGTCCCTGCAAAGGACATGAACTCAGTCCTTTTTTATGGCTGCATAGTATTTCGTGGTATATAAGTGCCACATTTTCTTTATCCAGTCTATCATTTGGGTTGGTTCCAAATCTTTGCTATTGTGAATAGTGCCGCAATAAACATACGTGTGCATGTGTCTTTATAGTAGAATGACTTATAATCCTTTGGGTATATACCCCATAATAGGATTGCTGGGTCAAATGGTATTTCTGGTTCTAGATCCTTGAGGAATCGCCACACTGTCTTCCACAATGGTTGAACTAATTTACACTCCCACCAACAGTGTAAAAGCATTCCTATTTCTCCACATCCTCTCCAGCATCTGTTGTTTCCTGACTTTTTAATGACTGCCATTCTAACTGGTGTGAGATGGTATCTCATTGTGGTTTTGATTTGCATTTCTCTAATGACCAGTGATGATGAGCTTTTTTTCATATGTTTGTTGGCAGCATAAATGTCTTCTTTTGAGAAGTATCTGTTCATATCCTTTGCCCACTTTTTGATGGGGTTTTTTTTTCTTGTAAATTTGTTTAAGTTCCTTGTAGATTCTGGATATAAGCCCTTTGTCAGATGGATAGATTGCAAAAATTTTCTCCCATTCTGTAGGTTGCCTGTTCACTCTGATGATAGTTTCTTTTGCTGTGCAGATGCTCTTTAGTTTAATTAGATCCCACTGGTGGATTTTGGCTTTTGTTGCCATTGCTTTTGGTGTTTTAGTCATGAAGTATTTGCCCATGCCTATGTCCTGAATGGTATTGCCTAGGTTTTCTTCTAGCGTTTTTATGGTTTTAGGTCTTACGTTTAAGTCTTTAATCCATCTTGAGTTAATTTTTGTATAAGGTATAAGGAAGGGGTCCAGTTTCAATTGTCTGCTTATGGCTAGCCAGTTTTTCCAACACCATTTATTCAATAGGGAATCCTTTCCCCGTTGCTTGTTCTTGTCAGGTTTGTCAAAGTTCAGCTGATTGTAGATGTGTGGCATTATTTCTGAGGCCTCTGTTCTGTTTTATTGGTCTATATATCTGTTTTGGTACCAGTACCATGCTGTTTTGGTTACTGTAGCCTTGTAGTATAGTTTGAAGTCAGGTAGCATGATGCCTCCAGCTTTGTTCTTTTTGCTTAGGATTGTCTTGGCTATGCAGGCTCTTTTTTGGTTCCATATGAAATTTGAAGTAGTTTTTTCCAATTCTGTGAAGAAAGTCAGTGGTAGCTTGGTGGGGATAGCATTGAATCTGTAAATTCCTTTGGGCTGTATGGCCATTTTCACAATATTGGTTCTTTCTATCCATGAGCATGGAATGTTTTTCCATTTGTTTGTGTTCTTTCTTATTTCTTTGAGCAGTGGTTTGTAGTTCTCCTTGAAGAGGTCCTTCATATCCCTTGTAAGTTGTATTCCTAGGTATTTAATTCTCTTTGTAGCAATTGGGAATGGGCATTCACTCATGATTTGGCTCTGTGTTTGTCTATTATGGTTGTACAGGAATGCTTGTGATTTTTGCACATTGATTTTGTATCCTGAGAATTTGCTGAAGTTGCTTATCAGCTTAAGGAGATTTTAGGCTGAGATGATGGGGTTTTCTAAATATACAATCATGTCATCTGCAAACACAGCCAATTTAACTTCCTCTCTTCCTATTTGAATACCTTTTTTTCTTTCTCTTGCCTGATTGCCCTGGCCAGAATTTCCAATACTATGTTGAATAGGAGTGGTGAGAGAGGGCCTCCTTGTCTTGTGCAGGTTTTGAAAGGGAATGTTTCCAGTTTGTTTTATTTATTTATTTATTTTTGAGACGGGGTGTCCCTCTGTCAACCAAGCTGGAGTGCAGTGGTGTGATCTCGGCTCTCTGCAACCTCTGCCTCCCAGGTTCAAATGATTCTCCTGCCTCAGCCTCCCGAGTAGCTGGGATTACAGGCGCATGCCACCAAGCCCCGCTAATTTTTTTGGGTATTTTTAGTAGAGACGGGGTTTCACCATGTTAGCCAGGATGGTCTCAATTTCCTGACCTTGTGCTCCGACCTCCTTGGTCTCCCAAATGCTGGGATTACAAGGGTGAGTCACCGCGCCTGGCGCTTCCAGCTTTTGCTCATTCAGTGCGATATTGGCTGTGGGTTTGTCATAAATAGCTCTTATTATTTTGAGATACATTCAATGAATACCAAGTTTATTGAGAGTTTTTAGCATGAAGGGGTGTTGAATTTTATTGAAGGCCTTTTCTGCATCTATTGAGATAATCATGTGGTTATTGTCATTGGTTCTGTTTATGTGATGGATTATGTTTATTGATTTGCATATGTTGAACCAGCCTTGCATCCCAGGGATCAAGCTGATTTGATTGTGGTGGATAAGCTTTTTGATGTGCTGCTGGATTTGGTTTACCAGTATTTTATTGAGGATTTTCACATCGATGTTCATCAAGGATATTGGCCTGAAATTTTCTTTTTTTGTTGTGTCTTTGCCAAGTTTTGGTATCAGGATGATGCTAGCCTCATAAAATGAGTTAGGGAGGAGTCCTTCTTTTTCTGTTGTTTGGAATAGTTTCAGAAGGAATGGTACCAGCTCCTCTTTGTACCTCTGGTAGAATTCGGCTGCAAATCTTTCTGGTCCTGGGCTTTTTTTGGTTGGTAGGATATTAATTACTGTCTCAATTTCAGAACTTGTTATTGGTCTATTCAGGGATTCGACTTCTTCCTGGTTTAGTCTTGGGAGGGTGTATGTGTCCAGGAATTTATCCATTTCTTCTACATTTTCAAGTTTATTTGCATAGAGATGTTTATAGTATTCTCTGATGGTAGTTTGTATTTCTGTGGGATCAGTGGTGATATCCCCTTTATCATTTTTTATTGCATCTATTTGATTCTTGTCTCTATTCTTCTTTATTAGTCTGGCTAGTGGTCTATTTTGTTAATCTTTTCAAAAAACCAGTTCCTGGATTCACTGATTTTTTGAAGGGTTTTTTCATGTCTCTATCTCCTTCAGTTCTGCTCTGATCTTAGTTATTTCTTGTCTTCTACTATCTTTTGAATTTGTTTGCTCTTGCTTCTCTTGTTCTTTTGATTGTGATGTTAGGGTGTCAATTTTAGATCTTTCCCACTTTCTCTTGTGGGCATTTAGTGCTGTAAATTTCCCTCTAAACACTGCTTTAGCTGTGTCCCAGAGATTCTGCTATGTTGTGTCTTTGTTCTCATTGGTTTCAAAGAAGTTATTTATTTCTGACTTAATTTCATTATTTACCCAGTAGTCATTCAGGAGCAGGTTGTTCAGTTTCCATGTAGTTGTGTGGTTTTGAGTGAATTTCTTAATCCTGAGTTCTAATTTGAATGCACTGTGGTCTGAGAGACTGTTTGTTATGATTTCCATTCTTTTATATTTGCTGAGGAGTGTTTTACTTCCAATTATGTGGTCAATTTTAGAATAAGTGCAATGTGGTGCTGAGAAGAATGTATATTCTGTTGATTTGGGGTGGAGAGTTCTGTAGATGTCTATTAGGTCTGCTTGGTCCAGAGCTGAGTTCAAGTCCTGAATATGTTAATTTTCTGTCTCATTGATCTGTTTAATACTGACAGTGGGGTATTAAAGTCTCCCACTATTATTGTGTGTGAGTCTAAGTCTCTTTGTAGGTCTCTAAGAACTTGCTTTATGAATCTGGATGCTCCTGTATTGGGTGCATATATATTTAGGATAGTTAGCTCTTCTTGTTATGTTGATCCCTTTGCCATTATGTAACGGCCTTCTTTGTCTTTTTTGATCTTTGTTGGTTTAAAGTCTGTTTTATCAGAGACTAGGATTGCAACCCCTGCTTTTTTTTTTCTTTCCATTTGCTTGGTAAGTATTCCTCCATCCCTTTATTTTGAGCCTATATGTGTCTTTGCACATGAGATGGTCTCCTGAATACAGCACACCAGTGGGTCTTGACTCTTTATCCAATGTGCCAGTCTGTGTCTTTTAATTGGGGCATTTAGCCTGTTTACATTTAAGGTTAATATTGTTTTATGTGAATTTGATTCTGTCATTATGATGCTAGCTGGTTCTTTTGCCTGTTAGTTGATGTAGTTTCTTCACAGTGTCGACGGTCTTTACAATTTGGTATGTTTTTGCTGTGGGTGGTATTGGTTTTTCCTTTCCATATTTAGTGCTTCCTTCAGGAGCTCTTGTAAGGTAGGCCTGGTGGTGACAAACAGCATTTGCTTCTCTGGAAAAGATTTTATTTCTCCTTTGCTTATGAAGCTTAGTTTGGCCGGATATTAAGTTCTGGGCTGAAAATTCTTTTCTTTAAGAATGTTGAATATTGGCCCCCACTCTCTCCTGGCTTGTACGGTTTCTGCAAAGAGATCCGTTGTTAGTCTGATGGGCTTCCCTTTGTGGGCAACCCGAGCTTTCTCTCTGGCTGTCCTTAACATTGTTTCCTTCATTTCAACCTTGGTGAATCAGATGATTATGTGTCTTGGGGTTGCTTTTCTCAAGGAGTATCTTTGTGGTGGTCTCTGTGTTTCCTGAATTTGAGTGTTGGCCTGTCTTGCTAGGTTGGGGAAGTTCTCCTGGATAATATACTGAAGAGTGTTTTCTAACTTGGCTCCATTCTCCCTGTCACTTTCAGCTACACCAATCAGACGTAGATTTGGCCTTTTCACATAGTCCCATATTTCTTGGAGGCTTTGTTTGTTCCTTTTCATTTTTTTCCCTCTAATCTTGTCCTCATGCTTTATTTGATTAAGTTGATCTTCAGTCTCTGATAACCTTTCTTCCGCTTGATTAATTTGGCTATTGATACTTGTGTAGGCGTCAAGAAGTTCTCGTGCTGTGTTTTTCAGGTCCATTAGGTCATTTATGTTCTTCTCTAAACTGGTTATTCTAGTTAGAAATTCCTCTAACCTTTTTTCAAGGTTCTTAGCTTCCTTGCATTGGGTTAAAACATGCTGTTTTAGCTTGGAGGAGTTTGTTATAACCCACCTTCTGAAGCCGACTTCTGTCAGTTAGTCAAACTCATTTTCTGTCTAGTTTTGTTCCCTTGCTGGTGAGGACTTATGATCCTTTAAAGGAGAAGAGGTGTTCTGGTTTTTGGAATTTTCAGCCTTTTTGCACTGGTTTTTCCCTCATATTCGTGGATTTATCTACCTTTCGTCTTTGATGTTGGTGACCTTCAGATGGGGTTTCTGTGTGGACGTCCTTTTTGTTGATGTTGATGCTATACTTTTCTATTTGTTAGTTTTCCTTCTAACAGTCAGGCCTCTCTGATGCAGGTCTACTGCAGTTTGCTGGAGGTCCACTCCAGACCCTGTTTGCCTGGGTATCACAAGCAGAGGCTGCAGAACAGCAAAGATTGCTGCCTGTTCCTTCCTCCGGAAGCTTCATCCCATAGAGGCACCCGCCAGATGCCAGCTGGAGTTCTCTCGTATGAGGTGTCTGTAGACCCCTGCTGGGAAGTGTCTCCCAAGTCAGGAGGCATGGGGGTCAGGGACCCACTTGAGAAGGCAGTCTGTCCCTTAGCAGAGCTTGAGTGCTGTGCTGGGAGATCTGCTGCTCTCTTCAGAGCTGGCAGGCTGGAACGTTTAAGTCTGCTGAAGCTGTGTCCACAACTGCCCCTTCCCCCAAGTGCTCTGTTCCAGGTAGATGGGAGTTTTATCTATAAGCCCCTGACTGGGGCTGCTACCTTTCTTTCAGAGATGCCCTGCTAAGAGAGGAGGAATCTAGAGAGGCAGTCGGGCTAGAGTGGCTTTGCTGAGCTGCGGTGGGTTCCACCCAGTTTGAACTTCCTGGAGGCTTTGTTGACACCGTGAGGGGAAAACTGCCTACTCAAGCCTCAGTAATGGCGGACGCCCCTCCCCCCACCAAGCTCGAGCATTCCAGATTGACTTCAGACTGCTGTGCTGCCAGCGAGAATTTCAAGCCAGTGGATCTTAGCTTGCTGGGCTCCTTGGGGGTGGGATCCACTGAGCTAGACCACTTGGCTCCCTGGCTTCAGCCCCCTTTCCAGGGGAGTGAATGGTTCTGTCTTGCTGGTGTTCCAGGAGCCACTGGGTTATGAAAAAAAAACTCCAGCAGCTGGCTCAGTGCCTGCCCAAATGGCTGCCCGGTTTTGTGCTTGAAACCCAGGGCCTGGTGGTGTAGGCACCCGAGAGAATCTCCTGGTCTACAGGTTGTGAAGACCATGGGAAAAGCGTAGTATCCGGGCTGGAATGCACTGTTCTTCATGGCTTCCCTTGGCTAAGGCAGGGAGTTCCTCGACCCCTTGTGCTTCCCGGGTGAGGTGATGCCCCACCCTGCTTCTGCTCACCCTCCATGGGCTGCATCCACTGAGATGAGCTGGGTACCTCAGTTGGAAATGCAGAAATCACCCACCTTCTACATTGATCTCGCTGGGAGCTGGAGACCAGAGCTGTTCCTATTCGGCCATCTTGCCAGCCACCTCTAGACAGCTTTAAATAAAGTGTGTTATTTAAGCTCTTGTTTATCTTCATGATCAACAACTATTTATTTAGTTATGATGTGAAATTTTATATGACTGAACAATGATGATAGTTTCTTTCAAGTTGAAGACAGGCTTCACAAAATAATGATCAAAGGATGAATTAATATCGGGTGGGGGACGTTTTGGTGGGATGTAGGCATTTAAGCAGAAGCGTAAACATAATAAGTGTTCAAGAAACAACATCTCTTTTAATGTGCCAGCTGCTGGAAGGCAGGCTTCAGTATTAGCAAATAGCTTAGAGGTGAACTCTGGCCAAAACAGAGGGAGAGAGGAAAAAAAAAAAAAAAAAACCAGACTTTTATTGAGCATTTACTATGTGCCAATCACTAGCCCAAGTACTTTAGGTATGTTGCCTCATTTAATCCCCACAAAAACTCTTAAGATAAAACAGACACTTTGAGAGGCTACTCAGCTCGTATTAGCAGTCAGGATTTAAACCTCATTTTGTGAGATTTCAAAGTCTAAGTTGTTAACCCTTGCTTTACGTCACTTAGGGGAGTCCTGGACCTTAACTGTGAAAACTCATTGATGCTATATGAGAAGAACCCTGTATCAGAAGTGCCAGAGTCCCAGAGTAATCTCTCCCACCATTTTCTACCATCTGTAAGGAAAACCCAGCTCTTTCAGAGGCAAGATCAGCCTGCTAATGAAGTCTCTGAAATGACTCATTCCCTTAATGGCATCCGTCCCCAGTTGGCATTTGCATAAATCACATCAGCACAGTTGGATACTTAAATCAGCAGAAATCTGGAAACCCTGAGACCTAGTAGCCATCTCACTAGGGAACAGTGATGTCATCTCATAAATATGGCTACAAGGAGAAGGGATGGGGGGATGGCGTTCCATTGAGGGCCTTCAGCTGGCCAGGAACTTGCCTACTCTGAGTGAACCTTCTCAGCAATCCTATGAGGCAGTTAGTGATCTCCACTAAATCAGACTCAGAGAGGTTAAATAATCTGGCCAAAGTATGAAATGATGGAGTGAGGGTATGGAGTCAGGATTCAAACCCAGGCCTGTCTTCTTCTTTCAACTAGTTTTAAGACTGCAGCCCTGAATAGACTGAGGCATCCCTCAATAACCTGATGACTGGGTGGTACCATGCATCCTTAGTTTTCTCTGTCCCATGAGAAACATAGATATGAAGAGAGAATGCACTACCATTCAAATCCCCTCTCGTTAATATTTTTCCCTTCCCTGATTATCCTGGGGACTTTGCAACTAAAAAAAAGGAAAAAGAAAAGAAAAGACTCTTTCTGATAACAACAATGCATTCCAGAAAATCCTTTGCGAAAGCCAGAGAAACCAATGACAGTTCCATTTGTAGGAAAAAAAAAAGACCATCCACCAATTTCATTAAGACCAACATCGAGCTTATTAAAACATAAGGCTTGTCATTAGCTTATTCTATTTGAGATCTTGCCAATCAATTCATTTTTATTTTTCTTGTTGCAGGCAAGCATATTAGGGGCCGGCTAAGCAAAAATTTATAATAGAACAATACAAGGGGTTCTTTGCTATTGAGTGGTTATAGTCCAGCAAATTTAGAAATAAAGGGAAGTTGCACATGCGAAGCCCTGTTGATAGTTTAATGCTGGGTTAGATCTGGAGTTGCTTTCCATTTAGGTACTAAGAGGCCCCTCAGTGCCAGGAGGTGCAACGATATGTTCAGTCCATAGCCCAGGTTTGACTCTCCAACCTCTGGATCCCTGCTGAGTCTGACAATAGATAATTTTTTGAGGCAGGAAAAAATTTATTGGCCACAAATTACTATCCTGTTCATTTGCTAAGTCTACTGCTGACACACTGCATCAGAGCCATCCCCCATCAATACAGGCCTCAATATCTTATTCCCTAGGTTGGCATCAACAGACTGAAATAATTCATCTTTAATCGCAGAGTCCCAGGACTGCAAAACTCATTTTTATCTCTTTGGTTCTTTAATGTAAGAGTTCAAGACGGAAGGAAAATTCTGCTCTTTGGGAGTGGCCATGTGTTATGGTTCTTTTGACCATCTGGTTTTCACAACCAACTTTAAAACATTCTTTACACGGTCCGATGCTTCAAAATTCTGTAAAACATTAACTATTTAACTACGATCTGTGTAGTTCAATCTCTAAGATGTCAGTTGTGGAGAACAAGTCTTACAGTAGAATTGATGTATAAAGAAGCTCAAAACTTGATCATCTCTAGTCAATAAATACAAACAATTCCTCCTTTTTGTCCATTATATTAGAACCCCATTCTTCACTTTGATTCTTTGCACAGCAATGGATAAAGTTACTTGGTCTCTGAGAAAGAACAGCAAGCCAAGATTTGTTTGATCTCACTCCTTTGTTGGTTCCATGAAGGGATCATTGTGTGAAGTTGTCATCTCAGTGCCTATGACAGTGCCTGGCATATTGTAACTACTCAATAAATATGTGTTACTGGAATGAGTAAATATCAATTAGCATCAAACACATAACACTGACTAGTAAGAAAAGTTAGTCTAGCTTTGAGGATAATCTCTTATTTAAAATGAGGAAAAAAATAAATTGTGCCAGCAAAGTAAAGAAGAATGGATGAATTAATTGTAGTGCTTGGATATTTAACCAGGAGATAGGACTAGTCTAATCTGTGGACTGGAAACCTTCCCATGGGTAACTCATAGGGAAGGACTTTACAAGCTTATTTATCCATTGGTTATATAACCCTTACATAGGTTCTGGATTTCATGCAAAAACTCTATAGTACTAAACTAGCTCCAAAAATTGATCCAGAGGTCCCTGAGGGAAATTAGGGGGATCAAAGATTACTTCCATTTGTTGTGGTTTAGTTTAACTGAGCCTGGACCATAAATGGGGTATGAACGGGGAACTTATCTGTGTAGATACTCAATAAATGTCTGTTTCACGAATGAGTGAATGAATGAATGAATGAATGAATGAAGGGGATTAACCAATCTCTTTTTGTCCTTGCCCACTTCAAGCCATCTAACTGGCTGGATCTCCAGCAAACAAGATAGGGAGCAAGAGCTAAATGAGTTCACATTTCTTTTCCACCCCCAATCCCCGATAAAACAAGCAGGCTTCAAAGCTCTGGTATGGTGTAGGAAGACAAGTTGAAAGGAAATGAAAAACAAAAAGGCAAAAAAAGATGAGTAATATTAAATCACACGCACACATGGAGAGAGGGCATTGGTTGTCCTCTAGATTGGAGAATCTAATTTTGCTTGCCAGAATAGAAACACATCCATCTTCAGACCTGCAGTCCTTCCCCAGGTATAATGGCCTCTGGCGATTCCAATTTAAGACCAAAGGTGCTAGTTGAACTTTTATGGTGGGCGTTTGAATGGAATGAGCCTACTGTGCCCCCAAGTTACATGACGCAGTGTCTGAAATAGCTGAGCAACTGCCTCCATTCCATAATCCTCACAGAAAACATTTGCATATTTTTGCGTGTGGGCACCGAGGAGGCTCGGTCCCAGCAGTCGGCCCCTGTTGGGTTTGGGGTAGGCGGGAGTGACAATCCCCGGCTTGTGCGCGGGGGCTGAGGGAGCTCCTACTCACCTTCTTCCTGTTTTTCTTTGAATGCTCTCCTCAGGTTGGGTGGGCTCAAAACACTTTCAAAAATTTTCCACCGTTCTGCTGTTTCCTCAGCTGTTCTGTCTCTCCTGTGTGGAGAGAAGTCAGAAGAAGTGTGGGTGGAGGAGGGAAAACTGAGAGAAATATAGTACAGGGATTAGCTGTGTGGGCTGCAGCGAGAGAAGCCGTGTATTGAATGACAAATCTGTGAGAGTCAATACGCCAGAAAGTAGCTGGGAGTGAGTCTCCTGCTCCCTGGCTCTGGCTGAGGCTATGGGCTGGGGAGACACTCCCGGGGCCATCCTCCAGGGCAAGCATTTCCAGGGAGTTGGGCTCAGGGTGCTGGGCCTGTGAGCTCATATTCCTCCTTCTTCCAGCTTTTGGGGCCCCACCTGGTGGAGCAGGAACAGAATTGCCTGTCATAGGTGGGTGTTTTCAGCTGGGGACACCCACTGCTCTGTCTGTAGAATAAGGACAAATAAGGGTAAGTTTCCTAATGAACTTAGTGCAGAGTGAGGAATCCCAGCATTTTTCTTTTCTTTAAATCTTTCTTCCTCAGCCTTCAGATGGATAGGTGATGACTGACCAGTGGTCAACAGCAAGAGATTGGAGCTTCCTTGCACCCTGTGGCTAAAGGAGGCAGTCATTCCTGCTCCTTGCTTCTTCACAGGGTGACAGGAGGGTCACTGACACGATTGGGCCAAAGTTCTTATTGAGTAATTAAAAGCTAGTCACCAATCTGTATGTGAAATTGTTTTCCTGATCCAGTTGTCATATCCCTCTGTAGGGAGCCTTTGGGAGAGGGAGTTATGAGAAGATGATTCCCCATCGCATCCCCCAGTGTCTTCGCGTTTGGCTATTCCTAAATGAAATCTTTCTTCCCAAATGACCTTATTTGACTTTGATCACGTACAACACCTCCTAGTTGTACAGTAAAACCTCAGTCAATGGAAACCCAATCAGTTCCTTCACTTCTAACTTAGGCCTGTCAATTTCCAAAAGTATTCAGGTTGTCCACAATGAAAGACCCAGACATAGTAGAACCAGTAAAACAATCCTGTGAGAACAAGAGCCAAATAATGCAGGACTGAAGAGACTGAAAATGAAGAACTGAACCTCAATGGAACACAAAATTTAAATCTGAACTTACTGGCAGCTAAAGAGAAAACAGGAGAGAGGGGGAGACAGCAAGAGGAAAAAAAGAGATTACATAACTCATCTCTTTTTTTAAAAGGAAGCACATTTCACTAAGAGAGACAATTATATTTCTTGACATTCAGCTCTAAGATGAATTTTTCATGTAGATCTTTATATAAGGGCTATTGAACAAGATAATAGTGATTGCCTTTAAGAGCAGTTTTACAAAAGCTGCAAAAACGTTCTCTGTATAACCATTATTTTAAACAGGATCTGAAAGCATAATGTGAAGCCACCATTCTGGGCAGGCAGTTTTATGAGGATCTCAAGGAATTGTTTGCCTGTGTGACTGTGGAGGGGTAAAGGAGGGCCTAGAGAATCCAGAGGAATGAATGTTACTAAGCTCCTGGGATTCTCTGCCTGGAATATAAATGATACCATTCAGCCTTTGGAGGGTAACTATAGAGAAAACAAAAATCTAGAATCTTTCTGCTGGGACCTTTGGCTTATGCTGATTTTGCAAGAATGTTTAATTATAGGAAAGCCTAAGCCCCATGGTTGTCAGGATTCAGCCCCCATGTTACTTTTCTACAGTGTTGTGAACTAAGAGTGATGTTAGTTCACACCTGTAATCTCAGCACTTGGGGAGTCTGAGGTGGGAGAATCACTTGAGGCCAAGGAGTTCAAGACCAGCCTGGCCATTCAGCCCCCATGTTATTTTCCACACTATTATGAACTAAGAGTGAGACGCTTACCATCGAGTCTCATAATATCATCATTTATCAAAAGAAAAATAGTTCTGTTCAAAAATTTTTATTTACCAACTTTTTAAGAAGGAAAATCTTCTCAATCCTGATTTAACCAAGTGTTTCACCTTAAACAAAAAGTTCCATATTGACAGTTAGTTAAGATTTTATAAGTAGCTTCACACAGCCATGGCTATTCAGTTGGTTTTTTATATTTAATGTTGCTCATGTTCTCAAGTAGTTTTTTTTTCCTTCCCACCCCTTCTTACCCCGCATTATCTTATGATTATTTTTCCCAACCTAAATGATCATAAAAATCAACCGGGATGCTTACTAAACACCTAGATTCAAAGGCCCCTCTTAAGATTCCGATTCAGAAGATCTAATATGCCCAGGCAGGCTTGGGGAACACTGCCTTACCAGCTGGTCCTTCAGGGCCCAGCCATGTACTCTGTTCACAGTTCACACTATGTGGTGTCGACTGACTGCCTGAATGTTGGTGCTGTCAATGTGAATGTCAGTAAAAGCCAACTGTGTTTTTTAAAAAACAATACCTATTTAGCCATCTGTGGTACACTGCAGTGACGACACTAACTGTAGGCTGCTCCTAGGAATCACGGCACTGGATTCCTCCATATTGTTTGTACACAGGCCGCCCCGCTCCCCTGGGGAGAAAGCATACTTAGATCCAGGGGTTGGACATGGTGGTACAGAGAACAACCACACCCTGTAATTGCCAACCCCTCAAGTTACCTTAAGCACATACATACTCCTTTCCTTTTTTTCCATCCCATACAAATTGCTGAATTATCAAATTCCTGGAGAAGCTACTTTACAGGGTTCAAATTAATGTCCCCTTTGAGATTGTGCAAACACATTCAACCAACTCCTGAACTTCTGAGCTGGTAATATAGCTCTTAAAAGTAAAATATTTAATTAAATTTGGATAGAGAATATGTATTTATGGTACAAATTAAAAAGATACAAAAGAGAATACAGTGGAAATTAAGTCTCCTTTCTACCTATCCTTTACCTACCCAATTCTCCTCCCCAGAAGCAATTACTGTTACCTGATTCATATTGATCCTTCCAGATAGTCTGTGCACATACAAACATCTACAGTTTTTTAACAAATGGTAGCATACTATATATGTTTCACCACTTTGCTTTCCTTGCTTAAAAATATTCCTTGGTGAGCATCCCATATCAATACATATGAAACTACTTCAATTAAAAAAAAAATTTTAGGCCAGGTGTGATGGCTCATGTCTGTAACCCCAGCACTTTGGGAGGCCGAGGTGAGTGGATTGCCTGAGATCAGGAGTTTGAGACCAGCCTGGCCAACGTGGTGAAACCTCATCTCTACTTAAAAAAATACAAAAATTAGCTGGGCGTGGTGGCAGGCAGCTGTAATCCCAGCTACTTGGGAGGCTGAGGCAGGAGAATTGTTTGAACTCAGGAGGCGGAGGTTTCAGTGAGCCAAGGTTGTGCCATTGCACCCCAGCCCGGGAGACAAGAGTGACACTGCATCTTAAAAAAAATAATAAAAATAAATTTTTTTTTAAGTTTTATTTTATTGTTTTAAGAATATAATTTAGGCCGGGCACAGTGGCTCACGCCTGTAATTCCAGCACTTTGGGAGGCCGAGGCAGGTGGATCACGAGGTCAGGAGTTCAAGACCAGCATGGCCAAGATGGTGAAACCCCATCTCTACTAAAAATACAAAAATTAGACAGGTGCAGTGGCAGTTACCTGTAATCCCAGCTACTCAGGAGGCTGAGGCAGGAGAATCGCTTGAACCCGGGTGGGGCAGAGGTTGCAATGAGCTGAGGTCATGCCACTGGACTCCAGCCTGGGTGACAGAGTAAGACTCCATCTAAAAAGAAAAAAAAAAGAATATAATTTAACTTATTTACCAATTGAGAGGCATTGAAGTTGTTTCTATTCTCTTGCCATCACAAACAATGCTGCAGTAATAAACCTTGTGCATATATCATTTCACACATGTGCAAATATATTTGTAAATTAAATTATTAGAAGTGGAATAACTGGTTAAAAAGTGTGTACATTGTGAATTTTGATAGATATTACTGAACTGTCTCTATAGAGGTTGTAGTTGTTTATTTGACTCTGACTAGTAGTGTATAAGAGTGCTTAGTTCTTTATACCCTTGCCTAAACATTGGATGATAAAACTTTTGATCTTTTGACAATTTGTAGAAAATGAAATCTTATTTTAGTTTAACTGTGCATTTCTTTTATTAGGTTGAACATCTTTTCATATGGTTCAGAGCCACTACAGTACTTCTTTTTCTATAAACTGATCATTTCCTAGCAATTTTTTTTCTCTTGGATTGTGGTATTTTTTCTTTTTGATTTGTAGAAGCTCTGTTTTTTTAAGGAAGTTAGCTTTCCTATTAAGAGATAAGTTTCAAATCTTTAAAAATTTTTTACCGTGCATATTTTTTATAATAATTGAGTTGGATTTATCAATCTCTTTTGAAAATAGCTTTTAACTTGGGTAGCATATTTTAAAATGCCCCCATGCCGCCTGCCCCCCTCTCTCTTTCTGTGTGTGTGTGTGTGTGTGTGTGTATGTTTATTCACTCATGTTTTTTTGTAGTAGCCAATACAGTAATTTCATTTTTATTTATTTTTATTTTTTTTTTTAATTTTTTTTTTTTATTATACTCTAAGTTTTAGGGTACATGTGCACATTGTGCAGGTTAGTTACATATGTATACATGTGCCATGCTGGTGCGCTGCACCCACTAACGTGTCATCTAGCATTAGGTATATCTCCCAATGCTATCCCTCCCCCCTCCCCCGACCCCACCACAGTCCCCAGAGTGTGATATTCCCCTTCCTGTGTCCATGTGATCTCATTGTTCAATTCCCACCTATGAGTGAGAATATGCGGTGTTTGGTTTTTTGTTCTTGCGATAGTTTACTGAGAATGATGGTTTCCAATTTCATCCATGTCCCTACAAAGGACATGAACTCATCATTTTTTATGGCTGCATAGTATTCCATGGTGTATATGTGCCACATTTTCTTAATCCAGTCTATCATTGTTGGACATTTGGGTTGGTTCCAAGTCTTTGCTATTGTGAATAGTGCCGCAATAAACATACGTGTGCATGTGTCTTTATAGCAGCATGATTTATAGTCATTTGGGTATATACCCAGTAATGGGATGGCTGGGTCAAATGGTATTTCTAGTTCTAGATCCCTGAGGAATCGCCACACTGACTTCCACAATGGTTGAACTAGTTTACAGTCCCACCAACAGTGTAAAAGTGTTCCTATTTCTCCACATCCTCTCCAGCACCTGTTGTTTCCTGACTTTTTAATGATTGCCATTCTAACTGGTGTGAGATGATATCTCATAGTGGTTTTGATTTGCATTTCTCTGATGGCCAGTGATGATGAGCATTTCTTCATGTGTTTTTTGGCTGCATAAATGTCTTCTTTTGAGAAGTGTCTGTTCATGTCCTTCGCCCACTTTTTGATGGGGTTGTTTGTTTTTTTCTTGTAAATTTGTTTGAGTTCATTGTAGATTCTGGATATTAGCCCTTTGTCAGATGAGTAGGTTGCGAAAATTTTCTCCCATGTTGTAGGTTGCCTGTTCACTCTGATGGTAGTTTCTTTTGCTGTGCAGAAGCTCTTTAGTTTAATTAGATCCCATTTGTCAATTTTGGCTTTTGTTGCCATTGCTTTTGGTGTTTTGGACATGAAGTCCTTGCCCACGCCTATGTCCTCAATGGTAATGCCTAGGTTTTCTTCTAGGGTTTTTATGGTTTTAGGTCTAACGTTTAAATCTTTAATCCATCTTGAATTGATTTTTGTATAAGGTGTAAGGAAGGGATCCAGTTTCAGCTTTCTACATATGGCTAGCCAGTTTTCCCAGCACCATTTATTAAATAGGGAATCCTTTCCCCATTGCTTGTTTTTCTCAGGTTTGTCAAAGATCAGATAGTTGTAGATATGCGGCATTATTTCTGAGGGCTCTGTTCTGTTCCATTGATCTATATCTCTGTTTTGGTACCAGTACCATGCTGTTTTGGTTACTGTAGCCTTGTAGTATAGTTTGAAGTCAGGTAGTGTGATGCCTCCAGCTTTGTTCTTTTGGCTTAGGATTGACTTGGCGATGCGGGCTCTTTTTTGGTTCCATATGAACTTTAAAGTAGTTTTTTCCAATTCTGTGAAGAAAGTCATTGGTAGCTTGATGGGGATGGCATTGAATCTGTAAATTACCTTGGGCAGTATGGCCATTTTCACGATATTGATTCTTCCTACCCATGAGCATGGAATGTTCTTCCATTTGTTTGTGTCCTCTTTTATTTCCTTGAGCAGTGGTTTGTAGTTCTCCTTGAAGAGGTCCTTCACATCCCTTGTAAGTTGGATTCCTAGGTATTTTATTCTCTTTGAAGCAATTGTGAATGGGAGTTCACTCATGATTTGGCTCTCTGTTTGTCTGTTGTTGGTGTATAAGAATGCTTGTGATTTTTGTACATTGATTTTGTATCCTGAGACTTTGCTGAAGTTGCTTATCAGCTTAAGGAGATTTTGGGCTGAGACGATGGGGTTTTCTAGATAAACAATCATGTCGTCTGCAAACAGGGACAATTTGACTTCCTCTTTTCCTAATTGAATACCCTTTATTTCCTTCTCCTGCCTGATTGCCCTGGCCAGAACTTCCAACACTATGTTGAATAGGAGTGGTGAGAGAGGGCATCCCTGTCTTGTGCCAGTTTTCAAAGGGAATGCTTGCAGTTTTTGCCCATTCAGTATGATATTGGCTGTGGGTTTGTCATAGATAGCTCTTATTATTTTGAAATACGTCCCATCAATACCTAATTTATTGAGAGTTTTTAGCATGAAGGGTTGTTGAATTTTGTCAAAGGCTTTTTCTGCATCTATTGAGATAATCATGTGGTTTTTGTCTTTGGCTCTGTTTATATGCTGGATTACATTTATTGATTTGCGTATATTGAACCAGCCTTGCATCCCAGGGATGAAGCCCACTTGATCATGGTGGATAAGCTTTTTGATGTGCTGCTGGATTCGGTTTGCCAGTATTTTATTGAGGATTTTTGCATCAATGTTCATCAAGGATATTGGTCTAAAATTCTCTTTTTTGGTTGTGTCTCTGCCCGGCTTTGGTATCAGAATGATGCTGGCCTCATAAAATGAGTTAGGGAGGATTCCCTCTTTTTCTATTGATTGGAATAGTTTCAGAAGGAATGGTACCAGTTCCTCCTTGTACCTCTGGTAGAATTCGGCTGTGAATCCATCTGGTCCTGGACTCTTTTTGGTTGGTAAACTATTGATTATTGCCACAATTTCAGAGCCTGTTATTGGTCTATTCAGAGATTCAACTTCTTCCTGGTTTAGTCTTGGGAGAGTGTATGTGTCCAGGAATGTATCCATTTCTTCTAGATTTTCTAGTTTATTTGCGTAGAGGTGTTTGTAGGATTCTCTGATGGTAGTTTGTATTTCTGTGGGATCGGTGGTGATATCCCCTTTATCATTTTTTATTGTGTCTATTTGATTCTTCTCTCTTTTTTTCTTTATTAGTCTTGCTAGCGGTCTATCAATTTTGTTGATCCTTTCAAAAAACCAGCTCCTGGATTCATTGATTTTTTGAAGGGTTTTTTGTGTCTCTATTTCCTTCAGTTCTGCTCTGATTTTAGTTATTTCTTGCCTTCTGCTAGCTTTTGAATGTGTTTGCTCTTGCTTTTCTAGTTCTTTTAATTGTGATGTTAGGGTGTCAATTTTGGATCTTTCCTGCTTTCTCTTGTAGGCATTTAGTGCTATAAATTTCCCTCTACACACTGCTTTGAATGCGTCCCAGAGATTCTGGTATGTGGTGTCTTTGTTCTCGTTGGTTTCAAAGAACATCTTTATTTCTGCCTTCATTTCGTTATGTACCCAGTAGTCATTCAGGAGCAGGTTGTTCAGTTTCCATGTAGTTGAGCGGCTTTGAGTGAGATTCTTAATCCTGAGTTCTAGTTTGATTGCACTGTGGTCTGAGAGATAGTTTGTTATAATTTCTGTTCTTTTACATTTGCTGAGGAGAGCTTTACTTCCAACTATGTGGTCAATTTTGGAATAGGTGTGGTGTGGTGCTGAAAAAAATGTATATTCTGTTGATTTGGGGTGGAGAGTTCTGTAGATGTCTATTAGGTCTGCTTGGTGCAGAGCTGAGTTCAATTCCTGGGTATTCTTGTTGACTTTCTGTCTCGTTGATCTGTCTAATGTTGACAGTGGGGTGTTAAAGTCTTCCATTATTAATGTGTGGGAGTCTAAGTCTCTTTGTAGGTCACTCAGGACTTGCTTTATGAATCTGGGTGCTCCTGTATTGGGTGCATAAATATTTAGGATAGTTAGCTCCTCTTGTTGAATTGATCCCTTTACCATTATGTAATGGCCTTCTTTGTCTCTTTTGATCTTTGTTGGTTTAAAGTCTGTTTTATCAGAGACTAGGATTGCAACCCCTGCCTTTTTTTGTTTTCCATTGGCTTGGTAGATCTTCCTCCATCCTTTTATTTTGAGCCTATGTGTGTCTCTGCACGTGAGATGGGTTTCCTGAATACAGCACACTGATGGATCTTGACTCTTTATCCAACTTGCCAGTCTGTGTCTTTTAATTGCAGAATTTAGTCCATTTATATTTAAAGTTAATATTGTTATGTGTGAATTTGATCCTGTCATTATGATGTTAGCTGGTGATTTTGCTCATTAGTTGATGCAGTTTCTTCCTAGTCTCGATGGTCTTTACATTTTGGCATGATTTTGCAGCGGCTGGTACCGGTTGTTCCTTTCCATGTTTAGCGCTTCCTTCAGGAGCTCTTTTAGGGCAGGCCTGGTGATGACAAAATCTCTCAGCATTTGCTTGTCTATAAAGTATTTTATTTCTCCTTCACTTATGAAGCTTAGTTTGGCTGGATATGAAATTCTGGGTTGAAAATTCTTTTCTTTAAGAATGTTGAATATTGGCCCCCACTCTCTCCTGGCTTGTAGGGTTTCTGCCGAGAGATCCGCTGTTAGTCTGATGGGCTTTCCTTTGAGGGTAACCCGACCTTTCTCTCTGGCTGCCCTTAACATTTTTTCCTTCATTTCAACTTTGGTGAATCTGACAATTATGTGTCTTGGAGTTGCTCTTCTCGAGGAGTATCTTTGTGGCGTTCTCTGTATTTCCTGAATCTGAATGTTGGCCTGCCTTGCTAGATTGGGGAAGTTCTCCTGGATAATATCCTGCAGAGTGTTTTCCAACTTGGTTCCATTCTCCACATCACTTTCAGGTACACCAATCAGACGTAGATTTGGTCTTTTCACATAGTCCCATATTTCTTGGAGGCTTTGCTCATTTCTTTTTATTCTTTTTTCTCTAAACTTCCCTTCTCGCTTCATTTCATTCATTTCATCTTCCATTGCTGATACCCTTTCTTCCAGTTGATCGCATCGGCTCCTGAGGCTTCTGCATTCTTCACGTAGTTCTCGAGCCTTGGTTTTCAGCTCCATCAGCTCCTTTAAGCACTTCTCTGTATTGGTTATTCTAGTTATACATTCTTCTAAATTTTTTTCAAAGTTTTCAACTTCTTTGCCTTTGGTTTGAATGTCCTCCCGTAGCTCAGAGTAATTTGATCGTCTGAAGCCTTCTTCTCTCAGCTCGTCAAAATCATTCTCCATCCAGCTTTGTTCCGTTGCTGGTGAGGAACTGCGTTCCTTTGGAGGAGGAGAGGCGCTCTGCATTTTAGAGTTTCCAGTTTTTCTGTTCTGTTTTTTCCCCATCTTTGTGGTTTTATCTACTTTTGGTCTTTGATGATGGTGATGTACAGATGGGTTTTCGGTGTAGATGTCCTTTCTGGTTGTTAGTTTTCCTTCTAACAGACAGGACCCTCAGCTGCAGGTCTGTTGGAATACCCTGCCGTGTGAGGTGTCAGTGTGCCCCTGCTGGGGGGTGCCTCCCAGTTAGGCTGCTCGGGGGTCAGGGGTCAGGGACCCACTTGAGGAGGCAGTCTGCCCGTTCTCAGATCTCCAGCTGCGTGCTGGGAGAACCACTGCTCTCTTCAAAGCTGTCAGACAGGGACACTTAAGTCTGCAGAGGTTACTGCTGTCTTTTTGTTTGTCTGTGCCCTGCCCCCAGAGGTGGAGCCTACAGAGGCAGGCAGGCCTCCTTGAGCTGTGGTGGGCTCCACCCAGTTCGAGCTTCCCGGCTGCTTTGTTTACCTAAGCAAGCCTGGGCAATGGCGGGAGCCCCTCCCCCAGCCTCGCTGCCGCCTTGCAGTTTGATCTCAGACTGCTGTGCTAGCAATCAGCGAGATTCCGTGGGCGTAGGACCCTCTGAGCCAGGTGTGGGATATAGTCTCGTGGTGCGCCGTTTCTTAAGCCGGTCTGAAAAGCGCAATATTCGGGTGGGAGTGACCCGATTTTCCAGGTGCGTCCGTCACCCCTTTCTTTGACTCGGAAAGGGAACTCCCTGACCCCTTGCGCTTCCCAGGTGAGGCAATGCCTCGCCCTGCTTCGGCTCGCTCACGGTGCGCGCACACACTGGCCTGCGCCCACTGTCTGGCACTCCCTAGTGAGATGAACCCGGTACCTCAGATGGAAATGCAGAAATCACCCGTCTTCTGCGTCGCTCACGCTGGGAGCTGTAGACCGGAGCTGTTCCTATTCGGCCATCTTGGCTCCCAGTAATTTCATTTTTAAAAACTAGGTATTTTATCATCTGGAATTTATCTCAGTAGATTGTGTGAAGTAGGAAATCCTACTTTTTTTTTTTTTTTAGTATGGCTATCTAGCTGTCCCATCAGGAAAACCCATCATTTTCCCTTCTGATCTGAAATACTTCCATTATTATACACTCAAGAGACTATATGTTTGGGTCTATTCCTGACCTTTATAATCTGTCTATTGATCCATCTATTTATGCCCCAGGACCATACTGGTTTTATTATTGTAGCTTTATAATTTAGAATTCCTGGTAGATTAGGTTGCCGCTTCCTGACTTTTTTTTTCTATTTGCTAGTTTGTATTTGATATGATCTTTAGAATCAGGATGCGTAGCCTCCTCCATCAGCCTGCTCCTGACTATTTGTTATTTTTAGAGATCATGTTAAATTTATAGATTAACTTAGGGAGAATTGAAATTTTTATGATGTTGCATTTTCCTATCCAAGAACTGATGTGCCTTTCCCTTCACTCAAGTCTTTTTTTGTTTCCCTCAGTAGCATCTTAAAAAATGTTCTTTATATAGATCTTATATCTTTATATATTTTTATGTCTGTCACTATTCTAAATAAGATTTTTCATTTTATCTCCTATCTAGTTGTTATTTGTATATAAAGGCTTTTGATTTCTTGTATCAGTTTTATATCTAGCCATCTTACTGAATTCTCTTATTATGTAAGAGTTTTTCAACTGATTTTCTTGGGTTCTCTAGATAAATGGTCCCATCATCTGCAAATGGTAGTAATTTTACCTCCTCCCTCCCAGTGTTTTTAACCTCATGTTTCTCTCTGACTTAATGGGAATGCTTTTAATATCCCCCTTAACCATTATGACCCCAATTATTTTTTACTTCGTAAAAATCCTTTTCAATTCCTACCAAAAATGATTCTGACCCCATTGTGCACCTTAGTCATGGCAAACTTTCCAGTTGCTCCTTGCCAAAACTCAAGAATAAAAGGGCCCAAGCTAGAGAGGCTGTCCTCACAAGCATCAGCTGCTGGGGGCTTCCACTCATTTTCCTCTGAAACAACAGAGAAAGAGACCATCTCTCATTCGCAGAGCAGCCCAAGGCCTTCTGAGGAGACAGTGAGTCTCCTCTAAGTCATTTCTCTCTGCTTTGTAGCAGTGGAGCTACCAAGGGTGAGATGAGCAGGTTGAGAGGCCTCTGAAGCCTGCTGGGCACAATGCTCTGTGATAAGTTTCAGCTCCACTGGAGCTTATCATCCACCAGCAATCGACTTCATGGCTGCTGCTCAGAGGCTCTAGGTGCTGCGCTGCTCACTGCCCTCACGTCTCTGGGACTTCCACACATAAAGCCATCTCTTTCCATTGCACTATGGCACTTGTAGGGAGGATCCCACACTTAGGGCCCAAAATGAGACCATTTGAGTCAAATTTCTAATTGTCTTTCAAATTTTATTATTGGCTGTAGACTTCCAATCATAGTCACATCAGTCGTGTTATTTACTGGTATAAAATCCCTAAGCACCAACTAAGTACCAACAATCGTGGCCTCATTTGCTGTCTGATCACTCACCTTAGTTTGGGTATTCTGTGAACTTGAATTCTACTGCAAACTATGCAATGCTTGTTATAAGTCATATGGACTTAGTTACAATTAGGACAAATTTTTGTTTCTAAAATTAAAAAAATCATAATCTCTGGAAGAGTGCTACTCTTTAGATCTCAAATTCCAGAATTTTTGAAGTTTTTGTTAGGCTAAAAAGCAGGGACAGCTGACATGAAGACTTTGGTGACATCTGAGTGGAGTCAGAATAAGTAGACAAGGAAACGAACCATTTGTTCTAACCTTTTTTGCTTTGTTCTTGGTGCTTGAGCATAAGGTGGCAACTTGTATACAATAAAACACCACCACATTTCGTATTACTTTTGTTTGCGTGCCTGCTGCTTTTATTTCACAGATTCAATGAGGACATTGTGCACATTTGTCAAATCTGCCTGACCTGTTTCATGCACTGAAAGCAGGACGGATCCCATATTTTGACTTCAGTACCATGTAAACCTTTATTCTTTAAATGAGCAATGAGACAGAGCATGCAGTTGACTATATATGTGGAATTTTCTCCTTGACAGACTTCATCATCTTAAGGGCAAACACTTACCTACAAAACAGTATCCTTGCTGTTTAACAACTGTGTTGTTATAAAATGAAGCCAGTGTGTTGTCTTTGTCTCTAAAGCTAAAATTTCCCCACCAATCCTTGTCACTTTTCCCCTTCCCACCCCCGCCTCCTCAACAAGCCCTCAGAATAACAGGCAGAGACAGGGCCTGGGCACATGATAAGTGATCAATACATATTTATTTAGGGAGCAAATGAAGTCTGAAATTCAGTTCAGGCTGACTATGCTTAGTGAGACAATAATTTTGTTACTAATTATAATTAATGTTCATTTAAAACATTTCTTCAGTCATCAATTCCAATAAGATAAGCAATACATCTACCCCAGAATAATATTCTAGATATTAGTCAGAAATTACATTCTCAATCATAGGACATGGTTTTTCATTAATTAACTGAAGCCTAATTAGTTGTCAGTGGACGTGGGACTCAGTGTCATTGATCCAGTCTGAGTGTATCTAAGGACAGTCCTCTCCTGAGGGCCTGGTCAGGTGATCAGTTCTAAAATAACAACCAATATGATTCAAGGAGTTTGCACTGACCTTTTCCAGACATTGGCACTAAACAGCAGTTACACAAGCAGGTCCAGGGTGTCCCCTTACCCCTGCCTTCTGAGGAGCACAACATGAGTTTTGTCCTTTTAGACATGGGGTCAGGGTGGGGTGGTTATTCTGTACAAATGTTTTGCTTTTAAGAAGTTTGAAATTTGTTTGTTTTCTGGGCCAAGAACATTTTTTCGTTTTTCTGGTTCTCCATGTTATTCTCTAAGACAGGTATTAGGAAGTGAAATAAGTCAGCAAAAGTAGAAATAACCTGGAAAAAAATTCATCTGTGGATGAACAGTGACCACTCTTGGATTCTGATGCTTTTGTGGTATATTCATCAATAACAAAAAAAAACAAAGACAAACAAAAAACCCTACCCTTCTGAGAATGAACATGAAGGCTATTGTACTATTGTATTCATTGACAATTATATCTCCTTGCAGGACTCTGGCTCTCCAGCACCCAGGTTAGGAACTTTCATTAGCAAGGAATCTAACTTGTAACTCTAAGGACTCTCCAAATGGAGGTTTAAAGAAAGAGCCCTGCTTGCTTTTTTTTTTTTTTTCTTAATTCATGCTCTAGGCTATGATATCAAACAGATTAAAGAGAATAGGAAAGAAGCACAAAACTATTCTAGCTTGTTGGCAGATTCAGAGAGCTCCGTCTTCAAATCCAGCAAGTCCATTTGTATTAAGTGGTGGGGCTGTTAACAGTGTACTTGCCAAGCCCACTGCCAATTAGACACCACTATCAGCATTTTTCTTTTAATTTAAATAGGCAATTTAGGAACAGCAACTTTGAGAATTTTTTTTTTTTTTTTTTGCAATTAGAATTCTCTTTTCTTGCCAAGATCGAGTTTGCTTTAAAAGATTTCATCTTCTTTAAAGATCTTTGGTTTCTATTAACTTTGGTGGCTTTAGCATGATGATCATGTACAAAATCATCGTAGATTGGTTTAATATCATCTTAATCCAAAAGTGCCCTCTGGCCAGAAATTGATAAAGAAAATGATATATTCTTGGAGATTCACTAACCACAAGAGTAGTCTGTTTTCTGAATTTTTTTAAGTGTCTGGTTCTGTTGCAAAGAGCATTCTGGAAGGCACATAATAGAAATTATTTGATAAAGTAATCTTAGTGGACAATGGCCATTTTGTAGGACCTGGCTTGCTAATCCAGTGGTCATAAAAGGGGAAGAAAATAAGTTATTTGTTGCTAATAAAAGATGTTCATTCACTACCAAATTGAAATAGGAATCATTTAGCATGTGGCATTATGTTTAAAATTATTATTTTCCTCTTGTATTTAGATCTTTCTCTGGAATCAAAGGACTCCAGCTGAAAGTTAACCTCCAACCCAATGATAACTACTTTTTCTATGTGAGGGCCATCAATGCATTTGGGACAAGTGAACAGAGTGAAGCTGCTCTCATCTCCACCAGAGGTACTTTCTCCTTTGCACACAGTGAGCTATTTCCAAGCTATTTCTTCCCTTCCACCCCTCAGAGAAGATGTCCTAGAGGGCAACTTTATAAACTCCCAACCTACTGTCAGTGGTAGGTTTTTGTCATGAGGACCCAAGGTTGGTCAAAGGTCAAGATATTTCTTTTGTTTTTCTGCTTTACAGGTTCTCAGCCTTGGCTACCTGTTAGCAATCAGCCAGGGTGCTTAAAAAATACTGTTTCCCTGCCTCCACTCCTGAAGATCCTGATTTAATTGATCTGGAGATGGGCTCAAACATTTATGTTTTTAGAAATCTCTCTAGATGATTTTTTTTTTTTTGAGACAGAGTCTCACTCTGTCGCCTAGGCTAGAGTGAAGTGGCATGATCTTGGCTCACTGCACCCTCTGCCTCCTAGGTTCAAGTGATTCTCATGCCTCAGCCTCTCAAGTAGCTGGAATTACAGGCACGTCCACCATGCCTGGCTAATTTTTGGATTGTTTTAGTAGAGATGGTTTTTGCCATGTTGGCCAGGCTGGTCTCAAAGTCCTGACCTCAGGTGATCTGCCCGCCTCAGCCTCCCAAAGTTCTGGGATTACAGGTGTGAGCCACCATGCCTGGCCTCTCCAGATGATTTTTATCAGACTCACAATGTGTTATAATTTGTGGATATGGTGTGTGTATGTGTGGTAGGTTGGGGATATTCTTTGAACTCTGTGAACAAGTTACCAGCCTTGTTCTGTTTATTCTTGATGCCTGGCACATAATTTGTGATAGTTAATGTTTGTTGAATGAATGACCAAAAGAGTAATTCAAGGAAGTGATAAAACTATTCAATGACATTTTTGGGAAAATACCTAGATGATGCCAACAAAAAATGTTTGTCTCTGCAATTTTTGTGAAAGGAAGTGAGGAATGGAAAGAGGACCATTTTATTATCTTATCCTAGACACAGAGCTGGCACAAGGTTGAGTGGGCGCAACAAGCGATCGGCTTACCCAGAAACATCTTGTGCTTTTGCCTCGTTTGTAAGATAGTCAGGGCCAGCCTGATGTTTATGAAGAGAAGATGCGAGGGCTGTCTTCCCAGCAGTGTTCTCCCCACAGTCCCAATATGGTGCCTGTCCTTCCATTGTTAGAGTCTCTCCTTTAGGTTATATCGGTGCATCCCCCATTTTTTTTTTTCTCGAATGGAGTCTTGCTCTGTTGCCCAGGCTGGAGTGCAATGGCACGATCTCGGCTCACTGCAATCTCTGCCTCTTGGGTTCAAGCTACTCTCCTGTCTCAGCCTCCTGAGTAGCTGGGATTACAGGTGCGCACCACCATGCCTGGCTAATTTTTTGTATTTTTGGTAGAGACGGGGTTTCACCATGTTGGCCAGGCTGGTCTCGAGCTCCTGACCTTGTGATCTGCCCACCTTGGCCTCCCAAAGTGCTGGGATTACAGGCGTGAGCCACCTCACCCGGCCTGTATCCCCCAATTTTAATATGCACACAGATTTCCTGAGGATCTTGTTAAAATACAGATTTGAAGTCAGGAGGGCTGCGGTGGGGTCCGAGAGTCTGAATTTGTAACTAGTTTCCAGGTGATGTAGATGCTGCTGGTGCAAGGAGCACACTGCACAGCAGATGAGCACTAATAGAGGGTACACCGTGAGGACGTGCCTATGGCACCACGTAGAGGTAACCAGCCACCGGCATCCACGAAGGCCTTATCATGAGTGAAGTTTTCAGCTGTGGATCTGAAGACACTTCGTGGGGGATTTTGACGTCAGGGGAAAGAGTCTAGGGTCTGAAATGTGGGGCTTAGCCTAGGGACAGCACTGGTCCTTGTGGCAATGTTTTAATACTATTTTCTCACCTGCAATAGGAACCAGATTTCTCTTGTTGAGAGAAACAGCTCATCCTGCTCTACACATTTCCTCAAGTGGGACAGTGATCAGCTTTGGTGAGAGGAGACGGCTGACGGAGTAAGTAGAAGAAGAAAGCACAAGTGGGCTGATGGCCCAGCAGTAGGGTCTTAGGGTGTGTCGCCTCAGGGTGGCCTCCGCTGAGCATATTCATGGTGCAGTGAACATGTCGGGATGTGGTCTCAAATATCAATGTGTGCACATCCACACTGTTCGGCTGTGGTTCCCTACCGAGCGATAGTTCATCACTTGGAGCAAGTGTCAATATTTTTATTGGAAATATAAGCACAGATGGTTTGGTTAAAACATTGGCTATTTTAAGGTATGATCTCTGGTTCAGTGGGGGAAAAAAAGGGTCCAGTAATTCTTTTATTATTTTTCTATAGCAAACCAGATATTTTATCAACCCTCTTGAAAAGGCATAGAAGAGGCTGGGCACAGTGGCTCACTCCTGTAATCCCAGCACTTTGGGAGGCCAAGGCAGGCAGATCATTTGAGTTCAGGAGTTTGAGACCAGCCTGGCCAACATGGTGAGACTCCATCTCTACTAAAAATACAAAAATTAGCCAGGTGTGGTGGTGCACGCCTGTAATCTCAGCTACTCGGAGGCTGAGGCAGGAGAATCACTTGAACCTCGGAGGTGGAGGTTGCAGTGAGCTGAGATTGTGCCATTGCACTCCAGCCTGGGAGTGAGACTCTGTCTCAAAAAAAAAAAAAAAAAAAAGGCATAGAAGAGAAGGACAGTTTATTGAGTTCCTAGTTTCTGGCCACAGAATCTTGCTTCCGTAGTAGCTCCCGCAAAAGGAAGCATCAAAGAAAAGAAGAGGCAAAGGCGGAGGATAGGGTGGAGGAAACTGCCCTGCAATTTGCCTGCAAGCTCTGGGGGTTATTTTGCAGAACAAAATGGCAAAATGGGAGAAGGTATGTGAAACTCTTGAAAACTGTAACACACGGGAAACACAGGCTGCTGATGGTGCTGCTGTGCCCTGGTGTCGGTGGCTGGCAGGTGCTCCCAAGAAGGCACTGAGCCAGCCAGCAGTGACTTTCACTATTTCCCTGTCACATTGCTACTTGCCTGTCTGTGGCCAAGCTCAGGTGTTACCTGCTCCTAGTTCTGGCCAAGGCTTCTCTGGACCCTGGCACCCTTTGATCTTACCTGTGTAAAAGAACAGATAACTTGTGGGGTCATTTGTCAGCCACTTACTCATCATCATCTTCAAGCAGCAGCCCTGTCTTGTGTATCTTTGAATCCCTCAAATCTAGCATGGGGCCTGGAACATTGCAGGGGCTAAAAAATATACAAATGAGTGAATTCAGGGAAAAAATAGATTGAAGAAATAGATTGAGCTTTTCTGTCTTTTGGATTCCTCAAAACATCAAAAAGAAAATAAATAGACTGGAGGAGGGTAAGAGTTCACAGATAATAACTGATGATAACTGTAATGTGTTTTATAGAATTTTATTTATTATTAACCTGAAAATCAGGTCATAAATATCAGACAGCTGGGCCTTGCTCCAGAGTGAGGGCTTGTCAGTAGCCACCTCTCTGAAATGAGGTTGAGTAAAGACATGAAAAGTGGAATACATTCCCTTGCATTAATCATTTTCTCATCTGTTAAAGGGGAGAGGGAGAGAGTGCTGACTGAATATTAACACTGCTTAAATTAAAAATGCTTCCTTGCTGTCTCAGCCATTTCCAAGCAAAATTGAGCAATTCTTGCAAACAAGGTCACCCATCAGCAGTTGAAAGTGCTTTTGGTTCATTTCACTAAGGTGCTTATAAAAATAGCTAAGGTGAGACAAAAAGAAACCTTCAACCAACCTCTTAAGGGCACCTACTACAGTTCAAAGAGGCCAGAATCTTGCAGACTGTTGACCGCTAATTATACTCAGTTAATTCCACACTTGGCACTGGCCAGCACTAGCTACCTTGTCATTTAAGAGCTGCACCTCATTTGGTGGCTGTGTCCAGTAAGGTCAGGAGGCATAGAACTCATGGTTAAAGTTTTGGAGATTTCTTTTTTTGCAAGTTTTGGAAGAAAACTATGCAAATTATGTTTCCTACCTGCTTCCCTTGTATTTATGAAGAGAAGTCACCTTAAAGGCAGAGACTGCAGCATTTCTTTTTGTCCTACCATTATTCTAGTTATTTCCTGATTCCCAGCTCTTTTAAGAGTTGCAGTGTACAACATGCATGTTGTATGTATGTGACTGGCAATATGTCAAATGCCTGTTGAGAGTTTGGAGAGTTCTGTGGTGATCTGGTTAAGGTTAGGGATACAATGAACAGAGTATCTTTAGTTAAATTCCAGCAGTTTCCAAGGGCAGAATCCTGCCTAAACTGTGTGAGTTTGTGAATGTTTATGCTTATGAGATACAGGCCGGCGATTCCTGCACTGAGCATACTCTGATTGACTTCACCCACAGAATCCCGTCAGTGCTGGGTGAGGAGCTGCCTTCCTGTGGCCAGCATTACTGGGAAACCACAGTCACAGACTGCCCAGCATATCGACTCGGCATCTGCTCCAGCTCGGCTGTGCAGGCAGGTGCCCTAGGACAAGGGGAGACCTCATGGTACATGCACTGCTCTGAGCCACAGAGGTAAGCGAGCCCTTCCCCTCCCCTCTTCATCAAAATATTATGCTTGGGTGTCCAGGCAGGGCTCTCTGAGGGACCTGATAAATAGCACCCACTTCCATGCTCAACTTCTGAGCCAACTAAGAAAGAAAACAAGAGTCAAGTATATGGAGATGAAACTCTGACTCTGATTACTGAGGAAGCTGATTTTAGAGTGTGTGAATCATACCTGAAGAGGGTTTCTTATATTAAACCCTATTATGAGGCAGACTTACCCAACCAGAGCCTGGGCCAGGTCAGCTTCCTTGCTCTGCAGGGCAGAGTTGGTGCCTGGAGAAGCAGAGAAGGATGTATGTCTCCCTGGTAGCTAGTGGGTAAGAGATAGGGAAGAGGGAGGGGCAGCTGGGTTTTGCATCACAGTTTTTCCTTCTGAACTCACCACAGGGTGGAGAGAGACCACAAGGGTAATGCTAAAAGGAGTCCCTCCACAGAGAAGGAATCAACAGGAGTGAGGAAGAAGTGGATCTCCAACACCTCCCTCCACATTGGTCCATATCGGGGGTTGGCAAACTATAGCCCATAGGCCACATAGAACCCGCTGCCTGTCTGTGTAAATAAAATTGCAGAAACACAGTCATGCTCTTTTGTTTATGTATTGTATTACACTACAGTGGCAGAGGTGACAGATGTCTGTCAAATCCTAGGATATTTACATCTGTCCCTTTACAGAAAAAGTTTGCCAATCTCTGTTCTATATTACCTGTATTGTTTGGTTGGTTGATGTGAAAAAGCCGTTAGCCTGTGTTAGTCTCAGAGCGATCAGGCAGGTATATTATGATCTGAATATGCTCACAGTATGGTTTAATAGAAAGAACACTGGACTAGGAGCCAGGAATCCAGTTTGAGGTCTGGCTCCATCCTCAATTAGCCTCCTGTTGGCTGTTTGCCATAAGTGGGTTAACCCTTTGAGCATACCTTAAATCATCTAGCTCAGCAGGGGACAGTAATGCCTGGCTTGCTACCTTGTGGGGCTGTGAGGATCACATGAAATCAGGTACAGGGAAGAGCTTAGGAACGGTAAAGTATCATACAAATGTGAGGCATTATTCAAATGTAATCCTTTAAAAAGAAGCCTTCAATGCTTGCAAGTTCCCAGAAAAGGCCCACAGATTGGGATTTTGCATATCTCTGGCTGCACATTTCTCCCTGCATCCTACTTGACAGTTTGATTCTCTGAGATGGTTCATAAGGACACCATCTCCAAGCACTACTTAAAGTCACGTTTCGTCAAGTCAGAGCAATTATGATTAATTGATATTCAGTGCTGTGCAATGCATAAGGACCCAGCCCCTACCCAGAGTTTGAAATCACTCAAACTCAGTTTACAGTTAGTAGATTCAGAGCTGAAACTACATATTAATTTCATGAAAATGTCTGTACACCCTCAAATCTTTAAAAAGCCCACACCAAGGGCTAACCTCCAATAACAAATTCCTAGGCTCTAGAAGACAAAATTATGTATTTTGTTGACCAGTTCAACCTACAGCTTTGGCCTTTGGCTCTTTCAGGCTTGGAGTGGGTGCCATAGATTCTGGGAGAAAGAGTGTGTCCCTTTGTGTGGTCTCAGCACTGACAGGTAGGGTCTCAGGGCCCTCATGTCATCCTTCGAGGGCTTCACATGGGGCACCCTGGCCTCTGGGACTCTGAGAACGCTCCTGTGGCAGCCCCTCCTGTCTTCTACTTTTTCTGGTTTAATGATTTTAAATCAACCTACATCACTCTTGATTCTACTCACAGAATCTAGGTTTTCAGATGTCACAATTGGGAAGGAGGCGTGAAGATCATCTCAGGAGAGTCTGCTGGTTTCCTTCCTGTCCATTCCTAAACTTGCCATGCTAGCTCAAGGCTTCCGCACCTCCTCTGCAGTTTCAGCAGCAGCCACCCAGCCTGCACCCTCACTTCTAGTCTCTACCCACTCGCAACTGGGAAATATTTCTAAAACATCATTTTCATCATGTCCCTGCCTTTTCTGCTCAAAAATCTACAAACATCTACAGTGGTGTCAGAACTTGGGTGGGACCACCTGCAGGACACAGTGAAGAGGGGCAGCCAGGAAGAATGTGGCCAGTCTGGGGCAAGGAGTCCTGAGGGGAGTTACCACCAGAGTCCAAAGGGGTCTGGGCTGAGTGTGGGCCAGAGGTGGGACTCAAGGGAGTAAGGGTCCTCAGTCCACCAGGAGGAGGGGAGGCAGTTCCAAGATCGTGCAAGTGTTTAGAGCCAGGCTTCTGGATGATTATTTTTTGAAGAGACCAGCCAGGTCTCTGTTCAAAGCCAGCCAGGCAGAGAGTCAGGCCCCACGCAGGCAGGCTTGGCTTCAGGCCAGAGTTGAGGTTAGTGGAATGTGTGCTCGGCCAGAAATGGAGACAGAAGCAGGGCTGGTCAGGTTCTGTGTCCTGCAGAACTGGTGGAGACAAGGATTCAGGGAATACCTTTCCCTACTTGGCCTCCCAGGTAGGGATTGGCTCAAGGAATGACCAACGCTGGGCCTGTAGGGACCGGGGACCTTCCAAACAGGGGAGGAGAAATGACACATTTAGGCATTCAGAACCCTCCAGACCAGCGTTATGCAATAGGACCTTCTGCAATAATAGAAAAATGGTGCCACACGTGGCTATTAAACACTAGAAATGTGGCTGGTAGGACTGAAAAACTGAATTTTAAATTTTGTTTAACTTTAATTTTTTTTTTTCATTCGACAAATGTTTATTGAGTACCTGTCCTGTGCCAGGTTATCTTTTAGGCACTAGAGATACACCAGAGTACCAAACAGATCAAGAGTTTCTGTTCTGTGTGTGTGACAGTATATACAGTGGTGCAAACATGGCTCCATGCATCCTTGATCTCCTGGGCTCAAGCAATCCTCCCACATCAACCCCTCTAAGTAGCTAAGGCTATAGGCACGTGGCACCACCCCCAGCTAACTTTTGTATTTTTAGTAGAAACAGATTTTCACCATGTTACCCAGTCTGTCTCTAACTCCTGACCTCAAGGTATCTGCCTGCCTTGGCCTCCCAAAGTGCTGGGATTACAGGCCTGAGCCACCACACTCAGCCCAGACCAAGAGTTTTACCTTCATGAAGCTAATAGTCTACTGACAAAGATAAGAAGAGCATGTTTTAATATATAATAAATGATGTCATTATTTTATATCATTTATTCAACAATTAGTATTATGCATTCATTCTTACATTTAAATAAACATGTCAACGTTACGGATCAATAAAATTTAAAAACTAGGATATTTTATTTTAATTTAATATGTAGCCATTTTCTCAGCTATGCAATGTTGATAAAATATATATGAAAAGTGTGATATGTCTCATGTTTATTCAAATGTAAGAATACATAGATTCATATAAGCTGCACAAAACATAAAAAATGCAGGTATTTTCCAATCTAGAAATGGTTAATTTGCTAACAACCTGTACATACTAATGATCACTACAGCTCCCATTTTCTCCAACCTTAATGCCTCCTTATTCCCAACTCTTTGGTTTGCACTTGCCCTTTGGTTCTTCTCTGCTGTCGGACTGTTCACCAACCATCCATTTATTCATTGCACAAATATGTACTAGGAACCACTGGAGTGAGACCCTCTAGAACTCCTTCACCCTTGTCTCTCAGGACTAGGGCCTCTTGGAAGTTGAAAGAGACCCAAGACTCTTCTACTAATTGGGAACTCTCAAAATACTATTATAAAAAATAAAGAAATGCCAGTTAACAGGGTTATTAAAATTTACTCTAAGGACTTACATTTCACATAGTAATTCTTTTAACAGACACAATTGCAGTGACAAAGGCAATGACTTTATATATGCCCATATCTGAAAGAAATGTCAAAAATTCAAATTTATAAAGCCCTCTGTGAAATATGAGGCCCTATTCAAATGGCCCTCCTGGTCTTGTCTGTCACCTTTTCCTTCTTGGCTGCTGGCACCTTCCTATCTCATTGTCAAGGAGAAGCCACCACACTATCTCCACATCTGAGTATCTCTATCCCATTCTCCACCATTAACTTTAATTTTAATGGAAGTGGCCACACATGTCTAGTGGCTACTATATTAGACAGGGCAAGTCTAGAGCCTGGCCCCTGACTTACTTATCCACGTAACATCCTAAAAGTCACCCCCATGTCCTGTCCAAACCCAAGAGGCCAATGGTGATGTTCTCTGCCACATACGGACTTCTTCAGCCACCTTACCATCACTGCTGCTGCCCTTACTGTGTGGATTTTTCTCCTTCTTTTTCACCTATTCAAGTCCTGCCTGTCCTTTCTGGCTGAGTGTGAGCCCTGTGCTCCCAAAGCCTTCTGTAAGAGCCCAGCTCACACTGCCAGTCCCCATCATTGCTACCTGAAACGTTTAGTCTGTCTTGCAGGTTCCAGAACATCATAGTATTCTGGCATCTCTCTCATTAGCAAGGCATTGAAAAGGTCCTTTATCAACTCAAAAGTCTCACTTATCTCCCCACCACCGTGAACCTCTGCCCTTCCACGTGAGCTTCTTTCTGCAATGAAGTTGCCAACTTGCCATCCCCTAAATACTTGCACTTGAGCTTCTGAGCCTTAAGACAGTTGTTGCAAGTCTTGAAGATCCTCAGCCCTCCCTGCCAGACCCGTCGCTTACCCAGATTCTTAGGTCCAAACTGCCCTGGTGTTGCTGTGCTCCCACCCCTCCAGCCTACACATCCGTCGACCTTTCCCTCATCTCTCTTCTTCCATCTCTCATTCCACTCCTTCCGCTACTTTCAGGGCCCCATTCTCAGTTTCTAAGACTACTGGGAGAAAACCCCAAACTTGTGTTACTTTTTTACATAGAGCAATTTAGCTTTTCTGGTCAGCAGTTTCTCCTTTCCAGCCTGGCCTTGAACCTTTCCCTTCACAACCAAAACAGCTTCATTAAATGTGTCTAGTAAACACTTGAAGATCTACACCCTGAGAGGCATTCCCAGCCGTGGTCCGAGTTTCAAATGTGGGCAGTTTTTCCTTCCTGCTCCATACAGTATGGGATCCCAGAGGGCAAGGACAGCACTTCATGTCCTTCACATGCCCCAGAGTGCCTAGTAAAGTGCTGGATACATGGATATGCACAAGGAATAGTTGTTGAGTTGAATTTGTCTGAATTAAAGAGAGGAATCAAAGGCAACCCCGCTGGTGGCAAGGCTGCAGAAAACCTTGAGAAAATGAAAAGGAGAGTTGGTTTGGGGAAGGGGGAGCAGAAACAAAGGATGAAGTTGGCAAAATAATGAAATATTCCTTAAACTTCATAAAGGCCTTTATGTAAGTTACCTATAAAATTTTAAAACTGTAAAATTAATACATTGTATGGAAGGCAAGCTTACGGTACTTTTAAAAATACATGGCAGCCTCAAAGGAGTTTTATTCAAAAGAATGACACGCCATGAATGCGGTAGTTAAAACATGTGGGCAGCTGGGAGAGAATTAGAATGTGGAGATAAATCACAAGGGAGGCATATGTTGGCTATTCTGGGACTGCCTCCTAATGTAGGAGGAGCAAAATTATTAAACATGCTCATCTGTTGGGATAAGCTCTGCATTTTAGCATCTAGAAGAAATCTAGTGAAGTATTTGGGACAGCATTATTGCAACTCCTTATTGTGAAGTGGAGTTAATAACTGAAGAATTGGTTATTCCCAAGTGACTTTCCTTTTCAAATTCCTTGAGATTTCCAGAGTTTTATGTTTCCCATTCGCTTTCATTTCAGATACACATTTTTCTACAGTGGTATTGTGAGTGATGTTCATGTGACTGAGCGTCCAGCCAGAGTGGGCATCCTGCTGGACTACAACAACCAGAGACTTATCTTCATCAACGCAGAGAGCGAGCAGTTGCTCTTCATCATCAGGCACAGGTTTAATGAGGGTGTCCACCCTGCCTTTGCCCTGGAGAAACCTGGAAAATGTACTTTGCACCTGGGGATAGAGCCCCCGGATTCTGTAAGGCACAAGTGATCCTTGGCTTTCAGAATTTGCAAGAACAGCGATTTGAATTTTGGGGGGGTCTGCTGTTCATTCCTTTAGGTGCTATACATTATTCAAAAAGTCTCCCGCGCATTTGCACTAATGATGGCTGCATGCATAGCAATCAGCATGTGAGCAAAATCGACAAGAAAACCTTGACTTTACAGAGCAGTGTGTGAGTAAACAGAATGAAAACAACAACCTCCACTCTTTAGTTTATATAAGTTTGAGTTCTTTCCTAAATTAAAAGATCTACACTTGAGTTGGGAACCGAAAGAGAAAAATGGACTTCCATCTGTTTTACTGGTAAAGGAAATCCTCTGATGGACAGGTCAGAGTGAAGGAAGGTTGTGCTGGTAAGACATCTCTGACGAAGAGCCATGGATGCTTTCCACAAAATGTCACCTCGCTGCACTAAAGGATGATGAATCCTAATCATTAAAGGAATTGTTTCAGCTGATTTAAATTTATAATGAACTCTTTTGTAATAATGTATACTGTAGAACATGAGTCTCTCCTCCCTAAAATTTTAAATGTAGAAAAGTGCTATATATTAGAAATTTCCATTTTGTTAAATAAATGGTTAGAGTCTATAAAGCCAGTCGTGTTATGTGAACTTACTCCATGTAACTTACTGGCCTGGCATCTCTGGAGCAGGACAAACTGCAGAGTAAAACTCATTACACTTCAGTGCAGTGCACTACTATTGATTTTCCTGTGAGAATTTTACACACACACACACACACTTTAAAATCTAATCACTCTCAGACCATAGTTATAGTCAATTAACAGAAGCTGGGAATCTATTTTTACTAAAATTAAGTGGTCATTTTAAGATATTATGTTGAATCCCTCAAAATCTTTCTAAAATATGTGTGCAAAGTGGATAAATCTAGAATGTATGTCAAGATGATTGTGCTTGTCTTCTATAATGTAAATGTGTTGATCATACTTGTAGTTTTTAAAAAATACTTCAAAACTTGAATTCAGATGTTTTCTTTTTTTTTTTTGAGGTGGAGCCTCACGCTGTCACCCAGGCTGGAGTACAGTGGCATGATTTCGCCTCACTGCAACCTCCGCCTCCCAGGTTCAAGCGATTCTCGTGCCTCAGCCTCCTGAGTAGCTGGGACTACAGGCATGCGCCACTACAACTGGCTAATTTTTATATTTTCTTTTTCAGACGGGGTTTTGCCATGTTGGCCAGGATGGTCTTGAACTCCTAACCTCAGTTGATCTGCCCGTCTCGGCCTCCCAAAGTGCTGGGATTACAGGCGTGAGCCACTGTGTCCCGCCCAGATATTTTCTTGAATTGAGAAATAATATCCTTCTTTCTGAATATATTCTAAAATCTCTTGTTTAATAGCTAGAAAATCTGAACTGGATCTGTAACTGCCTTACTAGAGCCCTTGGAGGCCATTACCACCCTGATTGCAGTTCCAGCAGTTGCTGGCAAGATGGAGTCTTGGTGAAACTGGAGAAGTAACTTGCTGCTTTGTGGAGAATGTTAGTTTCACTTTCTCAATCCTTGAAAATGTTATCCTCAGGTTCTGACTGCTCAGCCAGCCGTGCTCATTATTACTGGTTGTTGTTGTTGTTGTTGTTGTTTTGGTGTGAATGTGTAACCAAGTGAATTTTAGAATTTATCTCAGTTTGGCTTTCTCCAAAAGTAGACCAACTGCAAGGCTCAGTGCCTGTTGTTTACCTAGGAGGTGATTCCAGGAAGAACATTTGAGGAAGTGGGTAAAGTCATTAAAGGACATGTGTTATGAGTGGGTTATTACCACTGTGGGCAGCTGGGCTCTCCTGTGCCAGAGGACCCTCTGGAAACCACACAGAACATACCAGAAGCTGACACTCAACTCCTGTCCAACCCCTATTGTTGAAGGTGGCCTGGAGTCATTCCCATCCCCCAACTTTCCAAGCTGCATTTCCTGGTCCTGAGAAAGCCCTCATCAAGAGTAAATGAGAAACACAGACACCTGAGAAGGTATGTCGAAAACTGTCTAATGCAACTGCGCATGCACCCTCGCTAGCCGCGGGTGAAGGGGACCAAGTGCCAGCAGCATCTGCCGTCAGGTTGGAAGCAGCTCTGGAATAAAGGAGAAAACCACCATAATGGAAAGAACCAGGTTTGAATCTTGATTGATCCCCTAATAGATAATCGCTTTGGGCAATTCAGATCCTATAGTTATGTCTTTTCTCAGGATAATTATAAACACCAGGTTAAATGAGCATGTGGAATGGCACAGCATTTTGTAGTTTATATGATATGACAAAGGACTCCAGAAATCCTCTAAGTCCAGCCCTCCACTCCCCAGTGAGTGACCCTCCTGTCTCTGACTCTGTGGCAAGGGGACGGTGGAAGGTAGGGCTCTGGGGTCAGGAGATCCATGTGTCAACAGCCTCTGTCTGCCGAGTGATAGGAGATTTCTTGGTTGGTCCCTGGGCATTATTCTAGTACAGACAAGTAGAACTAAATTAATACAATTTCCACATTCTATTAGAGAATTGTCAAGCAATGTTTTTCTTCCTTGGCCCTTCTCTGATTTTCATTTCCCTTCCTTCTTTCCTTCCTCTTCATATAACACAGAGCCTCAGAGGGAGGGAAGGAAGTCAGCAAATTTTGGTCAAAATTGCTCCCCTGGAAATCTGTCAATGATGTTTATTAATTTAATAACAGGTACAGCACATGAATTCTTTCTTTTAGTCCTCATCAAAACCTTGCAGAATAAAAATTGTTGCCATTTTATAGCTGAGGAAACTAGTCTCAGAGTAGTTAAGTAATTTACCTTGTTCACAGTCACAGCTGGCAGGTGGCAGAGTGCAGATTTAGATACAGCTCAAATTCTGACCTAAGATTAGAATGATTATATTTTGCTTCATTCCTTACATAGATCATTTCCCCACATATATGTGGTGTGTGAGAATTATGTGTGTGCACACACTTGCATGCATATATACACTTTCCCTTCCCCCCCCGGAACTGACTTCCTTCCTAAGCTTCTGTTTTGTTGTTGGTGCTGTCATAACTCTTGGAAGACATGGGGTTACTTTGATTTTTATTTCAATAGCAATGTGACCTTAATTCATGTATGCCCAGCACTATTTTCACATGGTTGTTTGAGAGTTCAAAAGAGTCTATAACATTGTTTGTGGAGAAAATACTTTATCATACATGAAACACAATTCTGCTTCTAGAAGATATGGGGTCAAAATAAAGGAGTTTGTTGGGGGGGAGGAAATGAGGATTAACACTGGGGTCATTTCTCTTTGCAAACACACCTGGCAACATTAGATGGACATATTCTTTGTTAAAGTCGGAAATATTTTTCTACTGGAGCAAACCAGAACATGTTCCTGTTGTTTTTCTGGAGGTACTTCCTCAAAGTCCAACAGAATTAAAGTATTGTACTTCATCACACACACTTACTAAGATGTGTGCTTAAAGTCCAAACACAACACTCTCCCATCAGAAGCATCCTTAAGGCCTCTGAGGGCTGTATCTGAAGTCCCTTCTCATCCTCACTGTGCTCATTGCCCATTAATCATCGCAAGTGTTGAGTTGCTGAAAGAACCCACACAGTTTACATAGGACTCAAAACAGTTTACATTGGTGGAACAGCTTTATTACAGGCAGAGGAAACAGTACAGCCACACAGAAGAAGGATAGGCATGGAAAGGGGTCCTGAGATCTCAGGCGCAGGCCTCTTTGGCCTCCCACTACTGGGCTGCACAGTGTGCACATTGTCTCCAGGCCTCTAACTACCAGCAGTGTATGTGTGTTGCAGCTTGATGCCAGGAAGCTCAACTTTTGTCTGTGGTGGTGATGGTCTCTCATAGAAGGTGAGCTGGTCACAGACACTTTCTAGCTATGTGATAGGCGTAACCTTTGAAAATCACCTTCCTCACTCCTGCAGGCTCTACCAAAACCAGGTGCAACATCAATCCAATGATTTTTACTAAACAGTGCTAACAGGCAGATATATCCTGCTCTGAAACAACTGATGGATCCATAATATAGAATGTCACTTATTGCCAATTAATAGATTCCATGGGCTGGGCACAGTGGCTCACACCTATAATCCTTGCACTTTGGGAGGCTGAGGCAGGCTGATTGCTTGAGCCCAGGAGTTTGAGACCAGCCTGGGCAATGGGGTGAACCCTGTCTCTACTAAAAATACAAAAAAATTAGCCAGGTGTAGTAGCACTCACCTGTAGTCCCATGTTCGTGCCACTGGAATCCAGCCTGGGTATCAGAATGAGACCCTGTTTCAAAAAAAAAAAAAAAGGATTCTGTGTCATTGTCCAAGCCTCAGTGGCTCTCTAGGCATGCAAATTGCCAGTTAACATCAGGTGAAATTAACTCACGCTAAGTACTTCTTGGCTTGAATTCCTGAGCCCAGCTGCTAAGGGGTGGTTCAAGAATACTACTAGGAAGAGCTGAATGCCTCTGCTGCCAATAGCCATCCTCTTTAGGTCCCTGATTTGGTGACTTCTAGGGCTAGGGTGTGAGTCCAGGCACATCCCTGAACTGAGTGAAGTTGGAGTTGATTTCCACCCGTCACAGTGCTCGTGAGGGAACATATATCCTGGGCTGTTTTTAGAGCAGGAGATAATGCATCTCATTTTCCTTTACTACCCTTGAAGTGTGCCTCTCTTTCATGTGCCCCTGTTTTTGTCCTAAGTGAACTGTCTTTCTATGCTGAACTTGTTTTTACTATTAATATCAGTAATTTCAGATCCCCAAGTAACATATGAGCTTTATAATAGTTTGAGAATAGTTAAGAGAATGAGGACTATTTGGCTTGGAACAAAAACACCTTAGGGAAGGATATAAGAGGTCTTCAAAGATTTGAAGAGCCGTTACATGGAAGGAATTAAGCTTAGTTTGATTTTTCTACTAAGAGCAGTGGGTAGACGTCCCACCAATGGGTAGAAGTTGAGGAATTCAGTTGAAGAGAAGGAAGAACACCCATCAGTGACAGCTGGCTAAGGGGCATGTTGCTTAGTGGGTTATGAGCACTCAGGCAGAACGATCAACTGTCTGGAATATCAAAGAGTGGATTCCTGCTTTAGGTTCTAGATAGATGGTGTTTAAACTGTGTTTCTGAGTACTGGAATTCCATGGAGGTGCCTGAAGGTCAATGTGGGATCCAACAGGAAGGCCAAGTGGGCATACATTCAAACCCCTATCTCATTTCATCACACTAGCTCAATTTTTATCTATATTACACATTGGATTCCATATTATAATTTATTTGATAAAACACCTTCTATGGTCAAATAATGTTTGAAAACTAGAAAACCTCTAAGATTCAAGTCTGAATATGTGACCCAGGGTGATCCCAAAGCCTACAAGTCCTCCATTCTTTCAGGGTCCCCTTTCTTTTACTATTTAAATACTGATGTGATGTTGACTGCAAGACATTCTGTTTCCTATCCCAAATTTCCAAGAATTCCTGTAGGCAATTACATTTTCCTGGTTAACACCTCTGACCTCCTGCTTCCAAATGCTCCTCCTCACCCCTAGCCATCTCATCATTACTTCTTAATGTTCCCCTAGGCCCATTTGGTCTGCATCATCCCAAAACATGGACATGGTGCTCCTTTGATTCCTTAAGGCAGTGCTAACACAAGGCTGCCATCGTTAGTGGTTAACATGGCTTTTCTTTAAGACTTGGGGTGACTGAGGGCAAGTTTTCATACATAAAACTTCATACATAAACATGAAGCTCGATGGAAAACATCCAGCATTGTAAGGAGCCCCTTCTGAACTTTTCTTCACCCCATTTTCCTGCATATTGAACAGACTACTCCATTTTATATTATTCTGTAAGTTTTAGCCTCTGCTCAAGCTTTGGTTTTTCAGAGCAGGCAATGAAATGAGAAAACACCAAACATTAAAAACACCTCTCTTACCAGTATAGACATCTTTCATAATTTTATGACAGCAAAATTTTGCACCCCTTATCTGTGTCTCTGCTATCCTTCCCAAGTGTTAGGCTTCTCTCTGCAGAACTAAAAGGCCCATTAAAGCAATTCTCCCAACCAAAGCACATTCCTCTTCCCAAGATGAATTTGGTCATTACCTCCGAGGATGGTTTTAGAATCCCCTTAGCATCTCCCCTTTTGTGGTTTTCTGTAGAAGTAGCCAATGATGAGAAATTCTTTTTCAACCTAACTGGACTTCATTTTGGGTTGCCCCAATACCATGAAGAACTTTATTCTTTGAAGGATTTCAAGGAGAAATGATACCGGTCTAGAGTCAACATGCTACTTTAAGATTTTATAACTTAGGGGGAAGGGGTTAAAATAATTAAGAAAAAGAAAAAGTGGTGAAGGAGAAGCACCAATCATTCAGCACATCTGTAGTTGTGTTCACCATGGGTTGGGCACCATTTAGGCCTTAAGGAAATGGCAGTCATTAAATCAAACAAAATCCCTGCTCTCAAGGAGCCTGCATTCTAGTGGAGGAAGACAGACAATAAATACAGGTATTGTATGTCAGTGGGGAATAAGAACTAGGAAGAAAAATACATCAGAGAAGAGAATAAAGAATAATAAGAAGTACCAGCTGGGCACAGTGGCTGACACCTGTAATTCCAGCACTTTGGGAGGCTGAGGTGGGAGGGTCACTTGAGGCCAGGAGTTTGAGAACTGTGTGGGCAACATAGTGAGACCCTGTCTTTATAATAAAATAAAGTAAAATAAAAAATTTTTAAAAAGTAATAGCAGGTAGGGGGTGCTGTATATTTTAAGTATGGTAGGAAAGTATCTCTGATAAGATGATATTTGGCTAAAGAGCTAAATGAAGTGAGGGAGCAAGCCCTGTGGATGTGTGTGAGGGAGGAGCATCCCATGCAGGAGGAATAGAAAGGAAGGAGGTCTTGAGGAAGCAGGATGCGGGTGCATTAGAGGAAGAGTGAGGATCCCAGTGGGGCTGCAGTGGAACACGGGGGAGAGAATGGTAGTGGATACAGTCCGAGAGTAGCTGGGGACTGGTTCACAATGGCCTTGAAGGCCAAGTAAAATCTTTCTGTTATATTCTGAGTGAGTTGGAAAGAAGTTATAGTCATGAGGAGCAGAGGCAATGGCAGTCAAAGAATTTGCTTTTCCAGTGTTTGGGTATCATGTTTTTCAATATCAAATGGGGGGTTTTATAAAGGCCTCCTGGCCTGGCCTTTTGCCATTTTCAGCTTCTGCAGAAAAGTGCTGAAAGGGCTGTATGGGTGGGAGAGAAGAACAGGCATTCTTTGTCTCATTCTCAGCTCTGTCCAGGATCCCTGTGGCCCTGCTCACTTCCTGCTTTCAAGAGGAGCAGCTGCTGCTGATTGGTTGCTATTAGGACCAGCCTAGAGCCAAACTAGGGGGAAAAAAAACCCTGCTATTTTACCCGGGCTGACTTTGGGCTGAATTGAGTCTGTTTGTCCACTATGAAACGTTGGCAACCACCAAGAGTGGAGAAAAATACAAGCACATTTGAATGTTTCGTATCTTTTTAACTGTGTGATTTTACAGTTACAGAGAAGATGAGATAATGACATAATCTAGGGAGACTATCTGGCCAAACAGGCCTCATATGTGTGTATCTATGTGTGCATGTGAGTGTGTGTATATATTTCATATGTGTGAACATGTTTGTGTGTATCTATATGTATACGTGTGTGCATTCATGTGGGGAGGTAGAGGGATGGGAAGAGGTAAATTATCATGACAATTCAGGGATGGTTTTCCCACTGAAGAGTCCAAAACTGGACTTGGGAGAGCGTTTAAAGGTTGTCAGATCCATGGTACTCAGTCACATTAATCAAGCTCACAAAAGACTAATTAATAATTCAGAATGCCATTTGCTTAATTTATAGTGAGAGATCAAATTGCCAAGGGGGCTGGGGAATGCATATCTGCTAGTCAGGGGATTCTTTCGCTAGGACCCTGAGCTCCAGGCCCTGCAGGCACCCACATTTGGGGCTGGGCTGCACAGACTGCTTGAGGCTGCCTACCTGTCAAACTCCACATTCTCAAGAGAACAGATGTATCTTCACGAGGGAAGCCTGTGATAGTCAAAAAGATTGTTTGGTGATCAAGGCAAGGCACGTGGATGGTGTGAATGGCCAACATTATTGAACTGCACGGCCAGCCGTGTGGCCCAGATAGTTGGTTTTGCTGGTCGGAGTACTTTCTTCCTGCATCAGCACTGGGCTTCCCTGAGAAATCCTGATACTTTGCCGCGGTCTGTCTATTCAGTCTGACTTCTTACATTCACAATTCCCTAAAAAAAGATGTCTGAGGACTATTTCCCAGACTATAGTTTTCTTTTTTATTTAGTGAATACTTGATTAGATTTCTGGGCCCTCCCCCTCCTGCTTTTGATCTGAAAACTATTGTGCCTGTTATGGTAACCTTTGTGGATGATAGAACTTCATTTATTATGTGAAGATCGTGCTAACTTAATACTCAAAAGAAAACCATTCTTGCAAATGCACATGTCACATTTCACCATCTCCCATGGGTTGACTACAGGTGGGAGGAGGAGGAGATTTTCATTCAAGGATTTGGTGTAATTAATGAGAGAGAGCAGTTCAGAACCAGAACCACTTGAAGATCTGGGCTGAGACACGGCTCTGCTCGTTCATATCTATGCGTCTTTAGACAAACTGTTTAGCGTCTCTTAGGGTCATCATTGTAAAATAGGAATAATACTTGCTATGGTTTGAATGTGTTCTCTAAAGGTTGTATTAAAAACTTAATCCCCAGTACAACAGTGTTGAAAGGTAAGACCTTTAAGAAGTGATTACTTCATGAGGGCTCTGGCCTCATGAATGGAGTAATGTCATTATCTTGGGAGTGAGTTTGTCATTGTGAGAACAAGTTTAGTATGAAAGTGAGTTTGGCCCCCTTTTGCTGTCTCTTGTGAACTCTTTGGCCTTTCTGCCTTCTGACATGGGATGATGCAGCAAGAAAGCCCTCCCCAGATGTGAGCCCTCAATTTTGGGCTTCCCAGCCTCCAGAACCAAGAGCTGAATGCCAATAATTTTAATTAATAATTAATAATAAATTTATTTTAATTATAAAGAATTATATAACTGTAATTCTTTATAATTATATAATTATATAAATATATAATTTTTATATATAAAAATTATATAATTTCTTTATTATAATTCAATTATAAATTACCCAGTTTCAGATATTCTGTTATATAGCAGCACAAAATGGACTAAGATAGGTGGTTCATTCAGACAACAAATATTAATCAATTACTAAGATGCCAGGCACTGCAGTAGGTACTAGGCATACAGCAGTGACCAAATTTAACCAACATTCATGCCCTCAGGTAGCTTATGTTCTAGTGAGAGGAGCATACAAAGAAGGAGATAAATACATAAAGTGTTTAATATCAGAAAGTGACATATGCTGTAAAGAAAAATAAAGCAGAAAAGGGCTGTTATGACAAGTAAATGAAAAAATTAATGTATGTAAATTCTTGGCAGAGTGCCTGGCATAAAACGACAGCAAACATTTTAGCTGTTCTTACTAATTCAACTACAATTATAGAGCTTGGTGTACCCCTCAGAATAGCACAATGTCCTCTCACACACCTCAGCATGTAGTTAGGCTACCCATGACCACTGTATTTCCAATGAAAGTTGAATATTTTTCTATTTTTGCTTAGGGCAAAAATTCAGGAAAAGTATTTAGAACAACGCATAAATTATCCTTAATTTCACCACTCAGAGATAACTGGTATTAACATTTGATGTATATTTTCCCTGGCTCTTCTTTTTTCTTTAGACACACATCACATGTTTTTAAAAATGCAAATAAACTCCCTGCTATCTAATCTGCTTTGATCACTTAACGCTGTTATGAATATCTCATGTCAACAAGCACAGATTCACATCATTATTCTCATGCCCAGGTATAGTCCACTGAAAAGGTCAACCTTAAACCTTCCAACTGCTCCCTCACTGATTAATACATGTCCAACTGACATCCCAAGTTTTCATTTCTATGAAAATGCTTTGGTTTTAAAGGCACCAACTTCACTATTTGGCCCCGAGTTTATCTTGATTTTTATCATGGGAAAGTGTATGTTGTTTCCATATTTACTATGAACTTTAATCAGTTTTTATAAAGCCAGCAGGGAAGATTGAGTAGAACTCTTTCATAGGGCAAGCTTGGTGCCCACTTTCATTTATAGTCAATTCAATGTCATCATATTCAACTGAAATATATTTTTAACATTCACCGTGTTAGGACACCACCCTGGCTCCTGCTGGAAGCCAAGATGAGTAAGACATAATTCTTGTCTCCAAGGAGGCCGTGACAGATACACAGACATCTGTGATACGGTATATAGGTCAGAAGAATCATGACATTTCAAAGTAGAGAGAGAACATATTGGTTTGGTGTTCTCATGAAAGGTTGTGCAGAGTTCAGGGCATTTGGGACATGCTTTTATTGTAGTAGGTGGTGGTGAGGATTAGGGAAGTCTGGACAGAGGCAAGAGTATGAGACAAATGGGAAACAGGAGGGGAACCATCCAATCGGACACAGGAAACAAGTAAGGAAGCAGTGAGCAGCAAACCTGGAAGGTACCTTGAGCCCAGTTGATAATAGCTGTTGAGAAAACAGGCAGGAGTGTTTTTACTTAGCACAGTACACGATGGGGAGTTATTAAAGATCTTTGACCAGTGAATAAAGTGGAAGAAGTAGGAGTGATTATATATGTGAGTTGCCAACTAGCAGGATAGTTATGTGGTTATGAAATTCTGAAGTGGAATATTGGCTAAGGGAAAGGAAAGCAGGGAATAGACCCCAGAAGACTAAGGTATAGAATCTAGAGGCCAGAAGGGGAGATGAAAAGCAAAAGTCCCAGAGTACACAGACTTTTGAACCTGGGTTCCTGGGAGCATGACTGTGCTACCAGCAAAAGAGGCAACAAAGAACACACAGTGGGCTAGTGGGGAGAGACATCATTTCAGCTGGGACTAGTTGAGTTTGGGGTCATGCAAATGGAGCTGTTCATCAAGTCTCAAGCTCATGGACAAGCTCAAGGTCAGGGGTCCATATTTGGGCATTTTCTGCATTCCAAGTCTCCCTTACCAGCATTGTGAACTTGGGGAAAAGTTATTTAACTTTTTATACCTCAGTTTCTTCATCTGTAAAACTGCAACAATAGAAGGCCTACTCATCCCACTCTTAGGGCTGTTGTGAAGAATAAATTATTTAATACCCCCCAGGCACATAGAGCGATGCCTGGCATGTAATATGTATTTAAATGTTTGCTTTATGTCATCAGCATGTTGATTAAGCAGGACTCTTTAGATATAGTCTTAAAAGACATTTTATTGTTGTCTCCTTTGTCCTTTAAAGGTTATTCTGGGGAGAAGTTCTAAATAAAAATGTAGGCAGAGAAACTCAGGAGGACTCAGGTGGCATATCTTTCTCAGAAGAAATGTCTGGACAAAGGCCAGATGGCTGAGTAGAAGTTGGCCAGATTGAGGGAAGTGCATTGTAAGGGCAGGAGGAAGGAGAGGAGAGTGTTTCTGATATACAGTAAAGGTGACGGGGTGAGAGCCTGATGTCTTGGAGGAACTAAAGATGGATCTTTATGGCTGCGGAGGTGCTTGTGGGAGGTGACTCTGGGTGGTGGCTGTGGGAGGGCTGTGGGGTGATTGTGGAGATATCTGTGGGGGTGACTGTGGAGGGTGTGGCTGTGGGGCTGGTAGTGGAGATAAATGTCTTTGGGGGGGAACTGTGTGTGCCTGTAACTGTGGAATTGTGGAGGTGCCTGTGGTGTGAGGGTTCTTCTCTGAATAGGGCAGGTCTTAAACACAGGGCCTCATAGAAAGTGGGCAGGAAATAAACATTGTTGAAAGTGAAGTCTACAAACTATGTAGGTTTTTCATTCTTCTTTAACACAATTTCCCTTCTCACAATTTAAAACCATCATGCATCAACTTCCTGCTTTTATTCACTGGAAAATTTTAGGTCCATCTTCAAGTGGTTCTCGACTTGGAAATCAGAGGGAGAGAGCTCTTTTGGGCTCTTCATGTAGAAGCTCTCATAGAGTTTGTTTGCTGCTAACCACGTTTTCCCAGATAGTAACAATTGAAGGCGAGTAAGGGATTGAAGCCTAGGGCCAAGAATTATCCTTTAGATAGGGTGAATCAACTTGACTCTGTTCAAAGCACAAGATATCTCAAAGGTCGTTATCTTTAGAAAAAATGTTGATCAATGATATCTTTCAGGCAATCAACTGTGTTGAAATATAATTTATACTTCTTTTTACTTTCTCTTCTTTCAGTGAATTAAATTATAACCAAGCTTATTTCTTGATTTACATTTCTCCTTAATTATTCTGAGCTAAGTTCTACCCTGCAGAGCTCCAGAAAATGGATAAAATATGCATTTGAGTGTCGAACAGCAGCGGCAGACACCTACACACCAAACCCTGGCTGTGTGGGATGCTGCCATTTTCCCCAAGTCATTTCAGGTCAGAAACACCTCTGCTCCCAAAGAATACTGCTTAGGGGCCCACACACACAAGGTCTCTATGCATCTTATGATATGAGAATCAGGGAGCAGCTCATTGTTCTGCACCCTCTCGAGTATAAGACCAGGGCTATTTTTCTGCCCCTATAGGCATAGAAAGGGTTCTCCAATTATTCAGCCCAACAGGACCTCTACAGGGCTTGAAGTTCAGAATCAGAGAATAATTTTGCTTTGTTGCAATCCATTTAGCAGAGCCTTCTTTTTAAAATAACATTAATACATATCGTTGTGGAACATTTGGAAACTAGAAAATTGTGATGCCTAAAATTAAAAAGTACCCTCAATTCCACAGAGTTAGTCTCAGTTGGCATGTTCTTTGGCTTTTGGCCTTTTGCCTCCTCTCTTCCCATAATGCAGATGTAATGCCTAGAAATGTCACAGGCATCTTACAACCTTGAAGACAGAATTCACAGGCTGAGCATGAAGGAGCATGAAGGTGGAGCCTGGGTTCTCAAAGACATTGTTGAAGTACCATTCTGGTTCTCTACTGCTACCTCTAAACTTTCTGTTGCTTGAGTTAAATAAACCTCTATCATTTGAAGCCATTAAAATAGCTTTCTATTGAAGTATAACATACTTTTGGAAAAGTGCATCACAAGTTTACAGCACGATGGAGTTTTTCATAGCTAATACACGTGTAGACAGTTCCCAAATTAAGAAAAAGAACATTATCATCCCTGAGAAGTGACTTCTTGTCACTCCCACTTCTGAAAGTAACCAGCATCTGAAAATGACCATAGATTAGTTTTGCCTGTTTTTGAACTTTATGTGAACCAAATCACATAGGTTTCCCTTTCTGTCTGGTTTCTTCTGATTAACATTCTATTTGTGAGATTTATTCATGCTGCTGTGTATAACATTATTTGTTCCTTCTGCTTGTTGTGTGATAGTATAATTTATAAATATACCACAATATATTTATTTATTCTGCTGTTCATAGACATTTGAGCTGTTTCCAGCTTGGAGCTATTTACAAGTAGTACTGCTATGAACACTCTTGTACATATCTTTTAGTGAATACATGTACACTTTCTGTGGGATAAGTAACCAGGAATAGAATTCCTAGATCATGACATAGGTATGTCCTATTTTGGTAGATACTACAGGTATCCAAATAGTTTCCAAAGTTGTGTCAATTTACACTCCAAACAGCAGTGTATGAGAGTTTCAGTTGCTTCATAGCATTGCTACTACTTCATACGAATTGTCTATTTCATTTTAACTATTCTGATGATATGTAGTAGTATCACATTGTAGTTTAATTTGTGTTTTCTTGATGGTTATGCAAGTAGAACATCTTTGCATATGTATATCAGCCATTTGGATATCTTTTTAAAAATTTCCTGTTCAAATATTTTGGCCATTTTTCTATTATGTTATCTGGGTTTTTTTTTTTTGTAGGGTTTCTGTATATATTTTGAATATGAGTCTTTTGTTGGATATATGTTTTGCAATTATCTTCTCCCCTTTCTGTAGCTTAATTTTTCACTCTCAATAATTTTTGTGATAAAAAGAAGTTTTTAAGTAAAATTCAATTTATCCTTTTTCCCCTTTATGGTTAGAAACTTTTGTGTTCAATATAAGAAAGTTTGCCTACCCTAAGGTCATGAAGATAGTTTCATGTGTTTCCTTTTAAATATTTTATTTTAGTTCTCACATTTAGGTTTTATATATTGTATGTATATATACATAAATAATTGATATACATAAAAGTTATATAATTGATTTTTGTGTGTGGTGTGAGGTAGAGGTCAAAATGCATTTTTTTTCCTCATGGAAAAAAATTGATCTGATCCTATTTATAAAAAGACACCTGTTCTCCAGTGCATCTTAATGTCACCTTTGTCACAAATGCTTCAGCTATTCAAATAGTTTTTTGTTATTACTGGCAGCCAGATAATCATATTTTCTCTATGTGTACATGTATGTGTATGAGTGTGTATACACATATGTTCTCCTTCATTCCTTCAATATTCTTTAAGAATATAGTTTTTAATATGTGCTTAATGTTTCCTTGTATTGATGTACCATCATTTATCTAACAAATACTCTGATGCTGAATATTTAAGTTGTTTCCAACTTTTGGTTATTATGAGTTGAAAATGAATGACCTTGTCCATAAATATTTGCACAGGCATCTCATCTTCCTTAAATTAAGTTCTCAGAAATGGAATTATGGGTTAAAATGTACAAAATGTTAAAGGCTTTTGGTAGATACTGCCAAATCAGCATAGAGTTAAACACTACCTGAAAAAATGGGGAGAATGTGCACTTGAAGTGCCTAATTCTGCAGCTGAGAAGCCAATAATACCACTTTAAAATATAAATATATTTATTTGACTTTTTTCAAACAACTTTAGTGAATTTTTCTACTCTTTTCCTTTCTAATGACAACCGAAGTCATCAGATCGGAAATTACTTGACCTAAAAGTGAGATTGGCTGTCCAGGGATACCAAAAACAATTTCAATATAAATGCCTGACTATTTATTTCTTGTAGTTGAAGCTGAGAATGTGAGCACTGGAGGCAGGCTGTTTTCACATGCCACACATTATTTCTGCTTTCTCTTTTAGTTCATAGATTAGTTTTTTTTTTCCCCCTTTCTTTTGCTGTTGTCATTTTCTTAAAGTGACTGTCAAACAATTGTTCTTTTTCTTCATTCCCTAAACACTGAGTACAAGCCTGAGTCTTAGTGAATGATTCTCTCTCTCTTCAGGGTACAAGGTTTACATTGAATCAAAGAGGTTAGTACGAGCTTTTGGATTTTGGAATTATAATGAGATCATCTCTTAGCAACTACGCTTGAAGCTAATGCCATGTGTTCATTTGCAATTGTATGTTAAATTGACTTTGGTCAATCAATGCTAGGTTAAAAAATAGAGGCCATGTAGAACTTCTTGCTCCATTATGATAAATGCTGTGACTCTCAAGGATTCTGCTGTGGACAATGGGATATAGAATTCAATCAATTTGGCACAATGCCGATTGCTTTCTAGACTGAGGAAAGAATTGACAGTTGGATGAAGAGAGGTTTTGTGGAGGAAGTGCTAATAATGTTGACCTTCAGGAAGAAGTCCTATGCTGTTGTAGGCAATCCTGGGTTGGCTACTATAGAAAGTGCAGAGGAGATCACTGGATCAGAGGACTTAGGCAAAAAGCACAAGTGGGCATTCTTGAGGAAGCCAGCAGATAAACTGCCCCAGATCAAGGAGGACTCTTGCAGCCTATTCTGAGCTCCATCTCAGTTGGTGTACAGAACCTCACAAACCAAGATAGGTATGGAGGGGGACAGGGAGAGGTCCCCTGGCTCTCAATCTTGCTCAGCATTCTGAGTCTGAGCTTTCTTTTGTTGTCTCTTCCTTTCTTTCTCCTTATTTTTCCTCCCCATCCCCTCTCCTCCCCTCTTCTCCCCTCCCCTCGGCTCTCCTCTCCTCTCCTCTCCTCTCTCCCCATACCAAGTTCTTCCTGTCTGAGCCCCCTCAGTCAATTGCCTGGAGTTCTTGACACTGAGGCTCATCAGCCAGGGCCTGTTGGAAGTAAGCAGCACAGACACAGACCTGCACTCTTCTATCATCTCCTCTGGTAAGACATCTCATAGACGATGCTCAGCTCCTGGACACGGCATTGGTGGGTGGGATAATGATTACTTGTCTAGACTGTGGCCTGACTAGATGGGGTTATATCTAGTCACTTGCCCAGGGAGGGACCAAGACATAGTCAGGTCCAGCATCTTCTCATGACATGAGACACCCCCACCCTGTATTTCCAGTCCCACTGCTTTTGATTTCAGTGATGCCAACAAGAGCTAATTGGTTCTATTTAAAGTATGTTGGGGAAAAAAGTCCCTGTTTCTTTAGTTAGGATAGGGTAGGTTATACTTCAACAACAAAGCCCTGGACAACTCAATAGCTCACAGACCAAAGGCTGTTTTCTTACTTTTGCCATACGTCCATTGTGGGTTGGCTGTGGCTCTGTCTCATGTCATCCTCACTCTAGGACCCAGGCTGATAGAGCAGGCTCCGTCCAGAACATCACTATCTCTTGCAAGGTGATGGCAGTAGGCAAGGGGTGGGGGGTGGGCAGTGGAGAGCTCAGTGAACCACTTATTGGCTCTTAAAACTTCTGTTTGAAGTGATACAAGGTTCTTCTGCTCAGATTCCATTGGTCAAAGTAAGTCATGTGGCCAAATCTGCTGTCAGTGGAGTGGGGAAAGATAATCCTCCCCCAGAGAGCAGCATGGAATGTTTGTGAAAAATAACACAGTAGACCACATGTAGTCACCAGAGGTTTAGAGATCATCTCTATGCTGAAGACCCTTAGGCTGGAGGTTCTTAGACTTTTTGTGCATCAGAATTATAAGAATTCAGTAGGTCTGGGATGTGTGCTGAGAAGTTGCATTTCTAACAAGTTCCCAAGTGATGCTGAGATGCAGATGCAGCTGGTCAGGAGGCCACACTTTGAGTGATTTCAGAACCACTGCCTTAGGCTGTTAGGGAGCCCCTCGAGCAAGCACCTCATCCATGCCCCAGGGCATATCAGCTCCTGTGTGGAGAGGCCTTGCTCACATGTTTCTCTTATTGCTGAGCACTATTTTAACAGAGGGCAAACAGATATTTATTTTCAAAGATGCTGAGAAAAGAACTCTCTAGCATTTTATTTCCAAGCATCAAATGTCCTGAAGGAGGTCTGGAACCAAGCAATGGGGGCATCACAATCAAGAAAGTTCATGGCAGGAGCCAAGGCTCGAGGTGGGGGAAGCAATTCTGAGACCTGGTGGCTCCATCATGATATCAATGGATTGTAAGTGTCTTTTAATTTTTCTTACACCAAAATGTTCTTCAAGAAGAATGAAAATGATCTTTTGGCTCAGGGACAGACAGGCAGACCAATGGCGTGGAATCAACTGCCCAGAAATTGACCCGATATGAAAACTTGAAATATGATAGAAAGTAGCATTGATGGCAGTAGGAAAGGATCGCCTATTCAATAAATAGTACTAGGACATTTATCTATCTGGAAAAAAAATTAGATCCTACAAAGTTCTCATTTATACTTAATCTAAGCAAGAACACTTGTTTTCCTTTATAACCACAATACAGCCACCAAAATTATGAAATGAATATTAATATATTACTATCATCTAATAATGCTCAAATTCCCATTCAAGTTTCATTAATTGTCCCAATAATGTCATTTATAGCAAAAGAATACAGTTCTGAATCATACATTGCATTTAGTTATGTCTCTTTAGTCTTTCTCAATCTGGAACAATTCCCAAGTTTCTTCTTGTCTTTGATAATCTTTTATTTATTTATTTACTTATTTATTATTTTATTTTATTTTTTTGAGAAGGAGTCTTGCTGTTGCCCAGGCTGGAGTGCAGTGGCGTAATCTTGACTCACTACAACCTCCGCCTCCCAGGTTCAAGCGATTCTCCTGCCTCAGCCTCCCGAGTAGCTGGGATTACAGGTGCCTGCCACCATGCCTGGCTAATTTTTCTATTTTTAGTAGAGATGGGGTTTTGCCATGTTGGACAGGCTGGTCTCGAACTCCTGACCTCAGGTGATCTGCCCGCCTCAGCCTCCCAAAGTGCTGGGATTACAGGCGTGAGCCCCCGCGCCTGGCCAATAATCTTTTTTTTTTAAATTCTACGTTGGTCCAATAGAATTGACTTTGATAACCTTGACCCTTTTAAGCAAGTTATTTTATAGATTCATTTTATATTTGGATTTCCATTATGTCTTCATATGATTCCATTCAAGTTATTTCCTTTTTGGTAGGAATATTGCAAAAGCAATGCTGTATTCTTCCGGATGTATTCTATAAAGTGGCACACAATTTTGATTTTGTTCCATTATTGATGTTAACTTTGATCACTCAATTGAGATGAGATACGATTTTAAACTCACCTATCTGACAAACATGGAAAAGTCTGATAATGTCAAATATTTGCAAGGATATGGAGCAAGAGAAGCTGTTTTACACTGCTGAGAGGAACATAATATGATATAACTTTAGAGAGTAATTTGGCGATCCCTAGTAATTTAAAAATGTGCATACGCTATAACCAGCAATTCCACTCCTGGATACATTGTTAGAAAAACAAATGCACATGTACCAGGAGACATGTATAAGAATATTCACAGAAAACAACCTCAGTGTCCATCAATAGGACAACAATTCTTAAATTATAGGATAGTGGTACAGTAGAATATTATACAGTACCAAAAAGGAAGAAAGAGAGCAACAACAGGCTGAAAATCAATCAATGTGGCTGTCCTTTGAAAAATAAATATCTTGGGCAAAAAAGGCTATAGAAGAATACATACTGAACGATTCCATTTACCTAATGTTAAAAAAGCATATAATACGAAACAATGTTTTGTAAAGCTATCAGGAAAAACAAGGGAACAATAAATACAAATTCAGGATAATGATAAGCTCTGGGAAAGGAGAGGAATACATACTTCCAGAAGGAGTATGTATTAGTCCATTTTCATACTGCTATGAAGAAATACCTGAGACTGGGTAATTTATAAAGAAAAAGAGATTTAATGGACTCACATTTCCACATGGCTAGGGAGGCCTCACAATTATGGCAGGAGGCAAAGGAGGAGCAAAGGCACTTCTTACATGGTGGCAGGCAAGAGAGCATGTGCAGGGGAATTGCCAGTTATAAAACCTCACAATTATGGCAGGAGGCAAAGGAGGAGCAAAGGCACTTCTTACATGGTGGCAGGCAAGAGAGCATGTGCAGGGGAATTGCCAGTTATAAAACCATCAGATCTTGTGAGACTTACTCACTATCATGAGAACAGTGCAGGAAAACCCATCCCCATGATTCAGTTACCTCCCACCGGGTCTCTCCCATAACATGTGGGGATTATGGGAGCTAATTCTAGATGAGGTGAGATTTGAGTGAGGACACATCCAAACCATGTCAGAATATTTGGGGGCTTCAACTATTATTCTGGTTTTTATTTTTATTTTTTTGAGACAGGGTCTCCACTCTGTCATCCAGGCTGGAGTGCAGTGGCACAATTACAGCTCACTGCAGCCTGGAACTCCTGGGCTCAAGTGATCTTCCTGCCTCAGCCTCCTGAATAGCTGGGACTACAGGTGCACATCACCACACCTGGCTAATTTTTAATTTTTTTTTTTGAGATGGAGTCTCTCTCTGTCGTCCAGGCTGGAGTGCAGTGGTGAAATCTCAGCTCACTGCAACCTCCGCCTCCCAGGTTCAAGTGGTTCTCCTGTCTCAGCCTCCTGAGTAGCTGGGACTACAGGCCCAGCTAATTTTTCGTATTTTTTTTTTTCAGTAGAGATGGGGTTTCACCATATTAGCCAGGATGGCCTCGATCTCCTGACCTTGTGATCCACCCACCTCGGCCTCTCAAAGTGCTGGGATTACAGGTGTGAGCCACCATGCCCGGCCTAATTTTTAAATGTTTTTGTAGAGACAGGGTCTTGCCATGTTCCCCAGGCTGGTCTTGAGCTTCTGGCTTCAAGACATCCTCCCACCTTAGCTTCTCAAAGTGTTAGAATTACAAGTGTGAGTCACCAGGCCTGGCCTTATTTCATTCTTTATAAGGGAAGAGGGGAGAATGGGTTCAGGAAAGAGTTTATGAGGGCTTCAGCTGTTGTCTTATTCTTTATACCTTATGCATAAATTGTAAATCTCCTTTTGTTTGCATTAACTATTTTATAATTTTTAAAAAAATATGTAACATTTCACACCCTCAGTTTTCTGTTTTTGCCATGGGCTGATGGAAGTTTCTTCTGGTCTTGGGCTAGCATTTGAAAACCATGCCCTAGCTCACGTTGTTGGTGCGGAATCACATCCCTCACCCACCAACGCTGGCACTCATTTTAGTCATTCTCAGACTGACCATTTCTCCTAGTTTGCCCATGATAGTCTTTGCATATACCTGTAAATATGGTTTGGCTGTGTCCCCACCCAAATCTCATCTTGAATTGTTGCTCCCATAACTCCCACGTGTTGTGGGAGGGACCCAGCAGGAGATAACTGAATCACGGGGGTGGTTTCCCCCATACTGTTCTCATAGTAGTAAATATGTCTCACAAGATGTGATGGTTTTATAAGATGTTTCCCCTTTCACTTGGCTCTCATTCTCTCTGCCGCCATGTAAGACGTGCCTTTCACCCTCTGCCATGATTGTGAGGCCTCCTCAGCTGCATGGAACTGTGAGTCCATTAAACCTCTTTCCTGTATAAATTACCCAGTCTCAGGTATGTCTTTATTAGCAGTGTGAAAACAGATTAATACACCTGTTACCCAGTCTAATTATGAATAATGCTTTCAAAAGTGTTCTGGTTTGGAAGGTAAATTATATCAAGTCCTACCTACATGTATATAACATCTTTATCCTCAAGAGTTCAGATGGTTAAAGAACTCACAGACCTCATCCATTTTATAGGTGAAGGGAAAGCATCCCTGAAAGAACATGTGATTGAAGTTAGTCCAGCCACTGGCCAGTCTCAAAGCTGGGGCCGGATCTTGAGTTTCCCCATTTCCTCCAAGTGCACTGTTCTTGTGCTGCTTCTGCCTTAACTAAGTCTTAGAGTAGACCTGGAAAATGCTGACCCCACACATAGGAGTGATTTCATTAACATCATTGATTCTCATGTCTAAAACAAGATTTAGGGAGATGGCCTTTTGAGAGTACACAGCAGATTGCTGGGAGGTTGGCTGCAATTCAACATGACAAGTGCAGCTTATTTTTTGATTTGTAGTATCTCTGGGTTATAACTCATAGAATAAGTCTTTGGCGTGTGAATCGTATGCAAAAGTTATCTGCCACGATGAGCTAAAAATCCACAAAACCACAATAAACGCCTCTTGTGTGAGGACCTTTGTCCGTCTCACTCAATATTCTGTCTTTAGCAGCAGTCACTGTCATGGGGCATCGTTGTCCTTCCTGGCATGAGTGAGGATGGTGGGTGAAGACGAAGGTGCAACAGTCTCAAGTTCTCCTTAATAACAAAGAATGCACTAATTCAGATCCCTGAAGGACTTACAGTTTTAGCCTGGATATAAAGAATTCTCTTGGTTTATTATCAACTATGTAGTATATAGTACTACATTTGTCCAGAGGACCACCTATTAGAAGCTTCAAAAGGTTCCCACTGTTTTTTTGCATTTTGTTATTGTGGTATAATTAACATATAGTAAACTGCACATACTTACAGTATACAGTTTGATGAGTTTTGACGTATCTGTAAAACTATCACCACAATTAAGATAGTAAACATATCCATTACCCTAAAAGTTTCCTTGTGCCTCTTTATAATGAATCCTCACTGCGTACACAACCCTGTCCACACTGATCTGCCCTCTATCAGTACAGATTAGTTTGCATTATCTAGAATTTAATATAAACAGAATCATACAATATATACTCTTTTTTTTTTTTTGGCCTAGTTTCTTTCATTCCATGGAGATGCCATCCCTGGCATTGTGTGTACCAATAGTTCATTCCTGTTCATTGCTGAGTAGTGTTCCATTGTGTGGCTATACCACAATTTGTTTATTCACTTGCTGATGAGCATGTAGGTTGCTTTTAGTTTTGGGCTATTACAAATAGGCTGCTGTGAACATTCACGTACAAATCTACGCATAGACAGATGTTTTCATTTCTCCTGGGCAAATACCTAAGAGTAGAATGTCTGGATCATGTGATAGATGTGTGCTTAAAGTTTTAAAGGAACTGCCAAATTTTCCAAAGTGGTTAAACTATTTAAGATTCCCACTAGTGGTGCATGAGAGCTCCAGTTTTTCCATATTCTTGCCAACACTTAACTTGGTCAGTAGTCTTTGTATTTTAGAAATTCTAGTGGATGTATAGACGTATAGTTTAAATTTGCTTTTTCCTGATGATTAACGATGTCGATAATCTTTTCATGTGCCGTTTGCTTTTTTTTTTTTCTTTGGTGAAGTGTTCATTTTTAAACTGGATTATTTGGGTGTTATTAAGTTGTAAGAGTTTCTTTTATATATTCTAGATAAAAGTCCTCTGTCCAAGATATGTTTTTCACATATTATTTTCCCAATCTGTTGCTTGTCTTTTTCATTTTCATAATAGTATCCTTTTTTTTTTTTTTTTTTTTGAGACAGGGTCTCACTCTGTTGTCCAGGCTGGAGTGCAGTGGCGTGATCTCAGCTCACTGCAGCCTCCACCTCCCAGGTTCAAGTGAGCCTCCTGTGTCAGCCTCCCAAGTAGCTGGGACTACAGGCATGTATCACCACACTCAGCTAATTTTTGTATAGACAGGGTTTTATCATGTTGCTCAGGCTGGTCTGAGCTTGGTCCTGGGCTCAAGCAATCCACCCGCCTGGGCCCCCCAAAGTGCTGAGATTACAAACATGAGCCACCGTGCCAAGCCATAACAGTATCTTTTAAAGAGCAAAAGTTTTTTATTCTGTTGAAATCCAGTTTATTGATTTTTTCTTTAATAGTTCCTACTTATATCCCATTTAATAATCCAAAGTTACTAAGACATTCTCTTGTATTTTCTTCTAGAAATGGTATAATTTTAGTTCTTATGTTTGAGTCTATGATCCATTCTGAGTTAATTTTTGTATATGGTGTGAGATAAATGTTGAGGTTCCTTTTTAACATATAACTACCCAGTTGTTCTAGCATCATTCATTGAAAAGATTATCCTTTTCCATTGAAAATGTCTGGGCATCTTTGTTGAAAGTCAATTGGCCATATATGTATGGATTCTCCATTCTGTTCCATTAATCTCTATGTCTATCTTTGTGCCAGTACCACATGATTTAAATTACCTTTAAACTTTATAGTTACTTTACTTAATTACTTTATAATATTTGAAATCAGTTCCTCTAATTATTTTTTATATGAAGGCTGCCAAACTTTTTCTTTTTTTTTTGAGAGGTGGGATCTTACTCTGTCCCCCAGGATGGAATGCAGTGGCATGACATAGCTCACTCCAGCCTTGACCTTCTGGGCTTGAGCAATCCTCCCACCTCAGCCCCCTGAGTAACTGAGACTACAGGCACGAGCCACCATGGCTGGTTCATTCATTTTATTTGTAGAGACGGGGTCTCATTATGTTGGCCAGGCTAGTCTCAAGCTCCTGGCTTCAAGTGGTCCTCCTGCCTTAGCCTCCCAAAGTGCTGAGATTACAGGCATAAGCCACTGTCCTGGCCCCCCAAATTTTTTAGAATTTTGCAAACTTTAATGGAAACCCTATCTAGCCTTTGTCTCTATAGACTGAGAAGTCTTGATTTTTTTCTACATTTTCCCTATCTAGAGTCTTGATAATTATTTTAGTGGTTCTTTATTCCATTGCTTCTATTCTGGATGTGTTTTCTTTGGGTGTGTAATATGTGTGTGTGTGTGTGTGTGTGTGTGTGTGCATGCGTGTGTGTGTATGGATGTAAGGCACAGTGCTTGGCACATGAGTGAGCACAGAAAGAGTAGCCTCTTTTCCTCTTACTATTGTCATTGTCATTGATGCAAATGCAGTTTGCTTTCCAACATCTTTCCAAAATATATAAAGCCATTCACTCTAGTTTTGGTCCCAGCAATTATGCCCCGTTAACTTCTTCAATAAATTTAACAATGATTCCTAGGTTCCATATTAGCTATTCTAGTGGATGCATTGAGGTATCGCATTGTGGTTTTAATTTGCAGTTCCCTGATGATTAATGATGTGGATTATAATGATGTTGTACACTTCTTAGGACATAATAGAAAACTCAGATATTATTATTGTAATTTAAATTCTTTCTCCCTAATTATATAACTGAACCCTTTTCACACTGATTTTTTTTCAAGGATCTTGCCCATTCACCTGTCTTTGAGAGAGCATTCTGTGGTTTGCCCTGATCAAATTAGTGTTTAATTACCTGAAAAGACACCCGAAAACTGGAGATTTCCTCATTTTCAGAACCAGTGATTTCCCTGGTTACTCCCTTTTAGATTTTTAAATAAGAGTTGTCCTGCAGTGATCCCAAGACCCTGCTGGGGCCTCTTCTCCATTGAGAGATACATTTACTTGTCTCTATCGTTTGTTTGCTTTCTTAAATTTGTGTTCTATTCATGACAAAACTTTCCAATTCCTAACCACAACCCCTAAAAATACAATCTTTAAGAGTGGGGTGTGCGTGTGTGTGTGACTAGGTCAATGGGTTGGGAAAGTTCAAATCGTGAACTCACTTAGCAACATGCAACATTAGGTTTATATTCCTGCCTCCCTTGCTTGATGAAACCAGTCAAATTTCTGTTCAAGTTTCAGCAAAATTCCACTTTAAATGATGATATGACTTTAAGTGGAGGAAACTATCTTATAGCATTTTGGAGGAAAAGGAAGGGAGGCTGACAGGCAAAGTTGTTAAATGTTAAATCAAAAGCTGAAAAGTCATTGAATGCAAAATAATTCAAACTCCAAGTGAGAGAGTTCAGGAGGGACTTCTCAGAATGAAGGGAAAAAAAAATGTCAAACCAGCAGTAATTGAAGGAAAAGTCAAATGGAGGGTAGAAGTCTCCCTTCTCAGAAGCAAAGGGCTGCTCTGTCTTTATTGCCTCCCCCAGTCTCCCGCCTTTTTAAACTGGGGACGAGGAAGGTGATAAAGCCTAGAGAAGATAGATGGAGGGAGGGCAGGGCAATCTGTGGCTGAGCAAGAGCTGCAGGGGCAGAGGCCGAGAGGCCCCAACTTGGGCTAAAAGGGTCTGAGAACCGGGCAAAAAGCTGCCAACAGCAGGAATATGAATTAAGGAGGGTGACCTTACAGAAATAGAAAGAATGACCTCTCTCTAAAATCTACAGAAAAATGATGAGGATATTAGCTAGTTAGGAAAAAAAAAGTCATTGCAGATTGGGGTATGAAAAGACCTTAGAGATTGCAGAACCCACCCTGTGTTTTATGGATGGCCAACAGCTGAGAAAAATGAGCCATGGGTCCAGACTAGTCTACCAAAGTATAATATGTTTGTATTTGAACTAAAAAAAAGATAATGTCCCCAATCTTCAAAGAAATTGTATAGTCCTAGAAGATACGCTTTTAACAAATCTCGTGGTTTTATGTAACACTTAGCATCCTCAGATCTCTGTTTGAGAAGCACCAGTTTCATTATCTTGCCCCAGGCCACAGCTTGTTTCTTGAAATTGGTTTTTTTGTTTGTTTGTTTTGTTTTGTTTTGTTTGAGATGGAGCCTCGCTCTGTCGCCCAGGCTGGAGTACAGTGGTGCGATCTCAGCTCACTGCAACCTCTGCCTCCTGGGTTCAAGCACTTCTCCTGCCTCAGCCTTCGGAGTAACTGGGATTACAGGCGTGCATCACCACACCCAGCTAATATTTTGCATTTTTGGTGGAGACAGGGTTTCCCCATGTTGGCCAGGCCGGTCTCGAACTCCTGACCTCAAGTGATCCACCTGTCTCAGCCTGCCAAAGTGCTGGGATTACAGGCGTGAGCCACCGGGCCCAGCCAGATATTGTTGTAAATGTTGTTTTAAAGTCTTTTGAAAGAAATAATGGCCCTGAGTGGTGGTTCACACCTGTAATTCTAGCACTTTGGGAGGCCAAGGTGGGAAGATTTCTTGAGACCAGAAGTTCAAGGCTGCAGTGAGCTGTGATCACATCATTGCACTCCAGCGTGGGTTAGAGGGAAAGGGAAGGGGAGGGGAGAGGAGGGGAGGGGAAGGGAAGGGAAGGGAAGGGAAGGGAGAAGGAAGGAAGGAGAAGGGAAGGAAAGAAGGAAAGAAGGGAAGGAAGGAAGGAGGAAAGAAAGAAAGAAAGAGAGAGAGAAAGAAAGAAAGAGAAGAAAGGAGGGAGAGAGAGAGAGAAAGAAGGAAGGAAGAGAGAGAGAAGGAAGGAAGGAAAGAGAGAAAGAGAAGGAAGGAAAGGAAGGAAGAAAGAAAGGGAAGGAAGGAAGACAAGAAAGAAAAGAAAGAAAGATCATCATGTTTGGTGCTTAATCAAAAGTTCCATACATTTTAATTTTTTAAAAAATAGATATGCTAGTTGAACAGTGTTGTGACATGCAAGTTCAATGCTATATACCAGAGGCAGAATGGATCAGGGCCAATGAAGACAAGGGCCTTCACCCCTGCCACCCTCATCTCTAGCCTGGGCCTAGCTTGGACTGCTATGAGAGCCTTCAGCTGGTCTTCCTGCCTCCTGTCTTGCCCTCTTCCAATCCATCTTCTGCACTATGCCTCAGAGTGACCTCTCTAAAATACAACCTAATCATATCACTCTCTTGCTGAAACTATTGGTAGCAACTCACTGACCACAGCATAGATTCAAAACTCCTTAGCATCCCTGTCCTCTTCTCTGTCCTTCTCTCTAGTAGTTCCCCTCCTAACAGACATTCAAGCTCTAATGATTGCTTCTTACCTTAGCTCATCAGGCCACTTCATCTCTGTGTCTTTGCTAGCAGTTCGCTTCTGCCTAGAATGTCCTTCTCCCCTTCCTTCTCTACTTAGAGAACTTCACCTCAATGCTCGAGGTTCAAAGCAGGCCGGGCCCAGTGGCTCCCAGCAATTTGGGTGGCCAAAATGGGAGGATCACTTGAGGTCAGGAGTTCAAGACCAACCTGGTCAACATAGGGAGACCCCATCTGTATATTTAATAAAAAAAAAGATTTTCCTCATACTCCCGGTTAAAACTGATCATCCCTATGATGATGTCTCACTCCTTCTTGCACACTTATCATAACACCTATAATATTTTATTGCACTTATTTATATACAAATTTATGTTAGAGAAATCAGTGGTTTTCAAACTTTAATGCATATAGTTTGCATTGAGACTTATCCAGTGTATAAGACTCATCCAAGAAATTTCTTTAAAATGCAGAATTCCTTGGCTTCACCCTCAAAGATTCTGCTTCAGTAGGCTGGCATCAGAGGGTTTCACAGACACTCCTGAGCCTAAGGAAAGCTTATGCTAAAGAAGGTCTGTCTTTACCTGAGTGAGGCACCATTTTGCCAAGGACAGAGGGCACTGCTGGTTTGTTCCACCCGCTTCTCCCCAATCATTGACTCACAGGAGTATGAGCTTGAGAGGTCCCAACACCCCCTTCTTCCCCTCCTACTCTCTCAGGGGTAAAATATGCAAAACTCATTTATATTCCCACAAGTAGGTGAGAATAACATTCTGGGCCATCACCATTCAATAATGGAAGCTTTGTGCAAAGTAGTGACAGGTGAGAGGAATGATTTCATTTTTCACTTTGACAATTGGGTGAAGCAGATTCCTGGCAGTTCTGCAAAGGTTTTATGCCCACATAGTTACCCAAGGGATCTGCTTAGCAACCAAGAGATGCTGCAAGGAGAAGAAAACAGCAGCGGTGTCTTGTAACTGAGATGCTGGAGTACAGAGAGGAGAGAGGGGACAGCCCTGCCTAGGGGCTACTGCTTGTTCTCTGGTCTCCAAAGAGACTGGTCCTGAATGTCCCAGCCCCTCTCCCCTACCCAGAGCCCATGCAGAGCTCACCGTGCTGGAAGCATCGTTCCCCAAGGGGCCTGGCTATGCTTTACTAGATTGCTTCTTTGTACAACTGTTTTTTCTAAGTATAAAATTCAACCTATTTGTTGAAAGTTTTGAGGGAGTTCAATAAATAGCATCTTCTTCTATGCCTGGGTTTTGTAATGAGAAATAGACCAAAAAGGAGGCATTTGGCAAAGTAAATATGACCAGTTCCCTAATAAAGCTGATATTGCAGAATGAGGTTTGTATCTCCAGGCAAGGGGGCTTTTTAATATTGAACTCCAGAATGGAATTTAACCCCCTAAACAACAGCCCCTCCAATCCTCCCCGTCTCCCACAGAGCAGGGCCCTACCCTCTAATACTACCACGAGCTAAGACCATCCAGAAGACTTGCTCTTGGCTGGTAGGTTGACTCCCTAGAGGAAGGGGAGTGGCGGGATTTGGGCAATCCCAGTGTCTCTCCTACACCACCAAACTAGTAACTCTTTCAGCCTCTCAGGGCAGAGTGAGTCAGGGGCCTATAAAAACCTCAGGGTTACCTTCCCAAGGCAGGAAACATCAGACTTGAATCCAGGCATTTCCCCCAACCCAATCATGTTTACTGTTAAAAGCTTTGGGAAATACATGAAAAGTAAAAGAATAAAATACAAATTGTAAGATATACTATATTTTTTCTATTCTAAGGCACATATCTCTTACTTTATCATATTTCTTAAATCAGGACAGGTTTTATAATTGATGCATGTTTAATGTTCTATTATTATTTCTTCTTAAAAGACTTTTGTTAAGCATCCAGTGCCTCTTTGAGTTGTTAGTATCTTGGAAATAAAGAAATATGGTAAATTTAATTTTTTTCTTAAAAGATAGCTATTATACTAGCGCATCTTCCTGTGCCAATAAGTAGTGAAGACTTGTTGTATAATAACTACAAAATATCTCATCATCTGGATGTACTAGAATACACTCAACTCATCTCTACTCCTTGGCATTTAAGTTGTTGTTTTGCTTTGTTTTAGTATTGTAGATAAATTTCCTTGTGTCTAAATCATTGCTCCAAATATGATTTCTTCCCCTTAATAACAGGTCCTCCACTTCAGCATATTAGCCTTTTTAAATCTCTTGGCTTCCTATGTCCATATTGTCCCTCAAAGAAGTTATCCAGCTTCACTTCTCATCGGTATTGCCTGAGAATCCTCTTAGGCAATTGTGCTGAGAATTGTCTCTCAGCACAGTCGGCAGCTCTGAATATGATAGGGCTCTGTTATAAGGTGGCTAGTCTTTTTACACATTCAAAGGTTGTCCATCTTCATGTTTATCCTGTCACTCCTTGTCAACCCTCCCTCCTTCAAGTTCAGTCCAGAGCGTCCTGGAAGAAAATGAACAAGCGCAGAGGACAGGGTCAAGCACACACATGCTCATTGTTGTCACCAAGCTTTGCCACCAGATCCAACACAGTACCATACAGTGCGCTGCTAGGCTAGGCTGGCTGATGTGGAGAGTGGTTTTGCCTAGGTGAGAGACAATCCCACAGCCAAAGCAGGCAAAGAAGCGCCCACAGACAGCCTCCCCTCTGTCTATACCCATGGCACGGAGGCACCACGGAGCGAGCACTGCCCAGGCAGTGGCAGGCACAGCATTTGTCTGGATGCCTGGAGCATGCTGGTTTTGTCCCTCCCTGCACCCCCTTCTCTCTCTCTTTACCCCACTGTTCAGGATTGGAAGGACCTGCTTCCTCTGGAGGCCAAGGAGCATCACTGATGTGGTTGCTGGGCTGTGTTTTGGTCTCCAACGAGCCCTCCAGAGGCGGCAAGGGGAGGTGCAGGCCTGGGTTGGATGGTGCCACGCAGCACATCTTAAGCAGCAGCTACTCTGGAACAGGCAGCACTAAGTGCTGGAGGAAAGACAAGATCTCATTTCTGTTGAGAGCTGCTTATGGCAGTGGTTCCACGGAACCCGTCCCCATTCCGACCCATCTGCTCGGTCCTTGGGTATAGGCAGGGGACTCTGCTGGGGAGGAGCACCATGAGCTCGCTCCTCAGAACCATGGGCAGAAGCAGATTGGACCGTCGCAAATGCAAACCTGGGTGTTTAGTAGAGAAAAAAATCTTTTCAACTCTTGGCTCTCCAGAGAATAATGTACCAAAACAAAATGGATCCTGAGGACATCTCTCAGCGGGGTGACTTCTACCCAGGTTAAGTAGAAAATTCCAGGAGCTTAATATGCCCAAATCACAACTTATTGTTTACCTGCTTCTCCACTGGGGTAGAGATCCTCTTGGGAGCTTCAGGTCAAGTGTTTTAGAGTAGAATTTGGTTGGACTGTTCTGGGTTAGATGGCTCACAGATGGGCTAAGCTCCTTCAAGCTATGGCAGTTTATGTTTAAGCAGTGTCTAGAATTAAGGGGGCTTATAGGATTTCCCAGCCAGGTAATGCCCTAGGGTAGGGCTCACTGGTAAAAGAGCCCAAGGAGAATTCCCAAGGGTCACTGCCAGGACAGTGGATTTAGACAGGAGAGAAGGGCAGTTTGAATGGCCAGTCTCTAAGGTCTCGGGGTCTAAGGAAGAGACTCTTTCTTGAAATAGGGCAGGAGAGCAGAGTGTTTGATTTGCAATCGTGGGGCAGATTCTGCAAATCAGGCAGATTGCCCTCTCTGAGGGCATTCCCCTCAGAGAGACTACAGCCTTCCCTGGGGCTTTCCTTCAAAGGGACTCAAAGGAGATTTGGAGGGAACTCTCCAAGGGTCAACATCTTATCAGTCCAGTAGGGCTCTGAGAGTTGACCCAGTCATTTTATTCAACCCTGGCAGAGCAGAGAAGATTGGGGAAGTTGAGTCAGACACAATCCCATGCCCCATAGATCCTCACAGGAGAGGCAGAAAGGGGGCCCATGGGCTTATTTTTCCTGAGGTTCCATCTGTACAATGAGACTTCCTGCCTGGGGGCAGGGTGGGGGAATAACCTGAGGGTCTCTCCAGCCAGCGGGGAGAGGAACTTGGTCAAGTCCCCTGAACTGGGTTGGTCGCTGTGTTAGGAGAATGGGGGGAGCCTGCAGAGTCAGCTGGAGGGAAAGTGGCTTTCTGTGTTGGGGCTTCCCCACTATCGACACTGCAGAGGCTGTACCTTCTGCCCACCATTTGAAAGAGACATCATGGAACGTAAAAAAAAAAAAAAAAAAAAAGAAGAACTCAAAGGTAATAAGGAAGATTTAAATCCTATAATCAAAGAAAACTAAGAAGTTAAGATGGGCTGAAAGCCAAACATTTTAAACAAGAAAAGACATTTAAAAATAAGCTTTAACATAAGCAAGTTTGTTTAATATTTCAATATAAAAAAGGAAGAAAAAAACCTAAAAATAAGTTTGTTTTTTAAAATGACAGAAATAAAAGGCCTCAAGTTCAAAAAGTAAAATTTAAGAAATTTTTAATCTATGAAGTTGGAAGAAGAGTTAAAATCCCAATGAAAGAACATTGAGTTTTTTTTTTTTTTTAAGACAAGATACAACTAGATGAGATTTAAAATAAGATAAATGGCTGGACTCCAATAAAGATTAAAAACCTAAAAATGAAGCTATACATGATTAAAATAAAAACCAAGAGCCATTGAGGCGAAAGTTAAAAACATGTTAGTAAGTGAAGCTAACAATATCGTAAGAATTGTAAACACTATAAAATAAAAAGAAAAAAATCCAAGATAAAGTGAAAGTGAAGAGTTTTTAAATTTGGAGAGAGGGTAAAAGACCAACAGGCTGAGGACCAAGCAGCAGGCAACGCCTTCCAACGGCGTGCAGGTCCCAGGCACTCCTGCTTCTCCTGGGGAGTTGCCTCCAGGTCAATGGGGGGTCATTTATTTTGTGGGGTGAAGAGTCAAGAGGCAGGAAATCAAGAGCTCCTCTCCCCCTCCTTGTCCTAGACATCGTCCCCAGAGGCTCACGCCTTGGTCTGACTCTGATGGTAATTCTCCTTGCTCCTCCATTCATGGAGGTGCAGAAGGAAAATAATTTTTCAGAGCTGCTGCAGCCATGAGTCAGGGGAAACTGTCTTAGATCCTGCTGGGCCCCGCCTCCCCACAGGAAAAAGGAGAAGACATGGAAATGGGTGGAGAGAAAATCAAACATGGATTGAGGGTACACTGTCTAGAACTGTGAACCGTTCACTTCAAACGCCTTCTTTTTGTGTCTTCTGCATCAGAACCTGAATACCAGTGGCAGGAAGTTCATCTTCTGCAAAGTTGCTAAAACTATCCCATATGTAATTATATATTCTTACTGTATTGGCTCAAAATTGTGCAGAATAAAGTGTAACCTAAAGAGAAACCAAAAATAGTTACTTGATTTCCTTTGCCAAATTGCCTTGAAAAATGTAAATGCGTGAAACTTTAAAATTAGGTAATCAGCTAACAAGTATTTGTTGAGTATCCTGTGTTGGGAGCCTGGCAAGCTTCCCTGGAAGCAATGAAGACAGACTTCCTGGCCTCAGCTGGGCACAGAGGGCCACGAGCTGAGTGCAGGCTGGTGTTCATTACTGTGACCTACTTTTCATCAGTCTGATAGCCAAACAATATAGTGTGTGGATGCTTGTTCCTCTAGGATCTCTCTTTGGCCCACTACTAAGGCATCCAGGTTTGTTTGTTTGTTTTTGTTTTTCTTTGAGAAGATATCATTACCGCAAGCAAGTGGGGATTCTATAGAAGTGCTGTGCTTTATATCTACTCCTTAACTTGCATCCTTCTGCCTCAGACCATGCTGCAGGTCTGATTACACAGCCTCAACGGCAGCAGGTAGGATCCTCTTGGAAGAGCTTGGATGACATTTTAAAATTAATCTCTGACTTTCATGTTTCTGTTTATTATTGTGTGTCTTAGTTCATTCAGGCTGCTTTAACAAAATACCTGAGACTGGATAATTTACAAACCACAGAAATTTACTGCTCACAGTTCTGGAGGCTGGGAAGTTCAAGATCCAAGTGCTAACAGATTCAGTGTCTGGTGAGGGCTCACTCTCTGCTTCATAGATGATGCCTTCCTGCTGAGTACTCACATGGTGGAGGGGGCAAACAAGCTCCCTCAGTTCCACACAAATCTGGGAAGAACACCTACTTCCAGCACTGTGGACACATTTCATTACCTGCACTCAGAAACAGTGTGCTGAGCCCTTTCCTGAGTTTCTTCCTGGAGCCCTTTCCTCCCTAAGTTTTGGACACAGGGCCATGGAGTCAGCTCCAGGGCTAACACATGACACAGACACCATGCTGTCCTCCAAGAGGAATGTATCCTCTCCCCATTCTTTCAACAAAAATGATCCTCATTCAGGTCATCTCCTAGCAGGGCCTCTGTCAGTCAACCAGACATGATCCCTAGTGCTGGATCCTATCTGGGAGTCTTCCTCCAAACATAAAATTGACCCTGTGACTAAGAGTGAAGCATTTGTCCATCCTGAGCCTTTGTTTCTTCATCTAGAAAACGTGACTTGCCCTTTTTATGTCAGCAATGAGTATCCAATGAGATGATGACCAAGCACTTTTGAAAGGTGTAAAGTCATAGATGATGCTGAGTTGGGGAAAACCAGGAGTCGATTGCTTTGAGTTCTTTCAGCCCAGAGTGGTAAACTCGTGGGAGAGTTGATTTCCATTTCCCGAATTACATCTCCCTGGCCTCGTTTATACTTTCTTTAGCAAAAGATTAAACCTTACATGAATTACTTACATACCTTAGTGGTATCTTGCCAAGAGACTTAAAAATGTCACAGATACTGGGGGTGGGGTATGGCGAAGGATTGCCTAGGTGGGAAGGCACTCAGGGAAAAAGAGAAAGAAAATCAGAGGCTACGTGCTGTAAAATAAATCCAAACATGTAGGCCCAGCAGTCCCAATACAGAATAGACTGGATAAATGAAGCTAATTAGTTCACTAGCTTGTGAAGCAAAGCTACAGCAAGGATTGACTGTGGGGTTGGCAGTTATTCACCCTGCCCTTGCCCTTGCCTGCAGCCACAGCAGACGTTACTAATGGATTATAGCACTCTTTCTCTCTGGGCTGACACTTGACCTCCCATTCCTTCTCAACAAAATGCTTAATGGTTTGGATTGGAGGTAGCCTCTTAGACGAAGCTAATTTTTTTAAGCTAGTAGGCTTGAAGACTGTAGTTAGATCAGGAGAGCCCACATAACAAGAGTACATGGAAGCTACATTCATTAAGGAAAAAAAAAAAGCTTTGTGGCCATATGCTGGAAGAAACTGCTTCATGAGGGGTTTGGGCAATTGGTGGTGGTTTGTGGAAGGACCATGGACCAAGTGAAGACCAGTAGAGGAGGGAGAGGGTCAGAGCCTGCTGCTGTAGGATCCCTGAGCCTGCTGCTCATCTCCCCTGAAGCCTCCCCTAGTGTGTGTGTGCAGGTGCGCAAGAGAGCGTGCACACACACACGCACATGCACAATTAATCCCCTAAACTGTGACACCTATTTAGATATTTGGTAGCTTACATTTAAATTTAAATTAATTAAAATGAAATACATCTAAAAACATAGTTCTTCAGCTGCACTAGCTGCATTTCAATTGCTCAGTAATCACCCATGGCTACAGTATTGGGCCACAGAGACAGAGAGCATTTCCATCACCACAGAGAGGTCTCTTGGCAACCTAAAGCAAATCCCATGGTATATCTTACTTATAACTTTGCTTAATAGCCCAGCATCACAGGCCCATCCTCTCCTGGTGGGAGTTAGTCACACAGGCTTATTAATAGAAACTCACCTCTTGAATCCCTCCCTCATCTGCGCAGACAGAGGGATCAGGCAGGGGGAAAGAAGGAGAAAACACACAATTTCAAGAATTGAAATTATTTTTCTCCAACATGAAAGTTACAGGAAGAACAGATGGCACTTTTTGAAAAATGAAAATCTGGGATCAAAGAGAAGGAAAGTGCCAAGAATGAGTCTCAGGGCTGCTGTTGATTTTTCCTGACCGCCCCAGCCAACTCAACATGATCATTGTTGTTTCTGTTAAACACACACAAATGTTCTGAGTTTGAAGATTGTCTCTGCGTTGCAGAGAGAACTCTTACTTTTATATTCAGTTGAAAAGAAGGTACTATGGTTTGCCCAAACTTTTTATGATTCTATGATTTCCTATTCTGCCTGCCTGTCGGCTGTTTTGTGTATGAGGCAGAACAGATAGCTTTGACCTTGGAGCTGCTCCACGGGAGTTTCTGCAGATGGTTCTTAATAATAAGGTGTTTGCTCATTTGTTCCTAGGTTCTTTTATTTCAAAATAAAAGTGCAGCCAAATTGACCCATGGGGAGAAACAGATTAGGCAGAAAATAGCATCTCTTTAGATTTCTTACTCTAAAGTACTGATCCCATCTTCCCATGAAATTGCCCCACCAGGATGCTGGCAATCACAGACACGGGCAGGCCAGAGGGAGGCGAAGCAGGACCCTTAGTTCCGGGCAGCCACCTGCTGAGGGCCAGGAAAGTCAGCTGAGGCTGGGAGGACAGCCTGAGAGGCCAGGATCCAGAGTCCAGGGGGTCAGTGAGAGGGCAGGCCCAAGCTGTTCCAGCTGCCAGGCAGGCACCTCGGAGGCGAGCACAGGCCATTTCCCCACCAGCCTGGTCCAGGTGGCCTCGAGGCTACAGGGGTCATCTGGGAATGGGTCCTGCCCCTGCTTGAGGCAGAGATGAAATCTGGGTCTATCAGACCTGAGGGACTTTTAGGATCCTCTTCCTAGGTCCCCACAAAGTGCCTGAAGATAGGAAACACTTGATGTGCTTGTTAAGCACAGAGCACCGGGGCCTGAGCTTGGTTGCGGGGGGTATTTAACAAGCTACTCAGTGACTCTGACCCGAGGAAAGTCTAGGAAATACTCCTCTACCCAGTGGTTCTCAAGCTGCACCCCACAGAGCCCTGAGGTCTCTCAAGGATTCTTCAACACTACAGGTGTGGCATAAAAGTGAGAAGGAAGGATGAGTGTGCGAAACTCAAGGCCCCCACCCCTGCTGCAACCTGATAATGGTGAATCATGGTAGCAAATGCTCACTAAACCCTTCTGTACTAGGCACTATACATGCATTATCTCATTAATCCTTACTGTAACCCTATGAAGTAGGTTTTTTTCTTTTCTTTTTTTTCTTTTTTTTTTTTTTTTTTTTTTTTGAGACGGAGTCTTGCTCTGTCGCCCAGGCTGGAGTGCAGTTGCTCGATCTCGGCTCACTGCAAGCTCCGCCTCCCGGGTTCACGCCATTCTCCTGCCTCAGCCTCCTGAGTGGCTGGGACTATAGGTGCCCGCCACCACGCCCGGCTAATTTTTTTGTATGTTTAGTACAGACGAGGTTTCACCATATTAGCTAGGATGGTCTCGATCTCCTGACCTCGTGATTCGCCCGCCTCGGCCTCCCAAAGTGTGGGGATTACAGGCTTGAGCCACCGTGCCTGGCCTGAAGTAGGTTTTATTACAATCTCTATTTTACGAATGAGAAAGCTAAGGCTCAGAGGGTAAGTAGCTTGTCCAAGGTCACACACCTCATAAGTGGCAGAGCTGGAATTCGAATTCTGAAACTCCTTCCCATTACGTCATGCTAACCTTGAAGAAGCTCCACTTATATTTGTTTTATCTGTTATTGGGGGCCTTGTCTACAGAATGTATTCTATTGCTAATACAAATTTGAAAATATTAACTTAAAAACACACACACACCATTTATAAATTTAGAATAGGAGAGGAGGCCGGGCATGGTGGCTTACACCTGTAAACCCAGCACTTTGGGAGGCTGGGGTGGGCAGATTGCTTGAGCCCAGGAGTTCAAAAGCAGCCTGGGAAATATAGTGAGACCCCCCCGCCCCACCTTAAAAAATTAAAAAAAAAAAAAAAAGAAAAGGAAAGCAGACTTTATTTTTTATAAGGTGTTATAGTCCGCAAGGTAGCCATCCCACAGACTGGGAAGCACAGCCTCCAGCCAAGACCAGAGAGACGGGCACTTGGAAGGAAGAGAAGTTGGGGTAGGAGCTTTATGCCAACCCGGCTGGCTAAACATACATATTCAATAGGTTGCAGGAAGTGCTATGTATACTCATGAAGGTAGTCCTGACACGGGCGTATTGAAACAATATGTATATAACATATGACCCATGTTCACCTTGGGATGGAGACTGAACATTGAAATGTATTACAGCTAGGCCCTATATGTCAAAAGGTCTTTTTAGCAAATGATGGCACTTAAGTGCACAGCCTCTGTAAGCCAGCCGGGACCAGTCCATGTTTGGTGGTCTTCCTATCAGGAGAAAGTTACAGAAATCAGTCTCTTATTCAATCACAGATACGATACAGCTGGTAGAACAGGGGATCAGTTAGTCAGTGTCTGCGAGCTGGATGAGCTGTAATTGTTTTAATCTTGCTTATCTTGAGTCCAGTTCTTGTTCAGCAGCTAGAGGAGGGGATAAAATCTCGTGGCAGTTAGAACATGTTCTTTTTTTTTTTCTGCGACAGCGTCTTGCCCTGTCACCCAGACTGGAGGGCAATGGCACAATCATGGCTCACTGCAGCCTTGACCTCCCTGGCTCAATTGATCCTCCTACCGCAGCCTCCTGAGTAGCTGGGACCACAGGCATGTGCCACCATGCATGGCTAATTTTTTTATTTTTTGTAGAGATGGGATTTTGCCATGTTGCCCAGGCTGGTCTCGAACTCCTGACCTCACGTGATCCCTCCACCTTGACCTCCCAAATTGCTGGGAATACAGGCATGAGCCACCCACTGGGCCCACAGTTTATTCTTTAAGGCGTGTGTGACTTAACCCTTGCCTGGCATAGCCTTAGATCCTGTGTATAATATGGTATCTTATTGTAACAAAGAGTCTGTTCTGTCAATCTTATGGTCTCTATTTTAACCTGAACGCTGGTCAGTTGTGTTAAAACCATAAAAGAGAGGGGGAATAATGAGGCATGTCTGACCCCCTGCCTCGTCATGGCCAGGAACTGAGTTTTAAGGCTTTTCTAGAGTCCCCTTGGCCACAAGGGGTTTGTTCAGTCAGTGAGACACTTAGGATTTTCTTTTTAGTTTACAAAAACATACCTAGTCTGATCCCTACCTTTTATACAAGAAGAATCAAAGCCCTGGAGAGGTGAAATAATATGTGGTCACAAAGCTGGTAGCTTCCCCAAGAGAGGCTAACTCTGAACCGGCTTCTGTCCCGAGCCAGAGTGTGCCCAAGGTCAACATGGCCTGCGACATTTCCACCTGCAGTCTGGAGGGCCTCCACCCAGATTCCTAAGGCCAGTGGACACCATCTGCTGAGGAAGAGTTATGGCCCCAGCTAAGGGCTGGATCCAGTACTAGGGGCACTTAGCCAAAGGAGAAAACAAATGTCACAGTTTATTGTGAGCAAATTTATCATCTTGTTACATGGGACCATGACTTCTTTGTCAGCCTGCCTCACATCCCTGCAACTGCAACTGAATCTGATCCTCTTTCACTCCTGTTCTAATGAATGTCCCTGTGGCTTAGGGCCTCCAGAAAGGGTGAAATACTTTTTTCTCAAGGTGGCTGTATTTCATGTGCTGGTGACATTTCTCTCTTCCCTGAGACTGGTTCATCAATCATTTGGAGATGTTTTGTAACCAAAGGGCAAATGTATTTCTCAGAGGAGCAGCCTCCACTCCAGCTCCCTAAGCCAAGGCCAGGTGATTAGGGAAGGGTTTGGGGAGCAGCCAGCCCCTGTCTTCCCAAACTAGCCATCTGGGAAGTGAGCATGCTCGCCTTTTGCTCCCTCTGGGGAATGGACGCACCGCAAGATGCCTGTGAGTCCTGCTCCTGGAACATTTGGGTTTTTGCCAGGCTACTGTCCCTCTGAGGGGGAGAAGGAAAGTTTTATAAGCTTCACATGCACTCTTTGCTTGGGGAATCCAGTTGAGCCTCCAGGTTGATTTATTTGATTAAGTATCCAAGACCTAGTGTTTTAGTTAGTTCCCCCTGTCCCCCACCCCAGGGCTATTGTCAAAGCTATCCTTTCATATTGAGAAATCAATTTTCCTCACTTTGCTGAAATGAATTCACATAGTGCTCATTTTGGAGAGGACTTCACCCTGCAGGAGACTTCTTGAATGATGCACCTCTTGACACTGCGCTCTCGGAGGGGCTTAGATTCGAAGGGGTAGTCTTGGCTCCTTTTATGGGCTCCTGGTGCTCTCAGGTTTCTTTTTTTTCTTTCTTTCTTTTTTTTTTTCCCGAGACAGAGTCTCGCTCTGCCGCCCAGGCTGGAGGGCAGAGGCGCGATCTCGGCTTACTGCAAGCTCCGTTTCCCGGGTTCATGCCATTCTCCTGCCTCAGCCTCCTGAGTAGCTGGGACTACAGGCGCCCACCGCCATGCCCAGCTAATTTTTTCTTTTTTTCTTTTTTTTGTATTTTTAGTAGAGACGGGATTTCACCGTGTTGGCCACGATGGTCTCGATCTCCTAACCTCGTGATCTGCCTGCCTCGGCCTTCCAAAGTGCTGGGATTACAGGCGTGAGCCACTGCGCCCGGCCCTCAGGTTTCTAAAGAAGGCAGTTCTACCAGACAGCCTTTAAGCATCTCTTGTCATTGCATGGCAGATGGATCGCAGAGAACTGCCTGCATTTCTCGCAGTTGTAACATCTCTGATATATCTCAGCAGAAAGTCCCACAATAAGCAAATCTGACCAAGGAAATCTGACATTTGTAGCAAGAGCAGTACTGCAATGCCGCACGTCTGTAGAAAAGTCTGGAAAGACGGATGAGCAGTTGAAATGAGGGCAGGAGAAGCAGGGACATTGAGAAGGGAGCAGTGCAGCATGAAGGGAGGCAGCACTGAAGGGAGGGCGGGTAAGAGCCTCAGGCTTCCCACCGGCCCAGGCTTGAATCCTGGTGCTTCTGCTTTCCAGCTGTGTCTCCATGAGCAAGTCTTGGTGACTTCATCTGAAAATAAAAACTACATCATGGAATTGTTAGAATTAAATTAGTTAATAGAAAACACAGTGTTAAATGAGTAACACCGAGCCTGGCACATAGTATGTGCTCAATAAATACTAGCTGTTGTTATTTACCTCTCCTTGGGAAACCACAGTGGAACCCCTGGCTTTGTGTGGGGACCTGACCAGTGAGGTTTGGATTCTCCCTGTGATTTCCCCACAACTTGGGCCACCATGTTTCCAGGGACCTGGGCAAGTGGAGTGGACTGCTTAACCTGCCATGAGACATGGGGTTCAGCTTCCTAAAAGCAAGGAGGCTGGAAGGCAGGTGATTTGCTCAGGGCTGAAGTGCTCCTCAGTCTCCTGCCCTATTCATTCGCCATTTCAGAGGGGATTTTTCTGTTAATTAAAGAGAAGGGAGACCAATTACATTCACCTCTGCTGCAAGGAGAGGAGACCCATCGGTGTCTTTGCAAGCCCAGCCTCATTCCAGCACCTTCCTCCCCAACCTCGTTAGACAGAAGACTGGGTCTCTTTTTCAGTCTCTTCAAAAGGAGGATGAAGGACTCCCAGATAAAAACACAAATGGCAGGGATAATTAAATCTGGCAGTGTTTGAGGTAAAGCCCTGGCCTCTTTCTGTCCTTCTACCTCCACAGGCGCTCATTCCTGTCCTGTGCAGTCCTTGAGTAGAAAGAAATAACAAACACTCTTGGCTCTGCAGCGAGTTGCAGCCAACCATGTTTATGAACTGCAGGGAGAGTTCCCCAGCTAGAGCCTCAAGGGCTGTCCTATGGGCTGGTACAGCTGCCTAATAAAAGACCATTTTCATAATCAGTGTTCAGTGAAAACGTGCCATTTTCATTTATAGAAACAGTGAAGCCACCTGCTTCATAAAGGCACCCTCCTCCTCTTCTTCCTCACCCCAGGGCTGAATCTTCCAGCTCCCTCCCTCAACCAGCTGTGTCTTGTCAAAGCTCCAACCTCCTCCCTGAGAAACAGAAATCTCTCTGACCATCCACCCCAGGTGCATTGCTTTTCATACTCTAGAGTCTAGGATTAGGGGCTCACCCACAAAAATAGCTTCCATGGAATGGTCAGCCTAGCAGGAGCTGGGGGTTCTCCATCAAGTGAAGGTAAATCCACAATGAGTCTCCTTCTGAGCCCTGACTCCCTGATGCACTCCCTGCCGATTCCCACACAGCCCCGGCTGAGTCAAGCACTGACAACTGAGAGGGTGGAAGAGGAGAGAAGAAAAGGCTGCTGCAGAGACAGGAGCACAGGAACCCACAGTTGATAGAGAGCCTGGGAGCAAAGGAAAGGAAGGAAGCAAAACAAAAAGACGAATGCAGCAGGACCTCCATTAGCCAGCCAGCTTGGGGAATGGGTCATTATGGTTAATGGAAGTTTCTAGTTAACTGTGAATGAAGCCAAAATCTTTTTTGTCTTAACCCCTTAATTTAGAAAAGCTTTCCACAAAATGTGACTTCACTTTCTTATCTCTGTTACAGATGGGGACTATGAGATCTTACGGCATCTCAAAGGGCAGAAGTCTGGACAGGAAGACCAGTTGCATAGTGGAGGGAAGTATCCTAACCTGGATTAAATATATGCTGAATTCCTCTGTTTATCCTAAAAGCTAAATCCCTGATATAAACTTGCTTTTTCATGTTTTTATGATTTAGCTTTATTTTAGGGATTTAACTTTATTTTAACCATGGGTTACTGAGAATTTTTGTTAAAGTTTAATGGCATTGTGTACTCCTATTCACTCTTCAGAATCTCAGTTCAATATCACTTCCTCCATGAAGCCTTCCTGATTACTTTTTCCTTTCTTCCCTCAGGCCCTCCCAGTTATTTCCCTCTCTAAGGAGCATACTATGTTTAAATAATTTGTTAACATGAGCTACAGGGGGCAGGTGGTTGAGGGAGGGCTTTCTCTGTGAGTCTGCTTATTAAGAAGCTGAGCTCCCAGTCCTTGCCTTGTGATAATAATCAAGCCCCATTACTTGAGAGCTCGCAGAGGGCAGAAAACAAGGGCTGCTTCACTGTTACATGCACAGGCCATGGCCTGAAACAAGGAAGGGAAGGAGGGAGAAAACAACGGGAGGACAAATTCTATAAACAGGTCAGAGGAGAGGGAGAGACATTATTTATCAGCTTGGTGATTTCAACTTAATTCTGAGAAGACTTAATCCATGTCTGTTTCCCTCTGGTCTGTAAAACAAAATGCCTCCTACAATGTTTCTGAGTTGTTTCACAACTCAGGAAGACGATATTTCTCTTTGCCATAAGACAATACATTTCCTAAACGTACTGTAGTGGGTAAGGGTAGGGTGGGAGTTTAAAAAAGAAAATCAGTCAGCAGCTATGAAGAGCCAAAAGGACACAGTGTCAGATCTGTGGAAATTGAACCTAAGGATAGATCTGAGACCAACAAGAGTTAAATGGTCAACTCCACTCAACATTTGCTGAGTCTCTATTCTGTGGGCCCTAATAGAAAGTCACCAAAACAGTTCTTGAGGGGTCAGGACCTATTGCTGAGAGTGGCAAGTCAGGAGTAAAGCAAAAAGAGGGCAGGACTGGCCTCATGTCCAGTTGCACAGCCCTGGTTGTGCCATGTCTCTGGGCTGGGAGACAGCTGCCTGGCCACTGGCCCTTGGGCCATTAAAAACACAGGGCCACAGAAGGAGCAGGCAGGGCTCATATCTGGGGGATTAGCTCCATCTGCCCTGAGTGCAGTGGAAACCGTGCATCCTTCCTCTTCCCTGGGCCTCATCCTGGTGCCTGCCCCCAGCAGTCCCTGGCAGCCTCATGTCCACCTGGCCATGATGTCAGGTCTATTTAAGCCAGGGACCTGGTGATCCTTTCCACAGCCCACTGGGAAGGCCTATGTGTTGCTGAAAAACAAATAAACCAACAGCTCTCTGTCACCATGGGTTCTACAGACCTGGGGATACACGGCAAAGGCCTGTCGTGGAGGTTGTAACTCTTTGTCCTTTAGGATTCCCAAGGTAGACCACGTGTGTGCCAGCCCAGCAGGCAAACTGCCCCGTATGAGTTTGTCCATCAACTGTGCGTGCAGATCTTTACTCGCATGCATGACACAGGAAGCCCACGGGACACTTCCCCAGCACGCCCCGCTTCCTCTGCACTCCTGGAAGGAAGACCTGTTCTTGCTTCTTCCGTACTCTCAGGATCTGGCACAGAACCCGACAAAGGGTAGGTTCACAACAGATGTTTCCCAAATGAATATAATAATTCTATTTTCAGGACTCAGTGATGATGGGATGAAAGTCTGGCTCATGGTCCCTCTGCTTCTTTAAAGGGATGGGCTCACCGCATCTCCTTAGGGACCCCATGAGCTCACCTGCTACTCAGCCGCCCATTCCTTATGCCAGCAAGTCAGAGCATGCAGGGTTCTGCCCCAGGTGGGCTTGGACTAATGTACTTCACTCTTCCCTCCCTCCTTCCAGCCAAGGTGACCAATTGTCTCAGGTTGCCAAGTCTGAGGGGTTTCCCAGGACACAGGACATTCAATGCTAAAACCAGAGATGCCTCAGGCAAATGTGCACAAGTCGGTCATTTCATGCCTCTTTTCCTTTCTAGAAATATTTAATGAACTATGGCGTAGGCCTGGCCCTGAACGACACCCTGGGGACCCAGCAGCAGCAAGGTGCAGCTTCTGCCCTCAGCAACCTCACGGTCTAATGGACGCGGCACAGTGGGCAGGAAGTGACACCAAAGAGCATCAGGATTAGGAAGTCTGTTCGGATTAGCATGGAATCAGGTCAGGGAGACAAACATTTCCTTAATATTTGGAAATATTTCCTTAACATATGAGTGGGAGTTTACAACAGTTTTCACATTCTGGGAGTACCACCGTGTTCCTGAGGACTCAGGAGACTCAGCGGGCTAACAGTGTTGTGTGTGGAATGGGGTTGTTATACTCAGGAAAGTACAGACCCAGGCTGTCGGAATGTGTTGACTGTTTACTTGGGGAAGGAGAGCTAACTACAGAGCCAATCTCCTCTTGCTGGGGAGTGAAGAAATGTCAACTGCATTTCCACCCTGTCTCATCAGCTTTGTCCCTCCCTTCTCTACTCTATGTCTCCTCCCACATCCAAAACATAAACATAAGTAAGGACCTCGGCCCAGTCGCAAGATCGTTTCAGTTCCTTTCTTCTCGCACCTCTGCCTTGATTTCCAACACGTCTATAATACAGAGCCTGTTGAAGCCAGGGCTGGGAGTCACCATTGCCTCTTGGCCTAGGATGTCAGAGTCCGAGTTCCACACCCCCACATGGGCAGCTCCGGGGAGCAAGCATAGAGTATTTAAGTCCCCCCTTCATGGCCGTTTCTCAGATAGCTGGGGGAAGGACCTTCAATAGTAGGAGGGAGTCTGCTCACAACCTGCTTCTTGGTTGATCACATGCTACTCTTGAAACGGAGATAATGTCTGGCCTCTCTGATTTTTCTGGCTTTAGAGTCTCCCTGCCCTGGGAATCATTGCTGGCCATGGCAGTTGCTGAGACTGGGAGCTAAAAGGTGCATCTGAGTTGGAGTCTTGTCATGTTCCTTCAGGTGTGTGTTGGACCAAGCTGCCTACCATGTGTACGCATACTGCCCACACATGTGGTTAGCACCCTGGATGGTTCGATTCCATGTCAGCTTGGCTGTTGGTGGGAAGTGGATGAGTGGTCCATGGTGAGTTCACTCATTTCAAAATGGCAGCCTGTGTTTACTAATGGATCGAGGCCTCTTGGGTTTTTCTAATTGACTGAGGCCATTATTTCTCTCTAGCACTCAATTCCGGGGGTAACTAGAAGTGATGACTTATAATCAAATTTAGGATTTTTATCTTTCATTTATTATTATTATATTCAAATTTAGAATTATTATCCTATTCGTTGCAGTTTCACTTTGTCTTATATCTGTCTTCTACACAGGCCTTAACAATATAGTTGTTTCTGACTGGTTCACTAGAGAAGCCTTGGTATGAGTCAAGGGTGGGATGTCTTCCTCAGCCTGTCATGGAAAGATTCCCATGAATCTTCTTCAGGAGGGCAGGTGGTCATGTTTCTGGCCCACCAGCTCTGATGGTTGCACTATCTAGGGCCCATTAAGCTGCCTTAGAAGAGCTTGGCACTGCAGGAGGTAGGGCCGAGTATCCTGTTTATTGAGGGCCAGAAAGCCCTTTCAGAGCCTATTCTTCTCATCTGCACACTTTCAGCAGACTCTCTGGAGCAGCCCAGCTTCCCAGAACTGAGATCACTAAACCAAGAAGAGGAGGCACCTTGGACCTGGGTAAAGGCTCCTTTCCAAGCTACTGCACAAAGAGGCCCAGGAGAAATCAAAAGATCATGGACTGTTTTTGCTATTGCATGTGTTCCACCTTCAGTATGGACTGTTGCCCTCCTTGCAGGTACTTCCCTTTAACTTTTCTTTTTGGCTAAGATCCTTTGCAATGTATTGTAGAACTTCTGCCTGCCAGATGTTTTCCCCTAAAGTCTACATCAATGTCAGTAGTCTATTCTTATGGATTCAATAATTCATTACAATTCTGAACTGGATTTGCAGGATCACTCTATTATTATAAAGGAGAGAAAACCCTATACCAAAAGGGGCAATGCATGTAGCATTTTTTCTTTTTTTGAAACATGTTCTTTTATGATTGGAAGGACAATAAAAGAAAAGATTATGCTGAAATCATTAGGAAATAGGTTTAGTCACTGAGGCTGAAATATAAAAGTATGGAATGAAAGCCCTCTACAACCCTGGTGGAGTCCTAAATAAAAACTAAAGCCCTTTCAATAAAAATAGCTTAAATTTGCACTGTGATGACATGTATAATGATGATATTGATGACAAAGACTAAGAAGAGGAAAATGTCAACTATAATGATGTGGTTTGAGTGCCTGACCAAGTGCCATGCATGCATTGATTAGGTTACTGAAATCTTTATACCGGAATGCTCCACAGTTTTACAACAATTGGCATTTTAGCTTGACTGGTATCAGTTTGTTCAAGCTGGGTCAAGAAGGATTCTGGAGTCACATGCAGGGTCATCAGCAAACTATGCAATGATCAATTTTAGTGGTGTCAGATACAGCCAAGAAAGGAGGTGGAGAGCAAGTATGTCATGCACTTACCATCCATGCAGCTGAAACTATGGTTTGTTTGTGTCTCTTCTCATTCTGCAAGGGGTTGAGTCATCTCAGCTGTTGTATTTTGTATGGGGTTATTCATAAAAGCACTGTAGCGGGTTGGCTACCCTCTATTGCCTTCCTATCATACGCCAGGCACTCTGCTGCATTCTTTGACTGCATTATCGCTAAACTTCAGAAGCGCTAGGACAGTGGCCTTTCTTGGAGTAACCTTGTGCCCCATCGCCCACCCTTCTTTCTGCTTCCTGTGGGTGCATAGTCAGTTTCTGTGACAGGGCTGATGTCATGATGATTTCAAGTGGTGAAATCAGAGAGTAGGTGTTGTCTTTGGGCCATTTCATGATTTGGCCCAAAGACAACACCTACTCCCTGAATAATATCCATGAAAACTTAAGACAGTCACTCAAGTGAGTCATATTTTCCCTGTGGATATGACTTGCAGATGTCGAGATGGAACCTCACCAGGGCTTCCTTCTGAAATGAAACTTCCAGAAAGCAGCAGACAGACCACAGAACATCCTTCCTAGAAAAAGAAAAGCCGTCTGTAGACCAGCAACAGCTCTGATCACATGACTGCAAGCAAGGTTTCCAAAGAAATCAAAATGATAGCTTGAAGAATGAGCATTGACAATTTCTTTGTAGAAAGATTCAAATTCACAATGTGATCAATTAAAAGGAATCCTAGCTTACATTTTTTTCTCAAAAAATATTCACAAATACTGTCTTATTTGATTCTCATGTTAACCTGTGGATATAGGCGGTGAATATGAGCCGTGAAGACATTATTCTCCAATTTATAATTGAGAGAAGGGAGGGAGGGCATCAGTGACTTGCATCTCAGGGTACATGAGAGTGAGTGATTGAGACAGACTCAGGTCTTTTGGTTACTCCTAGTACAGTGCTCTCTCCACCTCATCCTGCCTTTACAAACTGGAGGCAGGTTAAGTAGCAATTCATTTATTTTTCTTTCAGAAAGAAACATAGCTTTAAAAGAATGAGGATCAAAAGTTGTATAAATAGATGAGGCTGGTGCAGTGGCTCATACCTGTAATCCCAGCATTTTGGGAGGCTGAGGCAGGTGGATCACCTGAGATCAGGAGTTCGAGACCAGCCTGGCCAACATGGCCAAACCCTATCTCTATTAAAAATACAAAAAAATTAGCTGGATATAATGGCAGACACCTGTAATCCCAGCTACTCGGTAGGCTGAGGCAGAGAGAATTACTTGAACCCAGGAAGTGGAGGTTGCAGTGAGCTGAGATGGCGCCACTGCACTCCAGCCTGGGCAACAGAGCAAGATTCTGTCTCAAAGAAAAAAAAATTGTATAAATAAATGTAAAAAATTCAAGTATTTTCATTCTATTTTATAATACAGTCAAGGTGTTTTTTCTTTTTTTTTAAAGGTAGAAAAACTGAGGGGCAGAGGTAAGTAGAGACAAAGGAACAGAAAAAGACATGCTGTAGTGCCATACAGGCCCAAGGCTCACAGGGAGTAACAGCCCCATAGTGTGGCTTTTTTAGGATACAAAAGTGTGGTCATGTTTTTACAACTGTACGCAGAAATATGGGCAGTACTTCTGTGACCTGGTGACACTGAGGATAAAATTTGAGCCAGGAGCCAGAGGTCCCGTAGTACTGGCCTGAAACCAGGGAGATAATTCTTTGTGATGCTATAATGTTTTAACTTCTAGAATGAGCCTATTGCCCTGGCTTTAGTTCTTTCTTTATAATAAGGTGCAATAATGACTATGGAGAGCATAGAACATGAAGAGCAAGGGAAAGCCTGCAGAAGGAAACCGGTCACAGCCCTCTAACGGGTGCTCAGCCTCCCTGCCCATCAGAATCGCCAGGGAAGCTTTAAACATGCAATTCCCAAGCCCACCCCAAACAATGGAGTCAGAATCCTGGGAGTGGGACCCAGGCATCAGTACTTAACGCTCCTGGGGTGCGTCTAGGATGCAGTCAAGGTTAAGTACCTTCTTTAAGAGATTTGTCCAAAAAGGCTGACTGAGGAAAGGAAGAAGCACTGAAATGGGAAAATTCGGACGTGAGATTGAGGGTAGCCAAACAAAACCTTCCCCTGGAAAACAGATTGAGGACAAAAGATGCAGGGACTCACGAGGACAGAACGCTGGGCACGCAGTGGTTGAAGATGGTCTCTCTTTGACTGACTTTCCATGGGTGAAGATAAAGGAGAGAATTGAGGGACTTCCCTGGAAAGTTTAGTGTAAGAACATCTTCTGCCTTTTTGTATTTAATTAATCTTTCTTCTAAATAAAACATTTTGAGGGCTGGGAAAAGGCGCTAAATCTGCCAATTTGTTTGGGTTTTGCCTTACTCTGCCTTACACAGCAGCGGTATGGGAGGAATACTCACCTGAGGGAGCACACTCTTAGGTAGAACTCCTAAGCTTCTCTTCCTCTTTTTCTTTCTTTCTTTCTTTTTTTTTTTTTTTTTTTTTTTTGAGACGGAGTCTCGCTCTGTTGCCCAGGCTGGAGTGCAGGGGCGCGATCTCAGCTCACTGCAAGCTCCGCCTCCCAGGTTCACACCATTCTCCTGCCTCAGCCTCCCGAGTAGCTAATTTTGTTTTTCGTATTTTTAGTAGAGATGGGGTTTCACCGTGTTAGCCAGGATGGTCTCCATCTCCTGATCTCGTGATCTGCCCGCCTCGGCCTCCCAAGGTGCTGGGATTACAGGCGTGACTCTTCCTCTTAAAGAAGGAAAATGCTGTGGCTGTGAATAGGACACACGAGGAGACACACAAGGAAACCCACATCAGTCACCACAAAGGTGATGAGACACAAGACCAGAGGAAGTTGGCAGGAAGAGGATGAATGAGGGGTTGCGCTCTGAGACAACCTGGGATAAGAATGATTAAAAAAAAAAATCACTTTCCTCATTCTGAGACTGCATTGGGATGAGGAATTGCTCCTTTCATGACTGATCTAAAAGAAGCAATGAGATTTCATTTGAGATGAGGTCTTGATGTCAATATCACCTCACTTGCCGTTGATACCCAAGCCCAGGAATCCTCAGCATCATTGCCCTCCCTGCGCTCCTTAGAGCCGAAGCTCCCTGCAGTGGGATACTTACTCAGCTTTGCATCCTTTAGGGCAAACAGTTCAGCACCTACTGAAGTGAAAACTAACCTGTAGTATTATAGAAACTAAGTGAACGTGTTGGAATGAGTGATTAGATGCAGCTAGTGTTGCTGGTGACTTTATGAGCAAAACTCCCTGCCTCTCTCAGAAAAGCAGCTCCCACCTCCTGTTGCTGCAATGTCAGTGGCAACACCCTCTGCAAGGACAGGTTCAAGAAAGGCATTTTCAAACCCCTCCCAAGCTTGTTCAAAATGGCGCCACGGTCGGGTGCCGTGGCTCTCACGCCTGTAATCCGGCACTTTGGAAGGCGGAGGCCGATGGATCACTTGAGGCCAGGAGTTTGAGACCAGCTTAGGCAACATGGTGAAACCCCGTCTCTACAAAAATTACAAAAATTAGCTGAGCATGGTGGCGCAGACCTGTAATCCAGCTACTTGGGAGGCTGAGGCAGAAGAATCGCTTAAACCCGGGAGATGGAGGTTGCAATGAACTGAAACGGCACCGCTACACTCCAGCCTGGGCGACAGAGTGGGGCCCTGTGTCTGAAACAAAACTAAAAACCCAAAATGGCACCAGAAGGCAAAATCGACTAGAAGAGCTCTCTCAGTCTCTTTGGGTTTTTTTTGTTTGTTTGTTTGTTTGTTTTACGAGGAGTGGGATTTCTCAGTGGGCATGAGTAAGGAGGGGGCGGTGCAATGGCAGCACTTAGGATAGCAGGGCCCGCCACTTGTCCAGGGGCTGCAACTGGGGGTGGACTTAACCCCACAGCCATCGGGATGAGGTGTTTCTCAGCCATGTCTTCAAATTCATCTGCATTAAACCTGGTAAAGCCCCACTTCTTGGAGATGTGGATTGCCTGGCAGTCAGGGAACTTGAAGTTGACCCCCATGTGGGCCTCGATCACATGCTCCTTGTTCTGCAGTGTGGTGCCGATGGACACGGCAATGTGGCTGAGGTGAACCCTGGCCACTGTGCCCTGGGGCTCTCCAAAGACCCCCCCCACATGCCTCTCTGGAGCCGAAGGTGGGGACAGCATGGGGTCAGAGATAGGAGCATCCGTTGGAAAGATCCGTCTCCAGGGTCCCTCGGAGTAACTCATACCAACAGCAGACTGCTACACCTCTGAGGGGCTACTGTGTGCAGAGGCTGCACGTAGAAAGAAGGGTGGGCTTAATCAGCAGCACAGACTAGAGGAGTTCTTGAGGCGGCATTTAAAATGATAACCCTTGGAGAAACGGGGCAGAAGCGCTGAGAGCAGAAGGGGGTCATGTGGTCTGATCTCACCCAGACCCAGGGCCTGGGAGGCAGTTGAGGGATTAGAGTACCAGGTGTCACTGCTTCCCAGAAAACACAGCTTGAGACCCAGGGAGAAGAACTTCTGGTGCCAAAGTTCTTTCTGGAAGGTCTGCACTGCTCTGAAACTGGGTATCCATGTGGGCCTGAGGACCGGTCTTTTCTATTGGTGAGAAAGCTTCTGTTACCTCTGCAGCAATAAGTCCTGAGTAAGCTTCTGGAGACTGAAAACCCGGCGACTACTGAGCAATGCATCGGCATGCACACTTAGGAACCTTATTTGGAAGCTGACGTCTCCTTTGCTCAAAGTCTGGCTTCTTTCCCCCTAGCATATAAAAAGTTTCCAGTCTGCATCTCCCCTCCTCTGATGTTCTTGATTAATCACATTCTGAGGTACAGCTTGGAGCCTGGCCTGAGCCATCAGTGAGCGGAGGCAGATATATTGGTCAAGACAATTACAGAGATGGGTCAGAGCATCAGAGGCTTTGGCCGCAAGTGCTGGCGATTAAGTTAGAATCCTTTGGACAAATGGATTAGTGCTGACTGGATGGGCTCACTCAGACAAAGGGAAATAAAAGACAACTTTCATCAAGACTAAGCTGCATCTCCCAGCCAGGCAGCCATCGTCAGTGCCTAGGAATGTCTGTTCTGGGACGCAGGGTCCAATTTGCCTCATTAGCCGGGACGCTGCACCTGCATTGGACAGGAATATGGTCCAAATTTGGAGGCCTAAGAGGAGAAAATCTAAGCCAACCTCTGTTGCTTCCAGAAGATTCCAGTCTTATGAAGTGAGACATCTGTCTCATTTGGGGTCAGATAACCACTGGACCCCAAGTTTACGAACATAGATACTTTGCAGTAAGCCAAGGGGCTTCCAAGAAATATGGCTGGTCTCAGAGTTGAACTGTGTTTGGGTTGACAGTGGCCTTTTAAATTCTCTGGCATCACCAGAGCCTGGCTGATGGGACCTTGCCTTTAATCAACACCGAGTAAAGAAACCTTCCAGGTGTGGGCTGGGGCTGCAGGGTACGGACTTTCCTGCTGTGTTCTCCTCCCCCTTGAGATGTCGGGGGACAAGGGCTTGGTTTGAGGTTTCCCGTGTGTTTCTTTGATGGAAGCACTGGGACCTTTGAAAATCAATCAGTAATATTCCTTCTGATTGGGGAAATCAGGGAGAGCAAACTGATCCCTATCTTTAAGGAAAGGTGGGATTTAGGCCAACATTTCTCACATCTGATTGCAGCTTAGAATTGCATGGGGCAGAGCAGTTAAAAAACTAACGCGTGGGATCTATCCAGACATTTCTCATGTAATTGTCTGGGGTGAGGCTCAGACATCCAATATTGTTTCTAAATCTCTTTAGCTGACGTTAATTGGCCAGGGTTGAGACACTCGGATTTCAGGTCCTCAACCGAAAAGAGAGTTTGTGTGTGCACTGTGTCCTGTCTCTCTAATTAGATGATAAACTCCTGGAGAGCAAGGATGGGGCCCCGTGTTTGGCATCTTCTCCCGCAGGGTTTAATGGAGTGCTGTACACCTTGGGTTCTCAATAAGCATTTAAATACAAATGCTTGGATGCATGAGCAAACAGCATTACTCTCTCAGAAATCTCATCCACTTGAGGCAGTGACAACTATTTTAAATACACTGCAATGCAGAGGCCCCTTTAAGGATGTCTGGGCCAGCTGGCCCTGCCACAATTACACTCAGCACCATTGTAACTGCTGAAGAAATGTCTAGACAGAAAAACCTTCCAGGCAATGAAAGGTAGAAGGTGTTTAGGGTGTATATATATATGTATATATTTAATTTTTGTTTTTGGCGAGTCTCAGGTAAAGAAAACAGAGAAGCCTCATCATAGGCAGATTATTTCCTTCTGTGACTTGCTGGGGAGGATTATCTCATTATCTGATTTTCCTTAGGGAAGTAAGACAAGACAATAGTGTCCCTTGTCTAAAAACTTCTGGAAGGATCCTCTGCAATTATCTAGATATACCATTATGATTCAAGTACCTGCGGGTCTGACCACTTCATTGATAAAGAAGGTTTATTAAGGAAATTAACAAAATCACCAGAAAATAGAGAGGTAAGTAAGAAGAACAAGTCAAGAGAGGGTGGAACTGGAGTTTAGAATGAAACCTTCCAATACAAGCCGTCTTTGCTAAATAACACTATCATCCATAGACTTTATTTTTAAAAAATGATGAGCATTTTGAATTTTAAAGGAAGCAAACACAACAGGGAGGAATTATGAATCAAGAATTTGATTGAGACTGGATGAAGCATCACAATTAAGCGCTTAAAATACCATAAAAAGTAAATTTCTTGCCTTCCTTTTCCTTCTGCTTTTTTTCCTTTCTCTTCTTTCCTCCCTCCCTTCCTTTTCTTAACACTAATTGAGCTGAGAAGCAAAACTTACCATCACATTTACTCAAAATGGTCATGATCTAATGGGGGAGACAGGAGGTGGCATCAGGAGCTCCGGCCCAGGGTAGAATGTGAGATGCTCCCAAAGGGAAGGGAGCTTTGCAAAGGGGACAAGATGTTTTAGAAAGAGGAGAAGCAGCATTCACAGATGAGTCCGGAACAGATTCTCAGAATCTGAAAGGCCATCTAAGGCCAACTTATCCAGGGTCCCTTATGGGATCCTAAACTGTCAGTGGTTTTATGACCTTTCTTCAGTATCTGTAGTCATTCAATTGCCAGACAGGTCAGCATCCCAAAGACAAATGATAGACAAAGTCTGTATCTGTCGATATCCATCAGGACTTCTTTGGTTATAAGAGACAGGAAATTGACAACCTGGTTGAAGCAAAAAAGGTAAAGGTAATTGAGTGCCTCATAGCACTGAAATGTTCAGAAAATAGTCCTGGCTTCAGTCGAGACTGAATGTAGGGGCTCAAATGACATCTACTCTGAATCTCTCAGCTTTGCTTCCCTCAGGTGTTGCTTCCTTGTTAGGCAGGCTTTCCCCTTGTGAAGGCAAGACAGCCACCACCTGCCCAAAGCTCCTGTCTGCTCAGCAACCCAGGCGGAAGAGGGCAGCTCTTTCCTGCTAGCCTTGGGCAACTCTCAGGCCAGCTGGAGTCAGGGCTGATGCCTAGACTAATCACTGTGGCCAGGGATGGAGGACACGAATGGACCAGGCCTGCTACAGAAACACCCCTGGGGCCAGACAGCGGACACAGCTCCACCCAAATCATTGAGAGTAGGGATGGGGCTGCTCCCCAAAACAAAACCTGGGGACTGAGACCAGAAGGGGCAATGGGCTCTGGCCAGTCAAAAACAACCCAAGTCCCCTTCAGTACAAAACACATACATCTATAAATCAGAAGAACAATTCATAGGAAAAATAAAGTAAAAAGGTAAAAATTCCCCCCCAAATCCCACAGCGTATATATAATGAACATATTTGCATTCAAAACCTTTTTCCTGTTCCTAAGCTAAAATGCCCCTCTACAGTTCTTATCCAATGACCCTAACTCCACCTTCCTTAGCTACATAGCAAAGGTTAACTCCTTTTAGAAAGCAGAAGACACCCTCCAAATGTTTGAAGACAGCTCTCATGTCCCTGCCAAGTCTTCCTTTCAGCCCAGTATTCTACCTGTGCCTCAGTTGTTCTGGTTTCCTGACCCACTGGGTCATGGCCGTGATCCTGCCTGAGGCTGGCTGCAGTTGGTCCATTCCTTCTTGACATGAGCTGCCTGGATCAGACCTCAATCCTTGATAGTGTGGATGGGCAAAAGGGGGCTGCCATTTCCCTTGCTCCGCATACCACCTTTTGTTCACAAAGCCTCTGATGACATTCACTCTCTTGGCAGCTCTGGCCCTCTGCTGGTTCATGCAGAGCCCAGAGTCCACCCAAACTCCCAAAAGCCTAAGTCCTCCCCAGAACACCTAGCCTCCCCCATTCCACACCACTGAATTCACAATTTGAACCTCAATGCAGGATATTGCAGGATATCACATGCATGTTGACTAAGCTTTCTGGTTGTTCCATTTTGGTTTGCTTTAGTTCCAGCCCGAGAGATGGTGTAGAGCCCCCTACTGCCACGCATGTGTCAGCTCTCTGACTCAATGGGAGTCAGAAGCACGTTGACCCAGGTGTGAGTCATAGGTGGGAGGGTGACAGGACCGAGCCAAGGCTACAGCACACACGTAGAGTGCTCACCTTGTTCAGCACACACTTAGAGTGTTCACCTTGGGTTGGCACCAGTGTGAGCATCTGTGGATGACCAGCTCTGATGCTCGCAAACTGTGCTGCCATCTATGCTGTACTTCCCTATCTGGTCACTAGAGGAAAGGAGATGACCTTTAGCCTGGGGTGAAAGTGGCTGGAATTTCAATAGAGATGGGGAGTGGGACTGGGGGCGATTTCTAGGTGTCAGAGCTCCACATATAAAACATGAGAGAGGGAAAGGCAGCCACCCTTGAGAGAGAAGCCCCTGAAGAGAGGGAACAGGTAGGGAATAAGCAGACGGCGAGAACCCTGAGGGCCTGCGTGTCAGTGAGGAGCCCGCCATTCAAGACGTTTGGAGCAGAGGCCTGATGGACTCGGAACTGCCCTATAGGAATACCCCGGGCTGCTGGGCAGGGAGGAGTGAGGCCACAGTAGCAGACTAGAATCTACATAAAGGAAGTTAAAGTCCCTAATCAGGACATAATGGTGGTGAGGATAGGGTGGGGGAACAGAGAAAAGGCATTCCAGAAATCAACTCAAAAGGACTTCGCAACTGTGTGTGTTTTGGGGCTGAACTGGGAGGTATAGAGAAAGAGTGATTAAAGATAACCCTAGGGTTTTAAACCAGAGGAAACTGGAAAGTGTTAATACCTGGATCAAAATTAGAATAATCAGAAAGAGCAATGGATTTGGAAAAAGAGAAATTGTGAAGGAAGAATTAGACTTTAGGTAAGTCGGTAGTATTGGTGGGATTCTGATGATGAGTGGCAGGTGGTTAGAAAAATGAGGGCAGGCATTTGTGGAGAAGTTGGAATTGGAGGTGACAATTTGGTTTGTTATATAGAAATAAGAATTGAAGCTTCAGAATTGGTGTGTTCAATATGGAAGAATGTGAATGCTGGTGAGGGCTGTGGACAGGTAAGTTGCGAGTGATAAAGTATTCTGCAATGGAAATTTCTATCATTAGCATCAGGATCCCATGCATGAGATAGGAGGAGAATAAAAAACCAATGAAGGAGAAAGAGAATGTAGGTGGAAATCTGAGATACTGCAGATCATCATAACCATAATTTGTCAAGACTTTTTTTTGCAAGTGATAAGAAACAATTCAAATTGGTTTAATAAAAAAAGAGATATATTGCCTCATATAACTGGTAAGTCCAGGGTAGTCCACATTCAGACGCATTCAGTGGCTCAAAGACATTGAGACTTATTTTTACTCCTACGCTGTATTCTACTTTCCTCTGTTGGCTCAGGACTCTTCTCTTTATGGTGACAAAATAGCAGTCAGGAACTCCATTCTATCTTCTGCCGCAGGAGGAACAAACAGTTCCAATGGTTGCCATTACATGCTCACCTCTGAGCCAATCTCTGGGGCCAAGAGGTGGCTATGCTCGGATGTGAAGCCACACTCAGCTCTGACTTGCTGGTCTTGGAGAGAGCAGCACCTCAACCTGGACACTGAAAATGGGATGCTGAGGGTGGGAGAGGGTTGGTTCCCTAGAGGAACACTGGGGTGCTGCTCCCAGAAGAAGGTAGAATTGACACAACCAAGACAGTGACTATCCACTACAGAAACCAAGGGAAGAACTTCAGGGAGGGTTGTAGTCAACAGTGACAAATGATGCGGAGAGGATGACGAAGAGAAGTGAATGGGCACAGACTTCAGACATGGTGGCTGAGTCATTTGTTTCTTTCAAAGATTGTAAATATGTGAGGAAAACAGATTTTAGTGGGTGAAGGGATGGGTGGGAGTAGAAACACTACAAAGGCAGGCAGGCATCTGCTATTTCAAAGAAGTCCATCCGTGAAAGGAAGCAGACAGACTAGCTTTCCCCCAATTCTGTCCCACAATTACTGAGCGAGACGCCGTGCTAGGAATTGGAGCCCCAAGATTAATAATTCCCAGTCTACATTCTCAAGAAGCTCAACGCTTGGAAAGGAAGAGATAATTGTAAATGAATAAATTATGGGGAGAAGGAATACGTCATGATTCCAAGGTTTCAGAGCGGGAAGTTACAACAATGAGAAGCTGATATTAAGCCAGAGCTATCACAGAAGACAGAATGATGAAATCAGTCTGAGTGTACAAGGAAAGGCTTTTCAGGGGAGGTGGTACCTGAGCTGGGTTTTGTAGAATGAATGGGAGCTCATTTTAGGAAGCAAGATGGGGAAAGCAGTGCCAGGCAAAAGCAAACATTCCTTAAGAGGTTCACAGACGCGTACTGCTACAGGGAAAACTCCAGAGGATGGGAAGAGTAGGCAGGGAGGCCTGTGTGATATGCTGAGGGGTGTGGGGCAGGGGCAGTGAAGGGTTTTTAGGTCAGTGCAAGGCAATGTCAGATTAGCGTGCTAGAAGAACCTCTCTGGACTCAGTCTGGAGGGAAGCCTGGGGGAGACCGAGGGGCCAGTTCAGAGGATGTGTTGATAGTCATGTAAAGGAGTGACCAAGTCCAGCACAAAGAAGGCGGGGACAGGGAAGAGGGGAAAGAGTGAGAGGAGCACCAGGAGAGGGGAGAGCCCGTAAGACAGTGAGAGGGAGGCAAGCTTTGAAGACAGGTGATGGGGCTGAGGGCAGGAGGAAATGCATCCCTGGAGAGGGTGACGCCAGAGGTGCAGGTGGGAAACGGGTAATGGGAGGAGGCAGAGAAGGTGGGCTCAGGCATGGGTGGAGGCGGAGAGAGGCCAAGCAGTCAGAGAGGAGGAAAGATGGAGAATATGGATAAGAACCCAGGGCAAGAGTGAGAGAGGCAGGAGAACAGTTGAAGAGCTTTCCTTCTCTCCATGAAGAAAGCAGTGAGGGCCAGGCATGGTGGCTCATCCCTGTAATCCCAGCACTTTGGGAGGCCGAGGTGGGCGGATCACCTGAGGTCAGAGGTTCAAGACCAGCCTGGCCAACTTGGTGAAACCCCCGTCTCTACTAAAAATACAAAATGTAGTTGGGCGTGGTGGCAGGGGCCTGTAATCCCTACTACTTAAGAGGCTGAGGCAGGAGAATCGCTTGAACCCAGGAGACGGAGGCCGCAGTGAGCCAAGATTGTGCCACTGCTCTCCAGCCTGGGTGAAGAGTGAGACTCCGTCTCAAAAAAAAAAAAAAAAAAAAAAAGAAAAGAAAAAAGAAAAAGAAAGCAGTGAGATCACCTGTCACTATATGTGGGCTGCAAATTTCCCTTTGGGGAAAATGGGGATAGTAACAGAAGCAATGGATCACTGAATCACATCAACTCCACCCCAGCTGTCCCCTCCTCTCCATTCTTCTGCCATTTGCCTCTCCCAGGTCTTCATTAACTATACCAGTGGTTCTCAGGGTGGGTGTGGGGTGCTTGAACCAACCTTGATCATCCTGGGAGCTCCTTAAAACTCTCACCCACCCTAGCATCTGATTCAGGAGGTCTAGAGTGAGCCATGGGCATGTGTGTTTCCAGAAAATCTCATATAGGAGAGATTCTGAAATGTATCACACAACTTAGAATTACTAAGGTTCATAGGACTGAGTCCCGGAATTTGCCATGTTGTGGGAGAAGACGGGGTGGAATCATTTGCAGAAGCTAGGTGGGTGTAAGTGACTCAGGAAAGGAGGACAAGGAGGAGGTGGCTGTGCCAGCAGATACGGGAAGGAGCGGGGGCTCCTATTCTCACATTCAGCAGATACGCCTCTCCCAAGCATCACTAGGCCAATCCCCACCCTTCCCAGGCTGCCCTTTTTATAACTTTATTTCCCCTTCAGTATTTCCCTTGATGTTCACTTTAGCCTGTGGGCCACCAGCATCAACATGCAGGGTCACAAAATGTGATTTGCCAGTGAGCACACAACAGACTAAGAACTATCAAAGCTGAGCTGAGGATAATCATGATTTTCTGAAATATCATGGCCATTCTTCTGAAGGCAAGGAATAAAACTGGGGAGAAAACCCACCCCCACACACACGGAAACTTGACAATGAAAAGGCACTGGGTACCTTCAAAAGTTGCACGAGTTTGTGTGCAGCACTGCCCTCTGCTGGTCAGAATCAGACCTGCAGCTGTAAGGCAACAGCATCTGACTTCTGGATTTTACGGTAAAGAGGACAGGTTAGTTGGGCTTCCGAGTCATTGTAGGTCAAGTCACACACTATCATTAAGTCCACATGTGTGACTCTTCAGGTACAAACTGAGCCTGAAACTTTAGGCTTGGAGGTTTCCAGTTAACTATATTCAAATAAAGACGCAACTGCCTAGGAAAAACACGAAGTCCCTGAATAATTTCTTTGTAAAATATTTGGGTGTGCATGTAATGGATACAGTCACCTGGAGACAAGTTGCAGAGGTAGAAATCTTTCCTGGAGTCAATGAATGAATTTTTTAAAAGTCTGATAATTCTATGCTGTTAATAATCATGGCCAACATTTACTGAACATATATGGTTATTGGCATCTTCTGTGCATTACATCAACTAACTTTCCTAACAACCCAATAAGACAAGAACAATTATCATCTGTACTTATAGATGAGGTAACAGGTATAAAAGAGTCCAAGGCCACAAAATCTTGGCAGAGAAAGAGATTACACCCAGAACTTACTATACAGCCTCCTTGTTAAGGTCATACCAACTGCTTTATTACATAGACACCAAAATACGTAATTGCTCTAACATCATAGATGTTTTATTTTGTGCTTCTATAATGGTCCCAAGTAGGTGTTTCTTGTGACTGGGTGCCTCTCCTCCTCCAGGTGCTGCAATTCCGGGACTCAGATTCCTTCAGGCTTGTGGCTCCTCCACCATGATCTGGGTCTGGTTATTTTCATACACATCTAGCCACCCAGAAGAAGAGAAAAGAGCAAGGAGAAGGCACTCCTGCTTCTTAAAAAACAGCTGTGGCTCACAGGCCAATGGAAAGAACTATTCTTCTGGCCACACGTAGATGCAAAGGAGGCTGGGAAATGCTGTCTCTGGCTGGTCAGCCTCTTTCCAGCACCAGTGCCACATCATGAAAGGGGAGGCAGGGATTTTGGTGGTCAAGGGCCACCTCTGCCCTCTCTCTAGTAAATATGATGGATGGTTCACTGATTTAAGCCACACCTTTGGCCACTACCCCAGGTGAACACCACAGCGAGGTCCTGAGACTGGGTTCCTTTAGCAATAAATCCTTGGAAGGTGCCTTTCCTCTTGACAAAGCACTTTTACACCTTTACATTTAAATTATCCTATTTAATAATTTAATTATTCCATTTCATCCTCACAACTCCTGTGAGGTGGGTTAATTGCCTTTATTTCACAGCTAAGGAAAATGAGGCTAAGCCGTCGGGTGGTTGCCCAAATTCCTACAGCTGGGATTCAACCAGTTTATTCTCGTTGCCAGATCCTGGAAATAGTGGCAGCTGCTAAGCTTAAGTGGAGTTTGACCAAAAAGCTTTATGGTAGAGAGAGAGAAGTGGGCAGAGCTGTGAGCAGAAACAGGCACTCACAAATTCGTGGCCTGAAACGACACTGCTCATTAAACCTTGTGACTTTTGGTCCAGTCTCTGCCAGAAATTCTAAAGTTGGAAAAAGTTGAGAGAGAAGGGAGGAGTGACAACTGCAGGCTGCTGGAGAAACAGCAAGGTTCTCAGAATTTTTCTTCTACCTTGATCAAATGTCACAGAAGGTATAGAACCATGACTTACATTTCACAATTTAATGATTTACATTGCAGATTTCATTTACCTTGGACGATCCTATCATGTTCTTTGTCGTTGTGGATTTTTCCTTCTGGAAACTTGTGAGGGGACTTCATTTCCCTCCCATACGCCCCCTCACCACTTTTAGTCTTATCAGAGTCTCTGATAACAGTCTAGTAATGAGGGACTATCGTTACTTTTATTCTCACCAAGCTTTCATTCTGGGCTAGTTTAAACATTTCAAGTTTTATTTTATATTTTTATTGTGCAATGTTTAAAATACACAATAAATTTAAAGTGTTAGCATTTTCCTAATATCTTTATGTTGATTTCTAAATTAATTCAGTTATGTTTACAGAATATACTTTCTTTGCTTTCAATTATTTTACGTTTGCTAAGGTTTATTTACAGCACAGAATGTGGTCTATCTTGTGTACTTGAAAAGAATGTGCATTTGTTAGGTGAAGTGTTCTGTATAAAAATCATTTGGGGCCAGGTGCAGTGGCTCATGCCTGTAATCCTGGCACTTTGGGAGGCCGAGGGGGGCGGATCACCTAAGGTCAGGATTCAAGACCAGCCTGGTGAAACCCCATCTCTACTAAAAATACAAAAGATTTGCCAGGCTTGATGGCAGGTGCCTGTAATCCCAGCTACTCAGGAGGCTGAGGCAGGAGAATCGCTTGAACCTGGGAGGCAGAGGTTGCAGTGAGCTGAGATCACGCCACTGCACTTCAGCTTGGGCAACAAGAGCGAAACTCCATCTCAAAAACAAAAAAATTACTTGGGTAAAGTTGGTTGATAGTGTTGTTCGTGTCTTCTATAACCTTGCTGATTTTATGTCTACTTTTTCTATTGATTACCAAGGGAAGAGTGTTAACATCTCCAACTATAATTATGGATTTGTCTGTTTCTCCTTTCAGTTCTTCTAGTTTTTGCTTCATATATTTTGAAATATTGTTGTTAGGTGAATATGCATTTAAGATTATGTCTTCTTGGCAAATTGAACCCTTTATTATTATGAAATGTCCCTCTTTATCTCTGAAATCTGCTTTGATAATAACATAGCCACTCCAGTATGGTACATTTTTCTCCATCTTTTTACTTTTAACCTATCTGAATAAATACAGAATATATTTAAAGATATATCTTGTATCCTGTTTTCACCTCTAATTTTTGTTCTTCTGTTTTCTATTTCATACCTTATTTTGGATTATTTGAACATTTAATATTATTTAATGTTTGTTTGAATAATTAGCATTCCATCTCAATTTAGCTACTGGCTTCCTGGCTATATCTTTGTTTGTTTTTAAAAATTTTATAGGTGCTCTAGGGGTTACCGTATACATACCTAAAGTTCCACATTCTACTTACAGGTAGTATTTTCCCACTTCAACTAAAGTATAGACTCTTCCAATCATATTGGTTCCTTTACATTTACATACATTGAAATCTCCACTATATAATTTAATGATTTTTGCTTTCAGTAGTCATACACAATTTAAGTAACTGAAGAGGAGGGAAATAGTATTTATTGACACAGATATTTACTATACTGCTGTTGCTTTTTCTTCATTTCCTAATTTCCAGGTTTTCCTCTGATATCGTCTATCTTCAGCCTGAAGAACATCCTTTAGCATTTTTTTTTTTTAGGGCATACCTGCCAGCAATCGATTCCTTTGGTTTTCCTCCATGATAACAGACCCCATGGGGATTATTAATTTCTAATTTAATTAGGTTACAGAGTATATTAAGTATAATTTCAATCCTATTAAATGTATTCAGACTTGTTTTATGGCCAATGCAATTGTCTATCCTTGTGAATATTTATGTCCATTTGAAAAGAAGGCATTATTCTGCTGGTTTGGGGTGTCATGTTCTACAAATATTATTTAGACCAACTGTGGTTCATATCTTCTATATCGCTACTGATTTCTTTTTGCATCAATTACTAAGACAGAAGTATTAACATTTTATATTTCTTCTTTCAGTTTTGTTTGTGCTTTACATGAAGTTTTTGAAGTTCTGTTTTTGGATGTACACTCATGTAGTCTTATGCCTTCTTGATGTATTATTATGTATTGCTATGAAATGTTTCTTTCATCTTTGACAATAATCGTTGTCTTGAAATCCATTTCATTTGACATAAATATAGCCATTTCCATTTTCCTATTATTTTTTATCTAGTATATCTTTTTCTATTCCAGCATTTAACTTTTCTGAATTTTTGTATTTAAAGTGGGAAAGTAGATTTTTTTGCAGATAACACTTGTTGGGTCTCACTGTTTTATCTAGTTTGACAATCTCTGCCTTTTAATTTGAGTGTTTGACCATTTGTATTTAATGCAACTATTAATATAGTTGGGTTCAAATATGCTATTTGTTTTCTATCTGTCTCAATTGATCTTTGTTCCTTCATCTTTTCCTACCCTCTTTTGGATTTATTGAGTATTTTTAATATTCTATCTGCTGTTGGCTTATTGGCCATAGCTCATTTTAAAAACTATTTTCATAGGGTCATTCTACAGTTTACAATATGAATCTTGAACTTATCACAACTTATTTTCAAATAATATTATACCACTTGACAGCAGCATATTTCTACTTCTCCCTTCCAGTCTTCTGTATTATCATCGTCATACAGTTTATTTCTGCATATGTTGTAAGGCCCATATACACTGTTATTAACAATTAAATGTCTTTTAAAATAAGTTTAAAAATTAGAAATAAGTATTTTATATTTAATCACATATTTATCATTTCTGTTTTTCCTTATTCCTTTTGCAGATCCAAATTTCTATCTGATATTATTTCTTTCAGCTTGAAAAATATCCTCTTTTATTTCTTTTAGTGCAGGTCTGCTGGCAATGAATGCACTCAGCTTTTGTTTGCCTAAAATGTTTTTAATTTTTGTCTTTATTTTTGAGGGATTTTTTTGGGATACAAATTCTCGACTAATAGTTTTTTTTCTTTCAGCACTTTAAAGATGTCATTTAATTTTCTTTTGGCTTTCATTGTTTCTAATGAGAAGTTAGTCAAATTTTCAGCTTTGTTCATATATATAGTGTGTGCATGTGTGTGTTTTCTGGCTGCCTTTGAGGTTTCATCTTTGTTACTGATTTCCAGCCATTTGATTATAATGCATTTTAGTGTGTTTGTCTTTATCTCACTTCAGTTTTGCTGAACTTCTTGAAACTGTGGGTGTATCTTTTCATCAAATTTGGAAAAATTTTGGTCATTATTTCTTCAAATGTTATTTCTTAATTCCCCCAGCCCACCCTTACCTTTCCTGAGACTCCATTTGCACATATTATCCCACAAGTCACTGAGGCTGTGTTTATTTTTTAAGGCTTATTTTTTTCTCTATGCTTTAGTCTGGATAGTTTCAATTGTTATGCCTAAAGTTCACTGTTCTTGTTTTCTGTAATGTCTAGTCCTCCTTAAGCCAACCAACAAATTTTTCATTTCAGACAACCCATTCCTTGGCCCAGTATCATTTTCCCTTAATGATTTTAAATTTTATTCTTATCAGATACTAAATTTTCATAGGTGTTTGTGTTTAATTTGCTTTTTATTCTGTTTCATTAATCTATTTGTGTATTTATGCTCTAGAACCGCATTAATTTTTATTATTATAGATTAATATATGTCAATATCTGGAAGGGTTAGTTCTCCCTTAATACTTCTGCTTTTCAGTCTATTCTTGTTTATTTTTTCAAATGAAGTTTAAAGTTGGTATGTAATTAAATGAAAATTCTGTTGATGTTTTAAAAATTGTACATATATATTACCTTAGGGGTAATTAGCATTTTTCTTATGTCAGAGCTAAATATGCAAAAACAGGGTTAGTCTTTACAATTTTTTCAAGTTTTTTGCATCCCTAAGTGGCATTTTAAAGTTTTCTTCATATAGATCTTAAATATTTCTTTGTTTATTACTAAATATTTTGTGTTTTTGTTGTTGCAGCTATTATAAATGAGGTCTCCTTGTTATTATATGTTCTCAGGGGTTATTGCTTTTATATAGGAAGACTATTGATTTCTCTAGTCTCAACCACTTAATGTGTTCCATCATTGTTTCCCAGTCATTGCTTACTATATTTTTCAGGTGTATATAATATACCAAAATGGTGCTTTCTTGAATTTGCATATTCTTTTTCATAATGTCCTAATATTGCTTTTGTATGTTTTATTTTTCCTTTCTTTTTGAATATCTTAAACATACCCATTTAAAAACCTTTTCATATTGTTCCATTGCTGTAATTTATAGGGTGTAAATTTTCCCAACTATTTCATCTGTTGACGGTATTTTAAGATAATTCCTTTTTTCATGGAATTAGAGATATTTTACCATGAGCTCATCTTCAGGAGAAATAGTTTCCTGCTGTGTCCCATGAGGCTGTACTGTGCAGGCATATGTGTCATTTGGTTCATTATTTGCCTTTGCTGCGTTCATTCTTAGATAATTTTTATGTTTACTTTTTAATTGTAACTTCCTTTAGTTATGGTTTGGAGGAATTCTGACTAACACCCACACAGGGTGCAATTTTGGAAGTTTGATTTTTGGAGGTCTACTCTTTCACCACCCACAATGTTGGACAGATGGTCAACTTCCTGATGCATCCTTAGACCAGTGGGCAGAGTTCTTCTAGTCCTTATTTCCGGAAGGAAGATTACTTTCTGGCTTTTAGCTTTATTCAAAGAGGTCCGTTCAGCTTCTTATCACCTGCAGGCCTGAGGCCTAATCCTCTGCTCCTGTGGGTTTTAAAACCTATGCTAGCACCGGTTTCTGATATCCCTATGGACCATTTGCTTTTAACACCTGCTCAATTTTATGAGTTTGCGTTTCTACTTCCTTTTTGGACCTAGGAGTTTTTCTTACTTAGTTTAGAATTTGGCTATGAAATGGCAACGATAACAACGACAAAAGTAACATTTTTTTGTTGTTATAGTTTACCCAGCTTTTATATGGGTTTGCAGCATAATGGGAACTTCCCACATCAGTTCAACCTGTGCCATTGACCAGGATTTCCTGATGGCCCCTTAAGTGATTCTGACACATGCTCTTTCCTGACATAGACAGGAATACTTAACTTCAGACTATCTTGGACCTCAGCAAGTAAAATATTCCAGTTGTTTCTATACATTCGGTCACTTAGCAACTTTTTCCATGCCCTCCTTTCTACTCTTTTAAATACAAACATTTGTTGAGCATCTATTTTTTGCAAGGAACTGAGCTTGTTATCTGGCATAGAAAACTTAATGAAGTGAGATCCCTTCCTTGTAAGAAAGACATCACTTTCTATGGCACAGAGCCAGGGGCCAACTTTTGTGCACTATAGTAAGTACCTGAAATAGAGTTAGGAGCAATGCATTTACAGGGAAATGTTGCTTAAAGGTTGTTTGTTTCTGTGTTTTGGTTTTCTGTTTTGGTTTTGAGACAGGGTCTCACTCTGTTACGCAGACTGCAGTACAGTGGTGTGATCTCGGCTCACAGAAACCTCTGCCTCCGAGGCTCCATGCGATCCTCCCACCTCAACCTGGGACTACAGGCGTGCACCACCACCCCTGGCTAATTTCTGTATTTCTAGTAGAGACGGGGTTTCACCATGTTGCCCAGGCTAATCTTGACCTCATGGCCTCAAGTGATCAACCCACCTCGGCCTCCCAAAGTGCTGAGATTACGAGTGTGAGCCTCTGCACCTGGCCTGTTGCTTGAAGATTTTGTGTATGAATGTGAAACAGATATGACCATGTGTTTGTCTTCTTTTGCATATCCTGGGAATAATGAGTAAGAGTGGGAAAGCAGCCCACAGGGAGTAGGAGAGAGAACATTGCAGAGAATTAGGGCCCTTGGCTACTAGTTCTTGTTGCTAACCAGTCCAGGGACTCTCAACCCCAGCTGCCCTTCAGACCCCACCCACCTGAGGTCCTGACTCAGCTGTTCTGAAGTGGGCTCCAAACATCTACATATTTAGATTTGGATGTTTCTGTAGGTGATTTTAATGTACAGTTAGGACTGAAAACCACTCACCTAATTAGATGACTTTGGGTAAATTATTTTAATCTTTATTCCTTCTGTGCCTTAGTGTCCTCAAGTATCAAATGAAGCAGGTAATTTCCAGATCCAGAAATCCACTCTAACACGTAATAGTTGCCCAAGAGGGGGCTATTTTTGTGACATTTGTTATTATTGTTTTTGTTATTAATACTATTACATAATCTCACTGATTTTTAGAAGCTTAGTCTTTTTACTGACAGAAAAGTATCAGTAAACTCAAATGGCAAGCAGACTAGTTTTTCTATCATCCAATGTTATAATTTGGTTTCCAGAAATTATTAGGTAATGGTAATTGATATAACAGCTTTGCCCATTAGATCACCTGCCTTTACACACTGTACTATAAAATAATGGACTGAGTTTTATGACTTGTGGAATCCACCGTATTGATTTATAGTCACAGCTCAGGGCTGTGTGTGGGTAGGCACAAAAGTGTGAACACTAATTGTTAGTGAACCCATTTGGAGGACTACAGAGAGGTGCTCAGAGGCCAGGGTTCCAAATGTTTCTCATTAATTATCTTCAAAACAAACTCTCAGCGTAAGAGCCCCAATTAGGGAGCAACACATGGTTTAGAAAGCCCTGGTGGTAAATTTCCTGATGTACTGGATTTCATTTTGGGAATTAGTGTAGTGCAATGGAAAAAATGTGAACTCTGGAGCCAGCCAGACTGGGTTCAAATTCTGGCCTTACCACTTACCAGCTTTATGACCCTGAGCAAGTTACTCTGCCACTTTGCACCTCAGTTTCCTCATCTGATATATGGAGATGATGATAATGGTACCTACCTCACAAAGCTATTGTGGATGAAATCAGTTAATTCATGCAGAGTACTTAGAACAGTGCCTGGAACATGCAAACATTCAAGAAGTCTCAGATGCAACTTTTGTACCAAGACAAAGATCTAATCCATAGGAACAAATAATAAAGAAAATTGAGGCAAATGTCAGGGTGGTTGTGATGGTATTTGGGGGGTGGGTTGGCCTTGACTGAAGTCCTTACCTGGCACGGGCTAATCCTTCTACATGGAAAGCCAACGTTGCCTGGGCACAAGCCCGCTCCTGAGTGGCCAGACTGATGAGGACGGAGGATCCTGCAGATGAAATATTGTTGGATCAGGCACCGGATGGCTCATTCCCTCCATCTTTCTTTTTGGTCTCTCCCTCACTTCTTTTTTGTCCTCCTCTCTCCCCCTCCTCTTTCTTCACGCTAAGCCAGGCCTTTGCCACATCAGCCTCACCAATAGGACCCTCAGGGATTGCGGTCCCATAAGCAAGTCTAACTTGAGTCCTTGGCCCAGTTCCTGGCGCTTCATTTTAGCTTCTCCCATCCCAAGTGGGGCTCTTGTGGCCCATTCTTCTCCTTCTTCCCAAGAGATGGCTCAGCTGCCTGCAGATGAGCCTCCTGGGTCCCAAATAGAAGAGAGTCTTGCTGACTGGGAAGGGGTGGGTGGCTGCTCGGGCTTGCTCTTTCCCTGGCAAAGCCTTTTCTCATACACACATTTTGCTCAGGGCAGTTTTTGGAACACAGACATGCCAAGCCGACCTCACCTCTTGTTAACTGGGACTGAGGAGTCAAGTCCGTTTTGGTCTTAATTAAAAGAACATGAGGATCAGGGTCAACTGTGCAGAAGAATCAGGAGCAAAGTAAAGAGATTAAAGCCATGCTTTGTTCTCATCAGAAAGTTTGATGTTTTGAGAATATTGAGTTGTTATTGAGTCCTCCGCAGTATCTCTCAGGAGGAGAACAAAATTGGCCCATAGAAGGCAAACTGACTGATCCCACCCCTTTCACAAATTCTTCTTAGCAACTTGTTTTCATGAAATTGAGAAGCAGTATGATGTTGTATAAAGAGCAGCGACTCTCATTCTTCACTTTAATAATTTTTGTGGACCTCTGAAAATGCGAGCTTCGCTACTCTCCCATAGCCCTACTTTGGTATCCACATTTCAACCAGATTAGTTTCCTGGGGCTGCTGCAACAAAGTATGACTGACTGGGTGACTTAGAACAACAGAAATGTAAGGTCTCACAGTTCTGGAGACTGGAAGTCCAGGACCAAGGTGTCGGGAGGACCGTGCTGCCTCTGAAGGTGCTAGGGAAGGATCTGTTCCAGGGCTCTCTCTGGGATTCAGGTAGTTCCTTGGCCCTTGGCAGCATAACTCCAATCTCCACGTGGTGTGCCCCTCATATGCCTGTCTGTGGCCAAATTTCTCCTTTCCATAAGGACACCAGTCATATTGAATTAGGGGCCCACCCTACTCTAGTGTGACTCCATCTTAGCTAACTACATCTGCAACCCTCTTTCCAAATAAGGTCATATGCTGAGATACTGAAAGTTGGGACTTCAACATATGAATTTTGGGAGGATACAATTCAACCCTTAACAGCTAGAGCTATGCCCCACAGACCGGATTCCACAAAACCATTGCAATCTGCTTTGCACCACCCACTCCACAGCTTGACAGTCAAGTGCTCAGAGGCTGCATGTTTGATTGAAGCACGCTGATGCTGGTTCTCCATGTCCTGGAAACGAGGCTGGAGACAGGGCCAGGGGCTAAATCATACAGAGCCCTGAAGGCCATGGGCGTTGTGTACTTTATCCTAAGAGCAGTGGGCTGTCTTTGATGCTTACAAACAGAAGGCTGATCAGACTCTAGAAAGAGCCTTCCAACTTTAGTGTTGAGAATGGAATAAAGTTGGGGCAAGGCAATTCTTCAAGCAAGTGACAAGCTGGCCTGAACCTCAATGGTGGCAATGGGAATGCGGGGAAGATGACTTGGAGAAATAGCTGTGATGTATCAGGGTGCCTAGAGAAAAACAACCTAAAGTGTGTGTTATTTTAGCAAAGGCACTGCCATTTGGGGACCGTTGGCAAAAGGAACTTGTCATTTGGGTTTCTGGATATGGACACTTTAATGTTGGCACAGATTCCCTTGTTTTCAAGGAAGTTACCAAGATAAACCCTCTAGTCAAGCCAAAGTAAAGCAAGTTGATTTGGGGAAGATGTCATACCTGAGTGTGGCAACTGCAGAGTGTGATGTTAAATGTTGAAGAACTGGTGAAAAGTTTTCCTGAAGTGACTACTTAGACTGAATTATTCGTATCCCCCATGTATTAGGTGCCTATTTGCTGCTGCAACAAACTACCACAAACTTAGTGGCTTAAATCAACACAAATGTATTATTTCCCAGCACTGTAGGTCAGAAGTCTGACTTGGTTCTTGCAAGACCACAGTCAAGGTGTCAGCAGGGATGCAGTCCTTTCTGGAGCTGTAAGACTCTTTCCTCTGTTCTAAGGCCACCCACATTCCTTGGCTCATGGCTCCTCTCCGTCTTCAATGCCAGCAGCACATTATGTCTCTGGCTCTGCTTCCACTGTCTTTTTCTAACTCTGTCTTCTGCTTTCTACTTTTTTTTTTTTAACGGAATCTCGCTCTGTCACCCAGGCTGGAGTGCAGTGGTGTGATCTCAGCTCACCACACCTTCCACCTCCCAGGTTCAAGCAATTCTCCTGCCTCAGCCTCCCGAGTAGCTGGAATTACAGGCGTGCACCACCACACCCAGCTAATTTTTGTATTTTTAGTAGAGATGGGGTTTCACCATGTTGGTCAGGCTGGTGTCGAAATCCTGACCTCAGGTGATCCGCCTGCCTTGGCCTCCCAAAGTGCTGGGATTACAGGTGTGAGCCATGGCGCTTGACGCCTCTTCTACTTTTAAGGACCTTTGTGGTCAGATTGGGCCCACCTGGATAGTCCAGGGTACTCTTCCCATCGCAAGGTCAGCTAACTAGCAAGCTTAATTTCACCTGAAAACTTAAATCCTGTTTGCCACATAGCCTAATGTATCCACAGGCTCTGGGGATTAGGATGTGTATATCTTTGGAGACCATTATTCTGCCTCCACAGCCCACATGATGTTGATATTAGTATAATGTGGGAAGTGCAAGGTCACATAGTGTCGTTGTCTTATCTGGGCCCTGGTGAATCAGAGAGAGGGTTGCTCTTGAAAGACTTGGGGGTTTTCAGGGCCAGTTTTCCTGGGGCAGCATGAGCAGGCCTTAGGCCAGGAGACAGGGGCAATGCTTCCTGCTTTCTGGTGTAAAGGGGATGGGGGTATAGACCCAGGGTTGGTTTGGTCTATTCGAAGGATTCTTGCTGAGATGGGACAGCTTGAGAGGAGCTAGATGTGGTCCTGAGGCTGGGGTTTTAGGGCCTGCGGGCTCCAGGAAGAACATAGTGAGCCACTTCTGTTATGCCCCAAATATTCAGGAAGCATCACCATCTGCTCTGGGCTGGGGAATTAAGTTTCCAGAATCAATGATGGGGTGGGGCTGGGGGTCACGTCCCCACTTGCAGTGAATCTGTATGGGAAAAGCACATCCTGGAGAAAGGAGTTACAAGGGGATGCATGATGAAATCCCTCGGAGATGCCCAGACATGGTGGAGGGAGACCTGGGCGGCTGACAGCTATTCTGCTAGTCCCAGGCAGATGGGGGGTTGAACATTAAAAGAGATGAAACTTTATGTTAGGCTACGAGAGCAGACATCCAGGTTTCAGTGTGGGGAGATGCCCCAGGACTTAAAGATGAAGGGGCTGTGGGAAATGATGGCGGAGGAGAGGTCCAGGTCTAGGTCTTCAGGGGAAATGGAATCTCCCTACCTTTCCTGCTCGAGAGGGTGCTCAGCTGTAGGGAGGGGGTGCTCTTCTTCTTTTGGGGCTTTATTGTCAAAACAGAGGAGTGGTCTTCCTGCACGACCCAGGGAAAGTGCCTTTTTAATGAAGGACTTCTGTCCTTGGGGTCTTCTCACCTTCCCTTTGTTCCATCTTCTCGCCTCCTTGGCCTTTTTCTCTCACTTGCTATCTTTGTTCTTATTTAGAGGAAAGGTTTGGGTAAGACTATTCATTTCATAGGATATTTTCTGCTTAATCTTTTTTTTAGAAAATGGTAAAGTCTTCATTTCAGACACCTAGCCCATGCTTGTCCATAGAATTACATGTTCCTATTGGAGGGGCTTTGTCCAACATGCATCCCCTGGAAGAGACCCACTGGCCTTCTCATAACAACAGAAGAGAGACAGTAATGGGCTCCATGACAGACAGCTTCTCACTTCCGTCATTCCAACTGGTTCTGGGAGTAGGGAGAGCTTATACCAGCTGCTTCATGCAGGCTCCAAAGGGCATTTTGTTTTAGCAGTGCCCTTTTCCTTAGGAATTGTCGCGTTCTGCCTCTCCCTCTCATTCATTCACTCAGCTACGTGCTGAGTCTCCACCAAGGAGAAATGACTAGAGGCAAGCGCTGCTCTCAGGAAACGGAGTTACACTGTGAGGCAGTTTGTGAGTGGATCCCAGGCTTAGCAAGACCCACTGGAAATTCTCTCAGGGTTCAGAGAGGATAGAAGAGATGAGGGCTTGAGTAGATGAGAAGAGAAAACTCTTTGAAGTCAGCCCTTGAAAGATTGGTTCAGCAGAGAGCAGGGGCTAGGACATTGCAGATGAAGCAGGGAGACAGCATAAGGGATATCATAAATATACATGGGATACGGTATATGTGTGTATGCATGCATGCATAATAGTTATATGTGTAAATAGTGCAAAATCCAGAAAGTTAAAAAGATATGTATTCTGGCTCCTTGTTCCTCCTCACCCAGTTCCCCTCCCTAGAGGCAGCGTTTATGTTTAAAAATATTTAACAAAGACAGAGTATCGCTCCGCATCCCCAACTCATGGCTGGATGGCTGAACCGTTTTCTAAGAGTGGAAGTATCAAACATGCATGTTTTCATTGTTTTATCCGCAGTGCATTCTGTGACCACTCTCCACAACCAAGTCCTCACAAAAAATACTTCATGCACCATTTTGGGGACCAAGTTCCTGCCCCAAGATGCAGAAAAATTGAGAGGCCTATATAATGTTAGCCACCCCTGCCTCCTCCCAGGAATCCACAGAAATCTCCGGAGGACTCTGGGCTCCTGCAGGTCATGAGTTGTGGGTCTGAGCCAAGAGCATGGAGATCTAAGAGATCTAAGGGACCGGGAGGCCCCAGGGGCATGTGCACTGCACATTAAATGGAAAAGGTTGACCCATTTGGAGACCAGGGCAGCTTACAGCCAAGGAAGGGCTGCCTCTGCCCCCAAGGGGATGTGTAAAGGGGGTGCCCAGGGACACACAGGAGCAGCCCTCATGGAGGGCACTAACAGAATCAGGGTTCACAGGCTGCAGGAAGACAACTGAGAACACACAGATGGACTCTGGCTCTTCCCAGATGAGTTTCCTGACCAGAAGAGAACTCCCGCATAGAAAGGTTATGTGGGAAACACTCTGGTTTTTCTTCTCCTGCTGTGAAATCAATTAAAAACAGGATGGATATAAAATGGTTTTATAACCTCCTCCACCTCTGGCTTCCTTTCTTCTTGGGGATGAGCCAGGCAGAGTGGGGAGAGACAGGAGTCTCACGGTCTGCAAATTCTGCAGCAGTTTAAATGATAGTGACCTATTGCTTCAGCTCTCCTCAGGGGACCTGGGGCTGGAGGAGAAAATGTCTCCTTGGAAAGTGGCCAAAGGAAGGAGAGCCCCATAGAGGGAGTGAGGGTAGGTAGGGCCCAACCCTTCCAAGTTCTGGGTCAGTCTTAGGTTCAGAACGCATCTAACCTGGGGAAATGAGACAGCCAGTTTTGGAAGAGAGTTTATTTCCCACAGAACAATTCAAATGGCTTGTTAGCCTCGCGCACACTTGCTTGATATGACCCAACATGAATAATTTTCATTCCTGTTTTGATTTACAAAAAATGATAGTACATAACTTTTTTTGAGTACTACTCTGTGCCAGGAACATACTCAGATACCTTTCTTACGTTAACTGTAATTCTTATAACACTACTGAAAGTTAAGTACTATTTTCTCCTGTTAAAAATAAGGAAAATGAGGCTCAATGAGGCTAAGTAAACTTCTCAAGATCAGAGAGCTAGTAAGCGGCAAAACCAGCATCCAAACACAAGTTTGTTAAAATAATAATAGTTCTGACTTATTGAACTCTTCTGTGGGCTAGATATTTGACATACATTATCTGAAATCCTTATCACAACCCTGTGAGGGATTTTGCTGTAGCTCCATTTGACAGATGAAAAAGTCATATTTAAGGAAATAGTGCAAAGCCCTAGAACTGACTTGGTGAAGTCTGGCCTTGAACCTGGGTCTCTCTGGATTCTCTGATGCCTGTATTTATTCCAAGTGTGCCACGCAACTTCGGGGACCCAGAAAGGTGCTCTTGCCCTAGGTGCTTCCAGTGGGTGCTCTGGGACCAGCGAGGGGCCCCCACTGGTTGTCCGTGGTGATCTGAGGTTGAACTGAGCTGTACACAGAGCATGAGAGTGGCTTCTGCCAATACACATTGTTCTCCGCAGCATGTAATGTTTTCTAGGGCCTTGGCCAACTTGGCTGAGGCATTGTAGACATCTTGAGGGACTGGGTTCCGAGCATCTTAAACGGATCGACAGATTTTATCAGGAAGTACTGCTTCTTACCACAGAGCTGCCCACATTTTTCCCAGTGAAGAGTATTAGCTGGAACTAGGGTTCCAGCTATTTTTACACCCGATGTAAAATCATGTGAATGAGCTTCCATGGCTTACACATCCCTCCTTACTCGTCAGACAGTTCTGATCTGCTTTAGGCAACCCCATCTTCTCTTTATTCCTGTGTTATTTTCCAAGGCACAGCCACCCACAAAACATCTTGGGGAATCTTGATGTCCCAATCCACATCTTCGCTTCACTTACTTGCTTGCACCCTGAAATCTGTAGTCCACAAGCAACAGCCACAGCAAGACAATCCGAGATTGGGCTGGCATTGAGAAACGCCCAAAACATGTTTACATCTTGCATGTCTTTTAGGGCTCTTGTTAACCCAAGGAGAAAGAGCAGTATGAACACCGGTTTTAGAGAATAAATCTAAGACCCTGTTAGTGCCCGAAGCAGGATTAGAAAGTAGATTTTCACCGGATTCCATTGTCCCCAATTCTCTTGCTCCAGACCCTATTCTAAGGCATAAAGTTAGGGAAATAGCCACAGAGGCTCAGGCACATTGCCCTGATTTGAAATGTTTCCCTCAAGGGGTCCTTTCAGTTGTTCTGAAAACTCAGCCTGAAAATTGTAAATGCCCCATAAAGGCAAAGCTTTTACCTGGAACAATCCATTGCAGAAGAAGCATATTCCCTAAAGCCAAGGTTGTTGCACAATTTGAGCTGTCTCACAAGCACCAGCAACTAGTCATTCATTTATTCAAGAAATACATACTGAGTGGCTTCTAGGGGCCAAGTACTGCCGAGTACTGTGGACTCAGCCTAGCTCTCCTGGAGTGCAGAGTGCATCGGAGGAGTCAGTTGAACAGGAACTTTTAGTGAAGTGTGCGCTCTGGGAGTAGACAGCAGGGGGGCCTGGGCAACCCCAAGGTCAGGGTTGGCTTCTCTAAGGAAGTGACATTTAAACTAAGACCTGGAAGACAGTAGAAGCTGGCCAGGCAAGGATGACATGGAGTCCTCCAGTGTGGCAGCCATGAGTATGAGCCTCGCAGACCTCCAAGATGGAGGAACTTCATTGACCAGGAGCCCAGCTGCTGCACTCTGCAATCCATCACCATGCCTGTATGGAGGCCATGCTTCCCATAGGCTACACCAAGGCAATGGCTGAGGTTGGTGGGAGTGCCAGGGCAGCCTGTTCCTTGGAAGCCAGGACAACTCTGATGGCCACCTTTGCTCAAGAACACCCCCATAACGCTGCTGAGCTTCTTTACATTGCTGGGTGGTCTACAGTGTTTCTCTCCATCCTTCCTCCCATCTCTCCTTCATGTGGAGTCAGGCTTGCACCGTGTTCCTTATCCAACCTCTCTCCTCTCCTGCCTGCCATGGGCATGTGTGACATCGCTCAGGGAGGATGAGAAGCGGGAGGTGAGCTGAGCCAAGAGGCCAGGAAAGAAAAAAGGGAAAGGGCCCTGGGTAGAGCCGGGCAAGTTCTATTGTCCCAGCAGGAGGAGGAAAAGTCAGACAGGAGGAGTCAAAAGTTGATTCCAGGGGTTGTTTGAGATTAGAATCCTGTCCCTTCTTTTTAAAATTCCAGAATGGCTCTGGCTAAAAGCTTCCTGTTTCAGGACAAAGTCCCAAAGGAACTTTTTTGTAAAGCCATCTTGTAGATCACCTATAAAAGCTTTGTCCTTCCCTAACATTTATATCCTTACAGGTATCAGAAGAAGGTGGCTCTCCAGAGTGTCACCTTGGCAGGGCCAATCCCAGTCCTGACTGGGGAGAAGCCCAGGTGCCAGGAGTGTTGTTACTGCGGCAATGGACGCTGCAGTCTGCCGGCACCCGATGCCGCTCACCAGCTCCATCCTTCTAATCAGCAGCCGAGGCTCAGATTCTTCCCAGCTGCATGGGGAGACTGTCCTGCTCGGGCTGCTGTGAGTCACTTGGCAGATCTAGTTCTCATTGCACATTAATGCATTGGGGATTTTGTTTTATTTTTTTAAAAATAAAAGAATAACATTAACATCAAGGGAGGTCATCAGAGAGAAAAAGAGTTACAAAAAGGCAGCATGCGGCCTGTGCGTGTGAGGTGGAAGGTGGAGCGGGGGTGGGTTTTGGCCTTTAGGTGGGCATGGCTGCCCCAGCCAGGGCTTCAGTGGTGCCTTTCACATCCATTCTTTATCTATAGGATGCCTGGGGATTAGGTAGGAGTGCCAAAACACTGCAATTATAAAAAGAGGGAAAAATGACCCTGTTGGTGATCATTTAAGGAAGTATTTTAGGACAACTGAAAGGAAATAGATCTTTACACAGCCTGTAGCCTGTAAGTGGAACCCATTACCCCCATTAGGTGTTCTGCATGGAAGTAAAAAATGGGTCCGAGAATAGGTCAGATAAATTCACAGATATTAGATGTCATGGTCACTAGGATCAGCCTATGAAGAGCAAGTTACCATGTTCCCATGAAAATGTTACTGCTGCCCCCAGAGGACCTGTGCTCCAGCCACATCAAGCTCCTAAATATTTCTGGAACAGTGAGTCTTCTTTCTTGAGTCTGTGTCTTTGCCATGCCGTTGCTTCTAGGTTCCCTTGCCACTTTTTCCCAAGAGTGGTAAACTACCACTTATTCTTCAAGATCCAGTTCAAAGCCTCCTCTAGAAAGCCTTTCTTGAATCCTCTAGGGCAGGGGTGGTCACTCCTCACTCTGTGCCCCCAAAGCCTGCTGTACCAAGCACACACACAAAGCTACCACTGCACTATAATTGTTTGTCTGCTCAACTGGACTATAAAATTCTCCAGGGTAGAGATTGTGCCTGATTCATGTAGCTTAGCAGAGAGGCTGGCCTGCAGCCTCTGTGCAGGAAATACATGTGAATAAAGGAATGAATGTTGAGTTACATCAACCAATGGTCTCACCACTTAAAGGACATATTCTTAATGACATTCTCAGAAGCTTTGCTTCTAATATCACTTGGACAATACTCTTCTGCCAGGACATATTCCTGTTTATCTCAGCTAATATATATGCTAGTCTCCAAAGCAGCCATCTGTGTAGTTGAAGTGAAGTAGCCAAGAGAATTGAGATTTTAGTGTCTTTAACTTAACTGTGTCTCTCAGACAAATGAGCCAGTTCCCCAGAAATCTGGTCTAGAAACATTGCCAATGCACATTCCAGTGACTTTGAGATGTTAGAAAAACAGACATATCACCTTTCAGGCTGAAATCACTGGGAAGTGCATTTTAAAGCTGGGTTTCCTTCCAGATCCTTAGGTTGTGAATGACACACAGTCTGTGGAAAATTTATGAGATCACCAAGAAGCCGAGGTCTGAAGTGTTCAAGAAGTGTTTAACCACAGATCAAACACAACATTTGCGTGTTTCTGAAAAACAACAACAACAACAAAAAACCACCAAACAGCAAACAAAGGTCTAATGATCAAAATGGTGTCCAACTCAAACCAATATGAGGGGTCTGCTCAGGCCCATATGTAGAGATTCTGAAGATGATGAATTGTAGGAAGAGAAAGGAGAGTAAGACCCTGGCAAGTATGGGAAAATCCAAGAATAATGAGGGGTGCTGCTCGGTCAGTTAAATAACTATCCCTAGAGAAAAATTCCTGGAAGCCGAGAACCTTGGGTTTCAACCCCAATTTACATCTTTTTAGAAAATCATTTGAACTTAACTTTCAAATGATTGACTGCAAAAATTTGTTAGTCAATTTAAAAATATCTATACATGCTTTTATGTGTGTGTGTGTGTGTATGTGTGTGTGTGTGTGTGTGTATTTTTAGTAGAGACGGGATTTCACCACGTTGGCCAGGCTGGTCTTGAACTCCTGGCCTTAAGTGATCCACCCGCCTCGGCCTCCCAAAGTGCTGGGATTACAGGCGTGAGCCACTGTGCCCAACCTACACGTGCTATTAACTTAAAGGCAAATGTAAAGTGTTTTGATGGGCCGCAATGCAGCTTTTTATTCAGAAAATAGCTTTGGGGCAGCTAGTATGTCCAGGGCCCCTGACTGGGCCCTAGAGATGCAGCAGGGAGTAGGACTGCGGTCGCCTCTGCCCTCATGGGACCTAGAGTCTGGTAAGAAGAACAGGCCCAGAATAAGTGATTACATTAATAGCCAGTGGCAATAAGGTTTTGCTGGGAGACATCCAGAGGGTTCTGTAATATCCAGTAAGGGTACTTGATTTATTCCAAAGGGCAAAGATACTCACCCTGAGGAAGTGAGCCTGGGCTGATGCTCAGCATTGTGGATGTAGGGAGAAGAATGTTCCAAGAAAAGGGAGGACTCTCAAGAACCGAAGCTTACAGAATTGCTGAAGCCCAGGATGAGAGGAGGAATCACCAGAGAAGGCTTGAGAGATAGGCAGGGGCAAGACAAAAATATTTAACAGCTGACACGTGGATATAATTTCATAAACTATTACATTTATCTTAAATGTAATTATAAAATGTGTTCCATTTTATTCTCTAAATTTGCTAAATTATAGATATTATTCAATGTCTTCCTTTCCAAGAGATTTAAGTAATACTACAAATTGTTTATAGATGTGATTTTTTTTTTCTTTGATGTAACTGCCACTAGATAAATGATGCCCCTGAGCCATGAGAAAACTTTTCCAATGATTTTCCCATTAAATTGCTGCACATTAAGTAACACGCAGACTCAGGAAGTGGAGAATCCACTTAACTTCAATGGTATTTTTCAAGATGCTTAATTTTCTCTCAGCATCTGCTGAAATAACAGCCATTGCATTAACAAAGTTTCCTAGCGCTTGTAATACTGCCTTAGATTTTTATCTATTCAATATCTTTATATTGACTAAGTCATGAAAATGGTATATTGGAATCACATGCTTGAGTTTCACCTACTCCTTAGGCTAGATGAGAGGCTCTAGTGGGCAATTACGTACTGAGCTGCCAGTTCAGTATTTTGGCTCAGCCCCTCAGGCTGTAGATAACCTCCCTGCACTGCGGTTTTCTCATGCATAAAATGGAAATTATGGTATCTGTGGTGTTCCACTGAATTAATATACATCTAGAATGAACACAGCTGGCGTTCTATTCCCATTAGCTCTCCCCTTTAGTAATAAAATTAATATTGTAAATGCCCAGGACAGATGACCATCAGGTATCCAAGCTCTTCTGATAAATGTAGGAGTAATTCAACAGAGAAGAATTTCTCACTGGTCTCCAGACCATCCTTATGGGTGCCTGTCTTTCTCGAGAGTGCCCATCATTCCTGAACTCTGCCCGGCACCTGACCAGGACCTGTAGGAAGCATATTAATATGCACTTATTTGCTCTTTCAATTTTCACTGGGTACTCTAGGAGCCCAAGTTCGACAAAAGCTGATGTTCCCACATATGGCCAGGTGAGGGCGACTCTGAGGGAGCACTGGCCTGTGGTAGCTGACTACAGCCTGGGAGGGTACCAGAGTCCCTATCAGGGGTAATGTCATCCCTTTACCATGGGATTTGGGAATGCTCTGGTTAAGTGAATTCACTGGGACAAGGCCTAGAGCTTGGTGAGCATAGGGCTTGCCTGCTGAACACCACCACAGTGATCCTCAAGCAAAACCCACCTGGATTGGGAAAACACCAAGACACGGGCATGAGGCAATCCTCTCATGGTGGAAGCCAATGGCAGTGCCTAGAAGTCCATATTTTGGGGGAAACTGATTGGCACAAGCATCAACCAACCAGAGTAGATTCAGCATTCACTCTTTGGTTAATGGGTGGAGAGGAGATAGGGGAAGTAGTTCCAAAGCATAGGAGAATTTTACTATTTAAGCAGCTAGTACCATTAACCATGCAGATAAACACAAGTTGAATGTTAACCTCAGAGCCATATTAATGGCCCTGGATGCATAGGAAGAACATGGACAGCCACAATGGTCTTATGAGATCTGATGTAAGTTTTTGACAGTGTTTTCTGAATACAATATGAAGAACAAGTTGAAGGAAGTCAAGACTGGAGGCAAGGAAACCAGTTGTGATACCTTTCAAGGGTTCAGGTTGGGATATGAGAGATATTTAATGTGTGTAATTCTCAAGACTTGGTGATTAACTAGATGTGGGAGGTAAGAAGGAGAAGGAGTCGTCAAGGATGACTCCTAGGTTTCTTGCTTGGGAATTTAGGCAGATTAGGTCACTATTTTTCTTTTTATTATTTTTTTATTTTATTTTATTGTATATATTTTTTATTATACTTTAAGTTCTAGGGTACATGTGCACAACGTGCAGGTTTGTTACATATGTATACCTGTGCCATGTTGGTGTGCTGCACCCATTAACTCGTCATTTACATTAGGTATATCTCCTAATGCTATCCCTCCCCACTTCCCCCCACCCCACAACAGGCCCTGGTGTGTGATGTTCCCCTTCCTCTGACCAAGTGTTCTCATTGTTCAGTTCCCACCTATGAGTGAGAACATGTGATGTTTGTTTTTTTGTCCTTGCGATAGTTTGCTGAGAATGATGGTTTCCAGCTTCATCCATATCCCTACAAAGGACATGAACTCATCCTTTTTTATGGCTGCATAGTATTCCATGGTGTATATGTAGGTCACCATTTTTCATGCCCCCATAGAAAATCAGGAGACAGGCATGTTTGGAGAGGGGCTGTGTTCAGTCTGGTGTTGGATATGTTCAGTTTGAAGTACCTAAGACCTATCTAAGCAGAGATCCAGTAGGCAGTTGGAGATATGTGTACCACACAGAAAGAGGCCTGGCTGGAGATGATGATTTTGGAATCCTTACATATTGCTGCATGAAATTGCTGAGAGAGAGAGAATACAGGTGAGAAAGGCATGGGTTTGAGTCCAGAGTAACAACAACATGTAAAGAACAGGTAGAAGATAAGGCAGCACAGGGTTAGGTGGAAAACCAAAATATCACACTCTAACAGAAGGCAGGAGAAAGGTGTGTTGGGCATGGTGAATGGGCACTTAGCATCCATTCCTACCTTCTCTGCTGTCTACGTTGTCTTCTTGGACAGCTCAAGACTACTTTCCCCAGATTCCTTTGCAACTACAGGACTGGATGCAAATTAGGTTCAAATTCAAATTTGGGAGAAGATTGCTTTGGGAATGTCAGGAGAGCAGAACCTTCCCATGATCCTTTTGATTATTGCAAGATAAACCATAAAGCCTTTTCTAGAATAGCAACATGGAAATAATGAAGAAAGAAACTGCTCTGACAAAGTGAGTCATCTTCTTTGAGGGCAAGTATGTTGGTACAGAATGTATTATATTTTAAGGGAGGATTTCTTCCTTTTTCCTGAGGAAAATGAAGAGCTAGGATTCTGGACCCAGAGGTTTAGGCAGGGTCAAAGGAATTCCTGCCCAGGTCAGTTAGTTCGTGTGCGATGACAGAAGTGCACTGGAGATCGCTGCAAGATGCGTAGTTGATATTTTCCAGAAGTATAGTTTGGTATCTTATTTTAAGTTTACCATTTCTATCTTGTAATTCTCTTTTGCTATCCTCAAATCTTTTGAGTATTCTCAAACGCCACCACCTAGTGCTGCTATACTTTGGAGAGTTAAGGGAAACATGTAAAGAGTCAGCTTGGAGTAGGGATTAGGAGGCAGCAAGAATGGTGCACGGTCTGGCATGGACACCTGGCTGAGGAGATGAGAGGCCAAGTGACTCCACTGCATTCACACACCTCGATAGCAACAAGATTAAGACTAGAACGTGGGTCTCCTGACTCTAGTGCTTCTTCCACAAAACATCACCATGTAAACCTATAAGAGTTTTGAGGTTCTTTCTGAAGTAGGGAGATGAATTAGATGCTGTGTGTATTTCTTTCACCTTCAATAAGACTGCTTTAGTTACTACCAAAATGACCAACAAGCTAAATTGCCACATCCAGTGGACTTTTCCAGTTCTTACATTGCTTGCTCTCTTAGCAGTATTTAATACAGTCAACCGTTCCCTCCCTGAAATATTCTGTATTATTCAGGCTTCAATAAGAAAAAAAAGAAGTCAGTCTTGACATTTTAAGCCCTCACACCTGTAATCCCAGCACTTTGGGAGGCCGAGGAGGCAGATCACGAGGTCAGGAGTTCGAGACCAGCCCGGCCAACATGGTGAAACCCCGTCTCTACTAAAAATACAAAAATTAGCTGGGTGTGGTGGCAGGCGCCTGGAATCCCAGCTACTCAGGAGGCTGAGGCAGGGGAATTGCTTGAACCCAAGAGGCGGAGGTTGCAGTGAGCTGAGATTGTGTCACTGCACTCCAGTCTAGGTGACAGAGCAAGACTCCATCTCCAAAAAAAAAAAAAAAAAGAAAGGTTGGAAGGTTTTGAGATGCAGCTGTATCTCTGAGAATGCCCCTATCACAACTGACCTGCCAACTGGAGGTGGGACCTTTGCACCTTTGCCAAATTCGGGAAGGTACAGGAAGGAATCAGAACACACTACTATGGCTACAATCTAGGATTAGGAAACTGCTACCACCACGATGACAACTGAGCAATCACGAGGCTAATGACTAGACACCACAACACTGCTGGGGAAAAGCTCCGCATCTTCAACATTGTACTTGCCAGCGGAAAACAGCCAAAAGCAATGGGACTACAGCCTCTGCCTCAGTTTCACTTTCTAAATCTTGAATGGCACATGTAATTGGTGGAAACTAATTTGCATCCAGTTCTCTAGTTGCAAAGGAATCTGGGGAAAGTAATCTTGAGCTGTCCAAGAAGACAACATAGACAGCAGAGAAGGTAGGAAAGGATGCTAAGTGCCCATTCACCATGCCCAACACACCTTTCTCCTGCCTTCTGTTAGAGTGTGATATTTTGGTTTTCCACCTAACCCTGTGCTGCCTTATCTTCTACCTGTTCTTTACATGTTGTTGTTACTCTGGACTCAAACCCATGCCTTTCTCACCTGTATTCTCTCTCTCTCAGCAATTTCATGCAGCAATATGTAAGGATTCCAAAATCATCATCTCCAGCCAGGCCTCTTTCTGTGTGGTACACATATCTCCAACTGCCTACTGGATCTCTGCTTAGATAGGTCTTAGGTACTTCAAACTGAACATATCCAACACCAGACTGAACACAGCCCCTCTCCAAACATGCCTGTCTCCTGATTTTCTGTGGGGGCATGAAAAATGTCTAAAATTTTCATTTTAAAATTTCATTTCATGTTAAAATCTGTCTAAACTCCCAAGCAAGAAACCTAGGAGTCATCCTTGATGACTCCTTCTCCTTACCTCCCACGTCTAGTTAATCACCAAGTTTTGAGAATTACACACATTAAATATCTCTCATATCCCAACCTGAACCCCTGAAAGGTATCACAACTGGTTTCTTTGCCTCCACTCTTGCCTTCCTTCAATTTGTCCTTCATATTGTATTCAGAAAACACTGTCAAAACCACATCAGATCTCATAAGACCATTGTGGCTCTCCATGCCCTTCCTATGGCATCCAGAGCCATTAGTATGGCTCTGAGGTTAACATTCGACTTGTGTTTATCTGCACGGTTAGTAGTACTGGCTGTTTAAATAATAAAATTCTCCTGTGCTTTGGAACTACTTCCCCTATCCTGTACCTTTCCCTGGGCATGATAGTGGCTTTCTAAATTTTCTTAGAAATGTGTTTGCCTTTAAATGTTCTAATATTTAAATGTCTGGCTTCCAAAAGGAGTAAAAAAAGAAAAATGAAGGGGGCAGAGAAATGCACTAGTCTTTTAAATCTCCTGGAAGTTGCTTCAGTCAGAGAAGGTGGGGCTTGTAACAATGGCAGTGAGGGTTGCAATAAGGCCGCTCTCTTATATCAGCACCTCCATGATCATAAACAGCAATCAGGGCACAGATCTTTGATATTTGGAGGAGAGGGTCCTCATTGACCACCCTGGCTCCCACAAGCTGTATGCATGCTCCTGGAACCTGTGCACAGCTGCCTGCCACGAAGCTGGGGGTGGTGGGGTGGCAGAGGGATGCTCACACCAAAAGCTGAAATTGACCAAAATTAATCACAGTTTACTACCCAAGTCTTCCCGTAGAAGTTGCAAGCCTTCAAATAGACTCCAGAGTTTCGAAACAGTTACTCAGATGTAGTTTAATAGGAGAACACTATGATTCTTTAGAAATGAATCCTGACATATTTAAGGGTAAAGAACCATGATGTCTATAGCTTTCTTTCAAATGGTTCAGCAAGCAAACAATAAAACTATAGGTATATAAAGAAAAGATGGCAAAAAGCAAACACTTTTTGAATCTATGTGGTAGGTATGTGAGTATTCATTGTCCTACAACTTTTTTTGTATTTCAAATTTTTTATAAGAAGTCATAACAACTACTAGATAAGGGATGTGGGGGAAGTGATTTCCTGTTTGGGTACTAGTTTCGTGGCCAGATGGATGGCAAGAACCATCCAAATTTGCACATGCCTGATTTAAGCATGTCACAAATAGTGGAGAGCATTCACTTAGAGGCCAGAATCTTCAAGGCCTATTGTACCACTCTAAATAGTTTCTAGTTCATCCATGAGCTAGCAAAAGCCCATAAATAGTTTTAAACAGAAGAATGACAAAAGCATGCTTGCACATATTTGAAACATCATTCAGGCTGGGGAATGGTTGGAAAGGTAGCAAGACTGGAAGCGTTGGGCCTTTTAGGGATTGTTGGTCAGTCTTCTGGGTCAATTGTAATGAAGCCTAAACTAGCACAATGACCATGGAAACTGTGAGGTAGAATAGATCCAAGAGAACTTTACAAATATGGACCGAAGAATGAGACATCTCAAACTTCTATTAACCTCGGTTAAAACTGAAGTCTTAAGTCATCTTGATATTTGCTGAAAATCCCTGGAAAGAAAAGTCATCCTGTTGACATAAGTACTTTAAGAAATTAAGTGCTATGTTATTTATTGCCCATCTCAGCGAGATAAGGAAGACAAGTTTATAGAACACTTACATCTTAGCAATAATCAGAGTATAATGAAAAAATAATCCAGGCAAGGCAAAGATCTCAAGTAAGACTAAAATGTACATGTTCTGAATCATGAATTATTATTTCAGTTCCTCTCTATGCTGAGAAAGAGCAAGGGGTTTACCAAGTGTTTGTAGCGCTTTTATGTAGCCTCTTGGAAATATAACCCTTAAAGCCTTGTGATAACCCTAGAGGATAAGAAAATACTTTCTTTTGAGAAATTGCTTATCTATGTCATAAATATATTTGTTATGGGAAAGTGAATTATTTGTGTAATTGTAGGTGAAGTAATTGTATTAACTAAACTACCATTCAGTGTATTATGTAACACAGAAAGCACCCAACTTCCTAGTTTAATTTTCTCTTTATAAAGTGCTGAAATTAAAACATGCCTTTGACCAATTCTGATCCAAACACATGGCAAATCTTTATTCTTCTGTATGTGGTAGAATAGTCAGGACTTGGTGATTGGTTTGAAAGAGTGAGCAAGGAAGAATCTTCAAGACTGATGCCCGGGTTGCTGGCTTGGGTAACCAGGTAGGTGGTGAAGCTATTCAGTGAGTCAGGGCACACAGGAGAAGGAAGAGCAGGTTTCCAAGACAGTGAGTTTGACTTTGAACATAAAGAATTTGAGGTACCTGTAGGACATCTGAGTAGAGCTGATTAATAGGCAGATGGAGATATGCATATGGAACTCAGGAAAAAGATCTGGAAATTTACATTTAAGCCAACTGCACACAACTCAGGTAGAGCCACTCTCAGCTAAATTTGGGACCCTTGTAATATAATCTGAACCAGGAAAATGCAAATGTTTTTTAACACCATAATGCTTTCCTCATTGAGAATAGGACACGTTGACTTTGAAAGAAAATCAGTATTCACTGTGGTGAAATATTGCCCCTAGGTAATTTAAGAGGAAACCAGCCATAGCATTGATGTTGAATAACCAAAGGGCATGAAGAACCCTCCGTCTTGCCCCCACCAGGGTCCACATTATAATAGGCACTCAAAAATTATTTGTTGAATGAACAAATGGTGAAATATCCCCATTCCCTACAGCCTGCTCCCAAATATGTCCCTATTACCTAATGAAACAGAAAATGCACTGGATGGAGGTATTTTCTTAAGTAAAAGATCACCCCCAGGTACTTCTGGGATGGGTAATACTGCAGCCACACCAGTCACACAATTCTCCAGAGAAATAATTTCTGGAAATGGGAAGAGGAACAGACATGGGGGAAAGTGGGAGGAATGGGAAGAGAGAAGAGGCCACAGAGGTCAGGCTGCTTCCTTCACATCTTTTCCTGGGGTGGATCTGGCCTCGGCTGGAGGCCCTTCACCCTGAACTCTTAAACGAACAAAAAGTGTCCTTCCCACCCTTTCCGTAGCTTGCTTTCAAACATGTTTCTGGGAACCCCCTGGAGATAGCAACAGAGTCTGTGGACCACCTCCCACCTCCACTTATTTTTTGTTATGTCACAGCATTGATCTTTGTGACTAAGTGGCAACCCAAAAAGCCCAGGAACAGCATGCCTCCCTCAAGAGTAATTTTGCAAACTCTCAGGGGAGGAACAAGATCCAGGGTTTGCCAGTGGTGCCATTTGCAATGGCTGTGGAGATGGGAGGGTGGCGGGGAAAGGAAAGCCTTTGCTGCAGCTGCAGAGATCTCATCAAAGGCCCGCAGTTCAGGTGGAGTAAAGGAGTTGCAAACCTTGTGGGGAGAATGTGCTCAGCCTCTGCTCTGGCTTTGCCCATTGCTTTTATTATGTTTCAGTTTTTCTCCTTATGTCACTGTTGGCTTCTGTCTTGATAAGCAGCCGTTCAGAAAGCATAAACCTATGCCTGGACTGTCACCCTTTAGAGACTAAAATGGAATGTTTCTGGAATACACTTTCCCCTCAGGTCTGCACGCAGCCCCAGGCACAGCAACTCCACAGCTGGGGAGTGCAGAGTCAGGCCACCACCCATATCATTGAGGCTTCCCAATTGTTTTTCCATGATAAAAATAGACGATTAACACAAATTTATTTGGGAAGAAGGGAAGTTCTGAATAAACGGGTTAACAGCCTCCATTACAGACCTCTTCCTCACCAGCTGCCATCCTCAGATGGCAGGTGCTCAGTAAATATTTGCACTATGTACTGGGGGTTGAATTAGGTTTACGTGATTGACATGAAATGCCAGCCAATCCATCTTACTAATTCTGCTTTGTTCCAAGAGCTCTAGGGTCCGGCCTTCAACAACAGCTGGGGGAAAGGCTCTACCAGATTTCTTCTCCTCATCCTCCAAAATCCTGGTGAATTCATCACCTGAGTTAAAATTACCATCCTCTTGCAAAGCAGCGTCTATAGACATGAACCATCCTAACTCCAGCTGTTTGTTATAGCCAAAGCAACATGAACTTAATTTAAATGGATGAGTGAGTGTTGGTGGTGAAAATCACGCTAAGAATGACCAAAGAAACAGGCTGTAAGATTCCCTGAATAGTGCTTTGGCCTCAGAATATGTAGAGGTGTGGGGAAATGTTAGGTGCACCCCATCTGGGCAACATCTGTTGTTTTGGGAGCCGAAAGTTTATTTGCTGAAGCATATCTGAAGGGTTTGATTTGGTTTTCCTGTTTCCATTCTGGGCTCTGGTGCTTAATTTTGCTTCGTGAGGCTCTCAAGGGACAGGTGCATCCCATCTGCTGACTTCCTGTTGGCTCTGAGGTGACATATTCTCATTAAGACGGCTCCTATTTAAATGCTGTGTCTTCTGCTATTGCCGTCTCCGCATCTTTCTCCTTTTCAGTTTTCTTTCTCTCCAACTGGTCCCAATGGACTCAAATGGACTACTTGACATTCCCCTGCTTTCAGTCCTCCACCTGTATTCCATCAGTATGGAATACGATAATTACTTCGTTCATGTTTTAATTCACTGGGCTGCAAACAAGAGCCAGGGAAAGCGAGAAACTCCATTTTCCACTGGAAAATGCCCAGGGGTTAACAAGAGAAGTGTTCACAGGAAAGGAAATTAATGGCTTGATGAGATTTCAGGGTGTGTACTGGAGAGGATCACCCAACAGGAAGCCTCTTCCCTGATGCTGAGGCCATGAATACATTCCGTACCACAGCAGGATTTGAAGTGCAGATCCACACACGTACCTCATATTTCACTATGAGAGTTACTTCTTAAGCATGCTGTTAAAAGATGGGTATTTAACTGGGCTAGAGCATTTTGTTTCTCAAGTGGGAGGAGCTCAGTAGACTAGAAATTACATCATTATCATCATGATCATTGTTGTTGTATATAAAAGAACATGGCTGGCCTTTGTCCATAGTCCCTGTGAGCTAACCTAAGTCGTTGGATTTTCCTGAGTGATAGGAGTATCTTTGTTATTCATGGTGGGCCCCTCAGACCATATCTTAGTTTATGCTAATACTGTGGCTCAGGATGGGATCTGTCTATGCTAGAAAGACTAACCATGTGATGAGAGGGTTGAAGCTTTGAGCTGCGTGATATCAACCCCACCTCTGGGGAGGAGAATGGAGCTAGAGATTGACTCCAACCATACAGAAATGATGTAACCAACCATGCCTATGTAATGAAACTCCAATAAAAACTCTGGATACCAAGGCTGGGTTGAGCTTCCTGGTTGGTGATACGCTGATGTGTCAGGAGGGTGCCACATCCTGAGGACATGGAAGTTTTGCATATGAGCCCTTCCAGACTTTGCCCTATGGGTCTTTTCTTTTGTCTGGTCCTGACTTGTATCCTCTATAATAAAACTATAGTCATAAATATAGCACTTTTTTAAGTTCTGTGAGTCACTCTACTGAATTATCAACCCTGAAGAGGTAGTGGAAACTTCTGAATTTGTACCCAGTTGGTCAAAAGTGCAAAGGGCCTGTGAGTCCTGGAACTTACAGCTGATGTCTAAAGTGAATAGAGTCTTGTTGGGTTCATGCCCTTGAATCTGTGGAGTCTATGTTAATTGCCAAGTAGTTAGTATCAGAATTGCATTGCAGTCATCATCATCATCATTGCCTCACTTTATTGAGTTATTACCAAATGGTACTTTGTATATGTCATGGGACCCCCAAATTTATACACTATACTCAGATATGCAAAGAAAATGTTGCTCTCACAATGGATTTTATCTAACAATCTTCACTTTCTTCCTCAGTCATTGAATAGTAGGAGAAAAACAGAATTTAAATTTGATAATTTATAGCATCAGAGTCTCTTTCAGTTTAAACTCTTTTAACTCCATCTTTTTAGAGCATGTACTCAACCTTCCAAGCTCTCCTTTCCCACCCACAATCCTCTTTAGGGTGAAATTTAGAGTTTTGGGTGGAATCATGGCCTAAAGGTTGTCAATGCTGTGTCAGCAAAAGGGACTCAAATCCTTGGAGCCATGCTGCCCTTAGGCTTGAGCAAGAGCTGCCCTTGGCAGGCGGGGGCAGTTCTTGCTCTGACTTTTCTCTTGTCACAGCCCACACCAAGGGGCAGGGTCTCCAGGCAGCCAAGGAGATGTGCTCACCAGAGTCTGCACCTCCACTACTGCGTCATATTCAGGATACCCAGGACACAGGAATCCCTTCCTTCCCAACTTCTCCAGTGCACTTTCAGGGCCTCTGCAGGCTTCCTCCTTAGGTTTATCTCCTGATGGTGGACCCCACAACAAGTATGCATACCCTTAGGCCAAAGAGGTGGCCAAGGAGAAGCTGTAGCAGAATGGGATTGGGGTGAAGGAGCCTGGACCTGCAGCCTGGGGGGTCTATGTGCCTGTGCAAACCTTCCAGACAAAGTTGGGGTTGAGAAGAGATAGAAGCAGGCTGGGGCTGCATTTGTACTCACCTCGGGCCCTGCTCTGGATCCTCATCGGCTTCTGATGCACTGTGACTTGTCTGATCCAGATCCTGGGCAGGTGACCTCTGAGTTGTCAGGCCTTTGCAATGATGCACTGGCATCCATCACTGGAGTCCATGGTCCTTGACGTTCACCTTCAGTCATGAAGTCCACATATACAGGGTTTACTCTGTCTTGACTGCAGGACTCGGCCAGCAAACCAGCCCTCTCATCTTCACCTGTCCCCTCATGGAAGCACAGGGAAACTTCTAGAACCCCTGCATATCATATGTAACTATGGGAAATCAGGAACATTGCCACCTCTCTGCTCCTCCTCTGGCTACCATTTATACTGTACTGGATGTGGCCATAGGGGAGGCTTCCCTTAAAGTTTCATCATTCAATATATAGTCTACATATGGCTTGCAGGAGTTCTAGAAATTTCTTTATGCAGTTGAAAAGAGGTTAGTCTGAATTGAGATGTGCTGCACCAAATACACATCAGATTTCAAAGACTGACCCCCCCAAAAGTAAAATATCTCATTAATTTTTTCTATTGATTGCATGTTGAAATGATAATATTTTGGATATATTGAGTTAGATAAAATACATTATTGATTTTATCTTTCTTTTTTAGATTTCTTTCTTTTTTAGAGACATGATCTTGCTCTGTTGTCCCAGCCAGAGTGCAGAGTTGCCATCATAGCTTACTGCAGGCTCTAACTCCTGGGCTCAAGCAAATCTCCTTCCTCAGTCTCCCAAAGTGCTTGGATTACAGATATAAACTACCACGCCTGGCCTATTTCTTCTTTTTTTCCTTCTTTTAGTAGGCTTTTTGTTAATTTATTTATTTGTCCTAGTTTTCTGGCAATCTGAGCAGTTAAAGCAGAAAGCTTTTAGGGCTTTAACCTTGAGCCAATGAAGCTAGATGAATAACTCTTTGTAAATGGTAAAGCAGCTGCAATAAAAAAAAAAAAAATGGCCAGATTGGCCTGGCTCAGCAGATGGCCTAGAACCAGGGAGCCAGGACTAGCCATTGGTTCATTACCTCTTCTGCAAAGCCTTAGGGAGCCTGCCTCACCCGTAGTCTCCTTCTGAGGGTGACCAAGAGTGATGGTACATGACCCATGACCCCGTCACATTAATAGAACAAGGAAGCTATTGTTGGATTAGCCAGAGCCTGAAGGTGACCTTGAGCAAGAACTCCACCAGCTGGATGGTGAAGGCTGTCCAACCAGATGCTCTGTCAGGGCATTCAATATGGACACACAGAGAAAGTCTGTTGGTAAAGTCAGGAGCAGCAGGTGCAGAGGCAAAATATATGCATCATTGTCATGGTGGAGCCCCAGAGCAGGGATCTGCAGATGCCCAATTCTGAAGAGTCGCCAACCAGATACTGTTGTGGCAGTGTCACCAGAGCTACTACTGGAGTAATGGGGCTACAACCACTTCCTGGACCATGTTTTTGTTTCCATGGAGGCCTGACCACGTGGCCTGAGACAACTTTCTGTCTCCTTTATTTTCCTAAGTAGCCTTATATAATAATTAACCCTCATTTGTGGAAATAACCTAAGGACATATCTGTATCTTGAAACCTTGAAACCACTGAATCTAATATACTTGCACATGCTACAAAAAGAAACAACCAAAAGGATCAGACCACAGCTTGCTTCCCTAATGAAGGACTAGTGGTTCACGTCAACCCCACGAAGTGGTTCTTTCTAGATGTCACCAGTAGGGCAGCTCATTCCTAATCCTCTTCCACATTGCCAGCCTCCGCTTTAGAAACTGGAACAGGGAAATGCTTCTTTCCCAACAATTCCTGCAGCTAAGCATCGCCTGTTTCTTTTTGCTTTAAAAACGTGGCCAGCAGAAAAGTTAAAATTACATATATGGTTCACATTAGATTTCTACTGAACAGCTCTGTCCTAGAGACTTGGTGGCCCAGCCAAACTGTCTGAGGCAAATGGTATTTGCCTCCCCAGCCTTGCAGTTCCTCATACATGACCTCTTTGCCCTCTTGTTGTCTCTCGTCGTCTTTGTCATTCCATCAGAGAAGGGCAGAATTCCTCCTTCATTTTCCTATCTCCTGTGAACTTCTCCTGTGTTCTAGCCTCTTTCCTTCCGAAGCCTCTAAGCCAAGCCTCACAGCTCAGCCATAATGATGGAAAGGGAGTCTGCTCTACACTTTGAAAGAAACTTTATAATCCTGTCAGTTAGACTTGTTCTGGATGAGCAACAAACAAAATTTGAATTTTTTTCCTTTTTAAAAAAGTTTAAAGTTTCTTCTTCTGTGATCCCCCTTCCCTCTCCAAAGTCCTACTTTGGATGTCAAAAACTACATATAACCTCCCACTTCCTCTTTGGTTTCCTTTTGTAATACTCCCAACTCTCTGTGATGCATCTCTGAATGAACGGGGTGAATGCAAAATGAGAAAAACACATTCATAAATTTTAAATGTGTGTATCTGTTATATGAATGCAGTCATCCTTCAGTATACACAGGGGATTGATTCCAGAACCCCGTGTATAATCAAATCCAAGCATACTCAAGTCCCGCAGTCAGCCCTGCAGAACAAGCATATAGGAAAAGTCAGCCCTCCCCATACATGGGTTTCACATCCCAGGAATGCTGTAATTTCCATTCATGTTTAGTTGGAGAAAAGCTGCTGTAAGTAGACTTGCACAGTTCAAACTTGAGTTGTTCAAGTGTCAACTGTGTTATCTAATATCATCATCAACAACATATATGCCCAAGAAGTAGGTATAATTAACTCTATTTTATATATGAAGAAATGAGACTAAAAGGTATCAGTGGCAAAACTAAAATTTCAACTTAGGTTTTTGGACCCTTAAAGCCTCATTCATTCAATTCAATGAATATTTATTATCCACTTTATGCTAGGCACTGTTCTAGACACTTGGGATGCGTCAGTGAATGAAACAAGCTCTCTGAAGGCAATTTTCTAGCAAGGGGGGGACAGATTATAAACAATGTGGTTGGCAGAATAATGGCTCCCAAAATATGTTCATGTCCTGATCCCCAGAACCTGTGAATATGTTACACTGGATGGCAAAAAGGACTTTGCAGCTATGATTAATGTTATGAACCTTGAGATGGGGAAAGTATCGTGGGTTATCCAGTTGGGCTCAGTGTAATCACATGGGCCCTTGGAAGTGGAAGAAGAAAGCAGAAGAATCAGTCAGAGACATGGGATGGAAGAAGAGGCAGGAAAGATTTGAAGCATGAGGGGTACTTGACCTACTGTTGCTGGCTTAGAAGATGAAGGAAGGAGCCATGAGCCAAGGAATATGAGTGGCCTCTGGAAACTGGGAATGCCAACAAGGAAACAGGAACCTGAGTCTATCAATCACAAGGAACTAAATTCTGCCAGCAATCTGCATAAGCAAGAAGACAGATTCTCCCCTAGAGCCTCCAGAAATGAAGGCAGCCCTGCCAACACCTTGACTTTGGCTTTGAGAGACTCTAGCCAGAGAAAGCAGCTGAGCCCACCAGACTTTTGACCAATAGAACAATAAGATAATAAATCTCTGTTGTTTTGAACTGCTAAGTGTGTGGTAATGTGCTATGACAGTAATAGGAAATGAATACAAGCAATACATATAATAAATAAGCATATCAGTCAGTATCCAATGAGGAAAAGAAAAACCGTTCTCGATAATCAAAGCAAAAAGATTTAACGCATGTAACTGGTGGGAAAATTTCTGGAAGGGCTGGAAGAACAAAAGAGGAAAGGGAATATTACCTGTATGGCAGACTGATTGCATTTATGGTCACAATCCTTTACCCTTCCCCGTACCCAGATCCTTTGCCATGTGACTTTGGAGTCCCTCCCATAAAAGTGGAGTGCATTTCTCCACCCTATGTGACTTATGGGGCAGAAGTGATGATGAGCCACTTCTAAATCCAGGCTCATGAGGCTCTGCACGTTTCCACTTGCTGCCTCTCGGATGCCTGCCATCACCATAGAACATGCTCAGGCTCTCTTGCTGGAGGACAAGAAACCCATGTCTCAGAGTCTAGTGGCCGCAGTCAAGGCCAGCCCATCCGAGCCAACAACCAGCCAACACCTAGCTAACCCTGGATAGACAAACACTACATTCTTTTATTTTTGAATGCTACTAAAATGTTATGGTTGTATGTTTCATGGAACTATTTTGGCAATAGGTAACTTACATCCATGGAAATCAGGAAATTATCATCACTCCTGACTTAGAGGGTAAAAAGTGGGAAGGGGTGTTACTCAGAGATCAGGAAGCTGCTACTGCCCCTAGCTGATGCCCATAAGCCCAGTATTTATCACTGTACTGCTGGAGAGACTGTTGCTGCTACTAACACTGATGGAGACACTATTGCTGACGTTGCTGGAAACACTGCCACTAGAATTCAGAAAGTGATTCCCACCCCATGGTTGAAATTCATGAGTCCACAGTGTTGGAGGCATACTTGTGTTAATGAACAGAAGATAAACTCTGCCTCCATCTTCTTATCTTCATATCTCTCATTAATGCCTCCCAAGGGCAGATACTAACAAGCACAAAGCTGACCAAGGAGTACAGGAAATGTAGTTTACAGCCTTTCGGCCCCAACAGTACAAGGGAAATTAGAGAAGAAGCCTGGATGGAGCTGTGTGCTAAAGGCATTGTCTGGCACAATAAATAAATTATATGATAATTTAGAATAATAAGTACTATAGGAATAAAACAAGAAAAAACGAAAGCAGGATTTAGATAAATGAGCATGTCCTTAATCACTATGTTTTACTACCTCCCAGCTAATACATCCAGACTGTTTCGTTTTTCTAAGCCATTCCCACCCTTGGTAGATAGATAATAACAAAAGGACAAAGGTTTTTTCTGGGAAGGAGGGGCCAGTAGGGAATAGAAATACACATTAGGAAGAAGTGGGAGAATGGGAGAGGAGTCGTGCCTGGCACATGCAGGCTAAAAAAGAAAAAAGTTGCATAAACATTGCTGGGATTTAGATACCTATTTAATTCTGTTTCATAAATCATTTGTTCCTACCTATGTGCCACAAGGTACCATACTATGAACTTTGAGGAATACAAATATAGCCTGGATATCAGCAGTCTGATTGTCCTGCAAGTCCTACAAACTGCAGGTGTCAACTTGTCTGTTAGGATTTGGTTAAACTGCTTTACCTCCCATTCCATATATTGTGAAAACTCATCATTCTCTACCTATCGATCTGGGTTCTCTTGGGGTACCTGAGGGTCTGGTCCTGAATTCTTTCTACTGTATCGTTGGTTTCTGCTTGGAGTTTTTCCTCATGTATACATTATCAATCAACATAAAGCAAACTCTGTAAAATATTTAAAGAGGTTTATTCTGAGCTAATGTAAGTGACCGTGGCATGGAGACCAGTCTCAGGAGGTCCTGAAAAAGTGTGCTTGAGGTGCTCAGGGTGGTCAGGTTACAGTTTGGTTTTATACATTTTAGGGAGACAGAAGTTACAAGCAAAGGCATAAATTAATACAGTTCAGTCCCAAAAGGCGGGGCACCTCGAAGGGGCAGGGGCATGGGGGTGTAATTCAAGGGTCATAGGTGGATTCAAAAATTCTATGATTGGCCATTGGTTGAAAGAGTTAAACTAAAGACACGAAGTCAGTAGGAAGAAATGCTTAAGGGGGGTCATGGAAGCCAACATTCTTGTTACATGGATGAAGCCTCCAGGTAGGAGGCTTCAGAGACAAATAGATAGTAAACGTCTCTTTGTGGACCTTAAGAGGGCTTAGGCTTAATCTCTCCTAGATCTGGGAAAGCCCTAGCTGCATAAATGGAGATTCTCTATAGATGCAGAATTTCCCCACAAAAGACCACTTTGCAGAGCCATTTTAAAATATGTCAAAGAAATATATTTTGGGGTAAAATATTTTGATTTCCTTCAGGGTCTGCTATCTGTCATGGATGCTATACCAGAGTCAGGTTGGAATTTGGTATCTTATTGCCGAAGAGTCTGTTTTGTCAGTCTTATGATCTCTATCTTGGTCAGTTGTGCCTAAACTCCAAAAGAGGGAGTGTAAGGAGGCCTGTCCGACCTTCCTTCCTGTCAGGGCCGGGAATTCATTCAGTTTTTCAGGTTCTTCTGGGGTCCCCTGGCCAAGGGGGGAGGTCAGTTCAGTCAATTGGTGGGGGGATGTAGGATTTTATTTTTGGTTTACAACATAATCCAAATCCCTTTATTATATCAGGTCAACATCAGATATTGCCACAGTCCCTTCTGGCCCCAAAGTACCCACTGCCTAATGCTATATCTGGGCAGATGTAATGGCAGGCTCAGGGCCATGGAGGGAGCTTGGCAATGCAGAAACGGAAATCTGGTGTAAAACAACTTAGACATCCTTATCTCGACACATCTGTCAGTCTTCTCCCCACCTGGAGGAATTTTCATTTATATCTCACCGACATTCCCTTTTACTCAGATTCCCTTCTCCCTATCTCACTTCCTTCCTTCCTCAACCGGTAAAAGTTTGACCTCCTCTCCCACCAAAATTTCTGTTAAGTGGAGCAATTGAACTGTCTTTGTTTTACCATGTGACCATTATCTAGGTAGGCTACCCAACTTTCCTATTAAGCTGTGTTCCTGAACAAACACATAGTTCCCTCCTTAAACAAAATTTTGCAGTCAGCTTTTAAAATCATTTTCCTTCTTCCCATCAAAACAAAGATAATAAGCCAGTGCTTCCATATTCACAGGTACTTCCTGGTATACACACAGGAGTTGCCTGCAGAAAACGTCCTGCAGAATGTTCCAGGAATTTGATCTCCATGTACTGTTCTGAGAGGCTAGCCTGCGGAGAATGAAAGTAAGGAGGTATGTCATAAGATCAAGATATTTTGAAAATATGCACCCTCATTTCACATGGTAAATGGGAAATTAATTATTTTCTTTTAAAAATAAACACCCAGGGAACTTTTGTTTCTATAAGAAAGACTAGGTAATTTGTTCTTCTTTATTTTTTAAATGTTTTTATTTTATTTATTTTTATTTTGTGGGTATATAGTAGGTATATATCTTTATGGGGTACATGAGATATTTTAATACAGGCATGTAACATATAATAATCACATCGGGGTAAATGGGGTACCCATCACCTCAAGCATTCATTCTTTGTGTCATAAGCAATCCAATTATACTCTTTTAGTTATTATGAAATGTATAATTAAATTATTTTTGACTATAATCACTTTGTTGTGCTAGCGAATACTAGGTCTTATTCATTCTTTCTTTCTAACTATTTTTTTGTACCTGCTAACTTTCCCCACTTCCCCTCCCCCACTACCCTTCCCAGTCTCTAGTAACCATCCTTCTGCTCTCTAGCTCCTGAATTCCATTGTTTTAATTTTTAGCTCTTGCAAATAAGTGAGGGCATATGAAGTTTGCCTTTCTGTGCCTGGCTTATTTCATTTAACATACTGACTTCTGGTTCTATCCATGTTGTTGCAAATGACAGTATCTTATCCCTTTTTATGGCTGAATAGTACTCCATTGTGTATAGGTACCACATTTTCTTTAGAGGACTAGGTAATTTGAACCAAGCCTTTGACTGAGGGCAAACAGAAAAGCTGGATGAAAAAATACACACACACACACACACACACACACACACACACACACACACACACACACATACACACACTTTAAAATATCAGAGAGCTAATAAGGTAGTTAAGAATTATTTTTCTATGATCTAGGAAAAGACAGAAATATATAGAGTTGAGCCTGGCAAATAGGGCTTTTTTCCTTGGAAGTGCTTAATGATTTCTGAATAGACTGTTGAAAGGCAGAGCAGAATTTTGAGCAGCTTCAGAGGCTAAAGGATGAAAACTGGAGTCTAGGACCCTCTAAGATAACATATTTCCATGCTTTGAATTGGAACCATCAAAGCCTGAATTCTAGGAATAAGGATAAATCAGAATTATAAAACAGATTTATAGTGAGAGTGCTAGAAAAAAGAGAGAGAATGGTACAGAAAGAATAGTTGAAGAGAATTTTGAAGAAAATAGCCTGGGAATTTTCTAAGAATGATGAAATCATCCAGCCACAGATTTAAGAAATATCATGAACCTCAAGAAGGCTAAATATAAAGGTCCTTTAAATTTACATATAAATTGTGATAATTTCTACAAAAGTATCTGATTTAGATTGCATAGAATTTATAGACCAATTTGGGATGATTAACATCTTTTTAATTTTATTTTCTTATTTATTTATTTATTTATTTATTTAGACAGGGTCTTCCTCTCTGTTGCCCAGGCTGGAGTGCAATGGCGCAATCTCGGCTCCCTGCAACTTCTGCCTCCTGGACTCAAGCAATTCTCCTGCCTTAGCCTCCCAAGTTAGCTCAGACTACAGGGCCAAGCCACCATGCCTAACTAATTTTTGTATTTTTTGTAGTGATGGAGTTTCGCCACATTGCCCAGGCTGGTCTTGAACTCCTGAGTTCAGTTGATCTGCCTACCTCGGCTTCCCAAAGTTGCTAGGATTACAGGCATGAACAACCATACTGGTCCAGGGATAATTAACATCTTAACAAAATGAATCTTCCAATCCATGGAGACAGTATATTTTTCCATTTATTTAGTTTTTCTTTAATTTCTCTTATCAGTATGTGCACAATTATTTTTAATCATATTTTTACAAAACAAATAACTCACATGTTCATCAATGGGGTAGTTGTTAAATAAAATTATTACACATACATACAAACAACGAAATTTTATCCAGCTGTTAAAATGATTCAGAACTCCCATATAAAGATGGTAAAGTAAAGCTGTATCACAGAATTTATTATCTAACAATGTGATTTTTTGTTGCAAAAACATGGATAAAGAGCCCCAAATTTAACCAAACAAGAAAAGGGGCTCAAACTTATACTATAAACTTCAAAAAGTATTGGGCAAAGAAAATACAGAAAGTTCAAGTGCAGTCCTGCATCATTTCTAAGGCTACTCCACCTCCACCAGAATCAGTACTGGCGTAATATTGTAAGTAAGAGAAATCCTGAGAATTTTGAGCAAAATCAACCAGTTCATCCTGAGAATTTTGAGCAAAATCAACCAGTTCAAAGAGAAATAGACTTACAGTTGATAAGGAAGGCAGATAATACCTTCCTTATCTGCCTAGGCAGATAAGCATAAGGATAATTGGCTCTGCTAAATAAAGCAATCCAATAAAGAAGGAGCAAAGGGAGCATTCCAAATTTTCAAAAAGAAAGTACAGAAAATATCCTTGAAGTGAAGGATAAAAAGATGTACACTTAAAGGCATAGTCTGTATCTCAGAAAACTGACATAAAGCAATAGACACTGACACACTGGTTAAGTTGCTGAACATGAAAGAATTCTTCAAATATTCAGCCAGAATAAAGCGAGTCACCAAAAGAAGGAAAATGTGGGATGGCTTCCAAATTCTCTACAGGAACACTTATTACTGAAGACAATGGAGCAATGTATAGACATTTCCCAGGGTTAAAGAATGACACAAGGATACTTGGCACAGCAAAAATTGTTAATCATGAATCAAGGAGACAGGCATTCATTTTCAAATATGAACAATCTGTGAGTCCTTTAAAACCATTTTGCCAATGAAATCCAGCCAATCAAGAACTAAATAAAAGTTAATAATCCAGGAATGGAGAAGTCATAGAAAAAGGATTGTTGTAAACAATTAATTCAGTTATGTAGAGAATGAAACTAAACATCTGGGAAAATTCTGGTTGCAATACAGAATTTAATGTTATCAACTTGAGCAAAGTAAGAATAACATAATTAACAAAAAAAATAGAGATGCGGGGGAAAAAGGAGAGAAGAAACAGATGCATACTGACTTATTCACCTTTCACAGTCAGGAGTCAACTAATGCTGTTGGGACAAAAGACTGGGTGTGATGGCTCATGCCTGTAATCCCAGCACTTTGGGAGGCTGAAGTGAGTGGATCAGTTGAGGTCAGGAGTTTGAGACCAGCCTGGCCAACATGGTAAAACCCCATCTCTACTAAAAAATAATAATTAAAAAAAAATTGCAAAAACAATGACAAGTTTGAGACTAATCATTTAATTTTTAAAATATTTTATCTTAACCTTAAACAAATTTTATAGGAATTAATACTATTTCTTGTAGTGAAAAATTCTGATCTAGTACAGCTATTTCTTTCATTTCCCATCAGCATATTTTTCTTCTGTTAAATTCAAATTAGATTTCCAAAATTACAACACATAAAACTACACAGATGAATGTCACAGACTCACCTTATGCAAAAGAAACAGATACAAAGGAATACATACTATTTATTTCCATTTATATAAAGATCCAAAAGATGAAACAAATGTACCCCTGCATGGTGGGAGTAGGAGACTAGTGACTGGGGCTAGGCATTAGGGAGCCTTCTGTTGCACTGGGAATGTCTTATATGTGGGTTGCATACACATGGGTGTGTATATATACATACAAATATATATACATACAAAGTGTATACCACTGAGGTATACACTTAACATTTGTGCATGTTGCTGTGCATATGTAGGTTTTTTAACATTTAAATTAAATATAATGCTTTTTATTTTAAAATAGCATAGATAGTAAAGTTTAATTTTTTTCTTCAACTTTTACTTTAAGTTCTGGGGTACATATGCAGGATGTGGAAGTTTGTTACATAGGTAAACATGTGCCATGGTTGTTTGCTGCACAGATCAACCCATCAGCTAGGTATTAAGCCCAGCATCCATTAGCTATTCTTCCTGATGCTTTCCCTCCCCATGCCCCACCCCTTATAGGTCCCAGTATGAGTTATTCCCTCCCATGTGTCCATGTGTTCTCATCATTCAGTTCCCACTTACAAGTGAGAGCATGCAATGTTTGGTTTTCTGTTCCTGCATTAGTTTGCTGAGGATAACGGCTTCCAGCTCCATCCATGTCCCTGCAAAGGACATAATCTCATTCCTTTTTATGGCTGTATAGTATTCCATGGTGTATATGTACCACATTTTCTTTATCCAGTCTATTATTGATGGGTATGTTGGTTGATTCCATGTCTTTGCTATTGTGGTTGCAAGGAACATACGTGTGCATGTATCTTTATAATAGAATGATTTATATTCCTCTGGGTATTCACCCAGTAATGGTATTGCTGGGTCAAATGGTATTTCTGCTTCTAGTTCTTTGAGGAATTGCCAAACTGTCTTCCACAATGGTTGAACTAATTTACATTCCCACCAACAGTGTAACAGCATTCCTTTTTCTCTGCAACCTCGCCAGCATCTATTGTTTCTTGACTTTTTAATAATCACCATTCTGACTGGTGTGAGATTGTATCTCATTGTGGTTTTAATTTGCATTTCTCTAATGATCAGTGATGTCAAGCTTTTTTTCATATGTTTGTTGGCTGCATGAATGTCTTCTTTTGAGAAGTGCCTGTTCATGTCCTTTGCCCAGTAAAGTTTAATTAAAAAATTTTTTTAAATGTATCTATTCTTCTATTTATGCATATCTTCAATCTATGTGTATTTATATGTTCAAAGAGAGATATCGGGAATAAATGTCAAGTGATAGCAATTGGTAATTTCAGGGTGAAGGGATTTGGGTGATTTATTCCTTTTTTTGTTGTACTTTTCTATATTGCTTGAGTCTTTATAATCAGCATAATTAGTAAACAAAAAAATTATTTTAAAATAATGCTTCAGATATGTATGTGTGGATCCAAAAGTGTCTCAGACATATTTTTAATTTAAAAAGATTACAGGCTGGGCGTGGTGACCCACTCCTGTAATGCTAGCACTTTGGGAGGCTGAGGCACGTAGATCACTTGAGGTCAGGAGTTCGAGATCAGCCTAGACAACATGGCAAAGCCCCATCTCTACTAAAAATACAAAAAATAGCTGGGCGTGATGGTGTGCACCTGTAATCCCAGCTATTAGGGAGGCTGAGGCAGGAGAATCACTTGAACCTGGGAGGCAGAGGTTGCAATGAGCCAAGATCGTGCCATTGCACTCCAGTCTGGGCAACAGAGTATGACTCTGTCTCACACACACACACAAAAGATTATAAAATATTATATTATCCATTTTTAAGACAAACATAAACACATGTCTATGTGGTTTTCTTAAATGTCTGGAAATAGAGACTCCAAAAGAGTCTGAAAATCCCAGTAGCAAAATTTATTGGCAGCAATTATCTCTAGGTGGTGAAATTATAGATAATTATTTTTCTTTCATCTTTGCACTTCTTTATATTATATTAATTTTTAGATTTTTTTCTGATTATTTTAAGTTTTTTATAATAAAAAGGTATGTATTACTTGTATAATGAAAAAATTGCTATTTTCATTGATGGAGTAAGGGGAGGAGGGAAAGAAAATGGAAAAATTATCCATTAGGAAAGAGAATTAAAAGAATCCCATGAAGGAAATGACTAGACTTGGAGAACTGGTAGGAAAGCCAGGCCACATGTGTGAGAAATTGTTTCTGGAACTGGATTCCTGTGGACTTATAAAGAATCTGACTTTTGTGAAGTATGGCCAAAAGACTAAAGAGAGTGAGTGTATGTGTTTGGCACATGTGAAGGCAAGCACGATGCAGTTAAATGGCAAATCTCCAAACAGCTGGGCAGGGTAAGTCGTGACATTTGTAATGTCAAAGTGAGACCCCGTCTCTACAAAAAACTTAAACAATAAAAACCTAGCGAGGCGTGGTGGCACACACCTGTAGTCCCAGGTACTTGCGAGGCTAAAGTGGGGGAATCTCCTGAGCCCAGGAGTTCAAGGCTGCAGTGAGCTGTGATCACACCACTGCACTCTAGCCTGGGTGAAAGCGCAAGACCCTGTCTCTAAAATAAACACACACTCACATACTTACATACATAGATGCAATATATCTATTAGTAGTTTGTTAAAAGAGATTATGGTACATTCCCTGCATATGGAATAAAATACAACCATTAAAAGTTAAGATGCAGGGAGGGCAGCCAAGATGGCCGAATAGGAACAGCTCCGGTCTACAGCTCCCAGCGTGAGTGACACAGAAGACGGGTGATTTCTGCATTTCCATCTGAGGTACCAGGTTCATCTCACTAGGGAGTGCCAGACAGTGGGCACAGGACAGTGGGTGCAGTGCACCGTGCACGAGCCGAAGCAGGGCGAGGCATTGCCTCACTCGGGAAGCACAAGGGGTCAGGGAGTTCCCTTTCCTAGTCAAAGAAAGGGGTGACAGACGACACCTGGAAAATCGGGTCACTCCCACCCTAATACTGCACTTTTCCAACGGGCTTAAAAAACGGCGCACCAGGAGATTATATCCCGCACATGGCTTGGAGGGTCCTACACCCACAGAGTCTCGCTGATTGCTAGCACAGCAGTCTGAGATCAAACTGCAAGGTGGCAGCGAGGCTGGGGGAGGGGTGCCCGCCATTGCCCAGGCTTGCTTAGGTAAACAAAGCAGCTGGGAAGCTAGAACTGGGTGGAGCCCACCACAGCACAAGGAGGCCTGCCTGCCTCTGTAGGCTCCACCTCTGAGGGCAGGGCACAGACAAACAAAAAGACAGCAGTAACCTCTGCAGACTTAGATTTCCCTGTCTGACAGCTTTGAAGAGAGCAGTGGTTCGCCCGGCACGCAGCTGGAGATCTGAGAATGGGCAGACTGCCTCCTCAAATGGGTCCCTGACCCCTGATCCCTGAGCAGCCTAACTGGGAGCCACCCCCGAGTAGGGGCAGACTGACACCTCACACGGCCAGGTACTCCTCAGAGACAAAACTTCCAGAGGAACGATCAGACAGCAGCATTCGCAGTTCACAAAAATCTGCTGTTCTGCAGCCACTGCTGCTGATACCCAGGCAAACAGGGTCTGGAGTGGACCTCTAGCAAACTCCAAGAGACCTGCAGCTGAGGGTCCTGACTGTTAGGAGGAAAACTAACAAACAGAAAGGACATCCACACCAAAAACCCATCTGTACATCACCATCATCAAAGACCAAAAGTATATAAAACCACAAAGATGGGGAAAAAACAGAGCAGAAAAACTGGAAACTCTAAAAAGCAGAGTGCCTCTCCTCCTCCAAAGGAACGCAGTTCCTCACCAGCAACGGAACAAAGCTGGACGGAGAATGACTTTGATGAGTTGAGAGAAGAAGGCTTCAGACAATCAAACTACTCCGAGCTACAGGAGGAAATTCAAACCAAAGGCAAAGAAGTTAAAAACTTTGAAAAACATTTAGACGAATGTATAACTAGGATAACCAATACAGAAAAGTGCTTAAAGGAGCTGATGGAGCTGAAAGCCAAGGCTGGAGAACTATGTGAAGAATGCAGAAGCCTCAGGAGCCGATGCAAACAACTGGAAGAAAGGGTATCAGTGATGGAAGATGAAATGAATGAAATGAAGGGAGAAGGGAAGTTTAGAGAAAAAAGAATTAAAAGAAACAAACAAAGCCTCCAAGAAATATGGGACTATGTGAAAAGACCAAATCTACGTCTGATTGGTGTACCTGAAAGTGACGGGGAGAATGGAACCAAGTTGGAAAACACTCTGCAGGATATTATCCAGGAGAACTTCCCCAATCTAGCAAGGCAGGCCAACATTCAGATTCAGGAAATACAGAGAACACCACAGAGATACTCCTCGAGAAGAGCAACTCCAAGACACATAATTGTCAGATTCACCAAAGTTGAAATGAAGGAAAAAATGTTAAGGGCAGCCAGAGAGAAAGGTCAGATTACCCAAAAAGGGAAGCCCATCAGACTAACAGCTGATCTCTCAGCAGAAACTCTACAAGCCAGAAGAGAGTGGGGGCCAATATTCAATATTCTTAAAGAAAAGAATTTTCAACCCAGAATTTCATATCCAGCCAAACTAAGCTTCATAAGTGAAGGAGAAATAAAATACTTTACAGACAAGCAAATGCTGAGAGATTTTGTCACCACCAGGCCTGTCCTAAAAGAGCTCCTGAAGGAAGCACTAAACCTGGAAAGGAACAACCGGTACCAGCCACTGCAAAATCATGCCAAATTGTAAAGACCATCAAGGCTAGGAAGTAACTGCATTAACTAACGAGCAAAATCACCAGCTAACATCATAATGACAGGATCAAATTCACACATAACAATATTAACTTTAAATGTAAATGGACTAAATGCTCCAATTAAAAGACACAGACTGGCAAATTGGATAAAGAGTCAAGACCCATCAGTGTGCTGTGTTCAGAAAACCCATCTCACATGCAGAGACACACATAGGCTCAAAATAAAAGGATGGAGGAAGATCTACCAAGCAAATGGAAAACAAAAAAAGGCAGGGGTTGCAATCCTTGTCTCTGACAAAACAGAGTTTAAACCAACAAGATCAAAAGAGACAAAGAAGGCCATTACATAATGGTAAAGGGATCAATTCAACAAGAAGAGCTAACTATCCTAAATATATATGCACACAATACAGGAGCACCCAGATTCATAAAGCAAGTCCTGAGCGACCTACAAAGAGACTTAGACTCCCACACAATAATAATGGGAGACTTTAACACCCCACTGTCAACATTAGACAGATCAACGAGACAGAAAGTTAACAAGGATACCCAGGAATTGAACTCAGCTCTGCACCAAGTGGACCTAATAGACATCTACAGAACTCTCCACCCCAAATCAACAGAAGATACATTTATTTCAGCACCACACCACACCTATTCCAAAATTGACCACATGCTTGGAAGTAAAGCTCTCCTCAGCAAATGTAAAAGAACAGAAATTATAACAAACTGTCTCTCAGACCACAGTGCAATCAAACTAGAACTCAGGATTAAGAATCTTACTCAAAACCGCTCAACTACATGGAAACTGAATAACCTGCTCCTGAATGACTACTGGGTACATAACGAAATGAAGGCAGAAATAAAGATGTTCTTTGAAACCAACAAGAACAAAGACACAACATACCAGGATCTCTGGGACACATTCAAAGCAGTGTGTAGAGGGAAATTTATAGCACTAAATGCCCACAAGAGAAAGCAGGAAAGATCCAAAATTGACACCCTAACATCACAATTAAAAGAACTAGAAAAGCAAGAGCAAACACATTCAAAAGCTAGTAGAAGGCAAGAAATAACTAAGATCAGAGCAGAACTGAAGGAAATAGAGACAGAAAAAACCCTTCAAAAAATTAATGAATCCAGGAGCTGGTTTTTTGAAAGGATCAACAAAATTGATAGACTGCTAGCAAGATTAATAAAGAAGAAAAGAGAGAAGAATCAAATAGATGCAATAAAAAATGCTAAAGGGGATATCACCACCGATCCCACAGAAATACAAACTACCATCAGAGAATACTACAAACACCTCTACGCAAATAAACTAGAAAATCTAGAAGAAATGGATAAATTCCTCGACACATACACCTTCCCAAGACTAAACCAGGAAGAAGTTGAATCTCTGAATAGACCAATAGCAGGCTCTGAAATTGTGGCAATAATCAATAGCTTACCAACCAAAAAGAGTCCAGGACCAGATGGATTCACAGCCGAATTCTACCAGAGGTACAAGGAGGAGCTGGTACCATTCCTTCCGAAACTATTCCAATCAATAGAAAAAGAGGGAATCCTCCCTAACTCATTTTGTGAGGCCAGGATCATCCTGATACCAAAGCCGGGCAGAGACACAACCAAAAAACAGAATTTTAGACCAATATCCTTGATGAACATTGATGCAAAAATCCTCAATAAAATACTGGCAAACCGAATCCAGCAGCACATCAAAAAGCTTATCCACCATGATCAAGTGGGCTTCATCCCTGGGATGCAAGGCTGGTTCAATATACGCAAATCAATAAATGTAATCCAGCATATAAACAGAACCAAAGACAAAAAACACATGATTATCTCAATAGATGCAGAAAAGGCCTTTGACAAAATTCAACAACCCTTCATGCTAAAAACTCTCAATTAATTAGGTATTGATGGGATATATCTCAAAATAATAAGAGCTATCTATGACAAACCCACAGCCAATATCATACTGAATGGGCAAAAATTGGAAGCATTCCCTTTGAAAACTGGCACAAGACAGGGATGCCCTCTCTCACCACTCTTATTCAACATAGGGTTGGAAGTTCTGGCCAGGGCAATTAGGCAGGAGAAGGAAATAAAGGGTATTCAATTAGGAAAAGAGGAAGCCAAATTGTCCCTGTTTGCAGATGACATGATTGTATATCTAGAAAACCCCATTGTCTCAGCCCAAAATCTCCTTAAGCTGATAAGCAACTTCAGCAAAGTCTCAGGACAGAAAATCAATGTACAAAAATCACAAGCATTCTTATACACCAATACCAGACAAACAGAGAGCCAAATCATGATTGAACTCCCATTCACAATTGCTTCAAAGAGAATTAAATACCTAGGAATCCAACTTACAAGGGACGTGAAGGACCTCTTCAAGGAGAACTACAAACCACTGCTCAATGAAATAAAAGAGGATACAAAGAAATGGAAGAACATTCCATGCTCATGGGTAGGAAGAATCAATATCGTGAAAATGGCCATACTGCCCAAGGTAATTTATAGATTTAATGCCATCCCCATCAAGCTACCAATGACTTTCTTCACAGAATTGGAAAAAACTACTTTAAAGTTCATATGGAACCAAAAAAGAGCCCGCATCGCCAAGTCAATCCTAAGCCAAAAGAACAAAGCTGGAGGCATCATGCTACCTGACTTCAAACTATACTACAAGGCTACAGTAACCAAAACAGCATGGTACTGCTACCAAAACAGAGATATAGATCAATGGAACAGAACAGAGCCCTCAGAAATAACGCTGCATATCTACAACTATCTGATCTTTGACAAACCTGAGAAAAACAAGCAATGGGGAAAGGATTCCCTATTTAATAAATGGTGCTGGGAAAACTGGCTAGCCATATGTAGAAAGCTGAAACTGGATCCCTTCCTTACACCTTATACAAAAATTAATTCAAGATGGATTAAAGACTTAAACGTTAGACCTAAAACCATAAAAACCCTAGAAGAAAACCTAGGCATTACCATTCAGGACATAGGCATGGGCAAGGACTTCATGTCTAAAACACCAAAAGCAATGGCAACAAAGCCAAAATTGACAAATGGGATCTAATTAAACTCAAGAGCTTCTGCACAGCAAAAGAAACTACCATCAGAGTGAACAGGCAACCTACAAAATGGGAGAAATTTTTCACAACCTACTCATCTGACAAAGGGCTAATATCCAGAATCTACAATGAACTCAAACAAATGTACAAGAAAAAAACAAACAACCCCATCAAAAAGTGGGCGAAAGACATGAACAGACACTTCTCAAAAGAAGACATTTATGCAGCCAAAAAACACATGAAAAATGCTCACCATTACTGGCCATCAGAGAAATGCAAATCAAAACCACAATGAGATACCATCTCATACCAGTTAGAATGACAATCATTAAAAAGTCAGGAAGCAACAGGTGCTGGAGAGGATGTGGAGAAATAGGAACACTTTTACACTGTTGGTGGGACTGTAAACTAGTTCAACCATTGTGGAAGTCAGTGTGGCAATTCCTCAGGGATCTAGAACTAGAAATACCATTTGACCCAGCCATCCCATTACTGGGTATATACCCAAAGGACTATAAATCATGCTGCTATAAACACACATGCACATGTATGTTTATTGCAGCACTATTCACAATAGCAAAGACTTGGAACCAACCCAAATGTCCAACAATGATAGACTGGATTAAGAAAATGTGGCACATATACACCATGGAATACTATGCAGTCATAAAAAATGATGAGTTCATGTCCTTTGTAGGGACATGGATGAAATTGGAAATCATCATTCTCAGTAAACTATTGCAAGGACAAAAAACCAAACACCACATGTTCTCACTCATAGGTGGGAATTGAACAATGAGAACACATGGACACAGGAAGGGGAACATCACACTCTGGGGACTGTTATGGGGTGGAGGAAGGGGGAAGGGATAGCATTAGGAGATATACCTAATGCTAAATGACAAGTTAATGGGTGCAGCACACCAGCATGGCACATGTATACATATGTAACTAACCTGCACATTGTGCACATGTACTCTAAAACTTGAAGTATTAAAAAAAAAAAGTTAAGATGCATATCCGTATTATTTGTGGCTACAACACATTGATGAATAAACAAACAAGTAGCAAAAAGCATGCATAGCACATTCTCACTTTAATGTTATGTGTGCGTCTGTGTGTTTGTGCCTGTGTCTGTGTGTATATACACATACATGCACAGAAAAGAAAGCCTGGGCAGATATCTGGTAAATGTTAGCAGCTATTCTGTGAGGTGAAATTTCCAGTGATATTCACATTTGAGGTGTTTGATTTCTTTTTTTACAATGAATATAGATTTATTTCATAATCAAAAAGAGCTAGTTTCTTTTATTTGTTCTTTTTCTTTTTATTCTTTCTTTCTTTCTTTTCTTTTTTTTTTTTTTTTTTTTTTTTTTTTTGAGACAGGGTCTTATTCTATCACCCAGGCTAGAGTGCAGTGGCGTGATCACAGCTCACTGCGGCCTCCATCCTCCTGGGCTCAAGCAACCCTCCCACCTCAGCCTCTCAAGTAGCTAGGATACAAGTATGCACCAGTACACCCAGCTAAGTTTTTATTATTTATTTTTGTAGAGATTGGGGTGGGTAGGGGTCTCACTATGTTGCCCAGGTTGGTCTTGAATCCCTGGGCTCAAATGATCCTCCTGCCCTAGCCTCCTAAAGTATTGGGATTACAGGCATGAGCTGCTGCACCTGGCTTATTATTATTATTATTATTATTATTATTATTATTATTATTTGAGACAGTATCTCACTCTGTCACCCTGGCTGGAATGCAGTGGCATAATCATGGTCATCTAAGCTCAAATGATCCTCCTGCCTCAGCCTCCCGAGTAGCTAGGACTGCAGGCATGAGCCACTACTCCTGGCTTATTTGTACTTTTTTTTAATTTTTCATCCACCACTAAGAGTCATGTAAGCAAATTTCATTTTTGAATTTTAAAAATGTAAACCTTTAGAAATTTCAAACAGAGACAGTTCTCTGTAATTATTATAAAGGTCCTGATATAAATATCTACCATTTCAAATGTTTTTAACATGGCACAAAGAACCAGGAAGATAATGAAAAGTATCAGTGAAGGATATAGAATGGTGAAAGCCTAAGTGAGAATAGTTCATATTTTCTTAACCACATGGCTAAGGATTTCACCGTAGCCTCATAAAAAGAGGTAATTGAGGTTAACCTCAAAATCACACTGACCCTTTTTATGGTAGGTTACAAGGAAATGTGTGCCTAAATTAATTTTTAAAATATTTGGAGTGTAGAGCCAGCCATTTCCAGAAGGATGGAATAAGGACTTCCAATATCTGCTCCTCCATAAAAGCAAGGAAAACTCTGGGGAAGAAAAAAGTCAAAATAAACATTTTCAGAACTCTGAAAATTAATCTATTATTTACAATACTCTGCAAAGCATTTATTCAAGAGAATGGCTGAATCTCAGTAATAACAGTGAGCTTCGTGATATTTTACTTGCCCCTTCTCATGCCTTTTCCCCAGCTCTGTGGCAATCTTGAAAATCAACAGCCTGGTAATGATGGTAGCCAGGAAACCTAGCAGACTGCCAGCCACTGCAGGGAGCAAAATGGGTTTGGAGCTTCCCAAAAGCTCTATCCCCAGAGAGTTGTCACTATTTGACCTATCTGTCAGTTTCCTGAAAATTCTCATTTGCAAGGCTTCTGATGGTTAATTTTATGTGACAACCTGAATGGGTCATGGTGCCCAGATATTTCGTCAAACATTATTCTAGCTGTTTCTGTAAAGGTATTTGTTAGATGAGATTAACATTTAAAGCTGTGGACTTTGAGTAAAGCAGACTGCCCTCCATAATGTGAGTGGGACTCTAAAAAGTTGAAGGCCTTTATAGAACAAAAACTGATCTCCCCCAAGCAAGAAGAAATTCTGCCAGCAGGTTGCCTTTGGAATTCAGACTGTAATTCTTCCCTTGGTCTCCAACCTGCCAGCCTACCCTGCAGATGTTGTGCTTTGTCCCTCCACCATTATATTAAGGAATTTAAGCCAATTACTTAATACAATTACAAAATAAATCTGTTTCACTCTCCCTGTCTCTCATTCTCTATCTGTGCACAAATAATAGTTCATGTTAGCACACAACAAGATGGTGCCTTCTGAAAGCCAAGAGGGCCCTCACCAAGAATTGAATCTTCCAGCATCTTGGTCTTGAACTTCCCAGCCTCCAGAACTGTAAGAAATAAATGTCTGTTGTTAAGCCACCCCCTTTATGATATTTTGTTAGAGTAACCCAAGCTGACTAAGATACTTACCTCATATCACATACAAAAATTAACTTGAATCAAAGACCTAAATGTGTGAGCTAAAAAACTACAAAACTGTTAGAAGAAAACATAAGCCTAAATCATAATGATCTTGGATTGGGCAATGGTTTCTTAGGTATGATACCAAAAACATCATCAAAGTTAAAAACTTTTGTACTGCAAGTAATACTATTAAGAAAGTTAAAAGACAACACATAATTTGGGAAAAAATATTTTCAAATTAGCCATTAGATAAGGGACTTATATCCAGATCATATAAAGAACTCTTGTCGAGTCACTTCCAAGATGGCTGAATAGAAACAGCTCCAGTCTATAGCTTCCAGCAAGATGGACACAGAAGATGGGCAATTTCTGTATTTCCAACTGAGATACCTGGTTCATCTCATTGGGACTGGTTGGATAGAGGGTGCAGCCCACAGAGGGCTAGCCAAAGCAGGGCAAGGTGTCGCCTTGCCTCACCCTGGAAGTGCAAGGGGTCGGGGGATTTCCCTTTCCTAATCAAGGGAAGCCGTGAGTGACTGTACCTGGAGGAGCTGTACACTCACACCCAAATACTGCGCTTTTCCCACAATCTTCGCAACCGGCAGATCAGGAGATCCCTTCCCGTGCCTGGCTCAGCAGGTCCCATGCCCATAGAGCCTTGCTTGCTGCTAACACAGCAGTCTGAAATCAACCTGGGATGCAGGAGCTTGGCGGGGGGAGGGGTGTCCGCCATTGCTGAGGTTTGAGTAGGTGGTTCTATGCTCACAATGTAAACAAAGCAGCAGAGAAACTGGAACTGGACGGAGCCCACCGCAGCTCAGCAAGGCCTACTGCCTCTCTAGAATCCACCTCTGCAGGCAGGGCATATCTGAACAAAAGGCAGCAGACAGCTTCTCCAGGCTTAAACGTCCCTGCCTGACAGCTCAACAGAGCAGTGGTTCTCCTAGCAGGGCATTTGAGCTCCGATAACAAACAGACTGCCCCATCAAGTGGGTCCCTGACACCCGTGTAGCCTGACTGGGAGATACCTCCCAGTAGAGGCTGACAGACACCTCATGCAGGTGGGTGCCCCTCTGGGACAAAGCTTCCAGAGGAAGGATCAGGCAGCAATATTTGCTGTTCCCAGGCAAACAGGGTCTGGAGTGGACCTCCAGCAAACTCCAACAGACATGCAGCTGAAGGGCCTATCTGTTAGAAGGAAAACTAACGAACAGAAAGGAATAGCATCAACATCAAGAAAAAGGACATTCACACCAAAACCCCATCTGTAGGTCACCAACATCAAAGACCAAAGATAAAACCACAAAGATGGGGAGAACCTAGAGCAGAAAGGCTGAAAATTCCAAAAACCAGAATGCCTCTTCTCCTCCAAATGAACACAAGTCCTCACCAGCAAGCGAACAAAACTGGATGGAGAATGAGTTTGATGAGTTGACAGAAGTAGGCTTCAGAAGATCAGTAATAACAAACTTCTCCGAGCTAAAGGAGCATGTTCTGACCTATCGCAAGGAAGCTAAAAACCTCGAAAAAAGATTAGACGAATGGCTAACTAGAATAAACAGTGTAGAGAAGACCTTAAATGACCTGATGGTGCTGAAAACCACAGTACAAGAACTGCGTGAAGCATACACAAGCTTCAATAGCCGATTAAATCAGCAGAAGAAAGGATATCAGTGACTAAAGATCAAATTAATGAAATAAAGCGAGAAGACAAGATTAGAGAACAAAGAGTGAAAAGAAACGGACAAAGCCTCCAAGAAATATGGGGCTATGTGAAAAGACAAAATCTGTGTTTGATTGGTGTACCTGAAAGTGATGGGGAGAATGGAACCAAGTTAGAAAACACTCTTCAGGATATTATCCAGGAGAACTTCCCCAACCTAGCAAGGCAGGCCAACATTCAAATTCAGGAAATACACAACATCACAAAGATACTCCTTGAGAAGAGCAACCCCAAGACACATAATCATCAGATTCACCAAGGTTGAAATGTAGGAAAAAATGTTAAGGGTAGCCAAAGAGAAAGGTCGGGTTACACACAAAGGGAACCCCATCAAACTAACAGTGGATCTCTCTGCATAAACCCTACAGGCCAGAAGAGAGTGGAGGCCAATATTCAACATTCTTAAAGAAAAGAATTTTCAACCCAGAATTTCATATCCAACCAAACTAAGCTTCATAAGCGAAGGAGAAATAAAAATCCTTTACAGACAAGCAAATGCTGAGAGATTTTGTCACCACTGGGCTTGCCTTACAAGAGCTCCTGGCGGAAGCACTAAACATAGAAAGGAAAAACCGGTACCAGCCACTGCAAAAACATGCCAAATTGTAAAGACCATCGATGCTAGGAAGGAACTGCATCAATTAATGGGCGAAATAACCAGCTAGCCTCATAATGACAGGATCAAATTCACACATAACAATATTAACCTTAAATGTAAACAGGCTAAATGCCCCAATTAAAAGACACAGACTGGCAAGTTGGATAAAAAGTCAAGACCTATCGTCATGCTGTATTCAGGAGACCCATCTCAAGTGCAAAGACATGCATAGGCTCAAAATAAAGGGATGGAGGAAGATCTACCAAGCAAATGGAAGGCAAAAAAAACCAGGGGTTGCAATCCTGGTCTCTGATAAAACAGACTTTAAACCAACAAAGATCAAAAGAGACAAAGAAGGCCATTACATAATGGTAAAGGGATCAATTCAACAAGAAGAGCTAACTATCCTAAATATATATGCACCCAATACAGGAGCACCCAGATTCATAAAGCAAGTCCTTAGAGACCTACAAAGAGACTTAGACTCCCACACAATAATAATGGGAGACTTTAACACCCCACTGTCAATATTAGATCAACGAGACAGAAAATTAACAGGGATATCCAGGACTTGAACTCAGCTCTGGACCAAGTGGGCCTAATAGACATCTACAGAACACCCCAAATCAACAGAATATACATTCGTCTCAGCACCACATCTCACTTATTCTAAAATTGACCACATAATTGAAAGTTAAACACTCCTCAGCAAATGTAAAAGAACAGAAATCACAACAAACTGTCTGTCAGACCACAGTGCAATCAAACTAGAACTCAGGATTAAGAATCTCACTCAAAACCGCAGTACTACATGGAAACTGAACAACCTGCTCCTGAATGACTACTGGGTAAATAATGAAATGAAGGCAGAAATAAAGATGTTCTTCGAAACCAATGAGAACAAAGACACACTGTACCAGAATCTCTAGGACACATTTATAGCAGTGTGTAGAGGGAAATTATAGTACTAAATGCCCACAAGAGAAAGCAGGAGAGATCTAAAATGGACACCCTAACATCACAATTAAAAGAACTAGAGAAACAAGAGCAAACAAATTCAAAAGCTAGCAGAAGACAAGAAATAGCTAAGATCAGAGCAGAACTGAAGGAGATAGAGACACAAAAAATCAATGAATCCAGGAGCTGGTTTTTTGAAAAGATCAACAAAATAGATAGACCACTAGCCAGACTAATAAAGAAGAAAAAAGAGAAAAATCAAATAGATGCAATAAAAAATGATAAAGGGGATATCACCCCCGATCCCACAGAAATACAAACTACTGTCAGAGAATACTATAAACACCTCTATGCAAATAAACTAGAAAATCTAGAAAAAATGGATAAATTCCTGGACACAAACACCCTCCCAAGACTAAACCAGGAAGAAGTTGAATCTCTGAATAGATCAATAACAGGTTCTGAAATTGAGGGAATAATTAATAGCCTACCAACCATAAAAAGTCCAGAACCCGATGGATTCACAGCCGAATTCTACCAGAGATACAAAGAGAAGCTGGTACCATTCCTTCTGAAACTATTCCAATCAATAGGAAAGAGGGAATCCTCCCTAACTCATTTTATGAGGCCAGCATCATCCTGATACCAAAGCCTGGCAGAGACACAACAAAAAAAGAAAATTTTAGACCAATATCCCTGATGAACATTGATGTGAAAATCCTCAATAAAATGCTGGCAAACCTAATCCAGTAGCACATCAAAAAACTTATCCACTACCATCAAGTTGGCTTTATCCCTGGGATGCCAGGCTGGTTCAACATATGCAAATCAATAAACATAATCCATCACATAAACAGAACCAATGACAAGAAACATATGATTATCTCAATAGATGCAGCAAAGACCTTCGACAAAATTCAACAGCCTTTCATGCTAGAAACTCTCAAAAAACTAGTTATCGATGGAACATATATCAAAATAATAAGAGCTATTTATGACAAACCCACAGCCAATATCATGCTGAATGGGCAAAAACTGGAAGCATTCCCTTTGAAAACCGGCACAAGACAAGTATGCCTTCTCTCATCACTCCTATTCAACATAGTATTGGAAGTTCTGGCCAGGGCAATCAGATAAGAGAAAGCAATAAAGGTATTCAGATAGGAAGAGAGGAAGTCACATTGTCTCTGTTTGCAGATGACGTGATTATATATTTAGAAAACCCCATCATCTCAGCTCAAAATCTCTGTAAGCTGATAAGCAACTTCAGCAAAGTCTCAGGATACAAAATCAATATGCAAAACTCACAAGCATTCCTATACACCAATAATAGACAAATAGAGAGCCAAATGATGAGTGAACTCCCATTCACAGTTGCTACTAAGAGGATTAAATACCTAGGAATAAAACTTGCAAGGGATGAGAAGGATCTCTTCAAGGAGAACTACAAACCACTGCTCAAGGAAATAAGGGAGGACACAAACAAATGGAAAAACATTCCATGCTCATGGACAGAAAGAATCAATATTGTGAAAATGGCCTTACTGCCCAAAATATAGATTCAATGCTATCCCCATCAAGCTACCACTGACTTTCTTCACAGAATTGGAAAAAAACTACTTTAAACTTCATATGGAACCAAAAAAGAGCCCACATAGCCAAGACAATCCTGGGCAAGAAGAACAAAGCTGGAGGCATCACACTGCCTGACTTCAAACTTTACTGCAAGGCTACAGTAACCAAAACAGCATGGTACTGGTACCAAAACAGATATATAGACCAATGGAGCAGAACAGAGGCCTCAGAAATAACAGCACACATTTACCACCATCTGATCTTCGACAAACCTGACACACACAAGCAATGGAGAAAAGATTCCCTATTTAATAAATGGTGTTGGGAAAACTGGCTATCCATATGCAGAAAACTGAAACTGGACTCCTTCCTTACACCTTATACAAAAATCAACTCAAGATGGATCAAAGACTTAAACGTAAAACCTAGGACCATAAAAATCCTAGAAGAAAACCTGGGCAATACCATTCAGGACATAGGCATGGGCAAAGACTTCATGTCTAAAACACCAAAAGCAATGACAACAAAAGCCAAAATTCACAAATGGGATCTAATTACACTAAAGAGCTTCTGCACAGCAAAAGAAACTATCCTCAGCATGAACAGGCAACCTACAGAATGGGAGAACATTTTTCCAATCTATCCATCTGACAAAGGGCTAATATCCATAATCTACAAAGAACTTAAACAAATGTACAAGAAAAAAGCAAACAACTCCATCAAAAAATGGGCAAAGGATATGAACAGACACTTCTCAAAAGAAGACATTTATGCAGCCAACAGGCATATGAAAAAATGCTCATCATCACTGGTCATTAGAGAAATGCAAATCAAAACTACAATGAGATACCATCTCACACCAGTTAGAATGGCGATCATTAAAAAGTCAGGAAACAACAGATGCTGGAGAGGTTGTGGAAAAATAGGAATGCCTTTACACTGTTGGTGGGAGTGTAAATTAGTTCAACCATTGTGGAAGACAGTGTGGCGATTCCCCAAGGATCTAGAACTAGAAATACCATTTGACTCAGCAATCCCATTACTAGGCATATACCCAAAGGATTCTAAATCATTCTGTGATAAAGACATACGCATACATATGTTTATTGTGGCACTATTCACAATAGCAAAGACTTGGAACCAACCCAAATATCCATCAATGATAGACTGGATAAAGAAAATGTGGCACATATACACCATTGAATACTATGAAGCCATAAAAAAGGAGGAGTTCATGTCCTTTGCAGGGACATGGATGAAGCTGGAAACCATCATTCTCAGCAAACTGTCACAAGATCAGAAAACCAAACACCACATGTACCCACTTATAAGTGGGAGCTGAACAATAAGAACACATGGATACAGGGAGGGGAACATCACACACTGGGGCCTGTGGGAGGCAGTGGGCTAGGGGAGGGATAACATTAGGAGAAATACCTAATGTAGGTGACTGGCTGATGGGTTCAGCAAACCACCATGGAACGTGTATACCTATGTAACAAAACTGCAAGTTCTGCACATGTAACCCAGAACTTTAAGTATAATAATAATAAAAAAGAATTCTCACAACTCAATAGTAAAAACACAACTCAATTTTTAAAATGGGCAAATGGACCAATAATGAGTTCTGAAATTGAGGCAATAATAAATAGCCTGCCAACCAAAAAAAGCCTAGGACTAGATGGATTCACAACTGAATTCTACCAGATGTACAAAGAAGAGCTAGTATCATTCCTACTGAAACTATTCCTGAAAATTGGGAAGAAGGGATTCCTCCCTAATTCATTCTATGAGGCCAGCATCATGCTGATACCAAAACCTGGCAGAGACTCAACAAAAAAGAAAACTTCAAGCCAATATCCTTGATGAACATTGATGCAAACATCCTCATTAAAATCCTGGCAAACTGAGTCCAGCAGGATGTCAAAAAGCTTATCCAGCACAATCAAATAGGCTTCATCCCTGGGATGCAAGGTTGGTTCAACATACACAAATCAATAAATGTGATTCCTCACATAAAGAGAACTAAAGACAAAAACCACATGATTATCTCAATAGATGCAAAAAAGGCTTTCGATAGAATTCAACATCCCTTCATGTTAAAAACTCTCAATAAACGAGATATTGAAGGAACATACCTCAAAATAATAAGAGTCACATATGACAAACCCACAGCCAACACCACACTGAATGGGCAAAAGCTGGAAACATTCCCCTTGAAAACCAGCACAAGACAAGTCTGCCCTCTCTCACCACTCCTGTTCAATATAGTATTGGAAGTTCTGGCAAGGGCAATCAGGTAAGAGAAAGAAATAAAGGCATTTAGATAGGAAGAGAGGAGGTTAAACCATCCCTGCTTGCAGATGACATGATCCTATGTATAGAAAAACCCATCGTCAGCCCAAAAGCTTCTTAAGCTGATAAGCAACTTCAGCAATGTCTCAGGATACAAAACTAATGTGCAAAAATTGCTAGCATTCCTATATACCAAAAACAGTAAAGCTGAGAGCCAAATCACAAACAAACTCCCAGGCACAATTTCCACAGAAAGAATAAAATACCTAGGAATACAGCTAACTAGGGAGGGGAAAGATATCTACAAGGAGAACTACAAACCACTGCTGAAAGAAATCAGAGGTGACACAAACAAATGGAAAACATTGCATATTCGTGGATAGCAAGAATCAGTATCATTAAAATGGCCATAGTGCCAAATCAAATTATAGATTCACTGCTATTCCTGTTAAGCTACCATTGACATTCTTCACAGAACTAGAAAATACTATTTTAAAATTCACATGGAAACAAAAAAAGGGCCCGAATAGCCAAGGCAATCTTAAGCAAAAAGAACAAAGCTGGAGGCATCACACGACCCAACTTCAAACTATACTACAGGGCTACAGTAACCAAAACAGCATGGTATTGGTACAAGAACAGACACATAGGCCAATGGTACAAGAACAGACACATAGAACAGACACAACTTCCCTAGGACAGGGAAACCAGAAATAAGAGCACACACCTACAACTATCTGATCTTTGAGAAACCTGACCAAAAAAAAAAAAAAAAAAGCAATGAGGAGAGGAAAGGATTCCCTATTCAATAAATGGTGCTGGGATAACTGGCTAGTCACATGCAGAAGATTGAAAGTGAACCCTTTCTTTACACCATATACAGAAATTAACTCAAGATGGATTAAAGACTTAAATATAAAACCCAAAACTATAAAAACCCTGGAAGACAACGTAGGAAGTTCCATTCAGGACACAGGCACAGGCAAAGATTTCATGATGAAGACACCAAAAGCAATTGCAACAAAAGCAAAAATTGACAAATGGAATCTAACTAAACTACAGAGTATCTGCACAGCAAAAGAAACTACCAACAGAGTAAACAGACAACCTAATGGGGGAAAATTTTGCAGGCTATGTATCTGAAAAAGGCCTAATATCTGGCATCTATAAGGAACTTAAACAAATTTACAAGAAAAAAACAAAAGTCCCCCTAGAAAAGTGAACAAATGACATGAACACTTTTTAAAAGAAGACATACATGTGGCCAACAATCATATGAAAAAAGGCTCAACAACACTGATCATTAGAGAAATGCAAATCAAAACCGCAACGAGATGCCATCTAACACCAGTCAGAATGGCTGCTATTGAAAAGTCAAAAAATAACAGATGCTGGAGAGGTTGTGGAGAAAAAGGAATGCTTATACACTGTTGGTGGGAGTGTAAATTAGTTCAGCCATTGTGGAAGACAGTGTTGCAATTCCTCAAAGACCTAAAGACAGAAATACTATTCAACCCAGCAATCCCATTACTGGGTACATACCCAAAGGAATGGAAATCATTCTATTATAAAGATACATGCATGTGTATGTTCATTGAAGCACTATTCACAATAGCAAAGATATGGAATCAACCTAAATGTCCATCAGTGATATACTGGATAAAGAAAATTTGGTACATATACACCATGGAATACTATGCAGCCATTAAAAAGAACAAGATCATGGCCTTTGCAGGGACATGGATGGAGCTGGAGGCCGTTATCTTTAGCAAACTAACACAGGAACATAAAACCAAGCACCTCATGTTCTCACTTATAAGTGGGAGCTAATGATGAGAACACATGGACACATGGAGGGGAACAACACTGGGGCCTTTTGGAGGATGGAGAGTGGGAGGAGGGAGAGGATCAAGAAAATCAACTAATGGCTACTAGGTTTAATACCTGGGTGATGAAATAATCTGTGCAACAAATCCCCATGATGCAAGTTCACCTATGTGACAAACCTGCACTTGTACCCCTAAACTTATAAAAAAATGGGCAAATGACTTGAATAGAAATTTCTCCAAGAATACACACTAATGGCCAATACATACATGAAAAGAAGCTCAACATCATTAGTTATTAGGGAATTTTAAACCAAAACCCAATGGGATACCACTTCTCATCTACTAGGATGGCTATAATAAAACAGACAGATTCTAATAAGTGTTGGCAAGAATGTGGAGAAATTGGAACCCTGAAAACATTGCTGGTGGGAATGTAAAATGATGCAGCTTCTTTGGAAGACAGATAGGCAATTCCTTAAAAAGTTAAACGTAGAGGTAGCACATGGTCCAGCAATTCTACTGCTCAGTATTAACTCAAGAGAAATGGAAAAGCATATGTCCATACAAAAAACTTGTTCATAGCAGCATTATTCATAATAGCCAAAAACTGAATATAATTTAAATATGCATCAACTGCTTAATGGTGTATAAACAAAATATGGTATATCCATTCAGTGCAATAGTATTAATTTTTTTAAAAATAACATACTGATACTGGCTATTACATGGATGGAACCTTGAAAACTTCATGGCACATGAAAGAAGTCAGACACAAAAGCAATATGTTATATGATTCTATTGACATGAAAAACCCAGAAGAGGCAAATCTATAGAGACAGAAAGTAGATTAATGGTTTCCAGGGATTAGGCTGAGGAATGGGGAGTGACTGCTGAAGGGTACAGGTTTCTTTCTGCAGAGAAATAAATGTTCTGGAATTAGGTACTGGTAATAGTTGCACAACTTTGTAAATATACTAAAAAAAGCCACTGAATTGTACACTTAAAAAATAAAAATGTTGGGAAATTTTTAAAAAACCATTTTTTTTTAATTGCACAGATACTTTATATCTTTTTAAAAACCCAGAAAATATACCATACAAAGAAGTTAATGATCAATTATGCTACCACTCCGAGATATGGGCTGTTAATATTTTGTCTTATATCCTTCCATATTTTTTAAATTTCTTTTTCTCTTATGAAAAATAATAAGTACACAGAGAAATATCAAATATTTCTAAGCCACTGTTCAATTGTCATCTCGAACTTCCCTCTGTTGTTATCCTTGCCATTCCCTTTGCCATTTTCATGGCTGTATTCTCTGTGTTCTTGATTTCACATCTTCTCTCTTGCTTTAATCTCTTGTTTGGAGGGTAGGAGGGAATGGGTGACAGTCTGAGCAACAGGCCTGTCTCAGGTCACACTAATGTATTTTGGGCTGGTGGCCCTCAGCCTCTAGTGCCCAGTGGATGTCCTGGGATCTTGCTTTACCATCATCCTGGAGAGCCCCTTGTTTCTCTCCTGTGTTGGATTTCCAGTTTCCTTTATACCAAGTCTTCCTCTGTCTGAGTTTAATCCTTTATTTTGGTGTAACAATCCTCCTCTAGAGTCCTGAAAAAAAGATGCATGGAAGGTAAATTTTTTGAGGCCTTGCATGTTTCAAAATGTGTCTATTCTGTGCTTATACTGAATGCTAGTAAGGAAAGATTGGAAATGCTGGCTCAGGGTGGTAAAGGTGCTGCTTATTACTGTCTGGCTTCTAGTGCTGGCATATGATGCACTGTCCAATCTGGAAAATCATGTGCTTCAGGCTGGGAACTTTCCCTGAATCATTTCATTGGCAATTTTCTCCCCTCCCCTCTGTTTTCTCAGTTTCTTTTTTTTTTCTTTTTGGAATTTCTATTCTTTTGCTTTTGGATCTCCTAGACTAATCCTTTAAATTTTCTCCTTTTTTGTGTGTGTATTTCTGCTGGGGTTCTACTTTATCTTCCATCCCTTCTAATGACTTTTCTTCTTCATTTTGCTATCACCTTTTTAATTTCCAGGAGCTCTTTGGTTCTCTGAATGTTCCTTTGCCAGGAGTGAGGGTGGGGTTGGACACATATAATGTCCTGTTCTAATTTTACGAATGCAGTATCTTCTCTTAGCTCTCTGATGACATTCCTGGAAATTGTTTGTTTTTTAAGTATTCAAATTACTTATCAGATACAATGTCCACTATTTGGGTAATGGGTACACTAGAAGCCCAGTCCCCACCAGTATGCAATATACTTGTGTTACAAACAAGCACATGCACCCCCTGAATCTAAAATAAAATAAAAAGTATTCTCCCCATTTTTTGAGTTGCTTTTTCTCTTTTTGTTTGTTTGCATCTATATCTTCCAAATTAAGGACTTTCCTTAGAAGTCTAGTATTCTTCAATTGACTGCTTATGATTTAGAGTTGAGGACTGACATGGTTTGGATGTGTGTCCCCTCCAAATCTCATGTTGTAATGCAATCCTCATTGTTGGAATCACTGGTGGGAAGTGATTGGATCACAGGGGTGGATTCCTCATGGATGGCTTAGTGCCATCTCACTGGTGATGAGTGGGTTCTTGCTCTGAGTTCACACAAGATCTGGTTGTTTAAATGAGTCTGGGACCTCTCCCTTCTCTCTCGTCCTGCTGCTCTCACAAGGTGACATGCTGGCTCCCCTTCATCTTCCACCATGATTACAAGTTTCCCAAAGCCCTCACTAGAATCAGATGCCAGCTCTATGCTTCATGTACATCCTTCAGAACCATGAGTCAATAAACCTCTTTTCTTTATAAATTGCTCAGTCTTAGGTATTTCTTTATAGCAACGCAAAAACAGACTAACACAAAAACTGAAAGTCTGCTTGGGAGCTCTGAGTATGTAGTTTGAACTTGAGAAACCTACACTTTACTGTAGGGTGATGTGAGTAACCCATTTGTTGGGGAAGACCTACCTTAGGTCTTTCCTTTGGACTGGCAAAATGAGCCAGAGAGTTTTCTATCTCCTTCCAAGATGGTAAAGGTCTGAGTGTCATCATTCTGGCACTGAGTGAGGGAAGGGCTGGGAGTTTCTACATTCAGCACTGAGAAAATATACAGTCACTTAATTCCCTATTTCAGGTACTCACTGTGCCTGTCAATCCATTAACACCCCCAGTTCCAGAAGAGTCTGGTACTGCTTGTTCCTGTGACTTTCGGTTGAATTCTGAGCGTATACCAGCTCTGGTTTAAGATTATTCTTTCCTAGGTTTAAGAAGGAAGAGTTATTATGACAGAAAAGCTGAGAGCAAGAATCAAATATTAGCTTTGACATTTCAAAAATATAAACCCTAAAGGACCCAGGACATAAAGTTTATGACACTATGCAGGAAAAAGTATCTAAAACTTAGAAATAAGGCAAATCTAATGGCTGCATGCCATTTCTAAATAGTCTGTGAAGGGTCATCTGATTCACTCAGGGAAAGTGCTTTTGACCATGGTCTACACATGTCTTCATCCTGAAAAGTCAGAGATGAACTTGTAGAAAAATGATAAGGTGTGGTGATTTTTGAGGGAGGAGAAGGCAGCTTGGTAGAGAAGATAACTCCAATGCCTGCATTTGTGCGTGTGGTTTTTTTTACTCTATAGAGCATTAACTTGTTTTGTATCTATTTAGCAATCTTATTTCTATATTCCTTTCCCCACTAGCCATGTAATCCCTGTTCCTCAAATTTTTTTCAAACTAGCTCTTATTTTGTTACTGGTTCCTTCATGAGCTTGTCATCTATATGTATGAGAATTATGTTTCTTAACAGTTTGAGAATTATGCTTTAACACCATGTCTTAATCCATTTTGTGTTGCTATAATAAAGTACCTGAGACTGCATAATTTATAAACAAGCAATAGAAGTTTGTTTGGCTCATGGTTCTGGAGGCTGGGAAGTCCAACAGCATGGCACTGGCATCTGGCAATGACCTTTGTGCTGTATCATCATCCCATGGCAAAAAATGGAATGGCAAGCATGTGCCCAAGACAGAGAGGGAAGGAGGCCAAACGTTCACAGTAACTAGCCCACTCCCAAGATAATAGCATTAATCCATTCAAAAGGGTGGAGCTCTCATGGCCTAATTACTTCTTAAAGACCCCACCTCTCAACACTGTTAGAATGGCAATGAAATTTCAACAACAGTATTGGAGGGGAAGTAGAAGAGAGATGTCTACATGGAGTGCCTGGGGAAATGGGTCTAACCCAGCATCCCAGAGTTTCTGTGGAGCCCAGCATGCTTAAGGGATCAGTCAAATGTTTCCCATGTATAGAAGTAGCTAAAGGAGAGCTGACCTGATGCAGCCTTGTGGTCATGATAAGGAAGACAACCCGTGTGGACCCAACAACTAAGACAAAGCTGGAATAAAGACAAGTCAACACCTGTCTGTATAGATTAATGATGGGAAACCAGATATCCCCCAACCTGGCCTCATGCCAGTATGATCTGTAAGTGTCTGGGAACTTAGATGTGATCCCAGGAAATGAGAAGAAATCATAGATTCACTGTGATGAAGTTTGCTTCAGTCAGGATAATGGGAGCTTTAAATAGAAATTGAATTACAATATATAAATAATTTACCTTTTTTAAAAAGTGGATTATACTGTACTTACTATTGCATATTCCACTCAATAGTATAGCATGACTATCTTTATAGGTCAATAAATCATCTACTACATCATTTTTCTTGTTTCTTTCTTTTTCTCTTTTGAGACTGGGTTCTTGCTCTCTTGACCAAACAGGAGTGCAGTGGCACAAACATGGCTCACTGAGGGCTCGATCTCCTGGGCTCAAGCAATCCTCCTACCTCAGCCTCCCAAGTAGCTTGGACTACAGGTCATCTCTCTGTTTTTTGTAGAGAGGTTGGGTTCTCACCATACTGCCCAGGCTGGTCTCAAACTCCTGGTCTCAAGCAATCCTCCCGCCTTGGCCTCCCAAAGTCCTGGGATTACAGATGTAAGCCACTGCGCCAGGCCAACAACACAATTTTTCATTGCTACATAGCATTCTACCATGCAAGCTAGTTTAATAATTTAGAAAAACTATACACATTTCTCCTTCCTACTGGTAGACACAATTAGTCTCAATTATTTTGGTTATTAAGTCCTTAGTTAAAAGAACATAGACTTGGTGGAAAGAACCCTAGACTGAATGGTCCCCAACCAACCACTGTTAGTCAAGGTTCTGGTGACCAGAATTGGCAAAACCAAGTTAACTTCTTTTTCAGAAAGCCCCTTAATGAAGCTGATCATATTTAATCTTGGCTGGCCATTCCGGAGCAACACTGATTCAGCTCCTTACGAGGAGAGCTCTAGGAATGGAGAACACCTGTTAGGGGATGCTCCGTAATGTGTGTCTTAAGTGTAATAGCAAAAAGCAACTGTCTACCCACCCCAAGTTCTGTGTTCATGCAGCCAGCCACTGGGAGGCAGAGATGTGCCTGCTGGCTGCAGGCTGGTGCTGGGCTCCTTTTAGTCTGTAACACAAACTAATAAATGGGCTTGCTTTAAAAGACATGGGGGAGACTGATGTGGGCTTCCATATTTGAAGAAAGTACTTTTCTCCTGATGTAGACAGAGATACCAGTGTCTAAAGAGTTTCCATTCCGTGGTGATACTTGCAATACCCTTGGCAACCCCTGAAATTACACAGGGGAGCAGAGATCTCAGAGTTGATCAGTCGCCTGTCAGTTACCCCAGGATGCTGGCTTTCATCATTTCCTATTTTTTTTTGCAGGGAGCATGGGGAGCTTGTATTTACCACAAATCAAAGCTCCTCCCATAGAGATCTATTATATGTTGGGGTATTGTTATTACTGTGTTGTTGTCGTCATTGTTCGTTTGCTTGTTTTTGTGCCTGTAGCTTTGGAAAACCACAGTGTGTTTGGATCAAACAGCAGCATTTTGATCAATATGATCTGGTCAAAACAGATTTCTATTTGTTCTTGCTATTTTGTACATTTTATCCTAAGAATCAGAAATAGATAATCTATTCAACAAGGTCACAAGAAACTTTTCGAAAGCTTGTTCCAGTGATAGAAACAAAATACAAATGCTTGGTTTCTCTTTGTAAGAGAAACAAATGTCATTTTCCCCGCAAGTGTTGAGAGAAAAAAAAAAAGAATATTTACAATATAAATTCTGATACTAAACCAATTACAGGCAGAAATGTGACTATTGCACGCTATTTTATTGCTTTAATAGCATTATGTTATATTCAGGGCATATTATCTTCATTAGTTGGAAGAATAAAATTAGAATCATATGCAGACTTTCTTAGTAATTCATTTAATTTCCTGTTTTCTATCTTTTTGGTGACTTCTGTAGAAGGACTACTTAAAAAGTTTCCCCTTTGAAAACGGCCCAACAAGGAAAGAAAACTTCTATTTTAATGCTTTGTGACTCGGTGAGAAGAATGCATTTCATGAAGTCTAACTTCCATTCCAAACAGTGACCAAAGTGGACTGGGGTGAGAGAATGTAGTAAGGGCAAGGTGGTGGGTGTGAGGGGCAGAGGTTAGGACTCATGTGCTTCATAAAACATAGTGACAATGTGTTTTCCGTGCATTAAAGGCTAAAATGAGTAACGTGAAGCCCAGTTGTCTTAACGGGGTCAGAAAAATAACATCAACTTCAGAAACCGAACAGTAGTAGGCAACTCATACACATCAGAATATGAAAATTATCACACCATTAAGGATTTTAGAAAATAAGATAGCTCTTCCCCTGCTTGGAACAGAAAACCTAGGCTGGCCAGAGGAACAGATTTCAACTTTCCAATCCTTCCCTTCCTGCCCCGCTAACCACACAGATCCCATAGCCTGGGACAATTGGCATTGGTGACAAAGGTAGTTGAAATGAATAAAACAGCTTTATCCTTGATACCTATGCCATGCATTCCCAGAAGACTCTGGCCTTTCCAGGCTGTCTTCCACTTCTTTCCCCCTACTTTCCTTCAGGAAAAAAGGAGGAATCCAGAGAGGTGAACAGTGGGCTGCTGGGAATATTGTCTCCATTTACAAAGTAGAAACCCTTCAAGAGATGACCTTCGGTGACCCTATTGTTAAACGTATTATACCTTGTGGGAGACAGTGGTGTTGTCTGGGTTTGAAGTACAAATGTTGTTGATTCCAAGGGGATGGGCATCTTTGCTAAGAATAAGACAAGGAGCTATATCTATGCTTCATCCCTACCCCTCCCCCTTAAAAAAGAACTGGAATACAATTAAAGGGCACATGTCATAAAATCTGATTTGGAGAATACATGATGAAATTCTATCCTCAAGAAAAGAAAATGTTCTGTTTTTCCCATTATAAATGCCTTTAGTTCCTGCCAAACCTCTTCTTATCCTGAATGTCTTAGAATATCTTGGTATAACACAGCACAGATAGGGCAGCACAAACACTGAGTTATAATTTAATTCAACATATACTCATGGAGAAGAGTTATACTAAGAATACCTCCCTCAAGTCCCTTCCCCTGCCACCCATAAAATAGTTCATGATATTAGGAATCTTTTTTAAAAAAATTATCCCATTAAAAAAAGACAGTAATGTTTCCATTTGGACTTTGCCACAGCTACACTGGGCTGGAAGTGGAAAATGTGGTCAGTCTTTCTCATGATAGGGCAGATTCTCATGGCCAGTCCTGGGCATCAAGGTGGTATTAGGAACATGCAGAGGGGCCAGCCTGGCCATGTCACTTCCTAAGGCCAGCTGGTTGTGAAAGACCTAGAGGGTGGGACTATTGGTACCTGCCATGACATAGGCAGTTAATAAATGTTCAATGTTGAGATAATCCGTTAGGATCTGAAATCTCAAAATCTGAGTGATCAATATTCACTTTATTGGCCTATAAAAATAAATTCATGGAGGGGGGTTGGGGAGAGATCAGTCAAAGGGTATAAAATTTCAGTTAGGAGGAATAAGTTCAAGAGATCTATTGTACAGCATGGTGACTATAGTCAAGAACATGTGTTGTATACTTGAAAATTGCTAAAAGAGTAGACTTTAAGTGTTCCCACCACAAAAAAATACATAAGTATATGAGCGAATGCATATATTAATTAGCATGTTTTAGCCACTCCACAAGGTATACATATTTCAGAACATCATGTTGTTTACCATCCATATATATGTATCATTTTTATTTGTCAATTAGAAAAAAAACTCACCCCTTCATAAACTGGCTCAGAGACATTTGAGGACTTGAATATTCATGTAGTAGAGGAGGTTTAAATCAAGCAAAGCTCTGTTCTTTTTTAAACATGCAGTCCTTTTATTGTGCTGTTCTTTTTTTTTTTTTATGACTTTGATTTCTCCTTGCATTGCCTTAGTCATTTGAACAGAAGGGCTCCTTTCTAATGCTCTTTGAGTCTCATGCAGAAGGCTCCATTCAGCACCTGTACTTTGCACAGGGGCGAGGGTATCTGCCACCCTAGGATCCATGTCTGTGTCCAAAACTCCCATAGCAACTCATGTGAATGGCACTGGTTTTCATTTCTCTCTTTCAGGCATCCAAGGAAGAAATTACTTTTTTCCCCAAACTCATTTTTAATGTTTATACTTTGTCTAGTACTTCTTTACATGTGCCGTGGGAGGGGGCATATCTACATCAGCTCAGGCTCTCTTTACTGAAGGAAGTTGTTTCCAACTGCTTTACATCATGAAAAAGATTCCACTGAATTCAGAGACCTTGTAGGTGCAAAGCCTGATCTTTAAGGAATGAATTGCAACAAAATCAATACAGCTTAAAATATAACAAAGTTGATATTGATCATATTAACTCTGTTTCTGCATTCTAGACTCCAAAAGCTAGATTCTCACACCATCATCTGCTAGGTACCATGACTTCCAGGAAGAATTCTATTTCTTAGAACCATTAGAAAGACTTTCATCACTGGAAGAGAAATTTAGCAGCCTTCAAAGCCAGACAGGTAACACAGATGTGTGGGTCTGGCTGGGTGTAAGACAACAAGGAGTGGTGCCGACTATAGTAAAATAGAAACCTCGAACCCCTTCTAAGAGGTATTCAGATTCCATTTTAAAAACTACTGAGGTCCAAAAAAATCAAGTGCAAGCTGAATTCAACCCAAAGCACACCAGCTTACCAGCACTAATTAGTCTGATGTTCTTCATTATGTAGGAGGAAATGAAATTTAGACAGAATGAATAAATTGCTCAAGGTCATACTGCAATTTATTGAAAAGCCAGGACCAGCCTGGCCTCAGGTTTCTAATTCCCAGATGCAGCCCTATCCCCTGCCCCATGCTATCTCTGGCTCCTAAAATGCCCCTTTAAAAATAAAAAAGGACCCACTTGCATGTTGCTCTCATTAAATTAAATGTCATCAAACTCCTTTTCCCCAGATTTCCTTTAGCAATAAATTCTGAATAACATTAGAATATGGATAAGTTGGTCAAAAGCCTGAGCAGAAGGGAAGGCCAGGCCTGTTTGAATGAAAAGGTTGATTGCTGTTACATAAGTGTGTAGCTCAAATTTCCCCAACTTAGCAATGAACCTGAACAACCACAGAAAGCCTTGTAAATCACTGAGCAAGTCAGAAGCTCACACCTGTCTCACTCGGAGAGGGCTCCAGAAGCCCTGACACCATCACTTTGCAGTCACGGTGTGGCTAGGGGCGAGACTTTCTCCTACAAAGCACCCTGAGTAATGATTTTGGTCTGATCGTTGAAGCCTGGCCAGAATCACTTCTGACATATGGACCCTGGTCGGCCACACTGTGTGACCTGGTGCAGGGCCAAAATTGGCTTTCAGACTCTCAGAGGCATTATGTCTGTCCTGAAAGAGTTTGAGTTGCCAGGAAAGGGGCAGGTGGTGTAGTGGCAAGAACATACTTTTGGAACAAGACAGATGTACTTCTGAATGCCCTCCCTACTGCTTCTTTCAGTCAGTCAACCAACATTTCCTGTGTGCCCACTGTGTGCCAGGCACTGTTCTACACCCTGAAGAGACAATGGTGAGCCAAACAGAAAGTCCTTGCCTTCTGGAAATTTACATTTCAGTTGGGGGGAGATGGATAATAAATAAATGATTCGGTGATCTAGTGCGTCAGAGGGTGATGGGTGCGAAGGATGAAACTAAGCAGGGATGGAGAATGGAGAGTGCAGTGTAAATGGTGTGCTCAGAGAAGGCTCACTGAGCAAGGACTTGAAGGAAGTGAAGGAGTGAGCTATGGAGATATGCAGGGGAAGGGCTCCATGCAAAGACCCTGAGTGGGGAGCATCCATGGAGTGTTCAGGGAACAAAGAAGCCAATGTGTCTTGAGGGGGCCAGGTGGCCTGCAAGTGGCAGGAGACAGTTGATAGAGGCAATGAAAGGTGATCAAGCCACTGCCAGCACTCACCTTGAGTGAAATGGTCAGCTGCTGTGGAAAATATCTGGAAGAATTTTCTGATGGATTGAATGAGGGGTCAGAGAAAAAGAATTACCAAGAATGACCCAAAGTTTTTCAGCTTAAGCAGCTGGAAGAATGGAGCTGCCATTAACTGAGCTAGGAAGTCTGTGGGAGGAACTGGTTGTAGGGAGAGACAGAGAGAGGACCAGGAGTTCGTTTTTGGAAATATTAAAGGAAGATGATGAATAAACAATCATGTATGAGTCTGAAGCACATGAGAGAGGCCTAGATGGAGGATATAAATTTAAATGGTATTTAAAACTGTGGAACTCAATGGCATCATCAAGACTTATGGTAGGCAGGGAAGAGAAGAGGTTCCAGGACCCAACCCTGGGACAGTTCAACTTGCAAGGTGCAAGCTGCCATGTGGGAGCTGGGTGGCTACAGTGGGTGCCCAGGTCAGAACTGAGGCTGAGGTAACAGTCGAACCCTGCTCCAGGGACAGCTATCAGTAGAAGGGGGCTACCTTCTTTCAGGGACAGTATGTAGACAATGACTGGCTCATCCGGGGTGCAAAGCCCCACCCCCTTACCTCAATTTACAACAACTCTGAGAGGCTTCCCTAGATCCAGAGCACCCCATGGTATCAGCTGAGGCCACTGTTTCACCTGCCTTTCTGTTCACCTCTCCCTTGGCCTGCCCCTCACAAGGATGTGTTTTTTAAGAGCATTCCCATGCACAGATTTCCATTGCAGTCAATTTCCCAGGGAATCTGTCCTAAAACAGTGGCTTTGGGGCATAGCACTTACTTTACAGTTTGCTCATTTGTCATGTGATAATTCTATCCACCTGGCAGGATTGTTGTAGAGATAACAGACTGATATGCAGAGTACCTAGAGCAGTGCCTGGTTAATCACAGGCCTCAAACATGGGGAGCTACTCTCTGAGAATCAAATTTTCATTATTCCACCTTCTCAAACTTGGAAGATGAGACAAGGTGCCATCAAAGTGCTCAGGAGGGCAGCCTGTCTTCTCCCTGACTCCCTTGACTACATGCAGATGCTCCTTGTACGTGCTCTGACAGTACCCTCCACTTCTCATATCATAATTATATGTATGCTATTCTAGATTGCAGTTGCGTATTTCATTTTCTTCCACTCCTCTTTCCTGTAAGCTCCTTGCCTGCCTCCTCCATGGTTGTAGCGCCAGGGACGAGGACATTGTAGGTATTCCACAAATATTTATTGAATTGAACTGACATCTGCCTGAGTGTATGGACTGAGGCCTGGTTTGACTCTGCTGTGGGAATTATGTATAGACTGAGGCCTGGCAGAGTTTGCTCTGGGAATTATACACACAAATGACCTAATGAAAAATTTGGTCTGGTTTTCTGAAGTCCCAAGAAGACTACACATCTAACGATCCATCCATCTATCCATCACCATCCAAATTATTATATTATAGAGCATATATTTTTATAGAGCACTACTCTGTCAGGCCTAGAAAGGCAATAGTGAACTAAATTGTATAGTTACGCAATAAGATAAGCAATGAACAATAAGCCCAAATAATTAAACAACCATCAAACCTGCTGTGGAGAAAAAAACAAACAAAACAGGGAGAGAGTGGGCAGGAAACCTCATTTAGGCAGAGTCATCAGAGACTTCTAGGAAGAGAAGAAACTTAAGATGAGACCTGGAAAATGGGTAGAAGCCAGCCATGGGAAAGGCAAAAATGTTTCACACCAAGAAAGATCTTGAGAGGGGGAAAGATGTTGATGCATTAAGAAAAGGAGAGAAAGCCAGTGCGCACGGAACAGAGTGAGGGAGGTGGAGGCTAAGCTGGAATGTCCAAGGTTCACACTGAGCCTTGGACATTCCATGCAGAGCAGACACAGCCTAAGTGAATCATTCTTCGTCCCATCTAAGAGAATGAATTGCAGGGGAGCAAGGGTGTGGGTACAAGGAACTAGCTAGAGGCTGTTGGAAGAAATGATGACAGTGCAGATAGAGAAAAGGACATCTCTTCCATATGTATTTTGAAGGGGTCATGATGGGGCTTATTAATGGGGGAGATCAGGGAAAAGAGTGACTCAAGATTGGCCTTAGGTTTGGGGCTTGACCAACCAAGTGAATGGTGATGCCAGCTGCAGACATGGCAGAGGCTGAGGGAAGAGGGCAGGACGTTAGGAGGGAACTAAGAGTTCCTTTTTGGAAATACTACATTTTGGAAACTCCAAAGCCTGCAGTGGGACAGCCAGCTACAGTCATCTCCCTTCCTGGTTCTGTCCCAGAAAAGAACGGAGCCCAGACTCTCTTGGGATTTCCTGAAGTTCTTGGGGCCCCAAGGAATCCTGAGAAGAAAAGGCCTGCAGTGCTGGTGGTGAGTAAGCACCTAGAGAAGAGAGCATACAGCAGCATAATCTCCAGCAAAGACCAATACTCAGTGTTCTTGGGAACCAAAGCGCAGGAACTTAAACGCTGATGGCTAATGACCAGGAGGAGAGGTGATACCCAACCAGGAAAGCAGCAGCCGTCCAGCTCTTGGCACGTTGCCTTCAGTTCCATGAAGGAGGGTCCCTCATCCCACATGCCACTGGAATGGAAAGCAGATTTGAAAGCAAGCACAGGCCTGCCAGCTGAGTACCATTCAGACATCTGCCTACAATCAGGAGCCTCCTGCTCACGACTGGCTTCGTGCTAAGAAAAGCACATTTCTTCATTGGCCACTGGTGTGTCACATCCACAAAGTATGTGTTGAGGCTTGCTGAGCTTCTGGGGGTTTAGGATGGACAAGGAGAGTGGCTGGAGCACTGTCCCCTAGCTCAAGCCTGGGGGATGCAAGAGCACTGAGACCACCAGCCACTTGTTTTCAGGCAAGTGTCAGGAGCCACTCACATCCTAAATGCCCTTTGGCTGTGAGCACCAAAGAAATCCCGCCACTGGTCAGCCTGGGTCATAGAGCCCTGGGGACCTCTCTTCTTACCACTGTGTTTTGGCCGGTTCTCAGTGCAGCTCAAGAGTGCAGGGATAAATGAAATCTTCTATTTACTTTCACTCTACTGTGCTGGTGAGATTGTTTTCAAACACTACCCCACCATCACTGTTTTGCCACTGTGTTAGGACTGTTCTCATTAGCCATGAGAGACTTCAGAGGCAAATGGACAATGGCAAAACCATATATAGAAATTGAACTCTGACCCCCAACCTGCAGCAACCTCCCCAAGGAATCCACCCCTTATCTACAATAAACAGCCCAGGAAGCCAGCCTGCTGTAGGTCAAACCTCATAGGAAGCCACGTTGCTATCTCAAGTGGTAATCCACTAAGCTAAACAATAACCTCTGTAACAATAAGCCCCAAATGGCTAGGATTTGATGAATAACCAACAGGCTTTCTCATTTTTATCCCTGCTTCCAACTCAGGACCAAACGGGGAAAGCCAAATAGGCGCCCCTAACCAACCGCATAGGATACCTCACTTGTAGTTGGCCTACCTGCAGTTTTGCCATGCCAACAGCCTCCAATCATTCCTGAAGCTTTCCCTTTTTTCCACTCTCAAGCTTTCCTACTCCTCTTCCCGCCTTTGAGTCTTTGCCCAAACATAAGTAATGGTTGCTGATTCCCTTGCTATAGCAAGCTCTGAGTAAATTACCTTTGCTTTTCTCATTTGGTTGGTCTGCATTTACTTACACAGCCATTTATTGACTTTTCCTTTATGAATTTCCAAAAATGATTTAATAGTGCATTTGGGTAACCATATTGAGCCCCAGTGTAATGGTTACAAATTAAACTGCTGTATCAAAAACACCCCACACCATAGCCCAAATATGACAGAAGTTCAATTCTTTCCCACGTGCCTGTCTGCAGATAAGGGGTGGTCAAGGGTTTGGAGGGGAACACTATTCCTGAGGCCAGTCAGGGACACAGACTTCCTTTTCCTGGTTGCTCTACTGCTCCCTGGGATGTTATGCTCACCCATACGGTGGGAGCCGGCTCCACCCCACCATGTCTGTGTTCTGGTTACAGGAAGGAGGAAAAGAGGATGAGCTGCTTCCCTTTGAAGGATGTGATCTGGAAGTTGTACACATTGCTTTCTCTTACAACTGGCCAGACTTAGCCACATGACTTCAACCCGCTGCCATGGAGGCTGGGAAATGGAGTCTCTACGGGTGCCTTGCTGAAACTTGGTCTTATTACTAAAGCAGAAGGAAAGAAAGTAGATATCGGAGGGCAGTTGATGGGCTTTGCCGCACCCACATGATGCTGGATACTGAAAGATGCAAATTATACATCCTTTTTGCCCTTGGAGGTTACCGGTCAGTGACGATTCATGTATAGGGTGAAGACTAGATCTTCTAGCCAGGCATTTAAGGCCTGCCACACCGATTACCACACTTATCCTTTCTCCAAAGATCCCCCTTCTCTTCTGTGTGCTCCTGCCAAACACGGCCATCCTGCCCTGCCTGCCCCAACCCAAGCCATCTTGCTCCTTGTACTGTGGATAAGAGCCATTTCCAAATTCAAATTAACTCTTTTACAACATGTATTCCATCCGATTATTTAATGAGTTTTAAAGCCCTGCCCCTCCATGCTGGTGAGGATGAGGGAGAGGGTGGCGGAGATTTCCCCACCATGGCACTGACTTCACGGTGTTGTCACTAATTCTTCATTGTCTGCTCTTTTGCCTAATTGTGAATTCAGCCAGGAACAACAGCCCAAATTTTCCAGGTGCTGTCATTGGAGAAAAGTCTCTCCATACAATGTGGACTGCTCTTAACTAACCCTCTTATTCACCTGAGGGCAGTCCCTGCGAGTCCAGACAGAGCACTTTGGAGGAATGATGGAGAGGTTTAAGCTCATCACATCACAATCTATGTGAACCAACTAGAATATCACAATCTCTGAGAAGCTCCTGGGGTGCCCATACATGAATTAAAGCTTCTCCCCTGTAGAAAGGGGGCAGCTCTCAGGTCCATGAGGTCTGGCCACTGGCATGTGACTTTGATGTGTTAAGCCTGTCCCTTGGAACAGCTTGTTCTGTAGCTTATTTTGACTTGTCACAGACTAATCCCCTCCCTTTAGATCCCATCTCTGAATTCACAGCCATTCCGGGGATTCAGTGGTCTCTGCTCATCCCACCACCACGGAACTTCAAGCCAGGCCATCTCAGGCCTGTGTGGGTCCTGAGTGGTTTGGAATCTCTTCAAATCAATGAAAGATTTATTCAACATCTATTTAGAGAAGAAGACTAATGAGCAGCTCTGTGTGGCAGACTGGTGAATATGGAGGCTTCCTGGTGGTGGCATTCTGCCTCTCATCTATGGGTGTAAGCAGTTCAGCTCTGGCCTCAGCTTGCATCCTCTGCTCGGGCAATAAGCCCTTCGTGTAAGTTTTACTTGAAAAAGCCCCTTAACTATCTCAACATCTCCCCTTTAATTACCCTCCAGCAGCTGATGAAGTGATTGTTCCATTTCTCTTCCTGAAAAAGAGCTATGGGAAATACTATTTTCTCCATCCCATTCCATTTCCAGGAATCTTTTAACATATTTTATAGATTGCTGCCATGCCCCTAACCCAGATCTCACCTCAGACAGCTTAGCTTCGCTACTGCTCCCTCGGCCTGGCTGCACAGCCCTGCCCCACCAGCGCCAGCCAGAGCTAATGCCTCTTCTGTTTCTCCTACTCCCAGCCCAGCCTGGGAGCCTAGACTTGCGATTGTCTTCCTTCCATCATGTACTACCTTGGCAGATGGGTGGGAAAACTGAGCAGGAAAAAATCACCTGTATATTATGCCTCCTGGCCTCCAAAGAAGCAAATTAGGGTTTTAAAATAGGTCAAACTGGGCTTGAGGAGGAGTGGGAAGACTGCCAATTACAATCTCTCAACTCAAGGTTGCTTGTTAAAAAAAAAACAAAAAAACTAAACAAAACTGGAACTGTTTCCATTTTTAAACAAAGTGAACTTTTGATGTTAATTCTGACCTTAAAAAAAAGGAAAAAGAGAAAGAAAAGAGATGTCTTTCTCCTCATGATTTCAATTTCAAGAGTTGTGTGAAATCAAGCCCTCAATAGTGCTAGGGTGTAGGGTGGAGGCATTTTCTGATTCACATCAGCCCCCAGCTGCTTGAGGATTGTGAAACCCTGCCTGAGTTTCCACAGCACACCAAATCCACAGCCTTCTCTGGCTCTCCCTTCAAGCTCTCCCCAGCTCTATCTACGTAGTCTCAGTAATTTGGGGTGGAAGTTATTTAGCAGTTTCCTTACAATTAAATGATTACATTGTTCATATTTCCACACCTGCAAATACCCGAGAGAGTCCCAATCTATTTCAATTATCCCACTTATTAGCATTTCCAGCTTTTCCCATTTGCTAATAAGAACCGGAGCTCTGGGTTGAGGTAATCCCTTCAGAAGTTAAATCATTTTGTGTATTCAGTAACCAGTCTGGGATTATGACCACACTCCACTGACATAACAGAAACATAAAGATGATGAATAGAAGTTGCATGCTTTGCAACTGCAGAAAATAATTTTGGCTTATCCGTCTCTCCAAACAGACTATATATAATTTTTAATATCTGAATTTTAAAGGCAAAGACCAAGATGGTTGAGGATTTGTTAATGACAACATATTTAGTATAAATACTGCTCTATGAATCACTATACTGGTAGGAGCAGGAAGAAGTGGGGAGATGGATAAGAGAAAACTGGAGAGTAGGTGGGAGAAAAAGAGGAATGTGTGGGCTGTTTGAGAATGTTTCAGGCAAGCACCTGGGATAAGGTGCGTCTCAAACCCATGCTGATTCTTCATCATGGTGAGTAGGGTGCTAGCATTTCCCCCTTGTCCACCCCCTTCCCTGCCCCACCCACCACCACACGGAGATGTCAGACTTCCATTGAGGCAGGGGTGTGCTATGTCTTCTGGTTCTTCCAGGAGCCCATGAAATTATATACCTTTCAACACTAGTGCTGCAGGGATATGCACCCAGCAAAGAGGGAAGGCGGGAGTAGTGACTCATTCATGATGAAATTTTTACAAGTCTAAAGTGAAGTGAGACAAACAAGAATAATTATTTATATGTGGATAGATAGATAGATGGATAGATGGATGAAAGGATAGGTAGATGGATGGATGGACAGGGAGAGACAGAGAGAGAGAATGAAATTGCTAACACATTTTGGGAAAAAAACAATTGAGGTTATGCTTTTTTCTTTTTCTTAACTCTTTTTTTTTGTTTGTTTGTTTTTTTGAGACAGAGTCTCGTTCCATCGCCCAGGCTGGAGTGCAGTAGCACAATCTTGGCTCACTGCAACCTCCACCTCCCAGGTTCAACTGATTCTCCTGCCTCAGCCTCCTGTAGATGGGATTACAGGGGCATGCCACAATGCCGGGCTAATTTTTGTATTTTTAGTAGAGACGGGATTTCACCATATTGGCCAGGCTGGTCTCAAACTCCTGACCTCATGATCCTCCCGCCTCAGCCTCCCAAAGCCAGATTATGTTTTGATCACTTACTTGGGGTCAACAAGTTCAGCTATGATAAAGATATGACAGAGGGGCTTTTGGTTTTTGTTTTTAGTTAATCTGTCATTTGGCAAAATTAAAAGTTGACTCCCTATGTAGGTCCCCTCTTGACTTGTTTTTTGTTGTTGTTGTTTTTGAGATAGAGTTTCACTCTATCCCCCAGGCTAGAGTGTAGGGTGTGATCTCGGCTCACTGCAACCTCTGCCTCCCAGGTTCAACTGATTCTCAGGTCTCATCCTCCTGAATAGTTGAGATTACAAGCATGCGCCACCACCCCTGGCTAATTTTTGTATTTTTTGTAGAGAGGGGGTTTTGTCATGTTGGCCAGGCTGGTCTTGAACTCCTGACCTCAAGTGATCCGCCCACCTCAGCCTACCAAAGTGCTGGGATTACTGGCGTGAGCCACTGCGTGCAGCCTCGACTTGTTTTTTATATTTTACTAATTTGGGTCTGAGAAACCACTGGCCTAGAGTTCCATTTATCAGTGGGCTTAATGGGCCTGGGCCCTCCAGAGGGCACAAACACCCAGATGTCCTCTGAGCTTGATTGGAGGATGCCTCACCCTGCCTTTGATCGTTTTCTTTGGTGAAGGCAGCCATTTGGCATTCTTTGAAAATGAAGTTTACAAAAAGACTAATTAAGCTCCAGGGAAGCAAAGGGACCTCAACCACAAAGCGCAGCTGAATGCTTCTGCCATACATTACAATATTAGAGAAAAGTGAGGATTTAGCAAGTTCTCTTTCTTACAGAATCATGATGAGGCCAGGTTGATAGGGGAATTGCTTTTATATTTGATTTCCTTGGTGGGCCGCCTAAACTGTTTGAATACTTAAAGATAATTGCCCAAGCAATGTATCACAAAAAGGTGTTTCTTTTTTATTGTTTGTGTGTCTCACAGTGGCCAATGCAGATATACTCTTAGCCATATGAATCCAGTATCTACTGCCACGATAGCAACTGCATAACAACCAACCACAAAACCTCAGTGGGCACAGGTTTGCTCACAAGTTTGCAGACAAGGTGATTTAAGTTGGGCTCAGATGGGCGGTCCTTCTGGTCCCTGCTGAGCTTGCTCACCCAGCTCCGACTAAGAAGACTCAGCTCTGCTGCCCCTAGGTCTTGCTCCTTGAGGCTAGCTTGGGCATGTTCTGGTAATGACTGCTGAGGAGCAAGGGAGTGAGTGCAAAGGCACAGACACTCTTGCCAGCCTCTGCTAGTCTCCCATTTGCTAACATTCCACCAACTAAAGCAAGCCATATAACTTGGTCCAGGAACAGAGGGAGGGGGTGCTATGGAGTTACCAGGCAAAAGAGGTAGACACAGGGAGGGGTAAGGAATCGGGACCATTTTTTTTTTTCTTTCTTTTGAGACAGAGTTTCACTTTTCTTGCCCGGGCTGGAGTGCAATCTTGGCTCACCGCAACTTCTGCCTCCTGTGTTCAAGCGATTCTCCTGCCTCAGCCTCCCGAGTAGCTGGGATTACAGGCATACACCACCACGCCCAGCTAATTTTGTATTTTTAGTAGAGACGGGGTTTCTCCATGTTGGTCAGGCTGGTCTTGAACTCCTGACCTTAGGTGATCCGCCCACCTCGGCATCCCAAAGTGCTAGAATTACAGGCGTAAGCCACCACGTGCTGCCAGAATTGGGACTATTAAAGCTATCAATCATGCTACACTTGTTAGGTTCCTATTAAATGTGAATCTGAATTTGGGAAGGCACAGAAGTCTTAAAAACTACACTTTTTTTTTTTTCACTTCTCTGCCACCCGCTGTGCTCCCCTAACAGGCAGAACCATGAAGCTTGCATAAGGTGATGGAAGTGTTTGTGGATAATTATTCACCAATAACAACCACAAACACCTCCCTGCAATCCCTCAAGATATGGAGAGGAGATGCAGCCTTCTATTGCTGTTTTTGTGAAATAAAGGTGTCCTTCCCATCCCTACACACCAACATTTGCAAAGTGTTTACACACAAAGCTGAATCAAGCAGCACATCTGTTGCCAGTCTTCCACAGCTGTGTTATTGTAGCAGCACGGTTGCCTCTCCACCTTCCACCACCCTCAGCAGAATCCTTGAGTGCCTAGAGGCTGGGCGACAGCATTGTTGAGCGGAGAAGCTACTCCAGGGGTGGAGAGAACAGCGTGGAGGGCACGGGGCCTCATGGAGCAATGCGCCATTTGGATTTGGTCTCAGGTTCTGTCACTTCCTGGCTCAGGGTCTTGGGTCTCTTTGATTTCTAGTAAGTGTAGCCAAACTCAAACAAGGTTAAGATAAGGGGGTGTCTCATGGGATCCAAGAGTGGGACCATAGGCCGGGGTGGTGCCTCATGCCTGTGATCCCAGCACTTTGGGAGGCCAAGGCGGGCAGATCACCTGAGGTCAGGAGTTCAAGACCAGCCTGGCCAACATGGTGAAACCTTATCTCTACTAAAAAATACAAAAATTAGCCAGGCGTGGTGGTGAGCACCTGTAGTCCCAGCTACTCGGGAGGCTGAGGCAGGAGAATTGCTTGAATCCAGGAGCCAACATGGTACTACTGCACTCCAGCCTGGGCGACAGAGTGAGACTCTGTCTAAAAAAAAAAAGAGTAGGACCACAGCTGAGCCTCAGGAAGGAAGCTTATCAGGAAATGACAGGAAAGAGCAGGGCATGCTCTTGGCTTTTTGTCACCACCTCCCTCTGGGTCTTCTTCACTAGCTCCTGCCCTTGTGGCAGGCAGGCAGGCAGGCAGGAGACTGTGGCCTCACAACTCCTGGACATACGCATTATAGGTCCAACTGCATGTGAATCATGACTATCAGTCTCAAATCCAGTTTCCTGGGGAAAAAAATCTGACTGGCTTCACTTGGGCCAGGTTTCCACTCCTGCACCAAGATGCCCCAACATGGGACAAACAGTGCTGCTATGGACCCAAACCAGTTTCCAAAGAGGGTGGATTCACTGTTAGCAGGACAGACGACCCCAGGTACGCCATAATCCTGAGCAAGTGATTTAGCCCCTCAGAGCCTGTTTCCTATGTGTGTCGGGGCTCACAAAAGGCTACCCCAAAATACAGCACCCTGGAAATTTAGAAAACAGCAGGGGCAGAAAGATCACTCTGATAGTCCCCCACCGTTCTGTGTGAGAGCAGGCCATAAAGGACTTCTTTGACCTACCTTCCCCGAAAGTAGAGTGGTAAGCCCCTCATATGATAAGTGTCTTGCCTTATACTCAGAGGATAGCCTGTCTGCTACACAGGGAGGCCAAGAAGATTCTGAACAAACAGGATTTGTTAGGTTCCCCCCAGCTTATTACCATTAGATCATACTCTTCTAGTCCAATCATATCTCTATACAACTGTCCATTTTCCACCAAACCTAAGTGTACAGTTTTCCCTGGACCTTTGGGTCTTCATTTCTGAAGTTTCTGTGTCATGTAAAACTTTGTTTAAATAAGTTTGTTATGCTTTTCTCTAGTTAATCTGACTTTTATTATGGGAGTGTTAGCTATGACCTTTGCAATGGGGGAAGAAAAGGTATTACTTTTTCTCCCTTACATCCGTAAAATGGAGATGTTAGAAGTTATCTCTCTAGACTGTTGTGAAAATTAAATAATTTCAAAGCATTAACAAAAGGAAATCAAATAATAAACCAATAAAGACAAACACCTCTTTGTGAACTACAAAACACTACAAAATGTTAATTTAATATATCTTTTATATAAGTCCTTTTATTCAGATTCTGTGAAACTACTGAAAATATAAGAATGAATAGATCTAAGATCAGGCAGGAATACCCAGAGGGACCTGTTGCTGCTTCTAGATCCTTGGTACATTTATTCCAGCCATTCCCAAAAACGAAAGTGACTTATCCAAAGCTATAGAAAATATGTTTAAATTATCTTTAGTTTTTTCTAACTATGGAATAGTATGTCTTTACTGTAAGCATCAAATAATATAGAAAAATATTGAAATGTACTCAATAATAAGTAAAATATCTCTCATCATTCACTCCTGCCCTAACCATGAGAAACTCCAACAACAACACTGTTACAGTTTGGCATTTATCCTTGTATGTGGTTTTTATGCAAGTACACACACACACACACACACACACACACACAGGGATGCTGGTTTTCCCTACAAATGGAGTCACACAATACACACTTTTTTGAACTTTTTATTATCTCTTCCCATGTCAGTATATATAGGGTCTAGTAATCTATAACCACTGCTTAGTACTACTTTGAATGACTGTACCTCAAAGTATCTGTTGTTAGATAGATAGATACTGCTAGAGGACATTAAAGTCAAAACCAAAACTTGTTTTAAAACCAAAACTTGTTTTTTTTTTTTAAACCTTTTTGTTTTTTCAGAACATTCCAAAAGCTTGTGGAAAATAGGGAAGTAGTAGGAAACCCCCACAGAGGCAAAGGCAAAATCAAATGCAATCCCTCACCTGGTAGGTGGCTGAGCCATGACAAGATGCCTGGCCCATTGCAGTGCTGGTCCACCCCGTTAGAACCTCAGGGCTCAATGAATTCATGTTGAAAATATAGTGGCTTCAATGTATCTTCACATGTCAGAGTTCAGAATAGTATCAAGACATGTTTAAAGACTTAGTGCAAACGACTAGGCTGGAGGTTTCCACACATTGGGATATCTTTTTTCTGATATCTACAAATCCATCCAAAATTCATACTCTGAATCAGATGGGCTATAAAGAGAGACAATTTAGCACTGTGTCAAGATGGGCCTTCTCTCCACCTGCCAGGACCCTTCCCAGGAAGCAGAGCATTTACTCAATTTCTCTCCGGCACATTTTCTTTACCAAACCCAGATAACAGAAGAGGTTTCTGGTAAGGCAGAGAAAAGCGAGTGATGCTGTTAACATTGTATCCACCAGAGTGATGCTAAAAGAGAAGCAACCTCATCCACAGCCAATATGTGTTGAGTGCCTGCCATACGCCTAGCCTTGCTATAGGCACTTGGGATTCAGCTTCCCAACTTACGGAGTTTCCATTCTATTGGGGAATATAGGCAAAAGAGAAATTAAAAGGTATGTTATATGGTATGTTTTAAATGATAAATGTTGGGAACAAAATAAATCAGGAAAGGGGTAGAGAGCACTGAGGTTGGAGGTTCCCTGTTTTCCATAGATGGTATATTCATTTCCTAGGGGTGCCTTAAAGTACCACCAACAGGGTGGCTTTAAAACCACGGAAATGTATTCTCTCACAGTTCTGGAAGCTAGAAGTCAGAAATGACAGTGTTCAAGGGCCATGCTCCCTCCAGAACCTCTAGGGGAGAATCCTTCTCTGCCTCCTCTAGCTTCTGGAGGTTGCAGTAGCCCTAGATGTTCTTGGCTTGTTGACAGAGTAACTCCAGTCTCTGCCTCCACTGTCACATGGCCTTCATCCCTTTGTGTCTGTGTCCAAATTTCCCCCTTTTTAGAAGGATACCAGTCATTAGATTTAGGGCTCACCCTAATCCAATGACTTCAACTTAATTACATCTCCAAAGACCCTATTTTTTTTTTTTTTTTTTTTGAGACAGAGTCTTGCTCTGTCACCCAGACTGGAGCAGTGGCACGATCTGGGCTCACTGCAACCTACACCTCCCGGGTTTGTGCCTCAGCCTCCCGAGTAGGTGGGATTACAGGTATGCATCACCATCTCTGGCTAATTTTGGTATTTTTAGTAGAGATGGTATTTTATCATGTGGGCCAGGCTGGTCTTGAACTCTTGACCTCAGGTGATCTGCCCACCTTGGCCTCCCAAACTGCTGGGATTACAGGCCTGAGCCACTGCTCCTGGCTAAAGACCCTATTTTCATATTTATAGGTACTGGGTATTAGGACTTTGACACATCTTTTGGCGGGTGAGGGGGACACATTCAACCCACAATTGTTGTTAGGACTGTGTCACTGAGAGGGTGACAGCTGAGCAAAGTCAAACGAAGGGAGGGAATAAATTATGCAGCTATCATTAAGGAAAGAACTCCAGGCAGAGAGAATAGCAAGTGCACAGGCTTGGAGGCGTGACTCCAAGGATGGTGACTGGAATGTTCACAGAGCAGCTCGTTGGCTATGGTGGCTAGAACAGCATGGACATGGACGAGAGGAAAAGGTGGCGAGTTCAGAGAGGAAACTGGGTGGCACTGGCTTATGCTGGGTAGGGTTTTGGGCCGAGTGACAGGATCTGATGTACATTTCAAAAGGTTCTCTTGGCCGGGCGAGGTGGCTCACGCCTGTAATCCCAGCACTTTGGGAGGCCGAGGTGGGCAGATCACTTGAGGTCAGGAGTTCAAGACCAGCCTGGCCAATATATAGTGAAACCCCGTCTCTACTAAAAAAATACAAAAATTAGCTGGATGTGGTGGTACACGCCTGTAGTCCCAGCTACTTGGGAAGCTTAGGCAGGAGAATCGCTTGAACCCAGGAGGTGGAGGTTGCTGTGAGCCAAGATTGTGCCACTGCACTCCAGCCTGGGTGACAGAGCAAGACTCCATGTCTCAGAATGTCTTTAAAAAAAAAAAAAAAAAAGGCTTTCTTGCTTGCTGCCGTGTTAAGAGTAATTGAAGGGGGAGAGAGTGGAAACAGGGAGACTAGTAATTAATGGAAAGGTTGGTTTGCCTTTAGTTGTTTTGCTTGGAGGCACCTGAAGAAGCTAAAGCTGCTCTCAATATTCTGATCCATCGAGGGAAAATATAAACAATCTCAGTAACATCTCCGAAGATGTGATCCCTGAGAACCAGGACCTTGGACAATAGAGAACTTGGCCCACAGACCACAGATAGAAGTAAGACAGGGCGACCAGGGGTTCCCAGGTGTCTGTCCAGGAGAGATTCGATGCCAATTCACTGAGACAAATGAGAGAGATCTGTAGCTAGAATGTCTGTTCCACAAGGACAGGGATCTTTGCTTTAATTCTAACACAGAGCCAAGTATCTGACACATGGTAGGCACTTAACAAATATTTGTTGACTGATTGACTCAATGGGAAGTAAAGAGCTCTTTTTCTCTCCTATCCCTGGACTCCATATGTGCTTGATTAATAATAGTAAAGTTTTTTTTCTAGAATGGACAGTTAAAGGTAACTAAGACCTGCCCGGGCACAGTGGCTCAAGCCTGTAATCCCAGCACTCTGGGAGGCCAAGGTGGGTGAATCGCTTGAGGCCAGGAATTAGAGACCTGCCTGGGCAACATGGTGAAACCCCGTCTCTACTAGAAATACAAAAAAATTAGCCGAGCATGGTGGCATGTGCCTGCAGTTCCAGCTACTCAGGAGGCTGAGGCACGAGAATCAGTTAAACTCAGGTGGCAGAGGCTGCAGTGAGCCGAGATTGAGCCACTGCACCCCAGCTTGGGTGACAGAGTGAGACTCTGCCTTAAAAAAAAAAAAAGAGAGAGAGAGAAAACTAAGACCTTACAATAATAAATGTCTACAACCATAAATAATTCCAAACCCAGCCAAAGGCCTACTTATTTCCAACAAGAATTGGTTTTGCATAATGCCCTAGCAAGGGAAGAATTGGTGCTGGTCACTGGAGTTGGCTTAAAGACGTTTAAGGGACATGTCTAGGACAGTGGGCTACCCAGTCTGCTCAGGACCTCACTGCATGTGCACTCCAAGATTAGCAAGGACGTGCTGGGTGCGGTGACTCACCCCTGTAATCCCAACCCTTTGGGAGTTCAAGACAGGAGGATCGCTGAGGCCAGGAGTTTGACACCAGCCTGGTCAACATAGCAAGACCTCATCTCTACAAAATATTTAAAAAATTAGCTGGGCTGGGCACAGTGGCTCATGCCTGTAATCCCAGCACTTTGGGAGGCTGAGGTAGGCGGATCACTTAAGGCCAGGGGTTCAAGACCAGCCTGGCCAATATGGTGAAACCCTATCTCTACTAAAAATACAAAAATTAGCTGGGTATGGTGGTAGACACCTGTAATCCCAGTTACTTGGGAGGCTGAGGCAGGAGAATCACTTGAACCCAGGAGGTGGAGGTTGCAGTGAGTCAAGATTGTGCCACTGTACTCCAGCCTGGGCGACAGAGTGAGACTCTGTCTCTAAATAAATAAAATAAAATATAATAAAATAAAAATAAAGAATTAGCCAGGCATGGTGGTACATGCCTGTAGTCCTAGCTACTCTGGAAGCTGAAGTATGAGGATTGCTTGAGCCCAGGAGTTCAAGGTTACAAAGAGCTGTGAGTTATCACTATACTCCAGCCTGGGCCACAGAGCAAGACCCTGTCTCTTAAAAGACAAAAACAAGATTAGTGAGGTATAGCAGGCATGGAAAGTTGAGAAAAAAAGACAAAAATACACAAATCTGCAAATAGAAATGAATACATACAGGAAATGATGAATAAATTTGGCTCCATTAAAACACACACATACACACACACACACACACACACACACACACACTTCTGTACCAGAAAATACATTATTCACAAAGTTAAAAAACAAGGCAAAGCCTGCGGGAAAATTTTAGCAATGCATATAAATGACTATGGATTATTACCTAGAACATAAGGTAATGGCTCCTAAACCTCCCCTCCAAAAAAAGAAAAATCAAGAAAAATATGAATAGGCAATTTACATATGAGAAAATACAAATAAACTTAAGAAACCATGCTGAGTCTCACTGATATTCATGGAAAAAATTAAAACAATAATATGTATACCCATCAGATTGGCAATAATTTAAACATTTGATACTATTTTGATATGGCCAGGGTGTGAGGAAACGGGTATGCTCACACAATCCCAGTGGAAATGTATGTTAGTATAGCCACTTTGGAGACCAATCTGGTAGTGTCTAAAACAAAATTAAAAATTTTGCATAGCACCTGACCCAGCAGTTTCACTTGTCAGTAACTATTCCCAAAATATACTCATCCTTATCCACAAGGAGGCATGCCCAAGATGTTCACAGCTTGTAACAATAAAAGACAGGAAACAATCAAGATATCCAACAACAGGGAATTACTGAATATGCTTTAGAATACTGTGCCACATTAAAAAGAAAAAGACACTGAATGGATAGGTCTTCAAGATACATTATTGAGCAAAGAAGGAAGATTGCAGAGCCTGAAAATATGACACTATTAATGAAAACAGAAAAGAAAGCAAAAGTAAACACTATATAGTATCTATGAGTGCATATGAGTAAGTGCATAACAAAAATATCTGGAAAGAAACACACCAACCGGTAATAGTGATTTAACTCTGGGAAGGAAGAGAGAAGACTAGGGGTGATTTTACTTTTCCAAGGAGAATTTATTCACGTTGTCACTGGAGTGTTTGGACATAAATTATTCAAGAATACTAAAATCAGTTATAAAAATTATAAAGAGATTGACACAAGAATATGGGCTGGTTGTGGTCCGAGGGCGTTGCTGAGCTTGATGAGAGGGAAGAATACCAGCGTGGGTCATCAGGAGTGCTCTGCAGAGGGGTGGGACCTGAGGCCCAGGGGGGTCACTGAGGGAATGAAGGAACAGGAGGGGGAGTGAGCTACCTTAAACAGGATGTATTTGGAAAACACAAAAGGGTCCTGCCTCGCTGGGCTTTCCTAAAAATGACTGTATAATTTTTCTGATTGTTAAATAATCCATGCTTATTGTCCAAAAATTCAGTTGACACAGAAAAATGTAAAAAAGAATTAAATATCCCTCAGCAAGCCACCTCCTAGAGAGAATCGCCATAGACATTTAGGTGTATACACTTTCCATGACTGCTCAAGCACTGCCCATCAGCTAATGCCTGTCTCTGCACAGCCCTACGAACCGAATGACCAGCCCCAGGGCTCAACCAAGTCAGGGTGCAAGCAAAGCCTGTCTTCAACTGTATCCCTAATTAGGCTCCAGCCAGGAAGAAGCTGCCTGAGAATTCACAGGATTAGGGATGAAGGTGAAAATCTATCTTCTAGACAAGAATAAATGTCATTTCTTTTTTCATAAAGAGGAAGAAATATTTATTCCTCAAAACTACATTTTACCCCCATTAAAACGTCCAGTTCATATTGCCAGTCAGCAAAAGGCCAATCTTCAGCACTGTCTCCTGGAGGGGAAGAGGACAGCTTTATGGTGACTCAGGGGATGGGCTGAACCTCCTGGACTTGTTCTCAAAGTTATCCCAAGCTTCTTTGCCAATAGTCCAAAAGCAGCTGAATTTGAAATGCTTGGATGGAAAAGTGCTTTTCCTCATTCCCATTGATAACTACTGAGCCTTTTCTGGCCAGATGCTTGTCAACAAGAGATAAACGTGTGCAGTAGTTTAGGAGGGAGGGGGGGCAGTTGCTGAGATGTCCAGAATTGAGGCAGGCTCTGGAGCTGCTTGACAAGCCTACGTTTAGGGCAGACACCTCTCTCTCCTCCTTAGAAGGACAGAAGACCATTTGATGGTCATGGACCTGAGTCACGGTGCTCAGATAGAGCTCCATTTCTGAAGCCTGCACAATTGAGGACCATGTAAGGAGTTGGCTATAGTTTTCATCATGTGGTCAAAAGACAACTGAGACCTTACAACAATGAATGTCTGCAACCATAAATAATTCCAAGCCCAGCCAAAGGCCTACTTATTTCCAACAAGAATTGGTTTTGCATAATGCCCTAGCAAGGGAAGAATTGGTGCTGGTCACTGGAGTTGGCTTAAGGACACTTAAGGGACATGTCTAGGACAGTGGCCTACCCAGTCTCCTCAGGACTTCACTGCATGTGCACTCAAGATTAGCAAAGATGTGCTGGGTGCAGTGACTCACCCCTGTAATCCCAGCCCCTTGGGAGGCCAAGACAGGAGGATCACTGAGGCCAGGAGTTTGACACCAGCCTGGTCAACATAGCAAGACCTCATCTCTACAAAATATTTAAAAAATTAGCTGGGCTGGGCACAGTGGCTCCTGCCTGTAATCCCAGCACTTTGGGAGGCCGAGGTAGGTGGATCACTTGAGGCCAGGATATCAAGACCAGCCTGGCCAATATGGTGAAACCCTATCTCTACTAACCATACAAAAACTAGCTGGGCATGGTAGTGCATGCCTGTAATCCCAGCTACTCAGGTGGCTGAGACAACAAGAATTGATTGAACCTGGGAGGTGGAGGTTCAAGCTGCAGTGAGCCAAGATAGCGTCACTGCATGCCAGGTTCTAACTTTCCTAGGTTCTAACTCAGCACGGGTGGAGAAGATAGTGCCTTTTGTAGGAGCCCCATGTCCCTGCTGCTTTCCATCAAACACAGCCACAATGACTGAGGTCTGACAGTATGGACAGGATGATGCCAGATTCTGGGGACACCAGGATGAATGAGACAGCATCCTCTACCTCAAGGAGCTTCTAATCTAGTGGCCCAGATAGAAATGAATGGCATGGACATTAATACAGATGAAATGACATAAGGCCATTGTAACTAAAGACCAGAAAAACAGCAAGATGGAAAAGGCTTATAGGAAGTCTACCAGTCTACAAAAGACGTTTGCATAAATAGATGGACTTAGCAGAGTTAATGTAGGTGTATGATTAGCAGTATGGGGCTCTTGTGCTCAGCCAGCCAAGCTGTCACTTGGTTTATTATGGGGTTTATTCACTGTTTCCACAGCATTAACCCCACCTCCTGGCTTCTTTCTACTTCTTTCCTCTGGACCAAGTTTCAAGTCCCATCTATTGGGTTCTCTCTTCTCATCCTGACTGATCCTAGACATGTCCAAAGACATCCTTGGGTGTTGGGTCAAGATGTAGTGTCTCTTCACCAAGTTGAATGATGTGTTGGGTGAAGATGTGCATAAGAATTATTGGCCGGGTGCGGTGGCTCACGCCTGTAATCCCAGCACTTTGGGAGGCCGAGGTGGCGGATCACGAGGTCAAGAGATCCAGACCATCCTGGCTAACATGGTGAAACCCCATCTCTACTAAAAATACAAAAATTAGCTGGGCGTGGTGACGCGGGACTGTAGTCCCAGCTACACGGGAGGCTGAAGCAGGAGAATTGCTTGAACCCGGGAGACGGAGGTTGCAGTGATCTGAGATCGTGCCACCACACTCCAGCCTGGTGACAGAGTGAGACTCCATCTCAAAAAAAAAAAAAAAAAAAAAAAAGAATTATTGATTGAGGGTAAAGAAGATCTACCCCTTACCTGATGAAGAGAACCTGCAGGATCCCTTTTCACTATGGTGACATCCCATGGTAGCTTCACATTTGGCCTCTGCTGGTGAGTAGAGGGGTCAGGGTGGGTGCATTGAAGTTCTTCAGTCCTATCCTTGCTCCCCTTCTTCTTAGCTACACTGGGAGTCACTACCCTGCTACCTGTTTCCTCCACCATATTTCCTAATTTAGGCCTTAGCTTGAGTCTGTTCCCAGGTTTGAGCAGCCCTGAATAGTCTCTGTCTTTTGAATCCCTCAGAAACAGTGTTGGGTGGGACTCAGGTTATGATGTTGCCCTGCCTAACCTTGGAATTGTAGGCCTGGATCAATGGCATGTGGTGATTAAAATGACCCTCTGCATGTCCTCAGCTGTGCCTGGCACCAGAGCCCTCATTTCAGTCCTGGGCTTGAAGCTTCTTTGGAAGCCCACAAAGACTCTTCCCTTCAGAACTGTGAATAATTCTTGATTTCATGCTTGTCCTCAAAAGAACTCAGCTCCCAATTGTCAATGTGTCATAGGCTCCAATTTTAGTTATTTTGTTAAAACTTTTTTTTCCCAAGAATTTGAAGACTTTTTCTGGGGGATCCTCCCCCAGAGTCCTCTGAAAATATTAGCTCCTTGGCCCCTTTCCCCATCAAGCTTCGTATAGGCTGTCAGATGCAGGGACTCCATGGAAAGTTTTTGGAATGACCTCTAATTCTCTGACCTTGGAAGAAAAAAGATCCAGCGAGCAATTTCACAATGCCTCCGCGGAGACTGCAGCCCTTGATTCAAGGAAGGTGCCCTCAGTAGAGACGAGAAAGATCCCCCCAGAATCCCTCAAGCTGTGGCCATTCCTCCTCTAGCCCCTCTCCTGTTCACCCCTCACTACCCACCACCCTTCCACCCAACTGGAGAGAGGGAAGGGTCTATGGTCCACAATTATGAGGTTCCATCCATGGCCCACGGCCCACTGCATGCTAGAGGTTACTGGACTTTAGTGCTCCATAGAAACCTCCAACTCAAAAAGCACTTTGGCCAGTCAGCATACGTTTTATCTTCCTGGGGTTGCAACACCCAGTTTTCTTAGGGAACCACCTTTCTTCCCATTATGCGTGGCTGGGAAAAAAATGTCAACCAGTGAGCCCTTATCTACCTTCCCCAAGGGGTGGCATGTGATGCGGGCTAGACCAGTTAGATTGGGAATGTTAATGAGGAAAATGAGGAGTGGGGAGGCAATGGGAGCTCATTCCTTCCAGAGGGGCCCACCACTGTCCCCCAACAGACCACTGATGATAAATCCTGTCAACTGGACCCTGATGCTGTCCTGGTTCTGGTCCTTTTTCAAACCCAGTTTTCCAGTCTTCCCTTCAATTCTGTGAAGTACTAAATATTATAGGAATCTATCATTGATCTCTTGTTTTTGGTTTTGTTTTGTTTTTTTTTTTTTTTTTGGCTTAAGTTTATAAATGTCCATTTTTGTTGCTTGCAACCAATGCATTTTTTCTTCTCTTTTTTTTTTTTTTTTTTTTTTGAGATGGGGTCTCAGTCTGTCACCCAGGCTGGAGTGCAATGGCACTATCTGGGCTCACTGCAATCTCTGCCTCCCGTATTCAAGCGATTCACCTGCCTCAGCCTCCTGAGTAATTGCGACTACAGGCATATGTCACCACACCTGGCTAATTTTTGTGTTTTTAGTAGAGCTGGGGTTTCACCATGTTGGTCAGGCTGGTCTCGAACTCCTGACCTCATGATCCGCCCACCTCACCCTCCCAAAGTGCTGGGATTACAGGTGTGAGCCACTGTGCCTGGCCAACCAAAGCATTTTAACAAAGGATTTCTCTGATTCCACCCTTTCACTCCATGAGAAAACTGGAGGGCCAGATTAGGTCTTGCCTAGAATCACACAGCAGAAGAGAACAAAGCTAGAAAGAGCTCAACCCACCCAGTCTCTCTGTCTCTCTGGGGGTCTTCCTGCTTCACCAGGCTGCTCGTGTGTCTTTGGCAGTCAAGGCAAGGTTCAGACAGAGGAGCTCTGCCCCACCGTCACTGGGTGATGGTGGCCTCATAGCTCTGGAAGTTTGTCTCTTCATCTCAAGTGCTGAAAGCTAAGGAGAATCTTCAGTGTCTCTGAGGTAATCCATTTTCTTCCTGCTGCTCTTTGAACCTGGGTTGCTAAGCGCTTCTTGAGAAAATAGCTCTGCACCAGACTCTGAGGGAAGATGTGAGGGGTCATGGCACAGGGGAAAATGCTGCCTTATTGCCTAGAGACACAGAGACAAACCTGGGCTTCCACCTCTGCCATTGATTGCTGTGTGGAAGTCCAGCCGCCATGATGGCTGGCCCCTCCCAGGAGCGAGGCCTTCAGGGTGATGGTGACACCTCACTCCTCTTACCTCTACGGGTCCTCATTTGTGTCCCCACCTCTCCATTTCCAGAGCCATCCTCTGAGCAGAGGCATGCACCATTTGTCACCTGGACATGTTTCAACAGCCTTCTCCCAGGCCTCCCTGCCTCCCATTCTTTCTTATTCCTTCCACACTCCCATGTTGGCAGGTGATTGGCAGGGCTGATCACACTGCACTCCCCAACCTCTCCAGCAATTAGAGGCTTCCCATGTCTGTGGAAGGAAGTCAAAGCTCGAAAGGTAAACAGAGCCTTCTTAACCCCTTCCATCTGGCCTTAATTTCCATTCTGTGATGCTGCTCTCTCTCTCTCTCTCTCTCTCTCTCTCTCTCTCTGTCTCTCTCCACCCCTCCAGCTCTGCTTTCTGTCCTCCCTCAGCATACCATGTCCTTTTCACCCAGGCTGTGCTTAGCTCAACCCCCTCAGGATTCCCTGGGTTGAACCCTTTCCTTATCTCCTCCTTTAGAGAGTCTTTCCTGTCTCATGAGTTGAGTCCACACTTCTTGCTTAAAGAATCTTCTGATCCCATCCTCCTCCTCCCATGTGTGTGGTCTCTCCCCTGGTGCTCCCCACAGTACTTTGCTAATGCTTGCATTTGTGCTAGTGTTCCCATTCTACTTTGCACGGTCATCAGTTGTTGGCATAAACTCTCTTTCAGGGGGTCGTAAGTACCTTGAAGACACAAACAAAAGATCTGTATCATCCCTGTGTCCCACCTGTAGTGTCTGGCATTTAATGCTCCATAAAACCGTGTTGAATTTTTCCATTCAACAAATATTTGTCAAATAGTGAGCAGTAGACATATCAACCTAGATTGAGTGCTAGCTCCCACCATTCTCTTCTCCCCCAAATAGATGTTTCTCATTTTCCACCAACAAACCCTGATTCTCCTCTACCCACCAGCTTCCTTCTGCCCTATAGACTTACTCATTGCCTGCTCTCAACTTAAATCGTAACATTTTGTCACATTTGTGTCAGATGTTTTAAAGAAATAAAACATTATAGGTATAATTATTGCCCTCTGGGATGCCTTCTTGATCTCCTTCTTTTCTCTTCCTCCCAGAGATAACTACTCTTCTGAATTCAATATTTATTTACATATTGTACATATATTATCTTACACATGGTCAAGCCTATTGAACCAGAATCTTGAAGAGGACTGATGCTGAAACTGCCTCTGCAAAATTATAACTGAGGAAATATTGGCAGTGAAAGAAATCAGTCCTAACCAACTCCATCTTGCTTCTAACCTTCAAGCTGTCCTTCTTCATTCCTGTGCATAGGCCGAACTAACTTTGGGGAGAAATTCAGTTCATGGTTTGGCTCTGAAACAAAGCTGATAATAGCCCTATCCTGAAAAGACGCCCTTCTTGCCTGGGGACCAGTCTGCCTTTGCAGGACTAACAAATTAGCTACAAGATTAGAAATTACAATTTAGGGGTCATGCAGCAATCTGGCTCCAAGAGTTTGAACCTCCCCAAATTGCTCCTGGGGATAACATCACTATTGTAAAGCCTAAGATCAGTGCTTGAGAAATTTTGCAGACCCGGTACTCGATGGATCAGCTGACACCAACCAGATCGGTAATCTGGCCCAATCAGTGCTGCCATAGCACCTAGGAACAGAAGACATTAAGAAAACCTAACTTCGACCCCCTAACCTGAACAATCAGCTCTTCCTAAGCCCCTATCCACCAAATTATCTTTAAAAACTCTGATCCCTGAATGCTTGGGAAGACTGATTTGAGTAATAATAAAATTCCGGTCTCCTACACAGCCGGCTCTGTGTGAATTACTCTTTCTCCATTGCAATTCACCTGTCTTGATAAATCAGCTCTATGTAGGCAGCGGGCAAGGTGAACCCATTGGGCAGTTACAGTGCTTCGGCAAATAAATAAAATGTGGGTGTTTACAACTGTGGTGTAGCAAGAAATCCCTGTATGACAATACATTGGCCCCCAGTCAGTGTATGAAAGCCAGTGGGCCCACAGGTAAGAGATCCTACTGTCAGGGATTTCTTCACTCCATGAGGGCTGTTGAGACCACAGAGCTTCGGGCATGCGTCCCTGAGGAGCAAGGGAGGTCCGAGCAAGATGACTCCCCACTCTCACCTCCACACGGGTCCAGCAGTAAACCAATGTGGGAGTCATCCCAGCCAGCCCTCCAGAGCCAGCCTGGACCAGTCTTTGTAGTGTGGTCTAGCTCATTGTGTATCCTTAATCTCAATATAGTGGATTAAGTTTGCATATTTTCAAATTTTATATAAACAGTGTGCTATTATTGTATGTATCACTCTGCAGCTTGCTTTTTTTTTTTTTGCTCAACTTTGTTTTGAAAGCTTATAACCATGTTAAATCTTAAAAAAGTATTCCAGTGTATGTATATAGAAAAATTTGTAGCATATTTTCCTAGTGAAAATTGCCCACTTTTTAAATTCTGACAAACAATCCTGCAGGGAATGTACTTGTGTGTGTCTCTCTGTTGGTATGTCTGGGTGTTTCTCTCTTCTCACTTTATGCTCTATGACAATCTGCTGGGTGTATGAAGTGCTATCTTCTTGTGGATGTAAGTTATGTCGTTTTATCACTAGAAAGAGTTGGACCATTGAGGCAGGGGACAGCAAACTTTTTCTGTAAAGGGCCAGATGGTAAATATTTTAGACCATACAGCCTCTGTCGCAATACTTGACCCTGCCCTAGCACCAGAGAAAGAAGCCACAGACAATACGTAAGCTAATGGGCATGTTCCAATAAAGTATTATTTACCCAAATAGGCAGCCAACCAGCAGGCTATGGTTGTCCAGCCCTGTTCAAGATGAGCTATCTGAAAAACAAACAATAGAAAAATAGGCAAGATCTTAACAAGCAACATGAAGAAGGTAATGCCCAAATGGCCAGTACATATACAAACAGTTCAGCCTCCCTAGTCATCAGGGAGTTCGTGATCAATTTCCTTCCTAACACAGCCCCAGAGAGCCTTCAGGTACCTCTCCTAGAGTGTCAAGAGGCATCTGTGTAAAGGAGACCAACGATCAGAGCATCCTGAAGCAGCTCTCCCCGCCTGGAATGAGGGGGACAGGCCCTGCCTCTTCTCTATTTACACCAAAAGTGTCCTGGACCCTCCTTGGCACCCTGAGATGCACGTAAAAAATGCATCCCCTGCCGTTGAACAAGTGGAGGGGGCAAGGACAGCATCTGGTGAAGTCGTTGATAAGAGACAGAGATCATTTCCAGACTATCCTTCTTGAAGGTTAAATTCTTTCTTTGTGAAGGGAGAATAGGACAATGGGATCACAGAGCAGAGGCAAAGAGATTTCCAGAGGCCTTTTTGCTTGGTCAGTTGAAATACGTTTCCTCTGAACACTGCTGATAGCATACATTTTCAATGACTCCAGCTTAAGGAGAGTTTACCATTTGAAAACCATCCCACAACCTTGAAGTGTGATCAGAAGGGAAACTAATAGCTGCAGAGTTTGCAAAACATTCCGTCTTCCCTGGATTAAGTTTGCAACCTGGGAAAACACAAGGAACAGATGGTTCGTGATCTGCATTTAACAACCTGAGAGGAGCTGAATTTCTGCCCATGACAAACTAATGGAGGAAGCCTGTGCACTGCCCCACTGGGTGGCTAGGAGGGCCCTGATTATGTGGGTCCTAAAGTCAGGGAGGACCCCAAGAATCGGGGCTTTACAATTTTAAATACAAGGTTATCTCGCCAGTTGGACAAAACTAGTCCTGCTCTATCCAGGATGAAGGTTTCATTACTGCAAATGTCAAACAATTCTTAGCTGGGTGACATGGCAGATGCCGGGGGCCACATCTGACTTAAGATTTGCACATAGGCCACTCTTTTCCCCCAGGGAACCCCAAACCATATGCCATTCCAGAAATCACCACTGTGAGACGATCCTCTAATCCTCACCCCCTCCCCATACTGCAAACTGAGCACGGGAACAAACTGCCTGAAAAACATCCATCTGCTGACTCCACAGCAAAGGCCTCAGGGAGATGAACCAGCCAGGGCTTCAGTTCTCTGTGTTACTTAAATCTGATTCCCTAATTAGTTACTCTAGTCAAAATTCCCTGATACACAACATTTACTGTATGACATCATTTCAATTCACTGCAAAAGGCAATAGAAGGATATGCATGCTGTAGCCCTGACAACTTCTTCTAAATAAATGTCTTCCTCGGGAACTGTTTTCCTTAAACCATTTGACCCAAGTCATGCCTAAGATCTCATCAGAATGTAGGAATAAAAGGTGTCAAAGCACTAGTACTAACTTGGATTACACAGGCTTTTATCCATTCCTGACTTGCCCCAAATTAGTGTCCCACAACCGGTACTGACATTCCCCAGAGGTGACTCACTCATGCTCCCAAACAAGTCCTTTTCTACTCCTGGCATGACTACCATGCCTGCCAGGCACCCACCGTCTCTCACTGGGTAGCATCTCAGCCATGGCCCCACTCTGCCAGGGGTGCACAGTCATACACATCCCGCCAGGCCCCATGGGCATAGTGGTTCCCTGCTGACTCTTCAGGGGATACACATGCCCAGACACACCCAGCCTGGGCCCTTCACAGTACTGAGCAGTGATTAGCCCATTCCCTGACTCTGTGTCTCACTCTACTTCTTGTACTAAAGTAACGCCACTTGCACGCTCACGTCTCACTGACCCTTTCATAAAAACATCTCCTTCGGCACGTAAGATATGGCTGACACCATAGGGTCACCACTGTACAGCCCCTTTTCCATTCTCTCTCTCCCGCATCCCACATCAGCTCTCCAACCTGCCCAGGGGCCACCATCAGAAGCCCTCCTGCAAACTACCTCATACAAAGTGATGCCCCCCAGGGCTGCATCCCAGCTCAAGATGCACCCACATTTGCCAGAACATCTACTTGAGCTCAAGGTGAAATACTCATGTCACTTATGGAAATTGAACCAGCAAAAGCTCACTAAACTGAAACAAAAGGTTGTCTGAACTACTAAAGCCTAAATCTCATAATTTTAAAGAAATATATTCACTCATGTATTCACCAGCAAAACATTATTGTGCATTTGCTGCCAGGAGGACAGATGCATAGCAAAGCACGTCTTCACTCTCACGCTCCTGTGGCCAACACTGCTAGTCAATCAGTGACTTTCCCACTGAGTCTAGGTCAGACAGGGTCTTTCTCAAGATAGCATTCCAGGCAACTACTACCTAATCATAGGAATTGGCCTGTGAAATACAACCAATTTGCTACTCCTAATCAACCACACATTGATGATATTAGATCCTGGAGATATCAAGATGAGTAAAAATATGAGGCCAACTTTGAGCAACAGCTGGGTAGCCAGACACATGGCATCTAACAATCGATACAGAGTTTGAGGGAGAGGGACTTTGGTAGCCAGGGGAGGCTTCACTGAGGAAGGAATAGCCACACACACAAAAACAATAAACTAGCACAGTGGAAAGGAGGAAGTAGGGCAGTCCAGGCAGACAGCAGCATGATCAAAAGCAAGCGGACATGAATGTCTATGGTGTGTTGGGGAAAGTCTCGGGGAGACAGATTGTGGCACCAGAAGGGGAGGTGGGAAATGCAGGCTGGATCCAAACTTTGAAGGGCCTAAGGAGGGAGAATATCAATCAGAAGACGACGAGGAGACAATTGGATGTTCCTGAAAAGGGTAGTGATCAGATCAGAGCTGAGTCTTAAAAAATTATTTCTATTATCATAATGGATAGTAGATTATAAAGACATGTAACTGGAGCCAGGAGACCCAATCAGGAAGCTAAGTTGATAGGCTAGGGCTTCAGTTAATATGTATCGAATGAATGAATGAATGAATGAATGAATGAATGAGGGAGGCAGGGGGTGAGCCAGCAGGGATCCAGCCCCCAGCCCTACTCCAACTAAAGCAGCTCTCTTTTATTTATAATCTGGAGTTTCTTATAGATTTTCTTTGAAGAAAGTATTCTGTAATTTTTTAAAAAGAAGTCTGAAAACCATGCTTTGACCGGGAGAGAGGAGGGCCTGGCTGAAGGCAGCACCCATGAGAGAACCGGGACTGAAGGTGTTTACAAGAGATTTCCAGGAGCACACAAAGGAGGTGGTGACTAACAGAAGGCGAACATGGGCTCGTTTTATTTCTTTTATTTTTTACTCTCAAGACCAGAATAACACAAACAAGAGTGCTAAATAAAATCTACCCAAATCTGTCTCAAAAACATTTGCATTTTTTAATGCAAATTTATAGTTAAGCATTATTTTAAAGATCATATTGTTAAGTAGATTGAACATTTCCTTGTAAATTGGTTGTTAGTTTTGATTTGCTTGGTTGACCCCCACAACCTCTACCCATACCTCAGGAGATAGTAGTTCCCAACAGAATTATTAGTCTCTACCTGAAATAGCCTATATATCTTATTAGAACCAATTAATAAACTCTAAGAGGGGTATTCTCGGCTCACCCAGAATTTGTCTTCTAAATCATTAGAGAAAGTTAACAATTCCAATCACTTCCTCTTTTGGGACATTTAATTCATAAGTGAGCCATATGCTTCCATACACCAATGCTAAAAAGACGAGTGTCACAGAATGAATGTTTGTGTCCCCCCCAAATTCCTATGTTGAAATCCTAACCCCCAGTGCAATGGTATTAGCAAGTTGAACCTTTGGGAGTTAATTAGGTCGTGAGGGTGGAGTCCTCATGAATGGGATTAGTGCTCTCACAAAAGGGATCCCTGAGAGATCCCTCTGCTCTTCACCATGTGAGGATACAAAGACAGCCTCTGTCAACCAAGAAGTGGGTCCTCACCAGACACCAGATCTGCCAACACGTTGCTCTTGGACTTCCCAGCCTCCAACACTGTGAGAAATAAATTTCTGTTGTTTAAGCCACCCAGTCTGTGGTATTCTGTTACAGCAGCCTGAACTAAAACAACTAGGGACATCCAATTCCCATCCGCTTCCTCAGTTCCCTTTCACCCCTTACAAAGCCCCAAGGAATGAACACTACAGCAAATTCCTTTCCCCCACTCATCAGAGAAATGGGCAGGTGTTGAGCAGTGGTTCTCAGAACTGGCATTCTCAAAATTTTGGAATGCAGTTCTGTGGACCAGCCATATAGGTTTGCCACTATGTTATTTTTTCCAAGAAAGAATACCAAGAAAACAAATAGCATTTACTACAATCTTTTCCAAAAAGACAATTCAGCACTGTTAAAGTGAACTAAATATGGCCTGAGAAGGACTCCATACTTCTATATTTGAATCCTCGTGGACGAACTGCAACCTAGCTTAGTAGGTAGACAAGATTGAAAACCTAACTCAAGAGTATGGGCCTGTAACCATAGCTAAGCGTTGGCCAATCCCAGCAGCCATACTTCAACCATTTATACACTGCTGAGTGTTCAAACTGTATTCAAATAAGGCAAACGCTGAGCTGTAACCAATGCAGTCATTCTGTACCTCACTTCCGATTTCTGGACGTCATTTCCCCTTTTTTGTCTATAAATCTTCCAACACGCAGCTGTGCTGGAGTCTCTGTGAATCCGCCGTGATTTTGGGGGCTGCCCGATTCATGAATCATTCATTGCTCAATTAAACTTCTTTACATTTAATTCAGCTGAAGTTTTTATTTTATCAACACCAGAAAGTGAGAAAAGTATCTCCAGAATCAAGGGTGGTTCTTTAAATGGAATACACTTTGCTTTATGAAAAACTTTCTGAACTAGACTTACATGTTGTATTTCACTTTAGACCAGTGAGACCATTTCCAGTGACAAGTGCAATCCAAGGGCTGGGTTTAGAGGCAGCAGAGTAGATCATTAGCAAGGTCCCAGAGTTCCCACTCATTCCCCTGATTCCAAGACCCTGGAATCCAGAAAACTGCAAGGGAAACTGTGACCACTTGAGGAATAAGCTTTGTTGCTGCCATCTGAGTGCCTTCGGGGCCTGGAATTTGTCTTTTTTTGAATGAAAGAGTTACAAATGGTGGTTTGTTGCAATTGGGATATCAGAAATAGTCAGGTACTTCAGGCAAAGTTGTATGTTAAATAAGCTTCTCTAAACTGACCTTGGAATTTGAACCACCATTTATACCATCATTTCTGCATGGAAGTGTAATGTAATTTCCAAGAAAATGACTTGGAGATGAATTGTGAGCTCAGTCTGATCAGAAGTTGGAGGCAGCCTAGATTCCTTTGGCCTCCTGGTCCCTTTGGCCTCAACGTGCATTGTTATCCTCATTCCTAATCCCCAGATGCAAATATTGATTGATGTTTAAATGGCAACTTTTCATTAATGAGCTTAGAGCACTTTGTGAAAATGTGTGCTCTTGCCACCTCTGGGACATCTGCCTAAGTTGTGGTAAGGGTTCTGGCTAGGAGTTAAGAGCCCTGGTTCTAGTTCTGAAGCTGCCATACATTAGCTTAAAGCCTTTGTGCAAGAGAGAGGAGAAGAGCTATACCTTTGAGGTCCTTGCATTGCCATTGTCTATGATTTATGATTTTATGGTGAGTAGATCACAGACAGTGACAGGATCTTTCCATAGCTCCCTTTTCTGGTCAAAATGCAGCAAGAATAGTCCAACCACTTTACTAGGATGTCTTTATTTTTATGGCTTTTCCACCAAATGTATTGCTTTCCTTAGCTGGCCTGGGTTTTGGGGACAGATATTTGGCTATTATGTCCACAAATGCCCTTGACAACAGGCAACGGAGGAGGTAGGAGCCAGAAGCTTTGTAAGTTTCATAACTTACAGTTCCTGCTGGGATTTTGATTTGATGAACCTGTGTCACCTTAATAAATTATGAAGGCTTCTCTTTTCCTTGAATCTTTCCTTGTGTCTTTGTTCCAAAACAGGCCAAAGAATGTGCTCTAGAAATTGGCCATCTCCCTGTTTTGAAGGTGAAAGATTGCTGGGTGTCACCCCCAAAAGGAGACCTCTCTATTATATGTTTCTGTGGTTCCAAGCTCACTGTGAGCTGTGCCTTTGACTTGGCAAAGGAATTCATCGTTTGAAAAGCTATTTCTAGCCCAGCACAGCTGTTCACTGCTTAAGTTCAGCAAATGCCACCATTTTTGCAGACTGTCCTAATACCCCCAGAGAAATTATGGCAACCTAAGTGTGTGACTTTGGTGAGTGAACAAAGAATGACCACTTGTCCAAGGTCTCGCAGAAGTCATCCATTGTACATTTGATTATATTCTCTCCTCTCTTATCTGGTGCAATGTAGGCTCTTAAAAGCAAAACTCAAAAGAGGTTTTTTGCACTACGTTCCTTCCCTGATCTTTGTGAAATCAAGGAATCAGATGATAATAGTGATAAACTAATAACAGCAACAGCAATTCTGATTTCTTTGATGCTTCTTATGTGGCAGGTAATATACTAGATACTTTATAAAAATTATCATGCTCATTTACAGATGAGAGAAAAGAGGCATAGCAAGATCGTGCAATTTGCCAAAGAAACTTCTTAACTAGGAAATGTCAGATGTGGAATTTAAACCTGGGTTCACCTTGGTAGAAGGCTCATCGTATTCCACTATGGCATGTGGATTAAAATACGGATGTGGAGATATGGATGTGGATGGGGAGCTCTGTAACTGCCCTGGCTCCGTTTAGCTTACAGATCTTTGTTAAGGTTCTTTAGCAGTTTGCCCCTAATTCTGCTAAAATAAGATCCGCCTCTCTAGCCCGTTCCCCACCTACACAATGACAGAACTTCTTCCCTCAGCCTTTCTTCTGTATCTCTGGGAATACCCCAGTGGCAGTGGCAGGAGGTTGCAGCACACATAACTCATGCCACTGCTTGCCCTTCCCTAGCCCGCTCTGCTGGCCTCCTGATCACCTAGATGATGCTGTCTGGAGCTCCCGCTCCAGAGCGCCTGTCAATCTGATAAAGCTCTGGGATGGCGCTACACTGCCTGTGACCTCTAGTTGACCTTGGGCCATCTCTCCTCCCTTCTCCAGCTACTTACAAGCCCTTGATGTCCCTGCTCATCCCAGGTCTCTCTCTGGCTGGAGGGGAAAGAACTCAACCTTCTGTACCCTGCCCTTTTGTGTGTTTCATTTTGTGTGTGGATGGTGGAGGTGGGAAGGTGCAGGCCGGCAGCGGCCTTCCTTGGGCCCACTCTGGGGTTACAGTTTGTTCTGTTTCTCCCTATACTCCTCCCATCCAGTGCATGTAAGCCCCGGGGGTGCTGGATCAGAATGGTTCACATGGTGGAGTGCTGTGCTCAGATGTGTGGCTCTTTTTTTGGTCCTGCTACTGAATGACTCTCCAGGGCTCCTTCTCCTTTCTCAGTTAAAGGGAAGTTTCTCTCCCAGGGCTCCATGGTGGACATGTCTGTATATGAAAACCCACAGACTCCAGGAACCACAGAATCAGGAAGTGTGGCTCAAGGGAGCAAGGTGGCATTTCCTCACAGACACTGGGTGTCCAAATTCCAGGGGTAGTCAGGGGAGGTGTATGTGTGTGGAGTGCTGGCTGGATAATATTTCGAGCTAGCTAGCTATTGTGATTTTATCCATTTTATCCCTGCTTTTTCTCTTGCCCTCCTGCACCGGCCCCTACCCGCCACCTCCCATTCAAGCAGATAATAGCTGACTCTGTGCTCAGGCCTCACAGGAGGTTTGCAGCAAGGCACAAAGCAAAGACTTTGCTTCTAAGCTTTGGAAACAAAAGCCTAAGCCCTCAGCAGAAGAGGATTCGATGGAAAACAAAAACAAAAACAAAAAACAAAAGACAGATTGTCCTGAAGAAACATGGAAGGAAAGAAGCAATTTCCCCAAACTAGAAAGAAATCCCATTTGGTTAACAGGAGGTGAATGCAGAGGTGACAGAGAGACAGATGGGGCTCCAGGAGCACAGAACCAAGCACTGCTTCCTGGGAGAGTGATGTCAGCATGACTCAAAGGCGGCCTCAGCAGAGATGCTTGGGGACCCGGGAGCCACAGCACAGAGTGACTAGACCTGAGGGGTCAGGACAGCCAGGCAAGGGCAAGGCTGTCTCAGGGATCTGTAGACAGAGAAGCGAGGACCAGGTGGGCCTCACCCCAGAGGCCTTGGCACTGCGTGAGCTCCAGAAACTCTGGCGTTAATAACCACGGGCGAGGGACTCCTGGGAAAACTGAGGTTATGCATTTTTTTGTTTATTTTTTATTTTTTCTGCCAGCCAGAAGAAATAAGAGCTTGGCATTATAAATTAAGTTGTTACAGAAAACAAAAGAAAACTCGTCAACCTTGTGTTTGTGGACTGGGATTCACGCCCTCTGCCACCTGCCCTCGTACCCCTCGTGTTCACCCAGAAGGAGATAAGAGAGCCTGTGCTCGTACTCTATCCTGGGCATTTGGCTAGACGCAGGCCTTCTGTCCTGGACCCAGGAATAGGTAGCATTGACCACGAATGCTTCGTATTACACTTTCTTTTCCATTTCAATAATGATTCAACAAAACAGTTTTAAATGAAAAGCATTCGGTAAACATTGTTCAGTTTTTCCAGGACTTTAAGCTTCAGAGGGATGCCACAAAATCATCTTCAGAGAAGTTTATGGTGCTTGTAAGGCTGAGAAAACAAGAGTCCTTAAGAAAAGCTCTGATTAAACATTGTAGAGCATTGTATTTCCTGCCTTGTAATTGTGATAGATGGTATGGTTTTGTTTTTAAACAACACCTCATCTTTGAAATGACTCTGCTGGAAACCTAGCATTTTTTTTTTTTTTTCAGAATATTTCCACTGTGTATATTAAATTGACTAAACATTCAGAAGAAGGAGCACAAATCAGACCCAGGAGAGTCTGTTGCAAAGTGTAAGTAGGAGAGAGGAGATGTTACCAATACTGAAAATACACTAAAATTCTGATGAAAGTACCAGATTCAATCCCATGCAAGCCTCTTAGGAACACTCAAACTGTTGAAAATAAAATGGAAAAAAGCGATTACACACTGGCACCAGCATCTAATTGTTTAATGAACATTACATGGCCTGGATCCTATTACTAATGTTTCTCTTCTTTGACATATGTCCACTGATGAAGGAAAGTTCTTTTTGGGTTGCAAAGTGGCTTTCAGAATTTGGACGCTCTGAAAGATAACAAACAGGCAACATCTTTTACTTCTTGCTCACAAGTAAATTTCTGGCAGTTTTTGACAGGTCATAAACACACATGAAATGCTAAACGTAGTGGGTTGTTAGATGCTTTCCTTAAAGTTGAAAAACATTTTTAAAATAAGTTTCCTTATGTCTACTTTTTTCCACATTCTCAACTCTGACATTCAAATGCACTTCACGAACCGACACGTAATAACATTTGAAAACCAAATTTGGAAAACCTTCACGAATTCAGACTTCACTCTTAGAGAATTTTCAAAGCATTCTTGAGACAAGCAAATCGAGGCTGTGAATAAGATTACTGAGAATAATGCTTACTTAAGAGAAATATTCATGTTTGTTAGATATGCACAAGCAGTTAATTACATTTGGAGTTGTGCTTGTTTAGGTCCTTTTGTGAGAGCACTGACACTGTTTAGAACTTTCTAGAAAAGCTTTCATCCATTGGTTTCTGTGACTTCACTCTTCCTTGTATTTCCAATGGGCTCCCTGGACGCATCTCCTCAAGCTCTTTTGTGGGTTTTTCTTCCTCACCCAGCTACTTCAAAGGTGGAGTTACTTAGGGTTCCATCCATAAACCTCTTCTTTTCTCACTCCACAAACTCACCCAAAGGTTTGAATTAACTATATGCAGATAATGCTCATGTTTATGTCTCCAGCCTCAATCTCTTCCTTGAGCTCCCTCATGTGTATCCTGTCTTAGTGGGTGACTCCACTATCTATTGCTAGTCTAAGCCTTAAACCTGGAATTTATGCTTAATTCCTCTCTCCCTTCCCATCATCATCCTAAATATCACTTTAAACATCCACCCTGTCTCTTCCCACTGTTGTCAACTTATTCCTGCCATCATCCTTTCTTGTCCAAATTTCTATAGCAATCTTTTAACTGATCCATCTGCTTCTAAAACCTTTCTCCTGCTAAGACCACAGAAATTTTTCTAGAATGCAAATCTGAACGTGTCACTCCTCTGCTAAAAAAACTTGTTCAGGGCCGGGCATGATGGCTCATGCCTGTAATCTCAGCACTTTGGAAAGCTGAGACGGGTGGATCACCTGAGGTCAGGAGTTCGAGACCAGCCTGGCCAACATGGTGAAACCCCGTCTCTACTAAATATACAAAAAAAAAAAAAAAAAAAATTAGCCGGGCATGCTGGTGGGTGCCTGTAATCCCAGCCACTTGGGAGGCTAAGCAGGAGAATTGCTTGAACCCAGGAGGTGGAGGTTGCAGTGAGCCGAGATCGCGCCATTGCACTCCAACCTAGGCGACAGAGTGAGACTCTGTCTCAACAACAACAACAACAACAAATTGTTCAGGACTCTCATTGCCCTCAAGATAAAGCCCACACTTCGCTTAGGCTGACAAGGGCCTTCATGATGGAGACCACATTCCACCCTCAGCATAACTCTTGCACACCAGACTGAATGCACTGTTTGCATTTTCTGTTCCATCTGATTAGAATGCCATCCCCCTCACCTCCACTCTCCCCTGGATCTATAAAGCTTTCTTCCATCTAAGATATCACCTCCCCTGGGAAGCTTCTCATCCTTCCCAAGATTGAATAAGGGACCTCTCCTATATGCTTCTATAGTACTTACATCCTATATTACCTATATCACAGCACTCAACACTCTGAATTTCAGCAGCAGCTTTATTCATCAGTTTTCTCAGATGATTGTAAAAACCTTCAAGGTATCTTCCTCATCATATCTCCAATAATCAGCTCATTCTAGATTCTTGAAAAACATTTGACAGATAGATGAATGCAGTTACTTTAAAGATCTGTTTCTCAGTTTCCTGATTCTAAATTCTGAACAGGGAGAATCTAATTTGCCCAGCTTGGGTCAGTTTCCATCCCTGGTCCAATGAGCTGAGCTAGGGGTGTGAGAGTATGGATGGAATCTCTTAGAAAGGAGTGTGGGGTTAGAAGCAATGGGTGGCATGCATAACCAAATTATACAATGTTCTTCATTGAAACAATAAAACTGCATTGTAGTTTTTAAAAGTCATATGTTATATATTTTTCATTAATTCATGAGCCTCCTTTCATTAGTTCATTATAAAAAGGTATCACTGTACCTTCATTTTAATACATAAAATAAAAATTATACAGTCACTTTTTACTTATTATTAGGGACTCATTCATCCAACTGTTCACAAATATTACTAAGTACCTACTATGTGCGAAGCTCTGTGCTAGGGACTCGGTAGATAGCAGAAAATAAAATCAAATCCCTGCTGTCATGGTGCTTGCTTTAAAAAATGTAAAACACAGATGCAGCATTTTAAATTAGAAAACTTAATATGAAAGAAGACAATAGGATGTTCTGCGGAAAATAACTGGGGGGATGTGATTCAGTTATGAGAGCCAAGGAAGGATTCCCAATCGGGGGAAAAAATTACATCAAAGCTAAGATCTGGCTTCTCTGGGAAGAATGCCTGGGATTGGAGAGTTGCGGGAGGACAAGGACGGAACTGGAGATCCCTGTGGAGTTATTATGATACTTGCAGCAAAAGACTATGACGCCTATGACTGTTGATGAATTCAGGAGATTCTGGGAGCCAGAACTGATTGCACTTTGATTGTTTCTATGTAGGGTGAATTAAAGGTGCTAAGAATAACAGTTGGGGTAGAGGTTAAGCACATGAACTCTGAAGCTAGATTGTCTGAGTTTAAATCCCAGTTCCATTAGTAAGTTATGTGACCTTGGGCAAATTACTTAACCTCACTGTGCCTTGGTTTCCTCATCTAAAAAGTGGGTGATAATAATAGTAGCTACCTTGAAGATTTGTTATGAGGATTAAACAAGTTAACATGCATAAAACATTTCAAACATTGCCTGCATGTCGGTTTACTTACAAACTGAAAAAGAGGTAAGTTTCCATGCTTCTGGCTTGAGCAATGGAGCGATACAGGTGACATTTATTGAGATGGGAAAGACTAGCAGAAAAAGAGACTTTGATGGACTGAAGATCACAGTTTAGCCTTAGATACAGGCTTGAGATTGCTCAGACCTCTTGGACATCTCTCTTTGGGCAGGAGTCTGATCTCAGAAGAGATCCCTGGGCTGGAGATGTCAATCTGTAAGACTTCCAAATACAGGCAACATTTGAAGCCCAGGGATTGGAAAGGCAAGCAAGGAAGAGTGTGTAGAGTGAGCAAAGTGTGAATACAGGGCCAAAGACTGACCATGAGAGTTCCGAAAGCCAAGTGGAGAATGAGGGGCCAACTACTGGTTTATGTGCAGTGCTGTTATGCACATGCATTAGACAAGTGGAAATAGAAACATCTGGTATAATTTGAATATAAGGAATATTCAAACAAAGGACATCCTTGTATTTCTATTTTAATGGAGCTTAAAACTCTAATTTTCTGTTTAGCCCTGTTACATTGATTTTATGGCTTCTCCTATCCCTCATTGGAATCTCTGATCCAAAGATTTAAAAGAAAGTCTGGAGAATTTGGAGATATGAGTAGTTTCATGGCTGGATCTTCAATGGCGAAGACAGAAGGTGGGGCATAAACTAGAACCAGGTGATGAAATGTCTTATAAGCTGTCATAGGAGTTTAAACTTGATAACAGTAAGGAGCCATTCAAAGTGTTAAGCAACAGTGAAGCACGATTATTTCGTATTTGAGAAAGATCTTTGTTGAACAAGGTAGAAAATGCATTGAAAAGGAGCAAATCCAGAAGCTGAGAGGCCAATGGTGCATCTGTAACAGTAACCCAGGAAAGAAAAGGCAACACAAAGGCAAAGAAAAGACAAACCAGGACTGTGGGGGAGGCCAACGGTTCCAATTTAAGTAATGACCACAGCAAGAAACAGACAGGATGAGGTGATTGACTAGTTAGAGAAGGTAAGAGAGAGGATGACGCCATGGCCTCTGCTTTTGTTCAGACTATTCTGTGCCCTTAAAATATTACATTTTTCCTAATCCATCCTTATGCTCCATGCAGCACCCTCAATGTCTTCTGTAGGGATAACCCTTTAATTTTCAAATATGTTCTCATCCTGTCTCCTGATGAATGCATGCAGTCATTAATTAGCTCAAGTGGAAAATAAAGATGCGACTTACTTCATATGCACTCTAGGTCCCAGGCCTGGGTAGAAAAAAAAATCTATTACCTAAACCACAGAAGCTAAAATCCTCCACAAAGAAGAAAATACCCCAGTGATTGATTTGGTCTCCACATCACCTGGCTTAACTAAGTATAGAAGTATTAATATGCTAGACCCTATTTATTAAAATAATTTAGCTCATCATTGTGACAGAAAGCCCATGTTTCAAACAGCAATATTTTTGTAATAAATTAGAAGTCCCTCAACAAACCCTGTTAAACCCCATGTGGATTTCCGTTAATGGGGAAGATTTCCCAGTGACCTAGCTTAACACTGCTGCTGCACATTAATTTGCTTTCCAGCTATACATAAATAAATAAGTGGCTGCCTCCTTGATGTGAGCTGGAGGACCCAGGGGAAGGCATTTTTACCTCTAGGTATCTTCCCCAGACTTCTTATGCTGTTTATAATTATCATATTCATCATTTTTTTCTTCTCTCTCTTCCCAATTTCTTTCTTCCTAGTCTCTCTTGAACCTATTCCTATCAGACTTATGCCCCCACCATTCCATCAAAACTGCTTGTCAAGGTCACCAATGACCTCCATTTTGCTAAATCCAATGGTCAGGCATCAGTCCTCATTTAACATGATCCATCAATTGCATTCAGTGCAGCAAATCACCACCTCTTCCTTGACACACATTCTTCATTTGGCATCAAGAATAACACATTATTTCCATTTTTTTCCTACCTCATTGGGCTTAGCCTTCCTTGCTGGTGTTCTCCATGGTCTCTTAGTGTTCAGAATACCTCAGGGCTCAGTTCCTAGTCCTCTTCTCTATAACTTAAACCCTTGATCGTCTCATCCCGTCTCATGGTATTAAATAACACCTTTACCCTAACAACTCTTCAGTTAGTACCTCCTGGTCTCCAGCCTTACTCAGCATCTCCACTTGGATGTTCAATAGACATCTCAAACTCAATGTGTCAAATATGGAACTCCTCATCTCCCTTCAAAAACTGTTCTACTCATAGCCTTCCTTATCTCAGTTGATAGCAACTTGATTAAGCCAGTGCTCATGCCAAAAATCTTGAAGTCATCTTTCTCTCTTTCTCTCACAATCCACATCTAATCTTGTTGATAGTGTCTGCAAGGTACACCCAGAATCCATTCTCTTCCTACCTTTCCACTGCTACCATCCTGATCCACCAACTCTTGGCTCAAAGTCACTACAATATACTCCCAGCTTCTCTTCCTGCTTATACACCCTTGTCTAGCACCAGAACCATAGCTCAAGTAATCCTTCTTAAAAAGTAATCAGTGGCATCACTTCTTTACTCAAAAACTGCAATGACACAGGGTAAAAGCCAAAGCCTTAAAAATGCCTTCAAGCTCCTACCTGGTCTGCTCCCTCCCCTGAGTTTCAACCTCATCTCGTGGTCTCCCCTGCTCACTCTGCTCCTGACCACTGGCCTCCTTGCTGTTTCTGAGACATGCCAGACAAGCTCTATGTGTGCCCTCTGCCTTGAATGCTGTCGGATACTAGAGGCCAGCCCCACCCTTCTTTCATGGCTTTGTTCAAATGCCATCTTCCCAATGCCACTTATCCTGCCATATTTCATACTGTCACTTGCCCCAGCCCCAGTGGTCCCAGCCTCCTTGCCCTGCTTTACTTTTTTCTTTTTCCATAGCACATATCACTTCCTATTATGTGATGCAATCTGCTTATTTATTAGGTTCACTATCAACTGTCATCTCTGCTGGAGTGTAAGAATCACAAAGGCAGAGGTCTTTGTTTTGTTCACTGATGTATCCTGAACACCAAGAACAGTGCCTGGAACATAGGAGGCACTCAGTAGATGCTTATTGAATTAATGTTTTAGGCTTCAATCACAAGGGGCCCTAGTATAAGGCAAATATTATTGGACAGGTGATACATTCAGCTTCAGGTTTCCAATCTGAGCCATTAACATATCTTACAAGTTTGAACGAACTACAAATGAGATGTCTTTGATCCATTTCCTTTCTAGCTCACTCCTTCAACACATTTTTCATCCCAGTGCTCTGGTCCTCTCCTCAGGACAGGGAATGGATACAGTCAATAGTGTCTGTTCAGGGTTTATCCTCCCTAGAGTAATTTGGTCCTCTTTCTCCTTATTCCCATGAAATCTGAACTGTGATCCAATTTCTCAAGACCTTAAAACTAAAAAAAATGAGAACTAGTGACCCCATTTTAAGAAATATTGCAGATTGTAAATTAAGCCAATGCTGCTGTTAAACCAGATTTAGCTCATTGACATCTAGAGGAAATACAAACGATTGCCAGAACTTTATAGCAAGAGAGAAGGATACGGTATAGTGGGAAACCCAAGCAAAGGGCTGGATTGGGAGCTCTATGTTACTAGAGGCTAACATGAATGTCCCAGAGGAGCGAAAAAGAGGGACACAAATGGAAGGAACAGATCATGGGGCACACACCTTATTTTTGCCTAAGGTGGACAACTGGGCTAATTCACCAAAGGTTTTGTGAGCCCCCCATCGTGCTGCTGGCACCTAGGATAGCCGGGTGGAGGCTTCTCCAACAATTCTAAGAAATACCCATGGAATGAGAAATGCCCAGGCAGATATGTGGCAAGCGCTATCTCCCCTGGAGCTCTTCTGGAGACCCTGGGCCACTTCCACAATGCTTTCTACACTGAGAACACTCTACACTCTCACTCTACACTGAGAACACTCATTAGGATCAACACTGAGAACACTCATTAGGATCAACTAGAGGCAGGTTGAGTTTTTATTTCACTAAGTACCCAAGCTCTTGTGCATAATTAATCCTCAAAAAACTAATTTCTTTCCCAGCACTGAATTATCCTTGGTCAAAAAGAAATCAACATGATAAATACCAGGCACATAGTGGGCATTTGACATCCTTCTTCCCATGTCTCTCGTTTTCCTCTAGTACCCACCCTCCCAACCTCCTTTGAGATGACTATTTTCCATATTTGCTTCTTTCATGGCATATCTGTATTGCTTCGTATTTGGCCCCAGATGTCAGATTGGCTTGCATTACTCCAGGCTGAATCATTTGATTTCCTGTCCATGTTCCTAACCTTTCCAGATCCTCTTGTATCATTTCTCAGTCATTCCCGCTGTTTACAATACCTCTCAATTTAAAGCCATCTGCAAATCTCATTAACAAACCACTGACTCCTTCTCCCTCACGATCATAGGACATGTTGAATGAAACAAGACCTGACAGCAATCCTCTCCTCTCCATTTGAGGCACCATTTCTCTGGGTTACTTTAACTTATTATCATTTTTATATTATATTGTTATTGCACATGTACTCCCAGCCTAGGCATATCTAATATGTGAAAATCGGGATTCATCATTTTTTGAAATTAAGTTATTCACAGGCTGGGCGCGGTGGCTCATGCCTGTAATCCCAGAACTTTGGGAGGCCGAGGAGGGTGGGTCATTTGAGGCCAGGAGTTCCAGACCAGCTTGGCCAACATGGTGAAACCCCATCTTTACTAAAAATACAAAAAGTAGCCAGGTGTGGTGGCCCACGCCTGTGGTCCCAGCTACTCAGGAGGCTGAGGCACGAGAATCGTTTGAACCCGGCTGGTGGAGGTTACAGTGAGCTGAGATTTTGCCGTTGCACTCTAGCCTGGGTGACAGAGCAAGACCCTGTCTCAAAAAAAAAAAAAAAAAAAAGTTATTCACCCTACAAAAACTTAATTATATTAATCCCTTTACTAGTGACTTTTCCTAGTATACTTAAAATACTTTGCTTACAAAGTAATAATTACCCAACTTCTCAAGGCTGGTTACAGCCTTGAATATAGGTTTTTAATACCCTTTAGCTACATCTGTCTGTAAGAAATTTTTTCCTAGTAGAGTTTTTGAATAAGATTCAAATTCTTTCACATCAATATTAGTAAGCATCTGAGGAACACACCAGTTTTCTCACTGGCGATTCATTGGATCTTGGCTTCAACTTTTCTCACCCCTTTTCCTGATATGCTCAAAATATTTCCAAATCTCACTATTCTTCCTTCCTTAAAACTTTTTGTGTCCCTTCTATGTGCCAAGCACTGTGCTCAGTGCTGGGGTACAATAAAGAAAAGAGTCTCCATTCTCTGGAGCTGTTAATCCAAGAAAAAACTAAAGGGAAGTAGTACTTTTGAGTACCTGCCATATTCTGGACCTGCAATGTATATAATCCCTTTTACACCCCACAGAAACCCCATCTAATAGCTGAGAAAACAGGAGTTCAGAGAAGTTAATTAATTTGCCTGTGATGCAGAATACAAATAGACAATTTACAGAAGAAATACAAATGGACGATAGACATATGGAAAAAATACTCAACCATGCAGTTATTAAGTAACTGGTTTATTAAGTAAATAAAATGCTACTTTTTTACCTATCAAGGTGGTAAAGAGAAAAATAATACTCTACGCTGGTGGGGTTGCAGTAATACAGGCTCTCTTGCATAGGGCTGCAGGGAACATAAAGGGGCAAAATCCTCCTGAGAAACTGTATAATATGTAACAAGGACCATTATAAGAGGAACTCACCTTAGTGTCCATCGCAAGGGAATGAAATAAATGATGTTACATCCATCCAATGAAATTGTACATAGCCACTAAAAATCATATAGAATATGTAATGACCTAGAAAGATTTACCAAATATTAAATGAAAAAGGCATATTACAGAATAGTAGATACTACTGGATGACAATATATACAGGATTGTGTGTATGTGGGTGTGGAGAAAATAAAAGACTGGAAGAATGGATAATATGTTAACAGGGGTTATTCATAAAAGATACGACAGAGTTCTTTCTATTGGTATCTTCTACATTTCAATTATTTAAAAAACCCAAACATAAAAATGTTCATACATTCAGATCTAGTTATGCAACTGTATTGCAATAAACAGCAATGCAGACTAAGAGTCAAGTAACTTGCTCAGAACCACCCATCGGGTATATTACTTTAAGTCTCGCTTTCTAAGTCTGAAATCCATTTTCTTTCTACAACCTACTCATTCAGCTCCATAACCCCAATTATATCCTAACTAGAGTAATCCCTTGATGACCTTTCTAGTTTCTAGGCTTTTTATCACGAGATTAATTTCTCCCACCAAAATGGTTTGCTGTTCTAAAATCTCTAAGCTGGCACTCTTTCTGCGATAAGCAACTCTTTCTTTTCTCAAAGCCCGCTTGCTGGCAGGTCATCCCGATTTTCATCATCTGCTTTTGTTCTGTGAAATCTGATGAGGGCTTACGAGGTCTTCAGCATCTCTCAACAGCAAACATTGGTATTTGGGTTTGAACAATTCTTTTTGTTGAGCAGGGCTTTGTTAGCCCTAGCCAGCTTAAATGCCTTCAAGGCTTCACTGTGACAACAGAACTGCCACCACACATTTCCAAACACATCCCAAGGGTGGCCAATTGAGAACCACCCTATGATCGGCCACAGCTAACCCTCTGACCTCATCTTTCTCTACTCCCTGGCTTTCTGGCTCCATTCCAGCCACACTGGGCTCCTTGCTGCCCTTCTCATAAGCCCACAAAAGCAGGGATTTGGTGGTGGGGATTGGGGTGGAGGGGTGTTCCTTTCATCTGTACAACCAGTTCCTGTATTCAATTCCCTCTTTTAAGCACTTGATTTGTTTTTGATCCCTTTTAAATTTGATTCAGCTTCCCCAACTGTAAATGAACTAACCAATGAAACTAATCACTGATTCCACATGTTCCCAAGCTGTGCACTTCTACCGCAGGATCTTCCAAGGTCTGAACTGAAAACTGCGTCTGCATTTCCTTTTACCTTCTATGTTTTGGGAAGGTATCTCTAAACTATCTCTTCAGGACAGAAGAGAAAAACTACATGGATGCAAATCAGTCATACTGCATTTAAATTATGTGCATCTCTCTGTTATTGTTAGTTCCTTGAGGGCAGTCTTTGTAACCTTCTCTTTATATTCTCCCCAAATAAATGAGTGCCTGGAAATCATAGGTACTCAAGACCTCCACAGCAGCCTCCTCCCTGAGAGATTAGGTGGCTGGAATGTGATTAGACACGTGGGCATCTCCAGGCTTCCACACAGCAGTCATTACTGAGTGACAGATGTCAATCCTGGCATGAATGTGATTTGCAAGGCTCCAAAACGGAGATTGGATTAAATTTGCTTAAATTTCCATTAGGCTGTGTGTGTGTGTTATTTTTTCCTTTCTTTTTGGTCTTTTTTCTCTTAATTTCTACATCTGCTATATACACTCCCCACCGTTTTCTAAACCATTTTAGCAGCAGTCAACCCTGTGAATTGGATGTCATATGCAATACAAAATGTAAATCATGTTCATTAGATGAAAAACGCAATTTCCCCCCTCATGGAGAAAACTGGGACAACACATATCAGAAGGGGCACAATATGACAGTCTTCAAATAAGTCAGTGTGCTTCCTGCATTTAAAGCTGAAATCTGTTTGGTCTTAATTGTGATATTTGCAAAGTGTCATGCTTTCTTCTACATTGAAAGATTTCTTAGCTACTTCAAAATGTGAATTCGTGAGCGGACTACCTTCTCCAAACTAGGATCTGGGGAACCAATCCTAATTGTATTTATACATGCTAAAGTTCCCCTGTTCTTTCCACTCACGCAAAACGCAGGATAAATATAATAGCTTCTCTTCCACTTGGAAAAGCACAAGTTTTGGAGCCTTGAGTTGGCTGCACTGGAAATTAGAAATGTCTTTGATGAGGCACAGCTGTCTTCATTTCTTAGTCACAAATGTCTAAAGCATTCCAGGAGGCTGACTCATATACCTGGAGAGGGACCATGGTTTCTCATTTTTTCTCCTGAAGCCCTTGACTGGTCAGGAAGAGACCAGTTTCTCCTTTGTTCTACAGCTAGGAACTTAACTACAGGATGATCTTAAGTAAGATAAAACCTGACATTTCTTCACCACCATTTGCTTTTCATTCTCTTACATTTGTCTCAAACATAATGTGCAGCACTTAGTGATCTTTCTGCTATGGAGACTCACTGAAGACAAGATCCCAACATGGCAAAACTTAAGAGTTTTCTCACCAATAGCTGCTATCTGCAGCAAAGGAAAGAGAGCACCTTGTGTTGTAGCCTACCGTCCACTGAAGGAGATCAGTATGGACATCCAGGAGTTTCTGAGTTCCCCAGATAGTCTCAGACGAAAGTCAAACCTCTGAGATGAGCAATTAAGAACCAACATTTTTGAAACTCTTTGTCATATGGTTCGCAGCTTTGTGACTCTAAATAGTTGTCTTTCCGCAAATAATTCCATTATTCCACAACAGCAACTCCTCTTTTCTGTTCTCTTGCAGCAAGCAAGTGATCATTACTCACCACCTCAATCCACCCAAGGGCTTTCACCTGGAACCCAAAGTGCGTAAGTAATTAAGATTTGTGTTCTTTGGGGAAAGGAGTATCGACAAAGATGTAGCTTGCTTCTCATGTGAGAAAAGTACTTACATACCTACACAGTTCTACTTGGAAGGCCTATGCATTTTACTATATGTAAATTACAACTCAATTTTAAAAAAATCTACTAGCAAAGACACCCATTCTCTCAGGGAACTTGCCCTTATTTAACCTACAGCTATAAATGACAGGGTTCTCTAGAACCATATACTTTGTCCCATAAACGAAGCAGTAAAAAAACCTGAATATCTTCCCTCCAACTAAAATTACATTATTTTTCTCAGTTAAATCTTCCATTCAATTACAATGGACTATCACTATACTATCTGGGTGAGCAAAAGGTATAATTTACAAGAAACTTACAGAGCTGAAGGGATGAGAGAACTATAACCCTGCAAAGTTGTGTGAGCATCTGAGGTCCTACACAAACCAGTGGCCTAGAGAACAGGCCTCTAACCTCCCTTAGCCTGGAGTGGCCAGAGCACAAGTGGTCTCAACACATAACAGAAAGAATGGACATTTTCTGGCCAGGCACGGTGGCTCACGCCTGTAATCCCAGCACTCTGGGAGACCGAGACGGGTGGATCACCTGAGGTCAGGAGTTCAAGACCAGCCTGGCCAACATGGTGAAACCCCGTCTCTACTTAAAAAAAAAAAAAAAAATACCAAAAAAAAAAAAAAAAAATTTAGCCGGGTAAGGTGGCAGGTGCCTGTAATCCCAGCTACTTGGGAGGCTAAGGCAGGAGAATTGCTTGAACCCAGGTGGCGAAGGTTGCAGTGAGCCGAGTTCACACCATTGCACTCCAGCCTGGGTGATAAGAGCAAAACTCTGTCTCAAAAAAAAAAAAAAAGAATGGACATTTTTTAAAAACCCACTATGTCTATAGCTCAGTCCCAGCCCTGAACAACCACATTCAACCAGCAAAAAATTCTTCGCGATGAAAAGATTTACCTCAAAGAATAAATAACATTAAATCGAGAATTCATAAGCAGTCAGGAGATTTGAGATTTTTATTGAGAAAATAGCTATTTTGACATTATATCCAGTTTCTCATTTATCAGAATAAATTCTTTACAATATTGATCACCATCACCACTTTAGTGTATTTGTACATAGTCTCTGAGTAAAATATATTCACACTCGGCAAGGCTAGAATATTGAAATTATGGCCAACATTGCTTACTTTAAGATTGTTTACTTTATAAAGAAGCTAGAGTAGTTGTGCAACTAGAACAGATGTTTTTAAAATGTTTGCCATTCAAAGATAGGCTTGGTGGGACAAAACTAATATGCATACTACATACATATATTTCTTGTCTTCTTTACTGTCAATCTTTCAGAACAGTAACATGACATTACAAACACCTCAAATTCCCACTTCAAAATGAACAGAAAAATGGAAAAACATTATTTCCCATTTCATAAAATTAAAAATCAAGTCAGAAGAGAAGTAAAACTCATTTTTATGCATTTAACTTAAAAGCTTGAATACACGACTCCTCCTAGAGAGAAGGAAGCCAGAACTTCAGAAGTAGCCAGTGGTCCAAAGAATAAATGGCCCCATGACCTTCTCTATGGTTCATGACTTACTGAGGGCTGATGCAAACTCTGGCAAGTTATTTTTCATGATTTCCAAGGATCTGGGATATGTAAACGAAATGATTAAAAGACATTTCTCTGAATTTGCAAGAAGACGACTGAAGAATCAGAACAAAGATCCAACGGCCTTTCACGTGGCTACATGTTCACCATTACACCACAACTCAAAACCCACAGGCGAGCTTTCTCTCAAATACACATTCAAAATGGTGTTCCAAATAATCCAATTGTATACATTGCAAAGACACACAAAATGCCTCCTTACACACGATTAGTAATCTGGTTTTAGACTCTGAAGTGATACCAAACATATTTAGCTAACCCTCTCAAAATTGCAGGCCTAGTGAGGTTTAAATGTTTTAGGATATAGAATCTGCTTAGAATTTAGTGAAAACTATGAACCGTAGACTGTCTTCGGTAATGAACAAAACTGGAAAATATTAAACTTCCTTTGCTTTGTCACTGAGCAACTATAAGCTTTCTATGATGTATGTATCATACTAGCTTGTATGTGACTTTAGTGTCATAAACACCCATTGCCTTTTTGGCACTTTTAAAGTACAGCCAGAAAAGGTTTGGAAAATTGTTCTGGAAATACAAGTTGGTTCCCTCTGTCTCATGGATGCTTAGGAACTGGGTAGTCTGCTGAAACCACCAGTTCAGCAGACCCTTGTACAGCTGTTCCCGGCCAACTGGGATCCTAAGGAAACAGGCTGGAAGAGCCAGGGGCCTCCCTCACAAATGCCTAAATAACCAACATATCTATGCCGACAGCCATCCCTCTCTCAATGCCATGGTCCAAGGGAGTCTTGACCTGTCTCTTCCCATTTTACTACCACTGGCTAGAGGGGCACCCAACAACAAGAAACCTTTGTAATGAGTATGAACTAGCAAAAACACTGTAGGGCAGCATTTCCTTAGGTGTATCTCTCAGAACATAAATCCCACAAGATACCTACTTTTAAAAAAATCTGGCCGGGGACAGTGGCTCATACCTATAATTCCAGCACTGTGGGAGGGTGAGGCGGGCAGAATCACCTGAGGTCAGGAGTTCAAAATCAGCCTGGTCAACATGGTGAAACCCCATCTCTACTAAAAATACAAAAATTAGCTGGGCGTGGTGGCAGGTGCCTGTAATCCCAGTAAATTGGGAGGCTGAGGCAGGAGAATCGCTTGAACCTGGGAGGCGGAGGTTGTAGTGAGCCGAGATCGTGCCACTGCACTCCAGCCTGGGTGACAAGACCAAGACTCCGTCTCAAGAAAACAAAAACAAGAAATCCATATTAAAATAAATTAGGGAAATGATGTATAAAATAGAGGTGCTTCTTGGAGATTTAAAATGCACATTAGCGTATCAAAGGTCTGAAAGGCCAACAGTAACTCAACTTTGTCTAACCCACTATTTCCCAAACTTACTTGGCCACAGAACCCTCTATTCTCCTAACAATATATTCTGACAAAACACTCCTTCAGGAACTGCTTCACCCAGAACCAAACAGGTGAGTTTTAAAAAATATTATAGCATAATTTCAAATGATTAATAAGGATACAAAGAGACTTATTTTCCTGTCTTTTGTTATTTTGTCTACTTATTTTGTTCTGAATAATCTTCTATCACATTTCCCCTTCTATTCACAAACCTTCAACTCGAGTTACCCTTTCTGATACCTTTGTTCAAGAATGTTAATTCTTATCAGAAATCCATGGCACACTAGTCTGGAAAAAAATAATTTTGTGTCTTTTTAAATTCCTAGAGTACCTCTCCACTTCAATCACAATTTAAGTCCAGGGCAGGTATCCTGGGCTCCTAGCAAACACTACACCCCAACAAGAGTTTGGGAGCCAAATTATTTTGCAAACCCTTAAGAACACAAACTAAAACTAATTTATCCTTATATCTCTGCAAAAATTAGCATTTTGAACATCCAACGAAACTTCAAGTTTGAGGATAATGGGCTTACTGACCTGACCTTTGATTTCACGTAACTAACAACAAATTTCTTTAAAATCTGGTTAAGAAATATGAAAATATTGAAAAGTAAACATAAATTCCACAAAGCTGAATGGCAGCAAAAAATATTTCTTAACATCAAGAACATATACAAAAGATGATCATTACCACCCAAATTATCTCTGTTGCTCAGGATTTCAGTTATAAAAATAGCCAAATCAAGACAAAGACAATTACAGCTTAAAACGAAAAGCTACACCTTCTTCATTAAAGGTGAGCATCTTGTCACACTGTGCATATGGAGAGAGAACAAGTACAAGGCACGGGAGAACTACCATGTCAAGGGACAGAGCTTTTTCAAAATATTTTATCCTCAGAAGTAAACCCCACTACCATAGAAAGAAAAAAATATAATTAGATATTTTAAATCACAGCATTTTTGACTTCCTAGGGAAAAGGAGTTTTTGGTTTTAGGGTTTTTTTTTTCTTTTCTGGTAAGGCAAAATAGATCTTTAGATATCATTTGTTACAAACATGAGTTTTTCTTAAGAATGAAATAAAAATTCTATTTAACTTCTATCATATATTTATTCAACTAAGTTGAATACTATGTTTAGAAAATTAAAGTTTTAAATCATGGTTTATATATAGATAATGATACATTTAATCTATGAATTTACTTTAAAACCACTTTTATTTTGAAATACTTAAGACTCACAAGAAGTTATAAAAATAGTTCAGAGAGATCCCAGGTACCCACTGCTTAGCTTCCTTTCTTTACATGTAAGCATTTATATCTAGGTTTTAAAAGGGTTGAAGTTTTTGACAGTTGATGAAAAACTGTCAAAAAATTGTAACAAGCCTGGTAAATGCATATTTTTGGAGGAGGTTCTAAGGAAACACTACCAAGTTCAAGTACCACTTTTATCACATGCAGCTGCCTTAACCAACAGGTTTTCTAAGATACTATCCCCCTTACCTGTTTCTGCCTCTTTCAATGGTGTTTTTCCATTTTTACAGACTTCTGAAAATTTTAGCTTTGATTGAAATAAGCTTCCCCATTCCTTCATGTTAATATATCTAGCAATATTGAATAGAAATTATAAATGGAAATAAAAATGCTTGCTTTTATAAAATCTCCAGTCTCGCAGCACCCCCAATATAATACAAACAAACTTAAGTTGAAATTTGGTTTGTTAATGCCCACCTTGTGTGGTCAAAACACAGTTTTGAAGGAATGACCACCTTCAATGTTCTTTACAGCTTCTTTAGTGTTACTTAAAAAAAAAAAAAAAATCAATCTGATGGATGATTGATGGTAGTTTGTTCATGGAAGATCTTCATCTTATGGGAATTATCTAGTTTTTCTAATCATATACTACCAACAAAAATAAACACAAGCATGTTCCCTTTAATCATATTATCCTCCACCATTACTTCCAAAAGGCATTGGCTCACAGTATTCTGTTTAAGATTGTGGACCATTTATCCCAATGAACTCACTCAAACTTTATCTAAAACATATCATGACAGGCTGGTCCAACAGTCTGTTCAGTCTGAAAAAATGTTCTGTGCTCTGTTCAGATTGACAAAATGTTCTTTTTGGCCGGGCGCAGTGGCTCACGCCTGTAATCCCAGCACTTTGGGAGGCCGAGGCAGGTGAATCACTTGAGGTCAGGAGTTCAAGACCAGCCTGAGCAACATGGTGAAACCCCGTCTCGACTAAAAAAAAAACAAAATTAGCTGGGCATGGTGGCACATGCCTGTAATCCCAGCTACTTGGGAGGCTGAGACAGGAGACTTGCTTGAACCCAGGAGGTAGAGGTTGCAGTGAGCCGAGACTGCGCTACTGCACTCCAGCCTGGGCAACAAGAGTGAAACTCTGTCTCAAAAAAAAAAAAAAGTTCTTTTCTAAGAGCTTCCTGTATGTGTGGCTGCTCCCTAAAGTACTTTGTGCTCAGTTACAGCTTCCTGTCATCTCATTTACTTATACATAAATAGCTCAACTAAGTAACCCAACATATAAACTCTCACTAAACTCACATGTTGCATCTTAGAAAAGGTGATCTGGAAGCATTATGGACTATAGTGAGAATGTAAGGCTAACAGCAGTTCAAAGTAGGGATGACACAAAAACAAATAAATCATATTGACAGTCATTCCCTCTACTAAAAAAGAATAATACTTGTTATTCTAAAATGACCTCTTTTGATTAAAATTTCAGTTCATAAAACATTACAGTATGCTTCTTTATCAAAGTCTACATATCAGAAGAACATGAGCTCCACGTTCCTGTAAAACTTTAAACACATTTTTCTTCCTAATAGACATTAGCAGTTTTGTTGAAAAGAAAAATTGACATAACCTAGCATTATCTTTTGACTTTGCCCATGGAGAAACTTGGAGTTAAATTTACTACTTAATTTTAGAATCTGTCAGTGTTGATATGGTTCTATAAATTTTTAATTTTTTTAATTTAAATTTTTAAAATTTTTAATTCTTTAAAATTTAAAATTTTTAAATTGTCCTGTTTTACATGTAATATACTTGTAATATACATGTAATGTACTTGTACGTTATAACTGTAATATATTTCAAATACTTTTTGGAGGGTCTGATATAAATCTGATATAAATTAAAAATGACTGGCCTTGACCACAGCATAAGCAGATGTCTGATGAATGTGCTAACCACCCTTCTCCAATATACATCCATCCTAGAGGACAATAAAGTCTCACAGTCATGATTTCCAATATAACATATTTAGGTTTCAGACTGCTGGAATAATAGATTTCAGATTGCTGGAATCTAATAATCTGCCTTTGAAGATGACTGACACACACAAACACACACACACACACCCTGTTGTAGAAGTAATGTGCAACTCATGAGGTACTTTCCCTCATCCAAACAGATGACCAAGATTTTGAAGACTACCTTATTTCTCACTTAGTTAAAACTTTCAAGAAAAAATATTTAGAATGACTTAAAGACTCTTGTATAAATAACTACCTAAATACAGAACAAATTGGGAGGATGTGGGTCAAACACAGCTGAGCTCCACTCAGCTCAAATTAGATGAGTCTTTTGACTACAAAGCTCATTTTCTTAACATATGGGTTCCTGCACGACTTGATAAGATTTGCTGAGCACCACAGTAATCTTTTAAGACACTAATCAAAAACATGGTTCTACATTTTAAAAACCTCAGAAGTAGTTTTAGGACAACAGAAGCACCTCAACCACTAAAATAAGCAAGTTTCTATTATAAGTAAAATTACCACACAGCAAATCCCTTAACAGTTCAGCAACCAATAAATAGAAAATATTCATTAAAAGCTGCTATTTCTGATTGTTCCTTTGTATTCTTCGACTATAAGTGAAACATATGAAAAATAATTGGTTGTCAGAAAGCTTTTGACTACATGATATGCATCTTATGAAAGAATATGCATCTTATGAAAGAATATGAGCCAAGCATAGAAAACTTGGACCAGATGCACAGTATTTCTACTACCCTGGCCATGGGCTCCTCCTGAGTAGTGTCTAACAAGTGGGCAATTTCAGTAAGAATTTTACAGCCTAGCATAGTAACGATAACCAGTACATTCACTTCTTCTGGAATTAATACAAGAAAGACAACTGAAGATGTACTACAAAGACATAGGTCTAAAACTGCCACATTTGCCCAAGTAAACTAAAAGAACTCTTCCTAACCTATATCGAACACATCAGCAAAGACCAATGTTATACTGAAATGAGTATTATCAGATGTTATTATATGTAACCACCTTTAATATTTATCTATGTGCTACTAAACCCCCAAAAGATTAGACTTATGAGAGCATAATTAAAAAGCACATTCCTCCTCACTTTTTAAAGTTAAATATGGTCTCTTCTACTGAAGCAATTTATCTTTTTCTGGTTCCTAAAATAGGCATCAAATTTCTAAACAGAAGTAAAAAGCCTCAGCCAAAAAGCCACATATTAGGTATTCAGCCTGGTCTAAGAAAACTAAGTTAATAAATTGAATAAATTAAATCAAATAAATTAGGAGTGCACATTCAGAACAGAATTGTAGCCTTTGGTCAGCAACATGTGAACCAAAGGCAAAAATCTGCCATGATTAAGGCAGTTCTTTGTATACAGTACGATGTGTTTTTCTTCCCCGCCCCCCCAACCAAGTTCATTTAGCATTCTCTTTGTTATTAAAAATGCAGTGCCAAGCTAGAATACAAGCTTCCTAATAATAATAGTAAAAATAGATGGCATAGAAAGTTCCTTTTGGTTTAGAGTCTTCCTTAATACCTATTATGGTATCTTCTTTTTGCCTTCACACACTTGGTGTAAGAGATTACTGCAACAATCGTTTGACTTTGGCCACAAACCATGACTACTCTCAGGGCGAAAGCCGTTGGAAGGAATTATTTTCTTCTTCTGCTGGAGTCAATTTAAGTGTTGGCAGTTTCCGAGGAGGAAGCTGAGGGCTTTGGCGAAGATTGTCATCCATCTGTAGAAAGTACAAAAGATACATCTGACTAATGCTGTGGCACCGCTTATGTGGACTGTGGCCTCCCCATCCAAACTATAGCCTAGAAGAGTACAGAACCATATGTTTCCTGGGCTGCTAGAGAAACCTTTTTCTTACAAATAATCTCAAGAATTCTAAATGTCATACCTCAAATACCAGCTGACTCAGTTTCTGTAAAAAGCAACGTGGCTCATTCCTGATACCTTCACAGAATTATAGTTAATTCCACAAAATAAATATTCTACTGAACTCAACCATAACTTAAAGAGGTCTTCTGATAGTAAGTGTAAAAGCGGTACTGTTACACTAAGCTCCAGTTTGCAAACTATGTTCACGTACAGTATCTTATTTGATCTTCCCGATACGCTATGAAGAAAAGGCAGACACAGACCTTCTCTGTTGTACAGATGAGCAAAACGAGACTCTGTAAGGTTAAGTGATTTGCCCCACGTCACAAGCTAGTATGAGAGCTGAAACTTGAACCCAGGTCTTCTGATTCCAAAACTATTATTCTTTCAACTATACTTCTTTACCTCAATGAAAATGACCTGTATTCCAATCAAAAAAGACCAGCTTTTTAAAACTGAGAATATGTAGACCAAAGGAAGCTAGTACATTAGGCAAAAAGAAAGATAAATTCTTTAAATGTAATCCAGTGGTTTTCCAAACACTGGATCACTTCTAAATGAGGTAACCCACATCAAGCTCAAATAACACAGTGGTGGACCTCAAAAACTGTTAGCCAGTGTCATCAGGCCTCATTGCCCTATGAGTTTGTAAAATAGTAAGTATTACTATTTGTATCAGGAAAAAAAAAAAAAGCAAGCTTATCAGTTACAGGGGAAAAAATATGTAACCTCTTTGTATTTTTCCTAGTAGAATCACACTTGAAATTTCCTTTGTTGGTTCTCTCCCCTACCCAGTTCCTCAATGTTTCTCTCATGAAAAGAACACCCCAAGTGGCAAAATATCTACACTGGTGAAAAAACTATAAACTATATCTAGAGCAGAGAAGAACAAGAAGGAGAAAAAAATAAAACTTTCATGTGGAAAGAAGAAAAGAACACGGTGCTGTTAATAAGAAAGGATAAGCCCAGTGCTTACAATCTTAAGAAACATTAAGAGACAGAGAGGCAGACACACAAGCAAGAAGTGTTTTTGCTTTGTTTTTTTTTGTGTTTTTTCTGATGGAGTCTCGCTCCGTTGCCCAGGCTGGAGTGCAGTGGCACGATCTCAGCTCACTGCAAGCTCCGCCTCCCGGGTTCATGCCATTCTCCTGCCTCAGCCTCCTGAGTAGCTGGGACTACAGGCGCCCGCCACCATGCCCGGCTAATTTTTTGTATTTTTAGTAGAGACGGGGTTTCGCCGTATAAGCCAGGATGGTCTCGATCTCATGACCTCATGATCTGCCCGCCTCGGCCTCCCAAAGAGCTGGGATTACAGGAGTGACCCACCGCGCCCGGCCGCTTTGTTTTTTTAAAGCAAATCTTTTGGATTTCCTAGCTTAAAGGGTACTAACTGTGTGGCAAAAGTAAACCCAATACTCTTATCTGATCTTTCCCCAATCAGGCCACTGTTGGCTTCAAAACACTATGTTACATACAACTTTAGTGAAAGTATATTTAAACAGTTTTCTGAAAAACAAACTCTATAAAAAAAACTAAAAGGGTACAGTTAATGTGTGACCCAAATGACAATATTAGCTACCGAAAGGAAAATACTGAACTATGATAAAATGATTGAAGTAGACTTGACCTTTTCAATCAAGTTGGATTCCTTATTTACAAGTTGTGTGAGTTTCTGCAGATTTGCATCTACCGTTTCTTGTCCAGCTGGAGAGATGCCTAAGAAGCCAGGACAGAAATCAGAGAAAGACAGGAAATTTTTAAAGCCTTTAAAGCTATTTAGATTGAAAGAATTTTGAGTCTACCCACCCTGTCCAGTGCCCCACCCTCCCCAAAAAAGGCAAAGAGGAAAACCATTCTGGGTTTAAAGGCGAAGAGAGGGATTCGAATGCTCTAAAACTAAACCCTGAGCAAAACGGACAAAAATTTATCCACTAAGTAGACACTGCTAACCAAGTGTTCTGCAATTGGCCACAATAATTAGTTTTTTTTTTTTTTTGAAAAAAAAAGCACAGTAGTCCTCATTTCCTTCTCAAGTTTAAGCTATTCCTTTCTCACACCCATTTCAAATAGGTCTTTGGTCACAACTATCTGGATAGTTTTCTAAGGCAGTAACTCCCAAAAAGTTGCCCACCAGACATCCAAAGTATTCAGAAGAACTTAAAAATACAAATTCCTAGGATTGATGCCTAAAAGATTCTAATTTAGTAAGTCTGGAATAGGACCCAAGATTTTTTATCTGTCAAATAATCAGGTTTGCTAACCACTGCTCCCAAGTTAACACGGTTGAACATTACTTAATTTCATGACTCCCAAACTACTAACCCCTTCCTGTATACAGAATACATAACCCACCAAAAAATAATAAACTGTCCACCTAAGCCAGCTATCTTTATAACCTGTTTCTTAAAAGGACAATTTCAGCCAACCATCCCAATAGAAATTTAGTATCTGAATCACTTAAGCACAAGGCTCCACTCTCTCAATGAAGCACATCCTAAGTAACAGGTGCCCTCTATTTACTATACTTCCATTCTGATGCAATCAGTTTTCAAGTAGTGGAATCATGGCAGTGTACCTCACCAAAATCAATCTGCTGCTGATTTCTGTTCATGCAGGAAAATGCTAGAAGCAGCAGGTAAAAATCATTTAAAGTAATTGTCCATTTGCATTAGGATAAATACTGTTTTTCAGCAAAGACTTAATACCTGTGGTTTTAACCTTTTAGAAGAAAATGACCCACTTCAAAGGGGTAATATTTAAAGAACAAGAAGAAGAAACGTAAAAATCCAGCGGAATAGATAAAAGGCAAATATCTATTTATCTATTTAAATAAGAACTAACATGAGAATAAAAATGAAGTCGGAAAAACACAAATCCTTGAAGTGCTATAAACCACTATTTAAAGACAATACACAAACTTCTAAAATTAAAATAAGTAGTGGATTTTGCTTATACATACATAGGAGAATATGCAAACAAACATTAGCTGAAAAAGAGCCAGCTTACCTCCAAGACTAAGCCTAAAATAACTGCTCAGGATGTCATCACAAAAGCGACAGAGGTTGGAGAGCTGTTTCAGATGTTCTTGTAGCTGAACTTTAGGAAACCGTACTTTGTAAAGAGGTGCAAGAAAACCAAAAACATAGGCATCCAAGGTAGAAGGCCTAGAAATAAATTAAGGATTTTTAAAGCACATAAGACAATATTAACTGAAGGCCGGGTGTGGTGGCTCATGCCTGTAATCCCAGTACTTTGGGAGATCAAGCGGGGGCAGATCACTTGAGGTCAGGAGTTCCAGATAAGCCTGGCCAACATGGTGAAACCCTGTCTCTACTAAAAATACAAAAGAAGTCGGGCGTGGTGGTGGGCACCTGTAAACCCAGCTACTTGGGAGGTTGAGGCAGGAGAATTGCTTGAACCCAGGAGGCGGAGGTTGCAATGAGCCAAGATCATGCCACTGCACTCTAGCCTGGGCAACAAGAGCAAGACTCCATCTCAAAAAAAAAAAAAAAAAAAAATTAAATTAAGGATTTTTTTAAGCACATAAGAAAATACTAACTTGGGATGGTGTTTAATTTTTTTTTCAAAATTCTCAATTCTGAATTACACAGTATAGTCTCTTAAAAGGTTTACTATCCATTTCAGTTTACAAAAATTATGCAACCAAGGTTTTACTCATTGAGTAGCTTAGACTCTAGGAGAAAATGAAATTGTCTTTATAGATTCATTTTTACTCACAAATGTTAGACTGGAGGCAGAGTGGGAACAGTCTGAGATGTTTTAAATTCACATATGCAGCCTATTAAGTCAATGTTAGATTATCACTGGTAGAAAAAGTTTCCTATAATAAAAGCCCATTAAATTTTTTTCTTGTTTGTTTTGGTTTTTTGACATGGAGTTTCACTCTTGTCACCCAGGCTGGAGTGCAGTGGCGTGATCTCAGCTCACTGCAACCTCCACCTCCCAGGTTCAAGCGATTCTCCTGCCTCAGCCTCCCAAGTAGCTGGGATTACAGGTGCCCACCACCACACGCAGCTAATTTTTTGTATTTTTAGTAGAGATGGGGTTTCGCCATGTTGGGCAGGTTGGTCTTGAACTTCTGGCCTCGGGTGATCTGCCCAACTCGGCCTCCCAAAGTGCTGTGATTACAGGTATGAGCCACCACACCGGCCTAAATCTTGTTTTTTTTAAGTAAAAAACTCATCTTTTGGGGAGATAAGAGGACTTGCTTTAAATAGCTGCTCACTGAATATATGTGCACAAAATACCAAAATGATTTTTAAGGGAATACTCACGTATCTCCAAAGAAAAACTGAGATGTTCCCAATCTGTTTGATAGAAGATTTAGGCACTCCTTGGCATCTCTGTATATCTAATAAGGATGAAATTATATCTCAAAAGTAGAAAAGATACTCTAAAACTACTTTTGAGGAAGGCATCTCTAGGTAAACTCAAGTCTGCATTTTATCTTGTCCTTTCTCTCTAGGGCCCTTGCTTGAAGAATAATCCATACTATACCTGTGCTTCCACTTCTCGGAGGTGGTAGAGGGGAGGCTGTCCTCTGGTCAGGAGAATCCTATTCAGTGCTCCCTTAGACATTCTTCCAGGCAGGATCAAACTCAAAGGAAAAGGAATTTGTGAAGCAAACCATGGCTTTGTCACAGTAAAGTAATTGTCACTCTCAACCCAGAATGTGTGAAGCTGCAAAAGAAGAGAAAAAACACTACAAGGATGTTCTTTTATTAAATGAAAGATCACTCAATCAACATGAGAGTTTTTCATAAATATCTTTATATGAAGTGTCTTCATACAAATTTTCCAGTTAGAATGACTCAGGATAAAACAAGATTATTTTAAATGTGTGAGTTTTGTTGACTGCTATCTTCCAAACACCCAGAACAAGGCCTGACACATAGCAGGTGTTCAATAAACATTTGTTGAATGAATGAATTACACCCAATTCTATACATGGAGCAAAAAGATCCATCTCCCACAAAGAATTTCCAACATGACATTTTATTTTACTTTGTTGTTTCACATACTAGTTGAATGCCTAACAGAATCCAGTTTCACAGTAATATGAAGGAATTAAGATTAACATATAAGTAAAATTTTCTCTTAAGACTTTTCTCATTGGTTTTTTTCTAAACAGACTATGTACATTTGCAACTAGGCTACTAAAATACTGTAATATTTAAGAACACTCACCACTGCAGGGAGAAGCTTCTCTTCGAGGAGAGCAATATAAGCCAATGTATCTGCCCCTTGTTTTGCTGAGAGTTCATAATCAGCATTATATTTCTATTAAAAAAAAATAAACCAAAGAAACTCAGAAGTCAAAGAGCAGCCCAAAGACAGTAAAACTAATCAAATCAGGATTCATATTTTTCCTTACAAATAGCAAACGTGGTATTAAAATGGGAGAAAGAGAAATACAAATCCAGTGAAACCTATTGCTTAATGCACATAAAGTTCTTAGCACAGCATCACATACACAATATGGTCAATAAATGTTACAATATTAACTACTATTATTTTCATGCTTGTTAATGACCTAGTTCAGTGCATGGCATGTAGTACAAACAAAGCAACTATTATTTTTAACAAGAAGGAAACAGTTCCAATTGGCTGTGTTTCTCCCCAAGACAAAAGAAAAAACCTTCCAATTTATAAAAGTTCAAAATGTTATTGACACAATTTTTTTAAGTACAGTATTGGCAAAACAAATAACTTATCCATTCATATAAATCTTTACATGTTTAAACATTTTGGATACATAATTCTCTACTGTTAAAACATTTAGATACATTATTCCATAAAACTGCTATTAAGAGCTTTTTAAAAATAATATAGTTGCTAGTTGGTGAGAGCTCAGGTGTCATGCCCAGCACAAAATGTGTACCAACTATGTGACAAAATACACAATCCTATCAATAAGTTTAATAGTGAAAATGGCTAATTAAATCTACTTACATACAAATTTCAATAAAATTCAAGCAAAGTTTATTAAAATATAAACTGACTACCTCTTCATATGACTTTCAAATCACAGAACTCATGCTTTAGAGCAGTGATTCTCAAATCTATTTTTACATCTTGTCCCAGGTATCTCCAATTGTCTAATGAGTTGGCAAAAAAAAATAAATAAATAAAATAAAGCCCAACATGCAGGGATCAACAATCTACCAATCTACTTCTTCAAAGTGAACCACCCACCTGTTTTCTTAAAAAGTTTAGTATTTTTGCTGGCTGAGAAACCATGTCGTCTTCAGTTGTCAAAATTGGTACATCGCCTATAATCAAAAAACAGTTTACATACAAGGACACAGTGTGATTTCCTCTGAGAGATTCCAATATCCTAAAAACTATAGCAGTTGCACATTTAGAGGGGAAAAAATGAGTAAGCTTGTCTTGGTTTTTTTGCTGTTTCACAAAGAGCGGTTCTAAAGAACATTTTCGTTTCTCATAATTTCCAGTGATTTCGCTTGCACTTTGAGGTATTACTCAGAATGATCAAACCATAAACAACACAGAGCCAAGGTCACGGTAAGAAACTAAATCCTCAATATTATAGCTATATACCTCACAGCTTTAAATGGAAGAAGAAAAAAAAGAGTGCAGAAAGGGGAGTGTAAAGGTTTACACTATACCTCTTGAACCTCTCCAGGTGTTATCTATCACATTGACTTTCAAGGGTGCACCAGAAAATTTGGCATAAGCCTGAAACAGAGTTTGCAATCAAACATTTTAGACCAAGTGCGTAATGCAAAGCTGCAGAGCAGCTTTACTTCACAGCCCCATCCCCCAAAGGCAGAAGGCGACTGATACTGAGGCCGCATCCCTCCCCGTGATCTCAAGTAGGGACGCGGGCGCCAGCCACCCGGCTTTCGAGGACTTTGCTCCCCAAAAGGTCCTGGGGATGCAGAGTAGGGAGGGCGCGCCCCTTGCTTCGGGGTTTCACTCCACCGCCCAGACAGCTTTGTGAGGCGGACAAAACTCGGAGCCAAGCGGAGAAGCCTTGATGTCGCCGCCGGCCTTCGGCGGGGGTATCGGCCAGGTTGGGACTCGTCGGTGGGAGGGAGCCCAGGGCAATGCAGCGTGCAGCGGCTCGGCCCTCCTGGACCCCGCAGCGCAGCGGGAAACTGGGGCAAGTCAGCCTGGCGCCTCCAGCCCCGCCCCTTCCTCCTGCGCCCTGGCCCGCGAGGCGGCCTCACCATCACCACCAGGGACTCGCTGTGAACCGATGGGAGTCCCCAGCCGCCTCCCCAGCAACTGAGTTCCAAGGGGGCCGCCATCTTGCGCGGGCCGACCTTTACTATCCCGGAAGTACTTTTCCTCCTAATTTCCGGCACGTGAAACGCGGGGGCGTGGCTAAGGGAGGGAAGGGTAATTTGGGGGCTCTTGAGAGATGAGAGAAACAACGACTGGAGGGATTAAGAAGAACTCTTAGGAGCAGCTTGGCCTAAAGGGTAAGAGTTGTGTGCCTTAAGTCAGACCCACCAGTAATTCTTCAAATATTAATATTTATTAGATCCCTAGAGTGTTCCAAACCCTTTGAACATTAAATCTGTGTGATGCCTAAATTAACCTGTTTGTAAAACAGGGATGACCCAGTATTTACAAGATTGTGGTATTTACAATGTCGGAGAGAAAGAACTTGGCACACAGGAGGCACTCAGTAATTGTTCAACCCCTTCTCCCATGTATGTGGCCTCTGCCTGCCTTTCCAGCCTCAACCTGTTCTCACCCTCATGTTCACTGGCACAACCCTGCTTAAAAGTTACAGTATTTCTGAACGTCAGGTAAATTGTGCCCACCTTCAGTGCTGGTCCTTCAATCTGGAATATCTTTCTTCCCTATGCAGCTGCTCCCTCAAAAATGAGCTTAACTCACCTTCCCTGTGATGTTTTTACAAAGTTAGGAGCTCTGGGTTCTTGTAGCCCCTTGTGCATATTTGAATTGTAGCTTCTCTCCCTAGCTACAGACCTTTTGCCTTTCACAGAAGAGGGCTAGCTTCATAGGTTTGGGACCTGTGCAGCCACACAAGGCTCTGTGCTTAAAAAGGCTCCTCATTTGGCTGATGCTCTTCCGTCACTGTCTTGAAATTCTTAAGTTTTGAACAAGGGGCTCTGCATTTTTATTTTGGACTGGGCCCCTCAAATCATGTAGCTCGTCATGTCTGTGGGCCTAATGAGCACAGACTAAATGTTTCTTGACGTTAAACCTGACAGTTTCTCAGAAAAACTATTAAAGAGGAAATTTTGGTCTTGGAAATGCTATGATCCAAACATATGACTGGGTCTCAGAGTTAGAACTTGGGTGCTGGGTCTTTTTTCTAGAAGGCACAGTAGTCTTTCTGGGACACCCTCGCAGTCATGCCTCTGAGTTCTTTCCTCTATTCCACTGAGATGGTCGGATCTTCTTAACTAAAACTCAAAAGAAACCTCTGCAACTTTTCGTAAAATTACTATTCAACAAATATTTGCTAGGCACTCCCTTACTGTTTACATAATCATTCAAATTACAGTGCCAGCCTGCTAAAGTCTTTTTTACATGTTTCAAAACCAAGAGTTCTAAGAAATGAAAAAGAGATATGTCAGAAATGAGAATTCATTAATAATAACTGTATAATTGGAAAATGCATAACATATGTACCATTAAAACTGTCGAAACATTTATTGAGCAGCTCCTATGTCTTAGACATCATAAGGTTCTGGAACAATACAGAAATATATAAAACATGAATTCTGTCCTCGGGAGTTTACAGTGCACAAAGGAGATATACACACACCAAGGTGTAACAAGTCAGATAATCACGAGTAGGGTTAGAAATATAAGCAAAATACTACAGAAACACAAAGGAGGGACAGTGCATCCTCTGTGTGATCAGTGGAGACTATCTGTTGAGTCTTCAGTATAAAGAAAGTAAAGTAATTCAACTTTCAGATTGTAATGGAACCTCCCTGTTTTGAGGGTTAGAAATGTCAAACCATAGACTGACAAAGGCAAGGCAGGGGGAAAGAAAATCCTAAGCCATAAAGCTGAGGGTCCATATACTACATTCAGGCATTTAAAACAATCATACAGAAAGAATGTGGATTTCCTGAGCCTTGTTTGTAGCAGGACTGAGAGGAGTGAATGAACATTCTTAGTGGACACATAACACAGTTACTCAGTTTGGCCTTCTTCCGTACTGCTGCTACTACATACAGTGATTTCATTTGCATTAAAGAGAAATTAAATCTCTTCCCTTAGTGTTGAATTGAGACAGAATAGCATGTCATTGCATCTGATGAAAGAATCCTTACACACAGGTTTATTAGTGCATAGATAATAGCAATCTTTTATTGCTGCAGTTCCTCTTGAGAGTCTGTATCTGTTAGATTGAATTTAAAAAACTCTAACATAGCTGATTGCACAAACAGGCTGAATACTGTTCCAGAGAACCACACAGAAAATTGAAGCCTTCAGAAATTATGCCTGGTATGGTTAGTTGGCTCCTGTGCCTTTTCCTGGCTGTTTTAGAGTATTGTTCAGAGTTCATCTAAATCATAACTTCAGATTCCTACCGGGAAGAATACTGTCTGCAAAACATCCATGTTTGTGTGGGATGGCCTGAATCACAGCTTTATAATGAGTATCCCAGACAGTGTTTTCCCCAAAAAAGAAATCTTATTTTTCAAAAGATGATCATTAAGAATGGTTTCATCTGGTGATAGTCATCTGAACTCAGGCAACCTGACCTTGGCATCCATACCCATCCTTCATGTGTTTCTTAACTTGGGAGCCACAGTGCAAGGTTTGTTAGGCTCTTTTTGTCTGGGTGATTAAGAATCTGGGAAATGGTGCTGTTGGGAAAGATGAAAGGTTTGTGACAAATGATGGTACAGTATATGGTCCCTTATGGGAAAATTAAATTGTAAAGTCTTAAATATCCCTTTGAACTTGAAGATTCTGTAATTTGTGTTCAGATATAAAATCCTTAAGGAGGGGAAAGAACAAACACTGAATAGAAAAAAGGAGAGCTGAGTTCTTGACTTGGCCTCTGATTAGCCATATGCGCTTGGGCCAATCATTTTACATTGATACCTCTGCTCATTCATTTATAAAGCAAAAGTTCTTTTATCTCTGAGATGCTATCATTTTATGTGTAATGAACATTTAATAATTTCTGACATTTATGGAGCAATTTCTACATGCCAGAAGTTGTTTCAAGTATCTAACATAACTTGCTTTATCTCCATAATGATTTCATGACACAGGTACCTTCCTAAGGTTAACTAACATCTTTGTGTCCCTCCTTGAAAATAGAAGAAAATATCAGTACCCATATAGCCAGTAGGTGGTAGAACCAAGATTTGAACCCAGGCAGTTTTGGCTTCAGAGTTTATACTCTTAACCACTGTGTCATACTGCCTCATGTAGCCTCCTGTGTAGTCCATTAAAAAGCCCAGTTTCACCCAAAGTGGAGATATCAATGCCATGATATTATTGTTATTATTTATGTAAATAATATTTGTTTAGTATTACACCATTAAACGAATTCATTAAGCAGCTTCTGTATGCCTAGCACACTGCAAGCCTGTCAGGGAATAAAAATTTATGTTCGCCTGTAATCCTAGCACTTTGGGAGGGAGGATCACTTGAACCCAGGAGTTCAAGACAAGCTTGGACAACATGATGAAACCTTGTCTCAACAGAAACACAAAAATTATAGCTGGGCATGATGGTGTGTGCCTATAGTCTCAGCTACTTGGGAGGCTGAGGCGGGAGGATGGCTTGAGCCCAGGAGGAGAAGATTGCAGTGAGCCGTGATTGTGCAAAAACTTATGTTCAAGCTTTTAGAGGCACAGTTGATGAAACAAGGCCCACATATTTGAACTAACTAGAGACTATTAGGAAGTACCATTTTGTCAAGAAGACAAGTCTAGTATGGTTTTAGACAAAGGCTTGAATGTACTGCAATGCTTGGCAAAGGCCTAATGAAAGAAGATGATAGCTGATCTCGAAGGGTGGGTACGTTGCATTTAGATTGGCACAGAGTAAGGCATTGCATATGGGCTGTGCTATATAAGTGAAGGCATAGAAACAGGACTGACTATGGCAAGGAATCTGAAGATGAGTAAACGAATGCTGGGTTTGGTTATAAGCTGGAGACTGCTCAGGGAGAGTATTGGTTGACTAACTTGAGAACCAGAATTGGAAGGCATGGGAATTTATAGTTTTGAGAAAGTAAAGACAAGTAAAAGTCCAAATACAATATTAGTGGATTTACATAGTCAAGGATGGGAGGTAGACAGCTATTGTTACATGGACATTATAAGAAGAAGCATTTTATAAACCCATAAACTATATTAAATAAAGTAAAAGTGTGGTGGAAAATGCTGCTGAATATTATTGGAGGAAGGTCACTTGGCACCCTTCCGCTGAGCATTTTTGATAGAGGAGGTTGTTAGAAATCCAGTGGCAAGGGATTACTGGAGAAAAGGGTATAAACGATAAGGACAGGTCTAAGAGCATGAGGAATATGACTGATAAAGGAAGAAGAGAAATGGGACAGGACTGAAAGACTCAAAGTTTTTGAAAGAGACGACATGGTGAATCTACACACATATGAGGACAAAATTGGCTATTATGAGTAAAAGTCTGAAGATGCTGGAGAGAAGAAGGATGGGATCCTAGAAATTGCCCTAAGAGTTGAGGCTGAGATCCGGAGCTTGAGCAGCGGGGCTGGCAGGCATTGAAAATGAGAGACATGCTCTCTTTCTGACACTGGAGGAAGTTTCAAGGGGAACTATGGGATGCTGAGTAGATAAATCAGTTACCTTCAAATTTCCCTATTACATTAGAAAAAAAATAAAAGTGCCTGAGAGAAAGAGATTGGGGCTTTAAAAAGACAGCTGGGCACAGTGGCTCACACCTGTAATCCCAGAATTTTGGGAGGCCAAGGCAGGCAGACCACTTGAGGATCACTTGAGGTCAGGAGTTCCAGACCAGCCTGGCCAACATGGTAAAACACAATCTCTACTAAAAAAAAAAAAAAATTAGCTGGATGTGGTGGCGCACACCTGTAATCCCAGCTACTCAGGAGGCTGAGGCAAGACAGTCGCTTGAACCCAGGTGGCAGAGGTTGCAGTGAGCTAAGATCGTACCACTGCACTCCAGCCTGGGCAACAGAGTGACTCTGTCACACATACACACAAAAAAAAAGGCGGAATAATTTAGAGACTATATCAGGGGTTAATAAAAAGTAAATGGGAGCATTGCTGACAGTCGTAAAGGTCAAATGTAAATTAGTATTAAGGCGATAAATCAAGGGAGAGCCATGGGCAGGCTAATGATTAGGTGCCTCTTTAAACAGATATTCTTTAAATATTCATTCAGTTTTTTTAAATGGAAATAAAGTTGGCCCCAGAATGTAACAAGATCAATTTATATTTTACCAATTATTTTAAAAGTTTTATTTGGAAATCCGGATTTTAGTACCACTTAAAAGTTGGTCCTGAGGATGATAGAAGAGGGATGGTACCCTAGGAGTTGCCCCAGGAATTGAAAGAAGATGAACTCTGTAGCTTCAGCATGATGGGGGCTCAGCCATCCTGACGTCTAGCTAAATTTGTACAGTTGTGTGGCTTCCTCTAAAGATACTTTGTTACCCAGAAGCATAAAAAGCCAAGTTCATGTATTTGGTAGCTATGTGAAGGTGATCAGGCAGTAATATATACTGATAGGGATTCATTTTGCTCCTCCAGCATAGTAAACCTGCTGTCTTTTGTATGAAAAAGAATTAAATGAAACCAAAATGAGAATATTATAATCTGACATTGTGCTGAATTTATGTTGAGGAAATAGGACAATTATACTTAAAAAATGAGGTTTGTAAAGGGTCCTAGGTGGAAATAAGGACCTTATAATGGAAGTAAATAATGGAAATAACGGAAGCCTTATTTCTATACTTCACTCAAAGTGGTAAAACCTAATATACCAATAGACTGTGATGTTAAATATGTATATTATAATACTGAGAGTAGCCACTAAGAGAACTATACAAGTGATATACTCAAAAATACTAAATAAATCAAAATAGTTTTTTTTTTTTTTTTTAAGTCCAAGTAACCCACAAGAAAGCAAGGGGCCAGCAGGGGAGTGATAGGTTGGAAGTGGGGAGGTAGTCAGAGAGATGAGAAGTTGAGAATAAACAGAAAACAGGTAACAAAATGGCAGGCTTAAATCCTAAAATACCAAGACTTATTCTAAATGTAAAGTTGATCTCAATACACCAATTAAAAGACAGAAATTGGCAGAGTGGATAAAAAACCTAAGCTAAATGTATGCTGTCCCTCAGAAACTTCCTTCAAACATGACATTGGTAGATGGAACCTAAAAGGATGGAAAAGTTATACCATGCAAACATTGATCAGGAAAAAAAAAGTAGTATGCGTGTATGTGTGTGTGTGTGTGTATATATGAAGGACATTACATAATGATAAATGGATCAGTCCACAAGACAACATATTAATCCCAAATGTGTGCACCAAACAACAGTGCTTCAAAATACATGAAGCAAAAACTGATAGAGGTGAAAGAAGAAATAGACAAATCCATAATTTTAACTATAACATAAGCTATAGTTATACCCGACACTCAGCAATTGATAGAACTACTGGACAAAAAATAAGCAAAGATATAGATGAATTAAACAACAGGATCTAATAGACATTTATGGAATGCCCCACCCAGTGACAGCAGAACATACATTATTTTTAAGAGCCTATATAACATTCACCAAAGTAGGCTATTATGAGTCATAAAGCAAACCTCAACAAAAGTTTTTAATGAAATAATGCAGAATATATTACTTGACTGTGCTGGAATTAAACTAGAAGTCAATAACAGAAAGATAACAGTAAAATCTCCAAAAACTTGGAAATTAACATACTTCTACGTAATCAGTGGGTCAGAGAGGAAGTGTCAACAGAAAAGAAATATATACAATTGATAATAAAAATACAACATTTCCTATTAAGAGAATGACAAGAAGCCACAGACTGGGAGAAAAAAATTTGCAAAACATATATCTGTTAAAGGACTTGGGTCCAAAACATACAAATAACTCTTAAAACTTACAACAAGAAAACAACCCAATCATACTGGATTAGGATAGACTGCAAATCCAGTGATTGGTAACTGATATGGTTTGGATTTGTGTCCCTGCCCAAATCACATGTCGAATTGTAATCCCCACTGTTGGAGGAGGGGCCTAATGGGAGGTGATTGGATCAAGGAGGGATTCCACCCTTACTGTTCTCATAATAATGAGTTCTCATGAGTCCTGGTTGTTTGAACATGTGTCGCATCTCCCCTTTCTCTCTCTTCCTCCTGCTCCAGCTGTGTGGGACGTGCCTGCTTTGCCTTCGCCTTCCACCATGATCGTAAGTTTTCTGAGACCCCCTCAGCCATGTTTCCTGTAGAGCCTGTGGAGTTGTGAGTCAATTAAACCTCTTTTCTTCATAAATTACCCAGTTTCAGGTATTCCTTTGTAGCAATGTGATAACAGCCTAATAAAGGTGACCTTATAAGGAAAAAGAGACATAGCAACACAGACGTAGACCCAGACCCAAAATTGGTGAAATCTGAATGAACTCTGTGGTTTGTACCAATGTCATTTTCATGATTTTAATATCGTACAATAGTTACAGTAGATGTTACAATTGGGGGAAACATCCCTGTACATTTATTTTACAACTTCCTGTGAGTCTATACTTAATTGAAATTAGATGTTTTTAAAAAGAATTAAAGGTAATGTAATGGCATGTGATGCAAAAAATGGGCACATGAAATATCCAGAGCATTCAACCAGATGGCAGCTAAAAATGTGGACCATCTGCCTTCATGGAACTTTGTATTTCGGACATCTTTTCATCAGCAAGACCATGCCATTTAAATGTTTTCCCAGAAGTGATGCTGAGCTATGTTCAGTGGCCACATGGCTCTCTAGAATCAGTAACAATGAATAAGGATGGACAGCCGGGAGTAAAGATGCTCTCCAGGAAATCATCTTAGGACTGGGTAACCCCACTACACCCCTGGGATTCAGTCAACCTTGGAAATCACTGGAATCCTTAATATAAACTACAAACAATCCAGCATTCTCTGTTTGGCTAAAGATACATTTCAAAGTTTTCTTTAAGAAAAAAAAGCAATATATTAAAACGCTTTGTTTGAATATATGTATATTTGCTGGATCAATAGTTCTTACAGCCATATTACTAAAATTAAGGGCTATGGCATAATAAGAATTACTATAATTCTAAACCCATTAACAGTTTATAGCTTATCCATTTCTTATACTATCCCTGTGAGGAATAATTATATCAAGCTTTATTTGTTTACACCAAACAGGAAAAAATAGATGTATTTATTCATATTTCCTCCATTGGATTAGCCAAGTCTACTAGGGAGCAAAAATAGTAAATTCACATGCCTCCTTTTTTTATGGTAGTAATTGAAAAAGTTATGGATATGATCCCATTTTCTGAAATGTTTAAAAATGAGTGTATAAAATGATCTTATTTTCAGAACTTAAGTCATTATGTGTATTGTTTATAGGGAGTTATATTACTTTTCCAGATTAATAGGCTGCCATCGATAATGAAGAACAAATAAATCCTGCCTTGTGAAATGCTGCCATTTTAAAATTTGCCTGAGGAAAGATTCATTATTGGAGGATTCTTTGCTTTATACATAAATCGCTTTAAACAGCAAAGTCTCCTAGCATTTAAAAATAGTCCATATATAAAAATTCTCTCAATCCACAATCATGTCAGTTGTGTAAAATGAGATATATCTGGTCTGATACCTCAGTTTATGGAAATTCCTCTTGAAATGTCAGTCATTACTCACATCAGTGCTTTAAATGCCATCTTAGCAAACTAAAAGAAATTAGCGTACATTTTGAGTAATGGAAGTGAGTTAGGAAGAGGAAAGAACAGGGTCCAATGAGTTTGAAATGGTGTTTACAGTTGGGTATTGTTCATAGCTTTTGGAACTGTCTTGCTTCCCCTATTCATCAAGGTGCTGAGGCAACAACATTAAAATCAACCCAAGAAGTATACTGAGTAGGTATATGGGAGAATGGCATATTAACTTCTTGATAAAATGTCTCAGTATGTAAATACTTATGAATTATTATTAATTTATATTACTGTACTTACACCATTTGATTACACCTGCATAAAGCTGCATACTCATTTTTACTTCAAATGCAGGAACTAACTCTTATATCCCCCACAGCATTTAGTTGGCACATAATAGATGCTTATAGTTGATGGACACAAAACATATTCAACTATTACAAGAACAGAACTTTTATTGCTTCTTCAGTTTCAAATGTCTCAAAGTTACCCTTTGCTTTTGACCACAAAGTCTACCCCTCCTTATGGTAGTTTCCTCAGGTGTCTGTGTCCTCTCTTTCCATTGCATTTTCTTCTCCCACATCTACCCAGTAACTGGAGTCTTCCTCCTTTTGCTGCCCCTTGACTACAAGGCATTTCCATCTTTTGGCTTCCTAATATGTCATGCCTTCTGTTATTGCCACCACAGCCTTCCATTTCCCAGCTCTCATTTCCATCCTAGGGATGGGACAGTAAGGCTGTCATGAATAAGCATAATTTATATGCCTTTTTCTCCATTTGTTGGTATGGATAATTAAGTGACCTTCAACTTTCATTCAAGGTTAATCATAGCGCTGAAAACCAAAAGGATAAGATGAGAGTGAGCAAATCAAGTCCAGAGAGGTGTATTTCCAGTGTGGAACAGTAACTCAGTGTAAATATCCAGGAGAGAGGCTTCCAAGAGAGCGTATGTGTGTGCACTGGTGAGGGGAGGAAGGGTTACGGGCGGGAATTGTGGTAGAAGCTTCCTGAGGCCAAAGAAAACATTCCCAGAGGGTCTCTATTTTAAAGAAAAGATTTTCTTTCTCTGATTTTTTTTATATGTAGATGTCTTCATTATATATTTGGACCTGTTTTTAAAACAGCTTAGTTTTAGATTTATTCTTCGAGATAACTTGTACCTATGGACATCACCAACAGCTTACAAAAATTAGACCAGTTGACTCTCAATAAGACTTCTCACCTGATCCATGAGCATCATCTCTTTATTTGGATTTCATAAGCCAGATGATATCTTAAAATTGGCAAATATAATTACAACTCCGTTGAACATATTTTTCTCCAGAAAATGTTTTGAGTACAAAAACGACATCTAGAGGTGACTGTCAATATATCTTTTCTTTGCACGTACTACATATTTGTTGCCGTGTTTTAGAAATATTTTAGAAGTTTGGGTAACAGAACCGGCAGTGGCATTTATTGAATTCTTCCTCACAATAACTGAAGGGATAGTATTATACTCGTTTTGCAGATATAACCCTTTCAATCCAACTAATATTTATTAAGTTTACTAAATGCTGGCACCAGTGATACCAAGATCAATCAGATGTAGCTCTTGTTACTGAATGGCGTACATGGAGGAGATAAACACAGTAACGTCCACTCTTGTGTGGTGAGTGCTGTTGGAGATTAATTAAGTGTTATGAGGTTATAGAAGAGGAATTATTCACCCATCTGCAGAGGGCTTGGGGATGAAACAGTGTCAGTGAAGCACTCCTGGAGGAGGTGTACCAGGGGAGGTGTTCCAGACAGAAAACAGCTGAAGTAAAAACATGGAATAGAGCAATAGTATATTGTGGTCTGAGAACTACGTATAATTCAACATTTCAGGAGGGTAAAGTGAGCGGTAGATAATGATGAGAAATAAGACTGCAGGCACAGTCAGAGGCCTATTTACCCACACAAAGGAATTTGGAGTTGGAGGCACCAAGGGTAAATATCTTGTTTCAAAAAGTGATTACATGAGGATTTTTGCCCAGTTCTGTTTGTCTCCAAAGCCATGATTTTTACATTAAACCATATTTACTTCATAGACATTCTTCAAATTAACCATTTACCAAAGATGTAAATAAGTTATAAGAAGAAAAACAATACTAATTTGGAAGATAATAAAAGCATTATTTGGAAAAAGCCAGTGTAGTATCTCTATTTTCAATTTGAACTTTGAGTCCAATGATTAGACATTTTCTAGTCCCATATTTTATACCATACCATGCAGTCTGCTTTTGTTAACTATCATTAATAGTGAAATGACAAACTGACCAGCATCTAATACTGGGGTTACACTGGTGGGTACCCTACAACAGGCGTTTTGTTCTTTGGTATCTAACCACTACCTTCAGTAGCTGCCTGACAAAGATGTGAATCTGAGGCCACACTACCTCAAGGGCACCTCTACCAAGACACATCTGCTGGGCCTAATGAAAACAGAGGTTTCTCCTAGCCCTAGCATTGGAGACTGACATACCCTCAATGGATGTCAGGGGAGACCCAGTCACTAAGGATGACTCTCCTGCCCCTAACCCATTAGCATGTCCCAAAAAGAAACAGGAGACCAAAGACCTTTGCCTTGTATAACAGTCATGCTGCCTCGGAAAAGCTGGGAAGTCCCCTCCCAGTGACCCCCATGCTCTATCCTAATGTGAACGATGTTCATGCTTTTTCATCAAATCTTTTAAATAGAAAGGGTGCAGAGAAAGTCAACTGTAATCACTTGGTGCAGAGTGCAGGGAGAGAGAGCATTTCATATTCAAGAAGAAATTGTCCAAGCAGTAAATGGCATTGTGGTGAGTCCTGTAATTGGAGATAGTAGAGAAACACTGGACAGCTGAGGAAACTCCAGAAGGGAGAAAAAAAAAAAAAAAAAGGAAAACCTAAGAACAAAATAAAAGAGTCTAAAATTTACACAGAATCAGAAAAAGACTTCTGAACAAAATAGCATTGATGGTGCTGGGAAACTTAATTAGTGCATACCCCTTACAGCAGGAGGTGGGTAGAGGAACTGTTATGTTAACGAAAGATCATTTGAAAAAAAAAAAAACAAAAACATGTTGTCTTTCTCTTTAAAATTTTAACTAAATTCCCTGATTCTTAACAGAACAGGGAATATACATTTTTCACTAAGGAACAAGTGTGTTTTCTTAAAATTCCATATTATGATCTGTTACAGGTGAGTGGGTGGCAAGTAGAATATTGTGGTTAACTCCTGGGATGGAGAAAGGGTAGGGGAATCGATATTATTAAGAGAGGGATATAGGAGAGGCTTCAGTAATTTGCAGTTTGAATACTGCAAACTTAAGTAGTAGGAACTAATGTTTCTGGAGTTATTCCTTATACCTTTATAAATGCCTAAATACTACAAACATTTCATAAACTTTTAAAAGTGAATTGGAGATTCGGGCAATATTTAGGGAAATGAGAGGGCGCAAGAAAGAGATCAGAGGGGCAGAGGATGAGAAGAAGAGGAGAAGTAAGTAGGGAGAGAGAGAAAAAGGGAAGGAATGGTTTTGAACCTAGTGAGCTTTTGGAAGGGTTAGGTTAGAGGTCACATCATGCTGTTTTCCTTATCAATTCTTACCCTGATTGAGTAGCTCTCTACCTGTTTCTCACCAAATGGTTCAAGCAGCTGCCATGGTATTCTCATCTCTACTTCCCAGCCACAAAACAGCTCCAGCCAACATAAAGCAGTTCTTCCAGTAGAAAAAAGAAAAAAAGAGCACCTGCAATTCCCTCAAGAAGAAAAGAACAAAAACAATGAGTATATATGTATGAATGAACCTAAAGCAGCTCTAAACTACTCCCCTTTGGGGACAGAAGCAGATGCCTTCGCCAAATTCAAAATGAAATCCCATATCTCTGAAGACCCCCTTCTTATGTTACTGTATAATTTACATGCAAGTTGTCTGCATAGTTAATCGTCCTCTATAGCATCTGGTATTTATCATCAAAAGCCGCTTGTTGAGAGGTTCTGGAGAAGCTCTTCATGTATCCCGGGTTTTAAACATTTTTCTACAAGTCTGTTTCTTTAAAATTAAAAGTGTAGCTGAGCACAGCGAGGATCTGGTAGTAAGTAGTAGGGAGGGTCATTCATACTTGGGATGTTGCTAATGTGACCTGCATGATTCAGGGCCAGAGAGGTGAATGAAGATAAAGGGAACTAAGCGTTACAGCCAAAAGGGTTCTGAAAATCTCCTAGTCAGATTCCTCAGTTTCCACATTTGACAGTAGCTTTCGCAGGGAACCCCATCCACCATGACTGAGCTGAAACTAGAAGCCAGGTTTTTCAGGTGTCATTCAGGGTTGATTTAGGGTTTTGGTTTTCTCCTGCAAAATGGAGAAAATGGGAAAATTTTAGATTATCCATGTTAGAAGGATGATGAATGTGTGTAAATGATATTGTTCAGATTCTGTGAGTGGGACCAGCACCACATTGGACTGGCCTAGGGAAGTCAGGATTCTGCCTTCTAGGTAGGTGCTCCCATCTGTTGGTGACCTGGAACATCTCTCTGTGTTCATTCTGGAGATGCAGATCTGGGTCCCGCAGACTCAGACCTTTGCAGGACACTAGGGTGGCCCCTTGTTGCTTCTCATCTGCTATAGTCTCCTGCCACTGTGGCCTACGGGTTTGATTTAGAAATTCAGGAAAGACTAGAAGCAAGCAAACAGATAAAAGGTTAGTGAAGTGTTTATCCACTAGAGCAAAGCCACAACTTTTCGTATTATTTAGCTCTTATTATTCTAAATTTTAAATTGTTTTTTATTGTTTCACTTACCATGTGTAACTTTCACTTTTCAATTACACATGGCAAGTGAAAGAATAAAAAACAATTTATTTATTTTTTATTTTTATTTTATTTTTTGAGACAGAGTCACGCTCTGTCACCCAGGGTGGAGTGCAGTGGCGTGATCTTGGCTCACTGCAACCTCCGCCTCCCGGGTTCAAGTGATTCTCCTGCCTCAGCCTCCTGAATAGCTGGGATTACAGGCACCCACCACCACACCCGGCTAATTTTTGTATTTTTAGTAGAGAGGGGGTTTCGCCATGTTACCCAGGCTGGTCTCAAACTTTTGACTTCAGGTGATCCACCCTCCTTGGCCTCCCAAAGTCTTGGGATTATAGGCATGAGCCACCACGCCCAGCCAAAAAAAACAAAACAAAACAAAAAACTAAAATTTAGAATAATAATAAGAGCTCAGAAAATGACAGTAATTAAACAAAGGTCACACGGAAAAGTTGCCCTTGATATATCTTGGGACAGGGTGGGTTTTCCTTATTGTTCTTAGCTCCTTTTGTTAATGTTTATTTTAGTGCCTTAATGCTACTAAACAGAAAATTCAGAAAACATTGTAGATGTCTTCCTTTTACGCTAATATTCTCCAGCTTTTCATACATTTGCAAAAAGAAATAGATTATGGATTTCTCAAGGTTTAGCCGCTTGTTATTTCCGTGTGTAATACAAATAAGCATAGTTAAAGGTTAATTTAATTAGCAAATTTGCAGTTATCTGAATTAAGTGTACTCCAAATTTAGTTTACAAGACCTGACAAGTTTGTGAATAAGTTAATTCACTTCTAATGTATTTTAATATACCCAAACCACAAAGCATCTTAAACTTTGTAAAAAGAGTGTGCACGGAGGAATGAGCACTAGATGTGAATTCTAGAGAACTGGGGTCCAGGCTCTGCTGTGTATTGGCCTGAGCAGTTCACTTAACTTCCCTGAGTCTTGGTGTCCTGTTTTGTATAAAGGGGAACCTGATCCCTCTTCTGCCTGGCTGGCAGAGCACTGTGAGACTCTGGAGAAATGACATATGTTAGAGATGTTTATAACCTGGAACACGGTACACGGTATGTTTTGTTTGTGGCATTTTTTTTTTTTTTTTTTTTTTGAGACGGAGTCTCACTCTGTCGCCCAGGCTGGAGTGCAGTGGCGCGATCTCGGCTCACTGCAACCTCTGCCTCTCAGGTTCAAGCAATTCTCCTGCCTCAGCCTCCCAAGCAGCTGGGACTACAGGTGTGCGCCATCATGCCCAGCTAATTTTTGTATCTTTAGTAGACATGGGGTTTCACCATGTTGGCCAGGATGGTCTCGATCTCTTGACCTCGTGATCCACTTTCCTCAGCCTCCCAAAGTACTGGGATTACAAACGTGAACCACCATGCCCGGCCTGTGGCATTGTTTTTAAACTAAAGCATGTATTATAGTTTTCCTGAAAAGTAAAGATTTCCAGAAAAGGAATTGGGAAACTCTTTTACCCTCATAGTTATAAAATATGGAGGTTTCCTTCCTCCAGGTTGGTCAGCTTCCCTCTTGATATGGTTTGGCTTTGTGTCCCCACCCAAATCTCATTTGAATTGTACTCCCATAATTCCCACATGTTGTGGGAGGGACCTGGTAGGAGAATCATGGGGGTGCTTTCCCCTGTACTGTTCTCATGGTAGTGAATAAGTTTCACAAGATCTGATAGTTTTATCAGGGATTTCCGCTTTTGTGTCGTCATTCTCTCTTTGCCTGCTGCCATCCATGTAAGAGGAGACTTGCTCCTTTTTGCCTTCTGCCATGATTGTGAGGCTTCCCCAGCCATGTGGAACTGTAAGTCCAATTAAACCTCTTTGTTTTGTAAATTGCCCATCAGCAGCGTGAAAATGGACTAATACACCTCTGCTCTAGTTCTTTTTGGAACTAGGCCTCTTCCCTTTGGTTGTCTTGCCACTCACTGTCAGATTGGACACTTCTCCACACTGGACCTCAACATCACCCTGCTGGCAGTCCCACAGGAGTTAAAATGTCTGAAGAGGGAATGGCCCAAAAAGGAGTCTCACTGCCATTGCAAGAGCTGGTTTAGAATAAAGGGGGCAGGGTGGATGATGAAGGATTACTTAATGGGTACAATGTATGTTATTTGAGTGATGGATACTCTAAAAGCCCTGACTTCCCCAATATGCAATCTATGCATGTAACAAAATTACACTTATACCCCATATATTTATACAAATAAAAAGGAATTTTAAAAAAGAATAAAGGGGTATGCTGTTCATTCATTTAATAAACATGTATTGAGCACCAACTATGTGCCAGGCACTCTTCTAGATGCCTGAGGTGCATAAATGAACAAAGTGGACAAAAATTCCTTCCCTTGTGGAGCTTACACTCAAGAATATGAGACCAAGGAGATACAGTCTCAGAAGGAGCAGAGACAAGGAAGAGTCAATGATGCCCAGTGAACAATGGGATAAAGCTTAGGAGTGTTCATCCTCATTCATAATTCCATAGCCCATAAACGTGCAGACCCAGACTTGACCATAATGTGACTAGATACTAACAGGGAGTAATTAAGTTTATTTTTTTCATATGAATTTCACAGACATATACAATAGCATGGTTAAAAGAACTAAATTAATTTTATGGTAGTAATTTTTTCCAACTCTGATATTTTGTGTCAGCTCCTACTTGTCCCAGCCATGCCTATCTGTGGTCTGCGGGCCTTCAAAGGGCAGCCTTTGTGTTGCCCAAAGCCAGCACAGTGGTGCTTTGTGCAGGGGCATCCCTGTGCCTCCTGGAATTCGTCTGCCCCATGAAGCTAGGTGGCTGGTGTTCGTGGCCAGTCCTCTAAGAAGCAGGTGTCCCCACTACCGTCCACCATGTGTGTCCTGTCTGCAGAACGTGGCTACTACTCAGATCCTGTTTCTCACTCAAGTTCTACCTCAAGGCTCGCACTCTGTCAAGTGATGTACTTCTTGGGGTCCATCTGCCTCGGGGGTGGAAATTGTGAATAGAACTGTAGCCCAGAGAATCATTGAGAGACTAGGTATAAGCCAGTGGCAGAACCTCAACCAAAATGCCGGGCTTGTGACCCCTAGCCCTGGGCTCGTGCACATAACACACAGTGCTCTGAAATATCATTGTTTGGGGCATTATTGTCACTTTTCTTCTACTGATGTGGATGGCATGTTGGATTTTATGAATATCAATTATTCAGATTCTTCTCAAATAGTAATTAGTTGGTTTTGAGAGTAATTAAGGCAATAGATGCTCCTACAAGAAAAGAGAATGAAAGACCCTGATTTGTGTATTTGGGGTAAGATCTTACAACAAACTGGGCCCAGGTCTGGAATAAATGTGGACAACTTCTAGCACAGCATAAAAGCATTAAAAAGTTTATTAACACATCATGTCGGTGTCAATGAAAATCAAATTGGTATAATTTTCAAAGAAGAAACTAATGATACTTTAAGGCTGTGTTTATAGTAATACTATCTTTCTGAAAGATACTTTGTTTATGTACTATATTAACATAGAAAAATAGTAAGCAGTTTCCAGCTACAATCAGTGGTTTAAATTAAGATGTAAATGTGGGTCTACCAGTGAGAAACTAAGGCAAATGTCTCCATCTAAGACAGAGTTGCCAGATAAAATATAAGATGATGCCCACTTAAATTTGAATTTCATATGAATAACAGGTAATTTTTTCTTATAAGTAAAAATTTCAAGCTTAACCGGGCTTCCCACATTATTGTTTTTTTTTAATTTTGTTTTGAGATGGAGTCTCACTCTGTCGCCCAGGCTGGAGTGCAGTGACACGATCTCGACTCACTGGCTTCCCACATTTTTATTTGTTAAGTATGGCAACTATAATCTAAAGGACAAAATTTGCTTCCAAACACTGCCCCTGAATAAGATCCAAAGTACATATGATAGCCAATTAATTTGGAAAATACCTCAATACAATTTCAAATCTCACAGAGGCAGGGTTTCTCAACATTGGCACTATTGATTTTGGGGCAGTTAATTCTTTGTTGTGAGGGGCTCTCGTACATTGTTCAATGCTTAACAGCACCCCTCGCCTCTACCACCAGATGCCAGTAGCATACCCTGGTTGTGACAACCAAAAATGTCTAGACATTGTCAGATGTCTGGTGGGGAGGGGGTCACAAAATCATCCCTGGGTGAGGACCCCTGTTCTGAGGGAAGAAGCTTATTTATAAGTACAGTATATGTATTAATATCTTAGTAGAAAACTAACTTGTCCTGATCTTGAAGAAAGAAGAGGAAAGCCATATTTTATGTAGCCTTTATTTTAAAATATCATGGGAGAAGCACCAATGGAAATGGCTGAGGAACTAGAGAGCTGGTAGACGTGGGATTATTTTGCAGTCTGAGGCTCTATGACAGAAGCTTCTGTTTGCTCCAGCAGCTTTGAGAGAAAAAGGCAGTAGAAAGTACTCATGACACGGCTCAGGTTCCCAATATAGACTTCATCCAAGGCTTTGAAAGAACAGTTAGTACAGAGTCTGCTGATTTCTGGAAAAGGAGTGTTTTATTTGGATAGCAATAACTGAAATTCCAACCTAGACCACCTAGCTGAATAATTATATGTGTGTGTCCAAAAAACAAATTGCCAAGAGATGCATTGAGAATCAGAATAGGAAAACTGTTTACTGTTTGATTTTTCAGAAAATAATTCAACAGGGAATTTTGCTAAAGTGTTGTTCCTTCTATTTTACCCAAGAAAACATATGAATTTATTTTGCTGTCTAAACCAAGAAACTAATGTGGTTATACATATTATGGGGAAGTTTTTAAGGAATTAACGTTTAGAGTCTTTGTGGCTCTAATTACTGCTCTTCGGTTGTGTAGTGAGAGTCACTAAGCATTCCTTCCTCCAAGGAATTTCCAGCATAATCCTGTTTTCCACTCAAATTCTTTGTGATTGCCAGATTGGAGTGAAAAATCAAATCTACTTCCAATGAAGAAAAACTCAAAAAAAAAACAGTGATTCAAACAAGTTTCCAAAGAGAATACATGAACTTCTTATTCTGCCTTTATTAATTGACATCTACAATTTTGTATTTTTCTCAGGATAATGCAAAAAAAATTCTTTTGAATCATTCTCACTAAATTTAGGGGCCAAGTGTCCTAGCTATATTGTTTTTTAAAAAAAGTTATGTTAAAGCAGCCAGACTTGGTGGCTCAAGCCTGTAATCCCAGCACTTTGGGAGGAGGAAGCAAGAGGATTGCTTGAAGCCAGGAGTTCAAGACCAGCCCAGGCAACATAGTGAGACCCTGTTTCTACCCACACCCTACCCCCTAAAAAAAATTAGCTGGATGTGCCTGTAGTCCCAGCTACTCAAGAGGCTGAAGCAGGAGGATTGCTTGAGCCCAGAAGTTGAAGGCTGCAATGAACCATGATTGGACCACTGCACTGACAAAGCAACTCAGTTCTGATCTACAGTTCATTCTTGGATAAACATAATACACAACACCTAGAAATACAGCAAAAACCCATTACCCTTAAGACAAAGTCCAGAATCCTTACTGCAGTCTACAAGGTCCTAAATTATCTGATTGGAGCAGACTACACTTTCCCCAACTCCAAGTTATATGCTAAGCTGCTCTAAGTTAGAGATCAAAAAAATAGAGTGGCTCAAATGAGATCAAAGTTGATAATTCTCTCACCTACCAGGGTAGAAGTATGCAGTGGTCAGTGGTTCAGAGTTTGTGGAAAGTTTGATCCATGAAGCCATCTAAATAAGGTACTTTGACCCAAGTACTTTCTATCTTGTTGCTTCCCACCCTTTAAGACATTCTCCTCATCCACATGGTCAAAGCTCACTCACCACTACCCTCACTCTGTCCCAATCTGTAGAAAGGTAGGCAGAGAGGCCAGCAAATAGCTTTCTTTTAAATTTGTGTTGCTGGGTGGGTCCCCCAGGAAACAGACTCTGAGATGGAGATTAGTGTACAGGAAGTTCACTATGGGGTGCTCCATGAATTATCACCCACTGGAGGAAAGGAAGGAAGCAGAACTGGGAAGATGGAAAAGTTAAGCTGCAGTACAGTCACAACAAGGTCTCATCCAAATTGATACGGGGCGTTGAAGCTGAGCTGGTCCTTCAGAGCTGGGATGAGACCAGATATTGGCTGCAAGCCATTCCAGGAAAGGGATGTGACCTTGAATGAGATGACTTTTCTTAGCTGAGGCAATTCTCAAAGGGAGCTGTCAGCCAGTAGCCTTGCAGTTGGACAGATGGCAGCACAGCAGAGCATCTGGGACAGGATGTGACCTGGAAATAGCATTGATATGGTTTGGCTGTGTCCCCACCCCAATCTCATCTTGAATTCCCATGTGTTGTGGGAGAAATCCAGTGGGAGGTAATTGAATCATGGGGGAAGGTCTTTCCCATGCTATTCTTGTGATAGTGAATAAGTCTCATGAGACCTGACAGTTTTAAAAGGGGGAATTTCCCTGCACACTTTCTCTCTTTGCCTGCTGCCATCCATGTAAGACGTGACTTGCTTCTCCTTGCCTTCTGCCAAGATTGTGAGGCTTCCCCAGCCACGTGGAACTGCAAGTCCATTAAACGTCTTTCTTTTGTAAATTACCCAGTCCCATGTATGTCTTTATCAGCAGCATGAGAACAGACTAATACAAGGGTAAACCACTTCCATTCACCCCTCATTATCTAGAATGTCTAGAACAGCCACCATAGTTGCCACGGAGGCTGGGAAATACAGTCTCTAGCTAGGAGGCCCTATGCCTAGCTAGCACTAAAAGGAAGAAGGGAGAAGGGATACTGGGGAGCAATCACAAGAGGGAAGGAAAATCATTCTTTGATTTGTTCAGCTTATTGACTGTTGTAGATCAAAAACCACTTCATTGAGGAAAGCAACCCACCAAACACAGAAGCAGAAAGAGAGCTAAAAATGGGATAAGAACAACTGAGAAACTGCTTATCCAGTAATATATTTTAAATAGTGAGGACTACACCAAACTTAGGTAGGCTTCAGAATGAGCCAGGGACAACTCCCCAGAACTCTGCAGGAAGGGGCTCCTGAGGACACACGTCCAACCTGCACCTGAAACCCCAAGTCACAAGGACAACTGATATTTAGATGCTTTTCTTCCTAAGACCTGCTACATATCAGAAAAAGTCACTTAAGGTAAAAGATAAAATATGCTGAGAAACGATTCTGTTTCTTAAAAAAAAAGAAAAAAAAGAAAGAAAGAAACCCAAACAGTAATTGTATTGACCCAAGAAAGCACTATTAAAATGTATCACTTTCTGTTAGTGTTGCTTGGATTTTCAACATAATAATGTTCTGTTTAAAAGAAGGAGACCAAAGTATGCTTATTACCTGAATGACAGAATATTCTGTGCACCAAACCCCCATGACATGCAATTTCCCTTTATATAACAAACCTCCATGTGTACCCCTGAACCTAAAATAAAAATTAATAAATAAATAAAATTTAAAAGTAAAAATAAAAATAAAGGAAGGAGACCAAGAAATACTTAAGGGCCCACTCCCCTTCTTTCTGAACAAAATAGCCAGACCAGCCTCTGCCACTGATTGAACCAGGGATTGGAAACTAACATAAAGCAGCCACCACCTCTAGGATGAGCATAAGATTATCAGTAGCCTGTGAGGAAACTTGGTAATAAAACTCTGACTGGTAGTGACACTGTATGAGGTAGTGTGGGCATCTAACCAACCAATGTGGTGGTCCTCTTGTGGACAGGAGAGGGTATGTGGTGTGTACAACAGGAAAAACACATTAAAACTCTAGAAACCCAAACAGAGGGAGTAGGAGGGGCCATAAAATGTCTGACTTCTCAAATGGCTGATGAGCTCCTAGAGGTGTCCTTGGTCTCTTCCCCAGAGGCAAATTTCAACTAGAGGTTGAAGCTAAGAAGCTTATCAAGACTCAGGGCTTCTCACTTTTCCCCTCACAGGCCCACTCCAAGGCTCTGATTTCCTGGGCTCTCTTTGCCTTGGCTTCCTGGCCATCAGTGTCCATCACTTGAGACAATCTGAGTGTCCCCACACCAAACACCTGAAATACACCTAATAAGAAAGCCTCATCCCATCTGCAAAGTATGCTGGAACTAAGATCCAGATTCACAACTCAGGAAATTTCACTCTACTTAAGTAGTGGCATTCTATCTTCAGATTAAAGTGTGTTTGAAAATCTCTACCCCTACTGACTGGGGCTGTCACACGAGGTCCCACTTGGCCCCGTCTTGGGACTCTCCTGCACAGCACTTGACTCTGCTAGACATCCTCTCTCCTCTCCCCTGTGCCCTCATCCCCATCATCTCCCAGAAACTCAGTGCTGGAACACATGAGACTTCTCAGCTGCATATCGGCAAGGCCAAGGGATCCTCAAAACAAGGCAAGTTTCTGCCCTCTCCCGCCATCAAAAGTGTGTAATTTCTTTGTTTTGTTTTTTGTTTTTTGTTTTGTTTTGTTTTGTTTTTTGACACAGAGTCTCGCTCTGTCACCCAGGCTGGAGTGCAATGGCGCAATCTTGGCTCACTGCAACCTCTGCCTCCTGTTTTCAAGTGATTCTCCTGCCTCAGCCTCCCAAGTAGCTGGGATTACAGGTGCCCACCACTACGCCTGCCTAATTTTTCTATTTTTAGTAGAAACAGGTTTCACCATGTTGGTCAGGCTGGTCTCGAACTCCCGACCTCAGGTGATCTGCCTACCTCAGCCTCCCAAAGTGCTGGGATTACAGGCATGAGCCACCATGCCTGGCCAAATGTGTGTAATTTCTTAAACCCAAAGGGGTCTAGCCAGGATCCTGCATTGTCATATTTTAAGAATAAAGTGATATCTCCATGAAGGGCCCCACTTTGAGTCCTATTTATGTTTGCCTCTGGGATTTAGCTGTAGCTGGGCATGTGTGATAGTGGGTAGGTGACAGCCTGCCCAGGGTATATTTGCACCCTGGCCATGTAGCATGGGGTTGAGAAAGCAGGCTCCAGTATTCCACAGGTCTGGGTTTAAACCCCAGCTCTACCATTTATTAGGTTTGTGGCCCTGGAAGAGTCTGTATCCCCTCTAAGACTTCATCTCCTCGTTTGTAAAATAGAGATATAATAATACTTTCACAAGGCTATTGTGAGAATTAAATGATGTATAATTCGTTCTTGGCATAGGGCCTAAAACGTAGTAAGCACTGATAAATGACAGTTCTAATAGTAGATACCCCATAACTAAGCGTCTTTGAAGGAAGTTTACCATAAGGTAAGAAGAAAGTCAACTTGATCCAGTAACAAAACCCCAGAAGGAGAGATTCCAGACATAGCTTGGAGCCCAGCTCTTGGCTATGTCTCCTTGCCCAGCTTGCCTGTTATTCATCACTGAGTCCCATGTAGAGGTGGGATTGTAAGTAAATTGTGAAAAGAATGGTTTCAGTAAAAACTCCTTAAGGCTTTGGGATACAGCACAGTGTTGTCTTGATACCACCACCACCACTTCCTACAATACATATGTCCCACCTAACCAGGAAAGAGATAACGTCTCAAACTTTGCTTTAAATGCTGCCCAGCTTTGGAATCTCACAGTGTCCAAAGCATCAGAGGATACTCAATGGATGTAACGGTGGCCTCCAACAGATATGACCATGGTCTTCAGGTGATGTGCCAATGGTATGTAGTAGACACAGCTCTGGTTCCCAACAGAGGTACTGATGATTCCAGCAGTCATGACAGTGGTCCCTCGCAGATGTGGTGGGATCTCTGGAACAAGCAGAATAATGTTCTGTGGATACAGCAGGACCCTTGGAAGCATCAACATTCTCAGACTGATTGAGATGTTAGGGAGTTCAGATATCTCTTAGGCTCAGCAAAAGTGGTACTCGAGCCCAAGGATGTGGTGTTAGCCAGTAGTTGGGGGAAGAGAGGGAGAAAGTGTCTGATACCATGGAGTAGCTGCAGGTATTTATTTATGACCATGTGTGGGTTATAGCCCAAGGTACAGACATTTGGGGTATGAGGAATGTGAAGAAGAGACTTTGAATTGGACAAGAGTGAGGAAAATAGCCAAGGAACTATGGAGTATACTTCTATTACCTGGGGTCACCATAAGCATAAAACTAAGAGCTTCATTTACAGCCCTGTATTTCAATGAGAAAGTGGAAAGAGCACCGGACCAGCAGTCTGGAGAACCAGGTGTTAATCCAAGTCTGTCACTTAATTTCTTCAAACCTTATTGTGTATAGAAAGGAGGAAAAAGAGTAGCACTCAATAACTGACGTCTTTTCTTTGATAATTTTATTTCATCACTACCAGATTCAGATAAAGCCAAAGTCTTGCTAACACTCCTTGCCAGTTGAAATGTGGTGACTCTCAAAAACTTGGAAATGTCACCATTCTGGTAAGAAATCTTTTAATGGAAACTTTACATCTTCTAAAATAATTAACATTCAGTACTCAACCTTAGAACATTTTCCAAATTTAGATGAGAAGAGATGAAGCAAGGAAAAAAGGTGTAACCCTATCATACTTTTCCTTTTGGCGTTGAAATAAATATCCAGTTAGGGGATGGGGAAAGTTTTGGTTTCTTTAGTACTGAGTTGGTGGCAGCAAGAGCTAAGTAGGGGCTGAGCATCTCAGGTATGGGCTTCCCTTAGATGATCCAGCTATCAGGTTCTGCCAAGGTGAGTATGCCCTTGTGGGGCTTGCAAGGCCTAGTCATGGTGGGAGACCCTCTATAAAGGCCTACAAGTACTTAGGGAGGTAAGAGGACACCCCCTCAAGGGCTGAAGCCTGTCTCACCTTTGAGGGCAGTGAGATCACCAGTATCCCTGTGAGCTGTATAACAGGAAGGATAAGTCCATGTTCTGGTGCCGATCCCTATGCCTTTTGGAACATTTCTCCCTCTGATAAGAAACCTCCTTATAATACTTTGTTTCACTGGAACAACATCATCCTCATCATTAGTAAAATGATTGCTGGTTGTCAACATTCACGGAGAAGGTCCCTGGGGAAGGTCAGCTGTTGCAGGGAAGACTGGCATGCTGGCTCCCAAGGCAAGTGTTCCTTTCCATGATGAAGGCACCAGGGACCAGGGTCAGGCCTTCAGTCTCAGAGATGCAGAAACTCTTGTCAGTGCCTGAAAGAAGCTGAAGAATAATAAGCAGACTGCCAATGTTGTCATTAAAAGGCAAGGTATCTTTTACGAGGTGAGCATTAGCATCAGCCTGGCAAGTACATTCTTAGACAAACTGCACGGAAGCCAATTTAACAGAAAGTTGCTTGGCAAGCAACAAGGGTGATGTTTAATGGGGTCAGCCTATAATTACATGATGCATCCATTTCCACCATGTGTTTCTGTCTGCCTCTTGGACCAGAAGGGCTGTCTTTGGGGCCAGGAAGACCCTTCCCTGGACAGTATTCACGCATCTACTGCCAGACTTTGCCTCACTGACTCTTCCTGTGTCACACATTCCCAAACCTCAATGACTCACCAATTCCCTTTCTGATTGACATGGTCTTGCCTTAAACGTGTTGATGTCTTTAATCAAGACAGATTAAAGTGAAGTTTCTTTTTTCTGGAAGATGTGACTGCATACTGTTTTGACCGATTATATGTGCTCAGCTGGCAAAGGGCTATGTCCCTTCATAGCCTAATTCTTGGGGTCACCCCATTGTTGCCTTCCTCCCATATAACACCTACACTGTAGTGTTGAAATGTCATCATGTTTTATTTTATTTCATTTTTATTTTCTGTGTTCTTTTTCTGTGTTCCACTGATTTTTTTGAGTGGGATTGGTCTGCGAAATGGTATTATTTTTAGCACAAAATGAATCCAGTGAGACAAAATCTTGTAACAAATTCAACTGTTTCACTGTATGAAAGCAGGGCAGGTTCTTTACTGATGACAATTTCTGTTTGAGAAACCAAACTGAGTTCTTCATAAATGATGAACAAATAATATACACATATTATTGTATTTAGGATTATAGTATTGCTAGCCCTAAAAAATGATCAATGAAGTATTGGCAATGTGAGGTGATAATTTTTTGTTTCTCCTTTTCATAATAGATTTTGCCTGTCCTGTTAGTGATTTGCACTGCCCGCAGCTACCCAAAACCTCAAGCATAGACAAACTGCTTAAAATTCCAACGTTTGATGAACTGATTCAAAACGGATAGATTAACCCATACCACACTCCCTGTGCTGACACTAATGAAAAAACAAAACAGCAAAAGAGTTTCCACTTCCCAGATGTCAATCTTCTATTTGCTTTAATCATTTTATATTTATTTATTGATCCATTCAATTATGTTGGTTTATTCCTACTTAAGTTGTTCCAAAGCATTTAAGACAGATGATAAGAACACAAGATAAAAATCAGGATCAAGAAAAATAAAAATAAATGTTAGATGACAAAGATGGGAGGAGGAATTAGAATTACAAAGATGTGTAGAATGCTAGTTCCTACATAATTATTAAAATGGAGGCCAATGTTCAAGCTGGGCTTCCTGGTGGCAAAAGCATACATGAAATTATAATAGGTACAAAATAATACCGTAAAGAAAACCTCCCCAAATAAAGAAAGCTTTTTCTTGGCACTCGAATCTGAAAGAAATTTTTTATTTAGATAAGAAAATCTCAGTGATATGGATAACACAATACCACAATACAATCTAACAACATGCAACCCAACAAAATGTGTGTTTTTTTAAGGAATTTTGTTCTTTGCTCAATTTCTTCCATCTACTAATTTTTAAATAATGCATCCTCTGTCTATTCATTTGAGGTTAACCCAAATATTTTAATATTTAATAAAATCTAAGTTTAAATCTTTTTACCTGCTTCTGAAAAATACAAGGGGATTATAAGACTAATCAAATTGCTTCCCATGCCACTTTATTTGTTGTTTTAGTTGAGTGTGTTAGTTCTATTTTGCTTTTTAATTCTACAAATTAAACACTATTATTATTGTCATCACCATTGTTTTATATGGCCAGTGTTGAAGTGTATTTATTTATAAATGTCTTTGCTCACCATTTCTTCTTGAATTTCAGACTTTCAATTTGGATTCATTTTCTGTGAGCCTCAAGTATATCCTTCGAAATTTTCTTTTGTGAGGATCTATACTCAGTTTTGTTTGTCTTAAATGTCTTTTATTTTACTCTTATTCTTAAACGATCTTTTTACTAATCGTGGGATTTGGGATTGATCTTTTTTTTTCTTTGACACGTTGAAAATGATATTCTGGCTTCCATTAATGCTGTTGGAAACACTGCTGTACCTCTAATTTTTATTCCTTTGTGGTGATTTGTTATCTTTGGCTACTTTTAAGATAGATCCTCTCTTTGACCTTGTTGTTCTGAACTTCCACTCTAATGTGCCAAGGAATTATTTTATTTGTATTTATCTGCTTGTGATTTGGCTTATCATCTTTCAGCAATTCTGAAAAACTCTCAGCCATTTTTCCTTGGAATATTGTCTCTTTTCCATTCTTTCTACTGTGTTTTTCCAGAGCTCCAATTAGGTGTATGGACTTTTTCAAAAACTCTTTCTTTTTCTCTTATTATATTTTGAAATCTCATTTCTCTGTACTATATTTTATATGATTTCTTTAGATTTATCTTATACTTCACTAGTTATCTCTTTGTGTCCAGTCTGCTGTTTAATTCATACATTGATTTTAATTTAAATTATATTTCCATTTACAGAAGTTCCAGTTCAAATATACTTTTTTTTTTTTTTTTTTTTTTGAGACAGAGTTTTGCTCTTGTCACCCAGGCTGGAGTGCAATGGCATGATCTCGGCTCACTGCAACCTCTGCCTCCTGGGTTCAATTGATTCTCCTGCCTCAGCCTCCCTAGTAGCTGAGATTAGAGGCACCTGCCACCACACCCGGCTAATTTTTGTACTTTTAGTAGAGATGGGGTTTCACCATGTTGGCCAGGCTGTTCTCAAACTCCTGACTTTAGGTGATCTGCCCACCTCGGCCTTCCAAAGTGCTAGGATTACAGGTGTGAGCCACCGTGCCCAGCCCAAATATACTTATTTTTTAAACATTTTTTATTTCTTGTCATTATTTTCAAATGTCTGTTTTATTTCTTAAAGCATATTAAGTATATTTATTGTATAGTTTACTTCTGATATTTCTAGTATCTGCAAGTCTGTGAAAGTGTGATGTTGTTGTCTGCTATTTCCTCTGGCTCTTACTTGGTGTGCCTTTTGCCTAGTATACTTTGTCTTTGTGTGTTGGGAGGGGAGTTCATGTTCTTTAGAATGTTATCTGCAGGATTTTTTGAGAACTGGTTAAAGTTGGTGTCCTTCAGAAAGGATTTTCTTTTACTTCGATTGCCTGGGAGGACTACCAGTTCTCTCTGTGATTGTTTTTTTTTTTTTTTCTTGTCATGCTTTCCACTTCCACTGCATTTCTCACTGGCTCAACTATAGTAGCATGAATTTGGAACTACAAAACCACAAGAAGCAACATCAACTATGAAGTATCATTGATAAAAATATTTAACTTGAATCTAATCATGAGAAATAATTGACCAAATCAAGACTATAGGACAGAATCTAGGACATTCTATAGAGCCTGGATTCTTCAAAAAAGTCATACACACACACACATGTACGTACACCTTAATTTATAAGATAGAAATCAAAAGAAACTACAGAGATGAACAGCCCAATGCAAGGCATGCCCTTCATTGATTTCTGGATTTTTTTAAGTCATAAAAGATATTTGGGAGTCACTTAAGAAAATTAGAATGCAAACTGTATATTAAATGGCATTATGGAATTATCATTACTTTTCTTAGGTGAGATAAGGATATTGTAATTATACAAGAGATGTCCTTCATCTAGGAGATGGCTGCTGAAGTATTGAAGGGTAAAGTGTCCTGTGCTTATAACTGGCTTTCAAACAGACAAACAAAAAAAGCTGGTCCAAAATGGCAGTGGCAATGGATGTGGATACCCCAAGAAGTACCAACAGCAGTGCTTTGAAGTAAAAAAGTGAAATGCAGTAGCTAGCCCTCTGGGCTTGGGATGTTGTGGTTAATAACTGTGCCATCTGCAGGAATCACAGCATGGATCTGCATTGAATGTCAAGCTAACCAAGAGTCTGCCACTTCAGAAGTGTGTACCGTTGCACGGGGAGCCTGTAACCGTGCTTTTCACTTCACTGTCTCTCTCACTGGCTCAAAACACAACAGCTGTGCCTGTTGGACAACAGACAATAGGAATTCCCAAAGTATGGACACCAGAAAAAGAATTCTTCCATCAAGCTTAACTGTTTTGTGATTCATTTAATGACTTGCCCTTCTGTCACTTAATTATAAATTAGATAGAACTGTGTCTTTTCTGCTTTGTCTTTGCCATTTGCTGTTCTCGCAGCCACATTGTATTCTGTGTCAAATAAAGTCCAGTTGGATTCTAGAGCGAATGCTGTCTCCTGTGTATGTGAACAAAAGTGAACGTAAATGAAGGGTCCCCTCTTCCAAGGCTGAAAAGCCACCTTTTAAAAGTGAAATGTGCCGGGCGCAGTGGCTCACGCCTGTAATCCCAGCACTTTGGGAGCCGAGACAGGTGGATCACGAGGTCAGGAGATCGAGACCATCCTGGCTAAGACGGTGAAACCCCGTCTCTGCTAAAAATACAAAAAAAATTAGCCAGGCGTGGTGGCAGGAGCCTGTAATCCCAACTACTCGGGAGGCTGAGGCAGGAGAATGGCATGAACCCGGGAGGCGAAGGTTGCAGTGAGCCAAGATCGCATCACTGCACTCCAGCCTGGGTGACAGAGCGAGACTCCATCTCAAAAAACAAAAAACAAACAAACAAACAAAAAAAGAAAGTGAAATGTGTGTCCATTAGAGCCAGAACAGGATTGTCCTGTGAGTGCATCGCTTAGTCAGAGGACTCCAACTGTACAAGGGGGAATGTGGATCGCTGACCCTGAAAACAGCAGTCAGCCCTGTCTTCCTCTGGTGTGATAGCAGCAGGCAGCTGAATGAGGAAAGAACGTGGGATTCAGAGTCATCACACCCAGCTCTGAGTCCTGGTTGCATAGGCTGGCTACTGATGGCAATCTCGGGCACGTTGCCTGTCTACCCTGAGCTTTTCTCCTCTATAATGCAGGCTTCTAAGGACTACATGGCATTACATGGGGCACAGAAAGAGGCTTTATAAAATGCAAAACCACTATAGAAATGTAAACATTGCATGCATATGACATGTTGCTTTCTCTTCTTAGCTTAGAAAAATAAATTTTAAAAAATTGTAATATGTAATCTTGGCTGGCAAATGTATGAACTCAATTTAAAAACTGATGTCACCTAAAATTGAATTAACACAAGAGTTCAAGTTTCCTTTACTACCACTACCTCATCACAACTTGTTAAAATGTTTTGGGCCACAGAAGGAATTGCCAATTCTAGTACTAATTTGGTAGCTATAGAGAATCTTCAACCGAGAAACAGTTTTGTTGCAGTGGTTCTCGAAATATGGTCTGAGGATTCCTGGGGGTACCTGAGACCATTTCAGGGGGTTCACGAAGTTCTCCCTCCAACTGCAAGTCCATGTGAAACTAGTTTTTCTTCATATACTTTAACCAAAGCAGTGCATCAAATGAAGAAGCAGACTTGAGAATCCAACTGTCTTCCATTGTCAGACATAAAAGAGATTTGCAAAAAGGTAAAACAATGCTAGTCTTATCACTAAATTTTTTCATTTTGAAAAATAGTTGATTTTAATAAAAGTATGTTAATAAGTGAAAAAACATTATCTATACACAGACACATACACACATATGTATAGGCATATGAGATAAAGTAGTGACTCTAAGAGCACTGTTCATAGTACTTTGCTTCTTAGAGACAGGGTCTCTGTCATCCAGGCTGGAGTGTCGTGGTACAGTCGTAGCTCACTATAGCCTCAAACTCCCAGACTCAAGGGATCTTTGCATCTCAGCCTCTACATGCGCCACTACATCCAGCTTAGATTTTTGTATTTTTTGTAGACACGGGGTCTGTGTTTTGTATATTTTGTAGAGACGGGGTCTGTGTTGCCCTGACTGGTCTTGAACGCCTGGCCTCAAAGAATACTCTTCCTTCGGCCTCCTAAAGTACAAGGATTACAGGCAGGAGCAGCTGCACTTGGCCTCATTGTACTTTTCATTCAACTTTTTTGTAGGCTCAAAATTTCCACAAATTTTTAAATTTTGTGGGAAAGTGTAAAAACAAACCAGAAAATCACATGAATTCCCCTAGAGGTGTTCTCCTCTACTCCACAGCCAAAATCGGGAGAGGCAAATTTCTTGTTCTCTCCTTTTGGGAGGAGGGTTTATGTCTAAGCTACCCTACACTGAGGGTGCGACTCCTGATGTCTCAGTTTTCTATGAAAGGTTTCCTACTGGGCTTTTCACCCTAGGATGTCTTTTTCTTAATCTCTTCAACCCATTATGCTGATACAACAGAAGTTTAAGGTCCCAGGTTTTATCAGGCACTTTCAGGGTAAAATCTAGCTTTGGCACTCGCTTTCCCTCTCAGGACTCAGGCTTTCATTTTATATTTGGTCTCTATACGTTTCTTGCTTTCTTGCCAGCTCAATAATTCATTTAATTTTAAAATTTCTACCCCAAGTTTTTAGTTATTTTCACTGGGAGGATCATTCAGGGTATGTCATCACATTACACTACTAGAAACAATGCAACAGCATTTTAAATGGAAGTTAAATTGCAATCACTTTTCTTCCAATTCTTGCAGAGATTCAAACAGTGGTTACAGCCACAAGCAAGAGATTCAAATAGTGGTTACAACCACAAGCAAGTTTTGAAAAAAAAATTCTTTACCATAATACTGTAAAAAAGCTTGTGGCCCTAAGGCATAAATCCAGCATGTTCACCTTTCAATTACACAGTTGAAAATATAGTTGTCTCAACACAAAAAGGTGCTCTATCAAACCAATCTTTCTCCCTAATTTGTGCAGCTCATTTATTCAAATTATTGTGAATTCAGAATTCTACATTCTGTACAAAAAAAAGTATGAAGATAGGCCAGATCATGAGAAAACACCTTCTCAAAAGTCATAAATACGTTCATAACAATGTGGAAATAGCCCTGTTGACAAGTGCAGTACATCTCTTTTTTCATGCTTTTTAATTTGCAAGGACATTTTTATATAAGAAGCAGGTTTCTAAAGCCAATGTCATTCATGGTTTCCTTTTTAGTGTAGTGGGCTTGGGATCCTCGGGATTAGACTACTGCCTGAGGATGGTCCACTCCCCTTTACTCAAGCCTCCCCTTAAGATTTAGGATAGACCTTTCCCCTGGATAACTGAGTAGGTTATCATCAATTTCCTTAGTTGCAAGAACACCAGCCTCAATTATTTATTAAAGAAAAATAAAGAAAAAGGTAAACAGACATGATTCTGCAAAAAACAAATCTCAGAATTATAACATCACATGAAAACCCAGTCCCTGATTATCATGGAATAATTATTCCCGAGTGTCCATTACAGGTTGTAGATGCTGGATATTTTTATCCTGAGACCTTGTTTGGCCTGAACCAGCCCTTGAACTCTATTTGTCTCATCTCTACATTGGACAATATACCTAGCTGTACCTGCATATACACATGTGAGATATATCGTATCTCTATATAAAGTAACACACACTCCACCTGAGTTTGGAGCTCAGTATTTGCTCTGTTACAAAAGCAGCTGAAATCACTCATTCTACTTGTAGTCAGGGCAATTAAAATTTACTCTAAGTCCTGCTGTATTTTCCTTCCATTTACAAGAGGGTTAGGTGCCCCTTCCCTAACAGAGTATGCTCTACTTGTTCAAAGATTGTCAACAATAACCTACAGTTTCCCCGTTTCCTCTTATTTAAGCTTTGGGTGATAATAGATTAACAAACTCAATTACAAATGGAAACATCTGAACTCCACTGTCTTAATTTATTTAGTGTTGCTGTAACAGAATATCCAAGACTGGGTAGTTTATTTTAAAAGAAAGAGAGAGAGGTCTATTTGGCTTATGATTGTGGTGGCTGAAAAGTTCAAGTTTGGGCATCCACACACATGTGGTGATGGCCTGAAGCTGCTTCAACTCTTGGTGGAAAGCAAAAGGGGAGCTGGTGTGTGCAAAGAGATCACATGGTGGGAGGGGAAGCAAGAGAGAAACCAAGGAGCCAGGCTCTTTCTCACAACCCATCCCATTCTAATCCATCCCACGAGAGTAAGAACTCGCTCACCTTTGTGGAAGGGCATTAATCTATTCCTGAGGAATCCATCCCCAGGATTCACACACCTCTCACTAGGGCCCACCTCCCCACACCACCGCAAAGGGGATCAAATTTCAACATGAGTTTGGGTGGGACAAACCATCTCCAAACCATAGCACCCACAAAAATAAAGATAATAATAAGGAAACCACCATGTGCCAGGCACTGGGTTAAGTGTTTATATTCATCCTCCAACTAAGAACAGTACTATTGGCTTTTCCACTCACCTGAAAACAGGTCCCATTAGCATCTTCATCTTATGAATGACCACTCTAAGGAACAGAACCATTAAATGGCTTCCCAAGGTCATATAGTCATGGAGCCAGTATTAAAGGCTGTTGCACTCCTAACCAGGACACTACCCCTTCTTGTTTTTACCGGCCACTCTCAGAAATGTTTCAAGATCATGCATCCTGGGAATCAGTTTCAGGTCCCTGAAGTCAGAAGCCCAATGCTGTTCATTGAGAGCCATGATATGTTACGCACCACCCTAGAGCTGGTTCTTAACCCATAAGGTAGCTATCGTTCCCATTTCCCAGTGAGGAAAGTAAGACACCACTCCTTTATTCATCCAAGAGCGTAAAGGACTTCCCCAAGGCCACACAGCTAGTAAGTGGCTGGGCCAGGTTTCAAACCCAGGTGTGGCTCCACCGTGCTGCCTCTCCAGATCATACATAGCATTATGATTCCTTCACGGGACAGAGCTATATCATGATGTAGCATGCTGGTGACCACAACCATTTTGGCAATGGCTTTCTAAAAATACAGAGAAAAAAAGCAAATACTAAAAAACTGAGTTTTTGGCTTCACATAATATGTGAAGAAGGAAGTACGTTAAATTAATTACAAGAAATGCATTCTCATGGCCTCAATTCACGTAGTGTGCCCCAGAAGCAAAGTTTTATGCATTGATTAGACATTCACTCTCCCTAAGGCAGTGCAGGCAAGTAGAAGGACACTGTGTCTAGGGTCAGAAGACCTCAGTTCGAGTCCACTTTCTGGCATTTCCTTGGGAAGGTTGTTCAATCTCCCTGACCTTCAGTTTTCTAATCTGTGCAGTGGAAATTATAACTATAGTACCTGCTGAAAAAATTGGTGCGTTATAATTATAACTATGGCACTCATCTGTCCCACCTCATTGTTGTAAAGATTAGATGAGATCAAATATAAGACAAAGCTCCCTATCTGAATGAGATATTTAAAGTTGGTTATTATTATGATGTGGGTTTCTAGGCAGTAAAAACTTACCATACTCTTCCACAGAAAAAGAAAAAGATGACGTGTGGATATATGTTTACTTATAATAAACATGCATATATATGCATGCATGAATATGAGTACAAGGACATATGTATTAGAACATTGTGGTGTGCAAAAGAAGATGAGAAAAACTAGTCATAATCTCGCAGAAGAAGCCCTGATAAAGTATGCTAGGGCAAGTCTGCAGGCCTCTGATTTTAGCTGCTTAACTATTGGATACACAGACAGTGTTGAAAGATTGTGTTCAAGGCACTGCAGCCCTCAGAGAACTAGCCCCAAAGCCCATGACCCCACAAGCAACTTTAGGGAGCTGCTGTGGATGAAGTACCTGGCCCCACTGGAAAGGCACTAGAAAATGAGCTCTTACTTTGCAGGGAGTGGTCAGGGGAACATCAAGGAAAGAAGAAGGAATCATCAATGGGGCTTGGGGCTCACTCAGGAGGAGCTCTTCCTGATAGGTGCTTTAAAGGAATCAGTGCTCAAAACCCCTGGATGTGATGAGCTCATTCATCCTTGAGGGACCCTTTGTCGCCTCTCACCTGTCCTTCTGAGGTCCTCCACGCGTTCCCCTTCTCTGTTCTTATTCCAAATTCCTCTACTACATTTACTCACCCTGGATTTCTGGGTAAACTTTATTAGATTTGTTACATCTATTTTCCTTTCCCATTAGTCAATTTTTAAATGTGGTAGCCAAAATAATCAACATCACTAGTAATTATACCCATACTCAAAAACTCTTCTGGTGAAGAGGCATGGCAGAACTCCACAGGGAAATCCTATTGTGAGGATTATATAGGTCGGAAAGTCATTTTTAACTGACATGCATGATAAAGCACATGCTACATACCAATGGAATTTAACGTTCAAATGGAATAATAAACTATGTTTGCAGTATACATTTCTAGATCCATACATGAAATCACATTTCCATTAAACAGTTTTCAAGTCAGTGACCAATTCCCTCCTACTTCTCCTGAAATTTATATGAACCTGGATCATTTTAATACCACTGGAAAGAAACACTATACTTAGAAGGAGATGAACAACAGATTTAATATTTTTTCGTTTGCGGTACTAGGAGGCAAGCTGGTAACTCTAATGCCCTGTGTGCCTCGACTCCTAGATCTGAGTAGTCAATAAGAAAGTAGGGAAGGGACTACCAGCAAGAAAAGAAGCCCACTAATATTTCCTTCTCCTTCCTTCTGTGTTTTCTTCTGCTTAATAATTGAGTCTAATATTAATGGACAAGGATTGCCAGAAAAGGCATGATCTAGAACAGGGGTCAGTAACCTTTTCTGTAAAGGACCAGAGAGTAAATATCTGAGCCCTTCGCAGGCCACATGGGCTCTGTTACAACTACTCAACTGTGCCATTGTGCCACAAAAATGGACACAGCATTGCTGTATTCCAATAAAACTTTAATTATGAGCCTTGAAATTTGAATTTCACATGATTTTCACATCACAAATATTAAATTCCAATCATTTAAAACTATAAAAATTATTCTTAGCTCACTGATCCTATAAAAACAAGCAGTGGGCCAGATTCAGCCTATAGGCTATAGTTGCCAGTCCCTGGTCTAAAACTTTTAATACATTAAGAGTATTCTTCTCATTAAAACCACTGAAATTGAAGTCATTTTCTCTCTTTCTGCCCATTTACTTTTCCCTAAGACTTTAATTTTTTTCCCCACACTCTCATTCCCATTCTGATTTACCAGGACATTACTTCTCCTCTCTACCTCACATATTTGTTTTATTGCACTATAAACCTCACTGGAGAATAAAACTATTTGCCAAAGACCCACCTGTAAACACCCAGCACTGCAGCAGCCACTAACAAAGAGGAAGACACAGAACCTGTGGCCAATCATGTGGACATTGGCAATAATCCATTCCCTTCTCCTTCTTTCTTCCTGGTAGAGTCCACCTCTTATAATAGTCTGAAGAAAACAGATTGTTACTTTTCCACCTTCCTGGCAAACAAAGGGGTATGTCTGTGACCAACTCCTGGACAGTAAGACCTGAAGAGAAGTCTGTTGGGGTGCTTCTAGGAAAGGTTTTTCTCACTGGAAAAAAGAAAGCTACAAGAGCAGAATCCCCACCCTCTCCTTGTTTCCTACTTTTAGATGATATCATGTAAAGAGACAGTGTTTAGAGCTGCAGCAGCCATTTTGCAACCATGAGGGAAATCCAGGAATTGGTCCACAGGCATAACATCATTAATTCACCAAAGCACCTCCACAGCTCTCTCCCCCTGGACTTCCTGTTGTAGGCAATAATAAATCCCCAAGATGGGAATTTTGTTGCCATTTATTACACCGACAGACTTCATTCTTGCAAAGCTTACATTGCTAGAGGAGTGATGTGACACATAAAATGAAAAACCCGTTACAAAAAAACATAAAATATCAGGCAGGACACAGCGGCTCACACCTGTAATCCCAGCAGTTTGGGAGGCGGAGGCAGGTGGACTGCTCGAGCCCAGGAGTTCAAGACCAGCCTAGGCAATATGGCAAAATCCCATTTCGACAAAAAAAAATACAAAAATTGGCCAGGCATGTAGTGGACACATGTAATCCCAGCTACTTGGGAGGCTGAGATGGATCACTTGAGGCCAGGAGGTTGAGGCTGCAGTGAGCCGAGGTCGTGCCACTGCACTCCAGCCTGGGTGACAGAGTGAGACCCTGTCTCCAAAAAAAAAAAAAAAAAAAAAAGGAAGAAAAAACCTAAAATACCATAACTCCTCCCTCCTTGGCAGCTCTATTCGACCTAAATCAAAATACGTTCATATCTCTCCCACAGAGTTACTGCTCTATATATACTTTCTGCTTTACAGACAAACTTCTTAAAAGTTAATCTGTCCTTAGCAGGGCACAGTAGTGCACACCTGCAATCCCAGCTACACAGGAGACTGAGGCAGGAGTATCTTTTGAACCCAGGAGTTTCAGACCAGCCTGGGCAACACAGCAAGACATCCCCACCCCACCCCACCTCCGCCACTGTCTCTAAAAACCCACCAACTTATCTACCCTTACCATCTCCACTTCCTATTCTGTCATCCTCACTCCTCAAATAGCAATACTCTGCCCTTCTTTCACCCACATTACTCCATCAAACTGCTTTCAACAGAGTCACCAGTGACTTCCCAGTTGATAAACCCAAGCACAGTTTTTAGCTCTTATCTGGCCTGACCTCTCCACACAGGTCAAAATAGTCGATACTATACACTATACCTCCCCCGCACCATACTTTTTTTTTTTGGTTTGTTTGTTTTGAGACAGAGTCTTGATATGTCGCCCAGGATGGAATGCAGTGGTGTGATCTCGGCTCACTGCAACCTCCACCTCCCGAGTTCAAGCGATTCTCCTGCCTCAGCCTCCCAAGTAGCTGGGATTACAGACGCCCACCACCATGCCCAGCTAATTTTTGTATTTTTAATAGAGATGGGGTTTCACCATGTTGGCCAGGCTGGTCTCAAACTCCTGACCTCAAGTGATCCACCCATCTCGGCCTCCCAAAGTGCTGGGATTACAGGCGTGAGCTACCATGCCCGGCCCACAAAACCATACTTTCCAGATTTTCTTTTGCATCCTTAAGTATTTATTTCTGGCTTCTCCTTCTACTAGGCTCTTAATACTAGTGTTCCCCAGTGTTCCTGTACCCCCCTCCCTGTTTTTTCTTATTTTACCCACTCTTTTTATATAGTCTCATCTGTACCTACAGCTTTAGTGAACTAATTAGAAGTAATTTGTAATTAGCAGCACTGATTTTCCTGTTGAAAGTTAACTACTAAAATCCCTCGATGTGACAGTTCTTTTAGTTAGGACAAACATGCCCCCAGGAAATGAAGTAATACTATTCATTTGCTTGCAAACCATTTTTTCCCCATAGATGAACTTCAGCCCAAATAAAATCAAACTATCCAAAATTCCCAGCTACTTGGGAGGCTGAGGCAGGATCCAAATTCATGTAATTTTCGTGTATTTTGCAAGTTTGTTTTATGCCATATTAATTCATTACACTCCACATCATATTTTCTTAGCAAATACATCTAGACACCTGGCACTCAGTAAGGGATATTCCTGGCACGATAATCATTGTTATCATTAGACATTGCAGGAACCACCATATGGATGGATAAATGTGTTGTTTAATGAAGGCAAGCAATTACTTTAAGAGATCCTAGTTGTTATAAACTCTCTCTGGACTTCAAGTTTGGTATATACATAATTATTAAATGTATACATAATTATTAATTGTAACATGTCCTCACAATTGATTTCTGGCTATTTTTCTAAGGATTTTACACTTTATTTAGTAAAATATATTAAAGAGGTTAATGATAATTTTTTTATAGAGACCCTTAGATTGAAAATGACTGATTTTTCACACCTCTTTTCTTGCTTTACTAATCGTCAGTGCCTAATTGCTAAAGCAAAATATCTTCTAAATTCTGGGGAGGAAATTCTACTTTGGGCCAGGCGCGGTGGCTCACGCCTGTAATCCCAGCACTTTGGGAGGCCGAGGCGGGCTGATCGTGAGGTCAGGAGATTGAGACCATCCTGGCTAACATGGTGAAACCCCGTCTCTACTAAAAATACAAAAAAAAAAAAAAAAATTAGCCGGGCATGGTGGTGGGCACCTTTAGTCCCAGCTACTCGGGAGGCTGAGATAGGAGAATGGCGTGAACCCGGGAGGCGGAGGTTGCAGTAAGCCGAGATCGCGCTGCTGCACTCCAGCCTGGGCGACAGCGAGACTCCATCTCAAAAAAAAATAATAGGAAATTCTACTTTGAATTGCACACTAATCAAAAGACTCCAGCTTCATTTACAGAGACCTTATCTGTGCTAAGTAGTTTTTGGAATAGCTTTTTTCCTGTCACTTAAGCACCTTCCTTTATTATTAATAGTAAACTAAATAGGAGTCCAAAGTCTGCCTTTCCCAGTGCTAGAGTATAAATGTCATCACACGGTAGAATGTAAACATCTTTTTTTTTTATTATTTTTATTTTTTTGGACAGGGTCTTGCTCCGTGGCCCAGGCTGGAATGCAGTGGCATGATCATGGCTTTCACTGCAGTCTCAACCTCCTGGGCCCAAGCAATTCTGTCACCCCAGCCTCCCAAGTTCCTGGGGCCACAGGTGGGCACCACCATGGCTAACTAATTTTTTAATTTTTTTTTTTGAGACAGAGTCTCACACTGTTGCCTGGGCTGGAGTGCAGTGGTGCAATCTCGGCTCACTGCAACCTCCACCTCCCGGGTTCAAGCGATTCTCCTGCCTCAGCCTCCTGAGTAGCTAGGATTACAGGTGCCCACCACCATGCCTGGCTAATTGTTTGTATTTTTAGTAGAGACGGGGTTTCACCATGTTGGCCAGGCTGGTCTCGAACTCCTGACCTTGTGATCCACCGGCCTCGGCCTCCCAAAGTGCTGAGATTATAGGTGTGAGCTACTGCGCCTGGCCTGATTTTTTAATTTTTATTTTTATAGAGATGAGGTCTCACTATGTTGCCCAGGTTGGTCTCCAGCTCCTGGCTCAAGTGATTCTCCCACCTTGGCATCCTAAGTGCTGAGATTATAGGCATGAGCCTCCATGCCTGGCCCCTTTATCCATCTTTTAATGTTAATAATTATATCCATTTCTGTTTCCTTCAAAAATTCAAGTGGAAAACCTGACATAAATAATGGTAACTTTTTTATTATACCTATATCAATTAACACATATGTATAAAACTTCTACTTAGTTGTGCCAAATATCAGTGCACAGTATGGGTGATTTCCCCCACTTGCGAAGAATGGTGCTATAGTCACCGCACAGGAGCAGGATAGATCCCCACTCTCAAAATTGGGTTTGGATATCAAAATCAATAATGCCATCACACATGCAGCAAAGGGGTTTGAAAGGTTTATTGCTCACATAATACGTTTTTTTGGGGGAGAGTAAGATGGGCTTCCAAGCTGGTCTGAAAACTAGAGAGAACAAGAAAGGAGAATGGCTTTGGGATTCTTATTGTGGTTAGGAGTGGGGCTGTGGTGAGGGTTCCTGTACATGGGCTAGGGCTTACTGTTGGAACTTTGTGCTAGTGCCAAGGAAGGAGCACCTAGGCATTCTTATCAGTTTGCTCAGATGTGGGGCAGAGAGGAAGGGAAGTGGTGGGGCTTGAGAACTGTCTGCAGTCAAACATCAAAAATTAAGTCATACTCTGTATTACAACAATTAGAAAAGAAATAAAATGTAGTATATCAGTTCTCTATTGCTACAATATTGTTACATAACAAACAACCCCCAAACCTCAATGGTATACAAAAATAAATGTGTCCTGCTCACACATCTGGAGTCAACTAAACAGCTCTGCTGATCTTGCCTGAACTCATTCATCTGTCAGCTTGATCTTGGCTGGCTTTGCCAGGGGTGGGCTATACCCTGCTCTATGTCTCTCATCCTCCAGTAGGCCAGCACAGGCATGCTATCATGGCAAAGGCAAAGGTGCAGGAGTAAACCAGCCCAATAACACAAGCACTTTTTAAGCCTCTGCTTGTGGCACTTTTGCCAAAATCCTGTTGGCCAAGCATGTTACGTGGCCAAGCCATGAGATGTGTACACAGAAAAATAAAAGATGTGTACACAGAAGAGCAAAGAATTGGGGCCATTTTTGTAACCTACTGCACCTATTAATGGATTACTAATATGTCACAACTCTTATCCTAGATTACAGTATTAAGAGAAGGAAAGTCAATTCAATGATATATTTACTACTAAATGTTAGGTACTGTACTTGGAATTAGAGTTACAAAACTAAATGAGATAATCCTAAGGAGCTCACAGTTGGATACTGGAAAAAAAATCAAACAAATTAATACATTATTAAAATAAATGAAATAAAATCCAATGTAAGTACATGAATAGATATTTTAATAAGAAGTGGCATGGAAATGAAAATAAACTCTTTTGTCTCCTTTATCATATATTTCATAGCTAATTAAATTAATTTTATTATAATCAAATTTACTGTAGACCTGAGGACATAAAGTTTACTGAGACTCCCTAGCGAATGGCTGCATAAAAATGCAAGCCCTCTAAAAGCAAAACCAGATTGTAAATTCTGTTAGGCTAACAGAAAGTCATTTGATTCTTTTGTTTTTCCGTTACACTTAGTAGTCAACCAAAATTTATTGTGTGCCTATATGTGTGTATTAGTCAGAGTTCTCTAGAGGGACAGAACTAACAGGATAGATAGGAAGGGGAGTTTATTAAGGAGTATTGACGCACGATCACAAGATGAAGTCCCACAATAGGCCGTCTGCAAGCTGAGGAGCAAGGAAGCCAGACTGAGTCCCAACACCTCAAGTAGGGAAGCTGACAGTGCAACCTTTAGTCTGTGGCTGAAGGCCCAACAGCCCCTGGCAAATCACTAATGTAGGTCCAAGAGTCCAAAAGCTGAAGAACTTGGAGTCTAATGTTTGCGGGCAGGAAGCATCCAGCACAGAAAAAGATCAAGGCCAGAAGACGCAGCAAGTCTGCTCTTCCGTCTTCTCCTGCCTGCTTTATTCTAGCCATGCTGGCAGCTGATTAGATGGTGCCTACCCAGATTGAGGGTGGGTCCGCCTTTCCCAGTCCACTGACTCAGGTGTTAATCTCCTTTGGCAGCACCCTCACAGACACACACAGGAGCCATACTTTACATCCTTCAATCCAGTCAAGTTGACACTCAACATTAACCATCATGATGTGCAAGCTATTTTGCTGGGAATTTGCTAGGATCGAAAATTCCTAGTTTTTTTGTTGTTTGTTTGTTTTGGTTTTGAATCTTTAATGAGAAAAAATACTATTGTGCTCAAGAACACCGTGCGTCTGGTGTGTCATTGGGTCAAGGGTTGGGGACACACATGGCAGAATTCAGAAACAGGGTAACATCAACAAAAATACACACGGTCATAAAAAGAAAAACTGGCACCTGGCATGATCAACTCTGTTTCCTCATCATTCAGCAGCATGTTGGGGATCCTGCGGCTGATGGGGAACACACGTCCAGACTCTGGGCACTGCAGGGTGCCCTCCAACACATCTACCTCCAGCAGCACGTGGTGCATTGTCCTCACCATGGAGATTCCTAGCAAATACTCTAGGTATTTTAAATAGAAGAAATTTAATACAGGGAAATGATTACATATATAGTAGAAGAACTGAGATGTCAAACAGAAGAGTGAGGCAATCCACATTTTAGCAACTGCAGTAAGTGACCTCCAATGTCATGGCTGGAGGGTGCAAATGGTGAGAAGGCAGAAGCTAGAATCATGGTGGACCCCACCTGCAAGAGTCACAAAGAAGATGCATCCATTCAGGTCACAGAGAAGTAAATACTCTAGTGTCTACCTTCTACCTTCTTATTGCTCTCTAGTCTCCCATTTTATCTAGACTGCTGACAAGCATGCAGTGGAAGGTGAGCACCAGATCTGAGAGGAAACAGGCAGTGTCTGGTGGCACACTACACAAGAACTCTCACAGGCATCCACTAGGCTTGCTTGGTGACTCATTTAAGGAGTAACCCTATTTTATGTATCAGAGTAGTCTATGGTGTGATATAGCATATTGCTGCTTTTGATGTTTGGTTTCATTTGTTCCCTGTAGGCACCTAATCACTGTTTTTTAAATTCCCCAGGAGATTCTGGTATACCCAATCAGCTGAGAACCACTGAATAGTGGCTTTCAAAATTTTGAGCATCCAAATATTGTCTTCACAGAAAATCTTAATCTCTGAAGTCTACTGTAAAAACATAGAAAGGCAAGGCTGTTCTGCTTGAAGCGTAGCTTGGGAGCCTAGATTCCTCTCAAACCCAGGCCACTCCTGGGAACATGGTCTGGAGATTTGAATGTTCCCAAATCTAGTTTATCTCATTAGTCGATATTTATGCACATCCTCTGTGTCTCTCAGTGTTCTCTCATGTGTAGACATATGCCCCATTCCAAAGAGTGACTGTAGTGTAATGTGGCATTAAAGGAACCCTGGATAGACCTGTATTGGACCTTACATATTAGAGAGCTCTGCAGATAGCTCACAAATCTCCAAGTCGCTAGCTGTAAATTGAGTGATAATTGGTGTCAGGTTATTTTAGCACAGTTTGGGGATAAAATGGTGCATTAATCTCCCAGTTTGTGGCTTATTAAACTTTGAAATGGAATTATTTGAGACATAAAAGAGATAGCAATACTTTGCTGGATGTTCTCCATTAGTCGAGATTGTTACAGAGGAGAAATTTTTGCCACTGTTTATCAAATATTTTTTCCTCTAGTTAATCCATATCATTCCGGGAGCTTTGCCCAGGAAAAGGACGAATTACTTGCGTTCCTCCGATCTCTTTCAAGTTCTACTCCCGTACCTTTAAACTGTCACACGGAATCTTTGGTGACAGAGGAATAGAGGTGGGCAAGCAGGGCGTTTGGAAACCATACTGAAAACGAATTATCCATAAAGCACAGATTCACCAGCCTAGAAATGGCTCTGTCTGGATGGATTCCTTGAGATGTGTTTTATCTCCATTAAAAACACAACAACTTTCAAACTTTCACTGTGTCTCAAAATGATAGAGAAAAAAATTCAGCCTTTCAAGTATTCAAGAAAAGCTTGAAGAAATAAAAGAAACTCGCTGCTCTCTGGGCCACTTTAGGAGGCAGAGCGTTCCTGGAGAACTTCAGGATTCATTCGCAAGGGAACCCAAGGTGGGCATTCAAAGCCGATCCAAAGGATATTCTTCTTTTTAGAAAACAAAAGGAGCGCAAGGAGTAGGGGACTGAAGGTGCCCAAAGCTAGTGGGTCAGTGTCACTTTCTTCCTCCCTTTCGCCCCTTTCCTCCCGCTCCTTTCTCCCCTGTGGTCTCTGCTCAGCACCCCTTTCTCTCCAGCCCCGACTGCCCATCTTCGCCCCTACCCTCGCGCGTCGGGGCCGTGTCTACACCCACCCCAGGACCTGGTCCGTCCAGGCTCCTTCCCATCCTCACACCCGCGCCTTTCTCCCTGCGGCCCCGGCTCGCTGCTCCAGCTGCCCAGCTCTTCCCAGGACAGGGGATCCCGCCAAGGGGGCCGCCCCCGCCCCGGCCCTCCCCCGCCCGGCCGCACCATAAAGCGCCCGGCCGCTGCCGCGGAGCCCAGCAGCCAGCTCCCCAGCACCGCACGGCGGGGACGCGAGCGCGCCCCCGACGGCAGCCCGGACGCCGAGCACGGGTCACCTGCGGCGCCGGCCCGGGCGCCGACCGAGGTTCAACGCACGGCCCGGGGACCCCCAGGCGGGGCCAACGCCGCCGTCGCCCCCGGCCTCGCGGGGAGCAGGAAGAGCCAACATGCTGGCCCCGCGCGGAGCCGCCGTCCTCCTGCTGCACCTGGTCCTGCAGCGGTGGCTAGCGGCAGGCGCCCAGGCCACCCCCCAGGGTAAGTGGGTTCGGGTCGGGCCTGGGAGCGCCGGGCACCGGGTGCCCCATCTGCTGAGTGAGTGGAGGGACTTGCTCGGCCCTGTGCTCCTGTGGCCTTGCTCAGCCCCTCTCTGTCCCTCCCGGGCCCAATCAAAGCATATTGTGATTGGAGGTAGTGATTAGTCTAGAATTTTCCGAAATTCGATTATCCAATGATGAGAACAATTGCCTAAATAGTTGGGGGATGCAAAATTGTTTCAGACTATGCAAAGATGTGGGGTGGGGTTGCCTTCAAAACTTGCTACACGGTCCTAGACCTCTTAACATGTTAGGCTCTGGTGTAGGGTGAATTCCGGGTCCTGCACCCTGTGCCGGTTCCCTCCAGGCAGCCTTGCTCCCTAAATCCTTCCTCAGGCGGAGCGATGTATGCCCAGAGTCTGCTCTTGACATCCCTGAGAAAGACGCAGAATTACTCTACTTGCCCTGCCACCTGCATTTTCTGCTCTGACTTTGCTTGAACGACAAAAAGAAAGTTTATTTCAAGGATTGGCTTGATGTCTTAATTTCTGAGGTAAATAGGAAGGGCTGAGAAACTGGTCTTTTTCAATGAAATCAGTTCTTTGCAGCAAGATGGATGCAGCTGGAGGCCATTTTCCTAAGTGGATTAAGGCAGGAACAGAAAAGCAAATACCATGTTCTCACAAGCGGGAGCTAAGCAGTGGATAGATATGGACATAAAGATGGAAACAGTAGACACTGGGGACTCCAAAAGTAGGGGGGAAGGTTGGGAAAACTACCAATTGGGTACTACGTTCACTGGGTGATGTGTTCACTAGAAGCTCAAATCCCACCTTATGCAATGCACCCATGTAACAAACTTGCACATGTACCCTCTGAATCTATAATTTAAAAAGAAAAAAGAAAGAAATTGATCTTTTTCTATGAAACGGTAAAAATTCAACAAATAATGTGAAAAGATACTTGGACAATCCTCAAACCCCTTGGTGAAATGGGGTGAAATAGCCATTGGGTAGAAAGCAGTTAAACAGAATTTTTTGTAAAGACCAAAAGGAAGACATGATTTAAGCAAAGAAAGATCTTAGGGCTATAACTGGCCCTAACTGGTCAGGCGTGAGCTTCATCTGTTTGAACTTGGTGCCTGGGTTGATTTATTACTGACTGTGGAAGTAAAACTGGAAGAGACGCACAACTTGAAGTAAAAGTTGTTTTTCCTCTTGTAGCCAGAGCAAAGACTGCCTATGAGGGCGTTCTCAACTTCCCTGCCTCTCGCTGCTGGAATCACCCATTTAAACTGCATTTCGCCAAATAACTCATTTTCATTCCAGACCAGACAACCAGAACTGTGGTTTCAGGGGTTAGAGTACTGCTAACTTTTAGTTTGTGTTGAAGTATTTGAAATGCTGTAGTCCGTGCCCCATACTTCTAGGAAGGTAAAAAAGGAAGCTTTTAAACACTTCAAAAGTCTTATTGTGATGATATTTGGCAAGTTCAAATTTATAGGTATAATTTTTTTGTGTTATATACGTTCTTGACTTTTGAACATACAGCTTTATGGTGTGCCTTAGGTATGTCTCAGACATACCTGACCATTTTATGGAGATTTGAACTCGGCCTATACAACCTAAATTATCTGGGTAATTTAGTTGCTGTAGATGATCTGATTAAGTTAAGTTTCTGATAGATTCTTTTATTGCATTATCTAGTCTGCAATTATCAGGCTTAACAGGATAATTTGATTATCTCCTTCTTCCCCTGAGCTTCATTGTTGGTCTTAAATTAGTATATATTCAATTTACATACCATGGTAGCTGCGCTCATTGGTAGCAGTAATTTCACCTCTAACAGTAGAGGGTTGTGCTTTGATCCTGGCACTTAAACGTAATAACATTAATAGAAAATGGTAGTGTCTCATTTCCTTTTCAAAACACTCTCTATGTTCATTACTAACTAATCCCATCTCTGCCGCTTGAGAGAGATGCAAATGAATCAGACGAACCATAGATTGAAATACCGCAAGTTTAGCTTGAGTTACATCATGAACCTGATCATAGTCAAAGGAAGAATCAAGAGTACTAAGAATTTTGTTTTGAATGTAGTTCCCATACTTTAAATACATATCTCTTTTCTGAAGATGTTTTGTCCTGAATGGAACTTTAAAACATATTGCCTTATTTCCCTTTGCCCTCATTAGTGGAAATGTAAAGTTTCCAATTCTCTTGAAAATTAAAAAATCCAATTTCCCTTTTGAAATGCAGTAGGCAACAGTGTTTATGGTTTAGGGATATAGGCACTAAGAGGAGCACAGTAAATGTTCTGCTTTCCAACACATCTCATGTTAATTTCATTATTGTGTAAGGACCCCTGGTACATGTGAAAAATACAGTATAGATCCAGTTTGAAGACAAATTGTCTTTTAAAAGGGGTAAATATTCTTGAGTAACTAGGTTTTTGCCTGTTTGCTTTAGAACTTTTATTCATTCTTATTACAAAAGCAATACCTGCCCATTGTAGAAAAGATTAAAGTTAGATAAGCAAAAAATAAAATAAAAAGAAAAGAGGAAATTTAAAACTTATATTTATGCAACCCGGGGATAGCTTCTATTAACATTAACATGTTGTTGTATTGTCTTTCATTTCAAATATTTTTCTATGCAAAAATATATTTCAAATGGAATTACGTTATACATATAGTTTTAGAATCCTTTTTTCTTAATGTATCATGAACATCTTTTCACATCTGTAAGTATTCAGCTACATTTTAAAAATAGGTAGTATTCTGCTTTTTGGAAGAATCAAAATGTATTTAGCCAGGGTTGTAATATAGAACCCTTAAGTTGTTTTCGGTTTTGATATTGTAAATATTAATTTATTGAACAAGTGCAGGTGTCACAGGATGGTTTGGGATGAGTTTAACCATCCCCTCAATCTCAGCCAAGCCCTTCTCTTTTTTTTTGCTAAGGACAGTTAATGTTTTCATAGCAAAATGCTATGCCAACAGAGCTCAGGTTTACCTCTCTTCCAATTAGATTTTCACCTAATTCTTTCCTAAATAGAAATTCTAGAATTACCACTAGTGTCTAATATTCTTGTACCTAAATCATTTACCATGTTATCCATTATTTCCCTAGGATAAATTCCCATAAGCAGAATTGCTAGATCAAGGAGCACATATGTTTTAGGGCCTTTGATACTGTTGTTTAAACTGTCTTCAAAATGTTTATACTAGTTTAAATGTTACACAGTGGTACAGAGAGTGCCCATTTCCCTGAACCCTCACAAACAGTTGAGTACTGTTGTATTTACTAATTTTCCAATTCGATGGTGAAAACAATACGTTATTGTTTAAGTTAGCAACTCCTGCATCATTAGGTAAATACATGAACATTTATTTATATACTTAATGGTCATTGTAATTCTTTTTATGTAAATTGCCTTTTCATATTCCTTGCCCATTTTTCTATTAAGATGCTTATCATTTTATTGATTTGTAAGAACTCTTTATCAATTGTCAATATTACCCATTTAATAACCAGATTATTATATCCAAGAGACAGCTGTAGGTGCTGAAGTTTCTGCAGCCTATGGAATTGTTCAAATGATATTTGCGTCTGCTAATAGATATACTAAATAACTTCCACTGAGTATTACCCAAATTTGGCCTTTGCCTTTTAAATGACTCTGGGCATACTCTCTCATAGCTTTCATAAATATTACAAAGTTTGTGAGAGAAAGTACTGCTTGCTTGATCAAAAGCAACTTATACAAATACAAATGCAGATTCTGATTTTTGTAGAGCAATTCTATCAGTCAAGAGACAGAAACCACATCATTTTGTTTTGTTTTGTTTCCACATTGGGATTTTTTTAAACAGAGAAATGTTGGAGAATTGTAAAGGCACAAAGGGAACACTTAGGTCTCACAAAGGTGGCAAATCACTTTCTACCAGCACATCTACCACCATAGCCATGTTTTCTGCTGCATTTCCTGTCATTTGTCACTGACCAGGAAAACACAATTGGCTCTGGTCCTGGAGGTGCCTATGGGACTCCGTGACAGAAATTCACTGCTTGGGGACATCAGTAAAGCAATGGCTTGGATGCTTTCACCAGTCCCCCTTGTACTTTAAGCCTTTAGTGCTTTTCCTGGTGGGCATTTTCAGAGCTACTTGTTCAGCCAAACCCAATTATGTGTTTGCAAATTCAGTCCTCTCTCTTGAGGGCTACACCCAGTGATGAATATTGTGCTGTATTTCTTCTGGCTCAAATGTCCAGCCACTATAAAAGTGACAGGGAAGAACTGGTGAGTTTGGCAATACGGAAAAGGGATTACAAGATTAGTTTACATTACTTTGTAGCTTACTGTCAAATTGCACCCCCCCCAAACAAAGAAACCCTGTTTTCCCCAAAATTGAATCTTTCACTTATACCCCTTCTTCTCCCTTCTTCCCAGTCTTTGACCTTCTCCCATCTTCCAGTCAGAGGCTAAACCCAGGCGCTCTGCTGCCAGTCCTGACAGACCCCGCCCTGAATGATCTCTATGTGATTTCCACCTTCAAGCTGCAGACTAAAAGTTCAGCCACCATCTTCGGTCTTTACTCTTCAACTGACAACAGTAAATATTTTGAATTTACTGTGATGGGACGCTTAAACAAAGGTAAGCAAATTTGCTGAAATTATTTTCTTAAAAATCTCCTTTTTCTATTCCAGGATTAGGGGTATACTGTCTTTGAGATGGTTTCCTTGTACAATTATATTCTCACTCACTAGTCATTTCAGTTTTTAATACTGAATTCTTCTTACTGTACATTTACCTATATTGGCGGGGGGGTGGGGGGCGGTTCAGGAAGAAAGTGACATTGGGAGAAAAAAAGAATTGCTGTGACCAAGATGCTTTTTGACATTGTCTCATCCTGATGTTATTCTGAATCCAGTTCTGGAACAGAGAGGACAAGGGACAATTCAGCCATTATCTTAGGCAGCTCAGGCTGCTATAACAAAATACCATAGACTTTGTGGCTTAAACAATAGACATTTACATCTCACAGTTCTAGACAGTGGTAAGTCTAAGATCATGGTGCCATCTCAGTCCATTTTGTGTTGCTATAAAAGACTACCGGAGACTGGGTAATTTATAAAGAAAAGAGATTTATTTAGCTCACAGTCCTGCAGGCTGGAAGTTCAAGGGCATGGCCCTGGCTTCTGACAAGGACTTTCTTGTGTCACAACGTGGTGGAGAAGGTCAAAGAGGGAGCAGACACATGGGAAGAGGGGAAAACCTGAGGGGCACCGTAGCTTTATAATAACCCACTCTCTCAAGAACTAATTCATTCCCTTGAGAACTAATCCATTTTCACAAGAGCTGAAACTCACTGTCTCGAGAACAGCACCAAGCCATTCATGAGAGATCCAATCCCATAATTCATATGCCTCCCACAAGGCCCTACCTCCCAACACCGCCACATTGGGGACCAAATTTCAGCACGAGTTTTGACAGGGACAGACATACCATATCCAAACCATACCACCCGCAGATTTGGCTCCTTGTAAGGGCCCAGTTCCTGGATTGTAGATGGCCATCTTTTTATTGTGTCCTCACATGATGAAGACAGACAGCAAGCTCTCTTGTGTCTCTTCTTATAAAGTCACTATTCCCATCATGAGGGCCACACCCTCAGGACCTCATCTAAACCTAATCATCTCCCAAAAGCCCCACCTCCAAATACCATCACACTGGAGATTAGGAGTTCAGTATATGAATTTGATGGGGCGGGAGGAAGGGGACAGATACAAACATTCAGCCCATGACAGCCACCCCATACTATTCTTATGTTCCCTTTGAAGCCAGTGCTCAGTAGACCTAGCTCCTAACTCCTTAAGCACCTACCTGGCCGTGATGGAAAGAATATACCTCAACCAGTAGAACAGGATGAATAGGGCTCTTTTCTCCCTGTGCGTGCCAATTTACACAGGCCTGTCACTGGTTTGATCCCTCTGCTGTCATTTGTTTTGTTGCCGTAGTGAGTTACTATAAGCACTGAGAAGTGAGTCCCAAAGAAAATGGTCACTATTTTTCATTGCCTTCTCCTCCACTCCTTCCCCGGGGGACAACACCTGTTCCTGTTTATTAAGGAATGTGACAGATGCGTGTTCCTGCTGCTTCATGCATTTAATAAAATAGGAGGGCTGGTTCTTCTGGCTGGGTTTTATGTTTATTTCAGTTTGCTTTACAAAGTGGACACTTCCTAGTGCTTCAAACTCTCTCTTAGATTATATTTGTGATTGTACACTTAAATCTGCAGGCATTAGGAAATGAAAGAAGTTTCTAATTCTTAACTTTCATAGGACTCTAAAGTTAAAAGTATAAATGAATGGGACTTTAACCCCTTCTTTTCTGTCAGATTCCAACATGCTTCTTGCCTGCTTCCACGCTACTCCCAAGTCTGCTTTCTCTGTATGTGCCTCATAGCCTGTCAGGGGCCTTGAGGAGGTGTCAGATAATAAAGTGAGTCTGAGGACATGGCCAGCAGATGGGTCAACCGTTCCTGTCCCCCTTTCCCCATCTTCAGCCCTAATGAGGGGGGATTCTGCCCATGTCTCTGCCTTGAATCAAACAGCCCCATTTTGCCTAGCATCTGCTGAAGGAACTGCTCATCTTCTGACAACCCAGCTACTCAGTTTGTGATCGTAAAAATCACCGTTCTTCATCTGTGGATCAGCAGCTTCTCCTAACCTGTCTATTTCAGAGGCATTGCAAAGATTTTTCTTTCGGTTCATCCAGCTTAATGGCCAGAAGTTCCTCTGCAGAGTAAAAAACTGCTCCAAGCTTTTGCCCTCACTGCCTCTCACCCTCTATTTCTAAATTGGCCAGTATGTGTGAGCCCATTGTGGAAAGTCTGTTGCTGGGAAACACAAGGAAGCAACTTCCCCTGAACGGATCCTTTCAGTTTGTATAGACAAGAGTAACACTGGATTTAATGGGCAGTAGGTAGAGGGTAAGGGGATCGTTAGTATGTTTCCTCTGAAGAATCACCAGTAATATGAGTCAGCTGTAAATACCAGTTGATCAAATATTTTAGGGGCTGTAATCCCAGCACTTTGGGAGGCTGAGGCAGGCAGATCACCTGAGGTCAGGAGTTCGAGAACAGCATGGCCAACATGGAGAAACCCCATCTCTACTAAAAATACAAAAATTAGCCAGGCATGGCAGTATGTGCCTATAGTCACAGCTACTCGGGAGGCTGAGGCAGGAGAATCACTTGAACCCAGGAGGCAGAGGTTGCAGTGAGCTGAGATTGTGCCGCTGCACTCCACACTTCAGCCTGGGTGACAGAGCGAGACTCTGTCTCAAAAGAAAAAAAAAATTAGAGGAAAAGATGAAAGGGTTGAGATGAAGAACTGAAAGATGAACATCTCCCTACCCTCCAACCTATTAGGAAAGATAAATTGTTCTTAGAAACTGTGGGGGCAGAAGGAGTCCTGGAAGAATCTAGAAATGAGAATTCTCATAAGGCAAAGAGGGATTTATGCTGTTATTAGAGCTTGAAGAGTTGAAGAATGACACAGAGAAGTTGTTTCACTGGAGCAGTCGGAAAAAATACGAAGATTTGCCAGCACTGGTGAATATAAAAGTTTCAGGAAAGAGAAGTCCATTCTGACTGGAACAATAAAAAGAAGTCACTGGGTCCATCAGATCCAAGGAAAAGACAGAGCCTGTGGTTGAGACTCCCCACTGCAGTGTTCAGTGGTGGCCATGCTGACTTGACATAATTCTCCCCACAACCCTCCACAAATTATCTACCTGGACATGGTAGGCTCCAGACAGCATTCATCTGGCCAAGGTTCAGCTGATCTCCTCTTTTGCTGATTTGCGTGGAAAACGGTGAAACAGAAGAAATCCAAGTGGATCTCTACTGACTTAAAACACCTGAGTAGGAAATAAAACACACCCTTCCCTCCATTAAAGTCCAGGACTGGGAGATGAAGGAGGGTGACTACACAGCATCAAAGAGCAGAATTTGGTCATCTGGGCCTCATATGACCTCCTGAAACAAATTAAAATGTAGCTAATGAAGACTGCAAAGAAAGAGTTTGCCACTGAGCTCTCTGCTTCTACTCTCACCCTCTCCAAGTCAGCCTACCCCAGGCCACCTCATTACTGTTCACAAACATAATTTGGATCAAGATACATCTGACCTCTGAGACCTCTAGTGGCCCCCTTTCCAAATTGAATAATGTACCCATGTCTCAGCAAGGCATTCGGGGCTTCCACTCTGCATGGCCCCAAGCAGCCTTTCCAGTTTATCCCTCATTCCAGCCTCCATGCAGCCTGAGCTTCACCAAGATAGGCTATTGCCATTCCTTGGGGCCGCACATGCTGCCTCTCCTCCATCCTTTTGTTCCTGCTGTCTGCTCCCTCGACACATATCCTGCATCACCTCTTGACACCCAAATCCTACACATTCAAGACCCATCTCCAGCTCCTTCTGATATTCTTTCTAATATGACTTTGTACCTCTTAAGGAAGACATTCATCTTAGCTCACCTTGTACTTGAATTACTTCTAGGTCTTCTCTCCATTTGGTTGGGAGCTCTCTTGAGACAGGGACTATACAGCCCTTATCTTTGCATCTGCTGCAGCACCTAGCAAGGTGCCTTGTACATAGAAGTAGTTCATGGATAGATTGAAAAGAATAAATGGAGGCTGAGAAGAGTAGACTTGTTTGTGAAAAATGACATACACCATTGTGAAATTCTGGGATTCCACAATATCTGACACATAGTAGGTAATAAAAAAAAAATTATTTATTTATTTATGAGACAGAGTCTTACTCTGTCACCCAGGCTGGAGTGCAGTCGCTAGATATCGGCTCACTGCAGCCTCTGCCTCCTAGGTTCGACTGACTCTCCTGCCTCAGCCTCCCGAGTAGCTGGAACTACATGTGCGCACCACTACGCCCAGCTAATTTTTCTATTTTTTTAGTAGAGATGGGGTTTTGCCATATTGGCCAGGCTGGTCTCGAACTCCTGGCCTCAAGTGATCCTCCTGTCTCGGCCTCCTAAATTGCTGGGCTTACAGGTCTGAGCCACCACACTCAGCCAAAAAAAGATTTTTTTTTTTAATGAATAAATATTGAAGGGCTTTTGGAATAGGATGTAAGAGGATACAGGTAGTATTTCTGGTAGAAGTGATCTGCCAGGTTATGAGTAATACAGCCTTTAAATCTTGATAGAAATAAGCATCCTGCAGAAACCACCTGGCTGGATAGAAGATATGGCTGATGCTCTTCTAGTATCTGGCGTAAAGACAACTTTCCAGTTTGTATCCTGAGTTTGAGTCACAAACTGCATCACCATGAATACATCTCTGAATCTCTCTTAGCCCTTGTTGATTGCCTATAAAATGGGGATAATAATAGCTACCTCACAGGCTGGTTGCAAGAACTGAATTATATAAGGTATAATAACTTTCTTCAGACTATGAGGCTTAATAAAATTTTCATACTCTTAAACAGTATTAGAGACAGATTTCCACTATTTAGGCAACTGTTTTCTAATGATGATGGTTTGGTGAACTCTTGGCTTGCCTTGATGACAATTTCACCTTTCAGAAAAAGAAACACAAGAACTGCTTCTTTAGTCTTAGTATGATTGTCTCAGAACAACTTGGTGCTGTGAAGTGAAGGAAACCCAAAGTGTTTGCTGTAATGACCAGAGAGTGTCAGTGAAACTCCTTAGCCTAAGGATAGGACATGTCAAATAGTTCAGAGTAGTGGTTCTGTAGCTTGCAAGCTAAAGAGAAATATAGATTAAGAGAGATGGTAGAGCTTAAAAAATAAAATTATAGACACAATAATAAGTGGAAAAAATGAGGGGCCTCAAACATTAATAATAATATTTATGGAGTCTTTTTTTTTTTTTTTTGAGACGGAGTTTTGCTCTTGTTGCCCAGGTTGGAGTGCAATGGCGCGATCTTGGCTCACTGCAACCTCCGCCTCCCGGGTTCAAGTGATTCTCCTGCCTCAGCCTCCCAATTAGCTGGGATTATAGGCATGCGCCACCAGACCCAGCTAATTTTTGTATTTTTAGTAGAGACAGGGTTTCTCCATGTTGGTCAGGCTGATCTCAAACTCGCGACCTCAGATGATCTGCCTGCTTCGGCCTCCCAAAGTGCTGGGATTACAGCCGTGAGCAACCATGCCCGGCCCTATGGAGTCTTTTTAATGTACCAGGACTGTGTTAAAAGCTCAAAGCCTATTTCCCCTTTTAACTTTCACAATATTCCTATGACATGCCCTTGAATTAGCTTAATTTTAAAGTGGTCATGTGCAGAAGATGGAAAGAATTTTAAAATTTGACACAAAACTATAATAATTAGGACAAAAAAGCTAAAACCTAATTGAGTCAAAGTTGGTGATTCACACATAAGATAATAAAATGGATGTTTTTAGCCATGTTCAGAATAAGATATGGAAGATATGGAAGAAATAAGCCTACCTCCTGGAATAGGTAATGGGAGATTAACAGGTGATAGAGGTAAGTCATAGATGGCTCTTTTGTTTCTGTCTTACCCATCAAGGGGAGTGTTCTTCAAATTGTCAAGAACAGTTAAAAGAAAACAAAAATCCAAGCTAGATGAGGAGATAGCAGAAAAACGCCCACTCTCTTTAGTGAGATTAACTATTCAGGAGCAGATGAATTACACATTGGGATATTTAGTGAAGAAAGTCATAGTGGAGCCACTGTTAGTTCATTTAGAAATCATGGAGAACAGAAAGGTCCTAAAAGACAGGACAGGCAAATGTTTCCATTTTTATAAAGAAGGGAAGGGTGGATTCTGAAAACCACAGGCTACTGAAATTTAGGACAGAGCTCCAGAGGGTTATATGATTATTCATGTATTTTGGGATTGCCCAGAAAAGAAATCTGGGATTTTTTCTAAGACAAAGTGGATTTACTAAGAATAAATCATGCCAAACTTTTTTTTTTCAGTAAAGTTTCAAAGCTGATAGATTAAAAAAACATGCTGTGAGCATAATGTATCTGACTTCAGAAAAGAATTGGATGAAGTCGCTTATTATACCTTTCTAAATAATATAAAAAAGAACGAGCTAGGTAATAGTACCGCTAGGGGTTGCTAAGTCACTGTATAGCAAATTATCTAGTGGTTTTTGACAGGGCTCTGTCTTGGGTATTGAACTGTCCAACATGTCAGTGACTTGAGCAAAGACAGCATTTTATCGTGTTTGCAATTCAAAGCTAGAAAACAGTTGAACATGTTGGATACTATCATTCATATTTACAAAGTCCTACCAGATAATACAATGGGCCAAAATCAATCAGATGAAATTTAACAAGAATAAATGTAAAGCTATCAACTAGGAGTGAAAAGCAAATTGCAGAAGTTCAGGATGTGAGACATCTGTCCTAAGAGTTCTCTAATCAACAACAAATCCTAATCAGTGTTGAGGATAGTGCCTGACACATAATGGATACTCAAAAATATTTGCCGAATGAATGAATGAACAGATACTGTGATGCAACTGTTTATAAAAAGCTCCTTACATTTTAGGTTTCATTAGTGCATACATATGGCCAGGTTAAAGAAGCTAAGAGTCCCACTGTACTCTTAATTGTCCAGGCCACATCTAATACTGTGTCTAGTCCTGGACACATTTCACAAGGACACTGTCAAGTCAAAGATTACCTTGAAAAGAGTCACCAAAAGAGCACCTATCTGGACCCCGTTTTTTTGTTTTGTTTGGTTTTGTTTTTTGTTTTTTGTTTTCTGTTTTTTGTTTTTACCACATTTAAGTAGAAAAGTTAAAGGAACTAGAGAAATGAAGAAGCCAGACAGAAGACATGAAAAATATGAAAATTGCCTTACAATATTTGAAAAAAGGGCTAGGTGCCGTGGCTCATGCCTGTAATCCCAGCACTTTGGGAGTCTGAGGCAGGAGTATCACTTGAGCCCACACATTCAAGACCAGTCTGGGTAAAAAATTAAGAATTTTTTTTTTTTTTTTTTGAGACAGAGTCTCACCCTGTTGCCCAGGCTGGAGTGCAATGGCGCGTCCTCAGCTCACTGCAACTTCCACCTCCCAGGTTCAAGCGATTCTCCTGCCTCAGCCTCCTGAGTAGCTGGGGTTACAGGCAGGCGCCACCACACCCGCCTAATTTTTTTTGTTGTTGTCGTTATCCTTAGTAGAGATGGGGTTTCACCATGTTGGCCAGGCTGGTCTCAAACTCCTGACCACGTGATCCACCCACCTCGGCCTCCCAAAGTGCTGGGATTACAGGCATGAGCCACCGCACCCAGCCAAAAATACATTTTTTAAAAAATTAGCCTGGCTCGCTGGTACATGCCTGTAGTTCCAGCTACTCAGGAGGCTGTGGCAGGAGGATCACTTGAGCCCAGGAGTCTGAGGCAGCAGTGAGCCGTGATCATGCCACTGCACTCCAGCCTGGGCAACAGGGCAAGCTCTTGTTTCAAAAAAATAAAAATAATTAAAAATAATTTTTAAATAATATTTGAAAAATGTCATTTGGAATGAAGATCAGACTAAATCTCTGTCTAGCTCTGAAGAGTAAAATTAGGATCCATTGGTAGAAGACAGAGGAAACAGATATTGGCTCTGTATTAGGAAAATCTTGGAGAGTGATCCAAAAGTGAAATGGACTTCTCTGCAAAGTAATGAGTTCCTTGTTACTGGAAATGTGCTGGTAGAGGCTGCACTTTTATTGAAGGAATTTGTGAAGTGAGATATTAAGCTGGATGACTTATAATGCTAATATTTTGTCATTGTACCAAGGCTAGAGAAGTTTCATAGGCACTTAAGAAATTGCTTTGCACCTCTTTCCTGTAACATGACCTTGGGCTTCTGTGCACACTCACTGCTTTGTTGTCTACTAGATAGTTGCATACTATGATGAATCTCATACTTTTTCAAAACACAAAGTCCTCTGCAGATGTTTAGCATAATTGCTGTGTTTCCTTTCACTAGATAGATGTGTGTGTGTGTGTGTGTGTGTGTGTGTGTGTTACTCTGTATACTTTACATTTATTCAAATTGCCATAAGAAAACTTTGAAACAGACTGCATTTATCACAGCTAGGAGTCACCCAGAGTACTTTCAGAAAAAGCAATTTGCTGATTTACCTTTTGTATGTATTTCCAAAGCACTAAAGTTACAAAGACCTAGTGTATAGGGCATGAAGATGAATAAGCAAAGGCAAACAAGAATATCCATCACAAGAGACATTAATGTCAAGGAGGCAATTTTTAAATGTACAATTATTTAAAAAGAAGAGGAAAGATTGACAATGATGGCTTCCATCATATGTTTAAAAGTGCCAAAGAGCAAAGCCATTTGCCAAACAAAGCAAAGAGCTCCAGACTACCTTTGTGAGTTTGCTGCCTGCAGGCCAGGCCACTCTGGACTCCTTTGCCCAAGCAGACAAAATATTATCATTTCCAGTTCTTTAAAGCTGGCACCCTGCTTCATAACTTTGACATTCAACATATCATAATATTTTTGACTACCAGGTCCACTTTTCAAAAAGCATCTTTTGAAAATTCTTTCTGAAGATAGCAATATTTCAAATCTTCATTGCCTGGGCTTGCTTTTTCATCTCCTGCCAGTCACTGAAATCGTATTTAATCAGACTGGGCTATGTGGTTCCTGTGTCCGGCTGGTCCCAAGCATGGAAATGTAGCTCTTGGACAGTGCCATAAAATCAGGCAATCCTGAGTAGCTGGGGTTACAGGCAGGCGCCACCACGCCCACCTAATTTTTTTTGTTATTGTTGTTATCCTTAGTAGAGATGGGGTTTCACCATGTTGGCCAGGCTGGTCTCAAACTCCTGACCAAATTGTCAATTACACAAAGATGCCAAGTTTAGAGGGAAAGGATTTATATAACCAACAAAGTGTTCCACATTTTAAAAAAGACATAATTGTGAGTAATAAAAGTCAGAGTGGACACACTCTATTTTATCTATTTTTTTTCACTTCCCATAAGTAGTTGTAGTGGTGCCCTCAGATACTATGGGATGTGGGAAAATCAGTAAGATATAGACTTGGCAGCATGAAGGGACTTAAGGTGGTGGGAAGATTAGGGCCAGTCCTGGGATAAGGAGTTGAAACATTATTTAGAATCCACTAGGGAGTTATTGAAGGATTTCATTTGCTTGCTTGCTTTGAGGAGGCAATAACGATCAGAACAGTCCTATAAGAAGTTCAATCTCTCAGTCCAAAAAGTCCGTGCAGAAAGAGACCTAAAGTAGGAAGGGGAGTCAGGAATCTAACAGAGCAGCCCAGAGGTGGAGCAGAGTCAGAGACACCGTTTGAGATCCGAGCACCCACTGACTGACAGCCTTCAGTTCCAATCCAATCTGCACTGCATTCTGGGTACTAACCCTGCACAATAACCAGCTGCAATTGCCAAGAAAACCTGTGCAGCTGGTGGTGAGTGAAAACCAAGGATGTGAACTCAATGTGCTGCAGCTGAAGAAACAGAGTTGTACCTGGAACCGCCCAGTGGGTTCACCTTGCCCACTGCCTACACAGAACCCATTTATCAAGACAGGGGAATTGCAATGGAGAAAGGGTAATTCACGTAGAGCTGGCTGTGTGGGAGACCAGAGTTTTATTATTACTCAAATCAGTCTCCCCAAGCATTCAGGGATCAGAGTTTTTAAAGATAATTTTGCAGGTAGGGGCTTGGGAAGTGGGGAGTGCTGATTGGTCAGGCTGGAAATGAAATCATAGTGGGTCAAAGTTAGGTTTTCTTAACGTCTTCTGTTCCTGGGTGTGATGGCAGAAATGATTGGGCCACATTACTGGTCTGGGTGGTGTCAGCTGATACATCCAGTGCAGGGTCTGCAAAATATCTCAAGCACTGATGTTAGGCTTTACAATAGTGATGTTCCCCCAATTTGGAGGTATTTGGGGAGCAATTTGGGGATTGCTCAGACTCTTGGAGCCAGAGGCTGCATGACCTCTAAACTGTAATTTCTAATCCTGTAGCTAATTTATTAGTCCTGCAAAGGCAGACTGGTCCCCAGGCAAGAAGAGGGTCTTCGGGAAAGGGCTGTTATCAATTTTGCTTCAGAGTCAAAGCATCTACTGAATTCCTTCCCAAAGTTAGTTCGGCCTGTGCCCGGGAATGAACAAGGAAAGCTTAAGTGTTAGAAGCCAGATAGAGTCGGTTAGGTCTGATTTCTCTCACTGTCATAATTTCCTGAGTTATAATTTGGCAAAGACAGTTTCATACCCAGTGACTGTTTTCCTGAGTGCTTTCCAGGGTGGTGGCCAGGCAGAGGTGTGGTCGAGTCGGGAGGTGGGATGGTTCCAGCCTCAGGGGCCTGGCTTCTTCTTCCTTCCTGGAGGGACAAAATGGTCATCTTCCTCCTGCTGTAGTGTTTTCCCCTGCGTTTTGTTCCTTCTGCTATGTGTGGATGTGTTGGGATAAGATAGGGCAAGATGAGCACCGGGAAAGGGGGCTGGCAAGAGGAAGGGAACCCTGTCTGTTCTCTTCCCCTTCCCAGTGATGCTGCCTCTGGAGAAGGTGAGGAAAACTCGCACCCAACAGGCTGCAGGCTCCTGGGGCCAGAGCTTTCTGCTTTTTCCAGACTCCATATGACTGATGTGAAAACGTTGAGTTTCCTGAGCCTGCTTGCCCTCTGGGTAGTCTAACTGCTCTGATAATAAAATAAGTGTAGAGGCACTGAAGTAAAGAATTTGCAATAAAAAAGAAAATGAAAAATGGAAGCCATAAGAGAAATGAGTATTGGATCAAGTGTGAAGAATGGGAAATGTCAAGGCACTTGATAATTTTTCTGCTAACAAACAGACATTGTGAAGGTGGAAGTTTCCATGGTTTTCCTTCCCTGCGTTTTCTTTTGCTATTGTCATGAGATCTAGGGGCATGAGGGATTTGTCATTTGAGTGTTACATTGCAACAAAAAGCAAGGCAGAAGTACAGAATCCACTTAAATGAGAGTATGAACACAATAGGAGGTTTTGCTACCTGGAATTAGATGTTGAATTGCTGCTCTCTAAACTTTATTTTCTATATAAAAAGCTTTAAATACAATCATTTAATTATTCATTTAAAGTTTATATTAACAACATTTAGTGTGCACCTGCTATATGTAAAGTATCCCACTAGGTACTATTCATCAAATTAAAGCCAGCTATTTAGTTATGAAAATAAACCATGGCCCACATACCCTGTGAAGCCCTGTTAAAAGCAGGCAACATGCCCAAGAAAATATGTTTCCTTTGAATTTCACAGAAATCTTAGTTTGAGGAAGAAAAATCAAGAGTTTTTGTTATAAGCCACTATGTGTATGCTCTGAAACAGTTAATGTAGAGAACAGAGGTAGTGGCCATAACTGAAATAAGGAGATAGTGAGTGAGTGTGTGTGTGACCTAATTCAAGTTTGGTGGTCCAAGTGGTATTTTTCTTGGCCTGTAAAAACTACAGGTATTTGCAAAACTGTTCTAAATAGTAATGTAATAGAAGTTTTTTAAAAATTGAGTTAGTGCATATGTTTGGACTCAATTTCTCCCTCTTTTGGTTACTATATATGGTTCTAATTTCCAGCTGTGCAGTTACTATTGTAAATTCTCAACATTAAAAAAATTTTCAGATACAAATTATTTTTATTGATACATACTTTTTACATATTTAAGGGGTACATGTGAATTCTCAACAATTAATATTAAATAAAAGGAGAAGAATTCTGTTCTATCCCAGATTAGAAATACCTTAGAATTTCTATTTGTGTCTATTTCCCTCCATTCCATTATTTTCTTCCTCTTCATACCACATTTATATACGTCTTACCATTTATTTATATTTATTTAATACTTTACTTCAGGAAACTTAGTATTGTTCTGGAATCAGAAAGCCCTTCTAGCTAGTCTGTCTTGCCAGGTCTTTCCGATTCTTCTCCCTCAAGAAGCAAGTGGTGGTGACCACGTCGACATAAGAGATTTCCCGTCTGACTCCTCCCACCATCTGTGTAGGTCACAGAACCTCACGCCAACTGGCTCTCTTCAGACTGTGGTCAACTGGAAAATCGAGTCAGATTTCAGAAGGGTGGGAAAATGAACCTAGAAAGTCTAATGTGGAGAAAGCCTTAAAATATATCCTTCATGTTCCACAATAGTGATTATTATCTTTGGCGATACTGCAACATAAATAGGTATTCTTGGCTAGTTCATCTCTGGCGGCACCATCTTGGCATTTACACTCTACAGAAAAGGTACCTGAGGAGAAAGATGGTCCAAGTTACTTGCCACAGATCACACAGATTAACAGCAGCACAGTCTGGGTGTATATGTGTAATATATATCTTTTTATTATTTTTATATACAAGTAATGGTTGTTTCTTGTAGAAAAGTTAAAACAATGAAGATGAGCAGGAAGAAAAAAATACCATCCAAACACCCAGCAAATAACCATACTAATGTAGACATATTTTCTTCTAATCTTCTAGGTATGTATGTATACATATATGTACATATATATACACATGCACACTTTTTTCTAAACCCATATTGACCTATAACCTCCTTTTTTTTTTACTTAACAAAATACTGGGAATGTCTTTTTGTGTTTTTAATATTCAGCTATTCCATAGTATTCCATTTTATAATTATACTGTAATTTAAGTAGCCAGCCCTCTCCTTTTGGACATATATGTTGTGCCAAGTGTTGATTACAATAAGTATTTCTGAAATGAACATTCTCACCCATACATCTTGGTGCTGCTTTTTTTTTTTTTTCTATAACCCAGGACAGTGCTGAAGTGCTTCTTTTCTTTAATTTCCTCAGTTTTAGTTCCTAGAAGTGGCAATGCTGGGCTGTTGGGTTTACACATGTTTAAGGTTCTGATGCATGTGACTAAATTACCCTCCAGAAAAGTTCTGCTTTAAGTTCTACTTAACGCTTTCCCACCCTGGGACAGCTGAAGACTGGCCAGAGCTTTGCAGCTGCAATGATGTGTTTACCACCTCCCTTATCCAGCAACATTTGCAATTAGCCTCCGACCTTGTTCCTGGGATTGTTTCCGGTGAAAATTAGCCATGCCTGGCTAATTTTTGTATTTTTAGTAGAGACAGGGTTTCACCTTATTGGTCAGGCTGGTCTTGAACTCCTGACCTCGTGATCTGCCCACCTCGGCCTCCCAAAGTGCTGGGTTTGGGAATGGTACCTGTGGATGCACCTAGAGGTGTGTTTAGACACTAGCTGAAATCACTTTGGTCTTTCTAGCAAACCTTAGCCAATGGGCTCCACTCACAAAGGGTCAGCTTCCAAGAGCAGATTTTAGCTCAGGGCCTCTTATGTTCAGGACAATAATGGAGTAAAAAAACAAGGCTGAAAACCAGAAGATATGTGGGCTTAAGCAGATATGTGAATAGCTACCCACATAGGAAAAACAAAACAAAACAAAACAAAAACAAAAACAGAAAATAAGGTGGGAGTCCTTCTTTTACAACCATGGATACCTTTTCTTTTCTTTTCTTTTTTTTTTTTTTTGAGACAGGATCGCTCTTTTGCCCAGGCTGGAGTGCAGTGGTTCGATCATGGCTCACTGCAGCCTCAATCCCCCAGGCTCAAGCAATCCTCCACCTCAGTGTCCCAAGTAGCTGGGACTACAAGTATGTGCCACCACACCTGGCCTTTTTTTTTTTTTTTTTTTTGAAATGGAGTCTTGCTCTGTCACCCAGGCTGGAGTGCAGTGGTGTGATCTTGGCTCACTGCAACCTCCACCTCCCAGGTTCAAGCAATTCTCCTGCCTCAGCCTCCTGAGTAGCTGGGACTATGGGCGAACACCACCATGCCTGGCTAATTTTTGTATTTTTACTAGAGACGGGGTTTCACCATATTGGTCAGGCTGGTCTTGAACTCCTGACCTCATGATCTGCCCACCTCAGCCTCCCAAAGTGCTGGGATTACAGGCGTGAGCCACTGCGCCCAGCCTGGCCAATTTTTTTAAATTTACTTTTTGTAGAGATGAGGTCTCACTATGTTGCCTAGGTTGATTTCAAACTCCTGAACTCAAGCGATTCTCCCACCTCGGCCTCCCAAAGTGCTCGGATTACAGGCATAAGCCTCTGTGCCCAGCCAATACCTCTTATTATCTAACTGAGCATTGTTAAATTCAGGGATGGGTTGCTGAGGGACGATATGACAGATTACACTCGATTTGATGTGTGCTGACTAAGGCCTGTGCATGCCTAGCATTGCTTTAGTCATGGAATGAATCACACTCAGGTTCAGATTCTAGTCCTGCCACTTCCTATGTCCTTGAGCAAGTGCCTTCATTTATCTGAGACTCACTTTCCTTGTCCATAGTTATTCCAATTGCATTTGGTTGCAGTGAGTAGAAATTAAGTATTTAGGCTGGGCACAGTGGCTCACACCTGTAATCCCAGCACTTTGGGAGGCCGAGGCAGGTGGATCGCTTGAGCTCGGGATTTCGAGACCAGCCTGGGCAACATGGCAAAACCCTGTCTCTACAAAAAATATATAAATTAGCTGGGTGTGGTGGCTCACACCTGTGGTCCCAACTACTTAGGAGGCTAAGACAGAAGGATGACTTGAGCCTAGGAGGCAGAGGTTGCAGTGAGCTGAGATCGTCCCACTGCACTGCAGCCTGGGGGACAGAGTGAGATCCTGTCTTTAAAAAAAAAAAAAAGGGAAGAAATCAAGTATTTAAAGCACCTAAGGACAGCCCCCAGCCCCATGGTAGTGCTCAGCAAGTGTTTGGTGAATGAATGGATTCATGCTCTACGCTTATATAGAGTTTACTTTGCTTTCAGATTGGGTTCTGCTTGCTCATTGTACTTATCACTATATGAGAATTGTATTGTTTATTTTCAAATTTGCCACATATTGTCTGTTTCTCCATCAACACAAAACATTCTCAGGAGAAGAGTTGGTTCCCAGTGCCTGAAAACAGTGCCTAGCACACAGAAGATGGTGAATCAATATTTGTGGTTATTTCTCACTCACATTCCGTCCAGCAACCCAGTCTTGTTACCAGGAGGCTGTTCAGCACAGGACACTTATCACACCATTTGTTGACCCTCCACTTCCCCCTCTGCCACTTATCACACCATTGGTTGACCTGTGCTTGCTTCCAGCCATCCTCCGTTACCTGAAGAACGATGGGAAGGTGCATTTGGTGGTTTTCAACAACCTGCAGCTGGCAGACGGAAGGCGGCACAGGATCCTCCTGAGGCTGAGCAATTTGCAGCGAGGGGCCGGCTCCCTAGAGCTCTACCTGGACTGCATCCAGGTGGATTCCGTTCACAATCTCCCCAGGGCCTTTGCTGGCCCCTCCCAGAAACCTGAGACCATTGAATTGAGGACTTTCCAGAGGAAGCCACAGGTAGGAACCCACAAACCATTCTCTGAAGTGGAAAAATGAGCTGCCAGTGCCTAGGGAGTGCAGAGGAGCGTGCTGAGAAATTCCTGCTGCAGGTCAGTGGGTCTAATGCCGCTTGCACATCAGAATCACCTGCGGAGCTTGAAAAGCAAGTGATAGGGGGCTGCCCCTAGGACAAACTGAATCCGAATCTGTCGGGTGGGGCCTAGCATATTTTTATGCTAGGGGCATCAGCATATTTTTAAAATACCAATTCTAATGTGATGCCGAAATTGAGAGCTTGTGCTTTCAATGATAAGTAGAGACTCTGGATACAATTGTAACGTTGGAAAGGAAGGGCAAAAGTAAAAATAACTACCTCAGGGTGATGACATTATCTATTTTCAATTTTCTATAATGAAAATAAAAAAGAATGATTAGAAACTGCCAAGCTTTCATAACAGCATTTTCACAGGTCTTGTCAGAACATCCACTAACAAAAGGGAGCTTAGCTTAGCTGCATTTGGTCTTAAGATACCATCACCTCTGTCTTCTGTTTTACTCCAGGTTGATGGTATTTTTATTATTCTGTCATTGCACCTGCTGTAGAAATTGCCACATACATTTCTTTTAGAATTTTGTGCTAGGCAGTGCTTTGTTTTCTATAAAGAACTAGTATTCTTTGTCCTTTCCAATAATGTATAACTGGTTAAAGTTCCTGAATTTCATCCGCTATATAAGCCAATGTCAAATCAGTAACTATGTTCTTCTGTAATGGTCCATATTATTTTTGTCTGCTACCTCTCAATCCTCACTTTCCATTTGTTAATTCATTATATTAATATATGCTTTAGTTACAAGCTACTCTGAGCCCTTTGTACAGAGAAGCAGGGTGTAAGCAATAATTTCCATTGCAAGTAGGAATGCTGTGCAGTTTTAGATAGTAATATAAAAACTATGAATCTGATCCTAGAAGTTTTGCCCTTGAACAACAGGAAGCATTTTTAATCAGAAATTCCAAGAAAGCTAAAATCCGAGGTTTTTGGGGATTTTTGTTTTTCAGTCATATATAGAGAGATTTTTAATGTAGATTTACATATGGAAAAAAATTAATAGAAAGATATGCTAAACTCTCTTTCTGCATCCCCATAGTAGCGCATGTAATCAGAATGACAGTCAGAAATTGTGTCACTGCTTATTTCAGAAATTAGTGTTCACCACCAAATAAGTCAATTTCTAAAAGTCAGGACTCACCCCTGACAAAGTCATCAGAAACTGTACTTACTGGAATTTTCTCAGAAGCTCTACCTCCTTAGACCATGGTAGTGATCACAGTGGCTCAGTCTCATAATCACCTACTCACTCATTCAGTCAGTCAACAAATGGGCACATTCTAGGCATTAGTGCTACCATGGTGGGCAAAGCCAGTCATTTTCCTGACTCTGCGGAGATTATAGTCTGATGTCCAATACAATATGTGTTAAATAGCACATGTTGCCTAAATCTTAGCTAAATCAAAAAGCAGAATTCCTCTGAAAATCCTTAGCTGTGCTCATTTCTAAAATAAGGATGATGACTTCACTTTGGCAGTTAACATAAATGTTTTGTTGTATATAGATATAATAAAGGTGATTGCAAGCAGCATTCACAAGATAAAAGGGCAAGGACATTGACTTTTTGACTAACAATGAATAATATCAACCCGTAATATAAAAATATGATGCCAACTACCTAATGATCATAGAAGATATCATTTATTCATTCTCATATCCCAAAGAAGTCAGAGGCTTTGCTAGACCCTTGAGCCAAGACAACCAAAAAATAATACTGTTTAAAATTGGGGTTAACACCTTATTTATTATTATCTAAATTCCATAAACAAATTACAGACAATTCTTAAGAGGCTCCTGCCACAAAATAACTCCTTTACCATGTAGGAAAAGAGCCTTTCGTTTTCTCAGCTGTCTTGGTGACAATGCCAGCATTTTCCTAGGCTACTGGCTACTTACATATTCACTTTAGTCAAAAAGATAGGGCTGGCAGGCTTTAGGAAAAAATGTGATCCTACAAAATTATGTAAGATGTCAGAGGGTCCAAGTATACAGGACTACTTGATTATGAAAATTGCGTGAGTAGGCAAGCACATTGGCTTTTGAACAGTGTCAGCAATCTGTGGTATGAATGTGATTTCTTCCAGGACTTCTTGGAAGAGCTGAAGCTGGTGGTGAGAGGCTCACTGTTCCAGGTGGCCAGCCTGCAAGACTGCTTCCTGCAGCAGAGTGAGCCACTGGCTGCCACAGGCACAGGTGTGGGCTCTTGGGCAGTTTGCATGCCTTCATCAACACAAACTCCAAAGACCCTGAATAGGCTGGGTCCCATCACCGAAAAGTGGGACTGTCAACAGAGCAGCCCAACAAAACGTATCTATGAAAATCAGTCTCTTGAACAAAATCCAGGGCACAGAATATTTTCATTATGCTTTTATTTTTATGATTCACATGGAATTTAGACTTAGTCAGTGGCATCATTATCATTATTTTTTTTAGCTGAATTAAAGAAATTACCCCAAATTAAATTCAAAGATTCTGGGTTTTTGAATCATCTTGTCAGGATGATTTCCTGGGGAATAATTTGGTTTTGAGTCACTTAGAAATGACCATCACTGGCTGAAAACTCTTTGCCTTTTGCTGTTCCTACAGGGGACTTTAACCGGCAGTTCTTGGGTCAAATGACACAATTAAACCAACTCCTGGGAGAGGTGAAGGACCTTCTGAGACAGCAGGTAACAAGCGGGACATATCATCAGAAAAGCCCTCGTCTTCTTAGAGCAGCTCCCCACAAGCTAGTGGAGCTGCAGGCCTGCCCAGGCACGGGGGCAGCCTCTGAGCCAGATCTCCGGGGGCCCACGCAGCCCCGCACGCCAGGGCTCTGCTGGAAGTTCTCTGGAAATGGGGTCCAAGCTCGTGATGAACACACCATGGCTCTAAGCAGAGCGGGAGCCATCAAGGGCTGCTAACGCTACTGTAAGAAGTGTTACAGAGAGCCAGGTGCGGTGCCTCATGACTGTAATCCCAGCACTTTGGGAGGCTGAGGTGGGCAGATCACGAGGTGAGGAGCTCGAGACCAGCCTGAACAACATGGTGAAACCCCGTCTCTACTAAAAATACAAAAATTAGCCAGGCATGGTGGTGCATGCCTATAATCCCAGCTACTCAGGAGGCTGAGGCAGGAGAATTGCTGGAACCCAGGAGGCGGAGGTTGTAGTGAGCTGAGATCGTGCCACTGCACTCCAGCCTGGGCGACAGACTGAGACTGTCTCAAAAAAAAAAAAAAAAAAAGTGTTACATAGATAGCTCCACATGGATTCTTTCATTCCTGGATGATATCAGGCATTCCTTTTCAATCCTTTTTTCCCCTTCTCATTTTTAAAGGTTAAGGAAACATCATTTTTGCGAAACACCATAGCTGAATGCCAGGCTTGCGGTAAGTGCTTTTCTAGTAATGGGCTCGCCTGAGTTGGATGATGCAGGCTGATGAAGGGCTTGCGGTGAGGCTGTGTTGACCGCAGTTTCTGAAGGTCTACCACATAGTTGGAGGGGAGGGAGGAAAAGTTCAATAGGAAACCAAATTTTGTTTTGCCTTCTGTATATCTTCCTGGCGGTGAATACGCCTGTGGATGATTGTTTTTCTCTAGGTCCTCTCAAGTTTCAGTCTCCGACCCCAAGCACGGTGGTGCCCCCGGCTCCCCCTGCACCGCCAACACGCCCACCTCGTCGGTGTGACTCCAACCCATGTTTCCGAGGTGTCCAATGTACCGACAGTAGAGATGGCTTCCAGTGTGGGCCCTGCCCCGAGGGCTACACAGGAAACGGGATCACCTGTATTGATGTTGATGAGGTAAAAGTTCACTTAGACTGGGAGGGGATCCCTAAGTATCCTCCTCACCCTGCAGCTTTTGGAAAAAGAAGCCAAGCTGATGATTAAGGGCTGACTTGGGCTGTCCTCCAGGCTCCATTGAAACCACTTGCTTGGAGACCCTGAGACAAGGGATGGCGGAAGGAGACATGACCCAAGGTTATGGCTGCGTTTGTCATTTTTCCTCTGTGTTTCCAACTCTTCTACTGGTCCATTGGCTACAGTGCTGAGGTTTCTGCTTTACACGCTGACATTTGCATTGGTTATTTCTCTTAAATAGTCTGTGCTACAATTTTGTTTTTCCCCCACTTTTGCAAATGTGGAAGGGGAGGATTTTTCTAAGGGTATATTTCAGGAGTCACCGTGGATTTCTTCAGGCTTCCTAAAATAAAGGAGCAGAGGGGAATCTCACACCAACAAGGGGGAGGCCCTGTAACCTATGAGTAACTAAACGTGCCCAGGGAGGGCCCCAGAGGAGGCACATCCAGCAAATACCAGCTATTTGACCGGCTGGCAGAGCCCCAGAAGAGACTGTTTCAAGACCCTGGTTAGGCAGGCCAGCCTAGTGGCTGAAGCCTGCAATCTCAACACTTTGGGAGGCTGAGGCAGGAGGATCACATGAGCCCAGGAGTTTGAGACCAGCCCGGGCAACAAGACAAAACCCTATCTCTACAAAAAATATGATAATTACTGGGGCATGGTGGCATGTGCCTGTGGTCCCAGCTACTCTGGAAGATGAAGCAGGAGGATTGCCTGAGGCAGGAGGTTGAGGCTGCAGTGAGCCATGATGGCACCACTGCACTCTAGCCTGGGCACAACCCTGTCTCAAAAAAACAAACAAAAAAAAACATGGTTAGGCAATCACCAGTCCAGTTGCAAAGCAATGTTCATAGCAGGTAGCAAGGCTGCCACCAAAATGTGCCTTCAATGTGCCTTTCTCCTCCCACCCAGCCCAAGGAAGGCTGAAAGGAGAAGCGCAGGGGAGAGATGCAGGTACATAACTTAGGCACACTGACTCCCTGGGGCTCCTGCAGGCCCATGGTAATGTTAGTAACACTCAGCTGATTACCTTCGCTAGTAGTAAGCAATTAAGACGGTCTCTAGTAATCCCTCAATTGGAGAAACAACTGCATACATTTCACTGAACTGCATCTGGTTTTTATCTGTGAGGTAGAATTTTCCTCTTTCTGAAAGGGCAGGAAGTGGTCATGTTTTTTACATTAGTTGAAGTGGTTTAAAAAAAACAAAAAACAATCTCCAAGATTCCTAGAGCCTTGGAATAGCATGGACTTGACAGGACATGGAGGCAGGCACAGGCCCTGAGGGATTACATGGTAATGAAGAGGCACCGGCCCTGGCTTTGCCTTCTCGAGGTCTTTCTGATTGAGTAGTTGGTTTGCTGATGCTTTTGGAGGCATCTAACAGCCAGCTAAGTGGTCCAGGGACATAGTCCTTTCACAGAGATTTGCAAATTCCATGTCAGAATATCAGGGAGCTTATTACATTGAGAGGTAGGCTGGTTAATATCAAGGACCCTTTCAACATGCATGTGCCATTATTCTACAGCACAGCAAAGCCTACTAAAAAGCAACCTCAGATTGTGTGGTCAGGGATTCAGTGGGTAACTGGAGTTGGAAGCCTTTATTTCCTTTTATTATTTTTTCCACCAAAAGATAGTTAAATGACTAAACAAGTATGTGCAAATAGATGAAGAAAAGTTTGAGAGTGTTTTCTCGGTGTGGCTAAAGACTTTGAACTTTTTTGTCTCCAGTGCAAATACCATCCCTGCTACCCGGGCGTGCACTGCATAAATTTGTCTCCTGGCTTCAGATGTGACGCCTGCCCAGTGGGCTTCACAGGGCCCATGGTGCAGGGTGTTGGGATCAGTTTTGCCAAGTCAAACAAGCAGGTAGGCTGAAGTCATGGTTTCTATTCATTTCTCATCTTAACAAAACAACTGTGGTTGGTTCCCACCTCTTTGGTATAAACCTTTACCTCCATGAGCAGTCAAGGCCATGTGGAATGTCATGGTGCAAAATGAGCAAATTAGGAAGTTTTTCAACCATTTCTGAGTATTTACATTTATAAAATCTAGAAGGGAGGAAGCTTTTAAGAGGGGATAATAGAGTATCACTAGAAAAACAGTAAATGGGGTAATATGGCTATTGGCATAATTTCAGTCTTATTTTGTTGATAGCTGTTGAGCATTTTGTCCTGCAGAATAAGTTGAGAACCACGGAGACAAAAGCTTTGAAAAATTAGGTCACTTTTGTAGAGTCATTGTTGCCAATCGAAGCTGTTTCAGAGATGAGGGGATTTTAAGAGTAGAAATAATCCCCCAAGGCAACCTCCCCTTTTTCTTATGTAAGCTATAAATTGCCATAAAGCACTTGAGTACTTCTTGACAGTCTCCATTTATTTCCCAATGCTCTACTATATTCTGGTCATTATTTAACTGACTGACTGTGAAATTCTTTTTGATGTTTTTAGCCCTTAAAAATGGTTGTTCTATAAATATATTTTACTACCTTAGGGAAATTATTAGCTTTGAAGAAGGGCAGGGGTTTATTATTTCCTAGCTGCCTATCAAAGGGTTCTAGAGGGCATGATTTTTTTAAGTTATTGTTATACTTTAAGTTCTAGGGTACATATGCACAACGTGCAGGTTTGTTACATATGTATACATGTGCCATACTGGTGTGCTGCACCTGTTAACTTGTCATTTACATTAGGTATATCTCCTAATGCTATCCTTCCCCCCTCCCCCTACCCCATGACAGGCCCTGGTGTGTGACATTCCCCACCCTGTGTCCAAGTGTTCTCATTGTTCAATTCCCAACTAAGAGTGAGAACATGCGGTGTTTGGTTTTCTATCCTTGCGATAGTTTGCTCAGAATGATGGTTTCTAGCTTCATCCATGTCCCTACAAAGGACATGAACTCATCCTTTTTTATGGCTGCATAATATTCCATGGTGTATATGTGCCACATTTTCTTAATCCAGTCTATCATTGATGGACATTTGGGTTGGTTCCAAGTCTTTGCTATTGTGAATAGTGCCACAATAAATATACGTGTCCATGTGTCTTTATAGCAGCATGATTTATAAGCCTTTGGGTATATGCCCAGTAATGGGATGGCTGGGTCAAATCGTATTTCTAGTTCTAGATCCTTGAGGAATCGCCACACTGTCTTCCACAATGGCTGAACTAGTTTACAGTCCCACCAACAGTGTAAAAGTGTTCCTATTTCTCCACATTCTCTTCAGCACCTATTGTTTCCTGACTTTTTAATGATCGCCATTCTAACTGGTGTGAGAAGGCATCTCATTGTGGTTTTGATTTGCATTTCTCTGATGGCCAGTAATGGTGAGCATTTTTTCATGTGTCTGTTGGCTGCATAACTGTCTTGAGAAGTGTCTGTTCATATCCTTTGCCCACTTTTTGATGGGGTTGTTTGATTTTTTTCCTATAAATTTGTTTAAGTTAAGTTCTTTGTAGATTCTGGATATTAGCCCTTTGTCAGATGGATAGATTGTAAAAATGTTCTCCCATTCTGTAGGTTGCCTGTTCACTCTGATGGTAGTTTCTTTTGCTGTGCAGAAGCTCTTGAGTTTAATTAGATCCCATTTGTCAATTTTGGCTTTTGTTGCCATTGCTTTAGGTGTTTTAATCATGAAGTCCTTGGAGGGCATGATTTTTTAGACTAGAAAAGGGAGGCCAGCTAGACATATAGGAATGATAAGAAGCTGTTAAGAGTCCTCTAAAGACAAAATCTCTAAGAACAAACCAAGGAAACATAAGGTACTTGGTGTAAGGTAGTAAGGAGCACTTCTCAATAGATTTCCAGTAACAAGGCAGACAGAACTGAAGTGGAAGGGAGCCACCTTGCTAAATTTAACAGCAAATGTTACTGCATTCCAAAGTCAAAGAAAATAAAAGGAAATGGCGCAGTGTCCAGAAACAAAGAGAAAACTCAAAGCCAGAACTGTGACTAGAGCTGATGCCACAGCAGATCCTGGGAGGTGGGAGTTGGGTCCAGGTCTTAGTAACAGGGACCTGGCTTTTACCACCTGTGTGGAGTGGATGCAGCAATGTAGTCTGGGAACTTTGGAAAGGCCTAACACCCCTGCATAAGTCCAGGACCCTCAGAGAACCACCTTATCAATTACAAGGAGACAGGAAACCTTTAGTAGCCCTAAGAAACAACAAAGAAGCTCTTTAGCTTTAATACATGGTTGACAAAAATGAAAATTGCCTACAGCAAATCAAAGCACCACACTTGTACCACATACAGTTATGAGTTCCAAATCTGTTATACATATAATGCAGAAACACAAGCCAAAAAATTAAAATAATAACCAGCCATGAAGAAGTGAAATCCCCAGGGCTCTGACTCAAGTCAAAGGCACACCACTCTGTAAAGACATGCCAAAATTCAGGGCCAATGGAATGCCCACAGGCAAAATTTGGGCTACTGAAGATATGCTTATAAACAAAAATGGCAGTTTATATAAAGAAACTCCCATGAGGAAACATGATAAATGCAAAGTAAATATAAAAAGGTAAAGAAATAAATACCATACTTAAAGAATAGGGCAATGCCCCAACTGGGCAACATGGCAAAATCCCATCCCTACAAAAAATACACACAAAAAAATTAGCCGGGTGTGATGGTGCATGCCTGTGGTCCCAGCAACCTTGGGAGGTTGAGGTGGGAGGATCACCTGAGTCTGGGAGGTCGAGGCTGCCGTGAGCTGTGATTGTGCCACTGCACTCCAGCCTGAGCGACAGAGCAAGACCCTGTCTCAACAACAACAACAAAAAAATATAGGGCAATGTGAGAAAAACAGATAAGTTTGTAAAACAGACAAATAAAACTTTTATCAATGGAAAATCGTTGAACTTAATAGATGGGCAAAACAGATTAGACACAGCTTAGCAGGGAGTTCATGGGCTAGGAGGTGAACCTAAAGAAATCATCTAGAATGCAGCACAGAGAAATAACGACATGGAGCATATAAACAAGAGGTTAGGAGTCAAAAGAAGATATTAACAAGAAAGTTCGATATTCATCCAATTGTAGTTCCAAAGAAAGACTAGAAAGCAGTCGGGGGAAGCTGAGAATGTTCCAGAATTGAAAAAAGCTAAGAATCCTCATTTAGGAGAACTGCATTGATTCCCAAGCAAGATTAAAAAAAAAAATAAAACTTTCCTAACCTAAAAAGGTGATGGAACAGATGAATTATACAAGTTGTCTTTTCTGAATAACTTTCAATACCATGAAAGCAATTCTCATTTGCAATTAGATTAAGTACAAACTGGTACAAATGCAAGGGAGATGGCACAAATAACCCTCAGATTACCATTCTACCCGAAATTCCGCATCTTCACTTCACACAAAGATAGCAAAACAAAGGAGATTTATTTGCATTTCTATTTAAGCAGCATGTCTCGCTAAACTTTCTTTGAACTTTTCTGCACTAGGTCTGCACTGACATTGATGAGTGTCGAAATGGAGCGTGCGTTCCCAACTCGATCTGCGTTAATACTTTGGTAAGTATTTCTCACAGCTGTTGTTATCAAAGCAGAACCGGTTATTAAAACAAGTGTATGTTTATAGATCATAGCTTCCAAACACACCTAGAACATGTGGGCATAATATATTTGATTGGCAGAATAAAGGCAAAAGTTTGTGCTGAAAAAGTGTTTAATATGAGTAATTTTAAAAGTAATTTTTATGTAAGAATAATTTTATAAGTGCCAAGTTCTTTATTTTCTATCAAAGTTGCAATATTAGGCTATTAGATAACTATTTATTGAGTAAATAATTATTACTCCTGTATTTTAAAATTGTGAAGAGCTTGGTAGTTTATATTAATAGTTCAGTATTTTACTGGTGACTACACAATCCCCAAATGGCATTATTTATTTTCATAAAACTTTCAATCATGGGGTCAGGAGATCGAGACCATCCTGGCTAACATGGTTAAACCCCGTCTCTACTAAAAATAGAAAACAAAATTAGCCGGGCCTGGTGGCGGGTGCCTGTAGTCCCAGCTACTCTGGAGGCTGAAGCAGGAGAATGACATGAACCCGGCAGGCGGAGCTTGCAGTGAGCCGAGATCGCACCACTGCACTCCAGCCTGGGCGACAGAGCAAGACTCCCTCTCAAAAAAAAAAAAAAAAAAAAACTTTTCAAAACTTTTCATTGTATTAAATTAAAGTGCTTAGCACTTAGGGATGCCTATAACTTAAGTATTCAGATATGGGTTTTATTTCTGAAAGTTCCTGTCAAACTGTGTCCAAGATGAGAGATGTACCAGAGTTGACTATCAAGAAAAGAACTACTGATTACGTGTATGACTATTTGAAAGTTATCCAGCCTCTAGGTTCCTTGTTTCCTTGTAAGTAAAAACACTTTACATTTATCAAGTCACTTATTTTAATCCTCACAACAACCTCATAAACAGGGATTATTATTATCCCCATTTTACAATTGAAGAAACTGAGGGACAGAAATATTACATCATTAAGTCCAGGCATGGTGGAGCATGCCTATAGTCCCAGCTCCTCAGGAGGCTGAGGCCGAAGGATCATTTGGGTACAAGAGTAGTTTGAGGCTACAGTGAGCTGTGATCGCCACTGCACTCTAACCTGGGTGACAGAGGGAGACCCTGTCTCCAAAAAGAAAAAAAAGAAATGTTACGTATTTAGACTAAGGTCACACATCTTCCAGGTTGGCTACAGAGCCTGAGTTCTTCTCCGCAATGCTATATTGCTTAGGAATAGATGGGGATTTATTGCTTCTCAGCTTTTACCAGGACAAAGTAGTCTGCAAATAGATTTGCGAGATCTTGGTGTAAAGGTAATAACTGAGCCACCTAGAGAGAAGGAAAGTAGACAGTAAATAGAACTCCAGGAAACCCCAAAAACGAAGGACTAGGCCAAGGAAAAAGAGCAGAAGCCAGAAAAAGGAGCGAACTGATAGCACAGCCAGGGAGGCTGAAAGATCGAGACAAGTCATTGGAAAGCATGCATTGGATTTGGCAACTAAGAGGTTGTGAGTGACTTAAATCATTAAACAATATATATACTTCAAATGGATGTCTTTTACGACCTGTAAATGTTATGCCAATAAAACTGCATAAGATGAAAAAGATCTAATGTACAGCATGGTGACTGTAGTTAATAATACTATATTATATATATGAAATCTGCTAAGAGAGCAGATCTTAAGTGTTCTCACTGAAAAAGAAAAAAAGGAAGGTAACTATGTCAGTTGATGGATGTGTTACTTAACTGACTGTGGTAATCATTTCACAATGTATACGTATATCACATCATCACACTGCACACTTTAAATATATTCAGTTTTGTCAATTATACCTCAATAAAGATGAAAATTTTAATTTTCATTTTTTAAACATATTGTATAATATTTATTACATATATAGTGTGCAGTGTGATAATATATATTATATATATAAAAGCTAAAAAAACCTGGCCCCTGAAGTGTCATTGCAGCGGAGCTGACAGCTCATTTGTCAGTTTCTCAGCCTACCTCATCAGAAATTCTCAATGCAGGCCACCAGCATTTCTCTGTGCACCCATTCCTTTGTCATTCCATTGTAAAAGAGCCAAAGGAACAGCAATAAGAAAAATTAACTTGCTTTTTAAGCAGATCATCTCCCTGTCCCCAGAGTAAACTTCTCACACCACCTCCCAGGACTTCACTGGAACTTTTGACCTGTCCCCTATGCCCTCCACGGTGGCGCGGGCAACTCAGTGTCATTGGTTCACAGTCCAGCCTTCTTCCTTCACTTCTATTCCTTCTTTGTCTGAGTGGCCGGACGCAGCCTCCAGTCTGATGGTGTTTTCATCAACATTCACATGATCTTACATGTAAGCAAAGAAGAAGGCATGGATCTGATGCCTGATTCCTGCCAGCAATGAGTACCTGTGAAAATATACACAATAACTGTACCTTTGCTCAAACTGTACCTTTGCCCACAGCTTTCAGCTCATCACCTGATCTTTGTTCCTTGCAGGGATCTTACCGCTGTGGGCCTTGTAAGCCGGGGTATACTGGTGATCAGATAAGGGGATGCAAAGCGGAAAGAAACTGCAGAAACCCAGAGCTGAACCCTTGCAGTGTGAATGCCCAGTGCATTGAAGAGAGGCAGGGGGATGTGACATGTGTGGTAAGTTGTTTTTTGACTTCCTCTATCATTTTTCCTCTTCCATTTTTAACACCACCTCTCTCCAGTTTCTATGTGCTTCAGGGTAAAAGTACTCCAAAATGAAAGCATTGCAATTAAATGAGCATGGAGTGTAATAGGAACAGGGTCCACCGAGTTTGTGGGGAGCAGCCTGACATCCATCTAACCATCAGCTGCCTTTTCTCTCCCTCTTGGCTGGGGGGCAACCCTGTCCACTTGGGTACCTGGATGCCAGAGCCTCCGGTGAAGCCCCAGCTCCCAAGCACCTTCTATGGAAAGGCCCAGAAGCCAGCAGCAGGGAGGTGAAGGAACATTCTTCTCCCCTTTCCTTCTTCTGCCCCATCTACCTGCCTGTATAATGACAACATACCTGCTGTCATCTCTAACTGTCCTCATCCTTACAACTTCCAGAGTCTGTCTGCCTTGACGCTCCTGTTGGGGGTGGGCCATCGTGTAGAGGTGGGGACTGTCATAGTCCCTCCGGGAGAAACCTTCCGTCTTTGGCAGGTGACTGGCAGGGCCAGACGGCGCCATGCTGTATGTCTACCTCCACTCCAATCAGGGACAGCTCCATGAATGGTCACGCTTCCTGTGCATTCTCCAGCCACGGAGCTGGTCTGGGGAGGGGAGGCTGGGAAGAGAGTAGAGCAGTCACAGCAGGGCCTGACATGGGTCCCATGCTGAGCTTGTAGTGGGCCCTATGTGAAGGAGAGGGCATGCTCCTGCCATCCATTCCCAAATCCAAGGATCCAGAGTCCTCAGCCTGCCATCCATTCCCAAATCCAAGGATCCAGAGTCCTCAGCCTGCCATCCATTCCCAAGTCCAAGGATCCAGAGTCCTCAGCCTGCCATCCATTCCCAAATCCAAGGATCCAAAGTCCTGGGGATCCTAGGCACTGAAAAATCAGCAGACTTCAGCTGCCCCCCTCCTCTGCACTTCCTGGGATGCCAGGCCCTCGGCCGGTGGCCCGTCAGACTCTGGGGTCACTGGTTCACAGTGATCACCCCTGAGTAGCAAGATGGATTCTCGGAGCCCTTTTCCATCTTTATCTCAAAGTTATGCTTCTTTATCTTTATGCATACACAATTTTCCACAATGAGCCTACCACTTTTCAAATAGGAAAAATAAGAGTCAAAAATGAGTTAATAAATAAATATAATGAAGTCAGCCCTCCTTGGCAATACAGATATTCTGTAACAAGGTCAGATGGAAGAATGTGGTGTATCAGAGGGGGAATAACCCCAGCAATTTCCTGAATTCCTCATGGTTGGGCTTGTTTATTACCAAAAAGCAGTCATTGAGAAACAAGTGTATATCTCTGTTGAAATCCCCATTTTCTGTGAACAAATTGACAACTCCCCTGGGATGATGGGTGATGGGGCTCTTAATATGTTTTTGAATTTGTAATAAGGCACAACGACAGATGGTAAAGGATTAATAAACTTGGCGTGACTACTAAAATAATTGAATCTGCCAGAAAATAGCTCATTAAAAATGTATTTGTTCCTAGAGGACATTTTTTCCTCATTAAAGTGAGTCAAGGATCAGCCTCGTGGATCAGCCTTCCAGGCCTTCCAAAGGCCCTGCTGGGGCAAGTGAGCAGGAACCAGGAGCCCGGGAGGGTCTCTCTGGAGTTCTGCCTCCTAAATCCTGGTTGCAGAGGGAGAGCACAGATGATTGAGAATAAGCAGGCTGTGGCTGAGGAAGTCACTGGTCTGAAAGCTTTTGGGTGGTGAGGCCAGGAAATTTAACCTGTGCTCACATAAGTCTGATTTCCCTTGGCCCAGACTCTGCTCCTCAGACTCTCTCCCTCTTCCTTCCTTTACCTCCCGTCCCAGGTCAGCTTTCTCTCCCTCTGCGTTTCCAGTTCCCTGTGACCTTCTGGGTCCCCTCCTCCCATCTCCCTTCTGCTGCTCTGCCTGTTCCTGGAAGTGGGAGTGGGAGGGAGAGTTTTCTCTCTGAGTCTCCCTTTATATCTTTGAATAGTGAACCATTACACTATTCAAGTGCAATTAAATAGTTTCTAAGCCCCACCCAACAAGGCTGAGTGACTCTGGGCCCTCCCCCTGGGATTGAGCAAAGGAGCAGAGAGGCCCTTGTCAGCCACCAGCTTCCTGCCAGGCTCAGCTTCCCAGGCCTCTGATGGGCTTTCCCTTTACAGTGTGGAGTCGGTTGGGCTGGAGATGGCTATATCTGTGGAAAGGATGTGGACATCGACAGTTACCCCGACGAAGAACTGCCATGCTCTGCCAGGAACTGTAAAAAGGTAAGGGGTGTGGGGTGGCAGTAGGCACACATGCACTGTGGCTTTCCAAAGTCACATCTTCTATGGGGAGAGGTTCTGTGGATCTAATTTAAAATTGTACTTGTAAAGTAGCTGCATCTCAGAGGAAGTGAAACAGCCACCAACAATAAAGCCACAGTGTCTTGAGGTCAGAAACAGTTACTGGCTTAACACAAATGTAGGATGTCACTCGGAACTGCATTTTCCCCCTAAGGACAACTGCAAATATGTGCCAAATTCTGGCCAAGAAGATGCAGACAGAGATGGCATTGGCGACGCTTGTGACGAGGATGCTGACGGAGATGGGATCCTGAATGAGCAGGTACCTGCTTCGCTGGGAGGGCCTGTGAATTGCCACGTACCAGGGATGATGGGAGAAAGCCTGTGATGTCAACTATGTATATGAATCATCCCAAATGTTAGTTTCCATGCCTGCATTCCACAGCACTGCAGCTTTTTACCCTATAAGATTCACAGATGTTTGAAATATAAAACTGACAAACTTGGGCCACCAGAGTGCTGATGCTTCACAACAATGGAGGAAGTGGATTTAGTAAAAGTCTGAGTGATGTTCTGTCCTTTCATCTTTTAGGATAACTGTGTCCTGATTCATAATGTGGACCAAAGGAACAGCGATAAAGATATCTTTGGGGATGCCTGTGATAACTGCCTGAGTGTCTTAAATAACGACCAGAAAGACACCGATGGGGATGGAAGAGGAGATGCCTGTGATGATGACATGGATGGAGATGGTAGATTTATCTTGCTTTTGTCTTTTATTTGGAATTCAGTTGACCTTGTTCCATTGTTCTCTGAGAGAGTAGGAATAGAATGACTGATTCGGAGCCTTCCAGCTGTGGGTGGCTCATTGTGGCCTGCATCTGGAAGACCCAAGGTGGACTTGTGTCTATGGAAGGAGACCCCACAGCCCACTCCACTACCTAATGGCTCTGGATGTTTCCAGGACTCTGTATCATTGCCAGAAACTTTGTATGACCCCTTCAAGCAGTGTCTTGTCAGAGTGTGTCTTTATGGGGTATCTCCCTTCCCATTTCTACCTGTCCTCACTCTCCACTATCCTTTCTACATGTGAGAGACCCAGAAGTGGAGAACTGAATGAGAAGGCATTGAGCAGGGTCACAGACTATGCATCACAGGCTACACATCCCATTGTGGGCCCTTGAAGGAAAAACCTTTTTGAAATACCACCTGCCCCAACACACACATACACACACACACACACACACACACACACACATACACCACTCCAGAACATGCACACCCCCCTAAAACATGACCTCACCTTCTGCAAGCCTAACTGATGACCCATTTCCAGTGGTATATGCTGGTAAGCAAATCACAGAAAGCCCTAGTTGGTAGCATTTTCCAGTTTCCATGATGTAACTCCGCATTGTCCTCATTGCTGATTTCAAGCTACCAATGTGACATCATCAAACACAAAACTGAAAAGAGAGGGACACAATGGACCCAGCTCCAGCACAACACTGCCTAGAGCCCTAGGGTCTCAGTCATAGCTCAGATACCCACGAGATCCTCCCTCTCCAGGGTCAGCCATACAGCCATCATGATCCCCTCCTCGTGGTTGCTATCATAGCCCTTGACATCTTGGACAAATTAGAATTCAGTCGATAAATACCTCTGAGAGCTGTTCATTTTTAAGTCTCCCAGAATCCGTCCTTTGAAGCTACCTCTGGATAACTGCAGAAAAGGGTAGTCTCTGTGTGACACTGGCCCAGGCAGAAGTGACTCACCATGCGCCTGATCTCTCCAGCACCTAGAAGAAGTCAGTGACATTCCCCTGACTCAAGGTAGCATTTCTTTCTCACAGGAATAAAAAACATTCTGGACAACTGCCCAAAATTTCCCAATCGTGACCAACGGGACAAGGATGGTGATGGTGTGGGGGATGCCTGTGACAGTTGTCCTGATGTCAGCAACCCTAACCAGGTTAGTAGGATACTGGGGAATTCAAACTCCAGGCTGAATTCCTCTATGCAAAGACTCATTTAAGACGGGTGTCTAGAAAAACAGCAGAGCCTCTTAGCTGTTGCCACTTACCTAACAAAGCAGAGGTGGAAAAATGACACACTGTGGGCCTGAAGATGGTGGGATGAACACCACACAAGATCTGAAGCCCTAGGGACTATCTCCCAGGCTGTCGATTGCCTGTGAGGTTAGTAACACGAACTTCATGATGCTCAATACAAGTATTTTTCCTGCAGAAAGGAAAACGGAGCATGGAAATTAACCATTGGGAGCCTTGTGTCCCTTTAGTCCCTAAACCCCTACACAGCCTATGTATGGACATTTCAGATTAAGTTCAGCCAGGGATGTGTTGCATCTCCCTTCTCACTCCTCCTCCCTGTCTGGATAATTGGGTATGATGTGTCATTTATTTTTAAAGCCCTGAGAGAGGGGAGTCATGGTTGCCCTCTGTGACTCACTCATGATTTTGGCCAAATTGCAAATTGCAGAAGCAAAGCAAAATCAACCTGCCTTCTCCCCATGCCTATGGCTGGCTCCCTGTGACCCGTGCCAGAGTTCCATGCCTCCACCTGCCACCATGCTACCCCAGCGCCCCTTTCCAATCAGCTCATCTGGTGTGTGGGCAGCCCATCCATGTAGCTTGATATTTTAGAAGGCTTTTTTGAAAATTCAGCATTGTGCCTACACCAATATGGTGTTGTCCTTTTGCAGTTTTGCACCACCCCGGTTCCAGAGAAATAATTCCCCAAATCCAATGATGATGGGTGAGGTCTGCCTTCTCTGGAACATTCGGTACATGCAGGCCCAGGAATAAATAACATGTGCTGTTCTCTTTGCAGTCTGATGTGGATAATGATCTGGTTGGGGACTCCTGTGACACCAATCAGGACAGGTATGGCATGTCTCCCAACTGCAGAGAGACAGATGCAAACATCCGGAGAGGGTTTTTGGTTTGTTTTTTTTTTTGAGGCGGAGTCTCACTCTATCACCCAGGCTGGAGTACAGTGGTGCAATCTCGGCTCACTGCAAGCTCCGATTCCCAGGTTTATGCCATTCTTCTGCCTCAGCCTCCCAAGTAGCTGGGACTACAGGCGCCCGCTACCATGCCTGGCTAATTTTTTTGTATTTTCAGTAGAGACGGGGTTTCACCATGTTAGCCAGGATGGTCTCGATCTCCTGACCTTGTGATCTGCCCGCCTCGGCCTCCCAAAGTGCTGGGATTACAGGCGTGAGCCACTGTGCCCAGCCCGGAGAGGGTTTTAAATTTCAGAACTTCCTGCTGCTCCATTCCTTGGGATCTTTCTGGGTGGACTGAGCTGCTGGTGGGATAATAGCCCTGCCTCTGGTCAGAATTACCATGAAAATTCTCCCTGAAAGTTCTGTATAGGGTATAACGGTGTCAGAATAGGTTACTAGGCACTCCAGCAAGTGAGATCTATTTCAGGAGAGGTAATATAGCATCATGCTTCACAGATGGGCTCTGGAATAAGACAGCTAGATATAAATTTCAGCTCCTTCTCTTACATGCCAGCTAACCTTAGGCAAATTACCTAATACTTTTGCCTCAATTTTCTCATCTGTAAAATGAGGATGACAATAGATCTAGCTCATAGGACCATCGTGAAGATTGAGTTGATCCATGGAAAGTGCTCATTATGGTTTCTGTTATATACATAGCACTCAATAGACATTAGCTCTTTTATTTTTATATTCTTTCAGCTCAGGAAAACTTCACCATCATCCCAAAATAGAAGGCTGTCAGTTTGCTGAGGGATTGCTATTATTTCCTGGTCCTTGAAATTTTTTTAATTCAGTTTTCCTTATTTAAGTGGAATTGTTCTGTGGAAGTGAGTTTTGTGAACCCTCCTAGCTCAACACGATGGAGTCCCACATTAAGACTCAAGGCTGGATCAACTGATCAGATTCTGGAAGAACATCACCAAAAACAGACGTGTGTCACTCAGCCCTAGCGGCACCTGCAACCCAAGGTTCTAAACCCTTTTGTCTCCATAGGGAATTCTTACAAAGGCAGCCAGGACAAGGATGAGAGGGAAAGGATTCTAAAAGAGAAAGCAAAAAAAGATGCAATTTCTCTCCTGATACCTGGATCAGAGGTTGCCCTGCAGAAAACCAGTTCCTGACCCAAACCTTACTCAAGGACAGCTCCTATGAAGCCACAGCTCTCTCTCTCTTTTTTTTTTTTTTTGAGATGGAGTCTTGCTCTGTCACCCAGGCTGGCGTGATCTCGGCTCACTGCAACCTCCACCTCCTGGGTTCAAGCAATTCTCATGCCTCAGACTCCCACGTACCTGGGATTACAGGTGTGTGCCACCATGCTGGCTAATTTTTGTATTTTTAGTAGAGACAGAGTTTCACCATGTTGGCCAGGCTGGTCTCGAACTCCTGGCCTCAAGTGATCCACCTGCCTCATCCTCCCAAAGTGTGCATCTCTTTCATTATGCTCTGTGTCCTTGCTGCAAAGTACATATAGTCATCCCTCAGTGTCCCAGGGTATTGGTCCCAGGATACCCCTCTGCCCCCAGGATACCAAAATCCTCAAATACTCAAGTCCCTTATATAAAATGATGTAATATCTGCATATAACCTATACCTGTCCTCCTATATGCTTTAAAAATCCTCTCTAGATTACTTAATACCTAATACAATGTAAATGCTAGGTAAATAGTTATTATACTGCATTGGTTTCTTATTTGTATTTTTTTGGTGTTATTTTTTATTGTTCTTTTTCAAATCTTTTCAATCCTCAGTTGGTTGAATCTGCGGATACGGAACCGCGGATACAGAGGCCTGACTGTACTAGCTAAGTGAACTTAAACATATTTCCCAGTCTCTTCACATCTCAACTTCTTCATCTGCAAAGAGGAGATAAATAAATGCATCGCACAGGTTATGGTGAAAAATCAAGATAATGTAGGTAAAGCTCCCGGCACAGTGCTGGCCCAAGGGTGACATGCAGAAAACAGGGGCCGTGTTATTATTGGTATCACAGTACAAGGAAAGGCACATCAGCAACAGAGCCTGACATCAGATGTCCCTCTCCTCTTCCGAGAGGAAGGTGGGACTGTATCCTGACAACTGCCCTAAATGATGTGCGTCAAGAATGTTCCCTGGTGCAGGTCATCTTGCACTCTGACTACTATCTACATTAATTTCTAAAATATCCTGTCCCACCAGCCTCTAGATATTTGCCCAAAACAAATGACTCATTCTGCTATGTTTTAATTCCCACAAAGTTGAACCTTGGAGAAGAGGATAGGAACTGCTTGTTTTTGCATAAAAATGTTCAGGGCTACATAGAACGGCTGCTAATGGAAATAGCTCAGTCTTGTGTTTTATAAAGCAGACCTGCTGCATGCACAGGGATTCTGCTGTTTGAGCCACATCATTTTCTGCTTGTCAAGGCTGACTTCACTTTCACTGGACCCTTTCTGTCCCCCTGTACCATGTGGTAGGTGTGGCCCTAGAGCATGGTCTGGTCCCTGGCTTCCCTCTCCAAAAGGGTGCAGGGGCAGCTCCTGGCCCAGGACAGGCCGCAGGTGGACCAGGTCTAAAGGAGTGCTCATTCTTTTCCAGAGTAACCATGAGAGGTCTCAGACTCCAGGACACCTCTTGGAGGCAGGGCAGACTCATCTTCAGGTGGCCCCTCAGCCCAGAAAGTCAGGTGGACAGAGAAGGAGAGTTCTGAGAAGTCCTTTAGACCAGCACTGAGCCCGGCCTACACACTCTCCTCGAGAAGGCGTGGCCCTGTTCACTTTGCCCTTCTCCCCATGGCGTTCAGGTCTGAATCCTCATTGGATCCACTAGCCAGGGATTGTGAAGAGTAATATAACGGAAAACACTGTAGGGCTTCCTAAGAGTCAGCACTTTTTCATATATTGAAATTTAATATGCAACATTCTGATTTTCATCATTTAATCTCCATAACAACTCTATGAGGTAGGTACTATTCTCATTTTACAGATGAGGACACTGAGCCATAGAGAGGTCAGGTGTCATGCCTGAGGTCACACGCTGGGCACAGTGGCTGAGCCAGGATTTACACTGAGGCTGTCTGGTTCCACTGCCTGTCATTGTTCCCCTCACACATCCTCTGAGTTGAGTATCATCTAGCAGTTCCCAGGGACTGACTGATAGGAGCATCTGGTCATAAATCATAGAAATAGACCCTTATCTTCTTTAGTAGGAAATGACTCACTTGTTTTAAGAGGTTGGGGATGGGAAAATTGTCTCTGAGGCCCATAGGGCAGCCTTATCTAAGGGAATGACCCCAGTGGGTTTGATTTTAAGAGCCAACCCTGGTTTAAAAAAAACCTCAAGCACAGACTCTCCTTCCTAAAAATGGATCCTTCCTGTTCCCTGCTGAACTGTGAGCCACATCACCTGTCCTTTCTCCTGCAGTGATGGAGATGGGCACCAGGACAGCACAGACAACTGCCCCACCGTCATTAACAGTGCCCAGCTGGACACCGATAAGGATGGAATTGGTGACGAGTGTGATGATGATGATGACAATGATGGTATCCCAGACCTGGTGCCCCCTGGACCAGACAACTGCCGGCTGGTCCCCAACCCAGCCCAGGAGGATAGCAACAGTAAGCAGGCTCAGCCCAGAGCTGCACAGCACCCCTGGGCTCCCTTCAGCCAGGCACATGGGGGCACGCCTCTCTCCAGGCACCAACTCAGAATATCCCCAGCTCCCATCAGCTGCTTCTCTACACCCAGCTTCTCTGCATAGCTGCAGCTTGTGTGGACAGCAGATATCTGGTAGACACCAGTCTCCAACTCAGTCAGGACTGAGCTGCTTTGCATCTTCCTGAACAACCCTAGGATGCCATCACACAGGTCAGGGAAGCAGCCACACACTGTGGCTCAGTCCCCAAAGGGCTTGGAGAGCTGCTCCACCATCTTACCTGTCACCTGCCACCTTCCACTGGGAGTCCCAGAAAAGGAGCAGGATAGAGAGAATGGCACAGTAGAAGTGGTATATGCTGGGTTCACAAACACAGATGCCTGCAGGTGCCAGGCAGATAAGAAAATGTCTGCACCAAGCCAGACATGAGACAGCAGGGAGTGTTGGGGACTGAAGTGACCTGGAGAGGGCATGCCCATCCACAGCAGTGCACATGCAAAAATGCCAGCACGTTAGCTGAACAACACACACGTGGGGGCCACCAGAAGTTAGTGTTAGAGATATTCTGGTAACAATAATTTCCCTGTTTTCTACACATTACAGTCCAGAAAGTGCTGTAGACATTTGCTTATGTGAGGTCAAGCTTAAGATCCACCAGTTGGTGAACTCAACTGTAGGTAATAAGAACTTCTTGAGGACAGAGTGGAGGGCAACTGCTCAAATTGATCTTTCAAAAAACTCTGGGAGGACTGGCCTGGTCACCCAGTACAAGGACTCCAGAATGGGGCCTGGCACCAGCTCAGACATGTCCCCAGGGCTCCTCTCCCAACACTGATGGGAAATCATGGCCCTGGTTGTGGGAGCTTGAGCCCTTCTGTTCCTCATGCAGCCCCCTTCCCTGCCAAGGAGTGGCGGTGGGTGTGAGCGCTATTGAGCTCCTGTCCTTTCTCCACCCCACTCAGGCGACGGAGTGGGAGACATCTGTGAGTCTGACTTTGACCAGGACCAGGTCATCGATCGGATCGACGTCTGCCCAGAGAACGCAGAGGTCACCCTGACCGACTTCAGGGCTTACCAGACCGTGGTCCTGGATCCTGAAGGGGATGCCCAGATCGATCCCAACTGGGTGGTCCTGAACCAGGTGAGTGTCACATGGGCGGCAATGGCTCAGCCTTGCCTCTCAACAGAGGCCCTTCTGATAGTGGTAGGTCATGTTTAGAGGGTGCAGACAATAAGCCAGGCATTCTTCACATTCGCTCTTATTCCTCAACAGCCCTATGACAGACTACTTCAATTATGCCCATTTTACAGAGGATGAAATTGTCTGCTACAGCTTTCATGATTGTAGCAGCTTTAATGATGGTAGCACTGTGGTAAGTAGCTGAGATGACTGGAATTGGGACCCAGGCAGTCTGACCCTAGAACCCACACTTCTGATCTCTGCAGCAGACTGCCTTCTGCATATCCTCCTCATTGTGTAACTAAGAAGTGCAGGCACAGAGAGGCTTAGTAGATTTTCCAGAGTCACAGAGCAAGTCACATTGATTAGAAGTATATGTTGTATGCTCCCCAGTTAAGGGCCTGTCCAATCAGCTTAAGTGACAGTCTCAGCAAACTTATTTCTATTCAGCTTTGAGCTTTTTTTTAACCTTTACAAGCACATGCTTTCTTTGAGCACATAACACAATAGAGCAACTATTTCAGATAATGAAATCTTTATATGGAGGTCAGACATCACTGGCCACTCACTCATATGGTGCCTGAGGTTTTGAGCTTCCTTAAGGTTACTTGGCCCCTTCAAGACTGTTCTGAACTCCCTCAACTCTCTCTGCAGGGCATGGAGATTGTACAGACCATGAACAGTGATCCTGGCCTGGCAGTGGGTATGTCCAGGGCCTCAGTTGCCACTCACATAGAATTCTTCCAGCTACTAGTGTGGTTTGTCTATTGTTCTAATCTTATCTGGTCCCTACAGGGTACACAGCTTTTAATGGAGTTGACTTCGAAGGGACCTTCCATGTGAATACCCAGACAGATGATGACTATGCAGGCTTTATCTTTGGCTACCAAGATAGCTCCAGCTTCTACGTGGTCATGTGGAAGCAGACGGAGCAGACATATTGGCAAGCCACCCCATTCCGAGCAGTTGCAGAACCTGGCATTCAGCTCAAGGTATTGGTGGTTTGAAGTCATTCATCTCCCTTTCTTCTGGACCTCTCATCTTTTTTCAGATATTGTGTTTTCCCATGTGGTACTTAGTTAATCTAAAAAAAATTGATGCATTTATGCTAACGTTAGAGTCAGGGAAGACTACAGTTGACCCTTGCCTTCATTCCTGTGTGCCAGCTACATTCTAACCTCTCATGGTGGGAATCCCAGCCTACATGAGGTCAGAGAGAGGGAAGGTTTAGAGTGCATCTTCAGGCACACTGTGTTGGAAACTGGCTAATAAATTTCATCGATAGGTCCAACTTTGTACAGGAGGGCTGATGGGCTACTTCTGTCACTCCTGCTAGGACACAAGGCTGACTTAAGTAGCCAGACGTTTGATAGGAGCCCTCATTGGGCAAATGTAGGGAGCAATGGATGTGCAGCAGGAACAAACATGGAATGTGTAATGGAATACTGGGCAAGGCTTAGTAGTAAAAGGTTGGGGTCACCTCCATAGAAATGACATTTAAGTGTTTATGCTTTGTTCTGAATCCAAGGCAGCCGGATTATAACCATGACTATAACCTGGATCATCACTTCAGATCCAGGAAGCAGGAAGGGTGGTGCCTGTGTCCTGTCCTAAAACCTTGCTTGTGTCATCATGCAGGCTGTGAAGTCTAAGACAGGTCCAGGGGAGCATCTCCGGAACTCCCTGTGGCACACGGGGGACACCAGTGACCAGGTCAGGCTGCTGTGGAAGGACTCCAGGAATGTGGGCTGGAAGGACAAGGTGTCCTACCGCTGGTTCCTACAGCACAGGCCCCAGGTGGGCTACATCAGGTAGGTAGAGGCCCCATCTCCTTACCTTGCTCTAGAAGCAAAGCATTCTCCGTTCTGCATCCCAGAGCCTTCATTTCCCTGAGCAATTCTGACCTAGGATAGTCCCCAAGGACATGCCAGGACTTTTGTGACCGCAGGATGGGGAACCTAGAAAAGAGGTGGGAGAGAAGATATTCAGGGTCAGACCACCCGGACAGGACAGTAGGACCAAGATGGGGATAGAAGGAGCAGAGCTGAGGGGACGACCCAGCGTTGTGGGGTTGGTGCATTTGGATGGCTGTGCCCTTCTGCCATGCTCTGCAGAGAAGCCTGAGGGTGGACATGCCAATCGGTATGAGGTAAGAGGTGTGGCAGGGTCTCTTCTCCACACCCTCCCCTGTGGCACCTCTGGGCCCTGTGTAATCACTTACTAGTGCACATTTCACCCTGACTGCAGCACTATGTCCCTTACAGTCTGTCTTCCCTGCTGGATCACAAACTGCATGAGAGCAGCGCTTGTATCTTTTTTTTTTTTTTTTTTTTTTTTTGGAGACGGAATCCCACTCTGTTGCCAGGCAGGAGTACTGTGGCGTGATCTCAGCTCACTGCAACCTCCGCCTTCCTGGTTCAAGTGATTCTTCTGCCTCAGCCTCCCGAGTAGCTGGGATTACAGGCACGCGCCATCACGCCAGGCTAATTTTTGTATTTTTAGTAGAGATGGGGTTTCACCATGCTGGCCAGGCTGGTCTTGATCTCCTGACCTCGTGATCCACCCGCCTCGGCCTCCCAAAGTGCTGGGATTACAGGCATGGGCCACTGTGCCTAGCCATAGCTTATTATTTTATCTTGATCTCCCCAGTGCCTAGCACAAAGCCTGACATCTACTACACGTGGCATGAACTGATCATCATGTAGGCCAAAGTAGTCTGACTTCTTTCTTTATAGGACTTTTTTGTTGTTGTTTTTTAAGTATTCTCGGGAGTTAGGAGGCTTAGGGCTGTGTCTTTGAAATGTAGATAGTGTTCTTCTTCATTTGAACTTGCAGATCAACACCCATCCTAGCCTATGTAGGATATTTAGGAAGGAGTACTGAGTGCATTCTCCTCATCAGGGCAGGAAAGCAGCCTTGTGGAAAAAAGAAAATCATGAGGGCAAATTCATGTTTTGTTTCTCTTTGTGACATTATGTCAAATGTACTCTTTTTGTCTCACAGTGAGATGATCATGTTCTCAGCCCTATTAAGCCCAATGCCCCTTTTTTATTATAAATATTTTGAAATGCCCCCTTTTCCGTCCCAAAATGGAATCATAGAAATTACAACCTACCTACACGTATAATCTAGAAAATCAATGTGAGCCCTAACAATATCATAGAGAAATAAGAATAATTTATAACAAAATAATTTAAATATTTGAGCACAGCCACACCAGAAGACAAAATGAAACAGACACTTGCACCCATGCCTAGAATCACTACGAAGGTGACATTCTAACAGACTGTTGTGTCAGTGACTTAAATGTTTGTTACACTGGTTGATGACAGCAATGTAAATTTCTCAAATGGTACACATTTTAGAATGTTAATTTTCAAACAAATTTTCTCAATTTACCCTGGAAAATATAGTTTATATTAAAATTTGTGCAAAATATACTTGCTGTTTACAAGTGAAAGTGAGTCAGGTTCTAGGCCCTGATAGTTGCTCTTTACCTACCCTGGTGTCTGAGGAACACTCCAGAAGTGTATGGAATGCAGGACAGGTTTTGATTGTTCTCGCCAGGGCATTGCTCGCCATCCAGCATCCCTGGCTGCCATCACTCAGTGCCACTGTGACAACCCAAAGTGTCCCCACAGATTCCTCCAACTCTACTTAGGGAGTGCTGTCTCCTGTGGAGAATCATTGCTCTGAGATTCCACCAAAAGATATAAATCAGACCAAAGGAAAAGCCAAAGTTTTTAAGCATGGTATCTAGACAAGGCAACTCACATGACAATAAGACACAAAACTTTCTCACTCAAGATAGCAGGTTTGGTTTGGTTTGATTTTTAACTCAAGTTTGATAGTGTGACCAACATCATGTTAGGCCTTGTGAGAGACAGAAGTTGGGAAGAAACACCCCCCACCCCCCTCCACACACACACGGACACACACGGTCCCTGCCCTCAAGGACTTCCAGTCTAGTAAGTAAGTGGCAACAGCTACAGTACAATCCAGGTCAGCGAAAAATGGAGCCTAAAACAGAGCAAAGAAAGACGCAGGTACGTATAAGAAGTGGGGCCCCTGGGCCTCACAGTGGGCACTTTACCCCGGGTTGGATTTCATGGAGGCCCCTCCGGCCGTGTTGTCCGCAGGGTACGATTTTATGAAGGCTCTGAGTTGGTGGCTGACTCTGGCGTCACCATAGACACCACAATGCGTGGAGGCCGACTTGGCGTTTTCTGCTTCTCTCAAGAAAACATCATCTGGTCCAACCTCAAGTATCGCTGCAATGGTAATGTGCATTCTCGTTACTGTTCAACATTGTTACTAGAATTAGTCAAACACTGCCACCTTATTTTTATACCGCACTTCCCCCCCAAAAGCCCAACGCTCATACCACATAGTCATTAAAACCTGATAGTCCCTGTGTACCAGAAGTAAAAAGCAGATCACATTTATCCTATTTTATCCATGTGGAAATTAAGACCCATAGAATTTAACTGCATGGTTTAGGGTTTGGGGTTCAGTGAGAAATCCAGTCAGATTTAATTTACAGGAAGCCTTTATTTTCATGTGGTTAAAACATAATCACAGATGCAAAATCCATTCTGCCTGCTGATTTTCTGCACGGCCGGGAAGGAGCACTCCTGGGCTTTAAGCCAACGGTTTGCAAAGCAGCCTGCAGGAGAAAATGGCGGCGAGGGCCTGCGGGGCGTCCTGGGCGGGCTAACAGCGCCCCCTACAGGACGCCTGAGCCGCGGGCGGGGGTCCGGGGTCCGGGGTGGAAGGAGCCTCGCTAACCTCCCTGTGCCCATTCCTATTGCAGACACCATCCCTGAGGACTTCCAAGAGTTTCAAACCCAGAATTTCGACCGCTTCGATAATTAAACCAAGGAAGCAATCTGTAACTGCTTTTCGGAACACTAAAACCATATATATTTTAACTTCAATTTTCTTTAGCTTTTACCAACCCAAATATATCAAAACGTTTTATGTGAATGTGGCAATAAAGGAGAAGAGATCATTTTTAAAAACCGTGTTGCTCAGACATTGCTCTCACGTGGCTCAGGCTTTGAGGTGCCCGTTCTCGGAGGGATCCCTGTTAACTTGCAGGGTGGTAGTTTCTTCTCAGACCCGGTGGCCGATAAGATGAGCCTATGCGTGAATCACAAGGCCCAGGCCAGAGGTCTCAGCTGGGGTCCCCCCAGTTTGCTCCATACAAAACGCCTAACCGTTCCATGCTCACCTTGGCAGCCTCCTTATTTCGGGTAAGGGGTCTCAGAAACACGTGTTTGGGGTGGCACCTTCCCTAGGGAGGCGTTTTTCTGACCTAGTCCTGGGACAGATTTGCCCAATTCTTTCTGATGCTGTCATCCCATCCCACACCTTCCACAGACTTCTATTCTGGCCCCTTCAACGTAATTCTTAAGCTTATTTATATATTTGGCTCCCCCTAGTGGACTGTAAGCATATTGACAATAAAGGATCATGTCATTACAATCAATATCCCCACAGTACCTGGAATGTAGTAAATAGCCAGTAAATGTTTACTGAATTAATAAACGAAGAATGAATGAATGAATGCCTCTTAAAGGACAGTAGAGTGTACATGATCATAAAAGTCCTCCTCAACTCAAAAAGTCACAACATATCCTCTATTTGTGGTACCAGTAGCTGGATGTACAGCACAGAAACTTGCCTAATTTGTACACTAGCCTTTCTTGTATTTCAATTGTAAATCAAGATCCAAGCAAATTTTTATAAATTCTCTAGAAATTTTGTTTCAAAGAATATTGCTGTGCGGTTATATATTTTCTTATTCCAGAATTCCTAGAGATATATTAAATCATGTATGAAGAAAAAAACACCACAGTTTTATCATGACTTTAACAGTGAGAAAATACAATGGTGCATGCATGAGATCTGGAGGATTTCTGGACATCCTCCTCTCATGTACAGCCTGGAGATGTGTGTGGCCTTGTAATCCAGGACATCTGATCTCCTACATCAAAAACTCCAATGGGGCCAGGTGTGGTGGCACTTGCCTGTGGTCCCAAGCACTTTGGGAGGCCAAGGCAGGCAGATCACTTGAGGCCAGGAGTTCAAGACCAGCCTGGCCAACGTGGCGAAACCCATCTCTACTAAAAATACAAAAATTAGCCAGGTGTGGTGCCACTTGCCTATAGTCCCAGCTATTTGGGAGGTTGAAGTGGGAGAATCACTTGAGCTGGGGAGGCAGAGGCTGCAGTGAGCAGAGATTGCACCACTGTACTCCAGCCTGGGCAATGAGAGTGAGGCTGGTGAAAGGAGGCAGCAACCCACACCATGCCCACCCCTGGGGCAGCCTCCCTGTTGTCGGCTGTGCAAGCCCAAGAACGCAGTATGTCCACAGGAAACAGACTCTCTTGGTTAAATCTTTTGTGTCTATAACTATTTTAGAAACCATGGGCCCACAGGAGATCCAGAACATAATTCCATCCCTTAGGGAGCTTATTACATTTTTGGGAAGACAAAACTTGTTATTTATGCAAAACAAGAAACAAAGACGCATGTAGAACCAGCAGTGTGCTGAAGCCAACTCCTACCAGCTCATAAGAGCCAACTATTCAAGTTTTAGGAATATTGTGAGCCAGTTAAACGGTTGGTAGTTTGAAATTGGCCATGGTGGGAGTATTTACACAGAAACTGGCAAACACTACAAATCAGGGCTCCAGAGAACTGGTTGTTAAATATTTATCAGCACACAAGTGATTATTCTACCTTGTCCTATTCCTAGTTGGCCCTCCTTATATTTTTGAAGCTGATGTAGAAAACTTGAGGCTTTCAGAAAATTTCTTGCATAAGAAATGAAGTAAGAAAAGTGAAAATGGGTGGGGTGCTATGGCTCACACCTGTAATCCTAGCACTTTGGGAGGCCTAGGTGGGAGGATCGCTTGAGGTCAGGAGTTTGGGACCAGTCTGGCCAACATGGTAAAACCCCATCTCTACTAAAAATACAAAAATTAGGCCAGGTGCAGTGGCTCCTGCCTATACTCCCAGCTCCTCAGGTGGCTGAAGCACAAGAATCTCTTGAACCCGGGAGGCGGAGGTTGCAGTGAGCTGAGATCGTGCCACTGCACTCCAGCCTGGGCGACAGAGCAAGACGTGTCTCCAAAAACAAAAACAAAAAAAAAAAAAAGTGAAAATCAGGAAGCACTTGAGAGAAGCTAGCCAGTTGCAGACTGACGGGATGAGCTAGCAGGTGTGGTATGCTCTCCCCCAGGTAACTCCCTGGGCTTCTTGGATACTTGTTATACTCAACCTTAGCACAATGACTCAAATTCCTATTACAGTTCCATTAGGTTAGTAAGAGCCTCATTTGAATCTTACACCTCTAGGACTGAGTGGCCATCAGTCTCTCACCAACTAGTATGAATTCATTCCAATGCCCATTCACCTCCTGACTTTTCATGGAGATCGAGAAGACTGAGGAGCTGGGCATGGTGGTGTGCACCTGTGGTCCTGGCTACCTGGGAGGCTGAATGGGGAGGATCACTTGAGCCCAGGAGTTCAAGTCCAGCATGGGCAACATAGCAAGATCCTGTCTCACTTTTTTTTTTTTTTTTTAAGTACTGGGGGAATGGGAGGCGTGGCTGGGAAAGAAAAGAGGCATTGTCACTGTGGGGGAATGGGAGGCGTGGCTGGGAAAGAAAAGAGGCATTGTCACTGTAGGGAAAAGATCATGGCTGAGTAGAATCCCACGGGAAGTGTGGGAGATCTCTGGGGGCAGGATGAGGGCACTGGGGGCAGCCAGAGGAGGCCTGGGGGCATGGGAGCAGGTGCACAAAGGGATGTGCAGCCCTTTTTGCCTACACTCAAGAAAAAGGAAAAAAAAACTCTTCCTTCTCCCCATCCAGGTTATTAGTCCTAGGCTCCAGAAGTATTATGGTGATTATCCTTAGGTTAATTTTGGAGACAGGCTATAGAGTTAAAGAGAATGAGGAAGATATAGAATCCAGCCACCTGCTATTGAAACATCTGTAGGCATTTTTTATTGCCTAGGCTAGAAGATAACTGGGAACAGACTCAAGCAGCAAAAAAGAATCTGGTCCAGAAGTGAGGCCGTGGGCAAACTAGATACTGTACAGCATAAATCTAGGGGTGAGAGGTGGGGTGCCCCTGTTTGGGATACACGCCTGGGGTCCCCAGTAACATCGGGACTGTAAGGGTGGCTCAACCTTTCAGTGGCATGAAGAAACCCCCTGCAGTGTCCACAGCTCCGCATCTTACAGCCCCGCCCAATTTGGTCATAGGCAACCTCAGGAGACAGAGACGCTCACCCCAAATTTCCTGGGGCAGTATAGTTTCCACAGTGGGTGAGGGTGTTTTATTCCAGAGAAATAATTCTAGTACTATAGAATTAAGTATAGAGATGATGAAGTAAATTGGACCCATCATCCTAATATTTTTGTGTGGTGTTGGGGAATTATGTTTGAATATGTGGCAACGTACTTGAAATATCTAAGAGAATTTGGCATAATTAGAGAATGCAAATTGAACTTGTGATTCCAGTATAGAATGCAGACAGATGCTCTTCACCTTAAAATGGGGCTATGTCCTAATAAATCCGTAAGTTGAACATATCTTAAGTCCAAAGTGCATTTAGTACTCCAATAAACCCAAGTCAAAAGTTTAAGTCATCCATCATGAAGTCCAGATACTCCTCAATTTAAATAGGGTTATGTTTTGATAAAAATCGTCAAACCATCATTAGTTGGGAGTTGTTTATAGTTGAATATTTGGTTTATCATCATCATCATTATTAGTATTATTGAGACAGGATCTCACTGTCGCTCAGGCTGCAGTGCAGTGGTGCAGTCTCAGCTCACTGCAGCCTCAACCTCCTGGCTCAAATAGTCCTTCCACCTCAGCCTTCCAAGTAGCTAAGACTTACAGGCTCATACCACCATATCCAGCTAATTTTTTCTATTTTTTTTTGTAAAGATGGGGTCTTACTGTGTTGCCCAGGCTGGTCTCAAACTCCTGGGCTCAAATGATCCTCCTGCCTTGGCCTCCCAAAGATAGTATTTGATTTTAGACTTGTGATTTTAAGTCAGAAGGTAGGAGAATTTGGTTGAATATGAAAATATTGAGATGATTAAGATAATTTCTCATCCATTATATACATTTTTTAAATTTACAAGTTATATAAGCACATAGGTAGGTTTCATCAAATGACAAAAAAATGCATAAATGAAATTTAAATATATTGTTTTTAATGTTACAAATTAGCATAGTATGTCATAAATTAATATATTACATTTATAAATGGGATTTAGAGTGTTTAAGGAAATTTAATTAAGTTTGCAAATGGGACTAAACATTAATCAAAAGCCTAAAAGTGATTATATATTTTGCTATAGAGTAATAAGTAGATTTGCATATTTATAGAATATAGTAAAGTAATACGATTTTTAAGTTGAATTTTTTAACTTAAGGTTTTGTAATTTGTAACTTTAATCAGATACTAATTTTAAAACCAAAGTCACCATAAATTGTGTTTTCTGTAAAAGACAACCTTTCCTTCAGGAATAAGGAATGCCTCCTACAAGCTCCACATTTTACCACCTCGCCCAAATCGTTGGTTAATAACCTCAGACAATTGACATGCACCCCAAATTTCCTGAGGCAGTAGAGTTTCCTTAGTGGAGAAGGGTCTTTTATTCCTGAGAAATAATTCTACAATTGTAGAACTAAGTACAGATATGCTGAAGTCAATTGGACCCATCATCCTAATATTTTTGTGTGGTGCTTGGGAATTATGTTTGTATATGTGCCAAAGTACTTGAAATATCTAAGAGAATTTGGCATACAGAATGCAATAAATTCAATGTGGGATTCTAGTTTAAAATGCATACAGATGCTCCCTTACTTACCATGTAGTTACATCCTGGGATAAACCCACGGCAAGTCAGAAATATCATAAGTGAAAATGCATTTTATATATATATATATATATATATATATATTTTTTTTTTTTTTTTTTTTTTTAGATGGAGTCTTGCTCTCTCGCCCAGGCTGGAGTGCAGTGGTGCGATCTCGGCTCACTGCAAGCTCCGCCTCCTGGCTTCACGCCATTCTTCTGCCTCAGCCTCCCGAGTAGCTGGGACCACAGACACCCACCACCACACCCAGCTAATTTTTTGTATTTTTTTAGTAAAGATGGGGTTTCACCGTGTTAGCCAGCATGGCATTTAATATCTTGATAAGCCCATCATAAAGTCAAAAAAATCTTAAGTCAAACCATTATAAGTTGGGGATTGTCTGTAGTTGAGTATTTGATTTCAGACTTCTGATTTTAAATCAGAAGGTAGGGAGAATTTGGTTGAATATGTAAATGATACTGAGGTGGTTCAGATAATTTATAATCCACTGTATAAATTTTTTTAATTTACAAGGGTTATTTAAGTGCGTAGGCAGGTTTTGTCAGACAAGTGACATAAAAATAAAACATTATAAATGCAATTTAAATTTAGTTTATAATGTATTACAAATTAGCATAGTATATTGTTATAAATATATTAAATTTATAAATGGAATTTAGAGCATTTAAAGAAATTTAATTAAGTTTACAAATGGCACTAGACAATCAAAAGCTTACAAGTGATTATAAATTTTGCTATAAAGTAATAAGTAGATTTGTATATTTATAGATGTAGTAGAGTCGTAAGATTTTTAAGTTGAACTTCTATACTTAAGGTTTTGTAATTTGTAACTTTAATCAAACATTAATTTTAAAAACCAGTCACCATAAATTGTGTTTTCTGTGTATGAAAGCTACCCTTATAAGCAAATAACAAAATCAATAAAAAACAGCACAGTGACAGTCAGCACTGATTTTTTTTTTATTGAGGGGTGGAGATCTGGAGAACTGCATCCTCAATTCCAAATAAGGGGCTAACAATCATCCCAGAACACTGCCCTTTTCTACATTGGGGACTGTCACCGCACAGAGGGATTAAGGACCTTGATTCAGCTCTCCCTGACTCCAGGGCATCACCAAGCAGCTGGCTGCAGCAACGCTGGGGGCCTGAGCTATCCTGCTGTCAGCTCTCAAACCCCTCATTTTCCAGGACACATGGCCTGAAGAATGCACTAGCCCCAACTTGGGGCCCTGGTGTGGCGATGTGGCAAGGAGCACCTCTCTCTTCTCCCTACTACATCAAAAATTTTAAGGATGCCTAAACATGTCTGCTTATCTGGAGGGCTGGGGTGAATGAGACGTCCAGAATGAAAGCTCTCCTATTCTGACTGCGCCACCTGACTGAGAAGTAACTTTAGCTTATTTCCTTGGCTCATCATAAAAGAACGAAAAGTATTTTCCTCACATTGTCTACCTCCTCAACTATGGAGTGGACATGCATCCACGCCTTCAACTCAGGTCTTTGAGAAAAACAACTTTATTTCCCAAATTTCACCTTGTTTTTCTTCTGAGAACTTATTGTGCCAAACTCAAGAGAAACATAACCTCAGTCTTTCTTGGGGTTCCCATTCTTCTTCCAGAATCAAGACTCTAGGATGTCTTCTCAGAACCAAGGTGTTTGGGGAGGGGGACATCTATCCACACAGATTCCTTCTAACGTGACCATAGTCAGCACCCACCCCCCATACTCTAACAGACCACACTGGGGACCTCAAATCTGTGTGAACCTTTGCAGCCATTCCTTTACTGGCCCCTTACCTATGGACTGCAGAAAGCTCCCACAGGCCTCCCTTCCTTCTCTCTCAGCATGGGAGAATCCTTCTCAAGTATGAGGAGGGAAGCCTTATTCTCCCTTTTGCTTTTGGCCAAGAAATCTTATCCATTCCCGGTGTTCCTTCACTTACGCCCTGCTATGACTTGAATGTGCCCCCTGAAGTTCATGTGTTGGAAACTTAATCCCTAATACAACACTTTTGAAAATTAAGGCCTAGTGGGAGGTGTTTAATTCATGAGGGCAGAGCCCTTGTGAATGGATTAATGTCAGTTATAAAAGACCTTGAGGCTGTGAGTTCCATTTCTTGCTCTCTTATACTCTCTGCCCCTCCATCTTCCACCAGGGGATGACACAGCACAAAGGTCTTTACCAGATACCAGCACTTGATCTATCTTGGACTTCCCAACCTCCCATGTAAAATAAATTTCCTTTCTTTGTAAGTCACCCCATCTATGGTATTCTGTTATAGCAATACAAAATGGACTAAGACACTCCCACAAACCCCAGACTTCGACTATGGGCTTAGCTCTGGGTACACAAAAACTAGAACAGTTTGCAAGCTGGCTCTGACTCACACCACCACAGCCTCACTGAAATAGTGGGCCCAGAGTCCACTCTGCCAGAATGGGAGGACTGGGGCAAAGGGAAATATGAAAAGGAAATGGGTCAATATCTCAAAGTGCTACCACAACATATTGTGAACAACTTCAATAGCTAATTTTAAAAAATTCTTTTTTAGAAATGAGGTCTCACTATGTTACCCAGGCTGGTCTCACACTCCTGGGCTCAAGCAATCCTCCCACCTCAGCCTCCCAAAGTGCTGGGATTACAGGCATGAGCCACCACACGTGGCCTCCTACTGTTTAGATTTGTTCCTAAAAGATGCCTATGTTTAAACCAGGCCAGATCACTCACCCTAGAAATTCCACAAATAACCAATGAGCTGATGGCTCCAGGCAGACGGGTGGCTGAGCCCAGTTCCCATCCTGGCCTGGAGGAGGAGACCTAGGAAGTCACAGCTTAGGATACACTGGGGCGGGCGGGAAGGTTTGCTTTTATCCATCATCCAAGCTGTGATTCAGCGCATAAGTCTCCCTTTCATTAAGTTTAACTTGTTGAGTAACATTAAATTTATATACTGCAAAGCACAATAGAATTTCACTGCTGTGAACATACGCGTTCACAAGCATCATCCAACTAAGTGTGAGCATCTGCTGCCTCATTGGGGGTATTTACTAGTCATTCATTATTTATTTATTTATTTATTTTTGAGACGGAACCTTGCTCTGTCGCCCAGGCTGGAGTGCAGTGGTGTGATCTCGGCTCACTGCAAGCTCCGCCCCCCGGGTTCACACCATTCTCCTGTCTCAGCCTCCCGAGTAGCTGGGACGACGGGCACTCGCCACCACTCCCGGCTATTTTTTTTTGTATTTTTAGTAGAGACGAGGTTTCACCGTGTTAGCCAGGATGGTCTCGATCTCCTGACCTTGTGATCCGCCCATCTCGGCCTCCCAAAGTGCTGGGATTACAGGCGTGAGCCACCGCGCCCGGCCTAGTTATTTATTTTGCAGCACCTATTAGAGTAAACAGTAGCAGATATCTAATGTCTAAGAAAAATTTATGGAAGGAAGATTTGAACGAAAAATTTTCTCCATTAGCATATTTTTAAGGAGTTTTCCTCACAACAATTCCATCCCACTCCTACCCCTCCTACCAGAATTCTGAGGATCAGGGCTTGAGAACTAACATCTCCAAAGTCCCAGTAGCTCTGTGGTTTTCTACAGGCTCCTGGAGGATAAGGACCGTGCCATGTTTATCTCACCCTCCACCTCTCAATAAAGTACAAATTTGTGGAATTGGCGAGGCCAAGAGGCCTCAAATTCTTGTATCTTTCATATCATCCACTAGGGGGCAGCAATCCTCTAAAAATAGCCCCTAAACCAGCCACTTTTTTAGCTAAAAGATGACTAAATTTCATTAAAAGTAGAATAACAAACGCCTGTAATCCCAGCACTTTGGCAGGCCGAGGCGGGCGGATCACGAGGTCCGGAGACCGAGACCATCCTGGCCAACACGGTGAAACCCCATCCCTACTAAAAATACAAAAATTAGCTGGGTGCGGTGGCTTGCGCCTGTAGTCCCAGCTACTCTGGAGGCTGAGGCAGGAGAATCGCTTGAACCCGGGGAGCGGAGGTTGCAGTGAGCTGAGACCGCGCCACTGCACTCCAGCCTGGGCAACAGAGCAAGTATGTGTCTCAGGAAAAAAAAAAAAAAAAAAAAGAATAACAACAACTACAATTTATTAAACACTTACTCTGCTCCTAGCACTATGTTATATGCTAATAGTTCAGGGCTTAAGAACAATTTTATTGGCCAGGAGTGGTGTCTCATGCCTGAAATCTTACCACTTTGGGAAGGTGAGGCAGGAGGATCGCCTCAGCTCAGGAATTTGAGACCAGCCTGGGCAACATAGTGAGACCTATCTCTACTGAGAATGTTTTAATAATTCGTCAGGCATGGTGGTGTGCACTGTAGTCCCAGCTACTTGGGAGGCTGAGATGGGAGGATTACTTGAGCCTGAGTGGACAGGCTGCAGTGAGCTATGATTGCACCCCTGCCCTTCAGCCTGGGTGACAGAGCAAGACCCTGTCTAAAAAAAAAGAACTCTTATTTATCAAAACGAACATCTCAACAAAAAGCAACAACCACCACATAGGAAGGAAACCACCACCTAAACGTGAATTATTGCAACTTAGTCTCTGAACGAACACTGAAGCCTCGCTTTCTTTTAGGTATTGCTTCGCAAAGACTTCTGCCTTGTCCCTCAGCCTAAATTCACAGGATAGAGTCTTCTCCATGAGCAAAGCAAAGAGCCATTCATCTATCCACTCATCATTCACTCATTCTTCAGACACACACTGAGCAATTACTACATACCAGGCACTGTGCTAGATACTGGGAGGGATTTTAAAAGTACACAAAGCCAGTCCATTTTAGTCCAGGCCTCTGTATGACTGAAAGCCTTTGTCTTACTATTAATAATACTGATCATAACTGCAAAATTATAGTGTAGTTTAGAATTAAATGAACCTGGCCGGGCGCAGTGGCTCAAGCCTGTGATCCCAGCACTTTAGGAGGTGGAGGCGGGCAGATCACTTGAGGTTAGGAGTTTGAGACCAGCCTGGGCAACATGGCAAAACCCATCTCTACTAAAAATACAAAAATTAGCCACGTGTGGTGGCATGCACCTGTAGTCCCAGCTACTTGGGAAGCTGAGACAGGAGAATCACTTGAACCTTGGATGCAGAGGTTGCAGTAAGATTGTGCCACTGCACTCCAGCCTGGGCAGCAGAGGGGGATTCCATCTCAAAAAAAAAAGAATTAAATGCACCTCAAAGCCAACCACTAGATTCTCTCGCTCTGTTTAGAAGACATTTGTTTGTTGTAAGAACCCAGACTTAATCCTGAGAGGTTTTAGCGGGGTCTAAAGAGAGCCTCGTCCTAAACATCCCTGCCAGGAAGAACACTTCCAGGGAGCAGGGGGCAGGCAGCTTCCTGGCCCAGGACAGTCTGCATGACCTAAATTACTTGAGTCAAAAATTCTTTGGGCCATATAGTGTTTTGGTGGTTGCTGTTGGGTTTTCTATTTGCTAACTTGAGCAAACATTTAAAATTTGAGTGTTTTTAGACAAAAACCTGGATTTCCAACTTCTCTTTAAAAAGTCAAAAGCTCCAGCCTCCATCTGCATTCACGCACAGGAACCTTGAAAAGGGCCTGTGTTGTCCATGCACCGCAGTGTCCACACATGTAAGTTTCTACCTGACTCTGTAAGTGATCGAGTATGAGAGTCCGTACTTGGGATTTCCCAGGTACCCTGTGCGGCCTGCAGGGGATATGGAGAAGGTTGGGACTCAACCCCTCTTGTGGCAGGCCAGGTCTCACGAATAGCTAAACAGGCAGGCCTCCATGACAACTGTTTCAGCACTGACTGAGTGCTTAGGTTAAACATTAAAGGCTGCAAGAGCCAGTGTCCTTACACAAAGGCTGGAATGTGACAAAAGCCACCAAGAGTCTTGCCTAGGCCTTTCCTGGGCCTTGAAGCATGACAAGATAACAAAGAAATTCTTACATTCCTCGTACCCACGTTTAGGATTAAACACGTTTTATTAGGGGTCAGCAAAGAACTCCCCAGACCGCCATAACTCAGCGGGAGGCAAGATAAGGGTAATCACCCCCAGCACCTGGACCCATCTAGATTAAATAAACTTACTGAGGCTCCGGAGGAAGGTCTCCAGGACTCAGATCTTAGTTATGGATTACAGGGAATCAGTCACTTGTGTCTTTTGATGAATCCACACTTACATGTAGACATATAGCTTCATATAAGCACTGGAAAACTTTGTAAATATGAGTCGGTCTGGTGATATTTTCCTGGCCTTCTGCCTGTACCGGGTTACAGAAATAAACTCTCTTCTTTCCCAGTTTATCTGCATCTCATTACTGGGCCATGAGAACAAGCAGCCCAACCCTCAGTTCAGTCTGGGAACACTCTGGCTAACAACCTGTTAGGGGTTGTCACCACTGCCTGGAGAGGATAGGGGTACACTGGGGGCCAGCCGACAGGAGCTGAGGTCTCAGGTAGAAGATTCCTACCTTATCAATAGATGGAAAGAGATTCAAACCCAGCATCACTGACTCTGGTTCCAAAATCTGAAATTCTTTTATAGCGACAGCACACATTCACCAGGTATGCAGAGAAGAGTTAACAGCAGGTCCGAGATGGCTGCTGATCTTTAGTTAGAAAGGCCTAATTGCAAAGTTGGCCCTTGGCTGGTATCTGAGCACTTGGCTTTCCAGAGTGTTCCCACCATTTCTGAAACTGATAAGAGTGGTTCACCATGTCTTGACTGTACAGTGTGGTTTATGCTGAGCATCTGCTTTCTTTCTGGGAGTTGGAATTTTGGTACATGGTAGGGAGAAGGTGCCTACAAGACGAGACCCTAATAAAAACCCTGGGTGTTGAGTCTCTAATGAGCTTCCCTTGTGGCCAACATTTCATATCCCTTGTCACAACTCATTGCTGGGGAAATTAAGCACATATTATGTGACTTCCACCTGGAGAAGACTCTTGGTAGCTTGCCCCCCTGGTTTTCTCTGGACTTGGCCCCATACACTTTTCTTTCTTTTTTTTTTTTGGTGCTGATTTTGCCCTGTATCCTTTCACTGTAATAAATTATAACTGTAAGAATAACTAGATGCTGAGTTATGCTTCAGCCAATCACTAGATTCTATTTAGAGGGCATTTGTTTATTTGAAGAACTCAGACTTACTTAATCCTGAGAGTTTTTACCTGGGTCCAAAGAGAGCCTTGTTCTAAACATCCCTGTCTAGAAAGCCTCCGATGAGACTTTCTAGCAAACCACTTAAATGTAGTGGTCTTGGAGACCCCGAAACATCAGTCAACTATCTCCAACAACTGAAAGAGGCTTTGGGCTTACAAAGTGCAAAGAATAATTGAGGTGCTAGGTCATCACAGGCATCACTAATGAGAAAATAATGGAAAACAGGGGCCTAAAAGTTGAGGCCAATCACCACAAAACACCTGCAGAGCTGGAGAAGCAAAACTCAAAGTGGAGACCCCTGAGATTGGACACATGACAAGGGACAGAGTCTAACTGAAGTGGTTTATTTGGTTAGTCTCATACCTAGAGAAATTTAAGGTGAGGCAGTCACCCCCAATACCAGCTCTACCCTTCTTTCATAGTCATAGTGTCCCAAATTTTTGCAGGAACCCAGATGCCCAGAATAAAAGATTATACTTCCCAGGTGAGTTGTGGCCATCTAAGTTCTGATCAGTGGCATATAAGCAAAAAAGTTCATGGTAGCTTCTGGGAATCTTCTTCTAAAGAGGGTTAATTTTTTTTTTTTTTTTTAAATGGAGTCTCACTCTGTTGCCAGGCTGGGGTGCAGTGGTGCAATCTTAGCTCACTGCAACCTCCGCCTCCCGGGTTCAAGTGATTCTCCTGCCTCAGCCTCCCAAGTAGCTGGGATTACAGGCATGCACCACCACACCCGGCTAGGTTTCACCATGTTGGCCAGGATGGTCTCGGTCTCTTGACCTCATGATCTACCTGCCTCGGCCTCCGAAAGTGCTGGGATTACAAGCGTGAGTCACCACGCCCAGCCAGATCATTAATATTTCTTATTCGTCCTCTTATCCCTCCTCCTAGGCTGGAATATGGATATAATAGCTGGAGTTCCAGAGGCTGTCTTGAGTTGATGAGAAAGCCTTGGGAATAGAAGCGTCATCACAGAGAACAAGATAGAACTGACACCGTGGAGTAACATACCAGTAACAGACCATAAGATTTCTATCACTGGACTTTGTGGACATGAAAAATCTCCATCTGTTCTTGGGGCTTTACTGTTACTTCCAGCTAAATTTAATCCTCCTTAATGCAAAAGAAATTCCGGATGGGGAAGTGTTTATAAAGTCATGTATCCAGAACCATAGACTCACCAAATCTTAGATCTGAAGAGTCATCAGGAAGCTTTTTGTTTCAGCCTTTTCATTTTACAGTTGGAAAAACTGAGGCCTAGTCACCTCTGTGGTTTGTCAGGGTTACATGGCTAGTTAGGAGCAAAACTGAGGCCAGATCCCAGGTTTTGGGGCTACAGGCTCATGGTTCTCATTTTCCTGCTATGAGAACTGCCTCAGGTAGGCCAGGGCAGGGGTAAAGTCCAAAAGGGGGTTTCTGTCTAGAGGACTCAAAGAAAAAGCAGTGTCGGATTGCCGTAGCTCACGCCTGTAACCCCAGCACTTTGGGAGGTCGAGGCAGGTGGATCGCTTGAGCCCAGGAGTTTGAGACCAGCCTGGGCAACATGGTAAAACTCCATTTCTTCAAAAAATACAAAAATTAGCTGGATGTGATGGTATGTGCCTGTCGTCCAAGCTACTTGGGAGCCTGAGGTGGGAGGATAGCTTAAGCCCTGGAGGTTGAGGCTGCAGTGAGCTACGATGGTACCACTGCACTCTAGCCTGGGTGACAGAGTGAGACTCTATCTCAAAAAAAAAAAAAAGAAAAGAAAAGAAAAGAAAAAAAAGAAAACATGCTGATAGACTGTACGTGATGAAATTTCAGAGATCTCCTGGGAGGCCATCCCGCTTCCAGTTTCGATGGGCAGAGACTCAACAGTGGAAGGCAGGTATGACCTGGGACTTCTCAGGCCCCAGCTTCCCTCCTCTTCACCTTCCTCTCACCCATCAGACTTCACACCTCCCTCTTCCCGTGGTGTTCAAACCTAAGTCTATACAGAGTGCCTCGAACCCATATGGTGCTTAGTGGTGGAACCCGGGCTAGATTTCACCCCACCTGTGCCTTCTTGGCCAGTCCCTCTATGAAGTACACAGACCGACAACCTTTTACAGAGGACTGGGCTTGACAAAGAGCTCGCTTGGATCCATCTTGCTTCCCTGTGCGCACCCGGCCCCACTCACACCGAGGGAGTTTCGGCCCTGCTGGAAACACCGTGGCAGATGCTTTGGTGGCCTGCCCATTTCTTTCACTTTGTCATTCACGGATGTCAAAGCACCAGCACCTGCAGTTCTTTGTTTCTGGGCTTCCTCTGGTGCAAAAGCTGCTTTTTCTGCCTATGTTGGAGGTGCGGGGGATTTAGGAGACCTAAGGAATGGGCTCCAGTGAGATGAAGGGAACGGGTGTGTAAAGCCTCAGCCCCTCGCCTGGTGGGGGCTGAGTCTGAGGAATGTGCCCTGCATTGTTCCCGCATGATTAGGCTCCAGCTGCCCCCAGTGGTAAGGCCCCTCTCCTCCCTCTCCTCCCTCCCCAGTCTAGGGGTGCTTCACCTCCCAAATAAAGAGGGTTCACTCATCCTTATCTCAGGGTCTGCTTCTGGGGGAGCTGACCAGAAGCAAACCTTCCTCAGCACTCAGATTTTACTTACTCCAAAATTAGGGAATATTAAGTTTGAACAGATACCCTGTGCTCAAAAGCATGCGCACAGACATATATATAGAAATTTCGGGCCGGGTGCAGTGGCTCACGCCTGTAATCCCAGCACTTTGGGAGGCCAAGGCGGATCACTTGAGGCCAGGAGTTTGAGATCAGCCTGGCCAACCTAGGGAGACCCCATCTCTACAAAAATAATTATTTAGCTGAGTGTGATGGTGGACACCTGTAGTCCCAGCTACTCGGGAGACTGAGGTGGGATGATCACTTGAGCCTAGTAGTTCAAGACTACAGTGAGCCATGATGGCACCACCGTACTCCAGCCTGGGTGACAGAGTGAGACCGTATCTCAATTAAAAAAGGAAATTTCCAACTTTTCTCTGAGCCCACTACCCAAAGACAATCATATGCCTCAGCCACTCAGCTGAGCTTTACTGCCCTTCCAAGAATAGCCTAGAAATCCAGTAAGGACAATGGAAACTAGAAAAATGAAGAGACACTGATACTGGATCTAATTCATATTTTTAACCCCACTCACCACCTGCAATCACACCCACCCACAGCCTTCAGTAAGTGCTCAGTAAATATCTGTTAGTCAGCAAAGCTACTGGGAGCACACACTCTGCCCCTGCGCCATACACCCTGCCCCCAACCCCTGCTCTATTATGGTGATTTCCCCACTCCTAGTCTCTCTGCACAGAATGGTGAAGAAACTGCATTTGGTTTTTTCAAACTATTCTTCAGGCCGGGCACAGTGGCTCATGCCTGTAATCTCAGCACTTTGGGAGGCTGAGGTGGGCAGATCACAAAGTCAGGAGTTCCAGACCAGCTTGGCCAACATGGTGAAACCTCGTCTCTACTAAAAATTAAAAAAATTAGCCAGGCATGGTGGTGCGCGTCTGTATTCCCAGCTACTCAGGAGGCTGAGGCAGGAGAAACGCTTGAACCTGGGAGGCGGAGGTTGCGGTGAGCCGAGATCACGCCATTGCCCTCCAGCCTGGGCGACAGAGCAAGACTCTGTCTCAAAAGAAAAAAAGAAAAAAAAAATACAAAAAAAAAACCTATTCTTCTGCACCCTCAGGAGAATGGGCCAGGAACATGCTCTTGAAACAGGCTGCTTGCTCAGAAATACATTTCCATATTAGCAGGCGCAGCTGTCACTCCTGCTGGAGGCCTGTTGGCTTCTTGAGAACTGCTAGTCTCACCATTTGCCACATGCCCAACAGGAAAATTTAATTCACAGAAACTCAGAATGCCAGATTCCTCCTCCCTCCCAACTCAGGGATCCCCTCAAGAGCCTGCCTGACAGCTGTTATCTCCTTCATGAACACCTCAAGTGACAGGGAACTCACCGCTGTATGATGTAGCCTATCCTATTGTTGGAAGGCTCTAGTTACTAATAATTCTTATTAGTAAACATCATCTATTAAACATTTGCTATGTGCCAGCCTCTATTAAAAGTAATTTAACTAGCCAGGTGTGGTGGTGTGCACTTGTGGTCCCAACTACTTGGAAGGCTGAGGCAAGAGGATTCCTTGAGCCCAGGAGTTCAAGACTGCAGTGAGCTATGATCGCGCCACTCTACTTCAGCCTGGGCCACAGAACAAGACCTCAACTCCTTTAAAAATAAAAATTAAATGAAATGTGCTTAACCTGTGTCAACTCATTTAATCATGACAACAATCCTATGAAATAGATGCTATTGTTATTACTCCACCTGACCTGACAGGCAAGGAAACTTACAGCACAGAGAAGTAAATAATTAGCTGAAGATCACAGAGCTAGCTAGCAAGTGGCAGAATGCAATTTCAAACAAAAAGTGGCCTTTGAGAGCTTTCCTCTGTTGCCTTTTTTCTACTTGGGGCAGAAATCTTCCATCCTATAAGTGAGCCTTTTTAGGTCCAGATCCTTGTGAAATTGTGATGAGTGCCAAGGACCCTTTCCATGCTACTGTGCATATGGTCACAAAACTCTGCATATTATTTCAGGGAGTCAATCTACCCCAGTCCTTGGACCCCAGGTTAAGAACCACAGCTAACACAAAATAACGTTGCTCTTGTATCTATTTGGAAATTCTCTTATGAACTTTTTTATTTCTAACAGACTTTCTCCAAGCTTAATTTTCCCTATTTTTTTATTTTTTTCAGACAGAGTCTTCCTCTGTTGCCCAGGCTGGCATGCAATGGTACAATCTTGGCTCACTGCAACCTCTGCCTTCTGGGTTCAAGTGATTTTCCTGCCTTAGCCTCCCAAGTAGCTGGGATTACAGATATGCACCACCACGTCCAGCTAATTTTTGTATTTTTAGTAGAGATGGGGTTTCACCGTGTTGTCCAGGCTGGTCTCGAACTCCTGACCTCAAGAGATCCACCCATCTCAGCCTTCCAAAGTGCTGGGATTACAGGCATGAACCGTCGCGCCCGGCCAATTTTCCCAGTTCTAGATGAAAGAATGTTCAACCACACCAATACTCAAAGATAGACAAATTCAAATAATAAGGTTAAGGTGTTATTTTGTACCTTTATAACAACAAACAACTATAAAGAAAATACTCAAAAATCAAGTGCTGGCCAGGTGCAGTGGCAGACACCTATCATCCCAGCACTTTGCAAGGCCAAGGCAGGTGGATCTCTGAGCTCAGGAGTTCAGGACCAGCCTGGGCAACAAGATGAAACCCCATTTCTACAAAAAATTAGCCAGGCACGGTAGTGCGCCTGTAGTCGCAGCTACTCAGGAGACTGAGGTGGGAGGATGCCTTAAGCCTGGAAGGCCAAAGCTGCAGTGAGCTATGATCACACCACTGCACTCCAGCCCAGGCAACAGAGCAAGACCCTGTCTCCAAAAAAAGAGTGCTGGGAGGGTTGTACTCCTGTTGCTGCTGCTATGGTACCTGTATACACTACCATTAGAAATTTGGCAACACACAGGAAAGACTGATGAAAACACCCATAAGCTTTTGACCCGGTAATTCTACTCCTCAAATTTATTCCAAAAAAATAATTTAGATGGAAATAAAAGTCACATGTAGAAAGATATTTATAGCAAACTTTTCTCTAAGAGCCAGAAAAAAAAAAAAACAATGTCCAAAAAAACAACTGGGAAATTATAAGCAAATATGGTCATTAGCTTAATGGAACATATAAAATAATGAAAAGCATTAAAATAACATTTAGGAAAAAATGTGGAAGGTGGAAATCAACATGATGATGATTGTCAATTGTGGGGTGATAGGGTGGGGATGCCCAGGGAACTTTCAATTCGCTTTTTATTGCCTCACTTTAAAAAGTGAGAGACCAAATAATCAGAACAAAAGCAGCTCAGAGGAAAGAGAGAGAAACTATAAAGGATCAGAGGATCCCTCAAACCAAAATGAAACAAAACACTATAAATAATATCCTCTATGAAATATGAAAAGATATGCATCCACGAAAGAGAAACAGAAGAGGATGGGGTGTAATCAGAAAACATGAAAGAAGGCCTGGCATGGTGGCTCACACTTGTAATCTCAGCACTTTGGGAGGCTGAGTGGGGCGGATCCCGTGAGGTCAGGAGTTCGAGATCAGCCTGGCCAACATGGTGAAATCCCATCTCTACAAAAAATACAAAAATTAGCTGGGTGTGGTGGTGCACACCTGTAATCCCAGCTACTGGGAGGCTGAGGCAGGAGAATTCCTTGAACCCGGGAGGCAGAGGTTGCAGTGAGCTGAGATCGTGCCACTGAACTCCAGCCTGGGAAACAGAGCAAGACTCCCATCTCAAAAAAAAAAAAAAAAAAAAAAGATAGAGTTATTGGAGATGGAGTTATAACAACTGAAGTAGTAAATTCAACAGAAACTCTGGAAGATAAAGTAGGCTAACTATCCAGAAAATTGAACAAAAATAAATAGAGAGATAGAAAATGGGAGAAAAGATGACCAATCCAGAAGACCCAATATCTACCTAATAGGAGTCCGCTAAGAGACAACAGAGACAATCTCCAGGACAGAGAGTGTAACTGGCCAAGCCAAAGGCATGTGCCCAACCCATGGCTAGGTAGGAAAGGGAGGATCTGGCCCATTTGGGTCTAGAAGGAAAGGGCACTGTCTCCCCCCACAACCCAGGAGTATGGTCCCCCAAAAGGAAAAGTAATAGATGCTACTAGAAAATGAGGGTTAGATGATATACAGCCAAGAGCTACCACTGTCCACTGCACAGGAACCTCTGTTGACTCCTAGTAACCACACCTTCTTCTCTAAATACTCATAGAGCACTTTCAATAGGATTTTTGCATCCTGTCAAATGCAAAACCTCCCTCTCTAGGCCTGTTGTGCATTATCATAGCTGAGATGTGTACATCCTACATGCCAATTGTTTCTCATGAGTTATCTCATTAAAGCCTTACAACAAAGCAAACAAGAAAATCATCTTAATAACCCCAATTATAAATCAGGACACTACTGCCCAGAGCGGTTAAGAAGCATGCCCAGCTTCACCCAGCTAATAAAGAGATTCAAGCCAGGATTTGGACCTAGTACCCTGACCATGGAGCTCGCACTCTTATGCCACAGGACTTTATGTACCTCTCCCTGGAGGCTTCTCGGTGCCTCCAGTGACCCCGATGCCTCACTGCCTTCTGGACCCCAAAGAGGATCTAAAGTAGGTCGTCAAACAGCCGTGAGAGCCTCCATTGAGCCACACACCCCGAGTTTTCTGCATGCAGCCCAGCACCTAGCTCAGAGAGTCCCTGGCATGCTTGGTCACCCTAGGAGGTCCATTAGCCCTCCCAAGTCACCAGGGTGCTGGGAGCCGCCACTAGATCTCAGCCCTCCTTCACGTCACACACCTCACTCAGGGGCTGTCCACAGGCTTGCTCTGGCTGTAGCATGGGAACCCCTGCTCCTTCTTATCTGGTGCAAGGAGCCCAGGGGATGCCTTTAAGGAAGGTCAGCCCTGTCGGTGAGACATGTTGTGCAAAAGGCAGGTTGACTGGAGAAAAGTCATACACGTTTATTTCACATTTATACACAGGATCCTTCAGAATGAAAACCCAAAGATAACGCGGAAATTGGCCATACTGATGCTTAAGATTAACGAAGTATGAACAGCTATGTACAAATGCGACTGGACAAAAAAAGGGTATGATCTAATGCTGATAGACTGAGCTGGGAGATTCAGTGAGGCCTGTGTAGATTCTTGGCCTCTCTGCACAGCATCCCTTTCTTCTGTGTGTGGGGCAGGACCCTCTCGGGAATGGGGGAATTATGACCTACAGTCAAACAAGGTAAGTCGGATCATTTCTTTATGGCCAGTTTTTACACAGAAAGGCAGAGGGAAAATAAGAGTAATATTTTTAGGATTTATGGCTGGCTTTGGGGAAAAGAGGTTCTGGTTTCTATGGGGAAGAGGGATTCTAGTTTCTAAGGCTAGACTAGGGGAGAACGCGCCTGAGAGAAAGGAGGGCAGGTATGCAGAGAAAAACTTTTAACTTCTGAGGCTTTCATTTTAGAGTACTCTTTTCTGAGTCCCAACAGTGGGAAGCCAGAGGAAGCAGAACTGTACTTGTGAGAGCCCCCAGACAGCTGGCTCTTCCCCCACGCAGCAGCAGTCAGGCCCCAGAGCTCCTCTTGCACGACAGCACAAGGGCAAAGCCTGTCTGGGCTGGTGGAAGCTTCCGTGGGTCTGGCTGTATTGGGGGGAAGACCTGTCTGGGAGCCTCTTCAACTATTTATCTGTTCTGCCTTCCTCCCCCTTGCTCCTGTCCTTTGAACGCTAACCTGGACACAGAAGCTCTCAGCATTTAGGAGGCCTTAATTGCAGCTCCATTTAATGTAAGATCTCTTGAAGTGGGTCCCAATCTTAGGCCACAAGTTCAGGTGTACAGAAAACAAACCATTTCTCTTTGTCTTTTTTTTTTTTTGAGATGGAGTCTTGCTCTGTCACCCAGGCTGGAGTGCAGTGGCGCAATCTCCACCTCCCGGGTTCAAGCAATTCTTGTGCCTCAGCCTCCCGTGTAGCTGGGATTACAGGTGTGCACCACTACGCCTGGATAATTTTTGTATTTTTAGTGGAGACAAGGTTTCACCATGTTGCCAGGCTTGTCTCCAACTCCTGACCTCAGGTGATCCACCCGCCTCAGCCTCCCAAAGTGTTGGGATTACAGGTGTGAGCCACCACACCCAGCCAACAAACAATTTTTCTGTCACAGAGTTTAATTCTATTTGATTCCTATCCTGCCAATGTGGCAGAAACATAATCTCTGTTGATTTAAAATTTACCCACATCCTGAACCTGGGATCTTGTCAAAGTCCCACTGAGCTCTGGGAGATGGGGTCTTTATTGTCTTTTGTCACACAGGTGTCTAGAAGATGCCACCTATTGTCACTTACTTTGTGTCTTACACAACTGCAGACCACTATTCAAAGGCTATATAGTTTGCTCTCACTGCTGTAACAAATTATCACAAATATAATGGCTTAACACAACACAAACTTATTTCTCACAGTTTCTGTAGAAGTGCAACATGGGTCTTACCAGGTGGTGGCTGTGCTGGGCTTATAGCTGGAGACTCTGGGAAAGAATCCTCTTCCAAGCTCGTTCAGGTTGCTGGCCCAGTTCAGTTCTTTGTGGGTAAACTTGCTAGGTGGCAGCTAGGGTCACCCTCAGCTCCTTAGGTTCCTTCTTTGGTCCTTGCACATCATCCAGGAGGCATCAGATCTTTCTCACGCTTGGAAGATCATGGACTCGGCCTTCTGCGGCATCTGACTCTTCCGCCTTCCTTTTCTGCTTGATTACATCGGGCCCACCTGGATGTGCTGGGTCGCCTCCCTATTTTAAGGTCAGCTTATTAGTAACCTTAATTCCACCTGCAAAGCCCCTTCCCAGCAGAACCTAAATTTGTGTTTGATTGACCAAACAGGGAGAAGGGAGAGTATCTTTAGAGTTTTGCCTACAGCAAAGGCCACTGTGTGAGCACATCCCTGAAGGTGTGCAGGGCAGCTGCCATCACTCACCTCTCAGCCCATTCACTAGACAGATGCCCTGTCAAGGTCATGGTCCTTTTAAGGCTGAAGGTTTGCTGCCCCTACTGCGGCTGTCTTGGGAAAGAACTGGTTCTGTTCTGAACCATGCTGGGATAGAACCTCTAGAAGGCAAGGTCCCGTCTACCTCAACACACACACAAGCCATTTCCTCTCTGGGGTCTCCCAGGGCTCTTTCTAGGTTGCAGGAAACAGGACGATCTGCCCCCTGTTTCCGACCTGTACCCCCACCTCTGCACTGTCATTGCTTTCCTTCTTCCCCACACCACCAAGGAAATCACCTTCTCATCAAACCTCCCATATGCCAAATATTTTGGCTAGATCTGGAGTCCTGTACACTCTGGAGTGGCTTTGGGCTTTTTGAATCCCAGGTCCAGTCCTGCTTTCCTGTCTGTCACATTCCACAGCTGAGGCAATGAGCCAGGAAGTCACCTGCTTGGAAGTTGGAGGGGGACAGGGAGTTGGAGAATGGCAAAGTGGGGTTAATACTGCAAACCTGTTTTCCTGCCACTCTCCTGACATGCTCTGTTCTTTAAAATGCCCTTGGCACCTGGTCCATCACAGGCCGCATCCTTAGCAACTAAGTTGGAAGAAATGGGGCTCTTTGGCCAGCAATGTCTTCCCGCCATGGGCTATACCTGCAGGTGCCGGGTGAGGAGGACTGCGGGCAGCTCTGAAGCCTCCACTTTTCCTTATGGGTTTTTTGTTCACTCTCCAGGGCCTAATTCAGATGTCACCTCCCCTGTGCGGCTTCTCCAACCCTTCAGATAGATGTGATCACTCCCTCCCCTGAGCCCCAGAACACTTTGTCCAATTTCCTGCACCCTCTGAGAGCGTGGCACAGGCCCCCTCCACTGTGTAACAACTCACAGCCCCTCCCTGCATCAGAAGCCCACCCCCTTCCTCCGGGGTGCCTCTTCTTTCTAGTCATAGTGTCTTCCCTCAGTAGTCTATCCCTCTGGGGACTCTGAATATCTTCCCTTCCCCCTCAGCAATCCCTAGCACACTTGCAGCTGTGAGGGCTGCACCTGAGGACAGAGCAGGGGCGGGAACCCCAGTCTTAGAGGCTGTTGTCATCAAAGTTCAAATGGAAGATCCTCTGAGAAGGATCTGCAGGGAGACCAATTGCCACCCCTAGGGAAGGCCGGGCTTCTGTGGTATCTCAAGCCCTGGGACCTAGAGGCAGCTTCCCGTAGGGAGCAGCCAGAAGGCCCTTTCCCTACCCCCTCACCACCCAGAGAGGCCTCCCTGGGATGCCCTCCCCTGAACCCTAGAGCTTCATGGGGATTGCTATGTTTGCACTGTGATGTCATTTCAAGGTCATGGTGATATGCGCTACAGCTGAGCAAGATTGTTCCCAGCATCAGATTGGAAGTTGAAAGAAAGGCTAAGTCACAAGAACCCAAGAGCTGGGTGAATGCACAGCTGTGCCCTAGGCCCACCAGCAAGGACCACATTTATTAGGCTCAGCCTCCCACACAAACGGTGCCAGAAAGTCTAAGAGAAGAAGGGGAACAGAGGAAGGGAGGGAAAGTCCTTTAAATCAACATGGTTTCATTGAGCTTCTGCACCATGCAGGGGCCTGTGGGATTGAGAAGGAGAATATAATCCTAGTCCTTGCTCTCAGGAAGCTTATCATCTGTGTAGAGCCCAAGAGTGAGCAGCTGGGTGAACAAGAAGTGGTGCAAGGGGGAAGAGTTACCACAGATGGTATAACAGTTTGCTCAGGCTGCCTGAAACAACAGAAAGTTACTGTCTTTACAGTTCTGGAGAACTGGCCTAGGAAATCAAGATGGCGGCAGAGCTGGTTTCTTCTGAGGGTTGTGAGGGGTCTGCTCCAGGCCTCCCTCGGCTTGTGGATGTCCATCTTCTCCCTGTGTCTCTTTACATCATCTTCCCTCTATGCATGTCTGTCTTTTCGCCCACATATCCCCCTTTTAAGGACACCAGTCATATCGGATGAGGGCCCATCCTAATGACCTCATTTTAACTTTTTTACCTCTATAATGACCCTGTTTTCAAATATAATCACACTCTGACATACTAGGGGTTAGGGCTTGACATGGTTTGGCTGTGTCCTCACCCAAATTTCATCTTGAGTTGTAGCTCCTGTAATTCCCACATGTCATGGGAGGAACCCAGTGGGAGGTTGTTGAATCAGGGTGGGTGAGTCCTTCCTGTGCTGTTCTCGTGATAGTGAATAAATCTCATGAGATCCGATGGTTTTATAAATGGGAGTTCCCCTGCACACATTTTCTGTCTTGCCTGCTGCCATGTAAGACGTTCCTTTCACCTTCCACCAAGATTGTGAGGCCTCCCCAGCCACGTGGAACTGTGAGTCCATTAAACCTCTTTTTCTTTATAAGTAACCTAGTCTGGGGTATGTCTTTATCAGCAGTGTGAAAATGAACTAATACAGGGCTCCAACATACCTTTTTTAGAGGGACACAATTCAACCCACAACAGTGGCTTTGGGGAGAAAGGAAGACTTGAAAGAGGAGAATTTCCTCATTCATCTATCTATCTATCTATTTATCTATCTATCTATCTATTTATTTATTTTTGAGATGGAGTCTTACTCTTGTCGCCAGACTGGAGTGCATTGGTGCCATCTCGACTTACTGCAACCTCCACCTCCTGGGTTCAAGTGATTCTCCTACCTCAGCCTCCCAAGTAGCTGGGATTACAGGCACCCACCACCAGGCCGGCTAATTTTTGTATTTTTAGTAGAGACAGGGTTTTACCATGTTGGCCAGGCTGGCCTTGAACTCCTGACCTCAGGTGATCCGCCCACCTCTGCCTCCCAAAGTGCTGGGATTACAGGTATGAGCCACCACACCCGGCCAGAATTTCCTCATCTAAAAGGGCAGGTTCCCAGGCAGAGGTAAACACTGGGAGGTTTTATACTTTGTGATTACTGAATAATTCCTCAAGGATGTTTTTCTAGATTTGAGGAACATCTTCAGGGACAGAAGATGCCACATTGGGCAGGGCTTCTTCATGCAGGCCCCAACCACAGGGGCAACAGAATCCTGGTCCCTGGGAGACTGTGCCCAGCCATGAGCATCAGCTGAAGCCACAACCTCAAACATTCCTACCAAAAGGGAAGCTAGCTGCTGGGATCCACATGAGGGCAAAGTGGAGATGAATTCAGAGGGCAAGAAGCAGCCAGTAGGGCAAGAGGGAGAGAGGACCTTTCTTCCTGACCCACCCCACACATACAATGGACTAAATATTTGTGTCCCCTTAAAATTCATGAGTTGAAATCCTAAACCCCAAAGTGATGGCATAAGGAGGTGGGAATTTTGAAGGGTAATTCAGTCATGAGGGCAGAGCCGTCATGATTAGGATTTAGTGACCACAGAGAGCTAGCTCACCCACTCTACCATGATAGGACACAGCAAGAAGGTTCCATCTATGAACCAGAAACTGGGCCTGGCCAGACACTGAATCTTCCTGCACCTTGATCTTGGACTTCCCAGACTCCAGAACTGTGAGAAATAAATTTCTGTTGTTTCTAAGACACCAGTGTATGGTATTTTTGTTTTAGCAGCCCAGACAGACTAAGACAACACACAAACAGGAAAAATCAGATACCTCCTGCTGCCTAGCTAGATGGCTTAAGAGTCCAGGACATAGACAGAGGTAGGGGCAAGAAGGCTGCTGGGCCTGGGCTTTACGTTCAAGAAAGGACTTTTAGACTTTTGATGTTATTTCCAACTGATGTTTGTTATGGGCCAAGTTGTGTCCCTCCAAAATTCATATGTTGAAGTCCTAACCCCCAGCAACTCAGAATCTGACTGAATTTGGAGGATAGGGTTAAGACGTCAGTCAGTTAAAAAGAGGTTGTGAGGGTAGGTCTTAATCCAATAAGGGTGTCTCTATAAGAAGAGGAAAATTGGCACAGACACACACAGAGAGAAGACCACATGAACACACAAGGAGAAGATGGCATCTGCAAGCCAAGGAGACAGGCCTCAGAAACCAACCCTGCCAACACCTTGATCCCTGACTTCCAGCCTCCAGGACTGCAAGACAATAAATGTCTGTTTAAGCCACTGGTCCTGCAGTAGTTTGTTATGGCAGCCCTAGCAAACTAGTATAAAGTTCTATCCATATGCCCCTGGGATGTGTTTCTAAGCATTCATTTTTAAAATGTAACATTTCTTAAAAATATACTGTAACATTTTAACTTGTTTTGGCATTTCTGCTTTTTTTTTTTTTCATGGGACAGTCTTGCTCGCTCGCCCAGGCTGGAGTGCGGTGGCACAATCTTGGCTCTCTGCCTCCGGGGTTCAAGCGATTCTCCTGCCTAAGCCTCCTGAGTAGTGGGGATTACAGGCGTGCACCACCAGGCCCGGCTAATTTATATATATATATATATTTTTAGCAGAGACAGGTTTTTACCATGTTGGCCAGGCTGGTCTTGAACTCCTGCCCTCAAGTGATCCACCTGCCTTGGCCTCCCAAAGTACTGGGATTACAGGCATGAGCCACTGGGCCTGGCTGGCATTTCTGCATTTTTAATACCTTGGGAACAACCACCACCCCTCAAAATGACAGTGGCTCATCTTTGTCAATTATACCTTAATAAAGCTGGAGGAAAATTAATAAAATGGACTACAAAAGAAGAAGAAGAAGAAGAAGAAGAAAAGAAAAGAAAGTAGCCCAAGTTCTCTGTACCTCCCAGATGCCCCAGTGAAGGGCCTCAGCTGTGATGAGAAAACCCAGCAGCCCAATTCCTGGCAACTCTCCTGGGATCTGGAATGATGGTGTGCCTGGGCACAGCCTTCCTATCTGGCCCGAGAGCCAGCTGGCACCATTGGAGTGAGGA